>NC_000002.12:157489618-158739618 GCF_000001405.40 Homo sapiens | reverse complement strand
CCACTCTATGACTCATGCCTTTGTATACTCAGAGCTTAGCTCCCACTTCTCAGTGAGAACATATGGTTTTTAGTTTTCCACGCTGGTGTTACTTCACTTAGAATAAAGGCCTCCAGGCCGGGCGCGGTGGCTGATGCCTGTAATCCCAGCACTTTGGGAGGCCGAGGCAGGCGGATAACGAGGTTAGGAGATCGAGACCATCCTGGCTAACATGGTGAAAACCCGTCTCTACTAAAAATACAAAAAATTAGCCAGGCATGGTGGCGGGCACCTGTAGTCCTGGCAACTCGGGAGGCTGAGGCAGGAGAATGGCGTGAACCCAGGAGGTGGAGCTTGCAGTGAGCTGAGATTGCACCACTGCACTCCAGCCTGGGCGACAGAGCGAGACTCCATCTCAAAAAAAAAAAAGACTAATGGCCTCCAGCTTCCTCCAAGTTGCTGCAAAAGACATTACTTCATTCCTTTTAATGGCTAAGTAGTATTCCATGGTGTGTATATACCACTCATTAGTCAATGAAGCCCCTAATTTTGTAAGTTAGGAAACGGGAGCAAGAATGGCCTCCAAGGCACGTAGCTGGGACCGGAGTTTTAAATCATGTGACAATCCCCCACCCCCACACATTATCATTCCTGCTTGCAGGATGACAACCTTGATGACAAGGTTAGAAACTGGAGTCTTATCATCGGTAGGACTTTCCTTAAATGAAGGTCTCAACCTCTATCCTGAACAAGTGGGATCTTGCAGAATGGACTCAGGGGCCCGGGTTGGGCAAGGCTGATCCGTGAAAGAGAGTCTAGAGGCAAAACTGAAGTCACAAACAGGCACAGACTGATCAAGATGTCTCAAAGATGCCTTCAAAAAGGTAAGGCATGAAGAGGCAATCCAGGTATAAGACCTTGGGATGGCATCAGATTTGACTTCGAGGCTGGGAGGGGGTTCTGAGAAGTGGGGTTCTGAGAAGTGGCCTTCTGCTCCCGCAGGGCTGCAGTGGTCACAGTGATTGGGAGGGGTTCTGAGAAGTGACCTTCTACTCCCACAGAGCTGTGGTGATCACAGTGATTGGGAGGGGTTCTGAGAAGTGGCCTTCTGCCCCTGCATGGCTGCAGTGGTCACAGTGATTGGGAGGAGTTCTGAGAAGTGGCCTTCTGCTCCCGAAGGGCTGTGGTGGTCACAGTGATTGGGAGGAGTTCTGAGAAGTGACCTTCTGCTCCCAAAGGGCTGTGGCGGTCACAGTGATTAAGCGGTGCAGTGGCTTTTTCTTCCCTGTTCTTACAAAACTGGTTACCTCTTTAAATTCTTAGCTCCACTGAGCTCAGAATCCACCATTTTTTTCCTATTAATGTGGAGTAGAAACTTGTTATCTGGCTCAATATTAATCTGTTTCAAAATCAGCATCAGCACGTCTATTTTCCTAAGTGCTTAATAGAATGAACAACAACTGCCCCTGTCAACTCCCAGCCCAGCGTTCTTCCTACCAAACCAAGCAGCTTATTGCCCACACAGAGGCTGAGTTCATTGAAAAATATTTATTTTTTACCTTTCTGTTTTTACCCTTCTGGCATGGCCTGTGAATGAAACCGGGAGCTGGGGATTTTGTGAGTGTTTCGAGTCCATGTAGCTTCACGACGAACTGCAGGTCCTGCAGCAGGGAGGGCTGGGCAACCAGAGCTTCTCAAGCTGACTCATGCTCAGCTCCATTACTCTAGGATTCAGTTTCTCCAGTTATAAAAATTATGATAGAGATGGAAAGCAAATTAATTGAATGAAGGATGGTTTTCAAGGGCCCCCACTGCACTTGCACAAGCAACTTTCAAGAACTGCAAGCCATATATCTATAGTTTTATACTCTTTTTCTTAAAGAAAACCCCTAAATTATAAATACACAAGCTTCTGTAAAACCTGCTCTATCCCCAGAATGGCATCCAGCTAGTTCAGGGGCACTAAGGGTTCACATTTTGAGAGAAAGGCTAGAAACCATGCCTGCTCTTCTCTGCTTTTGCCAACTCCTTTCTTTTTCTTTTTTTTCTTTTTCTTTTTTTTTTTTTTTTTTGGCCAACACTAAAGAGTTGGAAATGTTGCTATCAACAGCAAACTAACACCAGATATTTATTAACATGATTCTATTGGAAAAGCCACAGAGCTTTGGGTTACAGTGATGTCTATTATTGATGAAGAGATGAGGAGCTTCCACTGTGAAAAATAAAACTAAGCTCATATAAAATTCAACTTGGCTAATTTGACTTGAAGGTTGCAAAGCTGGAGGAAGCCAGGAAGAGGGAAAAAAAGAACTAGGAAAGGCTATGCAGTCGAGAAAGTTTGGGAGACTGGTCTATAGGGCAGGAGGAAGTCATCCCCTTATCACTGGGCCCCTTTGCTCTATAGAGAAGACACTGCCCAGTACCTGTTGATGTTCTGTGTTGCAACTGAGAGCACAATACAGAAAAGACCCCTGTCTGTGCCGCAAGACTGCATGTTGTGGTATGAAGGGCTTCAATCATTCACCATTCATTCAACAGATGTTTTCGTTAGTGTTGCTAGATGCTGGAGACATTATGTCGAGCAAAACAGATGTGGCCCTGGTGTTCCAGTTTGGAGAAGACACAGCCAAGAAAAGAGGCCAGTGCAATTCAATGTGATGTGTGCTGCAATAGGGCAGATACAGCGTATTAGGGGAGCACAAAGAGAGGCATCTGATCCAGCTCTGGGGAGTCAGGAAAGACTTCTCCAGGAAAGCGGGGATCCATCTGAGACCTGCAAAATGAGCAGGCATTCACCAGAAGAAACGAGAAGCGTGTTTAAGGTAGAACAAAGAGGGAAGCAGTCAATGTTTCTGAAGCATCATGGACCAGGTGTGTGGTGGAGTCATGGGAGAAGGATAGAGTGGGCATTATTTAAGCAGATGCTGGCTCATATCGGCTTTGAAAACCTTAGGAAGGAGTGTAGACTTTATCTCAAAGGTAATAACTTTGTGATATCACCCAGATGTTGTGGGGGAGTGGTCTAGAGGGAAGCAAGGCTGGGGATAAAGAGGCTAGTTAGGAGGCTGTGACAATGGAGGCAAAATGTAATGGGGCCCTGGATGGAAGTTGCAAATGTGGATGGAGAGATGAATAAGGATTCAAAAAATATTTAAGAGGCACAATAGACATGCTTTGATAGTTGGTTAGAAATGCAGTGTAATGTGTCCAAGGAATCTAGGATGACCTCAGACACATTTGACTTGAGCAGTTGGGCAGCCAGATGGTAGAGCCATTTGGAAAGACAGTGACTCCAGAAGGAACAGGTTTAGCACTTGTGAACTGAATTGGCCATTAGGTTAAAAGGAGGCTTCAGAATTCACAGAAGGTCAAGTTGAAAGGCCCAAGAAAAACTGACTTATTAAAGTTACAGAGGTCAGGTCAGAGGAGGAAAAGACAGGAGGTTGAGAAGTTCAATCGAAAAGGCGTTCAGATGAGAAAAGGAGGCTACAAAACCATATGTACAATAAAATACACATGCACATGATAGAAACAAGGAAAAGATGCTAGAGAAATCCATATGAACACATTAGCAGGAATTATTGCCTCATAGTAAGATCACTGGTGATTTGTAATTCCTTCTCTTTGCTTAGCTGTATTTGCAAAACTAAAGGTTGCACAATAAATGTGTGTTCTTTTTGTAATAAAAACAAAAGGTGTTTTTGAAAAGTGGTTATGCAGGTGAGGGAAGAATACGGAAGAGCTTTTCTTTTTTTTTTTTTTTTCAGGCATAGTCTCGCTCTTTTGCCCAGGCTGGGGTGCAGTGGCACCATCTCGGCTCACTGCAACCTCTACCTCCTGGGTTCAAGTGATTCTCCTGCCTCAGCCTCCAGAGTAGCTGGGATTAGAGGCAGGCACCACCATGCAGGGTTAATTTTTGTATTTTTGGTAGAGATGGGGTTGCCATGTTGGTCAGGCTGGTCACTGGTCTTGAACTCCTGACCTCAGGTGGTCTGCCCACTCAGCCTCCCAAAGTGCTGGGACTACAGGCATGAGCCACCCCACCTGGTCTAATACTGAAGGGCTTTTAACTTAAAGTGAAAAACTTAATTGGAAAGGTTTATAAAAGTAAAGCTCGTGGACAACTAACCTGATGTACTGTCTCACAAACTTGGTTGCATATTGAAATCACCTGCACAGTTTCAAAAATACTGTTCCTGGATCCCACGTCCACAGCTTCTGATTTAATTGACAGGAGGTGTGGTCCGAGCCTGGAGATTTTTGTAATGCTCCCCAGGTGATTCCAATGTTGGCAAAGATGGAAAACCACTAATGCAGTTAATGAGAAGGAAGAGGGATAACTTTTTAGACTAGCATTCTGAGTTATTTAAAGGAGTGAGAATCTTGGGGGAGAAGGTTCTCAGTGAGGCCATAAAGCGGGGTCAAAGGTTGGCAGTGAGATGGCACCCCAGGGTCAGGCATGAGGTCCATCCCACAATATGCTCTTAAATGACAACCTAGTGAAGTGAGCTGAGCTCAACCTTAGAAGGACGCTCCAAGAAACTCTGCAAAAAATGGGGACATTTTGCGCATAAGGAAATCTGAGGTCCTGCCAGCTTTGCCGTGGTCAAGAGCACGTAGCAGCTGGTTCCATATTTAAAGGCAAGCGGCTCTCACATCCTAAGGTATTACCCAGCAAAAGGCAGCCTCAGGAGGCAGCCCACTGAAGACCTTCAAGTCCACGAAGACAATGTATGGATTGTTCACTAAAACTGAGGAATGATTTTCAAATAATCTGTCGCCAGAGGGCCAATCCAGGCTTCAGGCTCCAGTGTGTATGGAGGAGCTGCCACTGCAGAGACGCTGGCTTAGGGGGCTGGGGGATGCCTCCTTTGAATTCTGGGCCCACCACTGACAACACTTCTCTTCTTGGGTGAGTTATTTCATTTCACTGACCTCGCTCTCTTTATTTGTGAAAAAGAAGATAGTACTACCTGTTACACAGGTTTCTCAGGATTAAATGAGCTCAGGTTGAGCTCATTGTGAAAGCAGCTATTCGGTTTTTTAAAATGTGATTGCCATTGTTTGAAATAGCAAAAGAGGATATATCACTGTTAAAGTCTGTCTGGACGGCAGTCTTGCTGTATCATTTCCACCTCTTGCGTGACATTTTTTCCTTTCTTATTTAATTTTCTAAATTCTAAAGTACGGCGGCTAGAGCAGACAAACTGTTCTTTTCTTAGTAGATTAATGGCATTGAGTACATAGCCCTTAAAAACATAAAGTTTAAAAGCAAAAGCAATGGCCGGGCGTGGTGGCTCACGCCTGTAATCCCAGCACTTTGGGAGGCCAAGGCTGGCGGATCACTTGAGGTCAGGAGTTCGAGACCAGCCTGGCCAACATGGTGACCCTCCCCCCGCCCCGCCCCGCCCCACCCCACCCCATCTCTATTAAAAATACAAAAATTAGCTGGGCGTGGTGGCATGTGCCTGTAATTCCAGCTACTCAGGAGGCTGAGGCAGAAGAATTGCTTGAATCCAGCAGGCGGAGGTTACAGTGAGCCGAGATCACTCCACTGCACTCCAGCCTGGGTGATAAAGCGAGACTCTGTCTCAAGGAAAGGAAAAAAAAAAAGCAAAAGCAACAAACTCAAAATTTTGTTTTTTAAGTAAAATATCTTGATGTTAGTAATCACCAGAGTGAAGACAATGGTTACTGAAATTTCAACTCTAAGAGAAAAGGCAAAAGGCAATTATAGCAAAGTATGGGCAACTTCCATATATATTTCATTAAATCTGAGATGCCTTTTATTATAAGATATGTTCATTTTCTATATAGTTAAGGAAAAAAATAGTTGCAAATTAAACTATGACACAATGCTTTCTTTCCTGATACAATGTTTTCCATATTGAAAGAGCTCTTTCATATTTATTTAAACATCTCTTGTTACGTGTAGCACTCGACGTATCTAAAAAGGAAAACACAAGTGAAATGAATTGCTTAAGGTGTTCCACAAAACTTCACATTCTCACTCTTCTGAACCACTTTGCAGTCATCAATGCCACACATTTTTTCCAAACCACACAATTAACATCCTCTGGGCTTTCATGTGAACTGGCGATACACTCTCTTATGGTCTCCCGTATTTTTTCAGCCGCTGACATCTGTTTTTACAAGCTTTTTTGCCTAGTGTGTGATAGATGATCCTTTTGTGTATATCGTGGTAACAAACCTAACTCAGCTTTATCTACTTGTGGATATCTTCCCTTCATAAGCCCTATAAAGCTATGCTTCTCAAACTTCCCTGTTCATACAAATCACCTGGGGATCTTGCTAAACAGTAGATATACAACAGGTCTGGGCTAGAGCCTGAGATCCGGCAGTTCTCACAAGCTCCCAGCTGAGGCCAATGCTGCCGGCCCCAGCACTACAGTTTGAGCAGCAAAGCTATAAAGCAATTGATCCTATTGGTTGTTGCTTCTTTGCAAGAAAATATGGAAGTGTGATTATTCCTCCAACAAATGGTTTCACTAATATCAAATTTATGTCTTGCTGCTCTGTTTTCATGCTCTTCTGTATATGCAGTAATTTTTCATTTCAATGCCAAATTGTCACATAATCTTTTTGAAAGCTCTTAAATGGCAGTGAAACTCAACATGTGTAGTGCCAGCACAGCACATAATTCACTGAAGTGTGATGGCGGGGAGTGGAGCTAGGACCAAGCTAGTTGTAGCATACCACCGATTGCAAGCTGTACTCTGATATCAGAGATGCTAAAAAGTGGAGAAGGTGCAGTTTTGGATCAAAGAAATATGGAGAATCTGTTGCAAACCTCTGTACTTTTAGCTTCCACTTTTTTTTTTCCTTTTTAAGAAAATGCTGAAATCAGCATTAGGAATTATGAGAGACAACACTAATAACCCCAGTGTGTTTTGCTGTGTCTGTTTTTAACCTTTTGGCTTCACCTTTGTAACTGGAACACAAGGATGAAAGTTCCTTGGTGTGTGAGTGTTGGTGATATGTGCCTTTACAACTGACTCCACAGCGGTCAGTCACCTAAGAACTGACTTGTTGAAAATGCCCAACTCTGAGCTCCACCCAACCTGCTGAAGCAGCATCTCTGGGGGCTGATCCCAGGAAACCCTTTTACCAAGTCCCCCAGGGAAGTCTTAGGCCACTCAAGCTTGAGAACCACTGGTTTAGTGTCTTCGTGCCTTCTTGCAATATTTAGTCCATCAGTCTTCCAGTAGGGGACAACTATCGGGCATGTCCCAAACACTGTGCAGCTGCCAGAGGGAACACCGAGAGGCCTGGCGCAGCACCTGTCCCCACCTCATGGAGCCTATGCTCCAGATAGGTTGCCACAGAGAATACTGTGCTAGGGGCATTCAGAAGGGGCATGGAAGAGAGGAAGAAGATCCTCATATGGGTGTGATTGGAAAAGGCT
Source organism: Homo sapiens (assembly GCF_000001405.40). Taxonomy (NCBI): domain Eukaryota; kingdom Metazoa; phylum Chordata; class Mammalia; order Primates; family Hominidae; genus Homo; species Homo sapiens. Next base: position 158,732,213 of record NC_000002.12, on the reverse strand, counting down.
TTGTGGAGAAGACTAGAAACGTGCTGGATCTTGAAAGATAGATGAAATTTGGTTGGGACAGGAGAGGAAAGGAGCATTTCAGGCAGGTGGTACAGCATAAGCCCAGGCAAGGAGGCAGGCGAGCACTAGTCACACACCATAGAGAGTCGACCAGGCATCTAAAGAGATGGTTCATGCACACAGGCAGAAAGTATATGCTTGAAAGTTAGATAAGAGTAAGGCAATGCCCCAGGAGGATTTACCCTCTAATAGCCGGTCCCTCCATGTGGAGTTTTTAATTCATTTCTTTTCTTCTCCTTCTCTCTTTCGAGCCTTTGGCTTCTCGTCAGTACCCCAGGCCATCCCTCTCCCTCCTCACCACCTCTGTCCGAACCCCTCTGCTGGCAGCTGGTGCATGAGGAGAAATGCAAGCTCATTGCAATATTAATCTGAGCAAAACACAACTAGAGAGGAAATTTTGCTGCTCTGTTGCAAATAGCATATGGTACCTCCCCAAAAGCCAAAAGAAATGATTTTTTAATCATCTGCTGTTCAGGATTATCCATGCTCCCTTTCCTCAGTGTGGATAATTGAAGGTTGGCTGTATCTGGATTTCAAAGCAGTTTGGACTTCATTGAAATCCAAGGATCCCAGTTTGCTCCCTACCCCCCAGTGGGCATCCGTGCCTGTAATTAAACTGATCTGACAAGGGAGGGCCAAGGCTGTATCTCTGATGTGAGTGGTTACCAGAGAAAGACAACTGGCATTTCTGTGGTGCTCATGTGTTCCACGCGTGGACCGAGAATGATAGCAACTTCTCCCCTTCAAGAGAGAGCCCTTTGTGCTGTGGCTCTGGGGTGCTGTTACCCCTAGACAATGCAGATTTGCTCTCTAAACAAAGCCTTGCAGTGAATTTAATGCCTTTTAAGGTGAGGCCTCACCTGCGGGTCTCACAGTGATGTAAGCAAAGATATTAGAGATGATTTGCTTTTTAGGTGGGCAGAAATTCGTCAACACAAAAACACATACACACACACATTCTGGATGCTGAAATTCTGAGGAGAGAAAACTCTGAGTAGAGCATGGTTAGAAAAATCCATCTGTCGCCCGCAGGTGTGTGCAGGTTGCATGTGAGAAGGAAGGTGGGCAGCCTCTTGGAGGACACGTAGGCCGAGGAGTGGGAGGCATCTTTCTTCAAACAGAGCCCTTGCTCGTTGCGGGGGACAGAGGGAAGGAAAGACAAGATGTGAGCCAGCCTTTCACCTGGACTTGTTTTCCACCTGGCTATAGAGGCTCCACACAGTGCTGGGGTGAGGAGTGAGAGGCCAGGGGGAGGCCCAGGAGCCAGGTTGTCACTGGCTGGGCAGGGGCACTGGGCAGCTGGCTGAGCTTGGAATAGCAGAGGATGGAGGAAACCTCCATGCAGGACTGGCCCCTCCCAGCTGGCCTCCTGAGGAGGACACATTAGCTAAAGCCTCCTGAGCGCTCTCAGCCACTTGCCCACGCATGTTCCTCCTTGTTGGCAAGGGGAATTTCCCCATGGCCAGCGGCCACAGAAAGTGTTCCCTTGAAGTCCACAGCCTACTTGGCCCCCCAGGGGCAACCCCAAACCCCTGTTGAAGGTTAGTAGCAAGAGTGTCAGTAGTGGGCATTCATGTGGGCAGCCCCTTCACGTCTTCGCCAAAGCCAGCACTAGGCAGTCATCAGTCAGGACCCCGGCATCCCTCACTAGCCATCCCCCCACATCAACAGCCAGCAGCTTCTCTCTGGCTCCTCTCCCCGGCTCCTCTCCCCTATGCTCCACGGGCTGCAGGGCCATCACTGCCTCTGTCTGTTTGCTGTCACGCCTCAGCTGGCCCGAGAGAAAGAATGTCTGTTCAGTCCAGAGAGGCACAGCACGTGTGTCCTGCGGTCGGGGCTCCCTCTCTCTACTTCTCTGCCTGATGCCAGACATGCTGCTCTTCTTGCCTTCACCATCTCAGAAGAGCTTCTGTCGAGATCCTCTGCGCTTGCATGGAGCTTATTGGTATTTACACCTCCCTGGCTGTCCCCTCAGCAGTGCACAGATCCTGAGAGATGGCAGCCCTGCACAGCCAGCTGGCCCTCTACTGAAACCAGGATGAGCAAGGAAAGAAAGCCATCCAAGGCGTCATTACGTCTCCTCCTCAGAGAGGACAGCCAGCCATTTTCATGATTAAACCCACTAACCACTCCCATTGGCCTGTGACAGCTTCTTCTGACCACGGTGGTTACTGATTAAAGAGAATCGGGATTACTTTTCTTAGTAGAAAATTAAAACCACATACACACAGATAGAGGGAGAGTGCATTCCACTGTAATGCTCTTAATAAGAACTCCAGATTGCTCAAGCCATGTCCCTCTCATGATACCAGGCGCCCCTGTCACCCAGAAGATGGCCCAGAGGACATGTGCTATGGCCCAGCAAGTGTGCATGTCATGGGGATCCAACCACTCTGGCCCTTTCCTCACCCAGCATATTGATTCCTCCGGAGTGTCAGACACTGTGCTGGGCCCAAGGGCAAAAGCTGTCCCCAGGCCCCTCTACCACAGGAGACCGGCCAGGACACACTGAGCATCTGCAGGAGAGTTTAGGCAGTCCCCTCCCAGGCTGCTCCACGCTGGCCCTTTCTGCTCCTGCAAAGCTGCCCATCCATCTTGCTTTATGGACTGCAGAACTGCCTCAAAGGCAGACACTTGCCCCTGTGGCTGAGGAGCAATGAGCTGTCCACTGGCAGCTCTCCCGGCAGGAATAAAAAGACTGTACTTCAAATAAAGTTTCCTCTAAAAAATAAAAAATAACAAAAATAAGGCACTACCCCGGTGTTTCCCATATGTGAGCCTGCCTTTTACGGCCTGGATGCTTGACTCTCATTAGCATTGCTGAAGAAAGGCTGTTGACTGTACACGGGGGCAGCTCCAGGACTTACGTATTGAGGGATTTGGGGGCAGTGTGGTGGTCAGAGAGGGTGGGGTCTCTGCTTATTGAGCACACTGGCTTTTGGGGAGATGCTGATGGAGAATGCAGAAGGGTAAGACCCTCTCCCATCACCTCCACCAGTTCTTGGCAGCATCCCAAATTAAGCCTTTGTTCCATGAATGGAGCCAGCACTAGGAACCAGGAGTGCCGCATGCCAGTTCCAGCTCTAATTAGCTGGGGGACTTTGTACAATTCCAAAATTTTCCTAAGCTTTAGGATTCTGCTCTGCAAGGAGGTTGGACTTGGACCACATCGTCTCTAAAATCCCTCGAAATGATTCTAGGCCTTGGAGGAAGAAAAAGAAATTGGAGATACAGTTTCCATCCAAGGGAACACTAATGATGGTGAAACGATAGCACCACACGGAAACATTGATGAAACTACAAATGGTGAAAGTCATGGAAAACTCTTGCTTTTTGTCCACCAGCATCTACCCCCATTACTTCTGGCAATAGCTCCCGATTTCCATTTGGGAAGGTCACGAGGTTCTGCTTCCAGGGATGGAACTCATGACCTACAACATGTCCTGAGTCCAGCCACTTCTCGCCAGCTCTGTCACCACCCCCGTTCCAGCCACTACTGTCTGGCCCCTGTGGCCCCCACCCCTCTCCACATAGCAGCAAGGGGGCTTTTCCAAGCATAACTCATGTCATGCCTCTTCCCTTCCGAAAAGCCTGCAGACTCCACCATGGTCAGAATGAAGCTCTGTCTCCTCCCCATGCCGGCAGGGCCCAGCCTCCCATGGCGTCTGCCACTTCCCCACCTCTCCTCCCCTTGTTCTCTGTCAGTCTACTTTCCTCTGTCCATACTGGCCACTTTGGCTCTTCCTTCACCAGCCTGGCTTATTCTGCTTCAGAGCCTCTGCACTGGCCCTCTCTGCCTAGAATATTCTGTGCCCGGATCTTCTCGCAGCTTCTATTCTCATTGCATTCAGGTCTCAAATGTCACCTCCTAAGAGAGCCATCTTATTTAAACAGCACTCTACCCCATACCCCACATCAATCTCTACCCTCTGAATCTGCTGTAGGTGGTTAATTTTTTTAATATCTGTTATTTCCTAATTTTGTATCATTCTGTTTGATGTATTTGTTTGTTTTCTGTCTCCTACTGGTAAGTAAGCCCCAACAGAGCTTACTGCCTTGTCAATATTATGCCCCCAGAATGCACAATAGTAGCTGGTACATAGTAGATGCTCAATAAACACTTGATGAGTGAGTGAATGAGGTCAATCTGAGCATTCAGTGTCCCAGACATATTGGTTGGTTCTGGTTTGGGGGTCACATGACTTAACCTGGTCCAGGCAGAGTGAATCTCAGGACTTTGCCAGAGCACTGGGTGACAGGCACCTACCTGCTTTGGTCTGCTGGGCTAAGTGTTGTTACGGTGTGAGGCTGAGGCTGCCAGAGCTTCCAGATGGAGTCAGGAACAGGGGGCCAACCCAGGGGAAGAAGGACCAAGGGGCAAAACCTGCTGGCATTCTTAGAACCTGAATAAAGCCATACCTCAAGCTAGAACTTTCTATGACTTTTCTAACTAATGTGAGCCAGTTCATTTCATAAGCACTGTCTAGTTAATCTTCATACAACACCAGAAGAGTTCTGCTTACCCACATTTCCCAGATGACAGAATCAGGCTGAGGAAGAAAAGTTGAGTGACTTAGTCAAGGTCACACAGTCAGTAAGGGTCGGGTTAGGGCTTGATTTAAGGTCTTCTCGCCCCAGTGCTGTGTTCAGTATTCTCCTCCCCAAGGCCTCTAATGGCCCTTTTCTGGGGAAGGCAGCAGCCTTGCTGACATGACAGAGCTGGGCCAGGGTGGAGTCAGGTCAGCCTCGCAGCAGAGCAACCTGTTTGTGTTATTTCTGTTTATATAGGGCTTTTCTTCAAAGCACTCCACCTGTTTTTGCAAATAACTATTACAAGCCTTTTCTGCAGCAAGTCAAGAAGAGACAAGGCAAAACAATGGCAACAGATGTTCCCCAGCCTTAGAAACTGGTGAGTGGCCATGCTTGTCAGCTGATGCAGCTGACAGAGCCCAGATTAACAGCACAGGCCTCTGTGATCTGTCTTTGAGAAGTGACGTGGCACCTCACAGATGTTCAGTCCTCATTGTCCGTTGGCCCCACCAGCAGGGTATGAGACGATGAAACTCCTTATGTTTTAAAGAGTGGCCAGTGTCTGGCCTTTGTCCCTTCCAGGCTCCTCTCCCAAGAGCTCCACTGGGGACGGCTTTGTTGGTCTGGACCGTGAAGTTCAGCTGCCTCTGCTGGCCCTGCTCCAAGGATGAGCTTTGTTTCTCTGAGCTGGGTTCACACCATGTGAGTCCTGGGTCCAACTCCTAAGCCTGAGGTTTCCCAGCAGCCACCTTCAGATTGACTGCCCAGGTGACTGTTCTCAGGAACAAGCCTGCAGGGAAACATCTCAGCCACACTTGTGCCTGAGGTGGCCAAACAGCATCTAAAGGACTCAGAGGAAGACCAAGGGGTGGCCTAGGCTCCCCTGCCGAGCCCCCAGGCTCTTAGTGAGGGGTGGGAACCATGGGAGCTACCTCCATTCATCCATAAAGCCTGCTCAACAGCCCTTTCCTTTCCTGGGCCTGGTTAAGAACCTGCAGTGCCTCTCACTTTGCCTCCCAGCCAGGCCACTGGGTTCCTTCCCAGTGCCTGCCTGCTCTGTACTTGGACCAGGGCACAGCTCAACCTGAGTCTCCTACCTGGGTGGTGGCACCTATCTCAGCATATGGCCCTGCAGAATGAGGCTGAGAAGCTACCTAGTGGGCAGTCTGAATTCAACTAGTAAAGATCAGTTGAGTTCTCATGTGGACTCAAGTATTCACTTCTTTGGGCAGTTCTCAGAAAACCAGAGTCTAGACAGAGACTGGCCAGTTTTTGTTTGCCTTTGGCTAGAACCCACTAGGCTTGTACTAAATGACCATCTGGCTGCATACACATAAGGGTCAGGTAATTCCTGTAAATCCACGGTCTTCAAGCACAGAGGTGCATCAGATTCAGGCGGAGAAGACTGGGCTCCGCCTGCAGGGATTTGGGTGCTATGAGTCTGGGATGGGTTCACTGCATGTTTCTGCACCCCCACACCCCAAGGCCTTTAATTTCATAGACATAAAGAAAAGTCCTGCAGATATAAGGAAATGAGAGGTGATCTCAGTTGATGGGGGAGACAGTGGCCCATCAGCTACTAGGTTTCAGCTGAAGATCAGTACAGATCCCATGTTGCAGAGAAGAACAGAGCCAGTGAGCAGAGCTTCTCCCTGGCTTCTCCATTCTCTTCTTCACAGGAGGGGACAGGAATCCCCTCATAATTTGTCCCTATGACAGCCGAGTTGTCACCACTTGGGGAGCAAGGCAACCCCTGATGTCATCAGGTGCAACACATAGCCAAGTGAGCCCAGCGCTGGCCAGGCATTGGTTATGCACTGCACACACCCAGCTCTTTGTCTGGCTCACTCCTAGCCAGACTGCAGAGGCATTTGATAAGTGGCAGCCATTCAAAGCCAGAGGGACTCTACCCTGTTAAAGGGATGCCACTCTCAGTCCTGATGGAGACAGCGAAAGGGTGGATGTCTTTGGGAACAGCCTGCTATAGCAGGAAGCAAGCTGTGCATTTGTTAAAGGATCACATTTCGCCCTTGGGTTAACTGGCTCGGAGCAAGCAGTATCATCTCTGCTCTGGGAGGTTGTTTGCATAGGCTTTCTCCGCAGCTCTACCGGGCCATGGGCGGCCATAATATTACTGTCAGCAGTAACAGCTGGCACTTTCCAGGTACTCAGGAAACTTATTAATCCCCATTATGACTTTATCAGGTGGGCACTAAAATTACCCCCCGCCCTTTAGAGATAACTGAGGCGCAGAGAGGTTAATGACTTGTCTGAGAGCCCGTGCCAAGGGAGTATCAGCTCTGGACAGTGAACCCAGGCAGTCTTGCCTCTGGAGTTCTCCACGGCTTGGACAGGAGAACAGGGCACCAAGTGAGTCTCAAGTCTGCCAGGCCAGTGCTCAGGGACCCATCCATTGGAGGGAGTGGTGAGGTGGGTACCATTTGCCTCGTGGGATGGAGCAGCTGGTGTAGTCTGGGCACTTCAGGTCAAGGGTTTTGTGACTAATGCCACAGATATGTGATTGGGTGACTTTTTTTTTTCCTTTTCATTAAACAAATTGTAAGATTAGTGACTGGGGCATTCCATAAACGCACATCAGAGTGTTCCAGAGAGGTGTGGCTGCTAGGGCAGAGAGAGAAGGCAAACACCAGCCACCTGAAGGGCTGGGGGAACTCCAGCTTCTGCTTTCCAAAGACACAGCTTCCAAGAACAGCAAAGAGAAGCCAAACCAAGCTCCAAGGAGCATGCCCTGACAGCCGGCTGCAGATCCCGTCCAGGGTGGCTGGGCTGTTGCGGTCCTAGAGGATCTGTGGGTCCCTCTCTCCCTCAGCCAGGTGTCTGGACACCTGAGCAGCAGTCCCCCTCCAGGGTCCCTTCCCTGCCAGGCATCAGAGCCACAGGGGAGACCCACATGGAGACTGCCTGGTGCAATTGCAGCTGACAGCATCTCCATAACTCACGAGCATGCTCTCACTGTGAGGAAAGCCACCTGCCCTCTCTTCCTGTGTGTGTCCGTCCAGGAGAGCTCTCCCTTGCAGACACCTTTAGGGGAGGGAATCAATGGAATGGGACTTGTTGTTAGCAGTCACCGCCCCTGCTGGAGCCAGTGGGCATATGGGAGATGTCGGATGGTTCTGTTCAAACAAAAGAGCACAAGCTGTGGGTGGAGGCAGAGGGCAGCTAGCGAGGACAGAGGAGGCTGGCGGGTGAGAGGGTGTTTAGAGTGGCGACTGAGGCTAGCTCCCTCTTGAGGTTGGTGGTGGAGAGTGCAACTGCTCCCTCAGTGGCTGTGGCAAAGTTGGTTAGTTTTCGTAAAAACCAAGGAAGTTTGCCCACTTGTCAGGGATGCCTTTTTGTTTTGTTTTGTTACTGATGTCATAGATAAGCAGGCCCCGTCCACATGGGGCATGTCTCTATGCCTGCAATACTTTTCATTTTAGAAGATGAACATCAAGACTTGTGAAATTTTGATGAAGAGAGGGCATACTGTCGTGAGCCGGATGTGAGCCCTGGGGCCAGCCTGCACTGGCTGTTTACATTTGGGCAAGGCTGTGACAAACAGAAAGGTGCTTGGCTATGAGTCACCAGGGAGCTTCCAGAGCTCCTTGGGGAGCTTGGATCTTGTCACACTGCCTTCTCTGAGGGGCTGGGGAGAGAAGCGGAAGCCAGTGATAGGATTCAGAGCTGGAACCAGAGATAGCAGGTCAGGGCGGTAGGTTTGGTACTGAGGGGAGAAGGTTCATTTGGGACAAATTCACTGAGGCCTTGGGCAGAGTGATAGTGCATTTTTATAGGGCATCAACCCCTCACCTGTGATGGGAGGGCAGAGGTTGGCATGCAATGGCACTTATACAAGGGTAGATTCCCTCCTTTCTGGATGACTGTGAGGTGCACCTAGACTGTGGGTTATGGGAGATCCTGCCAGCCCTGGAGTGCCTGGGGCCACTGGGGCAGGGCCACAATGCTTTCCCTGTGGGCGCCCTGGGCTTGGTGACCTCCAGAGTCAATGTTAGTCAGGCCATTGTTGGGCCAGTTGTGTTTGTTAAAGCTCTTTAAAACAACATGCACAATCACAGGCCTGTCCCACAACTGGATTCATGACTCTGAAAGGGTTTCTTGTCCAGGCAGAACCCCCTAGAAGGCTGGGGGCAGGGACGGGGCCGCCCCTTGCTTTCCCCAGTCTGGCTGCCAGCCCCGCGACTGCAGCTGGCACTGGCTGTGAGGCTGGGCCTGTGAGAGGCTCCGAGCAGCGGAACAACACAGTCCTTGAAGCCCATCGAGACTCAAGTTGGCTGTGGGGGTGGAGGACAAATGGGGAATTATCCTGAGGCTTCCCTGCCCTCTGCTTTGCCAAGGGTTCATAGTGGACTTGCTGGGAGGCACAAGGGCAGGGGCTAGGAGAGTCCAGCTGTTACAAACCCAGGGGCTCCTCTGCCTAGAAACCCCTTTCTAACCAGGCCAGCACAACCAGCTGCAGACAATAGTGGCAAAGCAGCCAGCATCCCTGCTTGGGCACTCCTCACCATGCAAGGGAGGGAGGAGCTGTGCTGGGGCAGGCCCTGCTCTCCACACCTGGGCAGGCAGGGCTGGGGATATTAATATGAGTTATCTGAGTGTTTTCATGCCAAATGCTGTGCTCAGCACTGTGCTTATCTTACAAAAATTAACCCACGAGATAGACGCAGCCAGTATAGCAAGGCGGTGTCCAGGGTCGCATGGCCAGTAAGTGCAGGGCCAGGATGTGATCCCAGCTCTGTCCAACTCGCATGGGAGCTCTTCACCAAGACAGGACTTGCAGGACTCAGAAGATGGACGCACTGTGTAACTGTGAGCCCACTGCTTCACCTCTCTGAGCTGCAGGTACCTTACATGTGAAGAGGGGCTAATATGACCCCCTTCTGGGGCTGGGGTGGGGGTTAGCTAAGATGAAGTATGAAGAGTGCCTGCTCTGCTAGGCACACTGTAGGAGTTAACTTGACTCTTTGTCCTCTTCAGACCTGGAGTGCTCTCATCGAGGCCCAAGCCAGGCATGAGGGGGGTTGGAGTCACTTCCTGCTTCCCTTTCTGCCTCAGAGCATGTGACACTGTGTGTGCTTGGGTACCCATCATGTCTGTGAGGCTGGGCAGTGACCTTGACACAACCACTGCACCCCCAGCTACTCCCTTCCCTGACAGGTGGCTTCATCTTGAGCTGGGCTCCTGCTGGGTTGGGAGAACACCCCCGACACCCAGGACCTACAGAGTGGGGCCTTCCCCTGCCTGGGATGCCTATCCTTCCCCTGGACCTGCTGCCCCTGAGGCCCAAATCCCAGCTCTCTACTGCCTCTTATTCGCCTCTCTCCACTGTGGCCCCCATTTCCTGGCAACTCTGACGGAGAGTATGGTAGGCCGAATAATGATCCCCCAAACATATCCCATCCTAATCCTTGGAACCCATGAATGTTACCTTATATGGCGAAAAAGAACTTGGCAGATGCGATGGACTTGAACACCTAGAGATGGGAAGATTATGCCATCCTAAGTGCCCTTACAGGAAGGAGTCAGAGGGAGATTCCCCAACCAGAGAGAAGAGGAGAAGGTGATGTGAAGATGGAGACAGAAACTGGAGTTTTGTGGCCAGAAGCCAAGGATGCACCAGACGCTGGAAGAGGCAAAGAAAGATTGTCTGCTAGAGCCTCTGGAGAGAGTGTGGGGCTGCCAATGCCTTGACTGCAGCCCAGTGATACTGATTTTCAACTTCCAACCTCCAGAACGATGAGAGAGTACATTTCTGGGGCTGGGACTGTTTATCTTTTAGCTTTAAAAAATTGTGTAAAAATACATATCACATAAAATTTACCATTCTCACCCTCTTAAAATATACAGTTTGGTGGCATTGGTGCATTTACGTTGTTGTGCACCCATCAACACTATCCATCTCCAGACTTTTTTCATTATCCCAAACTTAAACTCTATATTCATGAAAATAAATCATCCATCCTCCCCTCCTCACTGGACCCTGGTAACCACTATTCTACTTTCCATCTCTATGGATTTGACTCCTCTAGGTATCTCATATACATGGAACCGTATAGTATTTGTTCTTCCGTGTCTGGCTTATTTCATGTAGCATCATGTCTTCAAGGGTCATCCATGTCACAGCATGTGTCAGAGTTTTCTTCCTTTTTCAGGCTGAATAATATTTCACTGTGTGTAACATCCATTTTGTTTATACACTTATTTGTGGATGGACATTCGGGTTGCTTCCACTTTTTGGTCATTATGAACAATGCTGCACATTTCTGTTGCTGTAAGCCACTAAGTTTGTGGCAATTTGTTACAGCAGCCCTAGGAAACCTTGAGATGTTGATTGGACCCTCGGCCTTCCTGCATTCCATGCTATAAATCAAGCAGAAGCACAGAATTGCTCCAGGTGTGAGCAGCTGATCCCCTGCATCAGAAGCACTTGGGGGAGGGTGGAGATGAAAGACTTTTAAAAATGCAGATTCCTAGGTTCTACTGTCTGCTGTGTCAGGTTAGGGCCAGGGAAGCTGTATTTTTAACATGTGCACCAGAAGATTGGTATATGCGCTAAAGTTTGAGAACTTGTAGTTTGAGACCTGGTGGGTTACTCTTCCCAAATGAAATGTGTGGTTATGTGCATCTTCTGGATATAATCCCTTAACCTGAAGAGATGACCTTCTTGGCAGGGGTGTCAGGCATGGGGGGTGAGGCAGGTCTCTCTAAGCTTTCAAATCACGTGGTAGACAGTGTGGAAAGATGAGAGAAAACATCTGTTACTTTAAAAGTCGAGTGCGATTTTTTTCATTGGTCTGGGAGGAAGATAATTGTTCCCAGAGGTTGAGTGGCCCTATTGTTTGGGAAAAATGACAGGAGCCCTGCTACTGCTGAGAGATCAGGTTCTGGGCCTGAGCTGGATGAGTAAAGATGAAACAAAGGAAGGCTAAATTGCTCTTGGAAATGAAGAAATGTTGAAGGTTTTTGGTGTCCAGGATGTAGATGAGTTGAGAAGCTAGAAGATCAGACCAGCAGGAGATGACAGAGTCGTCTAGAGGCAGCTCTGAGGGGGTCATGGGGCCCAGTGGCATGGCCTAAGGCTGGAACATATGGAAGACGGGACCAGAGAGGAAGCCTCCCTGGGAAGCAGAGGCAGCCTAAAACTAGAAGTGATGTCTGCCTGATCATGAATTTACCTTGTAGTCTATGCTGTAATGACCCTCTTTTGGCCACCAAACCTTCAGTAAAATCTGTTATGTGTAGCTTGTGTACAAAGACCCTTGCAGAAAAGAGATTTTGTGCCATAGCAGAACATCCCAAGAAAGGGGAGACGGGGGCATTGCAGGAATTGTGGTCCAGCGAGGAAGCAGACTCTAGGCAAGGACCGACCAGAAGAATGTGAGCTCTTACTGCTACAAATGCATGGATACATTCAGGGATGCTAGACCTCCTGCACCAGGAATGGGGACTTTTCTCAATACCAATACCATTTTATTTGGTATTGAAGAAAAGGGGGGTCCAGAAGGATGGAGAACCTTTGGAAAGGATGGTTACACATAGGCAGAAACTGACTAGTCTCTCTAGGGAGCTGGCTCCATGGAAGTCACCTAACTCCATGCCTGTGCCTTTCAGCACCTTTTTAGGTGAGTGGGTCCCTTAGCTCATCACTGAATTGAGTTTTCAGACATCACAGCTGGAGGATCTTTGGTGAGAGTCTCTCTGATAGAAGGTGGGTGGTGTGTGTGTGAAACAGAAGGTTCATCCAATTACTGATGGGCTAATAAAAACTTTCAATGTTCTGAAGGTGGAGATGAATAAAAAACACAAACTTTTCTTTTTGATATTTTTCCTACATTCTCCTAAGCCAAATGCTCAAGCATGTGGAATTTAAATAATTGTTTTTAAGTCAAATCAATTTTGGAACCGAGAGAGTTGGAGGTTTATAGACTCCTCGGTCACTGGCGGATTGCTGATTAATGACGCTGGTGTCTGTAATTATACTGCTGTCAGGAGGCTGAGTGTCCTCGATAAATCCAGGCCCATCTGCCTTCCCAAGACACCAGGAAAGGAGTGTCTTGATTTATGCCCTGATTGGCACATATTCTCTTTACTGTACCTTAGAGAACTCTCAACTACATAATGGTTTGAGAGGTCAATTTTCATCTTGCTTGTATTGAGCAACCTAGAATTTAAGTGTCCTTGCCCATGATTGTGAGGACATAAATTGGGTTTTTCTTCTCATTGCTCTTTTCGTTCATTTTTCTCTAACTTACCTCTTTCATATGAAAAACTGGGTGTGGTAGATCACAAAAATTCAGAAAGGGGTGACAATTCCCACCCCTCTCTGAATCCATGCCCTTTAAACGTGGCTTCACCACTCTTCCCATCAAGAGACAGAGTCTATTTTTCCATCCCTTAAATCTGAGCGGGCCTTGTGACTTGCTTTGGCCAATAGAATGTAGTGAAAGTAACAATGTGCCAGTTTCAAAAAGCCCCGCGGCCTTTTGCTCTTCTCCCTGTAAGAACTCTGCCAGGCCTTGCTGCTGGTTGATGACGGACACGTGGTCCATCTCTCCCCACCACCTCCATAAGTAGAAGCAGTGCCTACATGGCCTGTGGCTGGGCCCAGTGGAGACCAGAAGAACCCCCCAGGCAGAGCTTGGCTTAAACAGCCTGATTGCTGAATCATGGGCTAAATGAATTGTGGTTTTAAGTTTGGTTTGCTGTGCAGCATTATTGTGGCAATAAATAACTGATCCCCTGGGTACCTACTGTATACTACTGCTGTTCTAGAGTTTGGAGCCACAGAGAATCAGAGATACAGAGGTGGATAATGCATAGTTCTGGCCCTTGAGGAGCTCACAGTCTGTGGAGGCAGACAGCCCCAACAAACATGCCATTCTAATGGGAAGTGACAATGGGGACAATTTTTCTTGAACATTATCTATGTGCTGGACATGATGACAGGCATTTTATCTACATTATCATCCCACTTAGTCTTTGCTGTAAGGCTATGAAGCAGACGCTATTATTGGCACATTTTATAGGCAAGAATACTGAGAACCATGGAGGTTAGGGCAGGACCTGATTCCAATCAGCCCCTGGTTTCTGCCAGCCCCTGATGCCCCTCTGTAACAGGCATAAAGCATTAAGGAGTCAGAGGAAGGGGAAGCTGGCACTCAGGGGGTAGGGGCAAAAGCTTCACTGGGACCTGGCCAGTGGGGGAGACTGGAAGCCTGAGGTCATGGGCTCCCAAATCAATCCAGGGGTGAGCTGTTGTGATCTTGAGCTGGAGAAGCTGATAGGATACATTTGGATGGAGACTCTGCTGGGGAACCTGGAAATAGCACCAGCTATTTTTAGGGTGCAGGCTGAAAAAGACAGGACATAATCCTCAGGAACTAGGGTGCATAAGGACAGGAGGAATTTTGTGTTCCCCATGACAAGCAGCATTTCTCTACTGCAGAGTATTCAACACCAGACAATGCCTGATTGGGAATTTCCGCATGGATTGTATTTTTTAAAAAACACATCATAATTAATAGGAAATTCAGTTTTTTTCCTCTATTGTTTTATCTGCAATGCCCTTTTAAGATGTTTGTTTTTAAATGGGTTATCTAGCTTCCTTCTGATGGCTCGTCTGGCTGAAGTGATTCCACATGATGCTGCGACCTGTGTGATGGGTCAGTCCCGGGAGCTACGCTCCACTCTAACCGACATCTCCTTCCCTCCTTCCACATAGAGGGGCATGGAACAGACAAAAAGTGGGTCTTGACATTTGCGGGGGTGACTTTCAACTGTGAGCTCCTTAAAGGTAGCACTCACCTCTGTTATAGTTATCGCTCCCTTACTGTGAGTGAAAGTCAGATGCAATACAAACAGCTAGCATGTAGGGAACATGGTGTCCGGGCATTGTTGTGGTTCTGTGTGTTAATTCACAGAAACACAGCCACTATTATTGTCCTAGTTTTACAGATGAGGAAGCAGGCAGGCAGGGAGAGCTGTGTCTAAGGCCTCACAGTGGGAAGGAGCACAGCATGGGTTTGAACTGGGCCTTTTGCGTCTGGAGCCCGGGATCTTAAACACTCCCCTCCGCTCCAGTTGTCTGGAAATGAAGCCCTGGGGTCAACAACCTGGGTGAGGTGAGGCTGCGGGGCTGGGCGGGTGTTTCACTTTTTACTTCATGCACTTCTGTCATTGATTGAGGTGATCATGTGATAAATATGCAAATCTGGGGTGGTGGAAGGAAGAAAAAAATACCTTAAAATATATATTTTTTAAACATGGCATGTTAGAGCTGAAAGTGGCCTTGGAGCAGATCTAGCCCAAGGAGGAAGTGGTCTTGAAGGTGAAGCGATTGCCCCAGGCTCTATAGCTAGGTGGTAATGACAGAACCTGGCTCTCTGGACTCTCCTTGTTCCTTCCTCTCAGAGCTGCCTAGAGGACAGTGGCGGTGCTAGCGCGCGGTGGGGGTGGAACTATGGTCTGAGGCTGGCGCTCCTTCACCTGCCTTTCACACCCCTCCTTCCCTCTCACTGTGTCTCCTGGGCTTGCCCAAGTGCCCGGGGCTCTCGTGCTGGCCCCAGCCTGATCACAGTAACTTTTGGGGACCCCTCTTGGGCCAGCTGTTTCGGACATGCTCCATGTTCTCCTGACCTCTCTCCCAGTCAAATCAGTCTTATGTCCAGGAATCAGTCTTATGTCGGATTCTTTAAGCCTATCTGGTCAAGCTGGAAAAACTAATCCCAGCTAAAGAGTGAACAATGGATGCTATTTTCCCTCCTGCAGGTTGTAGCTAGATTTTAACAGTGGCCTTCAATGACTTAAAGCAAAAGACTCCTATTGCCATTGCAGCAGCCAGGCTTGGCTAGTGGGGGAAATATTTTAAGAATTTAATGCTTCAGTTAATGTCTTTAGCAGCAAGAAGAATTGTTAAGTGGGAAGGAAGAACTAATTGCAGGGCCAAAATAAATTCCATTTTCTGGCAAGGCCAGTCAGACCAGTGATGTCAACCATAAAATCCCTTGTTCTCTCAGTTCTTCCCTTTCCAAAGAATTGCCCTCCTCTGTGGCCATTTGCGGAGAAAAGGGAGGCTGTGCTATAACCATGGAGGCAGAGAAATGTAATCCTTCAGACAGGAGCTCTTTTCTGGGATGAATGTTTTGTTTTTACAGCATCATCCCTTGGCTCATTTTATTCAATGACCTTGCCCTCATGCTGAACCTTCCTCAAAATAAGAGTGGTCATTTCCTTTTCCCCATTCCCTGAAGGCGACACGGCAGACAAGTCACTATTGTGTAGTTCTGAGGGGGAGGCGGGGGCATGCCGCTTGGAGGTTATGTTTACTGGAATCATTTCTTCCCAGTAAATCCACTTTCTGAAGTCCCAGCCACTTCCTCTCTCAAGTCACACAGTGGGCTGTGATGGCTGCAGAGGAAGTGAGGGCCAGGGAGCAATTCTGAGCCTCATCCTGTATTTAGGATTCTAGCTTCCCCTCACTTCCCTGGAGGCTTTGTTCTGGAAAACAGCACTTGTTTTCCATGGAACAAAGGTTTCTGGAAAGCAAGAAGGCCATCCTGGAAGAGCCCTGTATGGGACAGTGAGCAGGGAGCCATGTTCTGGAAGCCCCTTGGGGTTATTTATTATTATTATTATTTTTTGCTAGGGAGGCCAAGCTAGGATTCAGGGCCCAGGGTCCTGGAGGGCAGGCACAGGAGGTCAGACTGCACCTGCTTCTGGCAGGGTCGGGCTCCAGGCTAGAATCACAGGGGCTCAATAATTATGGAGGGCCCTGTAGCCCAAAGCCTGCAGTTCTAGATCTGGCTCTTCAACAAATATACTTTTATTTCTCTGAGCCTCTGTCACCTGCAACATGGAGATAGTAATACTTTTCCCTCTTACCTGGTAGAGGTTGGTGTAGACTTAAAGAAAACAATAAAGGCACAGAGGTTATTGGAGTTGGAAAATGAAAAGGATTACTATGTTCTCCCCACCACTCTCCTCTGCATGTTTTGTCAAGACAGAATGACCTTTGATCATTTTGTGGACCTGGGGGCACAGCACACCCAGTAAGATGCCAGTCCCCTCCCTTGTGAAGGGTGGGTCCTGAGATAACTCCCCAGATTATATGGCTCAGTGGACACTATTTCCAAAGTGGACAGGAGTATAGTATAGGATATTGTAAGTACGCTGGGAAAGCATGTTTCCTGCTTAGCTGAATTTGGGAAACACTGGATTGAAAAAATTCACTACATTCAGATCTTCTCAGAGTATTTAATATGCTAACTTCATCAAGAATTCCGAAGTGAGGGGGCATAAAATGCAACCTTTCCCAGATGTTTTTGATCACGGAGAAGTATTTTTCTCATGGAACAACTATTCGTGTGTCTCAGAACAGGGTGGTAAGTGCTGATGTTCATTCTTATGCCTTTGGCTATACAAAATATCTATAGTCTTTATTGATTTTGACTAAACAACATCATGCTGTTCTTGAAATGAGCCTCATTAGAAAAAAAAATCCACTGCTAAAAACCATTCTCTTGGACTTGTACTTTTGGGAAGATGGAATAAACATACTTTCCCCTATTCTTCCTACAACTTAAAGCCATTAATATTATATATAAAACAAACACATAAAGACTCTGAAAGGTAGAGGGAAGAAGGCAGGTGGTTAGGACCTTGGGACCCAAGGAATGACACAGTGATGAGTTCTCTGGGTTTTCTTTTTGCCTCATACGTCCCAGACTTGCAATTGAAGAAGCCAGAAACCTGGAAACAGCAACAAGCACAGGCAAAAAAGTGCCCATAAAAGCTAGCTCTCTCTAGCCAAAGTACCAGGAAAGGGGCAGCCTAGCAAGACAGAACCCTTCCAGACAATGACAGCTCTACTGCAGCCAGACACCATGGAAAAACTTTGGCCCACTTCCACCCTCATAAGTGAAAGCCAAGTGGGGAGCCCAGATGTCTGTCCTCATTACGCCATGATGCGGAGCCCTAACGCCCCCAAAGAGTGGGATTAGAGAAGGCCAAGCAGAGAGCCAACTTTTGTCCCTGCTGGCCAGTCATGATGCACACCTCTCCCCACCATGTCTGTGGAAACCACAAAGGGAGCTTGGACTTCCCTCCCCACCTGAGAGTATGACATGCACCTCCATCCTCGGCTGGGGTGGTGTTAGAGGAGACCTAGTGGAGAGTCAGGACTTCTACAATTGCCCAGCAATAATGAGGCCACTTCCACAATGGCGTCAGTGGAGACCACATTGGAAGCCAGAACTCCCACCCACCAGCAACAGCAACGCACACTCCCCTCCCCTATGTCAATGGAGCCTGAGTGGAGAAACTGGTATTCTACCTCCATGTGTCAATAATGAGGCAGCAAGTTCCCTCTTCCCCTGCATTGTCAAAGAAAGCCAGCTAAACCAGAAAATAATATGAAGATGTCCAGGTTTCTCTTCAATTGTCATCATACTTAAAAAGACAATTGATAGATGGCAACACTGAAATGACAGATGATAGAATCATTTGATGAAGGTTTTTAATGCAGCTGTGGTAAAAAAGCTTCAACAAGCAATTATGAACACGATAGAAACAAATAGAAAAATAGAAAGCGTCAGTGAAAAAAAACTCTCAACAATGAAATTGATAATATAAAGCAGAACCAAATAAAATGTGAGAAATAAAAAACACAATCAGCAAAATTTTAAAACCTAATTGATGGACTCAACAAGAGAATGGAGGGGACAGAGGAAAGGATTGGAGAACTGGAAGATAGAAAAATAGAAATTATCCATTCTGAGCAACAGAGAGAAAACAAACTGGAAAGAAAAACCCCAAACAAACAAATAGAGCTTTAGATGCTGTTGGGACCATAGCAAAAGATCTAACATTTGCATCATTGGAGTCTCAGAAGAAGAGAAAGAGGAAAGGAATTTTAAAATATTTGAAGAAACAATCACTGGCAAGTTTCCAAGCTAAGCAAGAGATATACAATTACAGACTTCTGAAGCTGAGCAAATACCAAAGAGAATAGACTCAAAG
The DNA here is from genome assembly GCF_000001405.40 of Homo sapiens. Lineage (NCBI taxonomy): Eukaryota > Metazoa > Chordata > Mammalia > Primates > Hominidae > Homo > Homo sapiens. Next base: position 158,713,589 of record NC_000002.12, on the reverse strand, counting down.
AAATCCACACCAAGACATGATAATTTAGTTTCTGAAAGCTAAAGACAAACAAAAAATCTTGAAAGTGGCCAGACAAAAATGAAACCTTATGTACAAGAAAAAAATTTAAATGAAGGTGGATTTTTTCATCAGAAACCATGGAAAACAGAAGGAAGCAGCATAATAATTTTTAAGTACTGAAAGGAAAGAATGGTTAGAATTCTATAGCTAGCTAAAATATCCTTCAGGAATAAAGAGAAAATCAAGACATTTTGAGATGAAGGAAGATGAACAGAATTTGTTGCAAGTAGACCAACCCTAAAGGAAGTTCTCCACACATAAGGAAAAGAAAAAAAGAAGAAGGAACTTTGGAATATTAGGAAGGAAGAAAGAAAGTGTTAAGCAAAAATATGAGCTATTACAATAGGCTTTACGAGAGTTTTCTAAATTATGATTGATGGTTGAAGCAAACATTAAAACACTTTCTAATGTGGTTCTGAATATATCTAGAGGAAATATTTAAGGCAGTAATAAAAACAGGAGTGTAATGTAATATAAAGGAAGGTGAGGTTTTTATATTTATTCAAACTGGTAAAATGTCAACACCAGTAGACTGTGATAAATTATGTACATATAAAGCAATACCTAGAGCAACCACTAAAAAGCTATGCAAAGATGGCTGGGCGCAGTGGCTCACGCCTGTAATCCCAGCACTTTGGAAGGCGGAGGTGGGCAGATCACTTGAGACCAGGAGTTTGAGACCAGCCTGGCCAACATGGCAAAACTCTGTCTCTACTGGGAAAAAAAAAAATAGCCGGGCATGGTGGCACATGCTTGTAATCCCAGCTATTCAGGAGGCTGAGGCATGAGAATAGTTTGAACCTGGGAGCTGGAGGTTGCAGTGAGCTGAGATCATGTCACTGCACTCCAGCCTGGGCAACAGAGCAAGACTCTGTAAAAAAACAAAACAAAAACAAAAAAAAAAAACTCTGCAAAGAGATAAACCAAAAAATTATAGAAAAATCCTAATGGAATTCTACAAAATATTTAAGCAACCCACTAGAAAGTGAGAAAAGGAAAAAAGTAACTGAAAACAAAAGAAATAAAATGGCAGAGATAAGCCCTAATATATTAATAATCACTTAAACTGTAAATGGTCTAAAAACACCAACTAAAAGGCAGACATTGTCTAAGTGGATCAAAACACATAACTCTACTGTATGCTGTATATGAGAAACTTGCAGCAAATATAATGATAAAGGCAGGTTAACAGCAAAAGATGGAAGCACTCCAGACCCATTAGGATGGTTATTATTAAAGATACACATAAATACACACAAACACAACAGAAAATAACAAGTGTTGGCAAGAATGTGGGGAATTTGGAACATTTGTGTGCTGCTGGTAGTAATGCAAAATGCTGAAGTCACTATAGAAAACAACATGGTGACTCCTCAAAAAATCAAACATAAAATTATTATATGGTCCAGCAATTTTACTTTTGGGTATGTATCCGAAAGAAATGAAAGTGATGACTTGAAAAGATATCTGTATACCAATGTTTATATCAGATTTATTAACAATAGCCAAAACGTGGAAGAAACTTATGTGTCTCCTAATGGATGAATGGATTACAAAAATGTGATATATACATACAATGGAATACTATTCAGCTTTAAAAATGAAGAAACTTGACATATGCTACAACATAGATGAATCTTGAATACACTCTGTACTAAGTGAAATAAGCCAGTCACAAAAGGACAAATACTGTATAATTTCACTTCTATGAGGTACCTACAATAGTCAAATTCATAGAACTAGAAAGTAGCATGTTGATTTCCAGGGGCTGAGGAGAGGGGGAAATGGGGAATTATTGTTTAATGAGTATAGAGTTTTAGTTTGGGAACATTAAAAAAGTTCTAGAGCTGTATGATGGTGATGGTTGTTCAACAATGTGAATGTAGTTAACACCACTGAACTGTACACTACAAATGGCTAAAGTGGTTAAAAAAGTAAAAGGCTAGAAAATGATATATTACGCAAACATTAATAAAAGGAAAGCAAGATTGGTTATATTAATATTAAAGTAAATATCAAAGGAAAGAAAATTACCAGAGACAGAGGAGGATGTTATGTCATGATAAAGGGTCAATTGCCAAGAAAAAAGTGGCAACTCTAACTGCATAGGCACCAAACAACAGAGCTCCAAATATGGATAGCAAAAACTCACAGAATAGACAGGAGAAATAGGAAAATCCACAACTGTATTTAGAAAGCACAACACGCCTCTCTCAAAAATTGATGTAGACCAGGCACGGTGGCTCATGCCTGTAATCCCAGCAGTTTGTGAGGCCAAGGCATGCAGATTGCTTGATCCCAGAACTTTGAGACCAACCTGCACAACATGCCAAAACCCCATCTCTACCAAAAAAAAAGAAACAACAACAACAAAAAACACAAATTAGCCAGGTGTGGTGGCGCACGCCTATAGTCTTAGCTACTCAAGAGGCTGAGCTGGGAGATTACTTGAACCTGGGAGGAAGAGGCTGCAGTAAGCTGAGATCGTGCCACTGCACTCCAGCCTGTGCGACAGAGCAAATCCCTGTCTCGAATAAATAAATAAATAATTGATGAAAAGCTAAACAGAAAATCAGCAAGGATAGAAGAACTCAGCAAATATTAATCAACAGAATCTTATCAACATTTATAGAAAACTCCATTCAAGGCCAGGCGCAGTGGCTCATACCTGTAATACCAGCACTTTGGGATGCCAAGGCAGATCACTTGAGGTCAGGGGTTTGAGATCAGCCTGACCAACATGGTGAAGCCCTGTATCTACTAAAAAAAAAAAAAAAAATTAGTCAGGTATAGTGGCGGGCGTCTGTAATCCCAGCTACTTGTGAGGCTGAGGCAGGAGAATCGCTTGAACCCAGGAGGTGGAGGTTACAGTGAGCTGAGATTGTGCCACTGCATTCCAGCCTGGGCAACAGAGCAAGACTCTATCTCAAAAAAAAAAAAAAAAAAAAAAAAAAAAGAAAAGAAAAGAAAACTCCATTCAGTAACAATAGAATACATGTTGTTTTCAAGGGCCCACAGAACGTTATACCAAGATAGACCATATCCTGTACCATAAAACAGACCTTAAGAAATTTAAAAGAATTGAAAACATACAGAGTATGTTCTCTGACCCAGTGAAATCAAACTAGAAATCAATAACAGAAAGATAAATGGAAAATCTCCAAGCACTTGGAAACTAAACAGCACACTTCAAAATAATCCATGGGTCAAAGAGGAGGGCTCAAGGAAAATAAAAACTACCCTGAAGTAAATAAAATGAAAATACAACATCTTGGCATTTGTGGGGCACTGCTAAAACAGTGCCAAGAAGGGAATGTATAGAACAAAATGCTTACATTAGAAAAGAAGGAAAGTCTGAAATCAATAACAGAAGCTTCCAACTCAAGAACTTAGAAGAGCTCAAAATAAACCCAAAGCAAACAGAATGAAGGAAATAATAAAGGTAATATCTGAAATCTATGAAATTGAAAATAGAAACACAATAGAGAAAATTGATGAAACAGAGGTTTTATTTTTTTTGAAAAGGTCAATAAAATAGTCAATTTTAAGAGTAAAACTGACAAAAACAGAGAGAAAACACAAACTGTCAATATCAGCAATGAAAGAGGGGCTATCACTACAGACCCTGCAGTTATCAAAAGGATAATAATAGACTGTTATGAACAAGTCTATATACATAGTTTGACACCTTAGGCTGAATGAACCACTCCCTCAGAAAAACACAAATTACCGCAACTCACCCAACATGAAATATATAATTTGAGTAGACCCTATAATAATTAGGAAATTTAGGCCAGGCACAGTGGCTCATGCTTGTAATTCTGGCACTTTGGGAGGCCGAGGCGGATCACCTGGGGTCAAGGGTTCGAGACCAGCCAGGCCAACATGGCAAAACCCCATCTCTACTAAAAATACAAAATTAGTGGGGTGTGGTAGCACGTGCCTGTAATCCCAGCTACTTGGGAGGCTGAGGCATGAGAATCGCTTGAACCAGGGAGGCAGAGGTTGCAATGAGCTGAGATCCTGCCGCTGCACTCCAGCTTGGGGGATAGAGTGAGACTCTGTTTCCAAAAGAAAAGAAAAGAAAAGAAAATTAGGAAATTTAATTTCTAATTTAAAAACTCTCAGAAAAAAAATCTCCAGGCCAGATGGTTTCAATGGAGAATTCTACCAAATGTTTAAAGAATAATTAACACCAGTTCTACACTATCTCTTCCAGAAAGTAGAAGAAAAGGAAATATTTACTAATTCATTATATGAAGCTAGTATTACCCTGATATCAAAGCACAGTGAGATACACCCTTATAAGAATGGCTAACATAAAAAATAGTGACAACATTACAGGTTAGAGAGGATGTGGAGGAACTGATCACTTCTAGATTGCTGGTGGGAATGTAAAATGGCATAATCATTGTGGAAAGCAGTTTGAAAGTTTCTTTAGAAAAAAAAAGAAACATGCAATTACCATATAACCTAGCAATTGCACCCTTGGTCATTTATCACAGAGGAATGAAGACCTATGTTCACACAAAAACCTATATGTGGGCTGGGTGTGGTGGCGCATGCCTGTAATCCCAGCACTTTGGGAGGCCGAGGAAGGAAGATCCCTTGAGCTTAAGAGTTTGAGACCAGCCTGGTGAAACCCCATCTCTACAAAAAAAAAAAAAAAAAAAAAATTAGCCGGAAATGGTAGCATGTCACTGTAGCCCCAGCTACTTGGGAGGCTGAGGGGGGCGGATAACCTGAGCCCGGGAGGTCAAGGCTGCAGTGGGCTGAAATTGCACCACTGCATTCTAGCCTGGGTGACAGAGACCATGTCTGAAACAAAACAAAACAAAACAACAACAACAACAACAAAACCCTATACATGAATGTTTATAGCAGTTTTTGTAATAGTCCCAATCTGGAAACAACCTAGATGTCCTTCAATAGGTGAATAGCTAAGCACGCTGGTACATCTATACCACAGGATACTACTCAGCAGTCAAAAGGAATGGACTATTAGTACAGTAACAACCTGGAGGAGTCCCCAGAGATGAACATAAAAAGACAATCCCAAAAGGCTACGGACTCTATGATCCCATTTATATAATGTTCTTGAAGTAATAAAATTATAGAAATGGAGAACAGGTTAGTGAATGTCAGGAGTTTTGAGGGAATCTAGTGATGATAAAAATGTTCTGTACCTTGACTATCAATGTCAATATCCTGGTTGTGATACTGTATTATAGTTTTATAAGTTTTACCTTTGGAAGAACTAGGTAAAGGATACCTGAGATGTATTATTTCTTACAACTACATGTTACGGAATTGTAGTTGTTTCTTACAACTATGATTATTGCAAAATTAAAAGTTTAATTTTAAAAATTCTACATGGGTAGAGGAGCAGATGAAATTAAAATTCCCTTTCACATGCTTGGCAGGATTGGCATTCACCCAGCACAGGTGCTTGTCTGAAAGGCAACTTGCAGAGTGAACTAAGGTGTTGCAGATGTCTCAGGAGAAGGGGCACAGTGTAGTAGAAGAGTGCTGTATTTACAGCTGAAGACCTGGGTGTGAGCCTCAGTTTCCTAACTTACTAGCATGTGACCATTGGTACGTTATGAGTCCCAGTGCTAAAATTGGCCAAATGGAGATAACCGTACCATAAAGGGATGCTGTGAGAAGCAGACAGCACCTTGTGAGTGAAAGCCTCCCACACAGATATCCTCCAGCAGTTGGTCTAGAAGTCACAGATTCAGGATGGGACTCCAAACGCTGGCATCAGTTGAGATTTATCTAGAAACCCCTGCTGCATGTATGCAGCGTACTGTACTATGCCTCCTGCGGTGTGAAGTTAAGTCATTTAGTATAATTCAGCGCTGAAAGTTTAGTTTGTAATGGAGAAGGAATATATCCCTCTAAATCAGGGGTCCCCAAGCCTTGGGCTGAGGCCTGTTAGGAACCGGGCCACACAGCAGCTGAGCAGTGGGCTAGGGAGCATTAAGGCCTGAGCTCGCTGTGATTTTTTTGTTAAGCCAGACATGATGCATTGGGTAAAAGAACATGAAGAAAACAGGTATTTAGTAATGTAGTGGCAGGATATTGGGGAGAGGAATGTTCTATAGTCCTATGATTAGCCTCAGTGTTCTAGTGAGTCTGTACCCCTGGTCTATGACCTCCACAAGTGTGTCTCTGCCAGGGGCAGAGCCTTAGGTGGGACAGTAAGTCTAGAGGGGCCTGGACTTGGGTATTTCCCTTTCCCCAGGAAGGTTTGGCTCTGATAAAACTCCCGCAGGTTAGGGTCTAGTAAAATAGTTTCTCCTGAGGTCAGGCCCTGTTTAGAATACTTTGATATATTTCAAAATAGTTCTTGTGTGTGTGTGTGTGTGTGTGTGTAAAAGCTACAAGGGGATATTTCTCTTATCTGCTGTCAGAACCTGTTTGGGCTCCTAGAGGTAGAACCCACAAAAGTGTTGAGGTCCCCTAGGGTTTTTAATCCTCAGACTTATCCACATTGAGGTTCCAGAAATTGAGCAATTACAGTTTAGGGTCTCCTAGCCCAGCTCTGGTTCCCATGGGGGTCTCTGCTCATAGGTTTCTGCTCCAGTAAGTTGTGGTTCTCTGTATCCTCCTGTCTGTTTCTGCAGTTTTTGGGGCAGCAATTTGCTCTAAGACCGCACTTCCATGCTGGATCTAAGAAGAGCTGTTGAGTTTCAGTTTTTTCGGCTTTTTACTTGTTGGGATGGAGTGGCAACTTCCAAGCTCCTTACCTGCTGAACCAGAAACCACAAGTCTAAAGGGTTGTTTAAAAGAAATATACAGTTGTTTCTTCAATTTTCTATTTTACAATTGGCATGGTAAGCAAGCTACTTTATTTTTTTTTCTGGACAAACTGATGTCAGGGTATATGAAGAAAAAGCCCCAGGAAGCATAGGACCCTTGGAGGGGCGGAGGAGTGTTGTAGCAGCCAGTGAGCACAGCATTTATTTTCTGCCTAGAAACCCTATGGTTTGTCCATTGTCAACCTGCTTTCCCACAAAGGATAGACTTGGAAATCAGGACCCTGTCCCTTGCAAGATCTCTGACTGTCAAGAAGGATATTTGTCATAAGCTTTAAGGGAAACATCCACGTAAAGGAACCAAATGAACATTGGTTGTGCCATCTTGGCAAAGCATGGCCAGGGATGCTTTGATACAATTAATCCTTCCTGTGATGCTGTGCCCCTTTCAATAGTGTCCTAACGAAACTGCCTTTGCAAAATTATAACCGAGACAGGTGTAAGAGATCTGACCTAACCAACTCTATCTTGCTTTCAACATCCAAGTTGTCCTTGTTCATTCCTAGGCATAGGCTGAACTAACTTTGAGACAAATTTAGTTTACATATAGTTTAAAACAAAGATCATAACAGCCCTTTCCTAAAACAAACCCGCTTCTTGCCTGGGTACTAGACTGCCTTTGTAGGACTAACAAATTAGCCAAAAGATTAGAAATTATGATTTAGGAGTCATGCAGCTAGAGGCTACAAGATTCTGACCCTTCCCAAATTGCTCTTGGGATTAACATCACTATTGTAAAGCCCAGCATCAGTGCTTGAGATATTTTGCAGACCCCTGCATTTGATGGGTCAGCTGGCACCACCCAGATAGATAAACTGGCTCATCTGCTCTTGTGGCCATGACCCAGGAACTGACTCTTGAGGCCTTGACCCAGGCACAAGAGGACAATTCGACTCCCTATGATTTCATCTCTGACCTGACCAATCAGTGCTCCTGACTCATTGGTGTCCCACCCACCAAATTATCCATAAAAACTCTGATCTATGAATGCTTGGGGAGACTGATTTGAGTAATAATAAAACTCCAGTCTCACACCCTGCTGGCTCTGTGTGAATTACTCTTTCTCTATTGCAATTCCCCTGTTGTGATAAATTGGCAAGGTGAACCTGTTGGGTGGTTACATTAATTTAGTTTTCTCAAGAACACAAACTTCTAGAAAATTTGTATGGTCTTTGTATGAAGATTATTTAGGTGACTATCTAGACAAGCTGTGCTCAAAGGCAAGACAGCATAAAGGCTTGGAGCAAGGTCCCCAGAGTCCGATGGAACTCCACTACCTGCACTACTTAACTTTGTGAACCAAGGTTTCCTTGTTTCCAAATCAGGGAGAATAATACCCACTTTTTTGGGCAGTTGTGAATATACACGGGAGAATGCATGTCAAGCATTCAGCACAGTGCTCACGACATGGAGGGCGTAAATAAGTGCTGCAATGACCTCATTCTTTTTCCTCCTGTGGAGCTGTTTGCTAATACAGCGGCCCAGAGACAGGGAAGGAGGATAGCCACAAAAAATATGAGGAACTTGATATCTGTATTTGTCTGTTTTCACACTGCTATAAAGAATTGCCCAAGACTGGGTAATTTATAAAGGAAAGAGGCTTAATTGACTCATAGTTCAGCATAGTTGGGGAGGGCTCCGGGAATTTACAATCATGGTGGCAGGTGAAGGGGAAGCAAGGCACCTTCTCCACAAGGCGGCAGGAAGGAGAAGTGCTGAGTGAAGGGGGAAGAGCCCCTTATAAAACCATCAGGTCTCGTGAGAACTCACTCACTATCATGAGAACAGCATGGACTTGTAGCCATAGACTTGCAGAACACATGGATGATACAAAAAGAAGAGGATCTGCAGGGTGACCTAATGATTCAATTACCTCCACCTGGTCTCTCCCTTGACATGTGGGGATTATGGGGATTACAATTCAAGATGAGACTTGGGTGGGGACACAAAGCCAAACCATATCAATATCTGACAAAGGCCCTCCCTGGGTGAAAATGGAGTTGGAGACTTTCAATTGTCTATTGTTGTGTAACAAACCCCCTCAAACTTCATGTTTTAAAACAGCAATCATTTAATAAAGCCAATGGCTCAGGAATTTGGACAGGTGACAGTAGGAATGGCTTGTCTCTGCTCTGTGGTATTTGGGGCATCAACTGGAAGACTGAAGGCTGGGAGGTGGAATCTTCTGGAAGTTTCTTCACTCAGAGGTCTACCACCAGGGTTGGCATTATTTGAGTTGGGGGCAGGGGGCTCATGAGTCATTTCTCTTTCTCTTTCTCTCTCTACGTGTGGTCTCTCCACCGTAGTGGCCTCAGGATGGTTGGACTCCTTACCCAGTGTTCCAGTGAACCATGTGGGACTCTTACAGCCATCTACAACCCAGTCTTGAAAGTTTTTGCATCATTTTCACCCTACTCTGTTGGTTGAGGTAGACACAGGCTCACCCAGATACAAGGACAGGGGACATGGGCTTTGCCTTTCAATAGGAGTGCCAAAGAAGCTGTGGCCATGCTTTAAAACTGCCATCAATACCACAGACTCCACACAGGCCCTGGTGTTCCTCTGGGCTTCATTTTTCTGTCCTATATTGTGGAAAGAAAGGAAAAAGGAAAAATGGTTTCGTGCGGGAAGGGAATGAACCTGCCTTTTTGGCGTCTAAAATTGGTGGTAGAAGGCTGGGAAATGCCAGATTCACCTTCTTTATTTTCACTTCTCTGTAGCTGCAACCTGGGTATTTAGGAGTTAAAGGTAGGCAGTGGATTTTTTGTTTTGTTTTGTTTTTTAACATCGACTGCCCTGCTGTTACTTCTGGCTAAAAGGTAATTTTTCTCTAGGGTGTGGTGGGTTAAATAGTGTCCTCCTAAAATTTGTATCAACCTGGAACTTCAGAATGTGACCTTACTTGGAAATATGGTTTTTACAGATGTAATTGGTGAAGGATCTTGAGAAGAAATCATCCTGGTTTTAGGGTTGTCCTAAATCCGATGACTAAGGTTCTTTTTTTTTTCCATGATAAGCAATACTTTATTATGTTCAGTTCTTCTATGTACATAAAAGAAACACAACATTTCTATTTTTAAAAAATCTGAAAATTCCACCTTTGCCCTTAAAATCAGCCTTTTGACCCCAATTTAGCAAACTTACTTTGTAAAACTCAAGATAACCAGGAAGGGCAAACATTTCAAAAACAGTAACAAGAGGGAAAAAATAATTGAAGCAAATTACCCATGTGTAACAAATTGGGCACATTTATCCTCTGTATTTCCTTTGAAGGCCATAAACATTGTGGAACCCTCCAAAATACTATCACTTTTTGTGTCATCATCTTCTAGTCCAGAGTCAAAATCCATCTCTGAGTCTTCCACTGTTGATGAACACAAGGAAATATAGATGTCGTCTAAGTTTGGAAGGTCATCCAAAACCCTGGTGAATATTATTCCAGAAGCGTACGCCAAGGGGCCAATAAGAAAACCAGAATCTCTTTCTAAATTTTTATCATGTATCCAGGTCATCTTCTAAGTCCAAACAAGCTGGCATTTTTAGGGCTTGGATTTCAAGGTAGCAGCCAAATCAAAATTCTGTTGAACTCTCTGACCGCTCTCAGGAAAATTAGTTAGTAGGACCTCCCTCCATTCTTCCCAGTACCTGAGCCCTGCCCTAGCCCTCCAGGGAGGGCCTTGAGTGCCAGTCCGGGCCCTGCATGCCCGCTGCCCTCCCTGTGTGCACCTGTCAGTTCTTGTGTGCACCCGCCTGTCTGTTCGGCTGCTCACAGTTGGCCTCATGGAGCCAGCGGGAAGGGGGAATGGGCTGGTCCAGGCCTGACTAGGGTTCTTATAAGAAGAGGAGAAGACAGAGAGGTTCACAGGGAGGAAGGCCATGTGAAGACGGAGGCAGAGATTGCAGTTTTGCTGCCACGAGTCAAGAAACGCCTGAGGCCCTCAGAAGCTGTAAGAGGAAAGAAAGGATCCCCGTCAGAGCCTTTGAAGAGAGCATGGCCCTGGTGACAATTTGATTTTGGACTTCTAGCCCTCTAGAGCTGTGAGAGAATAAATTTCTGTTGCCCAATTTATTATGGCAGTCCAGGAAACTGATACATAGGCTAAATCCATGGGTGGACTTTGGATCCACAGAAACATTAGAGCAGGATTTGTAACCCTGGCAGTATTGATGTTTTGGGCCAGATAATAATACCAATATTATTATATTATTATTATTATTATTATTATTATTATTATTATTATTATTGCAAAAGGGTGGGCTGTCCTACGAGATGTTAAGCAATGTCCCTGGCTTCTACTGGCCAGTAGCACTTCAGCACAGTTGTCACACCAAAAACTTCTCTAGCATTGCCAAATGCCCTCCTTTGAGAATCACTGCATTAGACAGACAAGCTTGTGACCCATGAAGATGACTGCTCTGAAGAATTGGAAGCAAATAAACACTTGGGGTTTTGCCTTTGATATGGTTTGGCTTGGGGTCCCCACCCAAATCTCATCATTGTAATCCTTATAATCCCCATATGTTGAGGGAGGAAACTAGTGGGAGGTTATTGGATAATCGGGTCAGTTTTCTCCATGCTGTTCTTGTGATAGTGAGTGAGTTCTTGTGAGATCTGATGGTTTTCTAAGTGTTTGGTGGTTCCTCCTTCACACGTGTTTTCTCACCTGCCATCATGTAAAATGTATCTGCTTCCACTTCCACCAAGATTGTAAGTTTCCTGAGGCCTTCCCAGCCATGTGGAACTGTGAGTCAATTAAACCTCTTTTCTTTATAAATTATCAAGTCATGGGCAGTACTTTCTAGTAGTGTGAGAACAGACTAATACAGCCTTCTGGGTTTCTCTGCAGGCTGACAGAAGACAGGTAATAAAATTGATTTGACAATGCTATTGGTTGTCTCTTCTCTGCTTGATTTATCTCTCAGCCTGGACACATTCTATAACTCATCATCTTGAAAGGAGAGACAGAGATAGAGAGAGAGGAAGAGAGAGAGAAAGGAGAAGAGAGAGGGAGGGAGGGAGAGGAGAGAGAGAGAGAGAGAAACAGGTGGTTGCAGAACCCGACACCCAACCACCCAACACAGGTCTTTACCCTGGTCTCAGCAGGGGCCTTCCTAGAAGGTCACATTGGAACATTAGAATCAGGGTCATAGTTTCTGTGGCTGTGACAGGGAGTCCTATACCCTGGCCTAATTTGGCTCCTTGGAGAATGGCTCCGGAGGACAGGCAGACAGGAGACAGGAACTGTGAATGTAAGTCCAGCCAGTTCCTCTGAGGCCTTAGTGCTTCAGAGGAAGACAGCCTGGTTAAAACAGGATTTACACATCTATTGATTTTTTTCCCATTTAATCTTGACAACATTCATTTTCTTTCCTAAAGAGTCAACTCATTAATCGTTCAGGTGCAGCTGACTTTTTCTTATTCGTAGTGACAGGAGTTACTGATGTGTAGCTAATGGGAACCACAGATAATCCCAACCTTCACTGGAGTTCCTCAACATGGCTTTGACATTTCATTGAGAGCCTGGGAGAGGAGAGATACCCAAAGACAGACCACTAGGGGAGGGAAGCAAAACATCTGGGAGATCCACAAAAATAACCAGAACATGGCTGTTTGAGTTGATTTTCTTTTTTGTTTGTTTGTTTTTTTTCTGCCTTGGTTCTTTGGGTGGGGAAGCCATACTTCAAAACGAGTCAGCAGAGTGTGACAGCGCAATACCCTCAATGCCCCTCCTCCCACCCCATGTCTGGCAGGACAATAGCCTCCCCACGAATCTGTGAAGAATACATACCAACAAGCTCCATGGGTGCCTGAAACCTTGGATAGTACCTAACCCTGTGTGTGCTATGTTTTTTACTATCCAGTAAGTCCTCATTTAATGTCATCAGTGGGTTCATGGAAACTGGGACGTTAGCAAAATATAATGAAACCAATATAGTAAAACCAATTTTACCATACAGCTAATTGATATAAACAAGGGTTAAATTCCTAGGGCAGATTTCTGGTTACAAAAACATCATCAAACTTCTCAATAAAGACCAAAATGCTTCTAACATTAAACATTGAAATAAATGTGAGCTATACGTACATTTAATAAAGTAATAAAAACAAAATAATGATTTACCTAATTTTTGATGAGTCAGTGAGTGACAGCCGTTGTAGTCATGGTGGGTTAAATCAAGGAATAAATATTTACAAAGAGAAAATTTTAAGGAATACCCCATACCACCACACAGTTCAGAAGCAGTCATAAATACTGCAGGCTTGCTGAGTCCTTTCATTTTGCATAGTTTATCGTCATGCATTTGTATGATTATTGTCTACTTTAAAAAAATTTTACAATAGTTTGTATTCATTCACTCATTCTTTTACCAACCCACTTATTTATGGGTGGCTGAAGCCTGTTTCTGAAGCTCAGGACGTAAAGTGGGAACCAGCCCCGGCCAGGACGACATCCCATCGCAGGGCACACTCACACACACCCTCACACTCACTCACACTGGGACAATGTAGACATGCCAATGAACCTAAGGTGCACATCTTTGGGGTATGGGAGAAAACCAGAGTACCCAGAGAAAACCTACACAGACGTGGAGAGTATGTGTGACTCCACACAGACAGTGGCCCCGGCACTGAATCAATTTTTTTTCTCATCAGCTTTACAATGAAACAACGTTGAATAAAATGACATTATTTGAGGACCTGCTGTACTACATACCTATGATAAAGTTTAACTCATAAGTTAGGAGAGGTAAGAAATTAACAACAACTACTACTAAAATAGAACAATTATAACAATATGCTATAATAAAAGTTATGTGAATGTGGTCTCCCTTATTCTCTCCTTCTAAAAATATCTCAATATTTTTGGACAGTTGTTGACTGTAACTGAAATCATAGAAATCAAAACCATGGAAAAGAAGGGACTGCTGTATTTGGTCCATCTCTACAACAATGAAGCACCCTCTCACACTTGGCGGGAGAACTCACCAAGGCCCTTTACAGTCCTGACCTTAGACCTGGTCGAAGAAAGGGGTTCCTGCTCCCGGCCTCACACGTCACACACACACACACATAACACACACACACACACACACACACACACATGCACACACAGCATTTATTAAAGAAGACATGAGAGCTTCAGTCACTCAGGACTCATAACTCTCAACGACTGCTGTCCAGACACACTGCGCATGCCTCAGGGAGGAACTTCTTCCCATCTCGTGCCACAGAAGCTCAAAACCCAATGCTATTGAGACTGAAGGCCTTGAAGGTGTGGGTAGAACTGAGGCCTAGGTCAGAGATAGAGTGCTTCAGAGTGCAGGAAGAATTTCAGTAGTGAAAATGCCAAGGACAGAGAAAAGAAATAAAAGGAATCCATCACAATCATGCTTCCCTTCCGATAGCATGAATGTGATGGATTCCTGCATCACACAGTGTCAGATCCCAATGGACAGGAATTCACTGCCTGCTTCTTTTCAAGTTGTTGTTGTTCTCCTTTCTTCTCCTCCCTCCTCCCTCCTCCCCCTCCTTCCTCCTCCTCCTCCTCATCCTGTCCTTCTCTTCTTTGGATAGGTCTGCATTTTATTCTGGAATAATCATTATAATCTAACACAAGTATGGCTCTGAAAGGTAGTGGTGAAGGGAAATCCTCCTGGAGGCAGAACTTAGCTCATAAATCTGGTTTTCCACATTTCACAGGAGAGATGGACTGAAATATACATCTATCCTATGCTCAACTTTATTTCAGGTTATTGTCTAGTCTCTTGAATTATTAATTTATATATTTTGCCTTTTTACTTTCTCTGTGCTGCAATGGCCTGAATTGTTTTCCGTTGTCTGTGTACACCACAACTTATCCACTCACTAGTTTTTGACAGTTATGGATAAAGGCACTAGAAACATCCACGTGCAGGTTTTTGTGCGGACAGTAGTTTTTAGTTCCTTTGAGTAAATACCAAGAGGTGCAACTAGATTGTATGACAAGACTATGTTTAGTTTTATAAGAAATTGCCAAACTGTCTTCCAAAGTGACTGTATCATTTTGTATTCCCACCAGCAATGAATAAGAGTTCATTGTGGAACAACAGCTCCACATCCTAATCAGCATTTTGTGTCAAGGTTTTGGATTTTGGCCATTCTAATAGGCATGTAGTGGGATATCATTGTTTTAATTTGCATTTCCCTAATGACATATGATGTTAACATCTTTTCATATACTTACTTATCATCTGCATATCTTATTTGGTGAGATGTTTGTTCAAGGTTTTTGCCCATTTTTAAAAAATTAAATTAATTAATTTTTTTGCTTTAAGTTCCGGAATACGTGTGCAGAAAGTGTAGGTTTGTTACATAGGTATATGTGTGCCATGGTGGTTTGCTACACCTATCAACCTGTCATCTAGGTTTTAAGCCCAGTATGCAGGAGCTATTTGTCCTAATGGTCTCCGTCCTCTTCTTCCCCACCCCTTGACTGGCCCTGGTGTGTATTGTTCCCCTCCCTGTGTCCATGTGTTCTCATTGTTCAACTCCACTTACGAGTGAGAATATATGGTGTTTGGTTTTCTGTTCCTGTGTTAGTTTGCTGAGGATGATGGCTTCCAGCTTCATCCATGTCCCTGCAAAGGACGTGATCTCATTCCTTTTTATGGCTGCATAGTAATCCATGGTGTATATGTACCACATTTTCTTTATCCAGTCTATCATTAATGGTTTTTGCCCATTTTTAGTTGGGTTGTTTGTTTTCTTATTGCTGAGTTTTAAGAATTTTTTCATATATTTTTGGATAACAGTCCTTTATCAGATGCCTCTTTTGCAAATATTTTCTCCCAGTTTATGGCTTGTCTTCTCATTCTCTTGACCTTGTCTTTTGCAGAGCAGGTTTTTAATTTTAACGAAGTATAGTTTCTCAATTAGTTCTTTCATGGATTATGTCTTTGGTGCTATATCTAAAAAGTTATTTCCATACTCCAAATTATTTTCTCCTCTGTTTTCTAGTTTTTCTGTTTTCAGGTTTTTTTTTTTTTAGAGTGTCTTGCTGTGTTGCCCAGGCTGGAGTGCAATGTTGCAATAAAGGCTCACAGCAGCCGCAATCTCCTAGGCTCAAGCGATCCTTCTAGGAATTTTATAGTTTTGCATTTTATTTAGTTCTACAATCCATTTTAAATCAATTATCATAAACAGTATAAGATCTGTGTTTAGTTCATCTTTTTGCCTGTGGATAGTCTGTCATTCCAGCACCATTTTATTTAAGATGATCTTTGCCCTATTGTATTGCTCTTGCCCCTTTGTCAAAGATTAGTAAAACATATTTATGTGGGTCTATTTGTGAGTTCTCTCCTCTATTTGTCTATCCTTTTATCAATATCACATTGTCTTAATTACTGTAGCTTTGATAGTAAGTGTTGAAGTTGGGGAGTGTCAGTCTTCGAATTTTGTTCTCCTTCAATATTGAGTTGGCTATTCTGGGTCTTTTGCATCTCTGTATAAATTTTAGATTCAGTTTGTTAATATCTACAAAGTAACCTGCTGAGATTTTGATTGGGGCTCCATTGAATCTATAGATCAAGTTGGGAAGAATTGACAGCTTGACAATCTCATGGACTATCTCTCTGTTTATTTCTTCTATTTCTCTCATCAGAGTTTTGTGGTTTTCCTCATATAGATCTTGCACATACTTTGCTAGACTCATACCTAAGAATTTTTTTGGGGGGTGTGCTAATATAAATGGCAATGTATCTTAAATTCCAAAATCCACTTAATCATCACAGGTATAAAGGAAAGCAAATGACTTTTGTTTGTTTAATTTTGTACTCTTCAACTTGGCTATAATCACTTAGTTCTGGGAGGGCTTTTGGGGTGAGTTATTTTGGATTTTCTACATAAATGTTCATGGCATCTGTGAAAAAAAAAGTTTTCTTTATTTCTTCCCAATCCATGTACTTTTGATTTTCTTTTCTTGTCTTATTGCTTTAACTAGGACTTCCAGTACAATGTTGAAAATCAGTGGTGAGAGGAGACATCCTTGCCTTATTCCTGACCTTAGTGGGAAATCTTAGATTTTCTTACCATTGATGTTAGCTGTAGGCTTTTTGTAGATGTTCTTCAGCAAGTTGAGGAAGTTCACCGTTACTTCTATTTTACTGAGATCATTTTATTTTTATATTTCTCAATGTGTATCTTTTTGGCAATATATGTAGTGTTTTTCCCAAATCCCAAAGGTTTGACTACTGACTGACCATAACTATTTAGAGGAAAAAATTAGATATATACTGTTTTTTAAAATTGTGGTAAAAAACACATAATGTAAAATTTACTATATTTACCATTTTAAGTGTACAGTTCAATATGTTAAATATATTCACATTGTTGTGAAACAGATCTCCAGAACTTTTTCATTTTGCAAATCTGAAACTCAATACCTATTAAATAACAACTTCCCTTTCTTCTTGCCCTCAGTCCCTGGTAATCACCATTCTTTCTTTTTTTTTTTAAATAAATTCAACTACTTTAGAAACTTATATAATTAGAATCTTATATAGAAACTTATATAATTAGACAGCATTTGTCTTTTTGTGACTGGCTTATTTTACTTAGCATAATGTCCTCAAGGTTCATCCATGCTGTAGCTCGTGACAGGATTGTTTTCTTTGAGATGAGGTCTCAATCTGTCACCCAGGCTGGAATGCAGTGGTGCAATCCTGGCTCACGGTGACCTTTGCCTCCTGAACTCAACTGATCCTCTTGCTTCAGGCCCCCGAATAGCTGGAATTACAGGCACGTGCCACCAGGCCTGGCTAATTTTTGTATTTTTTGTAGAGACGGGGTTTCACTGTGTTGCCCAGGTTGGTCTCCAACTCCTGAGCTCAAGCAATCCTCCTGCCTTGGCCTCCCAAATTGCTGGGAATACAGGCATGAGCAACTGTGCCTGGCCTCCTTCCTTTTTAAAGATGAATAATATTCCATTGTATGTGTATACCACATTTTGTTCATGCATTCATCCATTGATAGACATTTGGGTCACTTCTACCTCTTGGCTATTGTGACTACTGCTGCTGTAAGCAGGGGTGTGCAAATATCTTCTTGAGATCCTGCTTTAAATCCTTTTGGATGTATACCCAGAAGTGAGATTGCTGGATCATATGGTAGTTCTATTTTTAATTTTTGAGGAAGCTGTTTTTCATAATGGTTGCACCATTTTATAGTCCCACTAACAGTCCACAATGGTTCCAATTTCTCTACCTCCTTCCCAACACTTCTGCTTTTATTTTATTTTACTTTTTACATTGGCAATCCTAATGGGTGTGAGGTGATATCTCATTGTGGTTCTGATTTGCATTTCTCTGATGATTAGTAATGTTGGGCATATTTGCAAATGCTTGTTAGCTATTTATATATCATCTTTGGAGAAATGTCTAATCAACTTCTTTGCCCATTTTTAAATTGGTTGATTTTTGTTGTCGTCTCTTCAAGTTCTAATGTGTGGTTCCCACAGTAGTAAATAAGGAGCACTGTATACACAACAGTTGCACATGGTGATTGAGGAACACGTGCAGTATTAATTCAAGTTACTTTAAATTTTAATGCATGACAGTCTAAAAGTAACATGCACGAAACATGAAAATGATTATTCTGGTACTAGGTAGATATACATGCTAGAATTATGAAAAGTTTCGTATTTGTCAAAATAGGTGAAATATTTAATTGAAAATTTAAAAGTTAAATTAATGGCAGCTTTATTTAAATTATTTGATTTAAAATTTTATATTAATACATTAAAATGTATAATTTGCCTTATCATCTTGAATATATTCAAAGCAAAATGATATTTTGGAAACATATGAAAAGTAATTTTGGCTGGGGGTGGTGGCTCATGCCTGTAATTCCAGCACTTTGGGAGGCTGAGGTGGGCGCATCATGAGGCCAGGAGTTGAATGGCCAACATGGTGAAACCCCGTCTCTACTACAAAATACAAAAATTAGCTGGGCTTGGTGGCGGGCACCTGTAATCCTAGCTACTTGGGAGGCTGAGGCAGAAGAATTGTTTGAACCTGGGAGGTGGAGGTTACAGTGAGTCAAGATCGTACCATTGCACTCCAGCCTGGGTGACAGGGTGAGACTCCATCTCAAAAATAAAAATAAAAGAAAAGTAATTTTATGTTTTTGACTTTTACGTATACTTTATACCTTGATAAAAATCTATTTCTACTTTTTGAATATACAACAATTTAAATATAATTACATTTTATTTTCTAATTTAAATGTTAATAGAACAAAAATTATGTAAAAATATTGACCATAAATCATCAGTGACTTTGCCAAAATAAAGGGAGGAAGTGTTTTATGAAATATTTATAATAATAAATTGTGTTTGTATTTATTACTCATCCAAATAATGCTTTCCCTGAATGAGATATATGCAATAATAAAATTCAATCATATTTTACATTTTGCAAACTTTTAGTCATATAAAAAAATCGTACCTTCATGGATACTTTAAAAATTTTGTTGTTATGAAAAAATAATTAAGATAAACATATGAGACACAGTTTATGTAACAGTTTGTTAGCAGATATATCTTTAAAATATCTATATATCTGTACGGTGTCCAGAATTAAGTTTGTATTGCACTGAGCTCTGCAAACATTAAGGCTGGGCCTGCACTTTTACTTCTCTAATCATGTTAGAAGGTGAGCGGGAGTATGGAATACTGGTCAGCGTTTATTGAGATGTTAGAAGGTGAGCGGGAGTATGGAACACTGGCCAGCATTTATTGAGATGTTAGAAGGCATTTATGAGATGTTAGAAGGTGAGTGGGAGTATGGAATACTGGCCAGCATTTATTGAGATGTTAGAAGGTGAGCAGGAGTATGGAATACTGGCTAGCATTTAGTGAGTGCTTACTGTAGGCACCATGGTAAGTGCTTTACATGCATGATCTCAGCCAATCCTACAATAACCCATTTTACAGATGATGAAACTGAGACTCAGAAGGGCCATGTACTTTGCTCAAGGTCACCCCAGTAGTTAGTGGCTAATGGGATCTATATCCTAGCCATTTAACTCCAAAATCAGACCTTCCAATCTGAGCTTCATAAATGCAGGTTCTTGCCTGTGGGAACAAGGGTGTCCCTACTGCCATGGTACAAGAGGGGTCCCCAGGCCTTCCTTTTCTCTCATTTTGGCCCAAAGCAGAAAATTTGTTAGTTGTGTCTGACTGTTCACCTGTGGCCTCTACAGAATGAGGACCAACCCAGGCCTTATTCTTCTAGACCCATCTCTCACTCCATCTTAGGAAGTTGGCCCAAGGGAGGGGGCCCCTGCCTTGGGGTGTGCGGGTGCCAACAGCATGTGGCCTTTATGCTCAGATCTGCTGAGGCTGGTGTCTTCCTTTCTCTCTGTCCCTTTTCTGTCTAGTCTAAAAACCTCCCCAGGGCAAAGATGAAACACTGTTTCATCTTGTTCTATGTGTGAAGAAGAACAAAAGATAGATCTTGGCTTGCTCATATCATAGACCCACTGACACCCTGTAGAACAGAGCATGGATTATAGATAAAACTTAAATCCATTTTTGCAGGAATTAGGCAGCTTACAGATGAAGGCAATATCTGTGTTTGGACAATGACTACCTCAGGGCCCTATGGCTTTAATGAAATTCTATACATCAAAGCCCTTTAAAAACCTCTGAGTCAAGATCATGCAAAGTGAACCCTATTCCTCTGGGCCCAGGAACCATGGTGAGAAGTGGTGGGGAGGGGACAGAAAAAGGCATCAGCCTGGTTGGGCCATAGTGGATGACAGCACAGGCTGACTTCTAGGTAGCCCCACCCCAGGGTTCTCTGAGAGATGGCCCCATTCCGGGTTGTGAACCTGTTAATCTCAGGAGCCACGGAGACACATCCATCCCTTCACCACCTCATGGGTATGCAGAGTAAGGAGGCACTGGGTCACTTAGCCCAAGCAGTGGTTCTTGAAGTGTGGTATGGGGACCCCAGGGGTCTTAGAGACTCTTTTTTGGGGTAGGCCACAAGATCAAAACTATTATCATGATGCTAACATGTCAATTTCCCTTTTCACTCTTACTCTCTCATGAGTGTAGACTGGTGTGTTCTGGAGGCTACATGATGTGTGATGTCGCAACAGTTTGAGTGCAGAAGCAGGTATGAGAATCCAGCTGTCTTCTCTTATGCCAGACAGGAAAGAGACTTGCAAACATGTAAAATGCTGTCATTATGCTTCCTGATTTTTTGAAAAATAGTTATTTTTCATAAAATATATAATTTATGTTAGCATATAATGAACTTATTTTTAAAAATGTATTATTAGGTAGTTTTAAAATTTCCAATAACCCCCATAAACTAAAGTTTGCTGGATTTTTCAGTATTTTCTAAGAATGTAAAGGAATTCTGAGACCAAAAATTTGAGAACTACTGACATTACTGAGTCTATAGAGCACCCCACATCATGTGGCATCAGGGGATCTGGGCCACTTTATATGCTCACTCTTGACATTTACAGAATGAGCAAATGGGTCTGGATTTGAATTAGGCTATTTTGAATTTAAGGGGACCTTACAGTCAAGAAGATATATTTTAATTATAAATGTATAGATTATGTAAGAAAAAAAAGCACCTTCAGCTATGAGTAGGGAAAAATAACTTTTATGTACTCTCTTATTTCAGAGATACTGGATTTCTGAATCCAATATTTACTGTAAGTCTTCTCTGAGCCTTCAATATGAACATTAGAAGTATTGTGAATCTCCCAGAGAAATACACTACGCTGTATTTTCCAGACTTATTTGATCATAAACTTTTTTAGGGATGACTTGCAGAGCTAATGTTCCAAGGAACGCACTTTGGGAAAATGCTTTACTCAGCAAAAGGATGAACTGCTCCAAAGACCTGAGAGCTGCTCAATGACTACAAGCCCAACTGCTTGCTCCAGTGCGAGAACAGGGAGGGCTGGCTGTGCCCTGTACTCTGGGGGTGCCCGGGTGGGTCTGGTGGAGGGTGGAGTGGGCCAGGAAGCATTCAGCCTAACCTGATGGTGAACAATGTAGCAGAGGGGAGAGAGAGGTGATTCTGGAGCCCAGGGCTGGCCTGGGTAGAGAGCAGAAATAGAATAGAAGCTTTTTAGATCTCGTGAGAATGTGGGATACTGGGGATGGGAGGGGAAGAGCAGCGCGGAGATGGGACAATGATGCTGTAAGAGATGAGAAGCCCAAGGCAGGTCTCACCTGCCTTACCCACCCAGTCACAGTGCAGGGAGTTGGAATGGAATGAGAGCTAGTCCATAAACCATCATTCTCAGCAAACTAACACAAGAACAGAAAACCAAACATCGCATGTTCTCACTTATAAGTGGGAGTTGAACAATGAATGAGAACACATCACACACCAGGGCCTGTCGGGGGGTGGGGGGCTAGGGGAGGGATAGCATTAGGAGAAATACCTAATGTAGATGACAGGTTGATGGGTGCAGCAAACAACTATGGCACGTGTATACCTATGTAACAAACCTGCACATTCTGCACATGAATCCCAGAACTTAAAGTATAAGAAAAAAACAAACAAAAGAATAGGGCATCCATGCTTACTCTCCCAAGAGACAAGGCTGCCAAGAGGAGCTCCTGTCCCTCTTTCCCTGTGCTCCCCAGCAGAGGGCCATTGCTGATCTGATAGGTGACAGCCTGACACTGCACTGTCACTTGGGGTGGGCTTTCTAACCTCCCTTTACTGGGTTTCCTCACCTGAAGAATGGAGTTGACAATAGCGCTTTCCTCTTTACCTCCCAGTGAGGTCATTTGCCAGAGGATCTTGCTCAGTGCTTGAGGTGGAAGCATGGACAGCTGATGGTGGTGGTGTTATTTCTTGGGCCATGTTTCATCCCTGGGCACTGGGCTGAAGGCTGGCCACCCTCTTGGGTTTTGTTCCCATGTGTAAGCACATGACTGGGTGGGGAGGTTAGCTCACACCTCACTGGATTTGGCTGTCCGAAGTTCCATCTGGGGAAGGGAGGAGAGAAGTGGGAAAACCAACTTCAACCTCAGGTTCAGCCATGTTCTCCAAAGAACTTGCTTGAAGCTTTGTCCCTTGGGGTGATGGGTGCTGGCCCAGGCTAACCTGGTGGGACTTCTGCCCTCAGTGTGTGTTAGCCCTGAGGCACTGGTGACAGCCCCTTCTTATCTACTCCCGTGAAAGAGTCCTATTTCACATATTGAGATTCAGTTTGGTCCAGAAGTTTGGATGTGCTGGGGTTTCTGAAGGCCCAGACATACCTTAGGGCTGAGACCAGAACTGCAGAGGAATACACCCAGGGGTCACGTGGATTAGAACACTATCAGCTTTCTCACTCCTGAGGTGGATTTGGGAACTATAGCTTGAACCAGAACAAAAATCAGTCTTCTATAGATACCTGGGTTAACTGAACTCACCCAACCAAAACTTGAGGCCTCCGTGCAGTGCAGCACCAGCCAGGATAGTCTGCCCTGCGAGGGAGGCCAGATGCTCCGGCCCTTTGCTGGGCAGCTGGGCTCCTTGAGCTTACTTTGTTTCTCCTAGTCTCATGAGATGATCCCTCCTTTGCCCCTGAAGAAGAGTGAGGAGTGAACAGTGAAGACAAAGATACAAGGTTTCATTCCACATCTTCCAGAATGTCTGTGCTTCCCTTTTTATAGACTTGCAGGGCTATGAGTGAGTCCTTATTGGAGATGGTCTTTGGTGGTAGGGCCCTTCCCTCCCTTTGAGGCAACAGCCCTTTCCCAGCTGAACTGCCTGGCCTCCTGCCCCTGCTCCTGCCCAGCAGAGTTGCTCCTTGAGGCTAAGCGAGGTTGGAGGGGTGGGGAGGTGCAGTGGGATTGGCCCGTACAGGGGAGGGCCTCTCTTCTGGGTTCTTTTGATTCCATGAAGTGTTTAGTCACAGGTCTGGACTCGGAGCATATTTTGTGAACAGGCCATTTGATAGTTTTCTTTTCGAAGGCATCAACTTTGATTTGCGCCAACATGCTATTTTCCTAGTAATCTTTGCTAAGGCAACGTTAAAATGGATTTGTATTATTTGAGCCTAATTTGGCTGGGAAGCTGGTAGGAAGCTGGAGGGGGATTCCTGGCTGGGAGAGGGTTTGTCACAAGGGTTGACTTTAGCATAAACATCAAGGCTGGAGGGGACGGCTGTTCTGCTTCCTTAGGGAGGCAGGAACAGCTAATGGGGTCTCTGGAATCCAACAGATTCATCTGGCAATCCCCAATTGAGGTGACCTTGGGCCACTTTATAGTTCTGAGGACAGTTTTCTCTTGGACATTGTTTTAGGGTTGTTATGAAGATTAAATGGGATAATGTGGTTAAAGCATACAGTACTGTCCTTGATATCTTACATCCTAGCAAATACTCATCAAAAGATTATTATTATTATTTTTAGGAGTGATCAAAAGGCTGAGATTTCTTTCATCTTCACCCCAAACCGCTGAGAGAAACTTGTTTTTTTGTTTGTTTGTTTTGTTTTGTTTTGGTTTTGTTTTTTTGTCTCTTCCTCTTGACTTTCTTCCTGTACTCACGTTCCCTGGCTTTCTCTGTAGTCTGCATCCCACCATTCTCATGTATTTCCTTTGTTTAAAGTTAACCCAAAGTTTAGCTTGAGTACATCTTGTTCTATTGGGCTTTCCTTGACAGCTCAACCCAGACTTGGTAGCTGCTAACTGCTCCGATGGACTCAGGAATGTTACAAATTCTTGGGGGCAATGGCAGACGTGTCAGCCCCAGATTACCCCACAGTGCCCAGAACATTGAAGGAAGATTGCCACAGACATACAGTGAGTCGCAGCGACTCTCATCTGGGTGGCTGAGGGAGGCAGCTGCTGCCTCAGCCTACATGGCTTGCCAGTCAGGAGCACACAGAGCTGTCTCTAGGGAGCTACTTTTTAAGGTCAGGTGTTGGCCATACATGGTTTATCATTATTTTTGTTTTTAGCTATATAACCTTTGCTAAAATGATCTCAGGTGGACATGGAATATAGAAAGCAGCGCACAGTGGGCTGCTCTTGGTGCAGTGGGGAGAGGCACCTGGCATCCCTCCCCTTGACTTTCGCACTTCTGTGGACTCCCCATGGCTCTACCCCATGGAGATTGGAAGCTACCAGGAGGGTGGGGCTTCTGACCATAGATTGCTGATGGTTACTGGCTTTCCGTGGTTAACTTTTACACTATGACATGGAGCCTGACTGCTGAGGACTCCTACCTCTAGGACAACTTGAGCTTGAGAAGTTTCATCCAACCTTACTTATCTTTCATGCCTAGGAGCCCTGGGTACTATGGCTTCTGCCCAAGCATGGGAATAATACAACACGTCTCCAGCTTGGAGCATACATTCATAGGAACCGAAGAAATAAAAGTGCAGAGGTCATCTATCATCTTGGGCAGAGACTGAGAGTGACTTCCTCCTATCCACCCCCTCCTTTTCCTTACTAACACAACCTACATGAGTAGAGGTGGCAATAGGACCTGGTAAAGATTCCTTTTCCAAGTGTCTCTTATAGATAGGAATGGCCAATGAGATGTATGGGCAGGGATTCAAGGAAAGCTTTTTTAGGGGTTTTGACTCAATTGCCAAGCTCCACTTTCCCAACTCCTTTCTCTTTGTTGAGGAATGAGGATGTGATGGTTGGAGCTCCAGCAGCTAGCCAGGAAGCCATGAGGATGAGGGTCCTACCCAAAGAGTAGGATAAAGCTTACTTTATGCCATGAGGGCATTTGTGGAACCCCATACTAGGAAGACAGACATTAGACTTTCTGTGGTCATCTCTTTATGTGGTAGAGGAAAAAACTACAAATAAAACCTCTTACAACTTGTCTTGTTGAAGCCTCAATTTTGGAATTTTTTTTTTTTTTTTTACTGCCAGCCAAATGCAGTTTCTCAGTGATGATATATCATCACCACACTCACTGATGTGGCCTCAGAGGACAATATTTGTAGCTTCAGGTGGTTTAGCATCAGCTTTTCTCCAATTAAGATGTTATATATCGACAGACCTGATTTCAATACCACTCCACCTCTCCTCTGATAGCCTTTTCCAAAGCAGTGTTAATTTTCAAAGAAGTGATTAAAAGGTTACGCAGAGATGAGAGGAAAATGAAAAATGAGAACCTCACCATTTGCAAGCTGAATAAACACACCATTATCTTTTGACCACAGTGAGAGACAAGAAGGAGACTGCTGGTCACTGTGGCCAGCCATAATCACAGTGATTTTGGTGGACACATATTTCATCCAGCCTTACTTATCTTTCATGTCTAGGAGCCATGGGAATAATACAACACAGGTCTCCAGCTTGGAGCATACTTTCATAGGAACCGAAGAAATAAAAGTGCAGAGGTCATCATTCAGTGATAGAACCTCCTGGTTTTTGTTTTTGTGAAGGCTCAAAATGCTTCCCTCATAGCACAACACAACCATTTCTACGATGGCCAGGACCCCTCCTGTGATCATCATTTCTAACCTGGAACCCATGAGGATTGAATCCTTTCCTCTGGTCCCCAGGAAACTGGGCACACCTCACTAGGTTCATTCTCACCTCTGGAAAGGAGAGAGCTGCCCTGGGTTGTGCTGGCACAACCACTGACTCTGGAGATCCGAAATAAAGACCCTAGAGGGGTTTCGTCCTCCCTGAAGTCATTTTATTAGATTATTACTCAGTGGGTGGCAGCTCCTCAAGGCCTTGGAAGCCAAACACATTACATTTCATTGCCAGCAAATAAAGGCACATTTCAGGGGGCTTCTGGGGAGTGAGTTAATAGTTATAAGGGATTTCTGAAGGAAGAATTGGATATGTTCCCACTGATCTCAGAATTACACCTTTGACCCAGCATAAGTTGTGTTTTATTTTCTAAGACAATGCATTGGTCAGCTCTGGAATCACTGGATGTGAATGGAGGGTGAAATAGCTCATCATATCATTAAGTCTTTATCAAAATTACCCCAAGCATTGGATGGGGCTTTAATAATGAAAGAGCTAGTTATGGCTCATGCAAACGATTATGACAGCACAAAATGCTTTTTAGTGATTTCGTTAGAATTAGGCAATAGCGATAGGCACAAACAGCCACTTCGGGGACATGCCAGCTGCTTCCAGCAAAGCTGCTGACATGAAAACAGGGAAAGGCACTAAAACAGACACAATCCAAGTCATAATCTGCTCGCTAATAATTTCCTTTTTGTGTCTGCAGCCTTTAAGGATTGTCCTGAATAAGGGTATTCATAAGGACAGAGAGTTAAGTCAAGCCATTACGCTGGGGCACAGCAAACTGCTATCACGAGGATGAATAAGGCTGGAGACCAAAGACAAGACTGATTAAAGGGTGGCGGAACTGATGAGTCCCAGCTGAGAAGCGTTCCTCTGTGTGGGTGGCAGCCCGTGCTGCACATGGTCTCTGAGGCCCAGTCCAGTTCTTGGCACAGGCCAGCAAAGGGCAGCTGTGTATCAGCGGTGGAAGCTGCCCCATGGAATTCCAAACATCATTTTTATCTTTGCTGCCCGCTAACTCCCTTCCCAGTTGCACACTAATTAAAGACTTTGGTTCCTCCACAGCAACGATGCCTTTTACCTGCCACAAAGTTCTCCTTTGAATTCAAAGTCTGCCCTGCATTTGTAACATTAAAAAAACCCCATTAGCTGCTCTGCCTCTGATTTCACTGACCTGTTTGTTTTTCTGCTGACATCTTTCTGGTGCTTTGATGAAGGGGCTTCGCTCCCACACTCCGTCCTGTGGCTTGGGAAGTACTGAGATGGGTGAGGTGCTTATTTACACAACTCTTTGGATCGTTAGGTAAAAGGGGTGACACACTTCTCACTCTCAGCAACATGTTGAGACAGGTGCCTGAGTGTTGCTTCTTAACTTACCTTCTTGTCAGCACACACCTGAATCTGTACAATCATAGCTCATCCAAAAGGACACCCCCTGTAGTGCTTTCCAAGTGTATATTTTCCAGAATTCTGTTTAAACTTAACTTGGTAGGCTGTGTATAGAACTACAAAGGCATTTTGTGCTCAAACCTTTTGTGTAAGAAACTATGTTTTCTAGGCCAGGCATAGTGGCTTACACCTGTAATCCCAGCACTTTGGGAGACCGAGGCAGGCGGATCACCTGAGGTTGGGAGTTTGAGACCAGCCTGGCCAACATGGCGAAACCCCGTCACTACTAAAAATACAAAAATTAGCCAGACTTGGTGGCAGGTACCAGTAATTCCAGCTACTCAGGATGCTGAGGCAGGAGAATCACTTGAACCTGGGAGGTTGGAGGCTGCAGTAAGCCCAGATTGCGCCACTGCACTCCAGCCTGGGCAACAGAGTGAGACTCCATCTCAATGGGGAAAAAAAAAAAAGGAATTATGTTTTGTTTATTTTTCTTAACTCATGGGAGACTAATAATCAAAATTTTGATTCTAGTTCATAAAACTAAGTCTCAGACAATGTTGTGTATTTCCTTACTGATTTTTGAAGAAATTTTTTTTTATTGAGGCAAATTGTATATACAATGAAATGAAGATCTTATGTGTACATTTTGATTTTGTTTGTTTGTTTGTTTTGAGAGAGTTTTGCTCTTGTTGCCCAGGCTAGAGAGCAATGGTGTGATCTCGGCTCACTGCAACCTCTGCCTCCCAGGTTCAAGCAATTCTCCTGCCTCAGCCTCCCGAGTAGCTGGGATTACAGGCATCTGCCACTACACCCAGCTAATTTTTGTATTTTTAGTAGAGATGGGGTTTGGCCATGTTGGCCAGGCTGGTCTCAAACTCCGGACCTCAGGTGATCCACCCATCCGGCCTCCCTAAGTGCTGGGATTACAGGTGTCAGCCACCATGCCCAGCCTATTTTGATGAGTTTTGATCAAGGTATACCCCTGTGTAACTGCCACCCCAACCTAGATACAGAACATTTCCATCGCTTAGCTCTCTAGTCAATACCTAGGGCAACCATGATTCTGACTTCTACCACCTCTTCTTGAATCAGTCATGCTTTATGTTCTCTTTTCTGCAACTTTCTCCTGCGTTTGAGCAGCATATTTTTGAGATTCATCCATGTCTCTGTACTGTGGCTCATTCTTTTTATTGTAGATTAGTATTCTATTACATGAATATACCATAATTTTATCTATTCTTGGATATAACTTTTGTTTATCCATTCTTCTGTTGGAGATTTGGGTTGTTTCTAGTTTTTGGCAATTATGAATAACGCTGTTAAAAACAATGGTATTTTAAAAATCTAATAAGTGAATAGCAATGGCCAAGTTTTCAAATGTCTTTTCCTTGTAAGCCAGTTTGATCATGGAAATAAAACCACCATCCAATAGGTTTGGATAAGTGTTCCATCAAATGTACTGCTGAGGCCCCCAAATGGGAGGGTTGCCTAGTGACAGATTTTTAGTGGCTTATATTAATAGGCATAGCTCACAGCATTCTTTTAGGGGGAGTTATCAGCCAAACCTAAATCATCACACACATCAGAATAATCAGAACTCAAGTTTCCCAAAATGAGGTTCATGTAACACCAGTGGTGGTAGACAAGATAAATTTTGGTGGTACGTAGGCATTTTTTTTTTTTTTTGAGATGGGGTCTCCCTCTGTCACCCAGGCTGAAGTGCAGTGGTGCAATCATAGCTTACTGCAGCCTTGACTTCTTGTGCTTAAGTGATCCTCCTGCCTCAGCCTCCTGAGTAGCTGGGATTACAAGTGCATGCCACCATGCCCAGCTAATTAAAAACAATTTGATATTTTTTATGTTTAATAGTTAATTGTTCATTTTTATGGTTACTAAAAAAGTATATGAGAAAACCATCACTTGCCCAAAGTTTATGGCAAGTGATGGTTTTCTCCTTTTAGAGTAGTAATAGAAAGTCCTTTGGCAAATTTGAAGCAATGATGAAAAACACTTTGTAGAAGTTCAGCTGAAACTCAAATTATTAAATATGAAAACCACTGGCAATGTAGTTGAGTGTAATGCTAATGGCCCCTTACTGGCTGTATGATCTTCAGCAAGTTAGTCTTCCAAGTTTGCTTCAGGATATGTTAAATGGGCTGTTAGTACAGATGTCACACATGTGCTGTGAGGGTTAGATGATAATGTATGTGGTACTCTGAGCACATAGTCAGCAGTCAATAAAGTGACCTGTTGGTATTTCAGTGCAAGAATCAGCATCAGGTGGACAACAGAACACTGGCCAGGGATTAATGATTGGAACAGTTACGGGACTGTGTGGTCATCACTTCTGATACTCATGGACTTCAAAGGACATAACCTTAAACAAGTGTGCGCAGGCAAAAAGACATACTCTGGCAAAAAGAAAAACCTCACATCTGACTTTCCAAGTTTAAGATCTCAATGATAACACTCCAAATCTATCCCTCTCTTCTAGGCAAACTCCGCACCCTAAACCCCAGCTGCTAAATTTTCAGGTGGTGCGGCATGAAGGGATGGAGGGAGAATGGGGAGTAGTACCAAGTGGCTCTCACTGGACTGTATGCTGTGATCACCCAGGGAGCTTTTCAGGAATACTGATGTCTGGACACCACCTCTGTGGTTTTGAGTGGTCAGGGTGGGGTCCAGGTGACTCTTAATGTGCAATCACGGTAAGGAAACCCTTGTTTAGCTCACTGACATTGGCTCAGTTCAGCCCTGACCCTCTGGAACAGGGTGGAAGTGGGCTGAATTCTATATGCTACTTAGTGACGTAAGGACAGCAATAAAAAGTCAACTTTGTTTTAGCAGAGCTTGTTTATTCCCACACCTTGAAGGAACAGTAGGCTTTGTTTTTTCATCAATGATGCACTTTTGTATCATTCAGGCTGTGTCTGCAGTTTCTTTTCTCTGGTCTCAAGGGAGGAGTCTTAAACGGCATTAGATCTTCTGCCCAGTCCCCGTGTACAGGCCTCTTTCTGGCTCTGTTAGGTCTGATTGGAGACCCAGGTGAGTTATTTTCAACCCAAATTTGGATCCGTTTTTGAAATGCTGCCTGTTACAGCATTACCCCAAACTAATGCAGTCACTAAAAGAAAGTTATTGTCAGTTGGCTTGGGCTGGCTCCGATTCCCTTGTTTTCCTGATTCCCCAACTGAGCCTTCAGCTTCAACCCAGATCTGAAGATACCAGGTTCAGGGAAGTCAGTGATTGGAAACTGAAGTGGTTACGTCCCAGAAGTCCTGATGCCAGTTCCTCAGGAACATCTGGCGACCTCTGCCATCTAACAAGGGCTGTCTGCTGAGCTCCGCCAGGTATGAGGCAGCCAGGGCTCAGTAGCTGGGCAGTCGACTCCGCAAGCTGGCTCGAGTGTTCTTCAGAAGGCACCCCAGAAGGGCTCCCGGCTTGCAGATCTTAGGAACTTTCATGCTCGCACTGGTATTTCCATTTCACTTTGGATGCTCATCTTGGGCTGCTGTCCATTCGGCAAGAAAACGCAGTTTTCTCTTGGGTGTCTTTCCATATACTCACAAATATAAGTACAAATGTTTTAATCTGCGATTTGTATTACACTTGCAGGGTATATTGAGCTAAGACAACACTTCTGGGTTTGACTTGCCATGGGCGTTAGTTCCTAGTTTTCCTAGTACAGCTACAGGTAAACTAGTTCCTAGTTTTCCATGATGGCACTTAACCAATGTGGCATTTCCATATTTACACCAACAAAGATCCAGGAGCTAGGACTGAAGGGTGGAAACTGCAAGACCTGAGAAGGCCTCAGACTTTGGGCCTGGTGTCCCTCATTGCCTCCACAGATGGAGAAAAGCTCCCAAGTAATGCTGTGTGGTGCTATGGGGACCTCTGCCTACCCTACTGTGGGGCTTCTTTCCCCTACCCCATTCCTAATCCAGGAATTACTCAACAAGATCATAATTTAGAATTTGTTTTATTATATTGGTGCCAACCAAATAAATGCCCAACCACTGTTCTTATGAAGTTACTGAGTTCTTAAAAATGATGCCTAAAAAAGGTATCAATTTAGTTATATCAATTTAGTTATGGCCGGGCTGCCATATAGAAAAACATGATAAAACTGTGAAGGGTACTAGATTTGAAATAGATTCCAAGAAATAAAAATACCTAGATTGTCAGAGAAGGAAAGTTCATAGCTTAATTCTTTGGTGTGGTCCATCTCACAAAGTATATATAAAACTAGGAAAAGTCCAAAATAGTTGGATATATTTAAGCTGTTTCCAACATGCAGTTAGATTTGTGTTTATTAAATCTGCTTTTCCATATACATACAGAAAATTTAAAAAGAATAGAGAACACATTTCCAAGGATGAAATTTCCACATTTATTTTTCTTTTATGTGAATAGAAAATGGCAGTGAAGTGTCCTATGAATGAGGCGAGGAATGGGCATGGCGCTGCGGTACCAGCCTGGACGTTGTGCTTCCAAAGTACACTATGTGTGGTGGAGACAAAGGGTGTCGCGGTTTGCTTTTAATTGCTCACAGTTCCTTGGGCTTCTCATTTGTTTTTGAAGTTGTCAGTTTCTTCAAATCTCTTTTCAAGTGACACATTGCATTACAAATGATGGCACTTAACCAATGTGGCATTTCCATATT
This sequence comes from Homo sapiens, assembly GCF_000001405.40. Lineage (NCBI taxonomy): Eukaryota > Metazoa > Chordata > Mammalia > Primates > Hominidae > Homo > Homo sapiens. The sequence continues at coordinate 158,681,132 of NC_000002.12, read as the reverse complement.
TACACCAACAAAAGAAATTTACAAGACATAATAGCATACAATCTTGACATTTAGTAATAGCAATAAAACATGGGCATCCATTTTATTTTTTCTGTACAAACTATCAGAACATAACTTTATTCACATTAAAAAAATCATCTTTAATTTGATTTGACCTACATATCCCCCATTTCATTTCACCCATTTCTCAAACCTCTCATCACGTCACCCACACCTTCACCAGACTACAGAATCTATAAGTAATTAGATCTAACACCTAAATAGAGCTTAGAAAGTCCTCTCCCAAACATTTCCTCACTTCCCTGATAATTCCTCAAAAAAGAAAAAAAAAACACACTTCATTCATTCCTTCCACTTCACTTTCACATTTCAATCATCAAATCAGCAAGATGGACTTTTCACCTCAATCTGAACAAGGTTAGAAAGAAAGAGTTCCTCTGTTGGGCATCTTGATGCTACACCCATGAGTCTGGGGACCCTGGGTACTGTTCTGCTCTATAAGAAGGTCGTTTAGTGGAATAAAAGTCTACATAATTTGTGGTCGATTTCAGTCCATACTGTGTTGAGTAATCAGTAGAAGCTGGAAAGTGAACTCGGTCATCAAAATAAGGATCTTCATAGCTATGAGGAGACTGCAAATACAATCTGTATGCATCAAAGTTCTTTCTGTTGGAGTCATCTTGACTATAATACAGCTGTTGATGCTGTTGACAAAATGAAAAGGCAAATAAATAAAAGCAATTTTTTAAAAATACATGTGTTAGGAAAATTAATGTGGGCTTCCTGCTTCATATTTTTAAAGCAATATTCAATATTTGCAGTTTAAGGTTAAAAGCTGTTTCTGGTGCACACTATGCGTTTACTATTGGACTCTAAGGATTTTAAGCTGCATTCTCAGGCAGGCTGCTGAGTTTCCTGTCCTAAGACCTCTAGAGAAGCAGGTGCCTCAAGAAAGCCTGAGATCTCAGGGCAGGTGGCCCCAGAAACCTCCCCTCTTTACTGGAGGCCCTGCTGTGTGCTCAGCTGTGGAGGCACCTGTTACCTGGGCATGCCGAATGAGAGGATGGTCTTGATATTTGGTTTGACACAGGGGAATTATTAGCACATCACTAATTTAGTCAAGGACTGGGTTTCTGGGCCTTGGATAATTGTATAATTACCGAACCATCTTTTAGAACATTTACTTCAGATATGAAGATGGAGTCCACCCCTACATTTTAAAAGATGTATGTGGCTAGGTGAACAACAGTCACACTTTGGAAACTCTGCTGTAAGTTGTAATATTAAAGGAATAAGCAATCTCAAGGCAGAAGAATAGTAAAATTAGGAGACACACGTGAGCAAATATGGTTCTAGAGGAAAAGGCTTCCCCAAGCCAGGGCTAAGTCCATCTGTAAGTGGGCAAGACCAGGCACACGTGGGCACCCACACAGGGCACACTGCTCTCCATTTCCTTTTGTTCAGTCTTAGCTTTGACCTCACACTAATTTCTTCAAATTGTGATGGTTATTATGTCTATGTTCTTGATTATGCCCAAATCCCCCTACTTAGTAAGATGTAACAAATTTACCACATAGAAACCAATGTCATGTCCTGGAACTCAATGCATTCTAACATTATAAGGATTTCAGAGCTAAATTCTCCTTTCAAGCCAGAGTTATGATTCTGGTCTATTTTTCCTGACTAAAAAACCATAGCATAAATTATGAATAACTTGGAAAGTTCTTTTTCTTCCACCTACAGAGAAAAGATGACGAGAAGGAGAGGTCTTAGAACACATCCTTATCTGAAGGACAGGATACAGTCTTGTTTTAGGAAACTCCAGCTGCTCTGTGTCATTGAAAGGGAAGAGGAGAGACCAGATGGTCCAAGTTCGCCATGGCACTGGTAAGGACCTGAGACTGACTGCAGGCCCTTCATGAAAGCAAAGCCTGGGTGTGTTATAACCGCCAGTCCCACTCTCCCACAGTGAGGTCCATCCCGGCAGGGGCTGAGTCCACCTTGACCACTGAGACAAACAGACCTGGTGATGGACTCAGTGTTTTTAAATTGTGGAGCTTGGACAGGGAGGGGCGAGATGGAGAACGAGGTATACACAAAAGAGAACAATGTGATGAGGGCATGAAGTGTGCTTACCAACCTTCCCTCACTCAGAGGCTGGAAGAGATTTTAGAGCTTAACAGAAAAAGAGTGGGAAGAGGACACTGCTGGGCAAAAGACATGAACTAAAGACTTCTCGGCTGTCCCCATCAGTGGCACGGTGGTCTCAGCAGTACCGATGTGGATACTCAAGAACGTGAGGCTACCGTGGAAATGCTTTGCTTAAACCACACGTTGAGTTTCCAAGGAGTGAAGATCCCCAGGGAAAGCATCTAGGACCCTGCCATGTTGGCCCAGCTCTGGGAAGTCAATCGACGTGGACCCCTTACTGTGTTAACTGCTAATCAGCCTTCTGTAAAAATGATATTGCAAATTCACCTGTAGCCGTCTATTTTGTTCTCTTGCTGGTGAGGAATAGGAACTGATGTAAATTGGTGAAGGTTTGCTGGAGCCTGTAAGAAAATATTTTATGAAATTAAAACTAGTGCTTATTACTCTGGTCCATTAGGCTGGGTGGTCTCCCCTGCACTAGGGCTAGCACTGTCCCCGACAGGGCCTGTCTTCCCCAGTGCCAATGCGGGCTGGGAGAGGTAGCAGCTCAGGGTCCCTGGATCTGGCCTGGCTGCTGCTTACCTCAGGGCTGGTGGGGGCTAATGGCAAAACTATGGCAGAAACAGGCTGTGTGTGTTTCCCCAAAAAGCAATGCCAGTGCAGAGCCCATGCGCAAAGGTTCCTGCTCAAGCTCTGCTCACATGTGGGAGGGTTTCTCCAGCTGGCTTTGGACAGCAGCACGGGATCCTGAGCTGAGGAACACTCCTTTTCCAGGGCTCTGAGCTACGGCAGTGGGTCAGAGAGGAGAAGCGAAACACAATATTCGAACAAGCCCCATGCCTTCCAAACAAACAACTGGGATTCAAAATCTCAGGTCAAGGAAGGAGCAACAATGGAGGCACAGTCTTGTACCTGGCATATTTAAGTATGTTTTAATACAAAAGGAACTTGGTAATAATGAGATAATTGTCTTCAAAAGTCCATAGTAGACTCCTGATGATGTTACCCTTCCATTATTATTAAGGCTAGCAAAGATTTTTATTTTTTTAATGAGGAAAATGAAACGTAGTTGAGGCAAATTAGTTTATTGAAGCAAGCGAAGAAGATACAGAAGGGCATGCATGCTAAAGAGGTGATCTGTAAGATAAAGCAGGCTGCTGCAAATCGGAAGCAACCATGCACTTCAGTTGGTATGTGCATTTCCTTTTGCCCAGAGCTTGGTGTTGAAATGTAGCATCTGCAATTTTCTGAGCTATTAATTGCCATAGTAACAACAGTCGATTAGTAAATAGTCCTGTGAAATCACAATTTCAAAGACAACAGTACAATGGAGACTGCCCCCCCAGCAGGAGTAAAGCTGCCACCAGCTTTTATTTATTTTTAATAGACAGGTTTGAGAAAAGAGTACTTTTTGTGGGGTAGCTCACACTGACTTATTTGGAACATCTAAAGTAGTTATAATCGCCAGACGGTTGAGAATGGGAACAGTATGAAATCTTAGTAACCCTTTGGGCTGGTATCCTTTAAATAAATTGTATGCACAGCTTTCTGAATAGGATATAAAAATATTAACACTATGTAACATTATTTTTGTTATTCTTAAAAAATAATCACGTTGAGAAGAATCACATTATACCTTTTGCTATTTATTCAAACTCTTCTCCATGAAAATGTAAATGAAATTGATCTCCATTCTCTGGTTTGAATTTAAGAGATGAGCCAGTCTAGAAGATGTGGCCCCTGCAAAGTGACACTGGGCTGACGGTTCTGATGCATGTGGAAAACACAGAGACTGCTCGAGCCAGGAGGGGACGGAGCAAAGGGACTGTGCCAGTGAGCAGCCAGAAATGATTTATTTGGATACAGCCCTCTTTTTATTTGTGCCCACCGTACAACTACATACATACATACATACAAACAAGTACATGCTTGTTTTACTTTAAACAAGCAGAAAAGGCAACAATCCCCAAAGTAGGAAAGGGAATGACTGGAACATGGTTTGCTGCTGGGGGACTGTCTCAATACAAGCACAGGCTACTTCCCAGGCCACTGGCCAAGCGCCTGGAAATGCGGCTTTTCAAGAGACTGTATCACACACCCAACTGGCGTCTTACCAGGGTACAGGCCTTTATGTGTGGCATCCCCTTGGCTATTGTAATACTGCATAGGTGGCTGGGTCCTATCGTATTCAGAGCGAGGGTCTCTGATTCCTAACAGTGCTGGTGAGGAAGAGGTGCTGCCGACTGAAGGGAGAGGCAAAGGAGGAGAGAAAGAGGGGTAGAAAGAGAAATCAGCATCAGTATCTGTGGAAAATCCTCTCCAGAAACACAAAGCTCAGTAACTAGAAATGACACACAGCTGGTGCTGAAAATATCTCAGAGGTGCTGGGAGTGGAAGAGCAGCTAGACCCAAGTACTGCAAGTGCTACCTGCATGCAGGCCTGCCACTGCACAAATCAGCAAAGTCAACACCGGGGCTCACTCTCAAGCTGGAGGGCAAGCTGCCCGGCTAAAGAGGCACAGTGTAGAGATCATGCAGCTTTCCCCACTAGTCTGTCTCAATGTCTTGACTAGGCGTTTGAAACTGAGTGATAATAACTTACTAGCCATGCAAGAGTTATACTTGTTATTTTATGATCCCAGTTCAGTTGCTTGCAAAATACCCACCTATTATCCTTTATGTATAGCTCTTCAGCCAACAGAAGTTTTATGGCATGTTTTGATTTCTAATTATTTCCAAAATATCCACATCTCTAAACATGTTTGAATAAAAGCACCCATTCTATAAAATTTATAATTCTTTTTATGGTGATCAAGGAAACAATTTAAACCCAGTAAGCCTGGCTCATTAGGAAGCGCACATGGTGCTAAGCCCTGACCTCAGAAAGGCCCAGAGGACTGAGGACTGTTTTACCCCAGCTTCAGCCAACATCTAGTAACACCGTATCTATCCTTAGGACTCTTTTTGGACACTGTGGCACAGAAAGAAGAGAGAAATATTTCACATTTTTTCTTTTTCTTATTAAAAAAATCATCTTGCTTCCCCTAAAGTTAATTTCAAATAAGAGTGGCCACTTATTCACTTGATACACTCGAAAGCAACAGCCCCCCAAACCTTGACACCAGTGGTTTTGCATAAATTGACGCTTTCAGAGGAAGACTGACAATGAAATACTTTTCCTAAAAAGTCACCTCACTGACATAGGATTGTTCAGTGTTAAACATGTAAGCATGTATGGACAATGTCTATGTGCTGCTCACCTTGCTTACTTTCCAGAAAGTAGTAGGACAGAAAGCATACCCGCCTGCCTCCAATGACATCAGCAAGGCATCAGACATGCCCGGAAGCAGATCCCACACTAGTGTGAAGGGATGCATTATCAGCCCTTAGAATAACTGGAGAAGCAGAAGTGGAGTATTCCCTACCACTGACTAGAATCCCAAAAGGCACCTAGGAATTTGAATGGGGCTAGCCAACACTGTCCAGCAGGTATATTTAAGGGGTCCTGAAAACAAGGTCACTATTCAGTAACTATGTGCTAATGATCCAGGGGTGTGCAATCTTTTGGCGTCCTTGGGCCACATTGAAGAGTAATAATTATCTTGGGCCACACATAAAATACACTAACATTAACAATAACTGAGGAACTAAAAAAAAAAAATCACCAAAAAAATCTCATAATGTTTTAAGAAAATTTACAAATTTGTGTTGGGCCGCAAAGCCATCCTGGGACGCATAAAACCCATGGGCCGCAGATTGGACAAGCTCGTACTAATCTAAAATTATCCTTTGCTTGTCTATGTGCCTTTTGTTATAGAGCCACACATCTTAATTTCCCTGGCACCTCTATTCCCAAGACCCTAAAAGGTTCTGAGCATTTTTCTAAAAGAAAGCAGTTTCAGGCTATACCTGGGAGCTTAGCAAGGATGTTAAAAACCAGACACGTAGGTTTCTTTCAAGAAAGCAACCCATAATTTAAAAACTAAGATATATACCATACACAACAAGCACAGACAATTAAAAAAAATTCTAGTTCAAGTGGGGACATCCAATTATGTGGCAAGAACCACTGGCCATGTATATTCGTCTTTTTGGCCACATTTGTCCACATGAGAAATAAGACTGCCAGCAGTAGCACTGCTGAATAAAATAGATAATATTTAAAAGTCCAAATGGGTGACTTAAAGCCAAATAAAAATAAGATACTTATTATTTTTCCTTTCTCATTTTGGAAAGAATTAGATTTATAGGACTGATTGGCTTGGCAGTAATAATCTGCCCTTACATGTAAAAAAATTAAGTCTGAATCTCAAAACATTCTTTCCATCAAGTTAAACATTACAAAGAAGTAGGTAGTATGGTTGCCAGGATTCCCAACTTAAAAATCAAAAGGAATTCCTACAGACCCACACTGTAAGGCCTGCTTCCATTAGCAGCAGATGCTGGGGGTCTGCAGAGGAAGGAGGTTTAACTGGAAAGCAGGCAGCTCTCCCAGGTTGCGGATCTGAAGACCTTAAAGGTCCTCTGGTAAAGGACCCTGCTTCTAAAAGGTTTCACTAAGAAAACTTAAAAAAATTCACTTTGGAGGAGATTCCAACCTTATGGCCAGCTGGCATACAGGGCAGCCACTTTCAGGCATAACCCAGTGCGTCTCGAAGTGTGGCCCTCCACTCTCAGGCACCCCGATCCCCTGTCCAGTCTGTCAACTGCAGGTTTCAGGGCCCCTTCTCACACTTAGTGAGGCAGACTTGAGGGCAGGGCCTGGGGCGCTGTTGCTGATGTAAAATTGTATACACTTTTAAAAAGGAAGAAAGTGGGCTTGTGGTTTATAATGGTGTGTGATTCCTACAGAAGGTTCTCTGCTGCATGGGTAGTGTTGGAGATGACAGGCTTAACCAGCTTATGTTTGATCTTCTCTGGCTGGGGAACAATGTTCTGTCACACAAAGGTTCTCGCCAAGGAGTGGCATTTTCCCACTGACCTGACTGAATGATGGGTGACATCTGTTGGTTGGTGGTAGACAAGGAAGGATGTGATTTGAATCGGTCTCGCTCCAATGTCGACACAGGTGTAATAAAATGGTTCTGATTCCACCCATCCTGCAGAGTTAAGAGAAAAAGAAACCTCTCAAAATGAATAATGACATTTCATTACAATAAATGATTATGAGTGTGTGCTCTGATGAATGCTAATTATGCCAGAGCTATTCTTGTAGGTTACCTTTTTATAAATGCTCCGGAGGTCCCGATATTGCCATAATGTATTCAAGACCTGGGCTGCTGCCTTCACCACTTTCAGAGATGATCTAGGTAGAGAGCAAGGATATTAATGAATGTGGGTGACACAGCCTCAGCCCCACTCAGAGGGGTGCAGGATGAAAATCAGTGGCCAACAGGCCATCGCTCTCAGGGCCACAGGGATGGAGGCTACTGCAGGACACACCACAAAGGGACCAGGTGTGCCTGGGAGTCGATCAGGTTCGGAACTGGCAAGAGGTGGCAAGAACTGAAGTGAGGCCATCAGGCAGTGAGCTCTGTGGAGCAGCTGTGGCCGGGACGAACCTGAGCTGAGGATCTCTGTAGGTGTCAGTCCCAACCTCCCTCCGAATCTTTACTGAGGGCCACTGATCTCACTGGGGCTTTGGGATTCATGCAACCATGACTCTACATTCTGAGTGTCTGGAGACCCTCCCAAGTGAGTATGTTTTATCCCTCCTTCTTTATTAAGCCTTCATCTAAATACCTCCATTGCCTTATCATTCATACCTCTAAGTAGACTAATGTGCGTTCTAATGTTGAATTTGGAAAACATGGTCACAGATATTATTTCCCCTCTCTGAGGACATTTTGCAAATGCTGGTGCTCTGCTTAAGCATAGCCAACTGGATTCCGAGTCACTGGATTCACCTTGGGAGCTGCTGCTGTTAAGTCAGTGGCCTCACCAGTAACTGAAGAGGGGACTTCCTGCCTCAGCTAAGGCCCTCAGATCTCTACATTTGGGTGGTACTCATGGACCAGTGCTTGCAGAGTTAGCCCTAAGGACAACTGAACACTTCAATCTTAAGGCTCCTTTGACAGTTTGACTTCAAATGTATATACCCGATCTAAAATCTGGTTTTCTCTTCTACTCCGTTATCTTCCCAATTAAACTCTCATGAAGTGGAGGAGGACAAGGGAGGGGAGCAGGTGGTGAGCTACTTCCTCAGCCCCTAACAGAACATGGGTTGCTAATGATTCTGAGGGTTTAGGTGAGCAGAGCCAGGTAAAGCCAACCCACTCAAAGCCTTTCTAACCTTTTTATTTCCAAATTGGACTATGGAACAGGCAATAGCTAAATACCCCAAAGAAATAAACACAGATGAAATTTCAGGCACCCAAGACAGCCTCTGGAAGACAGATTTGGGGGAGCAGGGCACTTGCCCCACATAGCCACCCTGTTCTCAGCTGGGCCCGGCCATTGCTGCTTTGTTCACCCGTCTGTCTTTAAGTGCTAGGCAGCAGGATGAGGCTCAAAAGGCAGATTCCACAGCTGCCTGGTAGGATGACAACTGAAACACTCGACCAGGCAGGACTGTGCCCAGGATATGCCTTGACAAAAACAGACTACATATTTTCAGACACAAATTCCATGAGCAGAAACCTGACCCATGAGAAAAGCAAGGAAGATTCTTTGCTCTCCTTTGCAGCAAAACTCCTTGAAAGAGTTATGTACTTGCATCTCTAATTTCCACCATCCCATCTTCTCTTAAATATAGGACCTCCATATTGTTACATCCGAAGGTCAAGTTGCAGTCCTCATCCTGAGTCACTGTATTTCACCTTGGGAGCTGCTGCTCTAAGTCAGTAGCTTCACGGATAAGTGCAGAGGGGATGCGGTGCCCTGCCTTGGCCAAGGCCGTCAGATCACCACGCTGGGGTGGGCCTCCTATACCCCTCACTGGCTCTGCTCCAGCCCCACCGGCTTCCCTCTGTTCCTCAAGCACACAAGGTCCTCTAGCTTCTCAGGGCTCTCTCACTTGATGTCCCCCTCTAACCGAAATGCTCTTCCCCCAGGGAGCTGCACTGTTCCTTCCCTGCCTCCTCCAGCTCTGTGCTCAAAAGGCACTGTCTCTGCAAGGCCTTCATTGACTAGCATTCCTCTCCCCAGCATGGCCCACCACCCACCCTGACATTATTATGCGCCCTGCCCCTCAGCACCACCCACCACGCTCCACGCGTTTCTGTTCGTTTGGCACCTTGTCTGCGTCTACCTCACCCATGGAACGTAAGCTACCTCGGGTGGGGCTGTCATGCGACCTGTCTGCTGCTGCAAGCCCAGCATAGAGAAGAGCGTCTGGCACACAGCAGGCAGGCAGTAAGTACTTGTGAAAGAAGTTAAGTGTGTGGAGCTAGGAGACAATTTGATTTGGTCCAGGACTTTCCGAATCTCTGGTTTTGAAAAACAGATTAGACTGGGTAGCAATTTTCTTAATATGGAAAGGTTCTGGCACTGGCTCAGCATCTCAGCCTCTTCTTATGCTGCTCACAAGTGCAGGCTGTCCAGCGACATTTTAAGAGCATAAGTGATTATGGTTCCACTCACTCCCCTTCCCAGCCCTCCCCACCCCCTATAACCATTTATTACTAATTAAATAGAAAAAAATACATTTAAAAAAAAGACTGAAAGGAAATATCATTACTGCTGATAGGTGTGGTTTCTGGGAGATGAGAATATGGTTTTAGATTATTCTTATATTTTAGAAACTCCTTCAAAAGTATAAAGATGAGATGTAATGTGAGTTCCAGCACTGTCATTTGGCCAATTAATAAATATTCACCAAACACCTGTTATGAGCAGGCCAGGCTTATTCTAGATGCCAAGGATATAGCAGTGAACCGAAATAAAAATCTCTGCAATGGAAGAGTCAGGTATAAGAGGAAGACATAACTTCCACAGCAAGGGGAAATCAGCGCTATGGAGAGAGCAAAGCAGGGGGTTTGGGGGAGAGGGCTGCCATGCTACTGTGGCTCAGGGAGGTTGCTGTCCTGCTGTTCTGAGATGGCACCAGGCATCCTACTTACCATTTCTCTGATCTGATACTAAGGCAAACTTATAGTCACTGCTACAGCTCCATGACAAGCAGCCTTCAATTTTTACCACTGATTCTCTAGTCCTTCCTTCCTGCTTAATCAGTGAGGTGTCATGCAGAAGCAAAGGGAAATGCGCCATCCAAGCCTGGGGCACATCCTGAGGCCACACAGCAGCCCTGCTGCAGAGCAGTAATTTTAATACTTTCTGGGTATGTGGCAGAAAACTCAATTCCAGAACTGGGGATTCAAGAAGACGTTCCTGCAGAACAGGCACTCAGGCCTGGAGCAGAGAGACAAGGGCACAAGGGAAATGGTGCCCCCTAGATTTTTCTCATCCTGGCATTTCCAATTCTTCCAGGAGTTGGCATGACCAGTTGTGGCTTTAGGGACTGCTATGGTCTGAAGGTCTGTGTCCCTTCCAAAGTTCATATGTTGAAATTCCAACCCCCAAGGTGATGGTATTAGGAGGTGGAGCCTTTGAGAGGTGATTAGATCATGAGGGTAGAGCCCTCATGAATGGCATTAGCACCCTTATAAAAACAGGCCTGAGACCTCTCCCTCCTTCTACCGTGCAAGGACAGCTGAAAGGCACCATCTATGAACCAGAATCGGGGCCCTCACCAGACACCAAATCTGTTGGTGCCCTGATCTTGGATTTCCCGGCCTCTAGAACTGTGAGAAATAAATTTCTGTTGTTTATAAGCCACCCAGTTCACAACATTTTGTTACAGCAGAACAAACAGACTAAGACAGAGACAAATACCAATGTAGGAGTGAGGGTGTTACAATAAAGTGAAAACCAAAAATAGGCCCCATAACAGAAAACACTTCTCCCAGCATAGCAGGTTGTAAGTGCTGGAGACTGCTTAGCTTATCGGCATGTAAGAAATGCAAAAATAAATCCTTTCCAATAGGAAAGGTATCCTCAACAAAGGCCTCATCACAGGACAATCTCAGGAATAAGAGCACTGCTTGCACCTCCTTGCCGCAGACTTGCCTGTCGCCCCTGCCTTTGGTTATGTTCACCAGCTTCTCTATGCCTCCTGAGTCGGCCAGGGCTTTTGCGTTCTCCATGTTTTTGCTGGTGACCTCGTGCAGAGCACAGCAGATGGCTGCCATGGTCTCATCAGACAAGACACTGGGGCCATTGCCGCCGGGGAGCCGGTTGACCAGGTCTCGCATGGCGTATTTGCCTGCCAACGGCAAAAGAGTAAATTCTACTTCCAGAAGGTACTAGGTTTTTGTTATTGTTGTTCAGATTCTGGTGGCATGCAATCTCTTAAAAATAAAACCCCCAAAGAGACAATAATAGGGGAAAAAATCAAAACCCATGGCAAAGAAGAAAAGGACAAATGTCATTATAAGGGGAAAGCTAACATTTATTGCAACGTCACTTGCAGAAATGATTCATTTATAAAACATTACTGTCAATTGCTGAAAGCAAATGTAAATCAATGCGTAAAATTGGGTAGACAAATCAAGTTACTTTCGTTCGAGTATTTTCAGTAACATTGAGTAATGAAGGAATTATAATAGTAAATTTTATTCTCAATGGAATTCCTATGCATCACAAATACCTCAATTTCCTCTTAGAGCTTTTTAAAACTTACCTTTGAATCTGGACCAAGTCAGGCTGCCAAACAATACTTTTCGTTAGATCTTTCTGGATCTTAATGTATGAACTGGGTACAGTTACACATTTTTGTGTATAGAGCTGAGGTGTACAGCAACTCATCTGACAACGGTGGCAACATGTTAGTTTCTTTAAAAGATGACACAAGTAAAAGTTCTGGTATTAAAATTATAGGTATGTTATCTCCCAGGAATAATGCAATAATAATGAAATTCTTGCTAAGACAAGGCAAGGGGAGTTTCACAGTTATTGAGGTATTTCTTTATAGATACTGAATTTTTCTTATTCCTCTCCAAAAAGAGATTACCTCTAGCTTTTTCAACTTCGATTACCAACTGACAAACTGTAAGTGCACTACAAACAAAAGAAATGAACTAAAGTGCAAGTAAACATCTTCTTAGTTCTCCCCTATGCTAATAATTGAGTGGATGTGCAATCGCTTTTTATAAAGGCCTGTTTATTTACAGTGGTAAGCAGAAGAAGACAGGTCTCAGCTACATGCTGTGTGATGTACAGCACGTCAGAGGGAAGGCTCTGGCTTGCTCACGACAAACACTGCTATGAAGAGTGGAAAAACAGTGCTGACACTGTAAGGCCACAAGATAAATGTGGTTTTCAGAGCAGATGATAAGTTAGCTCTGGTGATTTTGAATACTCATGAATGACCAAAAGGCCCATGACATGTAATTTGTCATTTTGCTAAGGCATAACTTTAAATTGCACTCCTGGGGGTTAGGCCGAGGCAGCTCACTCTGCCTATGAATGAGTGAGCCTGGCGGTCCCCTCAGAACTTGCAGCTCCAGACAGCAGGGTGGGTCCCACTCAGTTGAGTATGTAGTAACTTTTATGAAGTGATAAAACTTTGCTTCTTTGTGAAAAATGGCTCTGAAAAGAAAGTCCTTTGCTAGTGCTGATGATGAATGTGAAAAAAGAGGGAAGAGGTCAGAGAAGGGGAAGGTTCCTAGGAACTGAAGTACTGGGTAAATTAGAGCCAAATACTGAATCCAAGAGTGAGGCAGATCTCACAGGAAGACGGGAATAGGGAAACAAAAAAACAGACTGATGGAACAGTTCAAGAGTGCTCCAGCCAGGTTAAAAAAAAAAAAAAAAAGCTCATCACTGGAGAGGCAGAAGGCCAGTGGAAGTTAAAAAGGGTTATTCACAGAAAACACAGAAATGCACTGAGAGGAAGCCAAGACTTGGAACACACATTCCTCTTGCCAAAGGTCTTAGCACTTCACAGTACCAGCTCAAGGACTCCTGTCTACCTGTGTCTTTGCGTTGTGAAATATGACAGGCCACAGGATATACGTGTCAACCATTTATTTTTTAGCATTAAAAATGCCCAAATTATACATGCTTCTTATAAGAAATCCAAACAATACAGACGTAAGAAAAATAACTTTAAAGAATATCTCTCTTTAGGGACCTGAAGGATTTCTGTAAAGGAAGTGTGGGAACTGAGAGATATGGCACATCTACAAGAATCAGGCATGAGCTGGACCATGAACAGGGTGAGGAGGAACTTCCTTTCCTCTCCGTAGGGGGATGATTTGGCTTAAAGGAATGGTGTGTTAAGAGCAGGTTAATCTGGGCAACAATTCAAAATAGCAATTCTGTCAGGCACTGTGTGAAGGGCTTCCATTGTAAGTCATCACGTTTAATCCTTACAGCAATTCTTTATGGTAAACATCATCGCCCTTGTTTCTCTCTCCTTCTCTCATGGCAGGTGTATTTTAAGTTTACTATAGATTCACATGAATCCACATAAGATCTTGTCCCATTTCCCCTCCTTCTCCCCTGACCTGTCACCAGCTGTGGGACTTGGCATGGAGCTCTCTCATTTCCTCTTTACAGCAAACCCAGTTAGGACAGCAGGCATCAACAGCTCCCCTTCAGAGATGAGGAGTTGCCTTTCATTTCCAATCTAGATAGAATTACGGAGCCTGAACGGGGTTATATAGGATACCCCAGGTTGCATGGCCAGTGAGCAGCACATCCTGGGAACGAAGCTCAGGTTTATGGGGGTCCCTGATGTCTTCTTTAGCCCGCATCCTGCCTAGGATGTGGCAATGCCGCAGAGGCAAGCAAGCTGCCTGGGGTGCGGAGCGTACAGAGGTCCTCACTGTTTGGTTTGTGCATGTGCCAACCCTACCTTGTACAAACCTGAGAGTAAAGGCCTCCTAAAATGTTGTGCCTTTGGCGCCTTGCTTAGCTCACCCTAGTCCTGCCCCTGCCCAGGGTGGAAATGATGTTGGGACAGTGGTTCTTCTCTGGGATAAAGATTTATACCAATGTGAGAGGGGAAAGCTACAAAACATTCATGTGATTTTTTATTTAGAGTATGGTAGTGTTGGTGAATTAGCAGGTAGCAGTCCAAAAATTGGAAAGGGAGATTAAGATTTTTTGTTGCTCAGGATATAGAGAACTCTCTTAGAAATGAGAGACATTAACCCTACTAGTGTTGTAAGGTACAACTAAAATTGCTGGCCTTTCTGAAAATTTACCTTCCCTAATCAATGACTAATTAATGAGCTTGCCTCCTGCTGAAAAAGAATGGTCACAAAACAGGAGTACTCAAATATGCCAAGAAACTGGAGACTAGGGCTCAGCTGTTAATGATTTTACAAGCCATATATTTATTAATCAAAAGAAGAGTTTCATGAATTTTGTAGCTGCTCTCACATTTACAGCTCATCTTGTCACCAGAACATACCTATGAGCTCCTTGTTGCGAACATCTAGTGCCATATTCCTCAAGGCTGTTGCCACGGAAGAAACAACTCTATCGTTATCCATTCTCAGAAGCTCCACAAGGATGGGGAGCCCCTTTTCTTTTCGGACGGCCGCCCGGATATATGCTGCAAACTAGTGAGAAAAATAAGGCAGGAAGTAACATAAAACAGAGTTCCAGTCTCATATGTTACTGTCACCTAAAAAAGATGTTTCCAAAAGATGAACTAATAGATTAAATGGTTTCTTTCCAATTGAAGATCAAATCTGTGGTGTCAGTGAAGAGAAAACCAAAGTTGGGGAGAAAGATAGGCTGGAATGACTGATTTAAAAAGAAATCCCAAAGCCTGAAAATCTCAAACCACCATCTGCCAGATATTTTTGTGCAGAAAAGAGAAGGCAGTGATTACTTTCTATCTCAGATACATAAACATGATTAAGGAAGGATCGTGTGTTTTCTTTGCAGTTGGTCCCCTGCCAAACCCAGAGGCTATAAATAGGATGGCAGAGACAGTAACCCATCAGCACACATGAAAGGAGAACCTGTCTCCATCAAGTCATTTTTTTTCTATATTCCCTGCAACAATATTTCGAGTTCAGAAACCTGTCAAAGAGATTAGTTGGAAAAATCCCTTGCCTCAGAAGAAAGGGAAATCTCCAGAAACATCCAGCATCATAATTCATACAGCCTGGTGAAAAAGTAAGTATATTTGTGTGCAAAATGCATTCTCACTCAAGATTAGTTAGCTGCTGATGCTGTTTTTTAAAAATCCATAGTCAAGAAATTTTTC
This sequence comes from Homo sapiens, assembly GCF_000001405.40. Taxonomy (NCBI): domain Eukaryota; kingdom Metazoa; phylum Chordata; class Mammalia; order Primates; family Hominidae; genus Homo; species Homo sapiens. Next base: position 158,665,756 of record NC_000002.12, on the reverse strand, counting down.
TGTGACTATGAAGCAACTCTGTACTGTGAGTCAGTTTGTATATCTTATAAAATGGAAATGAGCGCTAAGTCATCAGTGAAACAACCAAAAAGAGTAACGTTAGAAAACGGTTCTTTAATCTTGTTTCCAGCTTTGAGCTTTAATTGACTTTTTCAACCAATGCAAATCATCTTTCAAATTTTAGGGTAATTGAAAGATGCTGCTCATAAAACATATACTTTCCTGCTGTGACCAAGACAGTAGGACAGAGATCTACCAGCCCTTTGTATTATTTCGAACATTAAAATATGTGATTGACCATCCAGTTTCTTGAATACCAACAGAATATTTTAATAATACAAATAAGAGGGAAAGATGCATTTCAAAGATCCTATTTATATTCTGCATATGAAATGCATACTCCTATTTTTCAAATCACATGAAATCTATGGGGGGAAAATGAAGTACATGACTGGTTACTAGGCAAAGCACTCAGGCAGTTTTATGAACTTCTCTCTGAAACCTGCAACAACAGAACCATCTCCTTCTGTCTCACTTGGAGACCTACCAGCCCAGCCCAGCCCAGCCCGTCTCCCTTCTGGAGAACTACAGTCATCACTGCTCCTGAAATAGCTTCTTACTTGATAACATCTGTGGCCACGATTATCTCATTTTCTTAGTGAAGGTCCAATATTTTAACTCACTATTGAAATCGCTTAGATATAATGTTTATATTTTAAATGAGCTTTGCCATCTAACTCTCTCACTAAATGATCCCAGACATGAACTTCTAAATAAGTCAAATCACATCGATTTCAATTACTGTCTTTTATTATCATCAAATGATCCTCTGGTCACAGAAGCTGAAGGTGAACGCTGTTCTACAACATAAATGTTTATAAATACTTATGTGCTGGGAGTATCTCACTAAATCCTCATAACCACTTTATAAGGCAGGTATTAATATTCACTTTATTTTAGGGAGGTGGAAACTGTGGGCAGAGCCCCTAGGCTGCCAGACGGTAAGCAGAGTGGCCTGGATTCAGAGCCAGCACTTACACACTCAGTCACTGGCACTTTAACTAGGAGCCACAACAAAATAACCACACCGGCTTAGCACTAGACCATAGTTATCGCTCTATATTCAACATAGTGGCCACGTGCACGAAACAAACCATACCTAGGCTTATCAATGCTTTTCACTATCTTGAAAACACCATCACCAAAAGATTCTCATTTTGGGGGGTTAAGGTGGGGGAAGAAGCCCACAGCAAGCATTGTAGTAACTCTACTAAAATACACCTGTCAAGAAATTACTAGAGGTTGAAAATGTCTCAGACAAGGACTGTCTGGGAAGTTGCTGGGGGACATTTAGAAAGTTCTGAGAACTTGCTTACAGTGGTAACAAAAGGAAACTGTCTTCAGTTTTCATACTCATACATTTGCAAAAAGATGCAGAAACCTTAGACACAGGCATGTCTGTAACGGTCTGAGAGGAACAGAGGTCCTCTATCCCTCCCCACAGTGCTGCCCAACCTGTGTTCTGTCCTGCCACTCAAGATTTCTCACCTTTGTATTGCTGCACTGGCTCCCAAATCCAATCCCTGCTTCTAACTCTCCCTTCCTCGAATCCACCTTTTGCACTGCCATGGAAGTGGGGGAGCAGTGATGATATTAGCCCGTCTCTGTCACTCATCTGCCCAGACTCTTTCGGTAGTCCCTCCTGTGTGTAGGTTAGGATTCAGCTCCTGAAGTTTGGCCTTCAGGCCTATCCATGATGCCTGGCTCCATGGTGGGCCCCAGTGGGCAGCCAGTAGTCCTGGCCCACACGTCTTCTCTGCACCACAAGACTGTCCTCCTCCTGTTGTCCCTGTTATCTGGATGGCTCCTTCCATACCACAGCCTCAGCCTCTACAGGCTTACTTTCACTCATCTTCAGAGATTCTGCCGGGCAGCATCCCCTTCAGGAAATCTCCTCCACGTCCTTACTCCGCTCTTTTCCTGACCTTCCCTTACACTGTGTGGCTGGGTTAGATGTCTTCTTTCAGGACCCCACAGCACATACATCCTGTGGCTTCTACACTGTGCTGGCACCATCTGTTTTTCTCACTAGCCTTCTGTTTCTCATAGTGAGGGACTTGTATTTATCTTTGTATCCCCAGAGCAACTGCTTGTCTCCCTTTTTTCCCTTTAACCCCTTCACACACAAGCTAAGTAGCTGTGACCCTTTCACCATCAGGGCTGATCTGACTGAGGCAGAACATATATATATAACATTTCAAGTTAGTTTGCAAAGATGGAAAGAAGTGTAGATAAGTGGAAGTCATCCTACCTTCCAGTTGCCAGCAGAGAGGTTCTGGAGAGACCCTGCAGAGCCTTCCAAGGTGGCTGGGTTGGAACTTTCTGCTAGAAGAGTCAGATATGGTTTTACCACCGATGGGTGCCACAGCATCTCAACCCCTTTGGGGGACTTCGACAGTCCTGGGATAGGACCAACTCCATCCCACTGAAAGACAAACAGCACACGTTAAATGGAGGCAGAATGAACATGATCTCCAATACTTGAAAACATTCACCTTTGCGGGACTCAGCTATAGCTATGCAGAAAATTTATTTTCTTGCCAAATATGTGATTCCTCACTCCCAGAAAAATTAAACTTGAGAGTCTCATATAAAATAAAATGCTAACTTGATCTTCTTGCGGAGTCCTCTTTTTCTTTTTCTTCTTCTTCCCCCAGCAACTTGGCTCAGAGTCTTTGCTGGGAGACTCTTTTCCTAGTAAGTCATCCAATTCGTTCAGTCCCAGTAACCGGGCCTGGGGCACCTCCAGCTCCAGCCGATAGGACAGGTTCCTCAGGGTGCACACGCAGTTCTCCACCGTCTGAAACCCAGCATGGCGTATAATTAAAAACAACTCGGCACATTAGAGCAAAACACTTCTGTACTGAACACTACAGACAGGAAATAAATGGGAAATATGAAAGAACTACTTTTTATTTATGAGAACTTGAAACAATCTGAAGAGAGAATTATGATTCTAGAGTGTTTGTGGAATACCCAGATGACAGGATGCAGAGCCCTTCTCAGTCCTGCTGAGGATTTGACTTCATGCCGACCGAAATGCTTGAGGCTCCGGCCCAGTGTTTCTCTTCAGGGCTGCTGCCGTGCAGACTGCACCCATGATGCTTGAGCCTCACTTCTCACTACTGCAGATCCTTGGCGTGACAACAGATGCCCCAACTCCCTCCCTGGGGACAACTATATCCCCAAGTCCCATGTCTGCCTCCTTCTCAATCTCCCAACTCCACCCTCCTTTTGAGCCATGTTCAGCGGTGTCTTTCCCTGCTGACATTTGCCTTCTGTACATGGTCTTTTGTTCCCTAAAAGACTGCATCACACCTCTGATTGGGAGGCCAACTGTCATTTAACTGAGTGTTTGAGTGTCTAAAACCAAGTTCAGCATTTGTCTATCTAGCAAGCTTCCCTTTCCAACTTGCTTACTCCTCTCAATTTCATCTGCAGATCTCCTGGTTCAATAAGGCTCAAAAACTGGCTGTTCCCTTGCATTCCTCTCTCTTCTCCCAGGCACTCTTCATCCTTTTTTCTCTCAGGCTCACCCTTACAATCCAACACCTTCCAATGGCCTCTCCTAGTCCAGTCCATCCTGACACCAAGTAACTGGCCCGCTTTGGAAGTCCTGACACTTTCAGTCCCTCTTTCCTGTTCTTTCCACTTTCCTCGGCCCCCAGGAGGATCCTGGATGGTCGTCACAGCTGACAAATGATGAGCAGAATGCCCTGTACTCGGGCACAGGAGGGAGAGGGTAAGGGGCTCATGCTGGGGACAGACCAACCACAGGCAGCAGCAGCAGGAGGGGGTGTAGAGAGGTGCAACAACAGTTAGTGCTGGGGGTGGGGACTGTGGACTGCACTGCAGCCAGGAGGGCAGAGAGTTTGGGGGGATTACAGTGCCTCAACCAGGAACTTTTAGTCAGTAGATACTCAAATACTGATGGCTCTGATTCTAGTGCGGATACAGAATTGGAGGAAATAGCAGCATGGGCACCACCCTGAGAATGAGCCTAGGGGAACCAGAGAGAAAGCCTTTACCACACCAAGCCACTCTGTTCTCACGGTTCTCAGGATATTTTCTTAAGTTGCCACGTCCTTGCCCCTGTAACTTTGGAGACTTGCCCTTTGATCTGGAGAGTGGCCTCCTGAGGAGGACAGGATCCGCAGGTCAGAAAGAACCAATGGCATGCAAATAGTGGCACCAGGCATCATGGTCACCTGCCACCACGCCCTCCTGCAACCAGGCCGGCACTGACCTTGCTGTCGTAATCGGATGTGTTCACACACGTGTGGATCACATACAACAGTGAGTCTACCAGCCCCTCGCAGGACCGCATTTGCTTCCGAGCTTCTTCCCCCGCGGAGCTGAGGTTCCTAAAGGGGTGGAGACAGGAGGAGCTGCTGAGATGAACCATGCACTCATCAGCCACGTGGACTTAACCTTAAGGATCTGAGAGAGCGAACAACAGGTGGCAGCCACTTAGAGGTCGGAGGAGGCACTGGGGGCTTGCATGGTAACATCCTGAAGCTCACAATGATGGCCCGCTCCCCATTATCCACACATGGAAGGGAACCTGCACATTTGGACTGTATCTCTCTCATGACGTGTCACTTTCTAATTCCCTCATATAATTCTTTAGGGGCCTATTCTCCTGAGGTTCTTCATATGTAAAAGGGGGAAAATAACAGTAACTACCTCACAGGGTTGCTGTGAAGAAGAAACGAGTTGCTACATAGAAAGCAATTAGAAAAGTGCCTCCTTCCCAGAAGGTGGCCTGCTGTCAGTCATGGTGGTGGCTACTACTAGACATGCTTCACCTCCCTTGTTAGGCCAGAAGCTTCTTGCAGTCCCCTGGGCCTATTATAATATTTTGCGTGCAGTAAGTAGGTGGTCATTAAATGTTTTTTGGATGAACAGAGGAAACATATAATTTCTTGTATTATAAACATTTCAAGTTAAATATAGATATTTGCTTATGCTAAAACTTTTCTGATCTTTTCAATTATAAAACACCCAGAAAACGGTTTTGTGTCTAAATTTTTTTATATCAATTTGCCTTCATAAATTGATACCAAATAAGGATCTATTTTATGTCCCATTAACAATGGTTCTAGGCTAACTGTAAAATTATGCAAATTGAGAATTTGCAAAACTGTGACTAGATGAGGGGGCGGTGGAATGGCGGCTCTCATCTGCCCTGCCTCTCCGCAGCACTTTCCTTTTCTCCACAGCTTCTGGGACCCCACCTGGCTTCTCTCTCACCTTGCTACTTCTCAGACTCATCTGCCCATGGGCACCTCCAGGAGTGCCCCAGGTCCTGTCTTGTCTTCATCTTTGCACTCTCCAAGGTGCCTTCTGCTCCTTGTCTTTAATACAACCTATGGACACAGGGCCATAGGTTGGCACACATCTGCCTTTAGCCCTGACTGCTCTCTAGAATTGCGGATTCTTTTCTCCAATGCTTTCTTGACACTGGCACATAGACAGCTAATTAGACTTCTCAAACTGGACATTGTCAAAACTCTGAGCTGCTCACCCTTCCAAGCATTCCTGTCCCTTCCCCCCATCAACAGCACTTCTGTGCTTGCAGCTGATCCAGCCAAAGATCTAGGTGTATCCTTATTTCCCCCCTTTCCTCGCTCTTAATATTCGATCTATTAGCAAGCCTTGTCAGCTCTTCCTCCACAAAATAACCCAAATCTGCCTACCTCACCCCAGCACCTGGTTTAGGCCACTCTCACTGTTTGCCTGGATCTCTGCAACAGTCTGATGTTCCTGTCTCTACTTCTGCCTGTACTCACTCCTCCACACTGCAGCCAGAAATGAGGCCCACTACTCCACTGCTTAGAACACTCTGATGGTTTCCCATGGCACTTGGAATAAAATGCAAACCCCATCTGACTTACAAAATCCTATATAATCTGGTACCACTCTGCCCTTTGCTCAGTAGGCTACGGCTGCAAGCTCATTTCTGCTCCAGAACCTTTACCTTAACCATTTCCTTGACTGGCCTATGACTCTTGTCTTCCCCAACACCACCCTCTAGTGAGTCACTCCTTGTGGTATTTCAGATGTAGGCTTAAATTTAAACTCCTTGAGAGACCCCCTGACCACCAAAGTAACCATTCAATAACCCTCACATCACCCTATTTGTTTTTATGGCACCTACTGTTATTTTCTTGTTTCCTTGTTTGTCTGTCTTCCTGGTAGAATGTGGTTCCATCAGAGCAGGGATCTAGTCTGTTTTATTCGTCACTGGTTTCACACAGAGGGCATTCACCAAATGTTTCTATCCCTGACCCACTGGGGGAGCTACAGTGAGTCCTGCCCCAGGCTCTCCCTGAAGCCTAGCTGGCTGGCTGAGGAGTAATCCTAGCTCCCTGGATGATTGCTAGGCCATGAGACCCACCCTGAGATGTGGGCATCTGAATTAGGAGGAGCTGGCCTGCATTCTGGGATCCTGACTCTTGTTACCTCCCCACCAACACTGCCCCCTGACCAGGGCCGATAGCCACCTGTCTCAATGCTAGAAGGCTGCAGACCAGCCACACAAGCTTTGCTCTCTTTCAGGCTGCCTGTCTTGGTGATGCTAGATGTTAAACAGCACTCACTGAGTGCTCATGCGATGACACTGTGCTAAGCACCTTCCACAAGTACCTGCTGACCCCTCACAGCTCTGAGGTGGTATTATCATCCCTATTCTACAGATGAGGAAACGGAGGCTCAAACGGGTCCTGGAAGCCAGGTGGTCTGAGACCAGAGCCCACTCTCTCTGTCCCTGTGCCACTCTGCCCTAAGGCTTGCTTCCAGTTCCCAGGGTACTGTAAGGCTGGGAAATAGGGTCAAAATGGAGCTGATGAGTGTTAAGGGCAAATAATGAACTCTACTGTGCACACTCGAAAGAGGCTTTATATATAGATTTTAACTGTAAAAGATAATGACTAAAAAAGTATTTGGGCTCATTTTCACTTATTTATACAACTTGAAACTGATTGTTTAAATCACACACCTCTTTAAAAGCAAAATGGTTTTAACCATCACATTTTGAATTTAAACAAACAGCAGGCTGCAAACACATTAGCAATCAGAATGCGATTACCAGAAAAATGCTGTTAAAGTGGAAAACACTGGAATTTTGGCAGTAATCTTAGACTGAAAGGGCCTTTCTGAGTAAGTCACAGAAGAGTCATTTACAAGATAACTTCTTTAAGGCCACAAGTCTGTGCTCACGATGTTTTTCTCCCAGAATAACAAAGTCCAGTGGCCTAAATTTTGAAATAAAAACTGGAAACTTAGATAGATGTTAATAAAGTAAGTCCTCCTAAAATCAATTTACCTATGACACATATTTAATCACAGAATTAACTGGAAAGAAGAAATAAAGAATTTACCTTAGGCAACCTGTCGTGTTACGCAGAACTAGTGAAGTCTGAAATTTAATTTTATGATCATCATCAAAAGAAGAGTTATTCCATCCAGAATGTGGAACAATCACAGTGTTTGTTAAGGTTGAGAGAGCATCTCGAATGATTGTCATTTTTACAGCATCACATGAGGATAAATTCCAAAGAACTCCTAAAAAAGGAGATTTAAAAAATCAAACAAATAGAGATCCTGTGGCTTTAGAAATAAAATAAACGTATTAGCTCTAATTAATATGAAGTCAGTCTGTTCCAAACCTAATCTATGGCCTATATTTGCAACCAGGGTGGGAATAGACCTCTAATGAGTTTTGAGTGAAGGTATGAGCCTCCGACAACATATTACAAATTCTTAATATTCACCCTCTTGGATTTTAGAGGGTGAATATTATACACCCTCTGTATCTATTAGGCAAGGTGACTGTGGATTTTGCAAAGCAAATTAGTTACTCTGCAAAGGGAGAGGGGCACAATCCAAGCAGGGGTCTTGAATATAATGCATCTGTGATTTTTACAAAACTGCTATTCATTGCATTGTATTTTACATTTAATGTCTGTGTGACAAACCATTTTTAGAATTTAGTACTTGGAAAAATATTTCTTTTTCTTGAAAGACTGGCATGTTTTTCTTCATCTGCTTCCTTTTCTTACTTTTGCTATCAGAAAGCTCAAGCTTCAATAAAGCACTTGCCGTAACTTTCCTGGCATGGATGTTTGTTATATTTGCTTCATCCACCTTACTTAGATAAGGTTTAAACACTTCTATCTCAATTTTAAGAGTTTTATTATCATGTGCTTTAGAAACACACGTTACTGTCATTCCTTTTTGGAAATAGGTGAAACTAACAATAAATTAAGAATCGCCTGTATTGTAATTCATATCAAGATTTCAGGATAACAGATCTTAAATGGAGCTTATTAGAGTTCTGTTTAATGATATTAGAGGGCCTTAATTTTTGCACCAAGTATGAGGTAGCTAAAATTATTATCATAGCACAGGTTTTCCAATAATTGCTCTCATAGACATTGGAGCAAATTTGAGATGATACCTACCCTAATGTCATTTTCACATCAGTGCATCTTCCTGAGTAAGAGGAAAGTAGGTGGAGAAGAGATGGTGCAGCTGGTTTTTCTCTGCATTCAAGTCCCCCCCAGAGTCCTACACTCCTGACATACCCTTGGCAAGTTGCTCGAGTCTGTACAGTGCTTTCACAACTACCAACACACAAAAACGTTTGTGGCCTTGCAGAGGGAGGGGTGGCAAAATCTGCCCATGTCCATGGGAGCGTGTCAGGCTTGTGAACATGACTGATCAAGAGCGTGGCCCGGAGACAAGACTGAGCACTGCTGCTCCAGCTGTCACGGCCCAAGAAGCCAGCCTGGACACCACCTGCTCAGCCTTCTCTGGGTGCCCCCTGTAAAAGAGGGTGGTATGGGGAGGAAGACAGGAGCTCCTTCCTTTGTGGAGGAAGGGGATGTAGAAGCCAAGGGCTAGAAGTGAAGAGAGTGAAACAATCTTCTGACTCTAAACTGCGTGAGGACTGCCCCTTCCCAGGCCTGTCCATGTGCTGTGGAGGGAATGGTCGGACTGGAACCTGATGCTTGTGCTCTGGCCTCCTCTTGTGTTCTGCTCTGCACCTGTGCCCACAACTCTCCTCTTTCACTTGGCTTTGACTTCTGGACCTTGCTGATTTGGTTTCCCTTGTTCCCCAAGGACTTTTACCCCTTTTCTACTCCTATTCCACCATAACTACAGCCTTCAGGACACAGGACGGGCGGGAGACTTAAGACAGTTCTGAATCAGGCAAGTAAAGACCTTGCTTTACTTCCAAAAGCTTGCTCTGTTCTTCTTTTCTTCTGTTCATGATAGACCTTTGCTTATATAATTATCTTGGGGTACACAAAAGCTAGGGTCCCGTTAGAAGGCAGCACGCATTATGGGTGCTTATGAAAAGAACTTAAATTCTACAGTTGGAGCTATTTCTCCACGGATTCTTAGAAAATTGGCCATGCTTCTATATAAAGTGCTTTTGGGCAATGGTTTTAAACTGTGCTCCCTGGATCCTGGGGGTTTTGCTGGCCTCCCATAGGGGCAGCCATGTGAGGAACTGAGGAAGAATTGGTCGTAAGGCTCCAGATCCCCACCTCAATTGACTCAGAGCAGCTTCATATTATCTATGCTCAATTTTGGGCTTAATTGGGTTTCTGTTTCAAATCTAAAAGACATTTGATAAGCCTGACGACCACAGAAAGGATCCGGGAGCTAAGCATGAGAAACACTTTTTTTGGCAGTCTGTCCTGACCAAATAACAGGGCAAGGGAGTGAAAACAGAAGACAGAGTTGGGTCAAGGCATAGCAGGAGAGGACAACAGACTCTGTCACTAACATGGGCTTTAACATTTCCTGCTAGGGAGGCCAACCATAGTCACGCTGGGCCCTGATGGGGCCTCCAGGAGCATAAGCCAGCCACAGTGGCAGCATGCAGCCCAGAAGTCATCAGTGGGAAAAGGGTGACTCCCTAAGCTCCCCTGCTGACAGTTTCATAACATGTGATTCCTAATGCCATTGGCACAAATTTTCTGTCACAGCTTTCGAATTCCTCAATGCATGGCAGAGAGCTGCATTTTTCAATAGGATATTTTCAACTTCACAGAATAAATGCATTCCAGTAAAGTTAGCTGCAAGGCAAGGTTTATGGAAAGTAAAGTCTATATCATACTATAATATTGGATATATATACAGAAAATTAAACAACCTGTGTCACAAACTTCAGGTGAAAACATGACTAAGAAGAAGAGTAGTTTTTCAGCATATTGGATCCTGGAGTTGATGCCTAGAAATTCTCTGATTGCAGTCAGAAAAACCTGTTTTTTTTTGTTGTTTCTGTCTCTACTCCCAGCTACTTCTAACACCTACTTCTGGCAAGAGAATATTTCTCTGATTTGAGAATTTCCCTGATTTTCATGCTGGTGGTAGAATTTTGTCCTGCTCTGTCTTTTTCTTCCCAGGCATTCAGAATGACTGATGGAGTTGTATGTCATTCTACAGCTTAGTATTAGCCAGTATATATACTTGGGATTGGACATAGCATAAACATTCATAAATCAATGTAAACAATGGTAGCATCACCATTTACTGTGGCTTTACTCTGTGCCAGGCATTGTGTGCTTTACATATAATACCTTAAAAAGCCAAGTTGTACAAAATTAATTAACTTTCCCTTTTAAATATTTTTATAGGTTTGAAATTCTACATGTTGATTTTTTTTTAAAAAAAGATGAACATTTATATGCTGAAATTAAATTTTAATTTCATTAGGCAAGTATTATATAATGAGGAAGAAATACCCTATCATTATCCATCCTTTTATATATATGTTGTGTGACACATATGCAGGACACATAGTAGGTGGTCAAAAATATTTGTGATGGATCTATTTTTATATCCTGTATTTGTTTTTAGATTTCTCTTTTATTTCCTACCTATCAGACTTGGCTTATAAGTATTATTATTATTACCTCCCCTTTGTGCCTTTTTGTAAAACTGAGTATTCAGGAGTGTCCTTTAAGTTTGCAACTGGGGGAGAGGATCTCTAACAAAATTTGTCAGCATAGTTTTGCCTGCCTTTCACATTGAGACCAAAACAGATGGTTGCTGAAACCACCATCTTAGTTACGGGGATAGGAGAATCCAGTTGCCATTCTATCTCCCAGAATCGGAAAAGTCACACCAACATGCCAGAATCCCCATCCCTCAAAGTGCAAAATAGAAAGGAACAGTGCTGCCAAATTATAAAATATAAAGTTGTTAAAAAATATGTTACCCTTCAGTAGACAAGTTGACTATGCTATCTTTTAGTCAACTAAAATGACTTATTGATCATAACACTAGCCTACTATAGAAATTCAGGCTTTCATTTCTGCAACTTCCAAAAAAAAATGTTTACAGTTATTCTTGATCAGAAAAAAGGAAAGGTTCTATTTTTGCTAAGTATGTGGTGTTCAAGGGACCCACCAAAAGGCAGCTTTATCACCCTGCATTGTGTGTTATATTATCCTCTAATCCTGCACTTCACCATGTAACACAAAGAGTTGCAACCTTCGGTATGGATTTAACTCACCATTTTGACTGGTTTTTCTTCCTCACTTTCTATTCCAAAACTAAGGTTATATAAAGCCAAAACAACCAGCTCTAGTCAATAAATAATGGATGAAAAAGATTTAATTAAACTTAAAAGCCTTAGATATGAAATGATTAATTTGGCTTTTTTGCTCAAAGTAAAAAGCACCTCTCTTAAGACCGGCTAATAACACCTGTGTGTGCTCGACCTCACTAAAACAATGTTCTCTCCACTTTGTCTAGGGCTTCATTTAATGGGTCAGGAAGAATCTTGCTAGGGCAGTAAGTAATGAATAGAGAATACACCAACTCCCAGATGTAGTAAGACTGATGAGAAAATGAAGAGCTGTAGGATTAGCCTTCTCCATCAACATGATAACCTCTAACTCCAACATCCTAATGCAAAATTTGCTTCAAAAATATTTATCACCATACTCCATTATCTCCTGGTTCTCAAAGGGAAAGTTAAAAATAAACTAGAATTTGGTTGAGGAAGCTTGAGGTTTTATTTAATTTAAAGCAATTAGCTATTTGTTGTGAGGACTAAGAATATAAACATACAAACTAATTTAGAAAATATTAGGGAGTCTCATGCATATTATTGTAGAAAACGCTGCTTATTCCCTGTCACAGGAACAAGTACATATAATTATGAGTAACCAATAATCACAATGAAATACTGCCATGAGAAATGAAAGTTCATTTTCCTCACAAAGAATGAATAAAGTAATTAAAATACCATTTCACATAAATCCTATGCTGCACAATTTTGAAAGAGCTCACATTTAAAACTAACTTTATAGCTATTCTAATGGCGAACTGATAATTTTATAGTCAAATTAGAAGCTGATTTTACTGATTAATTAAAATAATAGCAACTATTTGAAAAATGTACTTCTTAAAGGATATTAAAAAAAACAAAACATTTGGAAAATGCGATTTCTCTGGTGGCAGATATGCATGGCAGCCTATACAACTGTTTTTCTTTTTGATATGAAAGACAATCTTAAACCACTCATTTTTAGACAGCATTCAATTTATGCCATGTTTCCTAATTATATTAAAAAGAGCCCAAGTGTTTGTAGACATTGCCAAAAGCAAAAAAGCAACAGCCATAAAGGTGCCAGTGTGCTTCAAACATCATCACTGGACAGGCCCCTGCATTTTCCTTCTTGAGTGAACCTCGCTCTGAGTGCTCTGGTTTTAGTCGTGCTCTTTCACAAGACGTTCATGATGGAGGCAGGTAAAACTACCCAGGCTCAGGGTGTGAGGAACCATCAAGGAGATAATGGATGCTAAGGTCTTGTGCACACTCAACCCCCACTCCATTCCCAGTACAAAGCAAGTGTCATGACCAGTGGCTAACAGGACTGTGCATTCCCGTTGAAGCTCTGGGGAACACTGCTCCTTATGTAATCCTCCCCACCTCCTGCCCCAGCTCCTGGCTATTCTGCATCTATGGGCTCACTGGAACCACCCTGCAAACATTCTTGAAAAATGGGGGTAGAAATATTAGATTAATAGCACAAACATAATAATATCAGGGCTGCAGATTGTATCACGGCCCTTGCCTGCTTCTCCTAGCACATGCCTCCATTATCATTCCCTATACAGTCTCTGGCTGAAACACTCAGGATCTAGCAAACACACATCTTCATTTCTTTCTCTATGCAGCTGCCCTTGAAGTTCTCCCCTTAGCCCAATGGGTTTTTATAAACTTCTGCGGCTTTTTCTTGGGACGAGAGTAATGCCAAGATGCTATGGCACCTACATCCTGCTACAATATGGCCTCCCGCCAGCCTTAAAGTTACACACCTCATACCTTTGACATTTACGTTACCTCTACCCAAATGCAGTATAGACCTGTGCTGCCCCATACGGTGGCCATCAGCCACATGTGGCTACTTGAAATATGGCTAGTCCAAACTGAGATGCACTGTTGAGTAAAAAACAGATTATGAAGACTTGGTACGAAGAAGTGAACACAAAATATTAATAATTTTTATATTTCTTAGAAGTTGAAATACTTTGAAACTATTAGGCCAAATAAAATACATTACTAAAATAGATTTCCCATGGCTGCTAGAAAATGTAGAAAATATGCAGCTCATATTATTCTCCTATTGAACAGCGCTGGCAGAGATGCTTGCTTGCTTCATGCCAGACTCCGAGGGAGACACACAGGGGAGCCATCTGTTCTCAGGGGGGCCTTACCACAAACAGTTACACCACCAGGCAGTTGTGACAAAGGGCAGGAAGAGCAACAGGTATGGCTTGAATATCCTGTGTGCCAGGAGCTCAACACACATCATCACAAAAACACCAAGCAGCAGGTAATGTGTCATTGCCGGGGACACTGGGGTTTGACAGTGGTGATGTGTCTGGAGCCACAGAGCTGGAAGGAAACAAGTCAACCTGGCTCCAAAGCTCACACTCACTCGAGACCATGCCGCTTCTCCTTGGATGTTTTTCAAAGTGTGTGAACTTGTGTTTGACAGGAGGATGGGAGACCACATTTGAGTTGCAGTGTCAAGGACAGAGGCCAGAAAGAAGCAGGTTTGGGGTGCAGAGCTCTTCAGGCCAACTATATATAGCCTGGGAAAGAAGCAGAAGAGGTGACGGCACATGCTGGAGCTGGCTGGCAGGAGGTCACAGAAGCTACTGATTTGGACAGGCAGGTGGGAAAACCTGAACTGCAGGCACAGGTGTTATCCCAGGGAGGGGGTGAGGCCAATGGGCTAGGAGGGGCAGAGCCTATTTCACAGGACAGGATGGAGGAGGGAGGAGGCCAAAAGGGAAGGGAAGTGCCTGTAGTGAGAATTTGGAGCCAGATGCAAACTGAGGGTGGTGTCACAGGTAAGCCAGGAGTTTGAATACGTGTGAAAATATGGCACTGTTAACAGAAATGAGGAAGTCAAGGGGGTGGTGGGGAGAATCAGTGCCATAAAACTGTCTGCTGGGCTAATCAATTGCCCAAGCTTTCTAACAGGGCTGAAGGCTGTCAACAAATTACGAAATCTAAGTGAAACTGAAATAGTGGGAAAACAATTACGAGACAGGGATAAAACTACTATCCTCAGTTATAGAAAAATACCTTTCTCTGGATAAATGCTGAGGAAAACAAGTTGTGGTGGTATATAGCCATTCCCAGAGTTTCTAAGATGCCACTATCTGAGCAGAGTTCCTGAAACCTGTGCAGTGACCCCTCCATGCAGTGAGGCTCCTGGTCTATAGGTGTGGCTTGAGGCTTTCTCCTTCCTGCCCCAAAGCATGAGAGGCCAGTTGCTGCACTCCCTGCTGCCTGGCACAGAGCACTGCAGGTGGTGGACAGGCCTGCCTTGCTCACCCCTGTGTTCTCTGGGATTTCCTGCACAGCAGATGCATAATCCTCATGGGGCACGGGGGAGCTCACTCAGGTCCAGCTGTGCTCGGAACACCACCATCTCAGCTTTCAGCGCAGTGGGAAGTGGGTGCTCAGGTGGTCTGAGGGCAAGATGCTTCCTAGGAGGGAGCTGTGTGGAAGTAAGGAACTGGGCTGGTCACAGAGGCTGCACACAGGGGCCCCAGCCTGCATATTCCAGTTGAAGGTGACCATTCCTGCTGCTGAAATTTGTCCCCAGTTGGGACAAGATAGATCTTTAGTGCCTTTAGAGAATATAAGGGTTAGCCCGAGTCTCTGCGATTTTGCAGGCATAAAGGTGGATCACAGCACCTTTGAAAAGATCTACCAACTTTTAGAGATCCATTTACAGAATCATATTTGCATTTTAATGTATTCTTCTTTATTCTAGGTAATTTTACCACTTCTTGGATATGTTTTGAGGATTAATGACATAATGTAGTTATACAGTTCTATGTTCCCTGGAAAGGCATTTCTACAGAAAATAAATAAGCTTACAATTCAGAAATGCTGACTGAGAATTGCCCATATGGGACACACAGAGTGGCTCCTTCTGTTGAAGCAGAGCTAATAAAAGGGAACAGGTCACATGAAAGGAAATTAGAGAATCCTTCTGGGGCAGAAACGGCAGTGGGGGCAGCGGCCCTGGCCACCCTTGTTCTGCAGGTTATTTCAGTGTGACACAGAATTAGGTCATTTATACTGTCACAGTTACACTATCATAGAGATTTGCCCAAGAAACTGTCACTGAAGTCATATACTCCACAGCTGACCTACATGTTCCAGGAACACACTTGCTCATCTGTAACTGCACTAGATCTTCAACCCAGTTGTCTGGTGCTGGCAGAAGCTTAGAGACAAAGGTGCCTCCAGCTGCAAGCTATAGAGCATCATACTCAGAAACTGCAAAGCATTTGCAGGACCTGGCCTGGGGTCTCCATATTCCCACCTTTCTTGCATTTGTAGGACGTCTAGTCAACTGAGGGAGCATGTTATTACAGGGCCTCTCTTTTGCTGAGAAGTTCCACTCTGACTGATGTTTGAATACCCAAGTCTTATAAGTGACCTTCTGAGACTCCCTACTTGACTGCCTCCTTGTGCTTGGCACTCGGAAGCCTACACTCAAAATACAGGGTCATATTCCACTTAGAGGGTTGAATCTTTTCATACTCAAAACTATAAATCTTGAAATAGACGCAAGACCTAAAATCACGTTTCATAGACTTCCTAAGCAAACTGAAGCTTTATGATTATACTTGATCACTAGTTTGATATTATAGTGCTAGTGGTGAAATTCAGGGATATTTCTCTATGGTCCTGGGTAAAATTCAGAGAGTAGTTTATTGTGGGGCTTTTTTTCTTTTCCCTTTTTGGTGGTAATCTTAAAGAACAAGGGAAATAACATTTGTACCCTCCAGATTTAGCTCCTGTTCAGCCCTTCTCAGTGGCCAGGGTAGGCAGGGGAAGGGTCAGGGAAGAAACACCTCCAGCCTGGACATCAGGAACTCAGCCTGGAGACTTGCCTGCTCAACCTTCCTGGACTTCGGTTTCTAATCTGTAATAACAGGGGTAGACAGGAGATTTCTTTAGGGTTCTTTCCAGTTCAAAGTTCTCTACCAATTGAGAATTGGTCTATTCATAATAGACATTTTTTGTCTTCTTAGTAATTAAACTTTTAAAAATTTGTCATTTCTCATTACACATTTTCAGGGTTTGAAATGTTCAGTGAATAAGGGAATGTTTCTGTTGTGATTGTTTCATTTATTTTTTTGAGACAGAGTCTCTGTCGCCCAGGCTGGAGTGCAGTGGCGCGATGTCGACTCGCTGCAACATCCGCCTTTCAGGCTCAAGCGATTTTCCTGCCTCAGACTCTCTAGTAGCTGGATTACAGGCATGTGCCACCACACCTGGCTAATTTTTGTATTTTTAGTAGAGATGGGGTTTCACCATGTTGGCCTGGCTGGTCTTGAACTCCTGACCTCGAGTGATTTGCCTTCCTTGGCCTCCCAAAGTGTGGGGATTACAGGTGTGAGCCACTGCACCCAGCTATGTTTTATAAAGTGGACCAAGTGACATGGATCCTTACTGATTTGGGCTGGGAATTGGGAGGAGATGTTGCTAGATTTCTAAAAATGACCCACATAGCTTCTAACAGCCCTAGTGGCCCATAACAGTAGGACTGACTCCTCTCTGGACCAGAGCATAAATGACCTGTTTTGAAGGCATATTAATTAGGCTAAGGGGACATGCTTCGTAAACTGTTTTCATCCTGTAACGGCAAGTAATCGTCCAAAAGGCATGTCCACTAAGCTCCTGCTTTTTATAGTATATAAGACTAATTCTTGCCAGACTGTTCTGCCCTTTGTTAAACCTTAGCCTGGCCCATCTACCCTTCCTTAGTTACAACTATTATTTTCTTATTAATTTATCATCGAATTAAAAATATGGAGCTAATGATCAGGAAAACAATACACTTCATTTCATGTTCTGCAGTGTCTGGAATCCATTGCTGGCATCCAAACATTTCACAATAAACAGTGGAAATATTTTACTTAGCTATATGGATGAATAATCACTTACTAAATTGGAAGAAATGTACATGTAGCAGTCATATGAACAAAGTCTATTATTACCGAAGAACAAAGGCTACTTTTTGGTATTTAAGAGGGTAATAGAAGTGTGACAGTTGGGGACATCTGGTACGTACATTAAAAAGCAGGCCTCCAGATTTGTGCAATATCTTCAATGTCTATAGTTTTAAAAAATGATGTTTTCAGGAGGCTCAATAACTTGAAACTCATGTTTCCTAGCTTAGAAACACTATTTAATTATTTTGAACAAATGAGTTCAACATATCTTTTTTAGTGACAAGATGTTCCCATCTGTCCTCCATACTTTGTGGCCTAGCAGACATTCATTTTATAACCAAACTGGGGAACAACCATACTTCATCCAGCTTTCAAGTTTAAGTACAACAACAGCAAAAAATACTTTTGGAATAAAAGAAAAATTACCCTAAGCACTCACATATATCAGCACTTACTAAAAGAAAAGCTCATTAGGTTTCAACTGGAAAATGTTCAACACAATGAGGAAAACACAAGAATCATGTTACATACTAGAGAACCATTTTAATTAACAATGACAGCCATATTGTCTTGGGAAAATACATTTGAAGAAAAGTCCTTTTTTCCCTCTGAAAATAAAGATGTGGCCAAAAATATAGGCCCTGGGCAGTTATTGTGTTTAAAGCAAAGGCAAGGCATCTTTATAAAAAACAGCTAAAATTTCTCCACTTAAGTACAGTAAAAACTGCCAAACTGAAACAAAGGGAACTAGAAAAAAAGACTGGATTAATAACTGGGTTGAATTACTTAATATTAAGAATCAAAGAATTCCTAGTTTCAAGGGCATAGTAGTTTCTTCAAATTATATAATATTTGGAACACAATGGTTCACTGTATTTTAACATCTCATGATCCTAAGTTGACTATAATTTTCACTTAGGAATGTGTGGACCGTACCTACAAAGGCCAAGCACCGTGCAAGGCTAGCCATGGTATTTGTGAATGATACTAGCAGAACACTAAAATCTAAGGCTAATGTTCTGTTTTCAAAGGGGACTTTATAGGAGATGGGCACCTGATGGGGAATGCTGGGTGACACGGTCACACAGCACCTTCAGCCTGAGTTCAGAGCAGACGTGCTTTAACGACAGTTCAGACTGGGGGCTTACTTCCTTGGTTAGGAGTGCTGGTGGCTGGATCTAGGGTGGAACTGGTCTTTTTGTAGGGCCATTCCTATGCAAAAATGACCTCCTGAGGGTCTGTATTTTTTGCCTTTTCAAGTTATATCAGATAACTTCTTGCTGCTTTCTGGATAACCTTGTTGTCCAGACTTAACCCCACCAGGTAATGAGCTTCCTGTGCTGTGGGTTCATGCATGTGATGGCGGCTACTTTGTATGGAAACTGTACAGGAGATTCATGCACTGGATGGATGACTGAACAAAATGAGTTCTGAGGTCTCCCCCAACCCTGTGCTACAATTAAAGACGGCTTGAGCATTTGATGTGAGGAAGATTTAATGAAAGAAGAAAGAAGAGTTCAAGCATTTTTTGATGTTTTCATGCTTTAATATGTATCAAGGATCAATCACCCTTAAAATATTACTGAACATCAGTTAAGATTGGTACCACTAAATTGTAGGACTGGGAAATGTGAGCAATTTTGCTGTCTCTATAAAGCTTAGACTATAAATACATGTACACACACAAAAAAAGCAACTATGCTAGATTTATATTGTGACTTGTTTCATGTTAGTTAGACAATGTTTAGGTATAAATCAAACACAGCTGCCATTTGGCTTTTTGAACTGGGAACTCATTTCTGAAGTCTTCTGGTCCAACCTACTTTACTTATGGCAATTGCATGAAGTGTTTACCCACTGACCACTCTCATTTCAATGTTTTGAAGAAAACATTTGATAATCAGTCCACATGTCAAAATAAAGGATTAGTGGTAACAGTATATAGTTATAAAGCAATTCTTAATGTCTCCTACTCTATAAGTATGGCAAAAAATTGTTTCTTATAGCCTAAAAGCTACCGGCAGATATTTTCAAGACAAATATCAGAGGTACTTCTTAGTTTTACATTAGAAGTGATTGATATGATCTATTAGGAAAACAGCTCTTTCTGAATTAGAAAACACTTATATCCTCTTTTCAAGGCCAAGGTCCATGTCTTAAAACATCTTATGTTCTCTATAAAATAAGGAGGAAATCATCTAAATTAGCACTCAATTCCAGAGTGTGCTCCAGGTAACCTAGTACATAAAAGCCCTTGGTAGTAAAGTCGGGCTCTACTTAAAGTAATTTTGACTTATTTTTAAATGTAAACAAAAAAAGAGCACACAATCATGTACTTTTCTTCCTGTTTAACACTAAATCTTACAAATTCCTTGAGCTCAGCTCAGGAAAGGCACTGTAATAGTCTCTCCCAAGGAAAAAACTCAAACAGAAATTCAGAAAAGACTCATTCCTCCTATGAGAGGACAGAAGAGCAGGAAAAAGCTTCACATTAAGGATGTAAGGATCGAGTCATGATGAATCTGGCTAGTTAAATTTGAGGAGAAGCTGTGTTTTCCATGTCATTTGTCCCTGGATCGCCACTGCTCTCTCAGGGAGTAGCGCACACGATGGACTGCAGCCCTCCTGGCTGCACGGTGTTACTATGGGAAGACAACTGGACATGACACAGGAAGTTCAAAGTGATGGGAAGAGAAACATCAGACAAAGCAGGAAAGCACTCATGTAATGCAAATGATTCTGTCTCCTCTATGCCTCCCTAACAGTAGGCTCAGGGTAAATTTGTGGGCGTAATCACAGTGACTGTGTTGACTTCTAGGATGAACATAGCTACATTTTTATTTTTTCTTAATTCTGTTTAGCTTGCTCTAATTTTCATTTTATATCTACATGTACACGTAAACAAAAATAATTATAATTTGTTTTTTGGTGAGATGCCTCAAAAGCATTTTAGAAAGTGGGAGTACTAATTTAGAAGCGCTAAAGCATTAATAGTCAAAATACATTAAGGCAGATGGTCCATTCCAGATTTATGATTATTTGTAACGTATATTCTACTTTTGGTATTTTATTTAGAGTACAAGGGAATATTAATGTTGTATTTTGAACATTAATATCTTATGAGAAAGTTGATTCCCCTTAAATATTGGATGCAGGATAGTTTATTCATTCCCAAGTGTTACAGAAACTACAACTCTGATTTCACAGTGGAAACCTGGGGGGAATGAAATTAATTTTGAAGAAATGTTGTTTTAAAATTTTAAATTAAATATCTCAAGCATGAAAAAAGGCAAAGAAAATATAAAACAAACACCCAGGTATGCCAGCTTTGTCAAATATTAACATTTTGTCTTATGTATTTCAGAGTTCTCTAAAGAAACAGAGGTGGAATACAACCCCCAGTCCCATTTTCCTCCTTCCTCTTCACAGAGGTAACCCCTATCCTGAATCTATTTTTATTATTCCAATTAGAAATTTTAACTTTATTGCATGTGCATATATCCACATCAATCTACATATTTAAAAACTTTATTCAAATAGTATTACTCTGTAGTTATCATTCTGCAAGTATTTCTAAAGCTGCATGTATCTGTTATGTGTATTCTACTGTGCTTATTTTAACTGCTGTATGTGGTTTCACTGTGTGAGAGTACTGCCATTGATGTAACCATTCTTTTGTCAATGAACTCTTAGTATTTTCCCTGAATTATTATTACAAGCAATGCTGTCATCAATGTGTCCTCCTGCAGAACCATTCTTCCAGCTCAATCTCAAGTATCCTTGAATCCAGCCACTAGCACTGCAACATCCAGGCATTACTCACTTCTCCCTCTCTCTCACTCCGCACTTCCGACCATCATGCCCAGACCACAAAATATTTCTCTGACTGCTCCACCCCACTCTTCCTTTTCATCATTAAAATAGTTCAAGCTGTTATCAGTAGACTGTTGGTCTGTTCATAGGCCTCCCACGCTCTCCCACTTCATATCAATCCTCTACCCTGCTGCCTGCTGGAAGAACGCATTTAAAGGCCTAAACTGGCCATGCCATACCCCAGTGTCCCTACTGCATGTGGGACACAATTAAGTTCCTTATAAAAGTTCCCTAAATGGGCGGGGTGCAGTGGCTCACACCTGTAATCTCAGCACTTTGAGAGGCTGAGGCGGGCGGATCACCTGAGGTCAGAAGTTGGAGACCAGTCTGGCCAACATGGTGAGACTCCATCTCTACTAAAAATACAAAAATTAGCTGGGTTTGGTGGCGCGTGTGTGTAATCCCAGTTACTCAGGAGGCTGAGGCGAGAGAATCGCTTGAACCCGGGAGGCAGAGGTTGCAGTGAGCTCAGATCATGCCATTGCATCCCAGCCTGGGTGACAGAGCAAGACTCCGTCTAAAAAAACAGTTCCCTAAATGAAGACTCTATCTCTCTCTGGCCTTGTTTTCTTTTCTTTTTTTTTTTTTTTTGAAACAGGGCCTCACTTGTCATCCAGGCTGGAGTGCAGTGGTGTGATCATGGCTCACTGTGCAGCCTCAACCTCCTGGGCTTAAGTGATCCCCCTACTTCAGACTCCCAAGTACCTGGAACCACAGGCATGTGCCACCACATCCAGCTACTTATTTTTATTTTTTGTAGAGATGTGGTCTCCCTGTGTTGCCCAGGTTGGTCTTGGACTCCTGGCCTCAAGTGACCCTCTTGCCTCGGTCTCCCAAAGTGTTGCGATTACAGGTGTGAGCTACCACACTTGGCCCTCACGAGGTTTTAACACAGCAGCCCCCTCTTGCTGGTAGCTCCAGAACTATATCCCATGCTGTTTCGGAGCTTGTAACTAGAAAGACCTCTGCCTATCCAGCCAATGCTTCCTCATCCCTTAGGCCAACTTCAGTTTCATGTCACCCAGGGAACTTCGTTACCCATCCTCTGTGCCCAATGCAACCTCTGTTGAGTGAGACTTGCCACATTTCCCTGACGCTCACAAAACCACCTGTGTTCCTCACCAATCTGAGGGTGACTTAAGCGCAGGCACTGAGTTTTATTCATCTTTCTATCCCTGGGGCCTAGTAAAGTACGTGGGAATACAAACAGGCACTCAGACACCAGCTGAGCTAACGTAAAAGACTGCCAATCCATTAAGTATATTTTATTTTCATAATATAGGATAGTCTATTTAATACAACTAGATTTACTATGAAATACATGTAAAAAATGTCATATTTAGTCCTCCATGAAAAAGACATCTGTTAGCTGATATTTACAAATTAATAAGTACAATAACTTATACTAATAGAGATGACTGCATTCTAAACGGTTTCTGACTCATTAGACTAAATAATTCTCAGCCTTCACAGTTGTGAGCACTATATATATCTCATTATCTATTACCTGGAACCTCCAACTCTTCCATAGTGCCACTATACAAGGGCACAGTCCAGACTGTTTTCAACATTTCCTCTAGGACGAGATCACATTCTATACCTACCTGTAACAAGCTCCCTTACTTCTGCATCAATAGATTTTCTCAACAGTCGCAACAAGGCAGGTATCCCACCAACA
Source organism: Homo sapiens (assembly GCF_000001405.40). NCBI lineage: Eukaryota > Metazoa > Chordata > Mammalia > Primates > Hominidae > Homo > Homo sapiens. The sequence continues at coordinate 158,642,625 of NC_000002.12, read as the reverse complement.
TTCTTCATTGCTATTTTATTTTCATCTGTAGACTTGCCAAAAACGAGGTTTCGAAGGGCACCACAAGCATTCTTCTGAACTTCCAAAACTCTGTGGTCCAGAAGGTCAACCAGATGCTTGATTCCCCCTAACCTACACACCTAGAATGAAAAATATTAGGTACCAGGCCTAAGTAACATGCAATTAATCAGTGATCATACAGAAGTCCGTTATGGAGAGATCACAGGATGTGGATATCTCTAGACCATTTCAAAGGTTACTTTTTATTCCAAATAAGACAACTTTTATACATTCTAAGGAGAGGCCAGGTGCGGTGGCTCATGCCTGTAATCTCAGCACATTGGGAGGCCAAGATGGGCGGATCACTTGAGGTCAGGAGTTCAAGACCAGCCTGGCCAACATGATGAAACCCCGTCTCTACTAAAAATAGAGAAAACTTAGCTGGGTGTTGAGGCACACGCCTGTAATCCCAACTACTTGGAAGGCTGAGGCACAAGAATCGCTGGAACCTGGGAGGTGGAGGTTGCAGTGAGCCAAGATTGCACCACTGCACTCCAGCCTGGGCAACAGAGTGAGACTCTGTGCCCCCCACCCCCCACCAAAAAAACAGAATTCTAAGGACACTCTTGTAGATGATACTTTTCCTGGGTTCATGGCTTCAAAAAAAGATAGGAGATTTAAGTGGTTTAATGTCCATCGGCAGGCAGCACAGTCCTCCTCCAAGCCTCAGAACACACATCAAGAATTGTGCTTTCACTCCAGCAGTGCAATGTGCAAATACACAAACATAGCAAAGCTATCTGCAGGGCTTGAGGCAATATAGGAAATAATTTTTGACTTAAGTTATTTAGTTTCTAGAATGAGTTCTCTAGGCTACTCTCCTTAAATTTTCTTCCATTTGTCAATTCATTAGTACATTATTTGAGTATTTCTGGGCTTTATGTACTACATTCACTTTTAGGTCTGGAACTGGTATACTGTTATGCACATTAAAATGATGAAAAACACTTCAGTTTTATATAACACAGTGGGTCAGAAGAAGGCTTGAAACGTTAAAGAAAGAATCTATATGTTATATAGAATTATAGCCAATAACCAGTAACTTGCTATGTTTCTATAAATACCAAAAAAACCCTGAAATAAAATATTCATGTATGTTCAGCCTTAGTGATGGTTATAATCCTCTATAACTTATTTATAGTTGGCACCAATCTGACTAGAATCCCATAAAACACATTGGCTCACTAGTTCAATGAATACTATAATTTTTAACCTAATAATTTTTTTTTTTTTTGAGACAGAGTCTCGCTCCTAGGCTGTAGTGCAGTGGCTTGATCTCGGCTCACTGCAACCTCCTTCTCCCAGGTTCAAGTGATTCTCCCGCCTCAGCCTTCTGAGTAGCGGGGATTACAGGCCATGCACCACCATGTCCAGCTAATTTTTGTGTTTTTAGTAGAGAAGGGATTTCACCATGTTGGCCAGGCTGGTCTTGAATTCCGGACCTCAGGTGATCTGCCAGCCTCTGTCTCCCAAAGTGCTGAGATTATAGGCATGAGCCACTGTGCCTGGCCTAAAATATTTTTTAAATGCAAGTTAAATTGATTTTTGCTTCATGGTTTTATAAATAAGCTAATGAAGTAGACATACGATTTGAAAATGCTGAAAGCACTCCAAGAAATATATGTATCCTAGTTTTTCCTGAGAGATACTGAAATGCATAGTTAAGTGAAAGAGTATCTGGTATCAAAATATCCCTTTAAAAAGACTCTTGAATTACACTGGGTAATTTCTTAAATACAGAAGCACGTGGCTGTTAAATGCAAAGGCATTATTTTCCCCAGTCATCCCAGGCACCATGTCCTGTACCTCCATCTTCACTTTGTTGTCACCAAAGCACAGGTGCTGCAGGTAGGCCGCTGCATTTGCCTGAACAGATGGGAACTGGTGCTGAAGCATGTGAATGACCTCAGGCAACTCAGGATCACGCCAGGCAAACTCCCTACATGAGAAAAACATGGCTTCAGAAAGGAAGGCCCATGTTGTAAAAATACACTGAAAAAAACACTTGGTATAAGGAAAAAAAGCTCAGCTGAGACAAAAATGGGAAGTTACAAAAATCCTAAAAAATACATACCTAAATAATTTTTCCCCCTGATGAACATATGCAGAGGCCCAGATGCTTATGATCTTAAGGAAATCATGACGCACAGATGCACAGAAAGAGATTCAGGGGAACAAAGAAAATTCTTAATATAAGTAACTTCCACTCTCGTGTTCCTCCTCCTGATTCTAATTTTATGTCTTTCTACCTATGTAAGAAATCTGCAGGTGCAAGGCTCAGGTAAACACGTGCACTGTAGCGAAGTGAGATGTCATGCCTGAAGGGAGAGGAAGGGCTGGTGGGAACAGACAGGGCTGGCGTCAGCCTAGAAATCACAAACATTGTGGGCCTGAGGATTTTTAAGAAACAATGTTTATGGTTGCTCTTGAGTATAACACAGAAACACAGAAAACTATAAACAAGTATTTGACCAGTCATCCTATATTCAGGATTACTGCTGACATTTCCTGTTTTTCTATATATGTGTGCAAATGTGCACACATGTGTGAGTTTGGAATTTTTTCCATAAAACTGGGTTATTATTAAATAGTAGTTAATATTTCATAAACCCCTATCCTGTGTCAGGCACTATTCCAGGCATTTTATATATATTTATTAATTTATTCTTACGGCAACCTTAGAGAAACGGAAGTTGAGGCAGAAAGGCCATGCGCCTGGCCACGTGGCTGTAAACTGCGAAGCGGTACCCTGCCTTCAGAGTCTGTGCCCTCCAACACTATGCTATACCATTTTTTTGAACAATGAATACATAATCATGCTATGTATATATACTTTTATACTTTCCTTTTTTTCAGCTAACATCCATTTTCAGGATTTTCTAATGTCATCTGATTGGTGTACTGTTTGGAATTCTTGTTAAATGTGAGTTTGTGCTTATATTATGTGAAAAGCAGATTGTTAGAAAATGGTTCACAGAACAACAAATATGCAGACTCTGATTACAGGATAAAGTTAGTTGTTTATTAAAAAAAAGAATTCATACTGAGTAAACCTTTAAAATTATCTTTAAAATTAATGACCGAGTGATAATTCTCCTGCCTGGTTTTTGAAGCCTTAGAGTCTCTCTTGATCTGGGAAGTCTCCATGTATTAACTTGTTAGACCCCTGCAAAGGGGCATGTCATCCCACACCTGTGTGCACACACGCAAACACACACGCACGCACACACACACACACACACACCCCTCATGCGTTCAGTTAGTGAATTCTTACTGTGCTATGGTGCTGGAGATACAAATATTGGTAAGATACGATTCTATTTACAGGGTCTTCTCTGCCAAACTAAAAAGTTTAGTCTTAATACCAATAACAGGAGTTATCCTTTATTGAGTTTACTTATATCAGGCTTTGTGCCAAGAACTTTACCTTCATTATCTCATTTACCTTTACTGTTGCCTCATGAGGTAAGCACTATTAAAATAACATTAGATACAGATAAGGAACTCAGGATTAGTAATTAGTGATAGAGGTTAGTGAAACCCAGGTGGTCTATATGTGTGCCTACACATAAGGAATGAAGGCTGTGAAGCAGGAGAGTAAGAGGATGTGACATAGTCACATTTATACAGACGATAACTCTAGTGGCCAAGGAAAGAATGCCCTAGAATACAAAAAGATGGGTGTCATGCAGATTACCCACTATCTGCACAGGAATCTATACATCTGCTTGAAACGAAATAGACTTCTCTTTGATTCCTCTCTTTTCTTCATCTTCCCTCATGGAATCCATCAGCAAGTTCTGTTGACTATCTACAAAATATTTAACATATACCAAATCCATTCATTTTCTCCATTTTGCCCAGAAGAGTCTAACAGTTTCCTACATGTTCTCTCTGCTTCTAATATTATCCCCTCACCCCACCTGCACCCCCAATCCATTCTTTATACAGCAGCCAGATGATCTAAAAACTGAAGTCAGGTGTGAGATGGAGTTTCTGGCTTGGTGAACAGGCTGGAGGGTGATGTCACTAACAGCCATTAAGAATACAGCAAATGCCAAGGGAGGCAGGATAACAGCAGAAAAAGCACAGAATATGGAGTTAGATTGCCTGGGTTTCAGTCTTGGGTCCTTCCATTTCTGTGTGATTTTGAAAACCAATTAATTATTTGGAGCTTCAGTTTCCTCAACTGTAAAACAAGATCAATGAAACTAATATTTCAATCTTCACTGGTTGGTTGTGATGATTAAATATGATGATGAATACTAAAATATTTTATATACTTTTACTTCTGACACAGATGTTTTATTAATATTCATCATCCCTAAAAAATGAGCTATTCTAAATAGATGAATTCCTGGTAACAAATAGTTTTCCTTTTATATATTGAAACTGTTATCAATCGTTTCTCAGAAAATCTGTCTAAAGCCTATTATGTAAATCTCTGTTGTAATTAACAGAGTGCAAGGAGTGTGATTTACTCTTTCTTTGATGACTCACAATCATTACAAATACACATTTTTGTCCTCTTTAAATGGGACACTGAGGGTCAAGATTTCCTGACATCCCCGGTGCCATGAGGGCCAGACAGCCCCGAGGGTGGGCTCCTGCCAGAGCTGGGCAATTAGGCTTGCTTGGCTTCAACTCCAACCTCGATGAAAATTCAGTAGAAATTTACCCTCGAAAAACTGCTATCAATTTGTAGGCTGGCTGGATGGCATCAATGCCTGCCAGGATTTGCTTCAGTATAACCTAAGCCCAGACTTCTGTTTCCAGCCATGATAGAGTAACTCGTACTGGATTTCGCCCTCCCACCATAAACAATTATAAAAGTGAATTTAGCTAAATGTAGGAGAAAACTGTTTTTAGACCCTCGAAAACAGGCAACACAAGAATATAATCCTTGAGAGGAGGGAAACATCCACGAGTCCCATGTTTACTTGGCTTTCTGCCTGAGGGCACTTTCTGGACCAAGACACAGGAAGCTGAGGCCAAGTAGTATGTGAGGGATTTAGTGAGCTGAGGCAGGGAGCGAGTGGAATTTGTGGGTGCCAAAGTGGTTAGAATGTGCAAGGCAGAGTACTGGAGACAAGGGAGCTAAGCAGAGGTGATTCTCCGGGTTTGCGTGTGGACTATCCGAAGTCCTTAGTTGTACCCTGAGCTGTAGGGCACATGCACAGGTCTGGTGGAAAGTGGCTGCTGCACGGCTCAAGGCTGAACAGGTACCACGTGATGTGGACTCCCAGCCTAGTCAGAGTGCAGACCTCACTGAACACCTTGGGAATTTAGTCAAGACTCCACAAAGGCCAAGTTTTAGGGGTAAGGATCATGTTCTAAGGCTTAAAAGAAATATGAACTAGACCTAACAATGAACAAAACCAATCTTGATGGGATTGAAAGGATCTGCCAGTAATTTAGTTCTCTGCCACAACAAAACTCAGCACCCTAACAGGAGACAACTTAATCCAGATTCCCTATAATGTATCATCTACAACCGTCAGTATATAATTTAAAATGACTAAACATGAGAAGAAACAGAAACATATGACTTATAAATATGTAAAAAAGGCAACCAATAGAAACAGACCCAGACTCACCCCAGATGTTGAACTTATCAGAGGAAATATTTTAAATGGTTATGATAAATGTGTCAAAGACTTAAAGAAAAAGATGTATATAAGGAGTGAAGAGATGGAGAATCTCATAGGAACATGGAATATATAAAAGGAACCAAATTCAAGGATTGGAAATAAAAACAAATTTGCAAGGGCTTCACAATAGATTGTAGTCTATAGGACAAAGAACACTAAATTTGAAGGCATTAATAAAAATTTCTGATTACAAGAATACAGGGAAAAAAGATTTAAAAAATGAAGACAGATTCAGTAATCTGCAAAATAATAAAGTGATCCTATGTGTTTAATTCAAGTCCTAGAAGGAGAAAAGAGAGTTTGGGGCAGAAAAAAAAACTTAAAGAATTAATGGCTGAAAATTTCCCAATTTTGACAAAAACATCAACCTACATTCCAAGAATCTCAGTGAACCCTAAGCAGGTTAAATGCAAAGAAAATTATACTTAGGCTCACCAGAATAAAACAGCTGAAAGCTAGAGAAAAATCTGAAAAGCAGCCAAAGAAAAGACACATTACATAATGAGAAGAATGCACATGATGTCTGCCTTATCAACAGAAACAACGGAGATCTGAAGACAATGAATGACATCTTTTAAAATACAGAAAGAAAAAAATGCACACCTGTAAATCCTGAATTATATATCTAGCAAAAAAAAAATCCTTTAAAAAAACAAGTGAAATATTTTCAGATAAACTAAAGCTGAGAGAATTTGTTACAAGCAGAAATGCAAGACAAGAAAGGCTAAAGGAAGTTCTTTAGGCCAAAGGGAAATGAGTTGAGATGGAAACGTGAATACACAGGAAGTCTTTTACGTTACTCCTTTCAGAAGCATCATTGATGTTATTAATAAATATGGTTTCCAAGTAGACAACTATAAAAAAACTCACAGATTTCCTTTTATACAGTAAAGATCAATAACTTCCTCAGTCTTAAAGAGAATTTTTCAGGCCAACTGTAATGTAGCATTAATAATAAAGGCTTACAAGTGAATAAAACTTGTAGTGAATTACTTCAAATTGCTATTTTCAAAACTAAAAATTAACAGTTGTCATGAGCTTTTAATTTTGGTTTAAATATTCAAACTTCAAAGTCACCTGAATTCCAGTTTTAGCTAGAATAAATGCACCTACCAAATAATCACTTATTCACCTTACGAAATGCATTATCAGTAAAGTTTCACATAATCAAAGACAGCCATCAGTTTTATGCATTAGACTATGAAATTATCACACTATGAATAGCTGAGGTATATTATCATACATGAAGTCCTTGTTTATAGAGAATCAACTCACATTAGAGGTCAAAACTGAAGTCTTCAGGGACACATATTAAACTCAAAGTTCTCATCACATTTCACTGCCTTTCTAGGTAGCTATTATTTTCTCTTCAGGTCCAGCCAAGGGATGGTCTAAATTACCTACAATTCAAAACTCTTTTGGGAATTTCTGCATCTATTTGGGTGCCTTAGGTCTTTGTCATTTTGAGGATTTGAAAAAACAAAATCAGTAAGAGTATCTCTGACAAGCTGTAGGTGTTATTAGACAAGTTATTTTTGAAACTCCTTAAAAATGACAAAAAGGTGGCAAACCAGGAGTAGCAGAACCAAATGCATTTATATAGCTTAAAGAATTTCAGGAATAGAAGTGAATAAGTGAAGCGGTTTTAGTGAAGCAGTGGATTTCCCACTCAACTTTAAGGTATCTTTAGTCATTTTGTTTTAATGACCAAAACCTCACTCATCATTTTAATTCACATTCATTAAAACAAGTTGGTAGGCTGCTAAAAATGAATTGATAATTATAACAATTTTCCAGTGAAGCAACTATTTGTGGGCGAAGAGTGAATGAAATCTTGCATACATGCCTTAAAATAACACTAAAGCGCTTAAAATTTAGCAACAATTTCACTCTTTCAGAAATGAAAATTCTTTTAGTTTCAAAATATCTTTATTTCCTGAATATTTTAAATGGCTTTAAGGACAAGGTCAGTTTTTCAAAATCAATCAAGTATTAAATGACTCATATTATCTTAATAAAAATGCTGTCTACAGGGCCAAATAAAATCAGAAGGAGGAAACGTCTATGATTTGCCAAACACTTTTTGCTTATTAGATAGAATTTCTTATAAAGACTGTCTTCTCCTAAATGTCACAAATTGTTTTCAAAGGACCTGGTTAATAACAGCGTTATATATTGTTGACCACTATGATTGAAAACATGTAACACGGGTCTTTCTCTAGTTTGTAATAACCAAATCCATTTTTTGAAGCTGTTATCGAAGAAGTCGGTCAGGATAAGGGCAAAGGGTAAATTGATCTTTCAAAGCCTTGTTTAATTCCAAGAGGCTATTCCAGGTTGTTGTCTTGATGAAATATTTCAGTGATGAATGCTGCAGATATTCCCATGGATCTGTGCCTTCTCTAACTTATTATGAAAGGATGGAAAGAAGGAATCTATCTTTAAAATGAAATTAACCTCAATGACCTATATAGCTGGAATACAACTGGAAGTATTAATATATATGGAATTAATGATAGTATAATGATAGTATAATAGACTTAGCAACTTAAAAAAGTCAAAATGGAGGAACTGGCTGACTCCTGCAATACTGTAGCCTTCTAGAGACTCCTAACTGGTACTCGCCTGGGGTCCTTCTGAATGCTGTCTATTGATGGGGATCTTGTGGTGCCATCATCAGCCGGCACTGCATGCTGAAGCCTGTTATAATTGCACTCTTGCACTCGGTATTGTATAGGCCTGTAGGGCTCCGCGTAGGTAGCTGTTGTGTTCAGAGCATAATTATTTCTTTGGTATGTAAGGGTACTTCGTTGGCTGGATGTCCTTTGTAGATTTCCAATACCTACTAGAAAGTCAACATTTTGAAAAAGATTAGTATGTTCTCCATGAGATCACACTTTAATTAAAGGTAAAACATTTTTAATTTTAAGGACTATATTTTTTGGCAATTATATAAATCGCTTACTTTTAGATTTTAAAATTCTACCTTATTAGTGCTAAAAAGGGTACTTAAGTTTTTAATGTACATAAATATTTTGTTAATTTTTTAGCAAGAAACAGCAAAAGTGAAACTACAAATCTGCTTATATAGTATGTTCATTGAGGTTCAGTAACAAAACTGAGAGAAATATAAGAATCTTAGAGATAAATGATAAAATAGCAAAATTTATTAATTTCATTCTAGTGGTAAAAACAAGATATTTATTCAAATTTGTAAGTAATTAAAACCATCAAAATTTTAACACTTCGTGTACCCAGGTTACTTATTTTATTCTACAGTAGTCCATCCTTATCTTTTGGTTTTGCTTTCCATGGTTTCAGTTACCCGTGGTCAATTGTCCAAAAATATCAAATGGAAAATTCCAGAAACAAGTAATTCATAAGTTTTAAATTGCACACCATTCTGAGTAACATGATGAAATCTGTGCCATTCAGCTGTGATCCCACTGGGACGTGAATAATCCCTTTGTCCAGTGTACCCATGCTATAGATGCTACTAGTCTGTTAGTCACTTAGCAGCTGTCTTGACTATTAGATTTACTGTCTCAGTACTGCAGTGCTTGTGTTTAAACAACCCTTATTTTACTTAATTGTTCTATTTCATTCTTTGTTATTGTTGTTAATCTCTTACTGTGCCTGATTTATAAATTAAACTTTATCACATGAATGAATGTATAGGAAAACACATAGTATATACAGGGTTCAGTACCATCTGCCATTTCAGGCATCCACTGATGGTTTTGGAACGTATTCTCCATGGATATAGACAGACTATTATACATTTTATTTCTAGACCTGTGGATTGTAATAACACTGGAAAATCTACTTCACAAGAGGGAAAGAAGACTGATATATCAAATGATTCTACAGCTACTCCCCTAAATTACTGTATGATGCTATTACAAAGATACTCTACACTGTATTTAAAATGACTTTACTAATTATGTCAGTGGGTATCCCTCCAGTAACTGTGTACATATCTTCCTGCAATTAAAAAGATTTTAAACAATATCTATTTCTTAGTCTTATTAAAGGAATTCCTCAATTTACAGACATAAGGAAAAGCGAAATATTTCTTTATTAATGTCTATTAGAAATGGTACATTTTATTAGAAGATAAATCCCTCAGTGGATCAAACTGTCAGTTTCCTGCAAAGAACAAATTCAGATACAGTCTTCCCCACTCTGGTGTTCTAGAGTTGTACCTTTGAGGGGTTATTATTGCTACCTAGGGTTCATTTGTAAGCATGTTAATAAATTTGTGATACTTACTAAAAAAAAAAAAGTAGTCTTGAGACTCCATGAGCTAGCCGTGCAGCACAACCTGGCAGCTCACACCACCATGGGCTACAGCATCTGCTGTATGAGCCTTGATGGTATGGCATAAACATGAGGACTGGCGGTACAAGGGTGTGATGCTCCAGCTCCCTGCTTTTATAAATGTCGCTATTGAATCCTGTACCAGTTTGAGTCCATTGCAAGGGGTATCTATTTTACATTCTACATTTAACTATTCAGAGAACATCCAACATTAAAAAAGGAGTAATGCCAAATACACTTGGGCTTCATGCTTGCTAAATCAAAGATGGCCAAGTAACTCATGTATGGATTTTCTCCAAAAACTTGTTTGGCAAAAGAATTACAAAGAAATATTCCAACAAGGCTTTCCTTTTGATACTGAATATGCATCTAACCCGAGGAGAGTCAGATTTACAGTTTTACAAACTTATTCCTGAATTAACAGTATAATCACTATGTTCATTGATTAGAATGTACTAAGGTAAAAATATATCACCTATAAATAGGTACTAAATGAACCTGTTTTATTGCTTATTGATCTGCTGTCACAGCTGCTTATCTGACAACCAAATGGGCAACATGATTTCCTTCTAACAGGGAACCCAATCTCAATAAAACACTTCTACTGTGGGGCCTATGAAATCAGGAAACCAGTAAACAGAGTTGATGCCCACCTGAACCTGTGCGATACAACGCCGTCTGCGATCCTTGGAGCTCCACAGTTCCATGGTTTGGGCTGCGGTACACTGGGCTGTAATAGGTCCTCCCCTCATATATAGGAGTAATGTGCAAGTCGGGAGACACGGCAGAACGAAGGTCTTGCCCAAGCTGACTATGCTGACTAGCATAGGAACTCCGTAAGCCTAGAGGCACAAAAATTACATCGTTAAGAACTGAGACAATCACAGTGAGGTTAAAAACATAAACCCTAATTAAATTCCTAACCCCTGTAATCCCAGCACTTTGGGAGACAGAGGTGGGAGAATGGCTTGAGCCCAGGAATTTGAGACCAGTCTGGGAACAGAGTGAGACCCCATCTCTACAAAAAATAATTAAAAAAAAAAATTAGTTGGGTGTGGTGGTGTATGTCTGTGATCCCAGCTACTCAGGAGTCTGAAACTGGAAGATTGCTTGAACCCAGAATGTCGAGGCTGCAGTGAGCCATGATCACACCACTGCACTCCAGCCTGGGTGACCAGGTGAGGCCCTGTCTCAAAATAAATAAATACATATATACATACATAGATATATACTAAGAAAATCCTAACCAATAGGACCAAGTGTTAAGTCTAAACACTAAAACTAGTAAGTTTTACCAAAGAGAAATGCCACACGTGAAAAGTACTGCATATATATATTTTAAATACAACTTTCTCTGCCGGGCGCGGTGGTTCACGCCTGTAATCCCAGCACTTTGGGAAGCCGAGGAGGGTGGATCACGAGGTCAGGAGATCGAGATCAACCTGGCTAACACGGTGAAACCCCGTCTCTACTAAAAATACAAAAAAAAATTAGCCGGGCGTGGTGGCGGGAGCCTATAGTCCCAGCTACTCGGGAGGCTGAGGCAGGAGAATGGCGTGAACCCGGAAGGCGGAGCTTGCAGTGAGCCAAGATTGCGCCACTGCACTCCAACCTGGGCAACAGAGCAAGACGCCGTCTCAAAAACAAACAAACAAACAAACAAACAAAAACACTTTCTCTTGGCAGCAGGATGAAAGTAGGTTTTCTAAGAAAAATAACAAAAAATTAAATGATTTGATACACTGAGATTCATCCTCCAGTAAGCTATTTTATGATGCTGATCAAACAGAGAATGACTTATTATTATATCATTTTCACTTTAAAAGCTTTATATGAGCAGTGGTTCATGCTGCTCTCTTCCTATCCTGCGGACCTGCCAGTCTCATTCAGTGGACAATCAGCTTCTCTCTGGGCACAAAGCCCACCATCTCGCACCTCTTTGAATCCCAACATCTAAGAGAACGCCTATATAATGTACTTGGTAAAGGCTGATGTTTAAAAGCTGTTTTGAAATGTCAATTAACTCACATATAATTTTTACAGAAAAACACTGGAAGTTTTGTGCTATAAGTTTTGTAATATTATCAGTGAACTAACATTATTATGAAATACTATTTATCATTGTTTTTCCTTTCTTTTAAAAAAAATCAAACCCAAAAACTGTTTTTATAAGAACTCACATACCAGATTCTTGTTTACCTTCTTTCTAGTATAAAGAAAAAGTACAAAGTTAGTAGTACATGAACCTTAAATCATTTTAAATATTTTGATTCAAACTGCTAATAACTAATGTTTACACATGGGACTCATGATAAAAAGGTATACTTCAAACCCAAACATTTCAATTTCTTAAAAAGACTGAATATTTTCTATATTATGATGCTCAGAAGTTTGTGACTTCCATTATTGGTAAGTAAAATCTGTCACTTGTAAAAATATCAATTAAGGGTATATCCCAAATATAAGAGAAAGGACAAACATATCTGAAGCCAGTCAGCATATATTTGCTTTTAAAAAAATAGCAAATCATTAACAAAGTAAGTAATTATAAAAAGGTAAGATTGGCCAGGCACGGTGGCGCATGCCTGTAATTCCAGCACTTTGGGAGGCTGAGGCACGTAGATCACGAGGTCAGGAGTTCAAGACAAGCCTGGCCAAGGTGGTGAAACCCCGACTCTACTAAAAATCCAAAAATTAGCTGGGCATGGTGGCAGGCGCCTGTAATCCCAGCTGAGGCTGGGCAGAGAATTGCTTGAACCTGGGAGGCTGAGGCACAGAACTGCTTCAATCTGGGGGCGGGAGGTTGCAGTGAGCCGAGATCGCGCCACTGCACGCCAGCCTGGGCAACAGAGACAGAGTCTGTCTCAAAAAAAAAAAGATTGCTCCCATCCTGTTAGTTCAGTTAATCAAATCACAACTAAAAGCAAATGGACCTGAATAAGAGTGCTAATTACATGTTGGTTAGTGAGGAGAGGCAAGAAAGTTAACACATGCATAAAGCTTCTAAAGTGAATGATTATTACCTACCCTGGACAGCAATGTGACATGGAAAGAAACTAAACGAATCAATGTGGGTTTTAGCTACTGGCTCCCCTCTTGCTATAACGAAGACCACAGGTTTATACAATCTTATAACTGGGAGATTATCCAGCCAAACCTCATTTCAAAACCGAGGAAACAGAGTCCAAAAGGAAATGTGATTCGCCCCCATTAGAGAGCTACTTCCTTGCCGAGCTGACAGGAAAGCACAGGTCAGTGTTCTGTCATTATACACCCAATACTGGACACAGCTATCCCTCATGGAGCAACGGCACATGGTGAGGAAAAGTCTGAACTCCACAGAGCCCTCCACAAACACCAGGTTAAAGAGGAAGGTAAGCACACCAAGGAGGGGGCCATGGAAACCAACTTTAAAGATGACACTGTGATTGCTATTGCAAAATTCCCTTTTGAGGATTTCAGCTTTTTAGGCACTGGCCAATTTCTCATTATTATTATCATTTTTAGCAGAGTCTAAGCTCTATTTCTTTATGGAGCCCATGAATACCTTAGACAAAAGTGCACAGTTTTTGTTAACAGTGACATAAAGCAGACAGGTGAATGTACCTAGTCCTCGATAATCTTATCATTATGAGGTGCTATTGTAACACCCAACAGAGCCACAGACACTCACGACTCAGTGCAAGACACTGAGGATCATTTACACTTGGACAGAGCCAAGCCGAAGACTGGATGCTTCTGACATCGGTTGAGTCCTCATGTTCCCACTACTGCACAGGGATGTGAAATAAGACAAAGCATTCTGCACCACGATTACAATGTTATATTCTCATTTTACAAGTATCTGGCTGGATTCGTCACTGGAATCCATGCAATCTGAAAGGTTTTGTAAGCACAGACTATGATTTCATGAGAAAGGTAACAAAATGAGCTTTTTGCATTTAGAAATATAAAAAATAACCAGCAGATGTTCACTCGTTATAGGATCATTAGTAAATTGGAATTACTATTATGTGATAGGCTATAATGGGAAATAAAAGACTTAGAACTTTAGTGGGATGTAGCACTTTCTTGATATTAAGAATCCTTCTGAATGACATAATAAATAGTAGTAAACTATTTTTGTTTACCCGCTCGTGTGTTTAAAAACACAAGTACACAGTCCTATAGATTAGCATTTTAAAAAATTACAGTAAATAGCCTCTGTAGATTAAGTAAAATGAATATGTGTAGACAGCTCACTATAATTTACTATTATTGAAACTGGAATTCAAATAATTATGTTCTATAATTGGTATTAGAAATAATTTTTTCAGGGCTGGGTGTGGTGGCTCACACCCGTAATCCCAGCACTTTGGGAGGCTGAGGCGGGCAGATCACGAGGTCAAGAGATCGAGAACATCCTGGCCAACATGGTGAAAACCCGTCTCTACTAAAAATACAAAAATTAGCCGTGCATGGTGGCAGGCGCCTGTAGTCCCAGCTACTCGGGAGGCTGAGGCAGAAGAATCGCTTGAACCCGGGAGGCGGAAGTTGCAGTGAGCCGAGAGCGTGCCACTGTACTCCAGCCTGGTGACAGAGCGAAACTCCGTCTCAAAAAAAAATAAAAAAATAAAAATAAATAAAAATAAATAAAAAATAATTTTTTCAGAAGCATTTCCACTGATTAATTTTTAATAACATTACTTCCCCTTCCAAATAATGGAAAACACTGATACGCCACTGCATTATTTATCCAACCAATACTTTCTATTTGCAATTCCACAAACATATTAGTTTAGCTATTATTACGGTGATTCCATGTGATTAAAAATATTTATATTTATGGCATTAGAAATAAACATAAATTTATCTTTCAAAGATCAATTCTTTATCTCCTCAAAAGTTTTCTTTACATGCCATGATTATTCTGAAATGAACATTTTAGAGTATATATATATATATTTCTGTAGTTTGTATCATTTAAATTATGATCATCAAATACCCAAGTCCCTGAATGTAGTACAAAACATTGCTTATCAATTAGCAGGCTATTAGTCCTTTGAAATCAAGAACACTTTGCTTCTTGAGAACACTGCAGTATTTCTAGAAAAAAATCACTGAGAGGCTGGGCCTAAAAAATAGACATTATATATATTTTCCCCCCAAGACATAAAGTCTAATTTTACCTGCATTGTCAGAGAAACAGACTGTTTAAACCAGAGGAAATGAGTCCTCTTAGGGTTAAATATGGAGACAATAATTTATATGCTGGCTTCCTTCCTCCAGTCTCCTCTCTACTCTCTTACAAGCAGAGATTTCTACATAGCTGTTCTATACACACGGGGGAATATGGAAGTCCTCAGAACTATTTATTTTCTAAGATTTCCTTGGGAGGTAGAATTTCATAAATGATTCCTACATCATTTTGCTGCATACTTTTCAGAGGCATTTCAGAAAATATCTAAGTCAAGCACACTTCTTGGATAGATGAATGAAAAAGAGGTGGTTTCTCCACTAAGAATTTCTTTGAGCTCAAAAATCAAGTTCAATATAAATTCTCCAGGCAAAATTATTCAATCACAAAAATCTCAAAAAGGCTTAAATTTTCTTAGAAGACATAAAAAAGATACTAATTTTACTATGTAAGAATGTTAAACAGTTTTGTAAATTAAAACCAAAATGAAATAAAAAGAAGTGACAAAATGGAAAAAATACTTGAGAAGCATATTACGAGGTGCTAGCTTATCTCTAGTAAAAAAAAGCTTTCACGAATTATAAAAATAGACAAAAGAACTTGTAGTTTCACAAAATGAAATAAAGTCGTTGATGAACAGATTAAATCTTCAACCTCAGTCATAACTCAATAAAAGCCCTTAAAAACAATGAGGTACAGCTTTTTACCTATCAGATTGGCAAAGATGAAAAACTTGGAATATGCAGCACTAGTGCAGTGTAGACAAGGTATAGACAAACAGGCACTCAAACTACTGGCAGAAATATAAATCCGTGTGTAACCTTCTTAGAAGGCAATTCTACGTAATATCTCTCAAAGTAAAAATACACATATATTTTGATGCAGCAATTCTACTGGATCCCAGTTACCCTAGTACTTATGTGAAATATGCAGGGAGAACAATGTATGTACTACATCATCTCTAACAGCTAAACATAACAAACAACCTAACTGTCCATTAGGAGGAAAATGCAAATAAATTATGATATATCTATAAAAAATGGGTCCCATGCATCTATTAAGAATGAGGTAGAGCTCTTAAGACATAGTTAGTGAAAAGAACAAAGTATAGAAGATCTATATGATAGAATTCCATCAATAGAAAACACAATGTGTGTGCAGATTTGCATGGATTGCATATATTTGTAAATGCAAAGAAACATTCTGAAAGCCACATCAACTGTGATGGGACTGGGTGAGGGTAAAAGGCTTTCACTTATTTCAATATTTTCCCATATAGTTTTAATTTTTACCATTCTGTATATGTTACTTTTAAAATATAATTTAAAACACTAAAGTTAAATTGCATTTTATTTAAAATAACCAAATCTTTACACCATGTAGGAAACCCTCCACGAAAAACCCTGAAGTTGGAACAGCTGTATTAGGGACCCGGTGTCTTTCTGCTTTAATAGGAGTGGCATGTAAAAGTGATTCATAAGCGCTTTGTGCATTTACCGTTAAAATGCCAAAATCAAGTAGGGGATAAAATTCATAGTCTAGTCTATATTACCAAAGCATTTCTAAAGAAAAAATTTAAACATTTAAACAGATATTCTGATACCACCTTTTAACATAACTTTAGGGTATGTTTAGGGGTAGGCCTGGCTGGTAAAAAATATTTCATTAAAAAAAATTAGTCAACTGCTTAGAATTGCAACTAATACTTATGAAATGCAAAAAAAGCACATTTTAAACCCTAATATTTAGTGGGAAAATATTACAAAAGAGTTATATCCATTGCAAAAGGATTCTATTGATATAAATGTATATAATTTCATGTATTAAGAATTACAGAACCTGAAAGACAAGTTAACCTTAAGTTTATAGTTTAAAATCTGAGATTAAAAACACGAATGAGCCTTTTCCACCTTTTCATTCTTTGTTTCAACTTAAGTTACACAGAAGATTTCCTCACTGGGTTTTATGTAGCACTGTCACCTTGTACGCACCTGTCAGGCTGTCTGGCCTGGGTGGAACCATCCTCTCATAAATGTCATACTGCTGCTGTCCGAATTGCTCCATGTCATGAACAGTCCTTTGCAGTGAAGGTCCCAGATGCTGTGGTACGGCGGTCATCCCTGAGCGTTTGGGGGACGACGACCCCACCTGGCCTTGGGATGGGGAAGCTACTCGAGTCTGTGCATCCGTCAGGGTCAGTGGGGACCCCACTCTGGCGGTGGTTTGGTATTGAGGGGTTGGTCCGTTGGGATTGGAGGTCTGCCGGGAGGTGACTGACCCAATCCGCCGTATAGCTGTTGGGGAGGCGGGTCTCTGTGAGTACGGAGAGGCTGCCCGTGCAGCAGGTAATGTGGTGGAGGAATATGCACTGGGGTTCAGAGGTCGGGGGTCGGTCACTGACGGAGAGCCAAATCCACTACCCAGAGAAGTTCTCAGAGACCCCCTTGAAGGAGACACGCCTGTGCTGATAACATAAGAAGGAGACTGTGCTCTAGATGGAACTGAACTAACTCTTCTCATGGCCCGATTGGCTACTGATGGCTGATGAAAGGGGGGGAAAAAAGAGAATGGGTTTATCCAGGGTTTTGTGTTCATTGCCATTACAAAAGAAATACACATAGCTCACTACAGAATGTGAATCCACTATTTTAGGCATCTAAGATTCTTTTCCTTTTTATGCTTTGAGCCAGACATTAATTTTTCCTCACGGTGCTTTAGTTGTTTTAGTTTTTTTTTTTTTTTTTGGTGGTTTAAACCAAATGCTAAAATTAACCTGTAAAAAGAGATCTGAAGACATTTAATACTCCTTTTTTATCTTTACATTTTTAACTATTGCCTATGCATTTTTCACAGCACATAAAATGTTTTATTCTAAGTGTTACATGTAATTCATGAGCGTGAAGGGGCACCAGAACAATGTACTTACTTCATTCCCTATGAAGCAAAGTTTGGCCAAGGCAATGCATTTATGTAAAACAAAAATTTGAATATAATTTGAATATATCAGTCTAAATGTAGCTAGTGGAATATTTATCATTGTTTTTCTTTATGGGTTGGTCCCATTAACAAAAGGAACATGTTCTTTCATTGTGGAATAAATGAACATTTGGATCAAGTGTGGGTCTGGCGCTCTCCACTGTGAATTTACTTCGGGGAACAGCTTGGCTACACAGGTGCTCTAGGCAAATTTGTTGATTCCTTTAGATCAAGCATAGCTTCTCACTTTAGCCATTTCTTTTTACCTCTTCTGATCTATGAGTTCTTAGCTTTAATTGGTGGATTTAAAGAGATGCAAAAAAAAGGCACCCCCAAATCTATTCCAGCAGGAGGAATGGTCAAAGCCTCTTTTGGGTTCTTGGCCTAGACAGCTGGAAAAGACCAGGATGGAAAGTGAACATTTCTGCCATTGCTGATCCTACTCTGAATCTGTTGATTCCTGCAGTTACAGCAGGTGCTGGACACTGTTTTTCATGCTGTGCAACAATAAAAAGGAATGGTTAGGCTGGAGAAGGGGCCCAAGGGAAACATGTATGGGAAAAAGGAGAGCCAACTGAGAAATAAAGACATTAGGGATCCAGGTTAGAAGACTAGGACCAGGCTGCTCTGTTACCTCCTTAGTGGCTGCTAGAGTCTAGTTGTCATCAACCCACATCCACTTTTAGGTGGGGAGGTAAGGAAAGAAGCAGGGATCAGATGAGGGCTTTGTATACCCTTAGGGGTCATATGAGGATGTCTGCTCTGCCTCCAGGTGTCGCATGCAACTGGGCTGGCTGAAACACTTGCAGTGAGAACTCACTGTGTGTTCAAGTTCAACAATTTTGGGAAGGCAATAGCAGGGGAGAAGACATGGGGAGGAAAGAGGATGGTAAACAACAAGGCAAAAAAGATGGGGTTTAAAAATTAGTAGACAGCTGGAAAGTTAACAAGCATGATTGGGGCTGGGTGTGGTGGCTGACACCTATAATCCCTACACATTGGGAGACTGAGGAGGGAGGATTGCTTGAGGCCAGGAGCTTGACACCAGCCAGGGCAACATAGTGAGGCCCAGCCTCTACAAAAAACAAACAAACAAAAAAATTAGCTGGGCATGGTGGCATGTGCCTGCAGTCTTAGCTACTCCAGGAGGCTGAGTCAGGAAAATCGCTTGAGCCCAGGGGATTGAGACTATAGTGAGCTATGATTTTGCCATATTGTACTCCAGCCTGGGTGACAGAGTGAGACCTTGTCTCTATTAATTAAGAACAACAACAAAAAAAGCATGATTGGGTGGTAATAGTGGTAACAAAATGCAAAGAAAATCCCACATGACTTGCAACTACCAAAATGAAGTGATAAGTTGGTCCAGACAACTAGAAAATGTGTTGCCTAGACTACATGCAAATTAAGTCTCAGACACCCCCTTGCAAACAATTCTTTAGCTCTAGTGAGAAAATCAACTTACTCTTAAAGAAAAAAGTGTTTACATGATCATTACTAAGGGCAATAAAATTTATATAGATATAAGGTAACTGCTGTTGAAAAGTGTGATTTCAGACCTGCTGACACAGAAATTCACCTAAGCGGATGAACTCCCATTAGCATTTAGTCCAGAGCTTCTCAAACTTTTCCACCAAAGCATCCCCAACAGCAAAAGAATAAATATATAATCTGAGGACTTGGGGTGCAGCCTGAAGTTGCTTGCCACATGCACAAGATTTCCCATTTTAGCTTGAAAAATTCATATGTTATATTTGTGTTTAATACAAACATGTTTTAAATGACTCTGAAATTTCTCCTGAATTGCTGAGCAAAAGTGCCAAAGTTGTATTATGTTTCTCTGTGGGCGTTGGGAACCGTGACCCATTGCTGTGTACCTGTAGAGCTTCCTGTATTGCAGTAGAAGCAGCACAGTGTCCTCCTAACTTATTTGATTATCTTGCTACTTTTCAGCTCTAAAGAAAGCACTGGGGTTTTGGGGTCCTGGCACAGATAGTTAGCCTCACTGGTTACCACCATGCAGGACTCCTATTGCCTCTCTGAATCCTGGGACATGCTGGTGGACTGATGTGAATACAGTGGTAATGAGAAAGGAGCTGAAGAGTTTTTATAAATATACATGCAATATATATTTTTTGCTATCAAGTTAGAGAACCCTAACTTAACAGAATGGATATGTTTCTATACAATAACTTTCTTTAAGCAGGAATAGCTGTATTCTATCTAGTAAAAGAAAAGAAATGTAGTTTTAGAGAATAATTCCAGTGATGATGGTAATAACCTTTGGTTAGAATGGGCAAATCCCATTTTATGCAGGTGTGGGTATAGCACCCTGCCCTCTAGAGCTTTTTATAGCATATTTTAGCCCTAGTATTTTTAGGAACTCATAACCCCTCAGGGACCAAAACATTCCATTCAACTCTCTTACATTCCCCTTAGACTCTTCTCCTCATGCCAAACTTGTTGTTTCCAGAAGAATTACTCTACTGTATCCAGGAACTCATCAGAATTCATCAATGGGAGCTAACTCATAGAAACAAACATATTTAACATTGTATCTCAAATAGAATAAAATGATTTTACTATTTTATCCATTCTATAAAAATTGTACACATTTATTTCTAATAAGAAATACCTATAACAGATATTCAACTAGGAGTGTATTTCTTTTTTTTTCCTTTTTTTTTTTTTTGTTTTGAGACGGAGTCTCGCTCTGTCGCCCAGGCTGGAGTGCAGTGGTGCGATCTCGGCTCACTGCAAGCTCTGCCTCCTGGGCTCAAGTGATTCTCCTGCCTCAGCCTCCCGAGTTGCTGAGATTACAGGCGCCCGCCACCACGCCCGGCTAATTTTTGTATTTTTAGTAGAGACGGGGTTTCGCCATGTTAGGCAGGCTGGTCTTGAACTCCTGACCTCAGGTGATCCACCCGCCTCGGCCTCCCAAAATGCTGGGATTACAGGCATGAGCCACTGTGCCCGGCCGGAAGGTATTTCTTTGCAGAGATCTTGATGCGTTTGGCTTACCTGAACCAGTGTTTGTCCTTCAGCTCTTGAATTCCTCACCACATGGTTGTTAGTTGATCCTATGAATGAATGCTGCTGTCTGTTGTCTGCCTTGCTCACGTTCTGGCTGTTGTGGAAACTCCCTGCTTCCTGGTATCCACTGTCGGAATAAGAATTCATTTGTGTTGAACTTCTTGAGTTACCCAATGATCCTGTAAGAATGAAACCAAGAAATATCTTTATTATACACACTTCTGACACTCGCTTTCAAGAATAAAATCTTAAAAGCAAATCCAGTACTTAAAAGATAACACAACAGACCCTCACTTTCATGGAGAGATGTCTGTTCTGGTGAATAGAGGGTTCCTTGTTCTGGCTCTGTCCTGATGAGATAGTTGTTGGGCTGGACAGCGTCAGAAACTCTAGGTTTGCTTACACCAGTATTTGGCACGTCTGTAACAAGAAAAGTTTAATCAGCTAAATATAATAACATTACATAAAAACTTGCTAAAAAAGGTTCAGATGTTTGTCAACAGCATCTTAGAATCTATATGCTAATACAAGGCTATTATTTTCAGCTTACACAGCACATCTGACTCTTAACTATATGAATGTGTTCCATATACTTATACTTCATTAATATATTTTGCTGAATTTCATGAATGTTGTTTGTTGTGATTGTAAGTCTCAATATTAAATCAAAATCTGAAAACTGATCCTGTTCCTCTTGGAAAACTGACCTCTCAGACACCTTCCTCCAAGGGATTAAAAGACTGAGAATGGAGACCAAGTATTTCAAGAAGGGTCCTCCATCTTCCAAACAATTAAAAATGAAAACTTACACAACGTTCATATTATTGAGCTTGGTGATGAAGCCTCTGAAGGTAGAGCACATTTTATGTTATATTTCATGTCACTTACAGTCAAAGGAACTCTATACAAAGTTTTAGAATTGCAAGCAATGAAAATTTTCTTGTTCACCTGCTTATTTTATTCCTTTAGCCTTTTTTAAAGGAATATAGGCAAGTCTAACCTAACCATTGTTTCTTCCAGCCAAACTCATCTCTTCCATTATCTGCTTTAATTTAACAGTACCATTTGCCATCCTGAACTTGAAAAAAACAAACCCCATTCAAACTTCTGTTTTTTATGCCGTAAACTTAGGTGGTGTAGATCATGCTTCCTTTTCCCAATTCGATTCCCGTATGTCCTTCTTTCTCTAATATCTTCAAAATGTATTTTCCCATTTTCTGATGGACTTCAATACAAGCCATTCCTTCCTTGCATTTAACCCTTATATTATTAACAAACTTTCTTTCAGAAATGCTACTTCACTCTCACTTCAAAGATAATTAAGTTCTTATCACATTCTGAGTTTAACATACAATCCTAAGGATTTAAATGTCTACCTCCTTTCCTCCCTCCCTGTCTCCCTCTGGGCCCTATTACATGCCAGGCCCTATGCAGTTATGAGAGAAGGTAAGGGGTGTGTGTGTGCGTGTGTGTGTGTGTCTGGGGGAATGGAGCTTAGGAAAATCTTCCTAAAGGAAGTAACATCTAAGTAGCATCCATTTACCACAGGAGGCCAGCCTTCTCTTTCTGTATAGCGCTTATCACCATTTCTCCCCACTAGAATATAAGCTCCACGAGGACAGACAGACTTTTATCTGGTTTGTTATATCCTCAGTGTCTAGGATGGTGCAGAGTACTCAGTAGGTGCTCAGTAAATATTTGTTGAACAAGCAAATTCCCAGTAACAACAGCAGCTTCCTTTTACTGAGTGCTGACTCATGCCTGGCATTGCATTGTGGCTTTACCTTACTGTGTTCAATGAAGTTTGGCTATGTAAAGCAAACTTCTTAGGGACTGCTGATTAAGCTGCTTTAGAAGGTGAATACAAGGTTTAAGGGAGAAGTGGGAAATCCCACTGCATTCTAAACCTTTAACTTGATGTCAGATTCAATTCAAGGTTTTGTTTCCTAGCCTCTGGAAAGATTAGCTGACATTCTTAGTATAGGTTTTTACCGACCTGTCTCCTGTTATATTATTTGACAGAATGCTTCTGTATGGTAGAATTCTGTGACAGTTCTGATTGCTTCAGTTTGGAATTTCAACAAAGATTAAAGATTGTATATGGTTTCCCTGGTACACGTTGAAACATGAGCTGAGTCACTGTCAGGCTGACAATACCAGAAAGTGCTCTGCTTTACTTGTACATCTTCTATCATGAGTTTTCCAGAGTTCTAAACATTCTTATACAGTAATTCTCAAAGGAGTTTTGCTAAGGACTAAGTAAAATACCAAGGAATTGGAATAGCTGGGAATAGCTGCACAGGTGCTGGCCTGAAATCAGAGCTATGCAGCAGTCAACCTTTGTTCCATCAGGGACGGAAACCCTGGGAAAGCAAATACGAACTAGCAAGAAACTACAGATAAAAAGTACCA
This sequence comes from Homo sapiens, assembly GCF_000001405.40. NCBI lineage: Eukaryota > Metazoa > Chordata > Mammalia > Primates > Hominidae > Homo > Homo sapiens. The sequence continues at coordinate 158,618,997 of NC_000002.12, read as the reverse complement.
CTGTGGTAGCCTCAAGGCTTCACATACATGGAAAAATGTTCTGTCTTGGAAAAGAAAAAGATGTTCAGATAGTTCTCAGCTTTACTTAAATATAAGGTAAAATCTAGGACACCAATATATTAAAGCTTTTGGCTTAGAAACACTAGGTGGCATGTAGTGTCAGGGTCTCAACATTTTTCACCATGGAAACCAAAACCATTAGAATTTTATGTAAGCTGCCCACCCACTTTTTAAAAAAAGCTATTCAGAGCTTAAAAAAAAAACAGAAAAAGAGAAACATACCCTAAAAATTGTAGCTCAGAAATTGTGTCTTTTCACTCAATGAAACATATTCTCAGAAACCATGTAACAATCTTGCTCATTTAAACTCTTCCTTATGAGAAGCTATTTAAAATAAATAACCTTAGAGAAAGCACAAATCATGAGATATGTGATTCCATACTGGTTGCCCTAATAAAACTTCACGAAATTAGTATCTCAAACAATACAAAATTATTCCAAAAGTAATATGACAGCCATATTCCTTTTAAATATTATGACCTGTGTTTCATATATTTTTTAATGCAACGCCCTAGAAAACAGAATCTAGAAAAGGACACTGAGATGCTAACTAGAACACTAAAATACAAAATTCTCAGGTACCCAGGATCTAATTTGAAAATCTAAGTAACTGGGTTTAAAGGATAGGACTTAGGTTTTGTGACCTATCTTTAAGTAAATATAAAACTAAGAGTTAATAAAAGATTTATTTAATATGAACTTTAGTATAAAGCAATCAACTTCTATTCTATAAATAAGGTCTTCAGTTATTTTTTCTTTTTTTTGAGACGGAGTCTCTACAGGCTGGAATGCAGTGGCATGATCTTGGCTCACTGCAATCTCTGCCTCCTGGGCTCAAGTGATTCTCGTGCCTCAGCCTCCTGAGTAGCTGGGATTACAGATGTGTTCCACCATGCCTGGCTAATTTCTGTATTTTTAGTAAAGATGGGGTTTCACCACGTTGGCCAGGCTGGCCTCAAACTCCTGACCCTAAGTGATCTGCCCATCTTGGCCTCCCAAAGTGCTGGGATTACAGGCGTGAGCCATTGTGCTCGGCCATTCAGTTATTTTTCTGTTTCCTTAGTAGAGCCCAATGATAATGAAGAATAGCTGCAGAGATCAAAGTATCCTGAAATCTATTCTGATTTATGAAAAGAAATTTAAATGGTTTTCAAAATAGTTTTACTATTTTCTTTGAAAACTTGTGATCCACAAATTATCTATATACATGCATAAACCTATATATGCACAGACATCATATCTCAGGTAAACAGAAGACACATCTTCTAATTTTACTGGATAAAGTATTCCTCACTGTAGTATGGTAAGGTTCACATTTACCAATTATGTATTATTTAAACAATCTTACTTTAAGATGAATGAATTTTAAAAACCTCTGCTATGTGGAATGAAAGATACTAGTCAAATTCACTAGAGAAGAGGTATATAGTGTGCAAATAACCATTTCATGATGAATGCTGTAACCTATAATTAAATAGTTGGAATATTAAAATTTAGCACAATTAGCATAAGAAATCAAGAGACATTTTTATAAGTAAAAATGGCAAACAGCATGTGAATGTTACTTCTTTAATCAGTGTACTGAAGAACATGTGTTGGTTTAAAAAAAAAAAATTCACAAACATGTTTTCTGGGACACCAGAAATATACTATGGGGAACTTTCAAACATCAAATTAGCATCTTCGAAAATGTATGTCTAAAAATACAGAAATTGAACAAGCTTCAAGGTAGAATGAAATCTCCATTTGTGCCTAAGACTGCAAAATTATTGGAATCATGGACTTTCTTGTCTTATTACATTTCATTTGAGTGCTCTAATATTTAAAACTATGTAATTAGAAAAAGTGTTACATTGCATCTATAGAAAATACTAGTGGGTAAGGGACAATAACGCTGTAGGGCTATGAAAATCTGGTATATTATCCACCTCATTAAGCTCATGGTAAAAGATGGAATACAAAGTGAGATATTTTATCTTTTTTATAATGTACATCCCCAAATATACAGTGTGTGCATGAAGATATGCTTAGTAAAAGAGTCTAAGGCCTCTTTAATGAACCTGAAATTATTAAAATGGTTCTGCTTTGTTAGTCTATGTCTTGCTGTACGAAACAGGGTCTGTAGTGTGTGTAAAATCACCATGGAAACAGGAACCCAGAGATCAGTAAGGAGATTTTTAGTATAGACAACCCTGTGACTAGTCTTTCATAGTCCAGCACACTGGAACCTCATGACAGGTTCTCCTTGTTTGAGTCTGTTCTGAGTTGCTATGGTGTTTAGGGGTTTGCCCTTACATAAAAGACAGTGTGGTGTGAGTTTTGGCAGGACTCTTGGGACAGCAATAGCACCCGAGGTTAAGGCAGATGATACTCTTCCTTGACGGTTTCTTCCAACTCTCTGGCTTGTGAGCTGAGGTTAGGCTGTCATACCCAGAGGGCAACATTTTGTGGAAAAAATGAGTAGAAACTGTTGTGTTACATGGACTCAACTTCCTCTCTGGTCATGGGGCTCTCCTTTCCTGTAGGACCACAGGCTTACGAAGGAGTCTACTTTCCACAGAGGTGCAGAAATTGTCCAGTGCCTCCTACGGCAAAAAAGCAAAGCCAAATTCTGGAAGAGAACATAGGTGGTGGCACCAAAAAGATTTCTCCTCTTTAGTACCTTCTGTGACATACAAGATTTATTTCTATAGCAGGTATGCTTATCATCAGAGGGAATGAGGTCACTGGGAAACGTTGTTTCAGAGTGAGAAATGTTGTTTCAGGGTGACGGAAACATGAAGCACCAATAGTATTCCTTCCTCCACAGGAGAAAATACAAGTTGACAGATATTTTAAGAATATTACACATACTTGGAGTTTGTTGATTCAAATATAAGCTACTATATACATAGGATATCATTTAAAAGTTGGATTTCAATGGAAGTGAAGACATAAGGAAAGGCAGAAAGACCATGTTTCTTGAAACTATTTCTGGTCTGGTTCTTGAGGGTTTCTAGATTCTTGGGTCTTGTGCATATTTATATTATCTTATCAATATTAATCAGGCAATGGCTCTAAAAATTTTACCCGTCTAAAAAGTGTTGTATAAAAAGGCCTCGGAAAATGGAAACCATTAACGAAGTATCTTCTACTTCACTTTAAACTCTGCTTTAAGCATCAACTAGTCTGTCTTGAAATTCACTGTAAAGCTTGACTGCCTGGATTCGAATCTATAGTATAAGCAAATTTTGTGAATGCATAAACTGGTATCGTAGTGATTTCCACAATGACTAAACTAAAAGAGATCTCCTGGTCATATATAAATTCTGTCCAAGAATATAAAACCATTAAAAATAAATTTTACAAAAAATAAACTGAAGAGAAATTTCCACAAATAGTCATATAAAAATGAGTGTTAAGTATTTTTAGTCTGGATACTAATTAAAATACAGATGTCACAGCTACCATAAAAATTTATACTTTATACCTATAAAAGGAAAACAAGAAAAAAACCAAGAAACTAAGAATTATAAATACAAAATGAAATGAACAAGACATAAATTGCCCAATACTGAGTTTAACAGGCTTCATAAATGGCTGAGGGGCTCTTGCTTCCTATCTAGGAAAGCTGAAAAAGGGATAAGTAAGGGATTCATTGTGATATAAAAAGTCAGCTTATGGAAAATACAATTAAGTGATCAAAAATCACTCTAAAATATTTTTCAAAGACACTTTTTATTCTCTTTGGGAAAAAAAATTACCAAATATAGAAATGGGAATATCTGTCAGTGGGAGATACAAAATAAGATTCCTTTTGTTAAAAACCAAAAAAACCTTCTTAAAAACACAAACCTATAAAGGATGATATTCACTATCAAAAAGAAAGAAACGATTCTTTTGAAATAAGATCTTCTATATTTTTCCACTAGTTATTTTTTTTTTTTGTAAAATATACTAAGATAAAGCCACATGCAGACTAACTTTGTCATAAGAATGAAATGTGAAATTATAGAGGGTGGCTTTCAGATGTTTCCCAAAGCAACAGTTGTAAATTGAGGATCGAAGGCTCTGTGTTTTGAGGAGGTGGTAATAGAAAAAGAAGGGTTTTCAGACTTGACAATTTCTATTTTATTTTAGATAGTAGCACATTTCTTCACATATCACTAAAAGCATGAGAAAGTTTAAATATTTGGCATGTTTATATCAAACATAAAATATTAAAGGCTAAAACTGGATTCTTGATTTTCATATAATGTGCTTTTGGGAATCTGTTCATATATCATGCATAAGTGGCTTTGGAATATTTAGATGTTATGTTTGCTAGGGCAAAATCTAATATTCTTATTTGGTGGTGGCCCACGATAAACATATTGAGACATCTATCGTTCTAAACTTGAAAGGCTGATCTTCTGTATAATATAGGTAATTTGTTCGATAAAAATTCATTTAATAAAATCCCAAATATGTGGAAACTACAAATTAAGTAATATCCACTGGCTGGGAAACTCATGCATCCATTTCATAGTTGGTTTCTTCATATCATTTATGTCAGGGCTGACCTTCAGAATATGGTCAAAATTTTGCTGGCTTTACCATGTCACTCCAGCACACCATTTTTGCCTTGATATTTCAAAACTTTTGTTTAAAGCATTTGTATTTAATTTTTTTGTAATTGAAGTTTTAAACATATATAAAAGTTCTACTTTATGCATACTTTTTTCCATTATCTTTTTCCTTTGTTGTAGAAGTTCAAAACAAATCTCTCACGTCGGATCATTTCAACTCTAAATACTTCCATTTGTATCTCTATAAAATAAGGACTTCATAAAACCATAATTATTCCATAATGCCATATAGTGTGTTCAAATTCAAATTTTTCAGATGTCTTGGAAATGTGTTTCTTCAGTTGGCTTGTACTCGTCAAGCTGAAATAAGGTTTCCTGATTGCATTTGAGTACAACTGATTTAAGTCCCTCAATTTAGAAAGGGGCACCCATTCCTTCATTTTCATGTTTTTGATGAACTGAGGAAACTGCAGCAATACACTTTTAAGTTGTTCCACATCCTGAATTTATCTGATGGTTTTCTCATGTCATTTACTTATTCCTCTAAATACACTATTTCTTTAAGCAGAAGGTTATAGCTAAAAGCTTTCAGGTCAAGCCTTTGTGGGTAGCATACTTTATGAATGGTGCCATGTACATCACACCTTTCACATTACAACTTTCAGGGTTGCTAAGATCTATCAGGCAATGCAGGTAGTGGCAGCCTAATCCTCTGTCAAGTTTACCACCAATCTGTCTCCTAATGCGATGGTTCTCAGCCTTGGTTGTACAATGCAATCACCTGGGTTGAAAATTGGGTGGAATTTTAACACTATTGCTGTCCAAGTCCCACACTCAGAGATTCCAATTCAATCAGTCTAAGCTGTATTCTGAATAATGGAACTTTAAAAAACTCCCAGGGTGATTCTACTGTGCAGCTAGGGTTGGGAACTTAAGAGGTTTTAGCATCCACTGACAATCTTTGCTTGAATTATTTCATTAGGGCTTGCAAACTAGTGATTTTTCTAATTTTGTTATTCTTTCTACATTTATCAGCAGGAATTCTTTTGGAATATTTTACATAATAGCTAGGATTATTTACTTATCCTGAAATATGAACAGGACAGGCAGGATAAATTTTTAATTCTTCTCTTTAATGACTAGGTTTTAGAATAAAGCAGTGGTTCTCAAACTGTGCACACTGGAGTCACCTGGGGACTCGTTAAACCCCACTGACGCCTGGTTCCCAACTCAGACTTTCGAACTAAATTGTGTGGGGGTGATGCCTGGGCGTCAAGATTTTAGTAGCTCTGCAGGTGACTCTGAAGTATAGCAGTGTGTAGGAACCTCTGGAGTGAGATGTTGGCACCCACAATTATATCCAGTGGTGATTTTTTAAGTTTGTTTTTTGCTTGATTTGGTAGTGGTTGTTGCATTTTTCATGATAGAAAAATGTATCTGATCATTTTGAGCCAGCTATGAAGACAGAAGAAAGCCAAACTGACAGGAAACAGTATGATACTTTTACTATATTCTAAGGTCATGCTGATCTCCAATCTCCATGAGAACGAGTTAATTAGCATGATGGTCCGGGGTATGCTCAAGTTTCCATGGAGTGTTATGATTTAATGAATAGTTAATAATGATATTTAAAAATTATCTTACTTTGTTCAATCTGTTCCTGTTTTATGATATAGAGAAATTTGAAACAAATGTTTTTGTTAAAGCCTAGTAACTTATTAAAATTTTAAATAATCATGAAGATTTACATTCCTGTACTCTGGTAACATAGTAAGTGTAGATAGGACTACCAGGTGCTATCAGTAGGAGCATAAATTGTTAAGCTTTCTGGTGGGCAAACTGACAATATTTGTCAAAATTAAAATGTATACACCCTTGTCCAGGAAGTTTCAGTTACAGAAATCCTATCAGAGACACTCATATATGTGCAGAAAGAATCTTCTCATTGTCTGTCAAAGTACAAAACTGGAAAAAACAAAATGTTCACTGATAAGAAACTGGTTATATAAATTTTCAAACGATGAATACTATTTAGCCATTAAAAAGAAATAGGGCTTTATATACTGATATAGAAACACATCCATTACTTTGTAATGTTAGGGGAAAAACTTAAAAGTCACAGAATAACGTAGAGTGTATCTTCATTTGTGTTAAACCAAAACAAACAACTCAAATGTGTGTGGATACTTAGACATACATACAAACACAGTTAACAGTCTGGGGTGTTTCATTATTCCAGATTTTTTCCTATACATTATGTGTGTGTGTGTGTGTGCAGTTGTGTAGGTGTGTTGGTCATGGTATGGGAACATGTTGGAATGAAGGAAATTTCTACCTTTTACTCAGATTCTTCCAGGCTGTTTTTTTTTTTTTAAAGAAGCATATCTTATTTTCATCTTAAAACAGTAAGTTAAGAAGAGCTTTTATAGTGGCAATCAGGAAGCTATAGCACTGCAGTTGGTAAAAAGGCAGTCAAGACTGTGTGGCTAAATGGGCCTGTAGAAAATAAGGGAGAGAAACTTGTACTCTACAGCTGATTTTAAAAGAAATTCTTATCATCCTTATATTTAGAAGAGAAACAGGAAGAAATATATGATAAAGTTTTGTCATTTGTAAAGTTTATGGCTATAATAAATGACGGCATCCAAAATCCTCAATAATAGTCCTTTATACATGATTGCTGATCTAATATTTTGTTTATGAACATGTACAATACAACACTCACTTCCTACTGTATCTCCTTTATAAATTCAGTACATTTCTACTGAGGCATAAAGTGTTTCAATTTAAGTCAACTTCTTATCTCATGATGTGCTGATGAATTTTTGTGTTGTAAATTACTTGCACCAGATGGAGGAAAAAAGAAAAGATAAATTGACTTAGGACTACTTTCTCATTTGTCATTTATCTTCGGTATTGATGTTTTTTTATTTTTATTTTTTAAAGCTCATCCCAGTGGAAGAAACTTGTATCTATACATTTTAGAAACAAAATTTAAATACATAAACAAAATGCACAGCCTAGCTCCTACAGTCTTAAATTTAGTAGTAAACATTAACTAATGCCAGTATTTCACACAGTAATGATTTAAATGAATAGTATGTTAAAATCATACCACTTCAATACCTGTTATACAATAAATGAATGCAGCACTGTGAAGTTATAGAATCAGTTTTAAACTTCCTATTTTACTATGGTCTTTTTTCTTCCCTTCCATATTTACTGTCAAACATCAAAACTCCTAACTGCACAGAATTGTTACTATTTTCTCTCCTGTTCATCCAAATCTATTAACCCCTCAGTGCCTTCTGAGTCAACCAGAAAATTTCTCTCACTTGTTGTTTTGGTAGAGATTCCAATCTTTTTTGGCCTCTAATTTCTTACCCATGAGCACCAATTCTTTATCACCTACGTAACATCCATCAATTTCTCGAACACTTTCTTTTTCTAGGAACACAGCAGTGTTAAAAAGAATGAGCTTGGCTGGCTGGCTGGTGGGGACAGAGCAGCACATTCCAGCCCTGTAAGACGGACTGCTCCTGGTCTAATGTGCTAGGAAGAGCTGGGGCGGAGGGAGGCTGGATTCTGAGGCCGATTCTCCTCCCCTGCATTTTACACAGATCTACTCAAGTTGGCAACCACCTAAACTCTAGTAATTTTTTTTTCTCGCAAACAGAAAAACTGTGATATTGTGACTTGCAGCAAAATTCACTTCATGGAATGTGACTGGGGGACCTAAGTAACAATCAATGACTGTTTTGACAAAAAAACTTCAATCCATGGCTTCAACCTATAGATTCTTTCTGATGGGTAGCATATACTGTGTGTAGCTATTTTTATTATTGAGTTGGTGTTTTTCTTTAAAAAGAGGTACGTTCAAAGGATTTAAAGAAAAAGATTCTGTATAGCATTTTCGCTCATGAAGAATTATGATTATACATGCTTCTCACTTTCATCACCCTTTACCTATTATTCTAGTATGTATTTTCTGTGATTTTGATGTTTATTTTTTATTGTATTATATACGTTCTTACAAGTTACCTCAAATTTTGATGGCACACAGAGATTGTATATTTCGAGATGTGAAGCAGTGAACAATGGAAAAACTGACACACTAATATTATGGAAACAGAAGGGAGCGCTAACATAACATTCCCTCGGAAATGTTTCAGCAGAATACACAAGGTTATAAGACATGCAAGAAAAGACAAAGCTGAAACATAAATAAACTGCTCCTCATAAAAAAACACAAAAGATGTGCATTTATATTTTTAGAATGCAAATATGTAACACTGGTAAGCTAGAGGGTACAGAATAATGAAGAGAAAGGGCAAAAGTCAAGATAATAATAAAGCATAAATGCTCCAAAACAACTTTATTACTTCTAGGGAAGAAGTTTAAAGACCTGAGAAAATAAAAATGTTTGGCAGAATGGGCAGCTCTTCCTCGTTCTTTGGGAAGTATCTTTCTCAGCTCCCATACTTCAGAAACTTGGGCTTTTTGTTTTCAAATGTCCTACCCTCCTTAACTTCTGCCCCCAGCCCCTCAACAATAAACACACAAACAAGCAAGCTAGAGTCTCCTGAATCTAATGAAATGAGAGTGAAATGAAAATCTCTTCTGCCTAGGGCATCCTAAGCTCTTCCTTAGAAAATGATGCTGCAGTAGGTTAGCTATTTAAAAATCCAATTCAAAGGCTGGTTCCAGTTTACCACATTTCAACAGAATATAACATCCTGAAAACACCTGAGTAAGCAGGGATCGCTCCTAAGCAGTGATCAAACCATTGCATCTCTAACAATCCACCTATTGCTGAAAGGCTTTTAAAGAGCTAAGCTTTTCAAGTCAAATTTGTAAAACTTAAGAAAAAAGGTAGAGAAAGTGTCTGAAAGTAAACATGCAAAGTATAAAAATAAATGAGGATAAATGAGGACCTTCAATCCTAAATCCTTTTGTGAAATTTTGTATAGGAAACCAAAAAACGAATAAAGAGGTTGCTTTTGTCAAGACCCAGCCAAAGACTAAGTGGACTGATGGTCTTTTAAATATTTTTCAAATTTAAGCCACTCCTCATTTATTCTGAGTAGGACTGCCTAATTCTAAGATAGATGATTTTCATATTATCTTCAGTATCTTTGCAGTCAAAGCAGCAAAGAAAAAAAACAATTGTCAAAATTTATAGAAAAAGCAGCAGCAACACTGCTGTTTTATCCCAATTATTAATATATACTCAAAGTTATAAATAGCATCTACAGTTACTAGAAAAGGAAATATGGGCCAGTGCAGTGGCTCATGCCTGTAATCCCAGCACTTTGGGAGGCAGAGTTGGGCGGATCACCTGAGGTTAGGAGTTCGAGACCAGCCTGGCCAATATGTCAAAACCCTGTCTGTAATTTAAAAAAAACAAAAATTAGCTGGGCATGGTGGTGCACGCTTATAATCCCAGCTACTCAGGAGGCAGAGACAGGAGAATCTCTTGAACCCAGGAGGTGGCTGTTGCAGTGAGCCAAAATGGCGCCACCGAACTTCGGCTATGGCAACAGAGCAAGACTCCGTCTCAAAAAAAAAAAAAAAAAAAAAAAGAAAGAAAAGAAAATAAGATTTTACTATTTTATTCATAAATTTTCAATTTGCTACTCTTCTAACTATAGCTTATTGCCATGGTTACAATTTAAATGTCATAAATATGGCTGAAAAGTGGGTAAACTTAAGAAAAACCACAACATTATACAGTTAAAATATTAGAAAGTAAATACCAGTTGTGATTGCTGTGTTTAGAAGTTAATACCCTTCCTCCTTCCCCTCAAAGGAAAAAAAATTAGTAAATGTAACTACTAGGCTTGAATATGAGTTTTAGGCAAGAGTGTGCTCTGAGAAAAATAAGGAACTATGCAGTTATTAAGTGTGAATTATGGACACACCTGTGGCGAGGGGAGATTAGCCACTGAATTAGTATCTGCCTAACACTAAAGTACTTGAGTACTTGAGGAGCTATTTGGACAACATTTAATTATTATGTATTCAATTTAAATCATTTAATACATTTGTGTACCATATATATTTTTATATTTAGCAGCTGATTGCACAGCCTACTAGAAAAGTAAAAAAAAGATTTGAAAACTTTAATTTAAAGGAAAATACTAAGCACGTAATAGTATATATGGGTTTCTCTTAATTTTTTAATTTTAAATTTTTGTGGGTACAGTGAAGGTATATATGTTTATAAGGTATATTAAGTGTTTTGATACAGGCATGTAATGCATAATAATCACATCATGGAGAATAGTGTATCTATCCCCTTAAGCATTTATCCTTTGCGTTATAAATCATCTAATCATACTTTTGTTATTTTGAAATGTACAATTAAATTATTGACTATAGTCACCCTGTTATGCTATCAAATAGTAGGTCTTATTGTTTTTTTCTATTTTTTTGTACTCTTATATTTGTTACTTGGCCATGATAAAAACCCTGAAGATGGCAGTCAAATGACTTAAGCAACGGGGAAGGGGTAGAAAGGATGCCAAGGCCATAGGTCCACTATAATTAATGTGTCTTCATAATCTAAACTCATTCTCTCTAGACTGTAAATCAACACATGATTATATGCAGTGTCTGCTTGGCTTTTGGTAATTAAAAATCCACAACTGCCCTCTCCAGCTCAGTTCAGCCAGTGTATAGACTGGTGAGGGTTAGGAGAAAAATTGCATGGGGAAATCAGGGTATTTCTCTGGCTCTATTTTAAACAACATTTCTGGCACGGGTGGCATCTCCTTCCTGGTTTCACCTAATGCTGGAAATCTCCCCGTCTGAAGCCCCTCCCACTGCTCCAGCTCTAGGACACTGACAAAACCATCTACCTACCCCTTTGCCTCTGCAGTCCTAGGGATGATAGCAGCTTTCTGGTATCATTATCTCTTGGGTGCTTCATCATCCTGTTTAATCACTCATATCTTCCAACCCACACTTTCGTAACTACATTTTCTGTATCAAATTCCGTATGTTGAACTACCTGGCATGGGTTCTGTTTTCCCAGCTGAACCCTGGCTAATAAATACACCTATTATCCTTGGGTTACAAAGAACTCTTATCCATCAAACACTAAGTCTCCAATAGAAAAGAAAAGGGCAATCTATATTGTACTTCTATATTCTCTAGATAATTAGAAATACAAATGATGACACTAATGTGGCAATATGAGAAGATCAATCCCATACACCTGGAGGGAGGGAAAATTAATACAATCTTTCAGGAAAGCAACTTGGTTACATATAGCAAAAGCATTAAAATATTCAAGTACTTTAAATAATTTTCTTCCTGAAATTCCAGCCTAAGGCAAATCAAAGGTACCAATACAATTTTATATATAGGGATGGTTACCACACTGTTATTTAAAATAGTAAAAAATAAGAAAAAATCTGAATGTCCGATACTAGAGATATGGGTAAATACGTATATACTTATGATTTTCCCTTATAGAATTCCCCTATCTCCCAACTGTAACTGAATATAGTTATACATCTCCACTATAGCTCACCTTCATTAAACCTGAAGTTCTTAAGAGGGCAAGGATGTTTGCTTTAAACATTGACAATTACATGCTAGAAAAGTGTTTATTTATTTCAGAAATAAATTAATTATGCATTCTTAAAGATGAATTTGAAGAATTTTATATTACATGAAAAAAACTGGCAAATGTAACTGCATATACAGTATGTTCCCCATTTCTCTCAAAAGGTAAAAAAACTGTATGTAACACACAAATGCACAGAAAGGCTAAGTGATGAGCTTGATTATAAGTAATTTTATCCACTTTTTGTACTTTTTAAATATTTTCCAAATATCTTTTGATGAGTATATATTACATTTAGAATCAGGAGAAAAATTATATTTACAAAGTAAAGAAGAAAGTCGAGATGAAGGCAGTTGGTAAGGTTAAAATACAACAAATTACTTCACACCCACTAGGACGGCTATAATAAAAAGGATAATAACGTGTTTGAGAGGACGTGGAGAAATCAGAACTGTTATTTTATTATTATTTTTTTTTTTGAGAAGGAGTCTCGCTCTGTTGCCCAGGCTGGAGTGCAGTGGTGCTATCTCCGCTCATTGCAGGCTCTGCCTCTCGGGTTCACACCATTCTCCTGTAGAACCGTTATTTTTAACTAGTGGAAATGTTAAATGGTACAGCCACTCTGGAAAATAATCTGGTAGTTGCTTAACGGGTTAAACACAGAGTTACCATGTGACCTAGCAATTCCACTAATAGGTTTATACTTAAGAGAACTGAAAACATATATTCAAAACTTTTATACAAATGGTCATAAAAGCATTATTCATAACAGACAAAAGTAGTAAGACCTAAATGTCCATCAACTGATGAATGAATAAATATTATTCAGCCATAAAAAGGAATAAACTACTGTTACATGCTATGATAAGGATGAACCTTGAAAAAATCATGCCAAGTGAAAGGAACCAGCCACAAGGACCACATGTATGATTCTATTCAACTGAAATGTCTAGAATAGGCAAATCCATAAGGAAAGAAAGTACAATAGATTAGTGGTTGCCTAAGACTGGTAAGTTTGGGGGTAAAATGGCGTGACAGCTAACTGGCACATGGTTTCTTTTAGGGGTGATGAAAATGTTCTAAAATTGTGGTGATAGATGCACAAGTCAGAATATACTAAAAAAAATTTAAGAGTATTCTTAAAATGGGTAAACTATATAGTATGAATTATCTCTCAATAAAGCTATTATAATAAAGAAATTTGTATATTATACATAAAGAAAGAAAAGGCTGTTAAGAGAAACAAACAAAAAATTAAGTTCACATGCATGTGTGCCAAATTTGCCATAAAAAAAACAAACCTGCAATACTGTACTAACGTCCTGTTAGGCTATAAAGGTTTTAAGGCATTGTGAGTCAAGTTATGAATCAAAAATAGTTCTTGTCACTTTTAAAAACATAACTTCCTTGTGTATATATTTTTTCAAAATATAGATTTTGTTACTAAATGAAAATATTCACCTCATTTACTCATTAGGTATACTTTTAATACCTTCTAAAGGTTGGGCATTTTCTAGGCATGAAGTAGGAGAGAAAAAAGAGACACTTTGCAAGAGCTTAGAATTTGGCTGTGAAGCTAATATATGCACACGAAATATTCCTAGGACGTGTAAAGCAGCATTTACTATTCGTTCATGTATGCAGTATTCATTCGCTCAGGTGGTGAATCACCTAGGGTCTACCATCCACACACAAGGCCCTTGGAATACTTTGTTGAACAGAGCAGACATGGCTCCCACTCTCAGTAACGACCTTAAATGCTGTGACAAAGTGGGGGAAATAACACTGCATCTCACCTGACTCCCTCTGTCCGCCTTGGTCAGATTTCAGATCATTCTCTCATTACCTCCCAAGAATAAGAAGCAGCAGCTTTCTCCTGGCATAGGCTGCTCTCCTAGGTTTCAGGCATGCTTTCTCTAACTCAGTTGTCCCTTATCCACAGCACTCTGGCCCACATGTCTGAACCACATAATAAAGTATTAATATGCATGGACCTATCGGTTTAACAGAAGTGTTTTCTTCACATTTGAATAAAGGCTTTCTTTAGTAATCACATTTCTAAATGCTTATTGAGTGGTGTCACTTGCTGCCCTTTAATCATCTCAAATCCAACACATCTCACACTGTGGTCCAGAGCACCCCCACCGAAACTGGCTCTCCATTTTGACACTCCTAATTGTTTTAACTGTACCATCCTCCCAAACGCAAAACCTCACAGTTATTGCCTACCCACCTGACCACCACACCAGCCTCTAAATCCTTATGAATTGCCTAGATGATCTCACACACCAAATTCTGCAGTAAGCTTTCAATTGGTCTATCTTGTCACTAATTTTTCCTCCCACCAGTTCACACCTCTGCTGTTTCTTCTGAGAAATGTTTAAATAATATGACATTTTGCTTCAAGAATTTTCAGTGTCTCCCCATGATCACGGAGAGAGTATAAAGTCCCTGGAACTTACAGATCTCTGTAATTTCAGCCAATTCAGCCTTCTAGACTTTGCACGTCTTATCACCTCCCAAACCAGTTTTAAATGTTCCCTTCCCGTGACACTTGTGTTGTCTCTTCTTTTGCCCAGTGACAATGCCCTCTCCAGAGCCGCCCATCAAGCCCAAGGCTGCAGGACCATCTCCTCTGCCATCTCAGATGTGGGCTGTCCACTTATATCAGTATTTCCCACATAATACTTACTTGGCAGTTAACCACATATTATTTCATGGTGTGACTTGCCTTGTGTTAAACTGTTGTTTAGAAGCCTTATTGTTAGGTAGCTTTTCACGTTTCTGCCTCATCAACAGTTTGAGTTAACGCTATTTTTCTGGGGGAAAGAACTTCTTTGTATGACAGCCAAGTGCCTTGTATGCAGTATAAGGAACACCAGAATCCTGGCACTAGGTTTAGATAAACTCAGATACTGGGCATTTGGTTATCTAAGTCTTCCTCAATTCAAGTCTTGTTTGAAAAGGGCCAAAGTATTTACACATCAATGCCTATTCCAGCATTACAACATTGTTCACATTACTGATTACGATGTAAGCTCCATGGGGGAAGGGGACAGGGACAAGTGTGTGTTATGCCCATCACTCTGCCCAGCAATGTGCACAGCACCCGGTACATTATGTGAATACTCAATAAACATTTATTGAGTGAAGGCTGAGTATGAAGACATCAACGATTTATGTAAGTGACAGACAGTCTCCTTAATGTAATTCATCCTTCCTATGTGGTGAATTTAGGTTAAAAAGAAAAGATAGAGAGACTACATGGAAAGCTACCACACTATGTTAGAAGCTACTAGATATTCTACATGTGGATACATTAAAAAAATGAAAACTTCAAGCGACTTTTCTCTGAGTATGATAAACACAGTGAAATACCCAACTTGTATAATTAGCAGCTTTCTTGATTACGTAATAACTTTTTTTGAAGTCAGCCCTGTGTTTTCTTATGATGGAAATGGAAACTTTCAGATATGGGGTTAATATTAAAAATGCTGCTGTTCAATGCTTTTTCATTACAGTTGACATACACAAATTTACTCAATTATACTAAAAACTTAAGCATATTAAGTACTATTCCAAAGCAATGTAGCGCAATATTGTCACTATTAAAGGCTTTGCTTGGCTTATTTCACCAAGAGATAGTAAGTTAAGAGAGTAGGCTATGTAATTTGTGTTTATCAAACATAACTTTTATATAATAAAAAACATACCTGTTGATCTCCAAGGAAATGACTTCTCAGTTGAGCTAAAGAAAAAGAAAGAAAAAAATGGAACATTTATTTATTTTGTCATAAAATTTAGCTTAGGACCTGTTTTGCATATTAACATTTAATTTCCACATTAAATTATACAAGAGCACAAAAACCTTAAATAAAATTTAAACTTATCTAAGTTAATTTTTAGATAGTATTTAAAATTGGGACAAAAATTGTTTCTATTTGGAAATTAAGGCAAATTATAAAATGACATAAAATTCTACTTGAAGAAGACAAAACAGCACAACTGTATGATATTCACAGTACTTACATGATGTACTACAGTTTTTTCGTGATAATATGAAAACCACATACGTATCATATATATGAAAAAGAACCAAAAAGGCTGTTAAACAGTTTATTTTATGTATTTTCAAAAGCAGCAATTAGAACAGAGACAAAAATTACTGAGGCCACTTTTGAATTGAATATTGCCTTATAAAATTTAAAACGCAGAACTTCATATCAAAAATATAAGGTCCTATAAGCCAGGATAAAGTGACAGCTATGTATTTTCCTTGGTTATTAGAGGGTGCATTTAAAAAATTTGTGAATAAAAACATATCAGTGCCTCCCTGCTTGCCACCTCTCTTGCCCCAATCAATACAGGAAACCATGGTGTTACAGGGACAGTGTAGCAGAATACAGGAACAACAGAATGGATTATTAAGCATTTATTAAATGCTAGATTAAGCATTTCACATATGATCTCCTTTATGTTATTTATCACAATCTTGTGAATAGGTACACCCTTATTGTTATCTTACAGACAAAGAAACACATGCTGGTAACTCGAAGAGCTGGAACCACACCCAGGACTCCTGGTCAGATTCCAAACTCGTGCACCTTATCACTGTGCTACCTGGCAGAACAGCTTGTGATCCCATTTTTGCATTAAACACATACAGACACATAGACAATATGACTAGAAGTCTAGAAAAATAAAAATGAATGTGCTAGCAGTTATATCCCTGAGTACAGCCATTACATGTTTTTCTTTTTAATCATTTATACCTTTTTTCCTTTTAAAAAACCAGAAAAAGGACATATATTCATGGTATTTTTTTGAGTGCTTATTAAATTTATAGAAAAAGGAGTGTGACTCTGGGCTTAAGGAAACATTCTGCCAAATAAAGCACTTGGAGTGGGGGAAGAACCGTCCTTTTAGTGCTATATTTCTGAGATTTTAAGTTCTTATTACCCCCTTGATACTTTCCCCAAGTCATTATGTGGTTATGAAACTTGCTGGTTGAAAACCCTAGATTCCATAGAAACTCCCTGAACTTCAATTTTGTGTGTGATTTGCCTTTTCTCCATCACAGGTGCAGTAGTTCACATTCCAGGACCACTGAACGAATTGCAAGCAGGGTGACCTTCTCCCAGCAAGTGGAGTCAATCAGTTAATGCTAATCTCCTCCAGGGCTCTGTGATGTTCCTTTATCTGAAACACTCTTAGCTGATTTCAAAATGGACTGATAGGAAAAAGTGAAAACTTGGTCAAATATCAGTAATGAGACATTTGTCTTGCTCCTAAGGGTAGGCCATCACTGTCTTGTGACTCCAAAAGTGGTTCTGCACACTGAATTTCAATTTCTCCTCAATCTGTTTTTGTTATTTAATTCTATTATCTAAATTAGTTTCTAAGCACTGAGATTGGTATTACCCAACTCTGTTTCCTCAAAAGGATCATATTTTATGTCAATATTAAAATACATGGTAAATCAAACTGCCATCCGGAAATGTTTAGTATACCTCAAGTTTCTCGGGAATATTAAGAAAGTTTTATCTTCTGAGTTTGAAACTTATATCAACTTTAATGAAATACAAGACTTTTTATCCTCAAAACTGTAGGTCACAGAATATAATTCCAGCTAATTGCTCAAATGGGGCAAGGGCTGTGGTTGTTTTGCTCATCTCTTTATACCAAGTGCCTAGCATTTGCCAGGCACACAGCAGATGCTTAATTAAATTGTGAAAAAATCAAGTTCTTTAATGTTTTGAAAGGTCAGATTATACAAATTACCAGGTATTACCTAGTATAAGCAGGTCAACTTATTCTCCCCGAGTCTAGGTAGGAAGCTCCAGCAACCTCGTTGTGTAACAATCAAGCAAACAGCATTTTTGCTGCTGAAAGGACCTTTGGTTACCAAAATATAATAGGTATTCCTAGGTGAAGGCAATGGGAAGCCTCAATAATATTCCCTCCTCCATTTAAGGTACCATATATAAATCATTAGAAAAACAAGCTAATAATGAAATTAAAAATAAATAAATAGTTCCATGGTATACTCTGAAGATCATCTATTCAGCCCAACTACTTTCACAGAAACTTCTATAATTCTGAGAAATAACTGGTCATTACATGTTATTCATAACAGCCTATTTTCTTTTTGAATTACTCACTTCAAATGACTCTCAAATTGTTCACTACTTTGGGACTCAGGGATTGGACAACAAAACAGATGGAATTTTGAAATGCTGTTTTAAACCACCAAAGGCAATTGTTCTAATAAACCCATGTTTATTACAACAATCACAGGCAGCTTCATGTTAGAAACATAGGCTTATTTCCTCCTTCTCTCCCTCCAACCATCTATTCCTAGAAACACTTCCTCAACTTTTATTGAATGGCTACAATGTGTCTGTAGGCACTGTGCCCACAAATGACTCCATCCCGGTTCCCTTTCACTTCTCTTCTGAAGATGCCAAGCAGCTTGCGTTCTAGGAGCTTCCACTGGAATGTGAAACACATTTTAAAATACACACAGGAACTGAGTCACCCATGATAACTTTGTTTCAATGGGAAGATATATTCATAATTTAATACGTTAATAACTTAATCATTTAGAATGAAATCCACTAATAACCTTGGGGCTGTCCAGTCAGATGGTGAACATCAATCAAAAGCAAATTTATTACCAAATTAACAAAACAGTTCATTTTAATACGAAAAATCAGTTTTGTTTACAGGAAGACAATGTGCCTTCATCATAATATTACATGAAAATATGTTGTAGATCACTATAAAATTCTACATACTCCTGAAATTAATTTTTTTCATTCAGATGCAAATGGAGGCAAAAATATCTTTGTTGGACATTGACAGCTGTGCAATATCTTTGAAAACTCTCCTTATTTTGCTGTTTCCCATATTAGGAGTCAGAAAATTACCTGCTCATAATCCCCTCCAGCCAGAGGGCAGGCCAGTGAGTGAAGTTCACAAGAAGCCACATGTGGAGATAGGGTGATCCTGAGCATTTGTGGTGGATACAGTGGTGGCAGTAGGCACTGCTCCTTGAAACCCAGATTCAGATTCTGGCTCCCTGGCCTTCCTAGAGACTCCATGAGTTGATATCCAATAGCTCCTAAAAAGTTGCTTTTCTGCTTACATAAGCCAGAGAAGATTCTATTGTTTGCAACCAAAAATCCTGACTGATGTTATCCTAAAACTAACAAAGACAAAGTAGCCCTCTGAAAAGGGCCCAAGACTCATAACTGTAGACTATTTCCAACTGCATACTGGATATGTAACACAGCTCAGATTCAACGTATTGAAATTATTTCCCTCTAAACTGACTCCTGTTTAGTGATTCCCACCTTCAGTCACTCAAACTGAAGAGCAGGGAGTAATTTTACTATTTGTTCTTCCCACTAGTGTGTAACCTCCATGAGGGTATGGCAGGTGGCCTTGTTTACAGACAATGGCCAGAGCCTAAGGCAGTATCTGACACATGGCTATCACTCATTTTGAATTCATCTCTACTACCACTGACACTGTTCTGGCCTTTATCCTCTTATCCTCTTTTGGCTGGGTCATTCTTTCAGTCTCTCTCCTAACTGGTCTTCCTGGCTTTCATTTCTCATCCTGCCAGGCTCTCTTCCACGCTGCTACTACTGCGATTTTTTTCAAACACTCACCTCTGATGTCATTCTTCTGCTGCTAATGCACAACAGATCCATACAGGATAAAATGCAAACATCTCAGATGGCACAGAAGGCCCTGCACCACCTGGCTCCTCCTAGTGTGCCCTTTCCCACACAAACCTACATCTGAAGCATTTCTAACTGCTTGCAGTTGCCTCACACACCATACTGTTTCACACTTCCACTGCTATTTTTAGGGTAGAACATGCAGGAATAGAGTCTGGAAATTCTTTCAGAATTACTCAAATTCTAGAATGGCACATGCAGGTACCATATAACTTGTTTATATACCCATGAAACAGAATGCTCTAAAGTTTACCTTCACTTTGTATCACGTTCTATAATAACAGGAATATTTTTATTTTTTTTGAGTTGGAGTCTTGCTCTCGCCCAGGCTGGAGTGCAGTGGCGCGATCTCGCCTCACTGCAAGCTCCGCCTCCCAGGTTCACACCATTCTCCTCCCTCAGCCTCCCAAGTAGCTGGGACTACAGGTGCCCGCTACCATGCCCGGCTAATTTTTTGTATTTTTTTAGTAGAGACGGGGTTTCACCGTGTTAGCCAGGATGGTCTCGATCTCGTGACCTCGTGATCCGCCCGCCTCAGCCTCCCAAAGTGCTAGGATTACAGGCGTGAGCCACCACGCCCGGCAATAACAGGAATATTTTTAAAAAATGTTTTACTTAAGTTGGTACCCAATTTTCTCCTGGTTCCTCTGTCTGATGTGAGCAAGCCTGCTTTAGTGGATACCAGTAGGTAAACGCTAGGAGAGGGGACAGTAGAGAACTGGATGGAGCCACATGGTAATTCTGCCATGCCATTTCCCTCACCTTCTTTCAGGTAGGGCTCATTTTATCACAAGTATACACAAGCTACTGTTACTAGTCTCTTAGCAAGACATACTGAATTAGGACAAGATCCAAGGGTTACTCCTTTCTGAAAAAGAAACAGTTCTTAGCCTGAAATCAGAATACGGTCAAATTGCAAAATTTACTGCTTTATTTAAAAAAATCAGGCTTGACACAGCGGCTCACGCCTATAATCCACCACTCTGGGAGGCTAAGGTGGGAGGATTGCTTAGCCCAGATGTTTGAGACCAGCCGGGGCAACAAAGTGAGACCCTATCTCTACAAAAAAGTTTAAAAAAAAAATTGCCGGGCATGGTGACATGTGCCTTTAGTCTCAGCTACTTGGGAGGCTGAGGTGAGAAGATTGCCTGAGCCTGAGAGCAAGGCTCAAGGCAAGCAAGGCTGCAGTGAGCTGTGATCATGCCACCACACTCCAGCCTGGGCAACAGAGTGAGACCCTGTTTCAAAAAAATAAACAAAAATAATTGTGTCAAGAAATTTTACACACACATGTATATTTATATATGAATATAACTCATTAATAGCTGAAAAAATAAACCATAGCCAATAACAAATTAAATTTTACTCAGTATTAATTAGAAGGGATAACTCAAATTATCCTAGAAATTGTTTTATTTATGAATGGAGCATGGGTGTGTCCCACTGTCTAGACTATGTACCATCTATAGCCTTCTCTCTGGTGACCAACAATCATCCTTCCAGAATTACCTTGAGGAGAGTTGGTCACCTCCTCCTTTTTATCGTGAATGTACCCAATAATTTATCTCTATTTTTGCACTTTTCACATTGTAACCATAGTATTTGTTTACCTACCTGTTCTACTAGCAGACTGCAGCCTTCTTGAGAGTAAAGATAGTATATTAATTCTACCTGCATCTAACCAGGAACTGGCATTGAGTAGGATGCTTAAATAGATGATAGCTGATCTTCACTCTTTGGGTTGTTGTTTTAAAGATTAATGCTACATAATTTTAGAAACTGTTTCAATCATTCTGCAAAAGAGACAGATTCCTCCTGATTTGGGCTCTTTGTATCTTATAGAAAAGATGTTTACTGCATATATCGTATGGATTCATTCAACAAATATCTGTTGATCATTTATTGAGCACCAGCCATTGTTAGAGGCTGGGAATACATGGTGAGAAGAGCATTCTACAAGAGAGGACTCTGATGTCAATGTCACAGGGCCCAGCACTATGCCGACTAAAGAGACATTCACATATCTATCACAAACAAAAGTGTGAAGCAACTTTTAAAAACAAAAACAAAGACCTAACTCTCCTTATACTCATCTATGAAAAGAAGGTCAACTGGTACTGGGAGCACCCAGGTAGGAATCTGAACATGAAGTCCCCAGTGAGACAGGTATGGAATATGAACTATACGCCATAGTCTAGACTGCACCTTGACTTCCACAGCTCAAAAACCGTAAGGGGTTGGGAATAAGCCAGTTTGGGAGACCACCAAAATAATACGCTGCATGTGTAAGAAATCTGACATTTCTCCCCCTCTGTGTCATGACAGATGATCTCTTTAATGGCTGTTTAAACCATCTCAAATGAGTAGCGTTACATGATCTACTTTCACTGTCACACCATAGTTTTTTACAATATTACAATATTCTTTTCTTTTTTTTTTTTTAAAGAGACAAGGTCTCATTTCATTGCCCAGGCTGGGATTACAGGCATGAGCCACTGTGCCTGGTACACAATATTCTCTAAATTATTCTTAAGTGTTCTTCTATTAAATAGATGTAATTAATACATGAATCAGGTGTATATTAATCTTTACTATGAAAAATTTTTAAAATACATTTGTACATTGTGGCCTTTCCTTGATGTTTCACTCCTCAATTTTCTCTCAGTTTTACCATTTTGAGCTCTGATCCTAAGTTCCACACAAGTCTGTATTTCTGTACATATTAATTATTGAATTAGAGTTTAAAAACGCCCACGTTTACAGATGAAATCTCAGTGGCTTCAGGACATAAGTTCCAAACTGCATTTCTCTCTTTTTCCACCAATTCTTTATTATCTTACTTTCAATTTGTGATTTGCTCATTTTATAACATATGTTTCACCTTTTATTGTGCCATTGGTGGGCTTTATTTTTCCACTAATCAAAATTACTCCATTAGCAAATGTATAGGCTTTCTGGATTCCAAATCTATTGTGAGAAGTTCTAGCTAAGTCTACTTTTTAGTCAATTCCAAGGTCTATTTCTAAGTTAAAAAAAAAAAAAAGGTAAACTCATTTTGTGATTTTATTTTTTGGCAATGAGTTCACATTGCAATTACTTAACACCTTGTTATCCTCTAGGCATTACAAATTGCTTTTTAAAGAATTATTCCAGAATCCTCTTAGTTATGTGAACTGGGCTCCATAGTTCCCTGTCACTCTGTATTTCCCATTATGCATCTGGGATTTTTTTTTCCCCTCCCCAAGGAAATATGACAAAATAACTACTAATGATTCTTAAGTTTGTCTCTACTTAAGAATGTTACAGGATAAATTTAAAACAAACTACCTTAACTAAGTTTAACACATTCTGTCAAACACTTAAATTTCTATATCGTCATTAATTATAATTAAATGAAATCTTCAATTATGATCAGGAGATACAACATACTTTAAGATTTTTATTTCTATCTAACATTGCTTTGGCTTCTGTTTTAATTAGTACATTTAAAACTTTACTCCGTCTATCTCTTAATGCATTTGTAAAATATTCCATTAGTTTCTTGTGAATTCTTAGCTAGGTTAAATGCATTCTTTGCTTTAGCTTTCTTGAGTGCTCGTGAATTTATGCTGAGAATACCGCTTTTTGAATATAATTCCTATGGAAGTCCCTGGTCTTATTAAGACCAGGCATTCACCTGTGGGCAGGTCAGATTTCTCCTTACCCTGACCCTCAAGAAGAATGTCCGTGAGCTCATTTTATATTTACAATAAGCATGGTGAGAAGTAGGATCTAGAAGACTAAGATGGAATAGAGGGTTCTCTAATGCTATAACCTGTCTTCTGATGTTCTGAAAATTCATACCACTTACTAATAGGTAACTGTTAGGTTACAACCAGTTCCGTTTTTCCTGTTTGGGAAACAGGGCCTTTATCTGTTGCTCTTAGTCAGGTAAGGATTGCCCGGGAAATAAATTCTTTACACTAGAGACTTATGCTCTCTGTCTTAACGTCAGAACAAATAGAGCAGTTACACAAATTAAACAATATGTCATGATTATTCTTCCCAAAACAAGTTTGGATAGCTCTTCATCATTGCACTAAGCTAGTTCAGTAAGGTGAAGACAGGAAGGTCAACACGTGAAGACAGTGAAAGTGAACTGCTTTGCCCAGCTGAAGGACGAGGGAGTTGGAAGGCAAACAAATATCTCCACCACCACATTCACTACCACCTCGGAGGGGCTCTCAGGACCCTAGTTTGAAAAATCACAAATCCAGGCAGTAATGATTTCTTAGCAAAAATATTCTGAAAGCAATCCTCCTTAGTATTTAACTATATTTTTTGAAACCCCTTCCAAATTTACTTAGTGTCCATTCACAATCAATCTCAATGAAAACAAAAACAAAACAAAACCTCTTCCTCCAAATTCCTGGTTTTTCACTGACCAAGTGTCTCTTTACCATGCTGTCAGATCCTGGGCAATTCTCTGTTGGATGGAGACTGATTTCTTTCTTCCCAAGAAAGGGCCACTAATTAATTCTTCCTGGCTTTTCATCAGAATGGCCGTTAGTCCCCTCTCTTCCTAAGGCTATTCCCAAGATCTCAGCAGCCAGGAAAAGTGAAAATGTGACAACAGGTGCCTAACTGTAGTTTAGTTATTTTTATGTGTTATGACCTTGCCCCTGAAAATGGTACATGCCTATAGTTTGAACTAAGCAAGGCATAACAAATGAGACAGGGCAAAGGGCTTCTTTTCATAATTATTTATATGATCTGAGGGTGATATCGAGGTTACAGAAAAGCAAGAGCACTTGAATTAAAAATGACACCCTTCATGTAGGCTATAGCTGTTCCTGACCCATCAGCAACAGGACATGAGGCTTGAGTTGCCTTCCACCAGTGAGGCTCTGCGTCAATCCATCTCCACTCCAAACCCAACCACTGGTGTGACCAACAGAATGAGCAAACAAGATGGCTATAGGAAGGCAGACCTGATACCTCATGGAAGGCAGAAAAGGTCAAGGGCCTAGAGTCAGACTCATATTTCCCTCAGTGACACTTTACCTGAAAAACTTGGCCATGCTCAGAATGTGCTTTTACAATTTTAGTCTTTACAAAATCATGAGCAACAGGGACAGCAAAATGTGGAAAAAAAGTCCACTCTTGGTTTACATTGGCTGCTAGCAAGTTTGAGTAAAATGTATGCCCAGCTACTGTGGTGAACATGTTTGGTCTTATTCATGGCCCTATTTTGTTTTCATACTTGTTTTCTCAGTTCTTCATTCTACTTTTCCTTTGTGCTACTCTACTGTATATTTTTGGATCCCTATAACAGCTGTCTAAAACGCATTCCAGGGAAAGTTAAGATTTAAATAAACAATATCATGATCAGCCTCCTGAAGGCGAAAGTTGCTTATTTGATGCACAGCAAAAACATGAAAGGAACAGGAAATACAGTTCAAGTAACCTTCATAGGGACTAGAGGTGAACAAATTTCAGAAGATGTTAAATATTCTTTGACAAAAGCATTTTATGTTAGTGCCTTGAATCTATGAATAAAAGAGTCAGAAGACCATATGGGAAAGGGAAGATCAAAAAGGACGTAGTACTAGACAAAAATGAGACAAACAGTTCCCTCTGGTATCCCTATAAATTATACAGGAAACATGACTTCTGTTTATGCCCATCCCACAACAGGTGTTCCAACTAGTCAAAGTAGAAATCAGAAAAGGAAGGTTTTCTAATATTTCAAGTGACATTTGAAAGAATGAAAGCAACTGAGATGAAAAGAGTAAAATGGCTAAACACAACAACAGACTCTCTTCCTAAATATCCTGCCACAAACCTAGGATCCTATTTGGGCAAAGATTTGGCCTTGAAACAGAGGGGCTACTGGGAACTATTTGTGTCCATGGTCTACAAAATGCTGTTGCCTTCCTCATTTCTATTCTTCTAAAACCTTCCAAAGGTGAAGAAATAGAAAGGAAATTTAAAAAAATTTAAAATAAGAAAGGGCATATAAACATACTATTTTCTGCTAGAACTGCATAAAAGCATCTATATGTTATACTTGTAAATAAAGCAGATGCTGGTAAGGAACAAGAAAAGGGCCCTGTTTTTCTATTTGTTCTATGTGAGACTGGGCACAGCATTAACATGGGACTAAGCTGTAGCAGTCTACAGTAAGAGACACGCTGGGATACCAAATCCTTGAAATTTATAATTACAAATAGTTTTATTTGATGCATACAATTTAATTTCGTACATTATTTCATATTTTAAGTGCTTTGAAAAGACTATGTAAAAATTTACTTAAAAGGAATTTTAAGCCTAAATTTGTAATTAAACATTTATTCCCCCAATCATTTACACAGAGAATTCTTTGCTACTCATGTAAAGGTACTATTAAATCTGGTGTGTGTCTAAAGAATGATATTCACTTTCTGTCTACTAATTATCCAGAGTAAAGATTTTTAATTTTTATAAACAGTAAAAATTTCATTAATAAATTTAATTGTAAGTGTGAAAAGAGAGAGCATAATACACTTGTTAAATTTCTGCCTTGCTTTTTGAAAAAGAAAGGTTTCTCTCTGTAACAGCATTTTCAGCTCTTGATTCATGGACAAGAAACATGAATAGCTGTTTTAGTGCAGAAGGAGGAATGAATTCACATGTGGGACAGTCCACAGACCCAGGATTATTAATAACTATCCTGGAAAAAGAGTGGACCCATAAGGAAACAGTCAATATTCTACATAGCATATACTATGTTTCTATGTAGTAAGACATCTGGATCCTAGAAAAGTGGTTCTAGAATGTTTTAAATCCCTCTGAAAACTCTCATGGATCCCTAATTCATCCCATATCCCCTTACCCACCACTCTGGTTTCCTACTCTTCTCTATCACCCACATGTTCCTAACTACTGCTGTAGGGGAATGAAGCAGAAAAAAGCCTAAGAGGATGAATAAGAAGGAATGATGATAATGATAATGGAGAGACAGGGTAAAGTCTCTTAAAACAGCATTCTTGATAAACAGTGTGTGATCCATAAACACTGATCAGGAGTTGAACAGGTACCCTTCAAGGCAAACAGAAAAGGTAAGTGGTTGGTCAAGACTGCCTTAAATTTCTAGCTTTAATGTCCAGGTTTCTTTTAAGAAACATGAATCCAAAAAGAAATGACAATTTACAACATAACAGAGGAGAGGCTGACTAACTTAATCTTTCTTTCCCTCTTTTTTCTCCCTGTCCCATTCATTGCCATGAGTGAACATCATTGATAGGAAAGGTATTACATGGTATGTGGAACATATTATGTAAATTTATAATCTCTAAATGGTAAAAGTTAGAGCTAATAAATGACATTTATTTAAATTTTCAAAAAGAATATTTATTACTCAGATTGTAAGAAATATAACCATACTAATCTTATAAACATTGAAATTATGGTTAATTTTTAAAATGCAATTTCAGTCAGAAAATTAAGATCTGAATCACCTAACATTTTAAAAACTGTTATGCAACATTTAAAATATATACAATAAAAAACAGTATAACAAACACTCTTTGTATTTATTACCCAGCTTCAACAAGAAAATGAACATGTGGCCAAACTTATTTCATTGACATCTTTATTCTACATTATATTCTCTACATTACTGGATTATTTTGAAGCAAACTCAAGACATCTTATTACTTCAGTAATAAATACTTGAAATGTATCTCTAAATATAGATACTTTAAAAAATAACATAACCACAATATTATTACACCAAAAATTAACATTAAAATTTTTAGTATCAACAAGTATCTAGTCAGTATTCATATTCCCTGTTTCAATTTAAAAACAGTTGGGTGGTTTAAATCAGGACCAAAACAAGGTCCATATGTTACATTTGGTTGCTATGTCTCTAAAAATCTTCTGATATATAGTTTTACCTCCCCCTCTCTTCTTTTTCCTATTTGAAATAATTTCATTTGCTCTGTAGAATTTTAGCCTGGTTCTAATGAATGTATCAGTACAGTATCAACTGACATGTTCCTCTGTCTCCTGTATTCCCCATAAACTGATATTAATATCTAGATGCTTAAATAATTTTAGGGCAAGAACATGTCATGGGTGACGTTACATACTTCTCATTGCATCGTATCAGGTGACTGTGATTTCTGGCTGTCTCCCTTTCTGTGATATTAACATAAGATAGATAAGTGGGTTCATGTCCTGTCAGCCTGATCCATTCATTGTAAAACTTCTCACTACCTTTCCAGCTGATGATTTTAGTGGCCATTGGTGATCATTGGTTTGTCACTATTTTGTTAGTGGTTGCGAAGTTCTACCAAGTTAACTTCTAGACTTATTCTGATTAAACTACTTCATTCAGTAATATAATTTCTCCCTTTGTTTCATGTTCATTTATGATATAATACTATTTCAGTTGTCATTTACAAATGTCTTTACTGAAAGACATTTGCTAATGTTGTTCAGAAAACAGATACACTTTTGCATTTTGTACTTTGTAAGCATTAGTTCTTGTATTATGGTTGATAATTTTACTTGAATTTTCTCTGTGGCTGAAATAGCCCCATTATTGATAATGTAACTAAATCTGGGAAGTAGATCAATCTTTAATTGACTTGGACTGAAGCAAAGACTACACATCATAGGATCCTAAAATAACTGGCTATTATTTTTCTCCAAAAAAAAAAAAAAGTCTAGAAGAAATACACAATACACACACACACACACACACACACACACACACACACACACACACACTCAAGACATTCCTCCTTGGATTATAAGCAGTCTATTAATGCAAACCAAACATTTGACAGTGGTTAAAATGTGTAGGTATTTAATGGGAGTTTTTTTAGCTGTGAAAATCTGTAGTCTACACACTTTTTCCTGCTTCAGTTTTAGAGTGTTTTTCTCCTATTTAATTGTGGAGTAACACAACAGCAGCATAGAAAAATCTATGCAAAAACAGATTATATTGATTTCTTATTAAATACATTGTGAAGCCTCAGGGAAGATAACTATAATAACAATTCAGACAATATAAAGTCTGGCAAACTTGTCATGTTTGTCCCCCACCCCCATCCCTAGGCAGACATGCCATGTACATTTTTACGACAAGCTGATTAACTGCTGAAAACGCACTAGTGGATGGCCCTCACTTTTAGGTAGATAATCACATTTTCAGTTTCCTTTCCCATACATCACTGGATTAGAGCTGTCTAGGGTAGTTCTTTGAAGGGTTAAGGAAACATCACACATATTGCTCTTGTTGCTCTATGTCCTTAACCTGCCAAATGGTAATGAGAATGAGAGTTTACTACCAACCTTCCTTTATTTCATCATGAATATTAAAGTGATTAGATGAAGGAATTACAAAAAATTTCCCCCTAAAATAGTTAACTGCGCTAAGTACATTAGTGGCAACAGACAATATATTTTTAAAGGTTGTTTCCTAGAGTTGTTGAATTAACATTTATATGACCTCTTGTACATGTTTGTGAAAGACCAGGAATAGAAATATCAAGCGCTTCAGAGTTTCCAGATAGGAGAGACAAAATAGTGGTAGTGGAGGTGGGGCTGGAGACGAGGACTCTCACAGATGCCTCGGTACAGCCAACACAACTTTTACCTAGATAGCATGTGTTTGGAGGGGTGCAGTGGCAAGAAGGAGGTAAATGGAGTACTGAAGTCTTCCCACCCCCTTGACACTCCAATGGTAAAGCAAGAGAAAAACACTATCTTTAGGGGAAAATGTCAGCCTCATGTTAGATTCAGGTGTACAATAAATAAAACCAAATCAAAGCAAAACACACCACCACCGCCAAGACCAAAAATGAAATGCTACTGAAGAGTAAGAGGATAACATGCACGAGACATTTACTATCAAACTGCAAATTACATAATAGGTGTTCAACTGCTGCTATTCTCTTTCCTACACTATAATTATAGAAAGGGATTTTTACCAAAGGATATGATAATCAAAGATACCAAGGTAAGGCATCCTGGGACAGAGCTAGGAGAACCAGTGCAACCTCATCAACAGCATTCTTCACAAAACTAAAAATAATAAAATACAGGCATACATTTTATGCTGCTAGGAAGACACTTCATCACCTGGTTTAGTTACGCACAATGGTCTCTTGCTGATAGAAGGCAAATTTCTAAGCTTGTCTCTTTGTAGCTCTAGAAAACAGGAAAAGCTAAGTATTTAGTGAATGAATTTAGAAAAGACATCATAAATATTTGCAGAAAAAAATAAATGCAGAGTCACTAAAGAAAATATGGAAATAGAAACTGAGAGTAATATTAGTTGGGCCTTCACCTACCCTAAGTGGCAGGTTTGGATAATTTGAGATTTATTATTATATTATAGGTAGAAAGAAAGTTATTTCTTCCACATACGTGTCACTGTACTAATGTTCATATTCTTAAAATAGATCAATATGGTGTACTTTGTTCTACAATGTACTAGGATCTGTACTATTTTAAGAAATATATCCCAGAGTTATTTTAGCTTTAAAAAACTAATGATAGAACCAAAAATAACAAGCCAAATTACTCATTAGAAAAATGAGCAAACAACATCAACAGCCGGAGGACACTCAAATGGACCATAGCATATGAAAACATATTCAACCCCAACAGTAATTGAGAAAATGCAAAGTTAAATGAGATAACGTTAGTTTGGCAAAAATTAAAGAGCCTGTTCAATATTAAATATTGGCAGAAAGAAAGAAGGAAAGAAAGCAAGCAAGCAAGAGAAAATGAACCGGGAACTTTTTTACACTGCTCAAGGGGGTGGCAACTGTTGAGCTACTTCAGAAAGCTGCTTCAAACCAGCAAGATCTAGAAAAATTAAAAATGTACATTCATTATGATCCAAATAGTCTACTTCTCATTATATATTTTCCAGAATCTTACACATGTGAACCAGGATATATGTTCAAAAATGTTCACTTACAATATTGTAAAACTTCAACAATGGAATGGCTAAACAGTTTAATGTCTATGATATAAATATACAAGAGCAGTTAAAAGAATGAACTAGATTTACACATTTCAATGTGGCTGGATCTCAAATGGAAAAAATCAAGGTGTACAATGGCACATAAACTACACCTACAATCTTTGATGTAAAAAAAAAAAGCAACACAAAATATTGGTTACACAGGTGTTAATATATATGTATATAATATATAAGTACTGTATATGTATTGACATAAAAGTATACAAAGTCAATTGAAACATTACATACTAGTGGTTAGCTATGGGGAAGAGAAAATGTGGCAAAGGGGACTTGAATTTTATGTTCAATATTTTTTATAAAAAATGAATTTTTAATAATTTTTAATTACAGGATGTGAGTACTTAACATTTCCATTTTATTCTCTGCATTTACAATTTTTAACATTTCTCAAAATAAAGAAGATTTTAAAACCCAGATAAGGGGAAAATAATAATAGTAATAAGAAAATACAGGATTTAAGAGCATTGTTGCTTTTATGAGATGGTAAATGTAATTACTAACTCCTATAAAGCAGCGAAGGCAAATCTGTTCAAGCATCTTGAAATATCCTGTATAACCTATTAAAGTACTTTATCAATATGTACACATAATTTCAAAAACTCTAATGATGAAGGGTAAGGGCTAATATTATAATTCTTATTTTGATTCAATAATTCAATACTGTTAAATAATTTAATAATATAATTACAGAAAGCAAACTATGAAAAATTACAGAAAATGAAATACTGTTTTAACTAAAATTGTTCTTTAAAAGATGATTAAATAATGGCATGATATACATATTTTAGATGTATGGGCCTCTGAATTTTTAAAAGTATTAGAAAAATTAATACAGCTGAGGTGCCTCCATTTTAACCACATATATTAAAATAGTCTTAAAATAATCTGAAACATTTATGCTATTAACCTGATCTTTTTTGTGGTTCTTCCTAACTGCATTATCCATTTAACATTTAAAATGCTCAGTCTAAGAGACAGGTAATTTATTTTGGAATACTTATTTGCTGTGATTAAAACATTCTAGGTTCAAAAAAGATTCTATTACTCATAAAAGATATATTGTTTAAAATTCTTCATGGTGACATTTTTAGCTTAAAATACGTTAGCTTACTGCAATACTGGTTGAAATACCTTGGGGTCACATGTCCTAGGCAAGACTCAGTTATACTAGTTTAATTCACATGTGTAGAGATACTTGTCATTTGGATTTGTATGTCCCAGTTGAAACTGGCTTGTGACTGGAATGGCAATGAGATATCATAATTAAAAATGCCTTCTGGAAGAACTGTGGTTGAGCAAACTGCTCTAGATAAACAACTTCTGTAGAGCTGCAGGTCAGCTTTGACTCATTTGGTATCTTTCAGATGTGGAACTCTTTACTGTGTTTACAATAGGAGTTGCATCACAAAAATGCAGTGTTACCAAATTTGCTCGTAAGAGCATCAATTTAATAAATATTCACCATAGAGATCCCGAGGGTTTCCGGTAATTATATTCAGATATTAAACAGTTTATTCTTCATTTAGTCTGAATTAGAAATGAAGTTAGGGAGCTTTAGAATATTTGACCATTAAGAGAGTCACTAGTGACCAAATACACTAAAAAATTAAAACTAAATAATTACAGACAACTAACCCACCAATAAACAAGCATTTATTAAAAGAAGAAGCAAAGGAGAAAGGAAAGGAGGCAAGCCCACATGACAGACTGGGAGGATGGGTGGACAGGCCAAGGGGAATCTCCCTTTGCTCCCACCTCTCCCAACTTAAGAATGTCTAGAGCAAAGCTCTTGATATTTTTCCCTCTTAAAATACAATACTCAGCAGCACTATTCATAAGAGCCAAAAAGTGAAAACAACCCAAATGTACAACTGATGCCTAATAAATAAAATGTGGCATATCTACATGATGGAATATTATTTGGAAATAAAAAAAGATGAAGTACCAATACATGCCACAACATGGAGGAACCTTGAAAATTTCATGCAAAGTGAAAAATGCCAGACACAAAAGACCACAAATTGTAATGATATAATTTATTAGAAATGTTGAGAATAGGCAAATCCATAGATACAGAGTGTAGATTAGTGTGGTTCTCTGAGGACAGGGAAAAGGAAAAAAGGGGGAGGCTAGAGGGTTTTTTTTTTTTTTTTGGAATGATAAAAATGTTTTAAAATTAAGTAGTGGTGATGGTTGCACAACTCTGAATATACTTAAAAACACTGAATTGTACACTTCAAAAGTATGGATTTTATGGTATGTGAAATGTATCCCAATAAAATAGTTATTTTATAAAAAGCACTCTCAGGTTTTGCCTGGTGAGAGCACTGAAGGTCAAAGGGACAGAGCTTTCTCAAACATCCTCCTGAAGTGGTATATTAAATAAGTAATAAACTGTTAAAGCACAAACATTCAATCTATTCAAAGATTCTTCATTTTCTAAAGAATACATTATTTGAAGAGGTTGATTTCTCATTGACTTAAAAATATTCACTGAAGAAAAGATTTGAACCACAAAAAGGTCTTTTATGCTGCTGTCAGCTCTAAAACATTTTTAGGATTTTTAGTAATATCAATCGAAACCTGATGGGCATCTGCAGATGACTCGATCAAGTGTAAAAAATAAAAAATCTGAATGGCAGTGGGGAATCAAATATTTTCATTAAAATAAACCAGTTCTTTTCTTAAGTGGTAGTAAGAACACTATTTGTCAAAACTGTATGACCTTTTTGAAATCAGAAAGAATTCTATTTTAGCAGGGCTTTAAACTAACTGAAAAAGGGGAGATAATCTTGGGAAGACTTTGAAGTTATTTAACTTCAACATTGCCACCCATTTTCCTAATACCAGCAGCAGCCAGCCAAAGAATGAACAATGTGAAGGGACCAAATGCTTCTGAACAGGATAATCAAATTTCAAAATCATTTGCAAAAAGCGAAAATGAAAATCTAAACTGTGCTTTACTTCCAAAAGTTGCCATTAATGTTTTCTACAATTATTAAAAGGCCCAATTTTTAAATATATATTTTTTACTTCAATATAAATAAAAACTTAGGGCTTTGTTTTAGTCAGGAGACAAACTACGATTTGTAAAATCAAATACTTGGAACCAATTTATGATGTACAAAGAAATAAACTTTCTCTTTCACTGTTTACAATTTATCGAGAAGTAAATAAAAAACAAAGAATAGATAACCAAGATGAGTTTCTGGGAAATAGTAACATTCCAAGTCTGTTGTCAAGAACAGTTATAGTTTTGAAATTCTTTACTATAAAATTTCAGGGATAGTTTCTAGAATTCTAAGATGATCATATTTCATTTATGAAATCTTCAATTCTAACTATATACTTTTAATCCTTCTAGTTTTTATTGTTTAAATTTTTTGTAGAGACAGGGTCTCACTATGTTGGCCAGGCTAGTTTCAAACTCCTGGCCTCAAGTGATCCTCCTGCTTAGGACTCCCAAAGTGCTAGGACTAAAGGCATGAGCCACTGTGCCTGGCCTATCCTTCCAGTTTTGCTACACAAGAAGCTGAACCACTAGTGTAACTTCTCTGCTTGCGTGAAATGTGAACACAGATCGTACAATGCCTACTGGAACGGTGAATTTATCTTGCAGTATTTCTCCTGGCCGAGTCTTCCACTAGAATGCGCTTGCCATTGGAAGGCTGCACTGGTCCCTAACCTACTAAGTTAGCATCCCTAGGCCCCAAGGTATTCAGCACTTGGGAATTCCGCTGGCACGTGGAAACCATTAAATTTGGTGTACGTGCTTGGCTGAGGAGCCAATGGGGCAAAGCTGCCATCTGTGGGATTATGACTAAACACCTCTAAGTCAGAATACCGCCCAGGCAGAACCATACAGCAGGGCCACAGACCCTCGGTTGGCCTCGGAGCCGGAGCCTCAGTTGGCCTCGAATCACTGGGTCCCCGCCAGCAGGCCACTTGGACGTGCGCTGGGACCCCAGTGCAGAGAGCCCCTGGTCCTGGGAAACGGAATGCGGCCAGAAAGGCGGCTTCCCCCTTACCCGTCATGTAACGCTTGTTGGGAACCTGGCGCTAAACCATTTGTAGACGACCTGTTTCTGGGTTGGATTTCGTATGTAGTGGAGCAGCTCCCTCGCTGTGATCTATTGAAAGTCTGCCCTCGACACAAAGGTTTATTAAAAAAAATCAGAAAATATAAAAATATAAGAAACAAACAAACAAAACATTAAAAAAAGATTGTTTAAAGAATACCCTGGCATACCAAAGTGGGACTTTAGGAACAAGATAAAAAGTCACCTGTGGGGAATTACCTCAAAATTAAATTAAAAAATAAATTTTTTTAAGAGAAAGAAATACAGCAAACTTTTAAAAGTGGTTGCCTCTTTTTAGGGGGGTTCATGAAAATGTTCTATATGTCAGCTGTAGTGGTGGTGGTCGTCACACAACTGTATACCAAAAGTGCTAGTAAAGGATTGTAAAACTACACTACAAAGGGTTGAATTTTACGGTAAGTGAATCACACTTCAATAAAGTTGACTTAAAATGTATAGTAGTTATCTCTGAATGATAGATTCAGGAATTTTTCTCTTTATACTTTCCTGACCTTTACAACTTGTCTAAAAGGAATGCCATTTAACTCCACAATCAATAAAATACGGAGTAAGAATACGGTCTTATCTACACCATTGCCTGCTTCAGTGTCCTTGGAGTGGAGGCATAAGGGGAAGTCCTAGGGAGGAGTAGATAGGTACAGAATCTAAGTGGGCCCTGCAATGTGGGCTATTGGACCCTTTTACTCTCACTGTATCCAGTGAAATCTCAACCCAACTAATGTGAAAATGATACCCCATCAATGATATTGCAGGGAATAAAAGAACAAGTCCCATGCTCATCAAAAGTTGGATTTGAAGGATGTTGCTTAGCCCGTGGGAGACATGAGACTTAAAGGACATATTTCCCTCTGAAGATTCTATGCTGTGAGATTTCCTGAGATGAGCTGTACATACCCCAGCATCCCCTGGGAGTCATTTCTGTTGCTAAGATGTATACACTATGCACCTGCACAATGACAAGCAACACAAGCCATCTCACATCTCAGCACTCATTGCCATCCATGACTCTAAAAGGCTCTACAGACAGAAATAGTCATGGTAGGCTGCCTGCTTAGTGGACCTAAAATTGATTCATCCATCTACATATGCTAAGTATTATCCTGGAGCCAAGCTGTAGTGTCAGACTTGGCCCCGTGGAAAATTACTCTTAGTTAAGGTGCTATTCCATCCATTTATATTCCATTTAACAATGGAAGAAAGAGCCCTATGAGCTTGTTTTTGTAATTTACTGGAAAGAGACCACTGAGGACACTGCTTGCCTCATCATACAGCAGTATGTTAATGGGGACACACGGGAGAAACCACTTAAGCCTCAGCCCCAGGAATGGTGGATCTTCCTGAGCAACCTAGTTTGTTTTTCTCTTACAGACACATGAATTGTGGAATTCATTAGCGTTTTTGTCTTTACCATGGCTATTAGGTCACTCAGAGTGAATGTGGCATGGAAGGTTACAACACACATTTTGTGTACTAGTTTAAACTTGGCTTCATCTTATTTTTCTAAATTTTATCTTCTTTTTGCCCTAATTTCCCAACTTTTAATTTTTGTATTTTGAAAGGTGTTTCAAATACTTTTGGATGAGGTGAAATATTGAATGCATAAGTAACTATAGCATATTCAGAACAAATGCAGAAAAGTTTTTTCTTCCCTAATTAACTGGTTCCTTTCAATGAGGTGAAATATAACTATATGCTACTCAATATAAATGCAGACAAACCATAACTTCTTTATTAATTCATTCCAAAACCAAACTTCAATGAGTAAAATATTAAATACACAGATAATATTACCTGCATAGATAACTTTAGTGTACTTGGTACAAATGAAGAAAGGCTACAACTGCTCTATTAAATGAGGCCATAACCCACCTTCAGGGCTTTTCAAGGTTGCAGCGATTATTTCTGGTCTGATATATCATCTCTTGATACAGACTTCATCAACTTCAGATGAAAGTTCATTATAATATATTGATAGTGCTAGTTTTATTAATTTTTAAGAAGTAAATAAAACCAATGGAAAAGTCATCAGAAATGAGGTTTTTACCTTGTTTGGAAGACTACTAATTCTAAAGAGTCATTAATAGAAAAACTAAGGAATTTTATCTTAAGATTTTCAAAATGTTCTCAAGAAGGCATACTGCAAATAAACTGCCAATGATTATTATGCAGTTCACCTTTTTGGGACATTTCCTGATAGGTGGAAATATATGCAGAGGACTAGTTTCTACCTATAAAATGGAAACATCTTCTGGCATGGGTTAAAAATGAATCTTTGATCCTACAAGTGTGAGGGAACCGAACTACTCACTATTAGAGCCACCCATTCGGGGAAGAGGATTCCACAGTTTGTTTATCACAGCATAAGCGTCATTAAACAGGTATTAAACAGAACCTCATGCCACTGCCACGTCCTTCTTCACAGGGTGAGGCCAATAATGACAAAAACTTTGGATGGGTGAAAAGGTAAATAAAAACAAATGCTTTTCGTTTTCCTTTGAGTCATTAGTGTCATCTTTGGACCAGGAAAAGTAAGAAAATCTTACAGATCACCTTACCAAC
Source organism: Homo sapiens (assembly GCF_000001405.40). Classification (NCBI taxonomy): domain Eukaryota; kingdom Metazoa; phylum Chordata; class Mammalia; order Primates; family Hominidae; genus Homo; species Homo sapiens. The sequence goes on along the minus strand of NC_000002.12, from coordinate 158,581,384 downwards.
TCTGCCACAGGATCCAAATCAAACAGTATGAAAGGTAACTGGTGATCAAATCCCCCAGTTTGCTGATTAAACTCATTTCATGCAAGAACGAACTGAATCAAACAGAAGCTTGATGGCCCAAAGCAACAATTCCACTTTTAATTGTTATTTTTTAGCAAATCGGAAATGGCATACCGGAAAGGGGGCCTGGGTCTAAGAGCTAATTTCTGTTCTTCTCTGTATCACTTAGATTCTGGTTCCAAGACTGACAATTGAAACACACTGGAGATGCAAGGGGGATCTCTCAAGTGACACAATAAAAAACTTTAGCTCCCCTAATGGCAAAGCACCTTTACATGATGTGCCCGAAGCATCCTGGACTTAAGGTTCATTATCCATTCAATGATCATTTGGCTGGGTGCCCACTTGCTGAGCGCCAGGCTCTGTGCCAGGGCCATGGGGGTGGAATGAGCCTTACTACCTGTTGAGCAGCTAACATGCACAGGGAAACAGTGATGGGAATTCAGATGAGGGAGGTGACTTTTCCTGAGAAACTTGAGAAAGGTTGTAAAGAAGGGTAAGCATTTAGTTGGGACATCAAGAATACATGGGAATTCAACATGAGAAGAAAGTAGGGCAATCCAAGTAGATCAATTACCATTCCAACCACAGCTCAGAGATCACTGAATGAAGAAACCCACCTTACTCATAACCCTTAAAATTTCATAATAGATTCCTATCTGGCTGCCTGGCCTCTTTATTCTGTTTTACACACTGCACTCTCAAAAAAGGAAAACTTCTAATCACCATCACCACCACCAATAACAACTTTCAGTTGGTCTCCTTTAAAGATCTAATAAAGTTCTTCACAATTAAATGCCAGCTTCACCTTTCCAATTTCATAAGCCAGTAGGTCCTTTTAGGACATATCCTAGACACTGAGCCTCTTACTGCTCGGGACAACTGTTTGTGGGGCCATATATGCATTTGTGCACATTTTCCTCCTTTCCCTGGTCAACCCCACTCCCATTTCTGCATGACCCATTCATTCACCCGACATTCACTGGTGGTGCCACAGTCACTTGCCAGGCACAAATGCCAGGCACTGAGAACCAGACAGGAACCACAAAAAAAGTCACTGACAGAAACTACTACCCACAATATGTACTTTACTTAGAGATTTTAAAAAAACATATGGAACCAGCCAATGAACGATATAGCCTTAAAATTATTTAACATTTTAAAATTCACAAGTCCAGAACATAATCTAATAGCCATGCATATATCAACCACTCCCTCATTTAACAGTTGTTAACATTTTGTTATATTTGCTCCAGATGGCTCTTGAATAAAATGCTACAGATTCTGCAAAAGCCTAATTCCTAGTATCGTCCTCCTTTCTTCCTTTCTAGAGGTTCCACTATCTTAAATTGGTGTCATTCCAAAATATTTTATAATTTTACTCCACATGCACACACTGACAAACAATACCAAGTACTATTTAATTATTATGCAGTATTGCTATATATATAGCAATATATATATAGCTATATATATATATTTTAAATTGCTCATAGATTATATCCTCCTACAGCTATTCTTCTGCAACTTACAGCTTTTCAAGTCTGTTTTGCAAACATGTCCATGTTGATACATGTAGATCTAGTTATTTCATTTTAACTGCTCTAGAGTTTCATTTTAACTGCTTTAGAGTGTACCTATTAACAGTTTATTTTCCATTTCCATTCTAAGGAATAAGTATGTTCTTTGTAATTTTTTACTTTTGCAAATGGTGCTGCAATGAGCATGCTTTGTATCTGTTTTACTGTGCACACCTGTCAGACTTCCTCCAATGGTATCCAGTTCTTGGACTGTGAAACCCTACTCTTTTGCTCACTGATTCTCTCACTCATGGTCAAGTTTTTTTATGATATGTAATTCAATGCTTTTTTTTTTTTTTTACAAAATCAGAACTAATTTGGAAATACATGACGAACAAAGCACAGTGTGAAACTGTCCTTCCTACCCTCTTCAATACATCTTTTCTTATTTCTGTGCTACATTCAGGTGCTGTAATCTCTCGTCTGGATTCCTTAGCTCTAGTGAAGGTATTTGTGTGTGTGAATGGTTGTTCAAATTGAAGTTTCTGTGAGAGGATGGGCACTGACAAGTCCTATTCTGTCATCTTGCTGATGTCATTCATAAATTTGTGTTTTATACTATCTCACTGTGAGCTCATCTTTAGTGGTGCCATTTTCTCACTGGGGACTCCTGAGCAATGTGGATAGTTACATTTGGGCTCCAAACCCACATATGATAGAAGCCTGGGGTTTGCTAATCATGGGGTCCTTTAAAGGACATGGCTTAGTGCAGTGATGTTAAGTTCAAACATACCATCTTGAGCACACACAAAACTTCATTCTTTAGCTCCTCTATGGGTATAAAATCCACCTCTAGTGCTTACTTTGAGGTTTGACAACTGTTCTCACATCTCCTACAGAGGTAGCTCAAGCTTCTGGCTCTGGTTTTCAGTGCTCTTTCTAGTTTCAATATCTGGGGATTTTCCCTCCTCTTGTGCCATTTCCTCTAGGTATTGGTCTTTATTATTGATATACCAAGTATTACTAGGAGTTTATCAAGAGAATTTCTATTTTAATTTAGTTAGTAATATTGCCAGAATAAGAAGTACTAACAGAATTCTGTTAAATGTTGAATTACTTTTCTATTAAAATATAATTCTGGTTAGAAAAACAAAACCAGTTGGTTCATACCTTTTAGAAATATATAATACCATATTATTGAGTTTGTGAGTTGTTCTTTTTGGTGCTAAAGATACGGATAATTTCTAAAAAATATTATAGAGAATTAAAGCTAATTTTTGTTTTCACAGTTTTAACTTAACGAATTATTTCATTGGGTATTGCAAAGTCTGAGTTAGAAATTTCTAATTTATTATTTTATACCTTGCTTATAATTCTCTTTCTATAAAAACCTTCCTGGATATTTATAAAATAATTACATAATCTTATATTTGTTTTGTAAAAGTTTTGACGACCTTTATTTATATACTTTATGCCTTACCAAACATATCAATATACACAACTGTTAAGAGAGATGAAAAATTCATATTACTACAACTTACCAGCCCAATAGTTTAATGTTCATACCAACAATCAGAAACAACAGACAGAATTCTATTCACTAAGAAGTTTTTTTGCCCATGAGTAACACAAGATACTGAAAAGTAGAATAATTATGAGGTTAGAAATAACTGAGAGAAAAGTTATTGCAGGCATGTCTACCTAAGTGTAAGCAGATCAAACTTAAAACTGCAAGCAATGAAAGCATTTTACAGTAGGCTTTACAGAAATATGTAATTATTAAGAAAGAAATCTATAGATAGGATAAGCAGTGATTTAACTATTCGGAACATGTAATTTTTACAGGAATTATGCTTTTAAATAGCATAAGAGGTACTTAAATAAAAAATAACAATCATGATTATGTTTTTACAGTAATGCACTCATTTAGTATTTACTGTATGTGAGTACAGTAAATTATTCCATATAGTAATTAGTTTGTGTGGTAGATTCATAGAGTTCTAGAAAAACCCAAAGTAAATTGAAGACATTTTTAAAGTTAATGCAATCTTATTTAGAAATATTTCTTAGTTTTAAAAAAATCAATACCAGGTGTTCAAAGCACCAGCCAATTAACTTTACCAAATAATTAGCAATTAATCACGACAACACCCATTAACTGTGTGTACATATGAGGAATCTGAAGGCAGCACAGTAGCTTTTGCTACAGAAGCTTGCCAATGCTATAGAAAACATTTCAAGCACAGGACTGAGGGATTGCAAGAGGCTTCTCAAAATTAGAATAAATGGACATTTTTGGTTTCAAATTCTGGAAGGCAAGTTAACAGTAACAACACTAACAGAATCTTTTGCTGCATAGAGAACAACCTAGTAAGGCATGTAACTTGAGTGTGCATAAAGATGGAGCCATTGGCCCTGTACCTGGTGCTGGCGATGCTTGGTGATTCTGCTCCAAGCCTACATCTTTCTAGCTGACTGGCAACAATCTGCCTTTCCACTTCCAGTTCTCGGGTGAGTCGCTGAAACTGAAGCTCCTGTGATTCAAGAAAATAAAAGGCATATAAGGCGCCAAGGTATGCTGCTCAGGCAGATATATGAATTAATGTATGTCACAGGAAACATAGGAACGTACCCATAACATAAAGCTATGGTGTGGCTTTGTGAAATGCAATTTTTGGATGAAATAAATGACCTATTGATTCCTAGCTTTTTCAAATCTAAAGGCAATAGAATATCAGCCTTTATTTGGCATAAAAACCATGTAGATCTTTATTTGCCTTTTCTGATTTTGGTTCTGAGGTCTTCAAACAGTACTTCTGCTACAGTGCCTTACTAAAGTTAAGGCTTCCAGAGACCTTACTTAATGTATCTACATCAGAGACACAGCAAACAATGGCTAGTTTTTATATTTCTTATACTATATGTCAGCATAGTTTAAAAAAATATAAATCCCCGTGATCAGAATCACTTTACCATGTTTGATATAGTCTTTTAATTAAGAAAAAAAATGATTCCAATGCCACAGAAAAAGTCTTGCCGTATTTATCTATAATATAACCAACAAAAATTTGCTATGTCCAAAAGCAATCATGTGCCACTGTGCAAAGGAGAGAAGGAACACAAGAAGTGAAAAAGACTAAGCCATAACATAGAATTTAAAATATATTCAAAAGCTGGAAGATAGTCTACAGAAATTATATTCTTGAATCTATGCTGCAAAGTGAAGGCAAACAAGTTCTATGAAAGGAGAGAATGTTTTAACTTTATTTGTATTTCTCTCATTGTTAGCTTGATGGGATTTTAGTAAGTAGAAAACATGTCATGTTATAAAATATCTAAAGATCAAGTACATTCCAAAGGTTTTAAGCTACAAATAGCATCTCAAGCTCCCCTGTGCCATACTGTCTCCTCACAAGTCTATTCAAAGCAAATGCTGAACTGTAAGTAGTTTAATTTGATGACTGCTAGTTCAAAATACCAGACATATGAGTATTAAATCTAGAAACTATTCAGAAATAAAACAACCTAAAATATTATTTATGATTATATGTATACATTCGTTTGCCATTAAAAATTTTAATTGAAAAGTATATGAACTCCCTGTGAAATCAGGCAAACATGTAATTGCTTGACAGTACTGGCTCTGCAAATTCCACAAGCTATTCTTGGAATAATTTTTAAGAAACAGTCCCTAAACTCCTTACCATCTTCTGATACTGAGAATCCTTTCCTAATGATCCCAACTGGTGTGGCAGTATTGGACAGGGCCTAGATGAATAATAGCTGGCTCAATAATGCTGTACAATATGATCATAATCGGTAAGTGGGACAATGCCTGCCTCTGCCTAACAATTCCTAGGCTCTTAATAAATGTTCAGTAACAAAAGACTAGATAGACATAAATTGTTCAGCATTCAGTACCAGGCTAAGATAACCAATTTGAAAATACTATTATGCTTACCTCACACTTACTCTTTCTTTGCTCTTAAACAGCATCATTTTGTTTTTTTTGTTATAGACTTCTATTTGTTCACTTCATTTACTCACTTGTCATTATATGCATCTTTTCCCACAAGACTGCCTGGTTGTATCAAGCTGGGCCAGGAAAAGACTACTCAGGAATCCCAAAATATTCCCCAAGCCATCACAATACCTTCGTCCTCTGAGTTCAGTGGCTACTAGGGATTGAGGGCTGGAGTACTGTCCTCATTTTGGGATGGGCAAAAGTTACCATATCAGGTACAGTATGGTATGAAGATACATTGCAAATAAGAACATAGAAAAAAAATTCCATTCATAGAAACAAATTCCATTGTACAGGAATGAATTTTTATCATGTTTGTGGCTGCCTGTGACCTTGTAAACAACCTTTCAAGGAAATGGCTGGGAAAGTTCCTGCTTGAAGGCAGAAGTTGGAATTTCTCATAATTCCTTCCCTCAAAAGCAGAACGGGTGACTTTGGCTCTGCCAAGAAAGTACACTCATGCCAGGTTGTGATGCAGGTGCTGACACTGAGACTCTGACTCCAGCAAAGAGGACACTTGTTTTCTCTCTCTATTGCCTTCTTGCTGTGCTTCCTGCATTAGGTCTCAAGGTCAAGATCCTGACATGGAAACAACCTCCATACACAATTCTGTGTGTTTGGTGGCTATAACAATAGTTTCTTTATCTGATCAACATTGTGGCACAAATTTGGACACCGTTCCTGGAATCTTAGTCTCAAGTCTTGTTCTCCAGTACCTGTAACAAATGTGGGAATTCACTAATAATCCCTTAATGAATTCCTTTTCTGCTTAATTAGCCATGTTAGTTTCTGTATCTTACAACTAGAAACTTTGATTGACGTACCCACAGAAACAATTTACAGTTCTTGAGTTGCTAGGAAAGCCTATACATGCATGATGTAGCTACACTTTTTATTTAAAAGTAGGGCAATTCCTTTAACATTCTTATGGACTGAATTAAGTCCACATTATATCCCTACTGGATGCAGAGCCCATAATACTGAACATCACTGGCTACTTTTATCAAAACCATTCAACCTATTACGTGCCCACAACTTCTCACAAGTAGTACTTCATTAAAGTGCCAAAAGCAGAATATCAAGAAGCTATAAAGCACTGAATTTGTAAAAGTGACTTAACACCTGTAAATGTTTACAAAGAAAAAATATGCTTTCTTGCAAAACTATTACTATTCCTCCTAAGAATACAAGTTGAACACACGCACATGTGAATGGCACCAAGATGTATGAGTGGGATATCAATATTTGATAATTCAGTCTCTACTGGCCTCTTTGACTGACTGATGAGGACAGTATTATGCTGTCATATGAAAACACATCTAATAATTTCCAAAATAACGCTCATTAAGATGATGATGCAGAGACATCATCTATGAAGTTAAAAATTCTTATATTTTATCCTCTAAACAAAAAATGTGAAGAATGGTTCTTAAATCAGTATCCCAAATTGGGAATCTTAATTATAGGGGGAGCTTATATTTGTTCTTTTGTGAGAAGAAAAAAGTTAATGTTAAAAGCACTTGTCAGTGATTTAGTGTATGAAAATTTCCTCGTAGAGCCTAGCAAACAATACCACACGACTTTAGAAAGTCAAGGCTACTAATATACTATGAAAATGGAATCTGTTCACCTGTGTTACAAAGCTTTTCTTTGTATTTACTTCCTTCCTCTCAAGTAAGTATACTGATAAATATTCTTTGAGAGAGAATTAAGAGAATAGATGAAAATAAAGCTGCACTTTCAGATGAGCCATATTTGGTAGACAGAGCTACACTGCCCAAGGAAGCCCAAGGAAAGGCTGGCTGTCCCATCTGCCAGCAGGTGGCCTGTGGTCATCAGCTCCTTCAGGGGTGTCTCGGCTGCAGACAGTCCCCTTGCCCATGGGCACACCCTCTGAGAAGCTTGCATTCAGGCACTGATCAAGATAAGAAAATAAAGACCAGGCCCAGATTTGCTCCCTTTGGCCTTGGCCAAGGCTTTGTCAGCCTGATTTGGAATTCTCCCTTGCCTAATCCTGCTTTCCCTTCCCCTCTCCTCCACAGGTGTTGATCCCTGACAAGTATTCTGCATGTAAAACTCCATCTCAGTGAGAATTCAATCTGAAACAGTCTTTTTTTTTTTTTTTTGGCTTCCATTTCTATGATAGATTTCTCTCTCCCAATTTAAATATATTGTGAGACACTTCAAAAATACAGAAAATTATAGACAATAACACAATAAACTTCTGTGAATCTGACCAAGGTACAGCAAATCTTAATATTTTGCTACATTTGCTTCAGATGTTTTATGAAGTAAAATATTACAATTTTATTTTAAAATACAATAAAATCCCTTGGTTTCTCTTTCCTAGATCCTATTCTTCTCTTTTCTTCCCTCCCTAGAAGGAATCATTACCCTAAATTTGGTGCTTAATATTCACATGAGTATTTTATATTACTACTACCTATTTAGAGAGCCATAAATGGCAACAGATACAGCATTGTTTTGTATGTCCACACAATTTATGCAATTGGTATATTGTACAGTTTTTGCAGATTGCTTTTACTGCAACATGATTTTGAGATTTATTAACATCAATACATGTAGATCTAGCTAATCTATTTTCACTGCCCAATAGTATTCCATTGCACGGCTATCACATAATGTCTTTATATGTTCTCATCATGAACCTTGGGTTGTTCCCAACTTTATGTAATCATAAACATTCTGTAAAATAAGCTTTCTTGTATAAACCATCTTGTGCACATGAATCATACTTCTCCAGAGCAAAGAGACCTAGAAGTGGAATTGCTTGGTCGAAAGGTACACACATCTTCAGTTTTGCTTGATAATGATTGTCAGGTTACTTTTCAAAGTAGTTGTACTAATTTATGTTCCAGCCAGTAATAAATGAGAGTTTCAGCTTCTCCACATTCTCACTGACATCAGCTGGCATTCTGGGCCTTAAATTTCTCTTTTCTTTGGTTGTCTCATAGGCATAGAATGCTATTTTGCTTGTGTTTTATTTTGTATTTCCCTGATAACAAACACCTTTTTCCTATGTTTATTGACCATTTAAGTTTTTGAATCTCATAGGTATCGTAACTATCGGGGGAAAATGTCTTCCTCCTGCCAGCACCCAGGCCTGTCCTCTTCTGTGGGACAGATTTCTTACCAGTTTTAGCCAATGTTGTAGTTTTGGCAAGTTCTAGCTTTGGGCAAAGGATCTAATTTGAACCCTCACCTTAGGCTGTCCTCAAATGCCTGTGGCATGGAGCTGTCAAATAGCATGTTCAAGATGACCTAGATTTGCCAGATATCTTCAGGGTAAAAGCCAGGTTTATTGCTTAGGATTCTCATTTGCATTTTGGTTTTAGTTTTTGTGAATTATTTCTTTTCTTTCTAGCTTAGCCTTGCTTTTAAAAAGACAATTCAAATATTTTATTTAGTATGTTTAGTTTCTTTCAGGGGAAAGACTGGTTAGAATACCGAATCTACAGTATAGCGCTTTCATATTTTCTCTTAATTTCTTTGAGCTGTAGTCAGGGAGAATTTCTCAGCACTGCCTTCAATTCACTATTTCTCTATGTGTCTTGTTTATGGTTTATCTCATCTACTGAACTTTTTTTTCAAAGACAGTATTTTCCATTTCTGAGACTTCTTATTAGTTCTTTTTCATGTCTGTTCCTGCATGGTCATTGGGTGTGAAATCTCTTTCTTCTTTTGTTTTCTCTTCCTGTTTAGGTTGATGTCTACTTCAACTCCCAAGTCACTCAGTTCTAAATAAGCCCTTAAAATTGGTGATTACTGTGTTTCTTTCAAACAGAAGTATTAGGATACTGCACATCTAGTCACAAGGATACCATCTTCCTTCTGGCTTTCAGAAACCCTAGGTAGCTTTCAGAATTAGGTCTCTGCACTCCCGCTCCTTTGATGAGCAGGAAGAGCTCCACTCCAGTTCAAGGCTCAGTCCCTTGAACCATTTTCACGTAACACTGAAAGCAGGTCATACTTCATCCTCCTGTGGCCTCCTAGTCTCTTACCCTCATTAAGTCCTCACTGATGGCCATAGTGACATATCTCCTGACCCTTTCCAACTGTGCCCTGTGGAAGTCTCATTCCAGTTTACAAACTCTCTCTTTACAAACTCTTTATCTTTTAATCAGAATGTTCTCCACCTCTGAGTTACTAAGAATACTCTCCACTTCCAGGCTTTAATTGAAATGTAGTTCTTTCTCGAAAATACTGCATTTTCCTACAACCCTCTCTGGTGAAGACTATGTATTCCTCCACACCCCAAACCCAAGGTGCCTCAAAGAAGGGAGAGGAGAGATGGTGTGCTCCTGGCTCCTTACTACCTCTAATTATTAGCATAAAGTAGTTCATAATATTCTTTGCTGTCAGTATATGTTATATAATTGTCCTCATTGTCAGCAGGATCCGCAACCATAGCCCCCTTACATTCTTGATATTAGTAAATCATGTTTTCCTTTTCTTCCTTATCAGTAAAGACCATTATGCTTCCAAATATGTGCAAAAGCTCATTGTCTTTTGAGCCTCGAGCCATCTAGCTCAGTTGTCAATTTGCATCATTACATGGATTTACTTCAAGTTAGTCCAGCTAATTCAGGAGTAGCTGCAATAGCTACTACAATTATGATGACGACAATTAAGAAACAGCAGTAGGCGCTCATTTCAGGCCATCAGCTTGACAACTCAACTCCTGCCCCCACATTCACACTAATCCTTAGTTCTCTTCCAGGCTTAGTGGAGGGAGTGTCCCTTTCTCACCCAAGGCTGGTCTCTGCATGCTCTCCTGCCTCATCCAGAGCCTTGCTTCTCTCTGGAATCCTCTATGTTTCATTTTAGTCTAATGCTCAAGTTTTTCTCATCTGAGAACATATCTTGTTGATTATAGGACTCCTCAGTCTCTGTTTCTTTCTCCTCTGACCTATATTATCTCTTTCATTGAGTATTTTTCTTTAAACTGACTCCTTTATCATTCCAGGCATTGAAGTCATTGAAATCCTGGTTTCCAATGCTTGTATATTTTTAATATAAAATACATAGTAATTTTTAGAAATGTTTATCTGCGTGACAAAAATCATCTCATGCTAGCAGTATAACACACCAAGAGGCAACATACCTTTCCATGACTATGTATCTCAGCAGGAAAGTACTTAGTTCCAGTTATATTGAAAGAAGAAAACAGATGGTCCTTATGTGATAGAATTACTGGTTAAGAAAGCAAGCATTTTTATTTCAATTGTTGTTGGTTGAAAATCTTTCAAAAAAATCTACTTTCTGCCTTAGTATACTGAGAGTTTTATATTACTAAAATACTAATTATCACTGACTAGATTTTTAAGATAGAGGGGATTGGGCAGGTTTATGTCCTGTTCCCAGGACATGCTATAGCATTTCTCCCCATTTCCCACATCAAAAAGATGAGTCAATTATGGTCATGATCATATCTTTGGGCCAAGTTTAGGAAACTATTTTACAAACAAATATTTAAGAACTACCAAGAAATCCCCCAAAAACATCCTAAATATTGTCCTGTAACCTAGGCTGGTGCAAAAACCAAAGTAGTCATATTTACAAAGGTCCTTGAACTTCTCATCCTTAAGATAACCAGCAAATTTGACAGAGATAATCAAATGTCCTGACCATCTACCACAATTTACTTAATAACTGATAAACCATTATTATGTCTACTTGGTAGTCCCTAAATCAATGTATAATTAATTATAGAAATGCTGGGCATATGATGTCAATCATCATTGTACTGGCTAGCTTCCTTTGTTAAAAGGAAATTAAGAATCAAAGATAAATTATGTTTCTCAAACTGAGAACACCAGTGTCCTACAGGATGTTAACAGATATTCCCTTAAAGGAAGGGTTCCGGGTCAAGTAGATTTGGGAAATGCTGCCCAGGAGATTCTAAATCTTGGAGAGTCACAGCAACCCTACCATATTAAAAGTTCTGAGAAGTCTACCAGTAGGAAGTCAGATTACCTTTGTTTAACCCAGCACTTCTTTGATTTATTGAACACTAAGCACACTTTTTCTTTTGCAAAGAACAACTATTAACATCTCAAGGAACTATCATTTTGAGAACACAACTTAGGCAACACTGAAAAAAAAGTTTATTTGTTGTATTTAGGGAAGGCTGAATTAAGAGGTACTATACTATAGTCTACATTTAAAATATTTTTTACAAATTGGAAAACAAAATTTTAATCACTTTTGTCAAGACTGAATACTTACATAGGGAAGGGCACTACAAAGGGTTAGCCTTCAAATGGAAACTGCTGACATTGCATCACTTTGAAGACATGAAGGATATACATTATTAGGACAGCTCTGTGGGATTCGTTGCCCTATGCTATGCCCATTGCCTGTTACCTTGAGATCTCACGATCAAAGAAAAGTGCAACATACAGCTACCCATCTAATTTCTTGCCTTACTAGCTAATATTCTAATAGGAGATGAACAATATTAAGATCTTTGTTGTTTTATCCTACCACCAAAACAGGAATAAACCAAGTTCTAGTTGACATCTTTCCTCCAGTTTTAATGAAGCAGAGAGAAAATAGTAAAGTTTACCAGATGCTTGAAGTTTATATTCTAAGACTCAGGCTCTCATCTGTAACTTAGCTCCTCTATTAGGAAACCAAAATAAAGGAGGAGAGGTTTGGGGGTACATTAAAAATACACAAGAAAAGCTTTTTACTTGGAACCATGTGTGGATGAGAACTTCAAAGAAGACAGGTAGAGTCTCATGCTTTTCCTACATACCCCACCCACACGGATGGCTTTTTTTTGGAGAAAGATTCTCACTCTGTCGCCCAGGCTGGAGTGTAGTGGCATGATCTTGGCTCACTGCAACCTCTGCCTCCGGGGTTCAAGCGATTATTGTGCCTCAGCCTCCTGAGTAGTTGGGATTACAGGTATGTGCCACCAAGCCTGGCTAATTTTTTATTTTTAGTAGAGATGGGGTTTCACTATGTTGGCCAGGCTGGTTGTGAACTCCAGACCTCAGGTGATCCACCTGCCTCAGCCTCCCAAAGTGCTGGGATTACAGGTGTGAACCGATGGCTTCTTAAAAGACTGTCTACTCAACAGTGACTCACTGAGTAACTTGCCCTTGGCTCTTCAGCCTCTCACTTGACAATATGACCATCACACGGGTCCATGTACAGTGGTAATGTCCAAATTCACTATCTCTAATTGAATTTTCAGTGGTCTGCTATGTAGCTACACCTAAATGATGGGTAAACCATGGCCTTACCCAGACACACCTCTCTCCTCTCCCATACTTCCCCACCTACTGTGTTGTCTATTTCTGCACGGAGTAGTTCTCAAAGTGTGGTCCCTGAACCAGCAACATCAGCACCACCTGGGAACTTCTTAAAGTCAGAGGGGTGGGGTTTAGAAACCTGTGTTTTTCTTTCTTTCGTAGATGGAGTTTAGCTCTTGTTGCCCAGGCTGGAGTGCAATGGCACGATCTCAGCTCACTGCAACCTCTGCCTCCCGGGTTCAAGTGATTCTCCTGCCTCAGCTTCCCAAGTAGCTGAGATTACAGGTGTGTGCCACCACACCCAGCTATATATTTTTTGTATTTTTAGTAGAGAAGGGGTTTCACCATGTTGGCCAGGCTGGTCTTGAACTCCTGACCTCAGGTGATCTGCTGCCTCGGCCTCCCAAAATGCTGGGATTACAGATGTGAGCCACCATGCCCAGCCAGAAACCTGTTTAAACAAGTCCTCCAGGAGATTCTCATGCACACGGAAGGTTGAAAACCACTGTGCTAATGGAACCACCATCCCTCTTTCATTCAGGCTCAAACTGTAAGTGTCCTCATCCTTTTGTCATTTCCTCCCTTTCTCTTATCCCATTCCTTGCACATTAAGTGATTTCCCAAATTCTGTCAGTTCACATCTTTAGCATAGGCTGAATCCATTTCCTTCCTCACTATTCCTTCAGGTTCACATTAATTTAGACTACTGCAAAAACTCATTAAGTCTTCTCCCTGCCATGGTGGTGTGGGGTCCTGCTTCCACTGCTTACATTTTTTCCTGATATGTTTGCCAACGTTCAATACTACTCACCAATAATCTCTATGTTTTACAAAAGGTTTACTGGGCTCCAGGCTCTACGCTAAGTGCCAAGTATTTCTTCATGAACTCCACATAATCAGCCTGTGAGGGAGTCAGAGTCAGCCTCATTTCATAGAGAACTGACTTGCCTATGGTCACTCAAAACCAAGATTTGAAATCATCTCAATCTGTCCTAACCCCATGGGTTAACCACTGCGCACCACGCTCTACCCAACCCAACCCATAAAACTACTTATAAAAAGCCAACTCAGCCTTGTTTTAAGACCTTCTGTATAGTCTGGCCCCCAAATATCTTTTTGTGGTCTCCTATCACTTCCTTTCATGCACCTACACAGAATTATTTATGGCTTCCTATACACACCACTCAAGGCTTTTCCTCATTTGTTCCATCCACTTGAAACACTCTCCCATAAACACCTACAGTTCTTTATCCAGCCCTAGGGTATAGTGTTCTGTGACATCTTCTCAATTTACTAAACAGGACTCCTCTTAAAGAAGAGTGGAATCTATATTTCACTCATCTTAGTATCTCTCCAGCTCTTTGCAAAAACAACAACAACAACAAACCCAGAAAACTCTGGTAAGTAATTCAGGGTGATTTTATGATTTACTCCCTTATTACAGCCTCCCCTTCCTCCCTGACATCTTGATCTCTCAGACATCACGTCCTGCATATCAAAAAACCAGGAGTTTCCAGCCTTAGCATGCCACTTTTGAAAACTCATTGAACAGACTACTGACATTTAATTGTTGAACTGGGAATGGCATTTATTTTCATTTACTTTTTCTCCTAAAATGTAGAATGTATAGATAGGATGTATAGATATGTGTGCTGTGTGTGTGTGTGTTTGCAGATATAAATAATTCTAGTTCAGTCTTGTAGTTGAGGTTTTATTAATTTATGTTTAAAATTCCTTACATTTGGGAAAGCCTTAGTAGTCAAATAAATATTGAGGAAAAGAGGTATCACAAGGAAAATGGATAGTTGGAGGAGTGTAAGCTGTAGTTGTCAATGACAACCATTGCTATCATTTTCCAACAAGGTAGTTATTTGGTAGAATTAATATAAAAAACATGGTGAGATTTTCTTTAAAATGTAATGCCTTGAATATTTGATTAGCTATTACTTTAAACCTTAAGAAATTACAAAAACTAGTAATGACTTAACATGAACAATTTGGGTTTTATATATATATATTTCAAAATTATTAAGACCAATGATGCATATCACCTAATGTTAGATGCTTATTTGGGGGTTAATTGACTACACAGTATATGATAATAGTCCGCATAAATCATTATTTGCTGAAATGGAAAACTAAAAGAATAAATGACCAATTTTCTCCTTCCTCTACGTAGACTAGTTAATGAAAACACAGTAAAAAATATAAAAATGATAAGAGAAACAACAAGGCTAAATAAACTTAACCTTCTATTCCTCAGTAGATGTAATAAATTGCACTACAGAATAGGAGACTTATTTTAAAAATTACTAATTTAAGGTTTGGCTAGCAAGTTAATGAAATCTAATGAGAATGAAAACAAATACCACCTAACACAGGAAGATTTTTTTCTTAAGACTATACTAGGTTTACTTTTACAATTGTCCGCAGATATTCTGTGGCTTAATGTGTGTGTGGGTGGCAGGGGTACTAGAATTAGAAAACATATTTATTAGTTATGCCCTAGTCAATTAAATGGTTCCTTGGGAATGCTGGGTAGCTGGCTCAAGAGGTACAAGTGTTCAAAATTTTTGTCTTAACTTTTTTCATGTTATCTGTATGGTTTCAATAATATCATCACTCCTTTCTAAACTTCCAGAAATTATCGTGGGCTTCTTCGGAAAGAAGGTTAAGAAAGATCAATGTATTATTGATAACCATAAGCCATATCTAACCTATAAGGAATATTAAAGCTGTAGGAGAGCTCAGGCACATCTAGCTACAGGCTGCGTCCAACCTCAGTGCATACACATCCAGAATAAAGCCCTGATTTCAGTCTTTGGGTCCACAAGTGCTCTGTTCCTTGTGCTTCCATATTTGATGTCCCTGTTTTTCTCCGACTCTCCTGCTTTCTCCCTAACATTTGGCTCCTTCCACCTATATATAAAAGCAATTTTATTTTTCGTTACCCTTATTGAATATCTGCATACTCCCTGTTTACCAAAAAAAGAGCAGACAAGTAATGTTACTTCTTACTTGTGTTAGATCTATAGGGCAGAAAAGGAAAAAAAAAAAAAAAAGGAAAAAAGAAGAAGAAAAAGAAGTTCCAGATTTGAATATATACGTTGTTCAGACTAATTTATTTGACCAAAAGAATCTTTAAATTGCCATATTGAGAATTCTTTTTCTCTTGCATAAAATACATCCTCCCTTATGAAGAAATATATTTGCTTATGTTTGGAATGGGCACAATTTAATATCAAATGTCTAACTTTCCTTTTAAGTCATAACAAAAATAATAATATCGGGCAGTACTGAATGAATGCCATCTGTGGGTTGGGCACTCTATTTATATTTTCTCTAATCCTTAAAAAGCAACACAGTTTTGAATTGAGCAATCCTAAAATGGGAGGGGCAAAGTAAATGACTTGCCCAAGGTCACACGAATTAGTAAGTGAAGAGTTGGACTGAAATTCTAAATTCTTGCTCTTTCCATTATAGGAAGCTGAAAAATTAAGGTTATGTCATTTTCTGTTGCTAAAGGTTATATTTAGAACTGTAATTGACTTTATTACTTCAAAACATTCTTCTCAAATCAAATAAAACCCTGCAATTTAATAAGAATTAAAGAGCCAGATGCAAGTATACATGGGAACTTAACTAATGACAAAGGGGAAATTTCATTCAATGGGAAAAGTACTGCTGTTGTTAAGTAGAGAAAACAAAGCTAGATTACCACCTCAAACTATACACACACATGCACACATTGCTCACTTTCATTAGTAAGGAAAAAGAAAATCAAATAACAATGAGATGTCATTTTTCATCATACTGGCAAACATTTAAAAAAGCGGTTAACAGCCAGGGCTGGTGAGGAACTGGGGGGAAATGGGCACTTACACGTACTGTTCATGGGAGTGGGATCTGCTATAACACTTTGAGGAAACAATCTGGTAATACCTATTAAAATTAAAAAGCCATATTCCTCATGCCCTGCCATCCCCACTTGGAAATCTAGTCTACAGAAATAAAAGCAATGGTATATATTAAACAGTAATTGCAGCATCATTTGAAACAATTTGAATGTCCATCCACATAGTAATATTGTAACAAACGATGGCATCTCCATTCTACAGCATACTATATCCTTATTCAAAAGAATGAGTTGGACTCTTATCTGTTGCTTCAGAAGGACCATTATATATGATTATGTTAAAAAGTCAACTGAAGAACTGAGTAAAACACAACAAAATTTAAAAACCCAAAGCCTACATAGGTTTGTTTGAACACAGACACAACTGTGAATGAGACACAGCAGATCAGTATGATTGGTCACCTCAGAAGGGTGACCAATCTATTTATACTTTTATATTACATTATTATATTATTTTATATTTACAATTATTTACACTTTTATATTATCTCTTTTAATTGTATCACTTGTTACAACACAATTTCTGTAATTAAAATTGAATTCAGAAAATTAAGCAGAAAGAAAAGAAAAGACACGAAGTATTATTTGCATGTACCAGGACAAACCTGCTGAGGAAACTGTCAATTCCTCGAACGTGGTATTCTGATTGAGTGGACAACTGATATTTTTGCTTTTCTGAAGCCATTAAAGTATGCTAACAGTGTTCAATAATATTCCAATAACCTATTATGGCCTATTCTAACAATTGGAAACAACACATCAGATTCGAAAGTACACAGCATTGGTGATGCTATGAAGAAATGGTGTAGCAGGAATGTACACTAGTACAAACTCTTGGTGGGGCAATTTAACAATACCAAAAAAAAAGGTAAATATTACATACCTACCTGTTGTCCCATTAGTTCCAATGCTGAGGTTGTGATATACTTGGAAAAGTACACAAAACCAACCAATCAAATAAAACTGGAAACAACCCAATAATCATCAAAATGGGAATAGCTAAATATATATATACATCTACATAATAGGATTCCATGCAATTGCTAGAAAGGATTGAAGTAAATCCAAATGTGCTGATACAGAATATGTTTAAGAAAGATTATGCAGGAAAATAAAGCCAGGCAGTTGTTTTTAAAAAGACATCTATGCTAGAATATGCAGAAATAAATTTTTTCTTGATGTATACTCAAAAAACTTAACTTTAGAGGAAGTTTTAACCTTTGGGAAATGGGACTGGATGCCTGTAGGGTGGCTTACTTTTCATTTTATACTTCTGAGTATTTAATTCCCTCTACCTTGGGCATTTATTTTTGTTATTAATTTTTGTAAATAAAATAGAGTAAGAGTTGTTTGCTTACGTAAAACCACACTACAATCCCAATTTTTACTAATAGTTAAATGTTCCAATTCTGACCTATCAAAGAAAATGTTTTAAGAATTAATTTTCATGAAGGGCATGAAATATATAACATCTTAAATATATATGCTGTAAAATGAACTGTTTGCTTTAATAGATTCTACTGTATGTATTTCTCTGGAAACTCCACAGGATTTAATAAAGAACTGGTATCTTTAGAAAGATGCTTTTTGGCTTACTCTACGGTTTTAATTAATTTCTTCCATAAATTGCTAATCAGTAAGGAAGGAAAGAGCAACTGATAATCAACCGTAATCTTATATCTACCTAATCATTCTTAAAAATTTTATATAAATATGCTTTGAAAATAAAACACGCAAGAGGACCCAATTAACTTTAAATTTTGAATCATGTTAGGGCTGAATCACTTCGATACCATGTATCACATAGTAAATTTTTCATTTGATAAACAAATAGTTTGAAAGAGTAATCATTCTTTTGTAATACATAATTTTGATTAGGTATTCAAAGTAGACATGATATTTTAAACAGGTGATGATATATGTATATATTTTTACTGTGACAAAATATATGCTAACAAAATGTAACACTTTAACCATTTTTAATTGTACAGGGCTTTAAGTATATTCACATTGTTGTGCAACCATCACCATCATCCATCTCCAGAACTTTTTCATCATCCCAAACTGAAAAAACAACTCCCAGTTACCTCTTCTACCCAGCCTCTGGCAACCACCACTGTGCTTTCTGTCTCTATGAATTCGACTACTCTAGGCACCTTGTATAAATGAAATTATGTATATACTATTTGTCTTTTTGTGATTGGCATTATTTCACTTAGCATAATGTCCTCAAGGTTTACAGAATTTACTTCCTTTTTAAGGATAAATATTCCATCGCAATATATATGCCACATTTTGTTTATCCATTCATCTGTCAATGGACTGCCAATAGAAACAACTTGTCATTAAAAACAACTTGGGTTATTTTTATGTATTTTTTTAAAGTCCCAAAAGTCTATACAAAACTTAAGCCAAATTCTGCAACAAAACATATCTTAAAATTCATATTTCTATTTTCTCCTCTCCTGGCTTCTTTTCCCATCAAGAAACTACTAACTTTCACAAAATTCAATAGTGAAAGGCCTTATCTCCCAGGATGAAAACAGTTCTATGACTTTTTCTTCTGTAATTTAAACGACTGACTTGATTATGAGAACACTTGGACACAGGGCGGGGAGCATCACACACCGGGGCCTGTCGGGGGGTGGGGGGCTGGGGGGAGGGATGGCATTGGGAGAAATACCTAATGTTGATGGATGCAGCAAACCAACATGTCACATGTATACCTATGTAACAAACCAGCATGTTGTGCACATGTACCCTAGAACTTAAATTAAAAAAAAAAAAAGACTGACTTGATTATACATTCATTTGTTTAAACACTGCGATGGGTAGAGAGAAAGAGGGAAAAGCAGAGGCAACACCAGTGCCTGCGCTCCACAATCATAACAAAGTGCGACGAGCACTCATGTAACCTGGGAAGTCGGCCTGGGGCCACAGAGCAGAGGTGGTCTAAATTAGATATGAAGTTTCTCTTCAAGGAAGTCAGGGAATTGGATTAAAACATTCAAGCTGAAGGGTCAAAACAAATCCCTGTTTTAAGATGCCAAATAAAAGTAGGCACCTAGAAAGTCAGTGAACATAAACAAACTGCATGGTGCTGATGAGACCACAGGGCTTGGCATCCATTCCCCATTGGTTCAACAAGGCAACACCATCTGCATTGCTGGCTGCTGAAATGATCAAAAGACCTAAGGTGTGTGAGAGCTTTAACAAGCTTTCGGGCCCCATACAAAACTTCTTATCACAGATTTTTGTTCTAATATCCTAGAGCAGCAGTTGGCAAACTTTTTCTAGAAAAGGCCAGATACACAGTAAATATTTTAGGCTTTGTGGACCATAGCACAGGTCTGTGTCACAACTACTCACCTTTGACCTGGGAGTGCAAAAGCAGCCATAAACATAAATGACGAGTGTGCCTGTGTTCCAGTAAGATTTTATAATATATATGGAAACTGAAATTTGATTTCATCTAATTTTCAGGCGTCATCAAATATTCTGCCTTTGATTATTTTTTAACCATTAAAAATTGTATAAAACATTCTTAGCTTGCAGGCTATAAAAAACAGGCGAGGGCCAGATTCAGCCGGTAGGCCACCTGTCCTGTAGTTTAACAACTTGTAAGCCTCTTTAAAGGCATACGATTTGACAAAGATTAGAACAAATATGGAAGGATTATAGGATTTTGGTATCAACTTGGATCTGACGCTAGGCTCTGTCACTTACTAGCTATATAATATTAGACAAGTCACTTAAACATCTGTAAACCCCAGTTTAATCACTTGTAAAATGGGAGTAACAACCACATCAGAGGAGTTGGGTGTGAAGTACATGAACAAAATGCTAAATGCTGTGAGCTATTTTTTAAAGAGTTAGGCATGATAAAGTAAAATATAAATTTTTATTTTTTTAATATACCACGTTCTTTCCTAAGAGGTTCACTTGCCAAAAATTTGGAAATATATTTTCATTTCCTAAGTAGAGAAAAAAAAATTAAGTAATTTCTGCCATAGACAGATGCCTTGGATTCCATTTTTACTAAGCTCTTAGCATTGTACAATGTTATCATGACACTTAGTTAATAATTTACCTCTTTTATCTTCTGATCATATTCTGTTCTCAATAACCCTTTTTTGTTCTCAATGTCATTTTTTGTTCTTTCCTCTTAAACTTCATATACAGAAGATCCATTTTTTTTTTACATAAAATCACAAGAAGGAAGTAGTGGCTGAAGCACCACTCATGACAAATGAGTGAGAAAAATAGTGGTTCCTTTTTGCTACAGCCATAATGCTCTATTTATTTAATTTCAAAGCAAGAAATTTACACAAATTAGGCACTCTTACAACCCTTACAAAATTAAAATGCATGATTTCTTTATATAGCCAGCCTGCAGATAGCAAAATATCAATGCCAGCCAGGCACGGTGGCTCACGCCTGTAATCCTAGCACTTTGGGAGGCTGAGGAGGGCAGATCACTTGAGGCCAGGAGTTCAAGACCACCCTGGCCAACATGGTGAAACCCTTTCTCTACTAAAAATACAAAAATTAGCCAGGCGTGGTGGTGCATGACTGTAATCCCAGCTACTCGGGACGCTGAGGCAGGAGAATCACTTGAATCCAGGAGATGGAGGTTGCAGTGAGCCAAGATCGCGCCACTGCACTCCAGCCTGGGAGAAAGAGTGAGACTCTGCCTCAAAAAAAAAAGGGCCAGTACAGGGATGGTGGGTACATTTGTGTTGCTCTTTAATATTCAGATACTGATTTAAAGCAACCCAAAGTCTTAATTCAGTATTTCCCATCATATTACTCTTTTAAGAAATTCCTTTCCTTTGTCTATTTTATGAAAACACTAAAAAACAAAAAAAACTCTGCCCTTGTTTTCTGAAGGTACTCTGGGCAGTTTTCATGGTAACAATTCCCTACCTCCAGTTAATACACAGGAAAAGATCAAGCTTACTTCCATAACTGTCTTCTGTCCTTCCAGAAGCAGGAAGCCGCAATTGCAAGAGAATGCCATCTCTAAACTGAATGCTTGGTGTAAGTCCTCCGCAGAGTGCCAGGCTAGGTCAGGGTTCCTGCGTAGGGCTTGAGGCTCCTGTAAGCAGAGGCCAGCACACTGGCCCATACCCTCCCCAGGGATATCATCAACCTTAATGCCTGGGACAGTGCCTGCCTGCCTCCCTCAGGCATGTGTGTTAACAGGGTTAGAAGACTGGGTCCCTTTGGAAAGAAAGGACAACACAGTCTACCACCGAGACCCACAACCTTCTGAATTCATCAGCAAAGTGAATTAAAGGGGCTGTAGAAAGGATCACCACAGAGCAAGCTATGGGTTGATCCCAATTCTCTTGGGACTAGTGGCGAGAAAAGTGGATCTGTGAACAGGGCCAGGAACCATAAAGGAA
Source organism: Homo sapiens (assembly GCF_000001405.40). Taxonomy (NCBI): domain Eukaryota; kingdom Metazoa; phylum Chordata; class Mammalia; order Primates; family Hominidae; genus Homo; species Homo sapiens. The sequence goes on along the minus strand of NC_000002.12, from coordinate 158,559,173 downwards.
TCAATACTTCACTGGGCAATTTTTGCTCTTCACAAGAAATATCCTAGGATCCTTACAACTCACACTGGAGCCTGAAATCTAAAAACAGACAAGGCCTTCCATTCATGAGAGTCTGCGGTTTCCCACAAAAGATGAAGAGAAAAAACTAACCCAACATCCTACATACCAGGTGAGACTTTTCTCTGAAGTACCACCAATGTAGCTGTGGCCAGCTTTTTCCAAAGTCCTCCCATTCACTCAGGAGGCACCGTGGTTTCCAAAGGGAAACCTTCTACTGAAGCACTGACCCTGATCCTCCCTTACTCATTTTGCTTGGGGACCTCCTAAACTACTCAGAACTTCCACAGCCTGCAATAGTACCCACTCCCTGTACCCATGACACCTTCACCTTCTCCTCTTTATGTATTTCCATATTCAGCCTGACCATCGCATCACTCTCTTGACAGCACCCCAATTCCCCAGTCCTTTACTTCAGACAGTTCCTGTTTCCCTTTCCAGACACACTTATTTCAAGGGCTCTCCACTTATTCAGGTCTCATTTTCTCTTCAACTCTGTCATCTGGCTGCTGCTCTAAACTCTGTACCAACTGTTCTCTCCAAGGTTACTAACCATTTCTTGGTGGCTACATCCAAAAGGCACTTTTCTGTTCTCCATCTATCTACCCTGACCTTTCTGCATCCTTCAAAATCACTGATGACTTCCTCCTTGACATTCATCCTTCCTTTGGCTTCACAGATATCACCTTCTATTTTTTGCCCACCCTGCCTCCTCTGGCTATACTGTCTCCTTCATAGAATCCTGTTCCTTCCCCACCTCTTGTAAATACTGCTTTTTCCAGTTTTCTACTTGCTCTAGACATTTTCCCTGGGTGAGTCCCTCAATAATAATAGTGATAGTAGCATCGGCCGAAATGTACTAAAAGCATGTACTATGTGCTACCTGTTATTCTAAGCCTTTAAATCAAATTGATTGAAAGGCAATGATATCTCTGTAATTGTGCCTATGAAGTAGGAACTGTTAACACTTATTATTCAGAGGAGATAGAGCCATGGTCATATGGTGCACAGGGGAAAGAATGGGGACTAGATTCCCTGAGGATCACCCTAGGGCCTGTGTTCTTCATGCCTCTGCTGCTCCCATGGCTTCAAGTAACAACTATGTGGTTGTGGATCTCATATCGACAACTTTGACCTAGATCTTCCTGACCAAGGTCCAAGTCCATGTGTCCAGCTATCTAATGGGTCTCTTCTTGGGGATGATCCACAATCACCTCAAGGTACACACATGCAGAACATCAGTTTACTCTCACAAATTCTAGCAATCTGTAACCAGCTGCCTTCTTCAAACCCAAGCATCCTCTTAGATAGCTCCATCACCTTCCACACACAAACGTAAACAGGTCCTGTTCCATCTCTCATTCTCCTTGGATCTAAACCTAAGTTATCACTTTACTATACATCTGTGACACTTATCTTTTAAAATGAACTAAAGCATTACAATAAAAACAAAGCATTTTAATAGTATTATGTTATGAATGACATAAATATCAAACAACAGGTAAAAATACAGGATCTGGCAAAACTTGGCATTTTCTCAGCAGCACACATTAAGTTCACTTGAAAAACACTGTGTTTTAAAATAGCATGTACTTAGCTGGATTTAAGAACAGCAACATTTTCACTGCAAAGGCTGCTAGGATGACTTTAGTCCCAGAAACCTTGCATGTATATAATTCAGGACAGTATATAGAATGACTTGATGTTTTCTGGTTCACTACCCCAGCTCATTCATTCATACAACTACAATTTATGATAAAGTCAAATTTTAGCCATTCCCTTACATTTCCTCCTGTGTTTTCAGTAAGTCTACATCTGACACAGACTCATGTAAGGTATCATGATAATAGTATTACTGGCTATTATTCATTAAGTGCATACAATGAGCCACATAGTATATACTAAGGCTTTCTATGCATATCAAAAGTGTGAATATAGCCAACACCCAGTGAATAATTTCTATGGGAGAGGCATCTTTTATTTAAATTCTACAATAACCCCACGAGGAATATATTACTATTAATCTCATTTTAGAGGTGTAGATCATGAATGTCTAAGGCTACACCAAGTAGATGACATGGCAGGGATATGCAGTTAGAAGGTGTGACTCCAGAGTTGATGCTCTTTATCACTCTGTCTTTCAGCCCCATGCCATGATCTTCAGGGTGTGGAAATGAAATTGATTTCAAGGTGGAGGGGGCAAGATAATAATCTCTTAAAAATAATATAAGCCTAAGTAATCCAACAGAGGTCTCACTACCTGGCTTTACTCTGACGTGATCATCTCCTTCAATTTAATAACTGACTCATAAGCCTTTCTTTGACATTATCTAAATACAATGGCAGTACCAAACAGGGATGGTCTGCAACAATTATCACAGCTGCCAAAGTTCCAGGGAAGCAGCTGTGGGTGCAGAAAATCTAGTTTGCAGGGTTTTAGAGATGATCATCTTCACAGTTTCTCATCTGATAAACAGTGCCTTCTATGACATCCAGCATCCGTTACAGTGAGAAAGTAGTATCTTTGGCATATCTTAAGACTCCTGGGATCAGAAACAAGAATTGGTAAGTACAAGTTAAAAAAAAAAAAAAAGAGAGAAAGAGCCACAATGCTTCATTTATCTATCCGTATTTCTCCATTCTGGATTTTCTATGAGTTCTGTTTTTAAGCTCATTTTTGTCAATATATCTAATTGAGAAAGATACCAAACAAGTCCCAGGTGAGACTGCACCATAGCAACAGGCTTGCCAGGAATTCTTTGGGGAGCAGAATCTCAGAGAAGTATTTGATTGCCTCTTCACACTCTTGATTACAACACACCGAGCTGTTAAACTAAATTGTAAGCCATTAGTGTACTGAATGAACTTTAAAAACTAAACTACCCGATATGAAGATATTTTTCACACATACAATCACACTGAGATGTGTTTGTTTGTAGCCCATTTCCCTCTTATTTAGAAAATAAGGCAGACATCTTTAAGCTATTTCAAAACTTGCCAATGTCACAGTGTAATAATGTGATAAATAAGACATTGCCCTTTATCACTAGTAAATATTGAATCTTGGCTCTAATTCATAAATGTCTTTAATCGTTCACTGTTAATTATGACAGAATATAAATGCCCTGTCCTTAGAATTTGATCAAGAGTTTTAAAGTATCTTGAGTTAGATCAGCAGTGACCAAAATAAGCAAGCTATGGAAAAAACCAAGCTCAGTCTCAGAGTAGATTATACTTGGACTTGGCCTATTAACTCAGCTGGGATGGTATTTTGAGAACAAACAAAAAAATAGGCCACAGAAGAAAAAACCAGTTTATGTCTGTGGGTTGTACAACTCAAACTGTCAGCCACCCTACGAATTATATCATGATCAAAAGTGAGACCAGGTGAGGATACAGGTGGCATGGACAAAACCCATGACAATCAGAAAATCAACCAAAGGCAAATCCAGATGAGTGTGAAGTACTATTACCATCCATCTTCACATCCAAATACAAGACATTTAACAAACATTTCCCACACTTGGGTATAAATTGTGTTGCAGGCAGTAAAACATTTCAGAAATATTTAAATCAAAGAACAGAGAAGCATTTATGTAAGGCTATTTTTATACAACCAATTCTTAGTTATTGATGCTAATAGAGCTATCCAGTGGTGTGTGTCTACTCCAAATTATTTACACTTATATTTGTAGTGCAGAGTATGATGTTTCTGTAGCAGATCTAATTACATTTTGCTTTATTATTAAGATGAGCTAACATTTCTTTAATATACACATGTATGGGAAAGGTGGTGTCCCTAAAGCCTGCTAGGCAGGAGAATAGCTGGCTCACAATTACAAAGACACCACAGACAGGCTTCAGAGAAAAAGAACGGACTGAACAACTCAAACCTTAATTACTTTATAAGCACTCATAATTTACATAAGACTGGTACAGGTCACTAGGGATTGGTACAGATCATTTTTGCTGATGTTGCATGTTGCCTTCTTAGGAGCCTGGGAAGCTTCCTCAACTACCTGGAGAACAATTAGAAAATATCATTTCACTAAATAAAACATGTACTAATGTTTAAACATGGCTTTTAAGAAGAGATATATTCTTTGGAAGCTATTCATATTAGAATATTCAGGATTATTTAAACAAGTAAATAGCAAATAATCATAACAGAAACATGCACTGTGCAAGTATTATGTAGTGGACCCCTGCTGTTCTTGCTACCTAACATCTTTGTACCTTTCTTCTAGGTGTGGCATTTTGATTTTTATCTAAAGAAACTACCTTCCCTATTCTTGGGCCGTAAGAGTTTGGTATATTAAGAGTAGGGTTGCTTGAGGTATAGAGAAAGTGGCAAGACCAATGGATAGCAATTTTTGATGAAGAATCATTTCTGGCAGGGCGCAGTGGCTCACGCCTGCAATCCCAGCACTTTGGGAGGCTGACGCAGGCGGATCACGAGGTCAGGAGATCGAGACCATCCTGGCTAACACAGTGAAACCCCGTCTTTACTAAAAATACAAAAAATTAGCCTGGCATGGTGGCGGGCACCTGTAGTCCCAGCTACTCGGGAGGCTGAGACAGGAGAATGGTGTGAACCTGGAAGGCGGAGCTTGCAGTGAGCCAAGATTGCACCACTGCACTCCAGCCTGGGCAACAGAGCTAGACTCCGTCTCAAAAAAAAAAAAAATAATAATAATAATTATTTCTGAGTGAATACTAAGAAAGTGAACTGAAGGACAGGAGTTTGTGGCCTAAGAATATAATGTCTAAAGGAAATGCAAGATGAGAAAGCCAAGGGACTGCCCTACCAGAGCCTGGATGGGCTGTCTAGGTAGATACTGAAGTCACCTGGAGACCCACAGCAGGAGGTGAACTGGAGAAGGTGGCCATGAGCTGAATCTTCAGCGAATGACAGTGAGTGCCAGAAGGCTACTGAATGTCAGGAGAGAGGAGGAAGCATGGTAAAGCCAGGCATGGAAGTCTCAAAGGAGCCAGGGACGTGTAAAGGCAGGCAACAACCGGGGGGCAAGGAGAATGCTGACCCCACCTACTTAGCTTGAGAACACAGAGGGCAGGAGAATAACCAGATGTTAAAGAAATAAATTCATGTCTGTCCCATGTCCCAAATACATGCAACCCATTCCAACATCTCCAAAAGTCTCAAACCATTACAGCATCAACTAGAAGGGTCAAATCTCACATAAATTTCATCACTCAAAAATCCCAAATCTCATCATCTAAACATCCAAATCAGGTACAGGGGAGACTTGAGTATAATACATCCTGGAGCAAAATTCTTCTCCAACTATTGATTCTGTGAAGCTAAAAGATAAGTTATCTGCTTCCAAAATACAGTGGTGGGATAGACATAGGATAATAGTTATGACACTCCCATTCCAAAAGGAAAAAAAAATGTAAAGAATAAAGGAGCCACCTTTCCCAAATAATTTCAAAACCCAGCGGGACAAGGTTTAAAGTCTGAGACTATGACTCTAGGCCAAAGCTGTATCCTTGAAGTCATTTTTCCTTTTCTTTAAGGGGACCACATATTTGCAACTGAGCACTGTTTTGACAAGCCTGTACAGTTTGGGAAGTCTAACAGCTTTCCTATATTTCAACCTGTCTCTGTCCTTTTCAGTTCAAGCTGGCAGCATTTTTGCTGATACAACATTTTCAAAAAACTTGTGGGTTTCCTGTGTATTTGTGCCATTAAACAAGTGGGTCATCCACAGATCTTCCCTGGAAAATTTCATCTCCACTCCTGATTTCTGCGGAGTCACATGCCTGATATCTTCAGCACTAGTCAAAGGTTATCTACATCCTTGGCGTTCTCTCTAGAGCACTTTCCTAAAAGTGAATCTCCTAATTTTACCATTTTTTGCAACCTGGATAGGCTGAGAATTTTCCAAATTATCAAACTGTGATTCATTTTTGCTTGAGAGGTTTCCCCTTGATTTGTTTTTCCTCTCACATTTTGTTATTAGCAGCAAGAAGAAACCAGGCTGTACCTTCTACGCTCTGCTTGGAAATCTCTTTACCTAAATATCCAAGTCCATCATTTACATGCTTTCTACAGGACTGGGAGAGACAATTCAGCTAAGTTTTCTACCAGTATTGGCATATCTTGTTTCACTGCACTTCGCTTCATTACTCTCTGTGGCTATCGCATCTTTTACAAATTGAAGGTCTGTGGAAACCCTGAGTTGAGCAAGTCTACTGGCACATTTTTTTCCAACAATATGTGCTTATTTCACTAGCATTTTTAGCAATACAGTTTTAAATTAAGGCATGTACATTGGTTTTTAGACATAACGCATGTACATTGGTTTTTAGACATAAGGTAATAGACTACAGTATAGTGTAAACATAACTTTTATGTGCACTGGGAAACCAAAAAAATTTATGTCTCACTTTATTGGAATATTAGCTTTATTGCGGTGGTCTAGTACTGAACCAGTATCACCAAGGTATGCCTGTAAATATTAAGAATCACCTTTCTTTCCTCTAGTTTCCAATTACGTATTCCTCATTTCCTTCTGAGCTCTCACCAGAACCACCTTTAATACCCACATTTCTACCAACGTTTTGTTTAAAGCAATCTAGGCTTTCCCTATCATGGGGCTAAAAATTATTCCAGACTCTACCCATTATCCAATTCCACAGCAATTCCACATTTTTAGGTATTTGTTACAGCAGACTCCCCTTCCTGATGCCAAACTCTGTAGTAGCATCCTATGGCTGCTATAACGAATCACCACAAACCTGGTGGAATAGAACAACAAAAATTTATTCTCACAGTTCTAGAAACCAGAAATCAGAAATCATTTTCACTGGGCCGAAATCAAGGTGTAAGCTGGGACGTACTCATTCCAGAGGCTGTAGGGAAAAACCTCTTCTTTGCCCCTTACAGGCTCTGGGGACAGCTGGCATTCCCTGGCTTGCAGCCACATCACTCCAATCCCTGCCTCCACCTTCACAGAGCCTTCTCGTGTGTCTCTCTCTGCCTCTCTCATAGACAGATACTTGTGATGGCATTTAGAACTCACCTGGATAATCCAGGATAATCTCCCCATCTCATGATTTTTTAACTTATTTACACCCATAAAGTTTTGAAATAAGATAACGTTTATAGGCTCCAAGCGTTGGGATAATAAATCTCTGGGGAGGAGAGCATTATTCTGCCTCCCACAATCAGTTTAGAGAGACAGCATATTAATTTATAATAAGACTATCCTGTCTATAAAAAAGTTATAGTTGTTTCAAAATTACTACTTAATATTGCAAAAGCTGCAAAATTACTTTTCTGAAGCTAATATGTAAATGTGAGATACTTATTTTGATTTTTTCACTTACGAATAAGTATAATTAACTTTTAAACATAATTTTAAAAATGAGGTTGATGGTACAGCTAAGTAGAATAAGTACTGGTAAATTAGCAAATATAAATAGTTGCAAAGATTTAAAAAATACTTCTGCATAAAGTAAAAATATTTTAGAAACAGATATGCCTTTATTTTAGAAATTACTCTTTAGGAAAATACTATTTTCCCTTAGGAGTTAGAGTAAATAAATGGCTGTTATCTCTTTTAACTCTTGGTTATGTTTCAGTCTTTAGGTTGAGGAAGGGCGAGGGTGATTGAATACCAGAAGGGGGAATGCTAACTGAGATGGTTTTAGTAGAGCAACAGGCAGCTAAGTTTCTGTCAATATGATCAATTACCTTGGGAATCGCTTCACAGTCTAGCAACTGGCACCCCCACTTGCACTGTCCACTACAGGGAAGAGGGAAGATTCAGAGAAGCAATGGTAATGCTAATTAATGTTTTTTTCTCTAACAACCTAGAGGCAAACAGTTTGGGGTTTTCTGTCTAGAGCTTTAATGGCCAAATAAAACTGTGTGCCTATTTAATAGCTCTAATTACTTTTATAAAGTTGACCCAAAGACCACAGGTCTGATAGGATTCTTACTATTCTTTTCCACGTAAGCCTAAAAGCAAATCAGAGTTACATTACAGAATAATAATTAATACTTAATAGTGAAAATAATAATGACAACTAAGTAACTGTATTTGTAAAATCTTATTCTAAAAATGGTGATTCATGCATAGTAATTTGAATATATGGTCACATATTTTATATTAAAAAACATAAATAACACAGCAAGGCAATGTAGTCTTCTTTCTCTGTTATGTGTATCTTTAAAAGGCCAGGTTGCCTAGGTTGTAAATTCCCGGAAGGGCACCACATTTGTTTCCCAGACATTTATAAGCTTTCTCTCAAATTATTCATTTTGTAATTCTAAACTAACAATAAATATTACTTCGTAAATGTACCTAAATCAATAAATGTCCAATCCTGCACAAATGTAAAATCCACAGTTTGAGAACTTGAGTGATAAAAAGTTTCAAACACTGTTTCTCACTGGGACATAGAATTGCAGGAATTCTCCATTAAGTCTGAGAAGTAGACAGGCCCCACCAGTCTATCAGAACAGACAGTGTCTTACATTAACATGATCCCAAGTTGCCACCTTTGCTGAGAGTGCAGCCAAACAGCAGGACTAGAAATCACACCCCATCAGGGAGTCAGCCCTGGTGGTAAAGTGCTTGTTGGGTCACACTGTTTGTCCAAGGACTCACAACCACCGTTTGAAAACTGCTTTACAGAACATTTTCTGGGGTGATGAAAATGTTGTATATATTGATTATGGTTACATGACTACATTCATTTGTCAAAACTCATTAAATTTTATTTTACATAAATTATACCTCAGTAAGCTTGCCTTTAAAAACATTAACACACATGTCCATATTTTCTTTTTATTAAGTTATGACTTTGTAAGCTATAAGTGACATTCTTACAACTCTGGCAAAATACTGCTATAGATTCATTCATGAATCCACTTTGATACACATTACAAATAGACTTCTGTGTTTGAAGCAACATTTTTCCACATTAATAGATTGTTTAACTTCTTCTTGGCAGAAAAGTAATGTTTTATTCTGAGAGATCTATAAATGTAACCTTCTTTAGAGAGCAGAGCCATAGATGGAGCCTCAGGAGAGTGAGATTTTGATCTTCCGTCTGTGCCTGACCCTCCTATGTTGGACAATACTACTCCCATTAGCGACACTGCTATGAGATAAAATATTACTTACATTAGGTTGAATAATTTTAAAACTACAACCATGCATTTATTAGGCATAATCTTAAGTAGTTTTCACAACCTAAATGTTTTGTTTCTGTAAATTCACAGAATTTAAGCAATAATGGAAAAAAACATGTTTTATGAAAATAAACTACTATCCCTTCAATAAAATCATCGGAATTAAATCAAGAAAACTTTTTAAACTTTTGTGAATAAATGCAAAATATGAGTGTTGGAATATTAATGACCCTTTCCATACTGGTCAACACGGAAGATTAAAATACTGGGCTATTCAGTTGAATCAATCTTTACCTCCTCCCTCTGCTTATTAAAATATTATAAGAAAAAAAGTTCTCTGTTTTGAATTCCAAGCAGAGGGGCAATGGCACCTAACCACCTGCAGGCCCAGCAGCCCTTAGTGTGTGGAATAGCAAAGGGTGGGGAAAGAGGTCTAAATCTAGGGGTGGCGGTGGGAAGGAACATATTCAACCAAAGCACTCGTCCCTCACAGGGGCGTAGGTGAAGGGCCACTAAACGATTTCCCAAAAACTCTGAAAAATATTATAAATAAAATTTAAAAGGATTAAAAAGCAGACTACACTGACTCAAGCCTATTTTTTAGACATGAAATAAAATATGATCCACCCCTGTAAAAGTACCATTCTGATAATACTGAAAACTTAATTTATTTTTGGAAGGAGAATTTTTGTTATTTTTATGTGCAGAAAACTCAACCGTGTACATTTAACCCAGTTTAGTGGCAAGTCCTTTAGCGTTTGCCCTTTCCAGCTTGGCAAAGCAAGCCACAGACTTGGAACCCAGGACACTGCCTCCCCAGTGATGGCGGATCTCATCATATCTATCATTGTAATTGGTCCTGATAGTTTCCACCAGCTAACCGAAGCTCCTTTGTCTTCCAAGTTAACCTGTGTGAAGGCAACAGTGGTGCAGGGTCTTCCTATGCACAGACATCCCAGGCTTGCCTTCCCCTTGATAATGCAGTCAAGGACCCCCATTTTAGGACATAAGGCAAGCAGGAAGACAACTGGCTCAATGGGATCCATGTCATGTGCGATCACCACCAGCTGAGCCTTCTTGTTCTCCAAAGGTGGTGACAATGTTAACCCCTACTCGAAGGACAGGTGGTCTCTTAATGGGGATGTTCCCTTTGCTGGCAGCTTTCTTCTCAGCCCAGGCCAAGTCTCTGCTTCTTCTCTTGCTTTGTCTCTGGTCAGTACTTATGGGCCAGCTTAAGCAGCTGAGTAGCTGCTTGGCGGTCCACGGCCGGGGTGAACTGGTTCATCGCAAGAGGCACTTTCAGCTCTGGATAGAGGACAGCTCTTTGCTGCTGCAACCTGATGTAGTAGCAGGGGCATTTGACAAAGTGGGTTAAGATCCCATTTGGGCTAGATGTCCTATCCAATGCCAAAATTCTCAGGTCTTTTCTCAAACAGGGGATCCATCACTTTCTTGGCCTCCTGCTTCTCTGCAACAACAGGGGCCAGGGCCACCTTCTTCCCCTTGGCCTTCTTTCCTTTTGGCATCTTGGGTGGCTGGAGGAGTGAAACTTAACATTTATGAAGTTGAATAATCTAAAGGAATTTCTTCAGGGTTAACATAAAGAAGCCAAATAAAAATATTAAATTTCTCCACAGGGTTAAAATTTTACTTATGCACAAATTTTGTTTTTTCATAAATATGAGTATAACTGTTCCAATCTTAAAATACTCTTGAAGCATAAGATGTTATTTCCATAATCCTGGTCCTCAAATAGATGAGTCAGGCTTGATTTTATTAAAACTACCAATACAGGCTCCTTATGTTATTTCAGTAAAATTGTTTCCTGTACAGAGTACTCCACAGGCAGTTAATTGTCTGAATCCCTGTCTGCCATTCAAAAGGCTTTATTCTAGTCATAGTGGATTACATTGCACATATTTTTCTCCAATAGAAAAATAAATGTTAAGATGAACAAATCTAAAACAAAATTTTTATATCCAACAGCTTCACCCAGCCTCAGCACAGACTTGAACTCCGGTCTTGAGCCTTGTTGGCCGACTTCACGGAGCTTCACTCCTCGACGCTCAGCCTAATGTGTGGTCTTGTTTCTTTCACTCAGGTGTCTGCTCAAAAATATTTTATGAGTGCCCAATATTAAGCTGCATACTGGAGTTTTGTAAAACAGTGTCTATCCAAGAGTCTGTGCTCTATGGAAGCCGATAATCTAGTTTAAGCCAGGGTCTTACTGTGATTCTTAAAAACATGTTAATGTGTTTTAAAAAGTCAACTTTATTGAGATATAACTTACATGCAATAAAATGCACCCATTTTAAAGGCACAGCGTTAGGGGTTTTACTAAATGTACACAACAACGAGCCACAGCTCCAATTAGATTCAGAATATTTTGGTCATGCCACCACCCCGCAAAATTGCCTTAGCTTCTTTGCAGTACTGCCCCTCCCTTTGTTCCCCAGCAATCATGGACTTGCTTTCTGTTGTTACAGATTAATTCTGCCTGCTCTAAAATTTCTATCAATGGAGTAAATCAGTACGTACTCTTTTATGTTTGGCTTACTTCCTTCACTCAGCAGATTTTTGAGATTCATCCATGGTGCATGTATCAATGGTTGGGTTCTTTTTTCTTGTTGTATGTTATGAATATAATTTATTAATTCACCCAGTGACAGATAATTAAGTGGTTTCTAGTTTGGTGGGTATTTGTGAATAACAGTGCTATGAACATTCTAGACAAGTTTTTGTGTGGACATACTTTTTCTTTTATTCTTAGGTGTGACCCAGGAGAACTGCTGGGCCATAGGGTAAATGTGTTTAACTTTACAAAAAATTATCAAATTGTTTTCCAACATGGTTGTGCCATCTTACACTTACCACTGCCCCCCCATGGCCCAAAAATGTAAAAGTCATCTTAGGTCATAGGTGATACAAAAATAGGTGGTAGACTGAATTTAGACTGTAGGCTATAGTTTGCTCCTTCCTGCTTAAGAATTTTCTATATATACAATAATATCCTTTGTGAAAAACAGAGTTTCACTTTTCCTTTCCAGTGTGTGTACCTTCTACTTCTTATCTTACTGCATAAAAAAGAGGCCTTTTTACTTACTGTAGCCTCTCTGTGAAGCCAATCCTCTGACCTTTTCTTCTCTCAACTTTGAGATTTCAGCATTTCTGCAATGCACCAGGCCTGGTTTCGTACTGTCTCTATGTCTGTAAATCACATCCCCTTGCTCTTTATCCTTAACCTGTGCCCACCTCAAAGATCCCATGCTGTTTTTCTATGCTTATCTTCTATCCTCTGAGCTGCACTGTCTGAGAGGAAATCTTGTTCTCAAAAGTGAAATTAGTTTGAATTTGACACCTCTCTTGGGCTGCCTACTGCTACATTTTTTGGCTCATGCCCTATGGTGCTACTTCTCTCAACCAAAATTTCACGTTTCTTTCCTGTGTACTGAGAAGGACAACCAAACTCCCAAATATCTTGTGATTACTTAAAAAAAGAAGATTTCAAAAGCATCAGGTTTAAATATGCAGTGCTTACTATTTGTGCCATCTAACCATCTTTACCTGGGCATTTCCTGTTTGCAGGCTTCACTCTGAAAGCAGTTACAGAAGAGACAGTTTTCATAATCTTGCAAAGAGAATAAAGCAAAAATCTGAAGAAAAATGACGTTTGAACAAATGGAAACTATATGACAAAATAAATTGGGAAAAGAACATATGGCAAAAGAATCTAAAAAGATTAATATTTGAAATCAGTCTTTTTCATTTTATTTAATACCACTTAAAGTATACTAAAATTCTTTACTTAACTAAAATTCAGTTCAAATAAAACCCAGAACAGATACACAAATTCAGAATACATTTCAGACAGTCAAATACAAAGAATTTAATGGGCAGTATCCAAATGTCAAAAACATATTCTGGGTACTAAAGAGATACCAATTTAATCTGAATTTACATTTCATTTTCTTCAAGATTCAAACCAGCAAGAATAATTCAGTATCTACTACAACCAAAAATATGCTTCCAATTTTGAAATATTTTTAAAAGGCACTGTATATAAACCTTCCTTAAGAGAGGAACTATATGCAAGAGAAATTGAGTCTTAGAAATTACATAACAAAAGTAATCATAATTCTTGGCATTTATGAAAATATTTTACCTTCAAAGAATTTTTACAAACACTAAACTAATTAAATTATGCAATACACATGTGAAATCTCATCATCAGTTTACAATTAGGAATAACTATGGTACCAGGTTTAAATCAAGCATAAACCTAGGGGGTAAATATGCAGTTATATATGGATATAAGAATGAGTAGCTGTAATTATTCATGGATATGATGAAAAGTGACTAGAAACAGGTTTAAATAAGTATAAGATTATGAACTGAATGCAAGTATTATTAGGAAAATCCTAACCTCTGCAACTGCTTAGACTCCCTAATAGCTATGCTCTATCAAAAGTATTAGGCTCATGAGATTTTATTAGTGCTCAACAATATTTAACAAGGGCACCTGACCTTCAGCGGTTTATGACTTAAAAGAACAGATTTATTCATTTCTCAAAATTTTAAAACTTCTCCACCTCCCTTTCTTTCTCGTCCTTATTTCCAAACAAAAGGGAACACTGCTGCTGGTGGGATTACAGAAAGTGCAAAAAGGACAAAGCTAAGGGAACAGGAAAAGGAAACCTTTGTCAAAGAAGGGAGTACAGAGGGAGAGAGTGAAGGCCCAGAATGCCTGGTGAGGAAGCTGAGCCCCCAAAGGGGGAAGTGATGAAAGGCTTCCTCCTGAGCTAACAAAAGCTAATCAAAAGGAATACCCAACTGCCTTGTGCCCAGTGGCTCAAAAAAAAAAAAAAAAAAAAAAAAAAGTGAAAGACTTAGGTTAGGCCTGCTCTCTTTTACACTTTGGACTCAAAAATACAAGTGCTGGATCTCTGGGTGCCCAATGGCACTGTACATTCAGAGGATGGAACCAAATCCTAGTCCTGTGAATGAGAGGCCTTGGAGAATACATAGCTCTAGGTGGGACAGGGGACTTTCATTCATTAAGCTCTAGCTTCCTTAAATATCACTTCATGGCTACTGCTCTGTTTCCACCTGCAGTTAAAAAAGGGCCCTCTTGACACAGTGTTTGTCTTCTGCAGCTCCAACAGATGAGGAACATGAACTCATCCAACACATATGGATAACAGATAAGTTGGAGTAGTGGCAGAGAAACACTCTGCATTTACCAGGTTGAAGAGACAACTGAATGACAGCACAGGATCTTCTGGCTCCTGGTGGGATGTTCAATTCATACCATATTCACCGATCAGTGTAAGAAGCAAATTCATTACCCTTGCTGTCTTTTTTGTGCAGCCTACATATCATCAGAATGAAATTAATACAATATAACGAGGACTTTTCTTGTTGAGCTGGGGGAGGGGAAGATAAGAGAATACTTACGGTGGGGAAAACCAAATTAAAATTTCTAATTTGACAATATTTAGGCCTAAATTACTCTAATTCTTATTTCTTAGTGCATAATGTTATATAATACTTCCCAAAAGGAAATAAGTGTATTTTTACTTTGCTGACTTAAGGATATCCATAACAATGCTTTATAACAGTCCTTTTTACAAAATTGTTTTTGGATTTCTAAGAACCTTTATTTTCATGAGTCTTACGATGCCCCTATGTAATAGGCAGTCAACTAATTGCTCTTATCCCCACTGTCTAACAGGCAGACTGAGGCTTGGAAACACTACCTGGCTGGCTGCCCTGGAGCCACAAAGCTAGGAAGTGATTTTGCTTCACTTAAGCATGGCTCTAGTAAGCCCTGGCAAGAGCACAAGCTCTGTGAGTGGTGGTGGACTAGGGGTGGGGAGGAGAATTCAGGCTGATTGCTTATGAATTGTGTGTGACTATCAACAGCTTTAGCAATCAATTTACACCTCAGTTTCCTCTCATTTCAAATGAGATAATCCTCATAATTCCTGAACCGCAAAGTGATGAGAAATTAAATGAGGTACACATGTCATCACCTGCACAGTGATACCCATAGTAAGTGCTCAGTGAACACTAATTATTATTCTAACAACAAAATTCTACCTTGCTTTTCTGGGTAAGAGTAACCACGTACGGAGAACTACCCTGGTCTCTCAGTGCTCTTCTCCCAAGGGAGTTACGACCTTTTAATGCATTACATTTGAAAACTGGCTACCTTGATCCTTTGCATTACTTAATAATTTTTCATTTCTCTCATCTTTGAGTAAAGAGCTGTTCTGCAGGATTGTAATTTCTGGATATCCAAAGTTTATCCTTCAAATGCCAATTTATTTTCTGATTTCAAATACTACTCTAGTATTATTACTTATTTTCTGACTTATTAACCAGAATATACAGAGCACACACTTTTCTTGATGACTGAAAGCACCACTATGAACATTCACAACTGCATGGAGACACCATTAGCCTCTGGACCTATCTTGCAGTTGTTCTGTCTCTTCCCCCGACATAAGACCATCAGCTGTTGCTGTCACTGTCCCCTAATTTTGATCTTGTGTTTTCCATTTCTTGTTCTTTGGTCCCTTCTCCTCTTTTTAGCCTCTACCACTAATGTAACCAAATGTGCATATCTAAAACACATTCCACAAAAATACAAAGATAACCAAATATATACCTGTTGAGCATTCCTAACCAGAAAACCCAAAATTCAAAATGCTCCAACATTCAGATATTTTGGACTAGAGATGCTCGATTTGTACGTATATTTTGCAAATATTCCAAAAATTTAAAAAAATCTGAACTGAAAGGATATTGTACAGTTCAAGACTATATATTGCCTCACAAAGTTGAAAAAGGTACGAAAACTCATGGCACAAAGAAATTGAGATGAAATGTTCAGTGACCAAAATAACCTGAAAGATTTTTTACTACATTAACCCCAAAATTTGTGATAAGGAACATAGAAAATCTACCACTTATAGAATTAAGTACAATGTCTGATACATAGTAAGTACTCAATAATTGTTAGCTGTTAGTCTCCTATTGGATTTCTATTCCATAGAGATCACTGATTCTCATATCTTACTCACAATTACAATTTTTCTAGATTTGTCATTTGTTTCCTGTTGTGGTAGCAGCAGAAGCAGTAGTAATAGTGGTAGTGGTGGTGGTGGTAGTAGTAGTAAGGAGAACAGAGATAGCAATCTAGCTGCATCAAAAAGCAGCAGGCCCAGTAAAGCAATGAAGGGTCTTTTTTCGCACAATGGCAGACCTGTCAGAGATGATCCATTCTTTGCATTTCTGATCTACTGGTTTTAAAGTAAGAAGAGCACTCTCCAACTCTGACAAAGGTTTTCAGTGGGAAACTGAAGTTTTATCCTAGGTTAAAAAGTTTGCTTTTAAAAAAAAATTATTCAACTAGATAAATTATTCCACATCAGTAAAACACATTTGCCCAGTTCTGTAGTGCAGATCAAATGAGCGAAATGCAACAGCATTCTGTTCAGTACCCATAAATACACAAATATTTTTCATAATCTTACCTACAGGCCTTCAAATCTTCTAATCAATCAGCTTAGAATGTCAACAGCAGCAATCACTAAGATATATTTTTTCACATCATAGTTAAAAAATTTGCTTTTTCATTATTCTTTGCTAACTGAAATAAAATAAAAATCCTGCTGTTAAGAGCTTACATTATAGAAAAATAATATTACTTATCTTATTAAGGAACAAATGAGAAAGTGGGACAATGGGAAATCTCCAGTAAGCAGCATCCCTTCCAATAGTCCTAGACTTAAACCATGGGGTGTATAAGGCAGCTAAGGTTATGAATGAAAAACGGTGTTACTTGACTCTTCAGTTGGGCATAAAGGGCTTACTTTGAAAATAATTAACAGAAGTATTTTCAAAAGAAGAGAAATCATGGCTCATGTCAACTTTGTGATGGAAAGGCATTTCTGAAGGAATACCAGAATACAGAAATACTACATATGGATGAAATAGTAAGAGTTATTAATTCTGCCAGAATAGTTTATTAGAAGGCCATAGGCAGTGGTTAAGACCTTAATCTTGGTTTAGGCTCTTAGAATGATTTGGGGAAAATTTTTAAATGAGATATATGCCTATTAGGGTAGATGATAACTCACGATGAACACTTCACTGATGCCGCGTTGCTTTATAGGAATTTTCATAAGAAAAAGACTACAAGTTAAAACACTAAACAGTCTATAAATTGAAATGCTTTGAACTCCAATTTTTAAAGGAAAAATTAAATTTTCTTTCAAGAGCCACAGAGATTGAAATTCTAAGTATACTTTTAATTTATTATAGCTATTTTCATATTTGAAATATAATTATATAGAATATAATTGCATAGGATGTTATTTGTCTTCAAGTTTCAATAATGTGTTATTTCAATTTGCTTGCAGACTGCTTCTACTTTGTGTAACTCCTACATTATTAAGGTTTGGGTACATAAAAACTCTTAAGATTCTATAAGCTAAGAAATAGATTTGTCTTTGAACTACTGAAAATAACTTTACATTTTAAATGATCTTTCTTAGGAATGCCTGAAATAAAATAGCCATAAACCAAATTACTTTGCTGAGGTACAAGCAGATCTGATCACTTTGGGAACAATACATTCATAAAATATAAACAGATGAAGTGAGACCATATGGACACATTTTTGCAAAGTAACAAAAATGGCAATTTAGAAATTGGGAGCCCTTAAACATGAAGATAGGCACTGGATAGGCTATGTTTTGCAATAGCTACGGAATAACTTTAGGGTTATACCTGAAGGGAAAAACATGTTTCCGAAATATTTTTCTCTCCAGAAGTGATTCTAAAAAGAAAAACGATCATGCAAAGCAGAGAATTCAATGCTGAATAATCCTCTCATCCATTTAATCTCATCAACTCAGCAGTCACTCATTTCAAATTTAACAGCATAAAGTTTGCATATACAGGGGGAAATTATTCCATATATTCATAATTTAACTCTGAAAAGAATTGTAAACTGGATTATTCAACTGAAAAGGAAATTATAATTTTAAAGGTATAAAGTCATGGTTGGCTTTAAGTGTTAACAAAGAAAAATATTCTATCATTTTCAAATGTAAACGAAACAATGCTAATTCAATGGTAAAAATTAAACAAAAATATTCTATTACTTTCAAATGTAAATAAAAGCTAATGGTAATTCAGTGGTAAAAATTAAACCTAAAAATGCCTAAGTTAACAAACTTACATAAAACTGACATAATACATACTGATAGCCTGTTTAAACTAAAAGGGGGCAAAAGTACACACATTCTTGTCTCTTATGCATCAATTAATGAATATTCATAATGTGTCAATTACTCTATATTGAAGTATAAATACGGTTTGTGCCTCTGCATTCTTCTGAGAGTAGAAACTATATGAAATAGGTCAACTTTATATGTCTACTTATCCCCCTCAACCCATTCCTTGACAAAGTGCTTTGCTCAGAGTAGTCTTTAAATAAACATTTTTTAATTAATTAAAAGCAAGCTTAATCTAAGTATGGAGGCACTGTAAACATGTTTACATTTTTAGTTCATTAACTAATAAATATTTTGGGCACCTACTATGTTTTCCATGTTTGAATGTGTGATCCAGTTATGTGTGAACAGCCACATGGAGTCTGTTCAAGTTCATAGAACAGTCTTTCAAACAAACCCCTCAGTGTCAATACAACCTAAAATGATGCTTCCGATGAAATCAAAGAGAACAAATACTAAGTTATTCTGAATATATAGTTGAGGACATATAAGACTGGAAGCTTTGCTAGCAGTTCCATCTGATCATTCATCAGACTATCGGAAAATGTAGGCAGGTAGCCAAATGCATATGCTTGTTGTTAGCTACCTCTTGGCAGTCTAATTTTTTGATGTTGAGAAGGACAACTTCTTTGAGGAGTGGGCAGTACTCAAATACTGAATAAACCTGTTGGCCATACTCTGTAGTATTCTTTAATCACAGGGACGCTTGAGGTGGAGGACACCCTGCATCGTTAACAAAATGAAGGGAAATGTTAAATTCTGACCATGGTACATGCAACTTAAGAGGACTGATCTCCTGAGAGCCATTTTAGAGTTCAGAATTCTTGAATACAAGCCAAACAGTGTCACAAGGCTCTGCCATTTGTCCTCATTTTGAACCTCATTTTTATAATATTATGGAGATAAAGCTGTAAAATTTGATGATCCCTCAAAAACCACTGAGATCCAATCTTATCTTGGGTTAGATGCTGCAGTTCAGGCACTGAAAACTTCACTGTGGGTTACACGGTAACAATAACTGCCAGGATAATTCAGTTACCAATTGGAAAAATAACTAAGTTGCCAATTGGAAAAATCAGAAGTTTCAGGCATTGTACTTACAGCACAAGACTTCTAGTTAAGTGACAAACTATGCTTGTTTACAGCTGAAATAAAAATTCTCTCTTCTGCATGTGGCTGAGGTGTGTCAGAGAGGACTATTTCATTGAAAATAAGCATAGGGGCCAAACAAAAGGAAGTTACAAAGGCAGGTGTGTAACAGCTGAGTTGTTTCAGTTCCAGAGGAATAAAGTAAATAATTGTACTGGAATTTGTTCACTTCTGGGCATTTTGCCATACAGGAAGGGTGTGTAATTACTGAAGCTAAGATATCTATGTAAAAATGAAGTAACATCAATAGGACACAGTTGGGCTTCAGATTTTCTTATTTTATCTTCAAAAAATTAAGGATCTCTGGCTCTCATTTCACTCTTTGATATTTAAATATCACTTAAGTTAATAAGGACATACTGAAGATAGAATGGTTATTTTCACAAAAGCCAGAAAATATATTGAAAGTGGTATTCTCTTTAAGAGCCACACAGATGAGGAACATTGCAATTTTCACTCATCAAAGATAACAAAAGAAGCATACACTATCTAACTTGAGACCTCACCAGAGTAAAAAGAGTGCATATAAAATTAGCATATTTTACCAAATCTATTCTTTGCTTACCAGTTCATGCTATCTGGATTGGCCTCAACCTTAAATCTAGATTCTAAGCTTCTGAAATCATTAACCAAAAATATAAGAATGCGGTTTGTGGGCCAGGTGTGGTGGCTCACACCTGTAATCCCAGCACTTTGGGAGGCCAAGGTGGGCAGATCACCTGAGGTCAGGAGTTTGAGACCAGTCTGGCCAACATGGAGAAACCTCGTCTCTACTAAAAATACAAAAATTAACTGGGTGTAGTGGCAGACACCTGTAATCTCAGCTACTCTTGGGAGGCTGAGGCAGAAGAGTTGCTTGAACCCAGAAGGCGGAGGTTGCAGTGAGCCAAGATCGCACCACTGCACTCCAGCCTGGATGACAGAGCGAGAGTCTGTCTCAAAAAAAAAAAAAAAAAAAAAAAGTGGTTAGAGAGCCTGAAAAGTATGACCAAGTTCAAATAGAGATCTCAATTATTCAAGCAACTTTATGACAGAAGATGAACAACTCTAATGAATATTACATGTGCAATTCTACAAAACCAGAAATCAACTTGCAAAGATACTTGTGAAAGATACTTGCAAATCCTAGCCATGATTGGCCATATTGTTCTCTTTTAAAGAGTGTTTCTAAAACCAAGAGATCATATTGGAATCATTATAAAACTACAATGTATTCTACCACTTGATAATAATACCCTGCACATGATGCTTGGCTCACTGTTTCCTTGTGCCTGTGAGTGAGCATTCTGACCCATCTAAGTAAGTTGCAGAGGGCAGCAGCAAGGCTCTGGATAAGCAGCGAATGTCTTATCAAATTCCAATTTCTCTGCATCCAAGGGTGTGCTGTGCATTTCAATGACAAATCAATCAGTTTAATCTAAGGTTTCCACAGGAAGAGGCAGGATCCTTTGAGGGCACCACATTTTTCTTTCTTTTTTTGGAGACAGGTTCTTGCTCTGTCACCCAGGCTGGAGTGCAGTGGCATGATCACGGCTTACTGCAGCCTTGACCTCCCAGACTCAAGTGATTCTCCTGAGTAGCTGGGACCACAGGCGCACACCATCACACCTGGCCAATTTTTTGTATTTTTTGTAGAGACAGGGTTTTTGTCATGTTGCCCAGGCTGGCCTTGAACTCCTGAGCTCAAGCCATCTGCCCACCTCAGCCTCCCAAAGTGCTAGGATTACAGGCATGAACCACCATGCCCAGCGCTGTATTTATCTAGTTATTACAACTAAGAGAGTAAGCTAGGCACTAACCAGTATCAAGTTTGTCAGACATTTTTGAAAACTATTAGGAGATTCCTCCTTTCCTACATCTGTATTCATCATGGACTCCTGGATTCTTATTAGGAGTTGAGCTGAACAGTAGAATCTGCTAAAGGATGATCCTAATTACAGCCAGGTGGTGGCTGAAGTTCTGATACTTCCTGTAATTTCAGAATCACATTACTTTGTTATTCCCATGGATTGACTTTTTATTTCTCTTAAAGCATAATTCTTAACATTTCTTTAGTAGTTACCCGTATCACCTGATACACATAACACTGGTGGATATTTTGTGACATCACCAAGATAACCACATCCTTTTATTCCCTAAACTTAACTTTCGACTAAATTGGACAGACGGGAGATGAAAGTTATGACACCTATGTCATTATTTGACCATAGATATGAAATAAAATTTTATTTTGTACTATGCAAAGATTGAATTTAAATCCTTTATCAATATGGATATAGTGCAATTCAAATTGTCTTAAGAAGGTTTGGCTGAGTGACAAGTTTTCTAGGTGCTGTGAGACTCTCTTGCTCACAATGTTTCTGTGAACGTGGCTACAGGTTCTGTTATCTTAATAAAACCGCAAGTTGGTGACAAAGTAATCGACAGTAAGTATTATCTATTCATTCCCTGCTCGAACAACCATTTATTGCAGGTCTAATATATCCAAGGTGCTGGGAGAGGAGCAACCTGTAACACAGGTATAAAACAAGGCCTAAAACACGGCTCTATCCTCAGGTAACTGATTATATAAATCCAAAGAAGCATACTATTAAGAGTCATGGCAGTAGTATAAAGTGCTAAAAGAGATCAGGAGAGAGATTTGACTTCAGGCTGGGTATGTTTCATCAAAAACGCAGCGTTTGAACACAAGTAGCAAAGATTCTTTCTGTCAAGGAGCAAGGATTTTTCTGTACCTTCGCAGGTACGCATCCACATGACTGATACCACTGTGAGAGGTTATCACTTCATAAAAGACATTGTAAATTCTAGCATTATGCCAAAGAACAAGGAACAGCTAGCTTCTGGCACTGGAGGATTCTAGGGAAAGCATAGCCCAGTGAAGAAAGATTTCACTGTTTTATGACACTCTATGTCCAATTTCAGATATTTAATAGACTAACGGTTTGTTAACAAGACTGCTATTGGTTGCTTGCCATTTCCTTTCCTACCACTTACCATGAATTGCCCAAGGGGAGTATGTGTGAGGTATTTTACTGGCTTAGATATACTCTACTGAAGAACCCAGACTTTTCCTCTCAAAATTCAGGTTAATTTTATAAGATACTACTTTGCAATTCCTTAACCAAGTGCCTTGACATTATGTTTGGGGTTGCAATAAATTAGCATGTTCATAAAACTTATTTTTATATGCTCTTTCTCATAACATATACATAAAATTGTATGTTTATGTATACAGTTTTTGTGAGATCAATATGAAGTTTTTAAAGTTTAGTGTCTGCATAAGTAAACTACTGTCACAGCATAAACAGTGCTCAATATTCAAAGTTTGTCTTCTGCTATCAATGTCCAAAAAAAGGGCTCACTGAATCTTTAGTATGGTTACAAGTAGAACCACTAGCTCCTCCTAAGAGGAGCCTTTTCTTCTTATGCAGAAATGATGATGACAATCGTAATGTTAGCCCTTACTAAGTGCCAGGTACTGTTGTAAGCATTTTACCTATGTTAATTTAAGGTCCTCACTATTATTACCTGCATCTTATAAATGAGCAAACTGAGAACAGAAAGGTTAAGAAATCTTTCCAAGGTCACATGGTTAAAAGAGAAAACAGAATTTTATGTACCCAGTTGCATTGATAGGGTCCCTTCCTTTTGTGACCTAAGGAAATATCATTCCTAAGACACAGCTGCCACTAAGCAAGTTCTGTTATTTGAGATCACAGAGTGGATACCATTACGGCATGGCAGTGACGCTTTTTAAAAAAATAATAATTATGGGCCAGGTACACTGGCTCACACTTATAATCCTCACACTTTAGAGAGGCTGAGGCAGGAGGACTGCATGCGGCCAGGAGTTCAAGACCAGTCTAGGCAAGGTAGTGAGACCCCCATCTCTACAAAAAAATATTAAAAACTAAAAATTAGCTGGGCACGGTAGCACACACCTGTAGTCCTAGCTACTAGGGAGGCTGAGGTGGGAGGATTGCTTGAGCCCAGGAGTTTGAAGCTGCAGTGAGCTAAGAAGGTGACACTGTACTCCATCCTGGGCAACAGAGCAAGACCCCAGCTCTAAAAAGTAATAATAATTATGCATCCCATTTAAGAATATTGCTCTTTTGGATATAAAACATGACCAACATTTATTGCAATTGCATGTAACAGTGGGCTAAGAGTGTCACACTCTGACCAGTAAATTTTAAAATCAAACATATAAGGTGAATGGTAATTAGTTTTCTTACTTGGATCTAACTTTTCTGTGCTCTATCCCATTGGGTAGATGATAGGAAGTGACATATTTCAGGAGAGTCTTAAGAAATTTTTATTCCAACTATATTTTGCCTGGTGCCACAAAAATTGCAGGGGAGCTATTTAAAACCAGGAGAGTATCTTGGAAAAAGACACAGATGTGGTATCCTGGGTTAAACAACTGAAATGCTAAGTACTTACAATTTTTAAAAGAAATTATGTATGAAACGGCAAATATATATTAATGAACTCCAATTTCTCAGGATAGGAACAGAACCAAAGACTAGAGTATAGCATCCCACTAAACTAAACAATTATATATAATAACTGTTTTAATGAATAAGATGAATACATTTTTGGCTGCCTTGAGAAGCTGAACTCTTCTTAGCACTTCCCACAAAATACTTATTCAGAACACTATTTACTGCCAGAAGATAAAATTTTGAAGTCATTTGAGGCCATCAAGGAATTCTAGTGTCAAAATCTTAACAAGTTTCCTTATTTTCTTACATGTAGGGTATATGGTCTCAAGGTACAAACAGACATTCCCATTGCTATGTTTACTGCACGCAGTTAATAGTTTTAAGTCATTTCTAAACATTTTGATAAATTTACCACGTTTCACCAAAACACAGTATATACTAAGAGCCCCAAATAAATCTGAGGCTTCTCATCTTAACAGCTCCGTGGGTCAAATCTTGACAACTATGAAGTGCTATCGAAGAGTCCTTTTTTCTCTCCTAAAGATAACAGAAGCTTAGACATTTTATAGTTTGGTGGAAGATGAAAATTGTACTGACTATATCTTGCATCTTCTCAAACTCTTTGTGGAAAGTTTAAAAACTTCAAATTTCATTGAGGAATAAAAAAAAATGTTGACATCTTGTTACTAGAATAAACTGAAATAATTTTTCTTGAAAACACAGTTCTAACGTCAGACATGTGTCACGGTTATAGAGCAATCTTTCATGCCACATTCCAAGTTACGAAAAATAGTACAACAATAAGGTAATAAATGTTTCCTCAATCTTCGTCATCATTCATCATTTGAGTTACTGATACTGACTTTCAAAGGAATATCCCAGCAAATACAACATTACCTATCTTGAGAAAAAAACATCTAGTGGCTTAATTATAAGATGTTTTAAAAAAACTTAATCTTAGATTATTTCAACAAAATAACCCTCACAGGGGACACATAATGTTGTTTTGGAGAGAAGAAGCAGGGAAAAAAAAACAAAAAAACCATCCCTGGAGCTTTAAATTTACATTTACCTTATTAAGCTTTGAAATCTTAAGAAATTAAAATTGCAGAATTCCAATTTCTCTAAGCACAACTGATAAGACCTAATATAGGAGGTTACTTGAGTTTGAAGGATAAAGAGTATTAATGCCTTAAAAAAATCAACATAAACATGACATTGAAGCAAACTGGCACAGTTCGACAAGTTTTAGAACATTAGCTCACAAAATGAATATACTTAAATTTAGACAAACACACAAATATAGCCTTTATCCAAAAATCACAGAGACAATCCTATATACTACCTATGTTAAAATGTTCAAAATACCTAACGCTATTACAGGCCTCAGGTTGCCAGAGTCCTGATAGAAAAGTCAGCACTGAGAACTATGCTTTACACAGCTTTGCGTGCATGCACACACTCTGCAATGTGGGAGAGACAGAGACACCGATCACCATCGAGATTGTCCTTACTTGCAGACGCACAAGTATCCTGCATGTTCCGATTCTGACTGGCACCTGGAGCGGCTCTACATGCCAGTCATCCCAATGTACTCAGGGATGTAAACACCTTATAATTAGAAAACGTGAAGGCGTCAAGGACGTTACACAAATTTAAAACATATCCAAAGATTAATTTTTTAAAGGCATTAAAGAAATAATTCACTGCAACTTTCAATACGAGGATGTACCTGCTCCTTCACGGATGCTAGAATAGTGGTGGCTGTGGTCTCGGGTTCCATGCCTGGGCCAGTGGAGGCAGCTTCCTGGCGGGTCTGTGGTTGCCCCTCCTCCACCAATGAGGCCTGCTCAGGAGCTGGCATTCCTCCTGCAATCAAGCAGGCAAAGGGTTAACACTTTCTTCTGGGCTCCCTTGCAGGAACCAAGGCTTTACAGATGGTTCCTAGCAACTACAGTAGACTACAGTCTACACACCATGATCAAAAACTTGTGAAATTGCTAAATTTTCTAAACAGGTAACCAATAAGTAAATATGACTAACTTATCAAGAAACTAAATAATAAACATTCTAGATTGCTATAGGGGTCTGTTTTCAA
The DNA here is from genome assembly GCF_000001405.40 of Homo sapiens. Classification (NCBI taxonomy): domain Eukaryota; kingdom Metazoa; phylum Chordata; class Mammalia; order Primates; family Hominidae; genus Homo; species Homo sapiens. The sequence goes on along the minus strand of NC_000002.12, from coordinate 158,532,950 downwards.
AGTAATATGCACACAAAAAGACATCTACAAATGTTAACTGACATGAGAAGAATGTTTTACCAATTGCAGAAGAGGTTTTTGCAACAGAAAAGAAAAAAAGAGTTTAAAACCTAAAGAAGGCTTAAAAATAAAAGTCTGCTTATTTAAAAGAAATATAACATATTAATAACTAGCAACAAGGTCACCCTTGGTGGAGTCCTATAGCTAGCTTGGTTTCTTTAGAAGAATCTGATTATTCAAAGATAACAATAACTAGGAATGTGGTGTTGAAAAGAAAATCTATTTTTTAGGCCCATAGCTTATGATAGAATAGGTTCTTGGCAGCAGATGGAATGCCTTTCCTAAGACAACACATAGTGAGAGCAGTGTGTTTGTCAAAAGACTTACTGACCTGATATGGACTTCCTACAGTTTTGGAAAATAGGGGGAAACGATGATTAGTGTAAAATGTTATTAAAATTTTAATAACTCATTTACACATCAGTCTCTCTGTCTTCTAGTGAGTACAGTCTTTATCATACCATGAAACTAGCCTAGTGCCTGGCACATTAAATGGTATTCAATTAATGTTTGCTAAATAAATGAATACATGAATGAAGGATGATATATTTTCAGTCTCATTCCAGTCATTAGGCAAATCCCGCCAAGGCTTAAGATGCCCGAGAGACCCTATCTGTTTAGATGTGTCACTCTGTATATTCAAATAGGGACATCTGAGACTATAAATATTTTTCTCAACATTCTTCAGTTTTCTCTTGCAAACTACTCTACTATTATTATTCATTTATAATCAATTAACTTCCACAGTCTTCAATTCTATAGCTTGATCTGGGACTTGTTACCCCATTCCCTCAAATTTCAGTATCAGTCTTCTGTTTCCAAAATAATAATCCGTAAGTAAAAGGGGAGATGTACACACCCTCTGAGATCCCATCTTCTTCCCTACTCTCCTGGCTTAAATGTTAGTGGAGAGGGTCTAAGTTTCAGGTTTCTGCTGGTGGTTGTTTTATTCTTGCCATATTAATAGGCATAAATGGATAGTGGGTCTGATTAGTTTATCTGTGCATTTCCCCAGCCTCATGAGTTCTCTTGCCTGCTCTATCTAGCAAGTGAATTCTCAATCTCTCATTTTCATGGCACATAAGGCCTAGATAGACTTTGAACTGCAGGCAGGATCTTCTCAAGTATGAATAGAAGGATCCTGAGACATGAGATGAGTAGGATGAAAACCTAAGTGCCCTGGGGGGAGTTTCTACCTTGCTGAGCCTCACTTCCTCACTGATAAAAATGGCTAGTTCTTTATACAATGTAATAATTTTATGGCAATCTATATTTTTTAGTGTATGTGGAATGCTTATTGAGATGTAAAACAAAATATTATCAACTAAATAAAATTTCTTCTTTCTGTATCAAGTGCTCATTAAAGAGAAGATCTAAGGTCTATAAAGGAAAAAAATGCTACACAAAGATCCTAGATTAGCATTTAAGGCAAGTAAAGATATAAAAGTATTCCAGCCATTGAAAAATTACACACCTTAAAATAAGCAGATGGTTGCAAAGAACAAAAATGTTACTATGCAACAGTGAAACAAATAATGCCAAGAACCAAAAATTTTAAATGTCAAGAGTATAATATGAAACAACCAATGTGTAAGAAGAAAAAGAAGGAAAAATTCAGTGAACAAAGATAATTTGAGAAAAGGAGAAACAGAAATGTCACTGGGGAAGTAATTATTTATTAATATAGAAGGAGCCTTACTGTTAAAAAGACATAGAATTATATTATGGTAATTGTATTACATCACTGTGAGGATATCATACTTAATTTCACAGTATTTATCTTGCTGACCCTGCTTCCCAGGACCAATGAACCCAGAGGAGCACTTTCTGAGTACCACTCTCCCAGGGACATTGACCATTAGGGGGCTCATCACCTAGCTGATGCAGCAACATAGGATCAAGGCAGAGTACGGCAAGATGTAAATGCAAAGGAGTAATGCTAAAGTCAAGAGGAGGAGGGTCAGAGAGCTTATAACTGTGTAAAAGAAACTAATATAATGCTGAGAAGCTTGGCAGGAGAGGAAATTTTCATAGACATGGATGATATCTATTCTGATTCCTCAAAGGTTAGGACACACCACAGGCAACCATGAACAGTCATTAGATGAGGAGCAAAGCCAATGGTACCTGTCGTTACTAAGGGTGAGACACTTCCCTACCCCTTATCTCTGAAGCAGTCTCAATATGCCACAACCAACATGGGGCAGGGGAGGGATACCACTGTGCTGACAAGTTATAAACCTATGAAGGTTTCCTATCCATTTTCTTGTAGTTTTCATAATTGTAAGACCATTTAATGAATTAGAAAGTATCAAGCTAAGACTGGAGTCACAGAATAATGATATTGCTCCATTCCACTAGCAAAAAAAAAAAAAAAAAAAAAAAAGAAAGAAAGAGTACTTCTATCGTAAAGAGACTGTGAGAAATTAGGCCTCACGCTTCCCTCAGTGACCTCAATTTGCTTGATTTGACTGATCACATTCAGGAGACCTGGGAAAGCTTACAGATAGGTTGCTGAACCATTTTTGAGGGTTCTACAGAGAATGAAGGCATGCCAGAAAACTGGAAGGAGGAAAATGCCATGGCTGTTTTTGGAAAAAGGGAAGGTAGACTCTTCACATTACAAACTACAGAGCTAGACACAGATCTTGGGTGAGATTCTTTAAAGGATTTTATCCAAGAGGTGATTTGTGAGAACTAAAATGGGGCACCACAGAAAAGTCATGTTAAGCTGGCCTAATGTCTGTGGCAGCGTAACCATGGAAATGCAGTGTTGCCCAAACTCTAGTGGGGCGTGTATGATATTAGAAGTCCTCCATCACATTGTCATTAACATAGAAATGTGGCTGGAATAAGGGCAACTGCTGACTTCAACAATCTGTAAACAGCTGAATGAAATACATCAACCTATAGAGGTTTCTAACATAATGCCAGAGGTCTGACCTTGACCCAACCCTACCAAATGTTTTAGCCATGATATCAATACAAGTCATATACAAGTTCTTCAATGACTAAGAATATGGAATTTGGCAGAGGGAGATAAAATTAAAATACAAAAAATATACTGCTACACTGCAGTAATGAGCTGCCTCTAATGAGACTAAAAACAACGGGAATAAATACAAGGTCCTGTATTTAGGTTAGCTCAGCAGCATATTGGGAAAGAAATGTAGGCATTTCAGGTTCAAGAGCAAAATGAGTGAATCATAAGTGAAACAAGACTGCCCAAACCTAAGTGATCTTATGCTGTGTTGATGTAAGTCACTAGGATGATAGGAAGGGCGTTTAAGTGAGCTTACAATTTTCCTTCAGGCTCCTTGGGACATAACTACTTCCAGATAAGGGCAGCACATTAACAGGAATGCACACACTGTATCCATTCAAGAGATGATGAGTGGGGTGTTAAAGGGATCCAGTCATTATTTCCAGGTAAGGGGACAGGGAGGATGTGAATGACACAGCTCCTGTTTTTTATGAGCTCAAAGCTCACTGGGAGACATGAGAGTGGTAGTTAATGGAACAAGAAAAGAAAGTTTGACCTGAAGAAGAGAAATCCAATGTTGACAGGCAGATGCCTATAAGCCTCTGAAGGAGGCTTTTTAGGCTATAATCCCAAGAGCCAGACTAAAAGCTAATGGTTTTGTAACAAATGTGTATTAACCTGTATTATTACTGTCTTTATATTTGGAATCAAAATTAAAGGTTGGAGCAATAACGGAGGCCTTTCCTTTTGGAGCTAATGGTAAAATGCTTAAAATTTCCAGAACTGATTGCCTCTGAAGGTAGCACACTCCCATGATGAGAGATCTTTAATCAGAGTCTCGATGATGATTGCAGGAGGGATAGTGTAGAAGAGATGCTGCACTGTGTGTGGCAGAGACAGGAAACTCTAAATCTTGAGGCCAACACTAAGATTAAACAAGTTCTACATTGTAAACAGATGTGAATGTTCCTCAGGAGTTTTCAGAATGTTGTCTACTGTATAACACTGTCTCTGTATCAGCCACCTGAAAGCCAGGACCTGGGCTTTTCCTGAGGGAATGCTGGATGATACTGGAAATTGTAGCATTAGCTTGTTTTCTCTTTGGCTATACAAAGCTCAGAGATGAACCTGTGACCAACTCTTACATGTGTGGGTATGCATATCTGTGTTCTCATTTTATCCCAGCCTTTACTTAATGAATGTTTTCTTTGCCCAGGTCTCTTTTTTTTTTTTTTTTTCATTTAGTAAGTTTCTTTTCTTTTTTTTTTTTTATTATACTTTAAGTTCTAGGGTACATGTGCACATTGTGCAGGTTAGTTACATATGTATACATGTGCCATGCTGGTGCGCTGCACCCACTAACTCGTCATCTAGCATTAGGTATATCTCCCAATGCTACCCCTCCCCCTCCCCCCACCCCACCACAGTCCCCAGAGTGTGATATTCCCCTTCCTGTGACCATGTGATCTCATTGTTCAATTCCCACCTATGACTGAGAATATGTGGTGTTTGGTTTTTTGTTCTTGCGATAGTTTACTGAGAATGAAGGTTTCCAATTTCATCCATGTCCCTACAAAGGACATGAAATCATCATTTTTTATGGCTGCATAGTATTCCATGGTGTATATGTGCCACGTTTTCTTAATCCAGTCTATCATTGTTGGACATTTGGATTGGTTCCAAGTCTTTGCTATTGTGAATAATGCCGCAATAAACATACGTGTGCATGTGTCTTTATAGCAGCATGATTTACAGTCATTTGGGTATATACCCAGTAATGGGATGGCTGGGTCAAATGGTATTTCTAGTTCTAGATCCCTGAGGAATCGCCACACTGACTTCCACAATGGTTGAACTAGTTTACAGTCCCACCAACAGTGTAAAAGTGTTCCTATTTCTTCACATCCTCTCCAGCACCTGTTGTTTCCTGACTTTTTAATGATTGCCATTCTAACTGGTGTGAGATGGTATCTCATAGTGGTTTTGATTTGCATTTCTCTGATGGCCAGTGATGATGAGCATTTTTTCATGTATTTTTTGGCTGCATAAATGTCTTCTTTTGAGAAGTGTCTGTTCATGTCCTTCGCCCACTTTTTGATGGGGTTGTTTGTTTTTTTCTTGTAAATTTGTTTGAGTTCATTGTAGATTCTGGATATTAGCCCTTTGTCAGATGAGTAGGTTGCGAAAATTTTCTCCCATGTTGTAGGTTGCCTGTTCACTCTGATGGTAGTTTCTTTTGCTGTGCAGAAGCTCTTTAGTTTAATTAGATCCCATTTGTCAATTTTGGCTTCTGTTGCCATTGCTTTTGGTGTTTTGGACATGAAGTCCTTGCCCACGCCTATGTCCTGAATGGTAATGCCTAGGTTTTCTTCTAGGGTTTTTATGGTTTTAGGTCTAACGTTTAAATCTTTAATCCATCTTGAATTGATTTTTGTATAAGGTGTAAGGAAGGGATCCAGTTTCAGCTTTCTACATATGGCTAGCCAGTTTTCCCAGCACCATTTATTAAATAGGGAATCCTTTCCCCATTGCTTGTTTTTCTCAGGTTTGTCAAAGATCAGATAGTTGTAGGTATGCAGCGTTATTTCTGAGGGCTCTGTTCTGTTCCATTGATCTATATCTCTGTTTTGGTACCAGTACCATGCTGTTTGGGTTACTGTAGCCTTGTAGTATAGTTTGAAGTCAGGTAGTGTGATGCTTCCAGCTTTGTCCTTTTGGCTTAGGATTGACTTGGCGATGCGGGCTCTTTTTTGGTTCCATATGAACTTTAAAGTAGTTTTTTCCAATTCTGTGAAGAAAGGCATTGGTAGCTTGATGGGGATGGCATTGAATCTGTAAATTACCTTGGGCAGTATGGCCATTTTCACGATATTGATTCTTCCTACCCACGAGCATGGAATGTTCTTCCATTTGTTTGTATCCTCTTTTATTTCCTTGAGCAGTGGTTTGTAGTTCTCCTTGAAGAGGTCCTTCACATCCCTTGTAAGTTGGATTCCTAGGTATTTTATTCTCTTTGAAGCAATTGTGAATGGGAGTTCACTCATGATTTGGCTCTCTGTTTGTCTGTTGTTGGCGTATAAGAATGCTTGTGATTTTTGTAAATTGATTTTGTATCCTGAGACTTTGCTGAAGTTGCTTATCAGCTTAAGGAGATTTTGGGCTGAGACAATGGGGTTTTCTAGATAAACAATCATGTCGTCTGCAAACAGGGACAATTTGACTTCCTCTTTTCCTAATTGAATACCCTTTATTTCCTTCTCCTGCCTGATCGCCCTGGCCAGAACTTCCAACACTATGTTGAATAGGAGCGGTGAGAGAGGGCATCCCTGTCTTGTGCCAGTTTTCAAAGGGAATGCTTCCAGTTTTTGCCCATTCAGTATGATATTGGCTGTGGGTTTGTCATAGATAGCTCTTATTATTTTGAAATACGTCCCATCAATACCTAATTTATTGAGAGTTTTTAGCATGAAGGGTTGTTGAATTTTGTCAAAGGCTTTTTCTGCATCTATTGAGATAATCATGTGGTTTTTGTCTTTGGCTCTGTTTATATGCTGGATTACATTTATTGATTTGCGTATATTGAACCAGCCTTACATCCCAGGGATGAAGCCCACTTGATCATGGTGGATTAGCTTTTTGATGTGCTGCTGGATTCGTTTTGCCAGTATTTTATTGAGGATTTTTGCATCAATGTTCATCAAGGATATTGGTCTAAAATTCTCTTTTTTGGTTGTGTCTCTGCCCGGCTTTGGTATCAGAATGATGCTGGCCTCATAAAATGAGTTAGGGAGGATTCCCTCTTTTTCTATTCATTGGAATAGTTTCAGAAGGAATGGTACCAGTTCCTCCTTGTATCTCTGGTAGAATTCGGCTGTGAATCCATCTGGTCCTGGACTCTTTTTGGTTGGTAAACTATTGATTATTGCCACAATTTCAGCTCCTGTTATTGGTCTATTCAGAGATTCAACTTCTTCCTGGTTTAGTCTTGGGAGAGTGTACGTGTCGAGGAATTTATCCATTTCTTCTAGATTTTCTAGTTTATTTGCGTAGAGGTGTTTGTAGTATTCTCTGATGGTAGTTTGTATTTCTGTGGGATCGGTGGTGATATCCCCTTTATCATTTTTTATTGTGTCTATTTGATTCTCCTCTCTTTTTTTCTTTATTAGTCTTGCTAGCGGTCTATCAATTTTGATGATCCTTTCAAAAAACCAGCTCCTGGATTCATTGATTTTTTGAAGGGTTTTCTGTGTCTCTATTTCCTTCAGTTCTGCTCTGATTTTCATTATTTCTTGCCTTCTGCTAGCTTTTGAATGTGTTTGCTCTTGCTTTTCTAGTTCTTTTAATTGTGATGTTAGGGTGTCAATTTTGGATCTTTCCTGCTTTCTCTTGTGGGCATTTAGTGCTATAAATTTCCCTCTACACACTGCTTTGAATGCGTCCCAGAGATTCTGGTATGTTGTGTCTTTGTTCTCATTGGTTTCAAAGAACATCTTTATTTCTGCCTTCATTTCGTTATGTACCCAGTAGTCATTCAGGAGCAGGTTGTTCAGTTTCCATGTAGTTGAGCGGCTTTGAGTGAGATTCTTAATCCTGAGTTCTAGTTTGATTGCACTGTGGTCTGAGAGATAGTTTGTTATAATTTCTGTTCTTTTACATTTGCTGAGGAGAGCTTTACTTCCAACTATGTGGTCAATTTTGGAATAGGTGTGGTGTGGTGCTGAAAAAAATGTATATTCTGTTGATTTGGGGTGGAGAGTTCTGTAGATGTGTATTAGGTCCGCTTGGTGCAGAGCTGAGTTCAATTCCTGGGTATCCTTGTTGACTTTCTGTCTCGTTGATCTGTCTAATGTTGACAGTGGGGTGTTAAAGTCTCCCATTATTAATGTGTGGGAGTCTAAGTCTCTTTGTAGGTCACTCAGGACTTGCTTTATGAATCTGGGTGCTCCTGTATTGGGTGCATATATATTTAGGATAGTTAGCTCCTCTTGTTGAATTGATCCCTTTACCATTATGTAATGGCCTTCTTTGTCTCTTTTGATCTTTGTTGGTTTAAAGTCTGTTTTATCAGAGACTAGGATTGCAACCCCTGCCTTTTTTTGTTTTCCATTTGCTTGGTAGATCTTCCTCCATCCTTTTATTTTCAGCCTATGTGTGTCTCTGCACGTGAGATGGGTTTCCTGAATACAGCACACTGATGGGTCTTGACTCTTTATCCAACTTGCCAGTCTGTGTCTTTTAATTGGAGAATTTAGTCCATTTACATTTAAAGTTAATATTGTTATGTGTGAATTTGATCCTGTCATTATGATGTTAGCTGGTGATTTTGCTCGTTAGTTGATGCAGTTTCTTCCTAGTCTCGATGCTCTTTACATTTTGGCATGATTTTGCAGCGGCTGGTACCGGTTGTTCCTTTCCATGTTTAGTGCTTCCTTCAGGAGCTCTTTTAGGGCTGGCCTGGTGGTGACAAAATCTCTCAGCATTTGCTTGTCTGTAAAGTATTTTATTTCTCCTTCACTTATGAAGCTTAGTTTGGCTGGATATGAAATTCTGGGTTGAAAATTCTTTTCTTTAAGAATGTTGAATATTGGCCCCCACTCTCTTCTGGCTTGTAGGGTTTCTGCCGAGAGATCTGCTGTTAGTCTGATGGGCTTCCCTTTGAGGGTAACCCGGCCTTTCTCTCTGGCTGCCCTTAACATTTTTTCCTTCATTTCAACTTTGGTGAATCTGACAATTATGTGTCTTGGAGTTGCTCTTCTCGAGGAGTATCTTTGTGGCGTTCTCTGTATTTCCTGAATCTGAACGTTGGCCTGCCTTGCTAGATTGGGGAAGTTCTCCTGGATAATATCCTGCAGAGTGTTTTCCAACTTGGTTCCATTCTCCCCATCACTTTCAGGTACACCAATCAGACGTAGATATGGTCTTTTCACATAGTCCCATATTTCTTGGAGGCTTTGCTCATTTCTTTTTATTCTTTTTTCTCTAAACTTCCCTTCTCGCTTCATTTCATTCATTTCATCTTCCGTTGCTGATACCCTTTCTTCCAGTTGATCACATCGGCTCCTGAGGCTTCTGCATTCTTCACGTAGTTCTCGAGCCTTGGTTTTCAGCTCCATCAGCTCCTTTAAGCACTTCTCTGTATTGGTTATTCTAGTTATACATTCTTCTAAATTTTTTTCAAAGTTTTTAACTTCTTTGCCTTTGGTTTGAATGTCCTCCCGTAGCTCAGAGTAATTTGATCGTCTGAAACCTTCTTCTCTCAGCTCGTCAAAGTCATTCTCCATCCAGCTTTGTTCTGTTGCTGGTGAGGAACTGCGTTCCTTTGGAGGAGGAGAGGTGCTCTGCGTTTTAGAGTTTCCAGTTTTTCTGTTCTGTTTTTTCCCCATCTTTGTGGTTTTATCTACTTTTGGTCTTTGATGATGGTGATGTACAGATGGGTTTTCGGTGTGGATGTCCTTTCTGTTTGTTAGTTTTCCTTCTAACAGACAGGACCCTCAGCTGCAGGTCTGTTGGAATACCCTGCCGTGTGAGGTGTCAGTGTGCCCCTGCTGGGGGGGTGCCTCCCGGTTAGGCTGCTCGGGGGTCAGGGGTCAGGGACCCACTTGAGGAGGTAGTCTGCCCGTTCTCAGATCTCCATCTGCGTGCTGGGAGAACCACTGCTCTCTTCAAAGCTGTCAGACAGGGACATTTAAGTCTGCAGAGGTTACTGCTGTCTTTTTGTTTGTCTGTGCCCTGCCCCCAGAGGTGGAGCCTACAGAGGCAGGCAGGCCTCCTTGAGCTGTGGTGGGCTCCACCCAGTTGTAGCTTTGAGGCTGCTTTGTTTACCTAAGCAAGCCTGGGCAATGGCGGGCGCCCCTCCCCCAGCCTCGCTGCTGCCTTGCAGTTTGATCTCAGACTGCTGTGCTAGCAATCAGCGAGATTCCGTGGGCGTAGGACCCTCCGAGCCAGGTGTGGGATATAGTCTGGTGGTGCGCCGTTTTTTAAGCCGGTCTGAAAAGGGCAGTATTCGGGTGGGAGTGACCCGATTTTCCAGGTGCGTCCGTCACCCCTTTCTTTGACTCGGAAAGGGAACTCCCTGACCCCTTGCGCTTCCCAGGTGAGGCAATGCCTCGCCCTGCTTTGGCTCGCGCACGGTGCGCACACCCACTGGCCTGCGCCCACTGTCTGGCACTCCCTAGTGAGATGAACCCGGTACCTCAGATGGAAATGCAGAAATCACCCGTCTTCTGCGTCGCTCACGCTGGGAGCTGTAGACCGGAGCTGTTCCTATTCGGCCATCTTGGCTCCTCCCCCTCCAGGTCTCTTTTTTTAAAATCATACCATTAGACTGAATTCTTTTGAGGCTTCTAAAACATGTTTTAGAGGAGGGTTCACTATGGACAGCTGTGCATTTTCATCACAATCTTTATTGAACACAAAGAGGCTCATATGTGAAACTGGCAGTATAATTGTGTATGCATGTATGTATCTTAATCTTATATTCAACTATCAGTGATTAACAGGCAATTTTTCTGCTCAAGGCTGCAGACCACATATACTCTAGTATGACTTCTGAAGGTTTTCTTGGCATATTATAGATGTAATATATAGGTGTAACCTATTATTCAATATATATGTAATCTCTTTTACCAGAGCTGATAATAGTCCACAAAATCATCTGTCTTAAATCTTCCAGAGATGGCAAATCAACTAAATACTGGATTTTTCTCTACTTAATTCCCTTCTACTCGCCTTACTAATAATTTTTGGTGAAAGCATACCAAGTACACTTTATTTCACCTTTTTAGTAAAATAAGTTGGACTCCAGTTATTTTTCCTTTCTTGAGTTAGCTGTCTGGAATATAACATATAGTTGTCATTATGAACACTCAGAAAAATGTTGATGAGAAACACAATTTCAAAACTGATATGACAAAATAATGATGCCTAAGAACAAATTAATAAAAAATAAAGGTTAAAGAAAGCGTGAATATTTAAATTTGATTCAAAATGTAAAGATACTAATGTCAGATAAAAGTGTAGAAAATAAGCATTAGATGAACAAAATATTTTAACAATAATAAGTAGAAAAAATTGCTAGGAGTATCATCATATAGCAAACATAAGTTCCTCTTTGTTTTACTTATAATGAAACTGGAACAGATATTGCAGAAGAATGAAGTACTAGGAAATTAAGAATTTGCCTGAAAAGTTAAACATCTTCAGGAGCATATGGTATCGAGTCTAGAATTCTAAAAGGAGTATCAGATAAACTTTTTGCAGTTATATTTTTAAAATATCCTAGAAATAGAAACATAACCAAAAGCTGCAACTCTTTAGGAGGATTAGAGGTAGTTGCATACTAACCTTCTAATCAGGCGGTTCATAAAATAATTCAAATTTCTTGGCAAGAATTTGTTTAGAAGAGAGCTCTGTGCCAAACAGCATAGTAGTTCAAGAGAATAATCTATGCATAGTAGTTAAATGTTTTTGATTATGAATTTATTTTTCACTAGAAATATCACTGCAAGATAATCTGGTAAAAAAAATTAAGCAAAAGGTTTGTACGAAGAGGAGAAAATCTAGATGACCAATAATGAAGTTCTCAACCTTATTAGTAATTAGAAAAATGAACATTAATACTGCAATGAGTAGTCAATACACAAGCACCAGAATGGCAAAACAGTATCAAATTTTGGTGAGGACCTGGAATAATGGTAACTATCCCATGCTGCTGATGACAGTGTAAATGGGAACCACTCCTTGGAATCCATTTTGGCATTATCTAGTGCAGCTGATGACATGTACACTCTGTAGTCCTGTAATTCCATTCCTGATTAAGTAGAGACACTCTTGTACATAGGCATCTGGAGAGTTACAGAAATATGTTCAAGGCAGCACTCTTTGTGAAGGCGATAGGTTGCTAACAACTCAAGTGACTATTAACAGAAGAATGGATAAATACAATGTAATATATTCATTCAATGTGTTTCACTTTCAGCAATAAATGAATGAACCAAAGCTCTATAAAACAAGGATGACTGTCAACCGTAATACTGAATAAAAGAAGCAAGGTGCAAAAGAACACAAACAGTGGGATTCCATTTATGTAAACTTCAACAATAGGCAAAATAAAACTCTGCTTACTAAGAACGCATGCATAGGTGGCAAGGAAATGACCACCACCAAAGTCAGAGGAGTGGCTACCTCTGTGGAGAGAGGGGGCTGTGATCTCAGAGAGGCACATGAAGAACTTCTAAAGTGCTAGCCCGACATGGGCGGCACTTACATAGATGTGCTTGCTTTTCAATATTTTTAATTGTATGTATATTTTATGTACTTTCATAGTTTTCTCACAGAATGGAAAAAGAATAATATAGCGGAATAAACATGATACAGTATTAGACGAAGTTTATAAATCAAATAATTTAGAATATTTCAGTGATGATAAATAGAATAGTATTTAGTAACTTAAATACTAAAGATTATTCACTTTTAATAGAATTAAACTACTTCTGGTTTTAAAACTAGACTAAATATAATTTTACGATGTATAAATGCCTAGAAGGAATCCACTTCAATAATAAGAGGTTAAAGTTGCAAAATATAATACCCTCAGCCCTGTATAACATTCAATAACGATTTTTGAAAATAAAACACACGGTTAACATATAACACCAGAGTCAACACTGTTGGCACCCTGGGCTGCTCACACTGTGTCTTATGTGAGTGGTGCTCCTCTGGCCTTATGCAGCATTGACTTGCCCCTATAACACAAGGAAAGCACTGCAAAATGGTTAATGAAAACTGGAAATTCTATCTTGATAAACACGAATTACACATGGGCATTTTCAACATTTCCCCAAAATATCTTACTTCTTATATAGAGGAAAGAAGGAAAAAAGGAAAATCTTTTTGAAAAGTACTACGGGTTCATTTTTTTTTTCTTTCTGAGGATTCAGGATCCTTTATAGCACCATAGATGCTAGGAGGAGACGAAATGAAAATCATGACAAATTCAGAGTTATACCTGGAATGTTAAGGGTATACAAAGATAGGATGGAGGTAATCAATAGAGTTAAGAATGTAATTAAAACTCTGATGGAGGGGAACTGGATGAAGAGGCAAGATGAGCATAAATTTCAACTTTTCTCCAACTCACAACTCCATGAAATAATAGAAAAGGCATTTTCTCATTTTTAAGATAAGAAAATTAGTCAGTCTAGAAATTTTAAAAATGTCATCAGCGTGCCAAAATGTCAGAAAGATAACTGCTATAGACCTTTGGTAAGGCAACCAGAGGAAACCATAACACAAAGAGGCAAAGGCTGGCTTTAGAGGATGGAGCATTGGGTGACAGAGCTCGAGGTTCAGAGTATGGTATATCCCAGACTTGAGGCTCTCAGGCCTGGGGCCAATGTCAGGATAATCAAGGGGAGAGAGAGTGCAGCTGGGTGGTCAGCGCCTACCCTGCAAGTGCCCAAGCATTTTGTCACTGGCAGAGAAGAGATTCAGACAGAGCAGGCCTCAGACACTGACACCCAGGGGGGACCAAATTCCCCAAACAGAAGAAAGTAAAGTGGAACAGGTAGAACTAATATCCTTAGTGTTAAAACTGAAAACTGTAAGTAGGAAAGAGAAACAGCCAGAAGCCTTGAAGAAAAAGCTACAGGATAAAAAAGAAATCTTAATCGTGAGATGAATAGCAAAATGAATTTTTAAAAACAGAGTATTTCATAAGAGTGACCTAAATAATTCTCTCAGAAACAACAATTAAAAAAAAAAAGAGAGAGATTTTACAAAAAGATCAAAGAACAGTTTGGTGACTAGAGCTTAGATGCAGGAATGACATCTGTTTACTCCAAGTTCTTGGAAAAGAGAAAAAAGAAGAAATACTACAAGAAGAAATGAAAATTCCCAGAGCTGAAAACAAATCACTTAAAATGAGACAATAAGTGAATAAAATGAATGAAACAAGCTACATCTGGACCAAGCCATTGAAATTTCTAGGTTCCAAGGATAAAGAAAAAATTATATATGTTACTATAGTGGAAAAAGCAAATAAAATCAAATTAGCATCAGACACCTTCTCAATTATAGATTTATCAATAGCTTCCAAGTACTGACCAAAAATTATGATTCAAATATGAAGGCAAAATAAAGGGTATTTTAGGACATACCAGGACTCAGAGAATTTGTTTCAACAAAAGGAAGTTCTGTAACCAAAATCACCCAACCATAATGCTGAATAAAAGGAAATTCTGCAGCAAAACAACAAATATGACAGAGGAAGGTTTAGGACACAAGAAACAGTGCAAAGCAAATGATTTAGGAAAACTGAAGATTAAACCTACATACCTTCTGTGTAGTCTCAACATGAGAGGAGTGAGGAGCTGATAAAAGTGAAATGACACTAGTGTTCTCATTTATCTCAGGGGGAAGAAATATGTAGACAGTAACTCCAGGTGACTGCAATTTTGCTGCTCTCAAAATTGCAGGAGGAGGGAGCATCTACTGCCCCACCCCTGGAATCTGGGACTGGCCATGTGACTTGCTTTGATCACAGAATGTGGCAGATGTGATCTTGTGCAACATCTGAAGCTAAATCTTAAGAGGACTAACAGCTTCTTTTGAAACCCTGAGATCACTAAGCTGTGACGTAACTTGGGATTAAAAGACGCTATGGACACACAGCCCAGCAATCACAGCCATTCGAGCCAAGACCTCAGAATATGTAAGACAGGCCTTCTTAGTCTTGCCCTGACCTAGTCACCAGCTGACTCCAGGCACCTGACTGAGCCTAGGCCAGACCAGAAGAACCTCCTTGCCAACTTAAAAACTCATTGTTGTTTGAGCCACTGAGATTTAGGATGGCTTGTTACACACTGAATAAGTCAATACTACCTGAAATAACCATCAAGATAGATGACGGGGATACAGAAAAAAATTTTAAACTTATTTTTTCAGTATAATATCTGATGTACAAAATTATCTTATTTTCTTTTGTTTTTTTTTTGAGACAGGGTCTCGCTCTGTCACCCCAGCTGGAATGCAGTGGTGGGATCTTAGCTCATTGCAGCCTTGACCTCTCAGGCTCAGGCAATCCTCAGCTCAGCTTCTCGAGGAGCTGGGACTACAGTGGCACGACACCACTGAGCTAATTTTCATTTTTTTTTTTGTAGAGTCGGGGTGTCATCATGTTGCCCAGGGTTGGTCTCAAATCCCCAGACTCAACCTATCTACCCGCCTGGGCCTCTCAAAGTGCTGGGAGTACAGGTATGTGCAAGTAGCACAGGAATGTGCTACTACCCAGGATTATCTTATAACAATATTATTTATTTAATGTATTATTGATCTACTTACGTATCAACCACACTATAAACCAGGTGTAAAAGTACAAAGATAAATAAGACCCTGAACTCCCATCCAACTTACAATCTAAAAGGCACAAGACAAATTAACAAACTACAATAAAATGCAGTGTGAGATAAATGAGGAAATAAGAGGTGAAACACAGATGGCAGGGGCTCAAAAGAGTTTCAACAGGAATGCATAAATGAAGACACTATTCTAGGTGGGGCAGAAGAACCCAGGTGGGAAAAAGCCCATCTATAATATAGTAATTAATTTTATTCAGCTTTTTTATTTTAAAATTTGCTTTAGGTTCAATAGATTTCTAAAAACCTCCCTAGACTGCTGTTTTATGTCATTTGTAATTAGGGTATGGTAAACCATATGAAATCTCAATCTGTTTAAATAAAAGATTTGTTTTCATCATTAGTTTTTCATATCAAATGCTAGTGTTAACAAAGATTAAAGACTAATGAAATCACTAGCAGAGCACATATGGGGATTTAGAAATATGGCAATTTATATGTGAATTACTAGAGGCAATAAAAACAAAGTAAAATTGCTTAAAGACTTGAATATTTAACAATATTTATAAGGTCTATTAAAAAATAAGAAAAGTAGGCCGGGCACAGTGGCTCATGCCTGTACTCTCAGCACTTTGGGAGGCTGAGGCAGGCGGATCATGAGGTCAGAAGTTCGAGACCAGCCTGGCCAACACAGTGAAATCCCGTCTCTATTAAAAATACAAAAAATTAGCCAGGCATGGTGGCAAGTGCCTGTAATCCCCCAGCTGCTCGGGAGGCTGAGGCAGGAGAATCGCTTGAACCCGGAAGGCAGAGGTTGTGGTGAGCCAAGACTGTGCCACTGCACTCTAGCCTGGGCAACAAGAGCGGAACTCTGTCTTAAAAAAAAAAAAAAAAAAGAAAAGTATATAATCCAGTGTACTTGCTATCTTACCTAGTGGTTGTCTTTTTAGCCCATACTGGTTTTTCTTTCTACATGAACTAGCTAAATGATTTTTTCAGTGTCTTGGGATTTACACGGGGCTGTTCGGCCAATCATAACCTAGAAGATCTGCATGAGATTTCTATTTAAATTATACATTAATTCATGTGTAATTTTAAAGATTCAATTTAAAATTCTCAAAGTGTGCTCCACGGACAACTTCCAGCATCTCAAAATGAGGTTCCTATGGTTAGCAAGTCTGGGAAATGTGGCAGAACATGGTTCCTCTTAAAAAATCCCTAAGAATCTTGTTACTTAAAGTGTAATCTGTGTGCCAGTTGTGCAGGCTGCACTTTGGAACTTGTAAGAAATGCAGAATTTCAGGCCTGCCCCAGACCAAAGAAATCAGACTTTACATGTGGGTCAGATCCCCAGTGTTTTGTATACACAGTCAGCTTTGAGAAGCACTGGTGTGGAGCATCATAAAGACTCCGAGAAATCATGAAAAAAAGAACCTGTTTAATCTCACCTAACCCTACATCTCAACATTTATTAACCAGAGACCCTCATGTGTATAAAAAAAAAAAAAAAAAGATGGATTCTCACTCTGTCACCCAGGCTGGAGTACAGTGGCACAATCATAGCTCACTACAGCCTTGAACTCCTAGGTCACACGATCCTGCCACCTCAGCCTCTCTAATAGGTAGGACTATAGGCACACACTATCATGCCCAGCCCATTTTTAAATTTTCTGTACAGACAGGGTCTCAGTATGTTAGCCAGGCTGGTCTTGAACTCCTGGCCTCAAGCAATCTTCCCACCTCAGACTCTCAAAGTGTTAGGATTACAGGTGTGCACCACCAGGTCAGCCAACCCCCATTTTTTTTGAGGATCATCTATTAACATTCTGAGGAACATACTTTGGGAAATCCCACAATATGATAATTATTATCATTCATGAGCAAATGTAGATGGAAAGAGACATTGTTCCATCCTTCACAATTTGGCTTTCCTCAGCTTTTCCAATGATGTTTATCTATTAAGGAAAAACATTAATACTTTTAAGAAATGGTACAGAAAAATTAAAGCTCTTTTCAATAAAGATTCCTGCCACCAAAAACATGAAATTCTGTTTTTGCTGAAGGCTGAGTACCAATTATTTTCTTTTCCTTTTTTTTCAAGAGATAGGATCTTGCTATGTTGCCAAGGCTGGACTCAAACTCCTGGGCTCAAATAATTTTTGAGCCCTCAGACTCTCAAGTAGGCTGGGACTACAGATGCACATCACCATACCAGGCTTAAATTTCTTGACAACTTAGTTTGAAAGTAAATGAATAAATGATTTTCCAGAAAAAAAGCCCAGCCTACTCCAGGCCAGGTGCAAGTTTTAGCTGTTTTTTCATGCTTATTTCATGAACACTCACATGGAAATGACCTTGGTATACTGTACACTCTGGTACTTTGGTTGCACAGATAAATTCCCCCATCTGGGTTATACAACAATTAGCCTAAAACATGTCCAGTTTAGGACAGACGTTAATTTATAAGTTACTTTACTGAAAGCACAGGCAAAAAAAGCAAAGTCAACAGTTTTGAATTATAACATCAGAAAAATTGATTTTATACATGTTTAAAGTCTCTGAATAATGCTGATTTAAGCAATGATGCATTGAGTAATTTGCAATTTTTTTTTTTGAGACAGCGTCTCACTCTGTCACCCAGGCTGGAGTGCAATGGCACAATCTTGGCTCACTGCAACCTCTGCTTCCTGGGTTTAAGTAATTCTCCTGCCTCAGCCTCCTGAGTAGCTGGGATTACAGACGTATGACACCACGCCTGGCTAATTTTTGTGTTTATAGTAGAGATGGGGTTTCACCATGTTGGCCAGGCTGGTCTTGAACTCCTGACCTCAGGTGATCCACCCGCCTCGACCTCCCAAAGTGCTGGGATTACAGGCGTGAGCCACCACACCCGGGCTAATTTGCAATTTTTTAAAGTAGCTCTTTAGAGTAAAAGAAAAAAAACCTCTTGATTTTAAAAGATATTTTTTAAAAAGTACCATAGATTCTCAGTTGTGATAACATCCTTTCTTTCTGTCTGGTCTTCAGCAGGATAGAGGAATGATGGTTATCTCTCAGTCTCCTTTATTCCATTTAGAATCTGTGTGCTTAATACTATATTTCGTTTTCAAGGAGACAAATTTTCACACTTAACATCTCCAAACAGCTTTTTGAAGAAAGTACAAGAAAAAATAACAACCACTATAAAGTTTCTAGAGTTCTGTTGATCACAGATGGAGAACGCAATGGACTGGATGATAACTTATTTACTTTTCTGCAATCTAACCATACGCTCTTGGTTCAGTAATGGCAGGGACTCTTTTCATCTGGATTGCCACTGCATTCTCAGCAGATCCAGAAAGTGCCTGAAACACAGTAGGTATTCAAAAGTGTTTGTTCAATGGGAGCATGAAACAAACTGAGGGAAGATATGACAACATATCTGTGTTTTCAATGAAAACACATTTATACACCAGATGGTGTTAGGTTTTGTGGCCATTATGATGCTGAAAGAGCTGTCTAGCAGGAACAAAGGAGTAAAAATAGTGTGATAAATGCAAGAGTAAACAAGCATAAAATCTACCACCACAGAAGTGAGGGGAGCTCAACTTCGCATGGGAGAGCGGGGTCGTCAGGGAAGATGAGACTTACTACAAAGACAGAGAGGCATAAAACACCACAGCGTGCTGTGTTCAGAGAATGCCAACAGTCTAAAATTGGGGTGGAAGCGGGGTGGGGGAGAAAAAGAGAAAGAAAACTCTGGAGATGAGAAGACGAAGGAACAATAGTAAGTGCAAATAAAGACATGGATTGTCTCCACAGCCTTTAAATTTGCCTAAGATGACGGTGAAAGTTGAGGCAAAGAGTCAAACTGAATGAGGTGTCACTGGTCCCAGTGAAGGTGGTAATGTGACCTGGAGTCAGGAGAGTAAAAGTTAGATGGTGTCAACTTAGGAGTACTGGGGAAATGTCTGGAAAGCCCGGTGAGGAGCTAGGAAGCAACCGTGAGGAAAAGAAGACTTTAAAGACATCAAAAAGAAGAAATCTCCAACATCTGCAAAAGAAAAGAATGATTCTTCTCTCCCTCATGTGCCAAATCCCTGGGGGATACAATCATTAAATCGAATCCTAGGAAACCTTGTCCTTCCTTGTCCAAGTGGGCTACTTAAGGACACTAGGAAGATGTACTCGGGTATTGCCATCCTGCTCGCCTCAGTATCCTCACAGGCAGATGCATCAGGGAGCTGCTCCTCAAAACCTCAAGAGAAAGGAAACAAGGCTGCTTCTAAGAGAAGAAAATCAGAAAAATCAATAAAATGAGGATAAGACCGGAAATGGGTGGACGTAAACTAAGAATCAGTAAAAGTATCCCCCAAGAGCTCTAACCTATCATCAAGGAACAGACTCTTAACATGTAGACCAAAATCAGATTATGATTATGACTTATCACATGTGATTGCTGTCATAATTAGAGAAGAGGATAGTTAGTATGAAACACAGAAAAGGAAAACCCAGATTCCTGCCCTCCCCAGAGAAGTAAAAACAAGTGAGATTACAAGAAGGATCTTTGCTCTCAGGGACAGAGATGGTCCTGAGATGAACTCTTCTTGCAAACACATCTTCACCTTTGACAAGATTCTAAGTTCACAATGGCAACAGTCACCTGATCCTAGAAAGGAGAAGTGTACTTGGCAAATATGGACATTTTGATAATTATGAATTAATAAATTTGTGTTCTGGTTTATATATTACTCCAGGTTCTGAGAACTGTAAAACTGAGGACAGGCTCAGGACTGCAGTGACTTCAAAGTTCTGTGATGTGACTTTAGGGAGGTCTTGTCAGTACTGGTGGTTGTTCTCCACAGACAATAAGCTAGCTGATTATTCCAATTCAAAAATTTAAGAAAGGGTTAATATCAACCTATACAAATCAAAAGGTTGGTCATGATGGGTAATATACATCTATTAGTCACTTTAGAACATGATGAAAACAGTTACATGTTGATTCACAAGTGTACAGTGGGACAGCTGTTGGAGTAAGTGTTCCATGCCACATGGGCACACCACAGTTTGTCAGTCAGAATCTGCTCTAATTGACAGAGCTGGCTGAGAATGTTGCACATGCCAACCGTTCCACAACTCTCTACCACTGCTGTGCAATGGCTGTGCTCATGCACTGTATCACCACCACAAGCATGTTAATCTCTCTTCTTTCAATATTCATGGGTTTAAATCACCTTTTCCAAAACAATGCCTTAATTCTGAGATATTGTCTATGTCTAATAATCTGTTTACAGATTTTGTTTTCATGGCAGTTTATTTCCATTTCACCTAAAGTGCAATTTCAAATCCAAGAACCAAGATATACGAGTTTAGTATTCCAAATGATATATAGAAATAACTTAGGCAATTATTCCAATTTTGTATATTTTAAAATAAAGCCTGCCTCATTAAAATAATAATAGTTTGTGTGTTTCTAGTCCAGTCATCCCAAGAGCATAGCTGCATCCAAATGCATATGTAATAGAATTATCTTCAAATATGCTCTAAGCAACCAGAAATACTCTCTAGACAAGATATACCATAACACTTTAAAAAACTGAGTTATGACTCATGCCATACCATTCTTGCTGGCTTTAATACTACCCATTTTGAGGACAAAATGGTTTACTCAGCATTTTTTTTTTCTTAAACACCCAATGGGCTGATTCAGAGTAGGGTATCTTTCATGACTAGCCTGTGTTTGCATGTGCTTCTACTTCATGTGTAAAATTTAAATGCCATTTCATAGTCAGAGGAAGGTAAATAATCATATTCTACATGAAAGCTTGTACAAAAATAAAACTGCAAATCAAAAATGTTTAATTTTGAAAATTTATTCCTAATTGGTTGGCAGGGCTCTCCCTTTCTCTCTCTGATAAATACAATTTGTCACTGTTTTCTAGAAGGAAATTAAGTCAGGTGACAGTTAATTGAGCAAATATAGTACATCAGTTAAATACTAGATTAAATTTTTCAAAGTTAAAGAAAATTCTCCCATTTACTAATTTCTTCCAAAGGATAGAACATTTGTTTTGTAGTAATGGTAAATTATAGGATTCAAATAAAATTGTTTAACCAAAATCACACTTTTGATACATAATACACTATGTACAGAAAATAAAGAGCACCAACTTAACTTTTTTTTTTTGAGACAGAATTTCACTCTCCCCCCGAGGCTGGAGTACAGTGGCGCAATCTTGGCTCACTGCAACCTCCGCCTCCTGGGTTCAAGTGATTCTCCTGCCTCAGCCTCCCAAGTAGCTGGGATTACAGGTGTGTGCCACCACGCCCAGCTAATTTTTGTAGTTTTAGTAGATATGGGGTTTTGCCATGTTGGCCAGCTGGTCTTGAGCTCCTGACCTCAGGTGATCCGCTCGCCTTGGTCTCCCAAAGTGCTGAGATTTCAGGTGTGAGCCACCGCGCTCAGCCCCTGACGTGAGTTTCGGCAGAGCTCTGCATGCTCCCTCCTGCCCAGCTCTCTCCAGGGTTCCTCCTTCACCATACTCAGGCTCACAGAGGCCTTCCCCTACCACTCTGTGGTCTGGCACAACAGGAATTGAGCTGCACTTTGAAGAATGAGGAATGGTGACAGAAAAGTAGAGCAGATGCAGTGGTAGAGATCAATCACTAAAGAAATCTCGGGCAAAATCTAGGTGTAAATTTGGAAGGGGTCCCTCTGCATCTGCTTGTCCCCAAATGGGGGGCACAGTGGGCATTCTTGCTGAAAGCAGTTCCCTTTCAACATAGCTGCCTTAGAATAGGTCTATTCTCATGCCTTCCATCAGCTGCCTGGGCAGGGGAAGTGGACTCACCCCACCCCACCAGCCCAATCTGGCCCAGCCCTCCTGGAACTCCAGCCCTGCTCTTCTTATCATTTCAAAGCCCACAAGCAAGTGTCAAACAACTCCACTACCACTTGAATCACCAAATCATTTCTTCCTTTGACACACAGGCACTTTGCAAGTGCCTCATCCTTAAGAAGACATTCATTAATGTGTTCTGAAATTGCCTTTTTTCGATGACTCACTCCTCTAGTCCAACCAATCTAGTTCAAGTCTTAGCAACACGCAATGCTCATTTTCACCCACTTGTATTTGCTCTTTAAAATGCTCCCACATCTTTTTAGATTTAAATTTAATAAGACCAAGATCCCTGTCTTCTATGTTTGTATTTTCTATGATGTCTAACACATGTTCTGAGGCATTTAATAAAATGCCTGCTGACAGAACTGATTCTACTATTTGAGGAGTTGAAAATAGAAACTGGCACTATACTGCTACATTTACAGAAAAATGTTTAATATATTAGATCAGTCATATTCAGACACAAAGAACCACTGAACAGTCTGCTTCCTTAATGAAGTCTTTTGTTTATTAGTTGGCAGTAAAAATGTCAGAAAGAATCAGATTTCATTTTCAATCTTCCTACTTGGGTAACTTCTTTCCTTTTAGGTGAGGGTTTTGAATTTCTTAAAGGAAGAATTTTGGGAAATAACCACAAGTCAAGGAAGCTACATTCCATTAGCAGGAAATAACACAACCTATGTTACAATGTGGTCACACTGGTATTTCTTTTTTTTTTTTTTTGAGATGGAGTTTTGCTCTTGTTGCCCAGGCTGGAGTGCAGTGGTGTGATCTCGGCTCACCGCAACCTCCACGTCCTGGGTTCAAGCGATTCTCCTCCCTCAGCCTCCCGAGTAGCTGGGATTACAGGCATGTGCCACCACGCCTGGCTAATTTTGTATTTTTAGTAGAGACAGGGTTTCTCCATGTTGGTCAGGCTGGTCTCAAACTCCCGACCTCAGGTGATCCACTCGCCTCAGCCTCCCAAAGTGCTGGGATTACAGGCGTGAGCCACCGCGCCCGGCCCACACTAGTATTTCTATATCATCACCTCCAGACCTAGTGTACACAAAGGAGTACTTTTAATGTGACCCTATAAATCAGAGCTATAATTCCACCAATAATCTAGAAAGCTGTTAACAAAGTCTTGATTGTCTTATGTCTCAAAAAGTCTTGATTGTCTTATGTCTCAATATACTGAAACATCACCTGTTCAGATTAAATGAGCAAGAAAATGAAAGACTGGATTGTTTCATTTCCTCACAGACTGTTTTTATTGTTGCCAATAAAAATATAGATATCTGTTCTGATTTGATGAAAAGATCAAAGCAGCATTTGATAATTCTAAAAGTGAGTGGTAAAATACCTCAAAGATTTTAACTGTGTTTATATCTCTTAAAATATTGTTACTCTTAAAATTTTGCTTGATACTTCATTTATTCAGAGTGCAAAGATAATTTCAGTATACAAAATTGAACTGATTACAAATTCATAATCTATCAGAATCTAAGTCATATGTGATATAATCAAATCTCAAAAAATTAGTATTCTCAGTTTAAAATATTGTGATGTTCCCAAGATGCATTTTTGTGTCATTTTAATTTTTGGTGGGGGTGGGAACTTGCTTTTCATTAATCTGAAGACCATAAACTATAATTTGAAATTCACTGATAGGTAGATATTTCTCTTAGATACTAAAGAATATCTAATGACCTCCCAAAGATGGTACATTCACCAATAAAGTATGGCATTACAGAGTATAAATAATGATTAATAAATATTTAGAAACCCAGCAGTGCAAAGAAAGAGAACACATGTTAGATGACTTTCCACAGTCACCCCAGAACCTCTCTACAATTAAGGTAATGGTAGAAATATAAAATTTTGATGTCCAGCCTACTAGGATTATAAAGCCTGTGTCAACAGTACCATCTGTTTACGCAGAAGAATGTATGCTCACAATTCATAAGAATTACAGCAACATATGTAATTTTGAACATCAGAGGTATCATGATAAATAAGACATTTAATCTAACGTTTAGCAAAGATGGAGCAAGCTGGCACTTTGATGGAGTAGAAAAAGAAAGTGAAAAGGCAATCTGCTCATTTTACAGTACAATTCTCTACTCTTTCTGAGTTACTACTAGTACTCTAGGAACAGCTGGGTTTCTTGGTATCAATTTTCTACCTATATGTCAATTATAAACTATTACAAAACTCATGCTAGAATTGTCCATGGGAGTTAGGAACTGCTTAGGACACGCAGTGGTTTCTAACTTTCCTTCACTGGCATCTTCTTCTTCTTTTTTTTTTTTTTTTTTTTTTGAGACGGAGTTTTGCTCTTGTTGCCCAGGCTGGAGTGCAATGGCGTGATCTTGGCTCACTGCATCCTCTGCCCCTCCAGGTTCAAGCAATTCTCCTGCCTCAGCCTCCCAAGTAACTGGGATTACAGGTGCCTGCCACCATGCCCAGCTAATTTTTTGTATTTTTTTTTTTTAATAGAGACGGGGTTTCACCATGTTGGCCAGGCTGGTCTTGAACTCCTGACCTCAGGTGATCCGCCCATCTTGGCCTCCCAAAGTGCTGAGATTACAGGCGTGAGCCACTGTGCCTGGCCTTGTTTCTATTTTCAATGTCCTGGGTAGAATGTCTAAGGGATGAAATGGTCTTTGAGTGGGGGAAACTGAACATACCTTATTAAAGGAGAAAGGCAGCAGCCACCCTGTGGCAGAGCAGAGGTAAAGGAAGTCCACTCCTGGCAATGAATCCAGGAATATCTCAATTATGGAAAGCTCACCACGGAGAGCAACAGGGTCACATTACTCTACATTCAGCCAGCAGAAAAAATTTAGAGAGCTTTTCCTACACAGCAATCCACACTCAAGGAAATTCTGTGGACCCGGAGACCCCCCCACACTACCTTCTTATCAGACTGCTCAATTCAATGTATTAACTTGGTTCTTTTGAAATGTGTGAGAGAAAAAAAATAAGTTTGAGCAAGACATCAATGTTAACTTCAGTAATGTGATGGTCACAAAAGAACTGAAATTCTTTTTTAAATTTAAAAAAACAAACCAAGAAGTCAAGAGTCCAAGCCTCTGTCAAGACCTGTAATCCATTCTCCCTCCAAAAGCAGAGTTTTTCAAATGGGGAAAGGTAAGCAAGGGACTGAACTGGCAAAGTGCCAGATGAAACACATTAGAAAGAGTTAGCTAGAACAGTCTCAGGTTGCCATGACCGAGTCCTGGTTTCACGGTACTCTGTTGATCTTCACCACTGTGATATCTAAACCATCTGGCTTTGAATTTACCTTCGACTAACAGCTGCCATGGGCAGCTACTGAAATTACATCACAACAAAGCTACCCCATTAGCGGCATAAACTCATCTTCATACCTTCACAGTGGTGAGTCACATAGTGAAAAACACCCAGAAACAATTCTCTCTAGAGTTGAATGCATGTACCTTGATTCAGTATGTAATACCAGTCATTTATGGATCAATATATCTGCACCACTGCAAAATATATGGAGCAAGAGAGAGGTATAGAACATAAAAACATCGAAGTAATGGAAATGTCATCTTGGCCTTCAAAGCAAAAGAAAGAACAAAATAGTCAGTGGCTGGATGGAACAGGCTTTATGCTGACCAGGAGAATCACACGACTATTCTCCCAACCTTTCTTTCTATAATTCCATACTGTTATTTAGGAGAGACAAATAGTAGCAGCAACCTAATAGGAACACATCCTCTAAAGTGAGTGCAACCATGAATAACCAGAAACTAAATATGATCCTTTTAGACCCATCCATCCTAAAAGTGATATTGCCTCTATAGGAACTTCTTGGCAAAATGTCGTATGAACACTCTAGTCTGAGGGAATCGGGTAAAAGTTCCATTCCAACAATCCGTTCATATTCTCTTCAGAATTTTAGAATATTCCAAATTATTTCAGGATTTTAGAATATTCCAATTCATAAAGTTTTCCTAAAAGGTTAAAAGTAGGCATAAGTATAAATATCAAAGAGATTTATTGTGTCAATTCTTGATCAGATTTCAAAAATAACAGAACAGTATTTAAAGAGAGTAGAAACTATCACCAAAGAAGCCCTTGTACCAAATACACAATCAGTCAAGAAGCACTTCTGTCAGGAAGCCCTGAGGACTTTGACACATATCTAAACATTTTTGTGGCCAAATTATATGGTAGCAACATATACTTAAGGACTAATGAAAACAGCAGCTTCAAATAACTTTAGAAATGAGAAGGACCTTGGTGATCGTCTAACTGAGCTGTCTGCCAAATTCTTAATTTTGTTAATACCTTTACTTAAATACCCTTGGGAGGGAGCACTGATACAAAAAATTATAAAAACAGGAGCTGCTCCTCTTAGGCCTTCTTCATCTCCTCAACCACAACCTGCACTGAGGCTTCCTAAAGCTTGGAGGAAGGCCACTTAACATCAAGGACTGCACTGCAGAGCAAGGTGACTGGAGGCTCAAAGCCAGGGCATAACTTGTCCACAGTCTTGCTTCTGGGATCTTTCAATTGCCATGTTCAAGCAAAGCAACACAATTCTGAAGGAAACGCAGTCTGATCATCTAATTTGAAAGTACTTTCTTCATATTTACACAACCATTCTTTTTAAAATTCACATTTCACAGTATAGCTTGGAGGGAAAAAGTTCAGGCTTATTATTTTACAAATCTTTTACTTAAGGTTTCAAAACAGGGCTGTTGAAGCTCACAGTTGAGGGATGCGCCTCCTGTGTACTTATGGTCTTCTTCACCAGATCTGCTGGTGGAAAGGTGGGCACATTTCAGACCCCACCTCCTCCACACCGGTACTTCCAGGGACAGCAGCACTCTATCCCTCCCTGCAACTACCTCTACACTTGCAGTTCCAGGCCCTGGCATGCCCTCTCCCAGCTTTGTCTCTTCCTTCATTCTGCTGAGTCACGTCACCTAAGAAGCCTTTCTTGACCTGACTCTGATCCTGATGAACCCCCTTCCCTGCCACTCCAAAACCCTCACTTCTCCTATCACCCACCCTGCTTCTTTTCTCACCTTAATGCTTATCACCACCCCCTAATACATTACTAATCCTCCCTACCCCAATCTCAAGGAGAAAGCTACATGAGTACAGAAGAGACTTTGTTCACTGGTTTATCAACTGCAACAGCTGTCAGCAGGCAGCACAGTACAGGAGGAAAAACCTGGGCCTCGGAGAAGCCCTGGACAAATGACTAGGGTTCAATCTCCCGATTTCCCCTAAGCTCCAAGAGCTCCTTAGTGGTTGTCTTTGGCTTTCCTGATAGGCATACATTTGGCAGGTGGGTAGAATCTTAATACTCTGGTGATCACTTCTAGGCTACCCACTAAAAATTTTATTCTGGGTCCCTGAGCTCAGTTTTGATTTCATGTCTCCCAGTCATCAACAGGGTTTCCTCCCAGATATTCAGCATGCCTATGGCAGAACTCATACTCTTCCTATACCTGTATGGCTAACAAAGTACCTTTCCTATCAGTGCCTTAAGCCACTCAAAATAGTTATTAAATCAACTCTTACAACATCCTCATGAAGTAAGCAGGAGCAGAACAGAATTATTCTATAGCATGCTATCAGTGCCAGAACAGGAAAAGAACTCTTAATTTCCACCTGAAAACACTATTAAGCTCTTCTGTCCATTTTCTCCTTTGGAAGAAGCATCTTTGTGAAGACTGATACAAACAGATGGCTTGGCAATCTACCGTAACTCTTATCCATTATCTAAGCACAGGACAGCCATCAAAAACAGACAAAACATCACTGAAATTGCACTGAAATAGTTGGAAAATGAAGCACTAAAGAGATTTCAACATATTCAGTATCTTCAGAACTCTCATAATAAACTTTGTTAGAATGCAGTAACAGAGTATTGGAAATTCCTGTGAATTTGCAAGAAGGATATAAAAGTAGTATCTGATTTGCGATACATTTATATTCCAGATTAGGTAATAAAGTTGGTTTTTTTTTTAAGGATATTTAGAAGATCATAAGGCCAGCTTGAATAAATGAACCTGAATCAACCCTCAAAGAACTTTTAAGTTAATACTACCTATTCTAGTAAATAATTAAGTACTACTAACAAGAGAAAAGTGAAAACTTAGTTTTATGTTTAACTTGTCTCCTCTCTTCCTAATAGAAGGGCTAAATTGCCAGTGAGACAACCATCCTCAGGACTACAAGAATGAGAAGCAAAGAAATAGTAAAGATCAATAAATCAGATAATTCTCAGATATTCAAAGTTGGATCAATCAAGTTTTCAAAGAGTAACTATTACACTGCGGGGAAGTAGGACAATTGTTCATTTGTTCATTCCAGCATTTACTCAGTGTCCACTATGTGTCAGGCCCTGGGCCGTGTACTTCATAGGAACTTGTTTATATTGACTTCCTAATAACGCAATGTTGACAGTATAAAAGTCATTGGAATGCTCCCTTCATGACCTCTCAAATTATTAAAGTAGCAAATGTACATTGGTCATTTATCAAGTAATACAAGTCACATTGTCAGCACTAAATACATTTAAATCAAAGTAAGAAAAATGCAATATTATGAGAACAACAAGAAAGGGAAGTTAAAAAGGAACTTTAAATTTTGTGAACTATAAAATCTATGGCAAACGTTTTCTATGTTTTCTTATATCTCAAACTCATTACTCAAAAAAAAAAAAAAAAAAAAAAAGCCAGAATTTACCAGAAATCCTAAAACAGTAGTCTCAAAGTATGGTCCAGCACCATCAGCAATGCTCCAGACCTACTGAATCAGAAACTCTGGGTACAGAGCCCAGCAACCTGTTTTTAGCAATCTATCCAGGTGATTGTGGTATACATTCAAGGTTGACAAGCACTGTCCTAAAGTAACACATCATGAGGTAATACAACTGAACAAAGTGCTTTCAGAATTGTGTATACAATTAAAAGACAAAAAGGCAGTTTGGGTGGTGGGGTTAAAATAATTCTAAGTATATGAATGATACAAACTTTGCTCAGCTGCTAAAATTTCCAATAAAAAAGAAGTTGTTTAAAATACTTGGAATGTCCAAAATTTTAACATAAAATTTCAATGAGAAATGAAAGATCTTAAGTTTTGAAAACACAATTAAAAATTACAAGTGTATCTCCACTTTAAAACAGGATTTGATAAAATATGAGTTTATATATGAGAATATAACTTCATTTTACAAAAATATTATTTGCCCTCTTATTCATGAGACTTGCTTTGAGTAGCAAGTTTCCTTAGCCATGGAAGTATTTGTTTATAAATTATCAAAATATTTTTTAATCTTAGGTGAGGGAGGAAATTAGAGGCAAAAGGAGAGTCAAGGGACTCTGCACTGAAGCGTTAGAGCCAGCCACCAAGTAAATATGGATTGAATGAAAGATAACGCATTACTGGAATTCCTTTTGACATATCTTCTACATGAGTTGATATGCATCTATGAAATAGCAGAAGCATAGTTAAGTACAGCTAACAAATTGGATATTGCTTACATCATCTGACAAATGTTGCTTCCAAGAGCTTTTCCAATTCCTTCACATGTGTTATGGCTCAAACTTTTAATCAGGCTGAAGAATTCCTCCAAGGGGAGGTTCCTAGCTGGAATTATGCAAAACACATGTGGATAGCAAAGCTAAGAGAGGTATATTACAGGCCTAAAGTCTTTAACACTTCTTAGCAAGAATTCCCACAGCATTCTTAATATATAAATAGACGACCACAGAGCAGAAAGTCTCGAGGATTTGTGTCCAAAGTTTATTTTAAAACAGAGAGAACTTACTATTCTTTGCTTTTATGAATGTATACTTCTATTCTTACAAAAACCATCTCTAACACACTGTAAAAGTTGTACTAAATGTAAACAAATATTCTGCATCACCATTAACTCCTATCAGCATGCGGGTTAACCCAACTTTTGAACCACCTTTTGTGTCCATCTGCACCAATTGCAATTGGGCAGTTCCCTAAAGGTGACTTGGAAAATTTATGTTTTACAGACTAGTTGTGCTACAGGACTGGAAAGAAGTCAGGTGGTAGCAGAGATTTCAACTAGAAGTGACTGCAGCGATCCACATGGAAGGGGACCGGGAAGAAGGTGAGGGGTGATGAGAAGACACTTCACTTGGAGACAAGTATGTGTTAGAGAACTCAAGGTGAGGCCTTCTGTCACTGAAATTCAAAGCTCAAATGGATTTGAGAGACAATTTAAGCTAAAATTTCCAGCCCAGGGCACTAATTTGGGAATGAGGGCTCTAACTTCTTTGGAAACTTTTTGGGGATCCCTCCCCTACTGCGACTAGGAAGACTTCAATCTCAGAAAGACCAGAACCAGAATTCTTATGGACCCTAAGCTGCAAATGGAACTAGAGGTCACTTCTGTGTCCAGTGCTTTATTTCCAGGAACCATCATCAAGAACAGTTCCTAAAATATGATTGGCTCATTTGTTCTCACTAACATCTTGGGATTTCATGATCATGAAAAAAAATCATTTCATGATTTTTTAAAAATCCAAGTGGATGATCTACTCTTCAGCATGAATGCAATAAAGCAAAGTCAATTAACTGGATTTCATAATACTCTATTTTACTTAGATAAGAGCTTCCAGCCCTCAGAAAACCTTCAATAATGTTGTAAGCATCATCAAACACACTTTATAAATACTGTTCAGACACTGCCTGATGCCAACCACCATGCTCCTGAGGCACACATTCAGGAAAGCTGCTGAGGTCTTACACATGATCCTGAAAACTTAATGATACCAAGGACTGAAAAGTAGGAAGATCAAGGCCACCTGCCTTAAACAGGAAAACCTTACCTAGCCAAACATCTGCATGGTGATACTGTGGATGTGCAGACAGAAGACAGTATAAGAGTGAATCAAAATAGGCACACAATAGAGACTGAAATAATAATCATGCACCTTTCACAGATCTGTGAAATTTGGTGTGCCCTCACTGAGGCGTTTACATCTCCCTCTTCAACAAAACACTTAACATCAGATGGCATGGCAGGGGAGGCAAAGTCCTGGAGCACAGCCAGTTCACTGGCACTACAGCCACATTCACTGCAGTTGAGCTCAGCTGGCTGGGCATGTGCTGTGGATGGATGTCAGCAGGGCATGCAGGCAGCTGCTAGATGAGAAACTCAGGTAGGGAGGCTGTGCAGGGTAGGGAGAGAGAAATCTGTGAAGATGCACAAAAGCACAGCTTTGAGTAATGTGGCATCTGTGGAATGCTGAGAAACAGACACATATAAACCAACCTGGCATGTAGCAATTAGAAATAAAATGGTTCATTTTAAATGATGTCAGTGGATATCCAGAGAGGCCAAAAAGGCAGAGTTGCAAGGCAACAATAAATGTTGGGGTATATTGTTTTGTTTTTGTTAAGTGAGCGGTTACCATTGGTAATATTAGTCTTCTTGTTAATACATCTCAGAAGTCAAATGGACCACTGGAGGCTACAACCCAGAGAGTATTAAGGCCTGGTACAGCAAAATAGGGATGCCTGCCTGAAGGGAATATGGTGTTTGCAGTGTTGTTGATCTGGACCCTTCCTTAGGGAGTTTCCAAGATGCCTGTTGTCCCTGCCAAGTCTAATCTAAAATCCACCTGTGCCCAGGTCTAGCAGTCATGATAAATTTTTCTGGGTTTCTCAGGCCTCAAAGTAACTGCTCTATAAGAACGGCTCCTTCATTAGAGGCAGTATCAAGCAGCAGAGTAAAAGCAGGGAGGCTGGGCATCAAGATTCTGGGTCTTTCCTGCCCCTCTGCTATTCATTCTGCCCAAAACAAAGCTGCTAAGAGACGAGATAGCTTCTAAAGGCAAAACTGTCATAGGAGCTCAGAATATGAGGACTTTCTCACGAGTTCATGCCCTCTCCCAGATACTTGCATCTCTGAATTTACTTCCCATGCTCAAACCCCAAAGTGGACAACTCTGCAAAGGTAGCTCCATAGCTGTAGGCCAACAATGTAAGAGGGCTGACTCAATCTCATCCATGCTGTTGTGCGCTCTGTGGCTGAAGGAAGGCACGGGCTCTGAATTGGAAGAAACTTGTGGAAGAAAAATAGAGGCCATTGCCATCTGCAGGCTTATATTTTTACAAGGCATTGCTGCTAAGTTAAATAAGCACTGCATTTTCTGTTGCTCAGGGAAACAAAATATCTATAAACAGAGCAGGCTTTGTGTCTTTTCTTTATGGAACTTAGGTTTAATGAGGATGGGTTATCTTTATTTTTTGCTATTATACATGTTTATGAAAGAACAAAAATGTATTTGTGAGTCAAAAATGAAAATTTCTGCACACTTAATAATAAACCTTGACTGGTACAGTCAACAAGGTTGTCATTACCGGCAGTTATCAGGGTGACTGCTTTCTCTACAGAAACACTGGGGCCCTCATTTGCTACTGTTCTGTGGGTGTATGTGATGCACTGTGGTTAGGACATTCCAACTTCTTGCAGGAGAAAGAGAAATGATGGGACTAGTAAAAATAGAGTAATTAGAAACAAATATGCAAGATTAACCTGCCTTGATTATTCATGAATGTAAAATACACTAAATTACCTTATATACTGTCCATAAAAGTGCCAGCAACTTTGTATTGAGGATGACTTTCATGGCTGCTTTCTCTAGCATCAGTACACTAATTAAAACTTTCTAACATTTCTGGGAAATTATCTCACTTTCTGATACATGCTGTTGTGCATAACAGAATCAGAAGTTGCAAATACAAGTCTGGAGAGGTGAGACTTTGTTTAATTCATGCATCCTGTTCTCTAAACTCTGTCTATATTCTGTATGTCCCAACATCATTCATTTTATTCAAGAAGTCTAAGACAAATCTATGGGCAGGTGCAGTTTTTTATTTAGT
Source organism: Homo sapiens (assembly GCF_000001405.40). NCBI lineage: Eukaryota > Metazoa > Chordata > Mammalia > Primates > Hominidae > Homo > Homo sapiens. The sequence goes on along the minus strand of NC_000002.12, from coordinate 158,499,774 downwards.
CCAAGTATTACCAATTTTTTTTTCAGGAATAATTGACCTCATTTCTAACCGAGTGAATGAAGACTAAGTAAAATGGCATGACTTAGAACACGCTGCCATTGAAGCAAGGCCACTGTGCTTTCCAATGGCAGGAGGGGTCAGTGGTGCTCTGCTTGGCCACTCACACAAATATGTGTTCCTCCAGGCCAGTGGACACAGGCCCAATTATCCTTCAGGATTATCAGTACTCTGATCTCTGCTATTCTAACTCAAATGCAGACATGTGTTAAAAATGTTATCCAGCTAAAACCCAGTGGTGTTACAGTTTCTCTATAGCTGGAAACACAACTGGGTCACAAGGAACTAATTTCTCTTAAGAACAAGTGAGGAAACTGAGCAAGGTGGGTCAAAGGTGGTACTTCACTAACAGGTACTACATGGGGCAGGCTGTTGGGACTGCTCTGGGTTCAGGGTTGGGGGGATGCTGAACCCACTTTTGTTGGCTGATGTGCACCCTCAGGTAATGTATCCATCTTCAGTTTTGATATGAAAGGGGCCCATTTTTTAATTAAAAAAAATCAGTGGGTCATTTTATCTTATGTATTTAACATTAATCTTCACCAAGCCTTTCCCCTTACCACCATAGTATAATAAACTGCTCAGATTGTGGAGAATCTGAAGTAACTGCCATTTTGGACCACTGAAGGCACCCCTACCGCAGGCTCTCTCATTGGAGGGTATTTTACCGTTCTTCCTGAACATATTCTACAACTGTTTTGAATCCAGGAGCACTGAGCTAATGCACCAGCCCCGTGGGCTTAATCCTTAGGTGAGCACAGGAGTTCTGTTCTCTTCTGTGGCCACAGGCTGTGCTGTCACCACCATCAGCTGTGCTGCAGAAAGCTGTGCCTGGTTAGCAGAGGCAGAATTGAATGATCACCAAAAATCTCTCACCCCTGAAGGAAAAAAAAAAAAAAAAAACACTCACAACCCACCTAATGCAGGCACTGGGTCAACAGTATTATATGAACAAACTGAGCAGGAGTTTATCAGAGCAGAGCACAGAGGAGTCAAGGTTCTAGAACAGGCCAAGACTGTTTGCCCTATCAACCTATCTCCACTGTTTAACACTGCAGCATCCACAGACATTTAGAAGAAATATCCTGGGGAAGATGGCTATAAGGCCAACATCAGCAGAGTGCATGAGATTCCCAGTCATCACTACTACAAAAGGAATGCTGAAGAGAAAACTGAAGCCCAAGAAACAAAATTACATTTCACAACACAGTTAACCTTTTTGGAAAACTATGTAAAACTGATAACATGATAAAATGTTAACATTTTTAAAGCATCTCACAACAAAAAATCTGAAGCAAAGTACAGAATCCATCATGAGAATGTAGTGGACTATAAAATGCTTTTTATCTGGATAGGTTTTGATTTTCCCCATTCTCAGTCACCTAACAATTGTAATTTGATATTTACATTGACTAAAAAATGTGTGGAAAAGCTGGGCCTGGTAGCACATGCCTGTATTCCCAGCTACTTGGCAGGCTGAGGTGGGAGGATCCCTTGAGCTCAGGAATTCAAAGCCTGGGCAACATAGTAAGACCCCATCTCAAAAAAATAAAAATAAAAATAACAAAAAATAAAAATGTGTCAAAAGCTGCACAATTTAAAATCTGCCCATCCTCACATTGCCTCAGTGCAGGCATCCAATCTCCTTTTTCTAAAAAAATTTAGTCAGAAACAAGACTTGAGTTTTTCCCTTCCTCCATTATCCTCTCTTCATTCTTTTTCTACCACACTCCATATCTAAGCTCATACTTACGAAACACCAGATGCACCTGTGTCCCACCCTACACTTCTGTTTTGTGGATTTGTTTTGGGAGATTTTGACTGTATACCGAACAGGCAACATTTACTGGGATTTTTAAAGTTACAATGATATTTGAAATAAGATGTCTGGCCTCTACCTTCATCTCTGAAAAGTTAATGCTATAATAGCAACATCAGCAACCACCTATTGAATACTATGACTCATACAGTGCTAAGCACTTTAAAACATTATATCATTTAATCTTTAAGGCAAAACTGAGTTACACATTATCGCTGTTTCACAACTGAGTACACAGAGCCAGAGAAGTGAAATAACTTGCCTAAGGTTAATCAGCTAGTGACACAGTTTAAATTCAAGCCTGGGTCTACCTGATTCCTAAGCTGTTCACCACCACTCTGTGAGTTTCCAGAATAACTGACAGACTGTTTTTTAAAGCCAGATTTTAGAGAATTAAAAGAAAACAATTTAAGAGAATATAACTCCTAAATCAGTATCTATTTTCTCTGTGTGATTCTTATCTAGCATTGGGCAAGCAGAAGCAAGTGAACTAAAGAGAAAAAGCAGGAAAGAGGGAAGGTACCTTGAAGATAAAAACCAGGCAAAGAACCAAGAGGAAAAGGCAGGCCACTCAAAATGCAAATACAAATGCAAATACTGCGTAACACTGAAAGTATTGTTAGAATATCACTCTAGTCATTTAAAAATACATAGGAGCTTCCCGATAGTTGAATGCATGGAGGTTCCTGCAGGGTGGAAGCTCTGTTCCCCTTCCCTGACACCTGGCCCTGTGGATCTTTTCATCTCTAGGTGAGGCACTGTCCAATGGATAGCCTAAAGAACCTGATTCATCTTTAACCAAGCTGAATTGCTTCAAGTTCCTAGAGCTGAAGAATCGTGGCACACCTGTATAATACCAAATTATTCTTTTAAGGAAATCAACATATCACTAAAAATGCATAGAAAAAAATCTGTTAGTGGGACTTCAGACCATTAATTTTTTTCAAGATATAATGAAAAAGGCAACTTATCAAGAGTGCAGGAACCTAAATGTCTTTTTACAGGAAGAATTCATAATAGGTTATTTGAGAGTTTCCTTCATCAAGAACCACCTACCCAGGAGGATAAAGAAGAGACAGAGACAGAGAGAGTGAGACACACAGACACACACACACACACACACACACACACACACACACGGAGAGAGAAGGCGAGAGAGAGTGAGAGCGAAAGAGAGACACTGACTGAGACTCTCAAATTTCTCAGTCAGCTTGCTTTGTTCTGAAATAAGAACATTTTGGGGACACAGGTAAACATGTGAAGGCTGAATTCTGGAGAGACAAAAGACAAGATTCTGGTTAAAAGCAAGAAATTAAAAACTTCTGAACTTGCACAGGTGAAAATGAAAAAGGAGATAGATATTTCAGACCAGAGGACAGATGGATGTGGACCATGAGGAAAAAGAATGTTTACAGGAGACTGATCTACCACCACTTTTGATTTTTAGTACACTCACAAGAGGGGTGCACCAACAAATTCACAGAATCGATAAATTCAATCCTTACAGCCAAGGCCTTCAATTTAAATGAATATACACTGCTAAAAAAGAAAATATAACATGGCATTTATTAGGTAAACTATCAAATGTTTATTTAAATTTCTATTTAAAATATTTTTGGGCCAGGCGCAGTGGCTCAAGCCTGTAATCCCAGCATTTTGGGAGGCTGGAGCAGGTGGATCACTTGAAGCCAGGAGTTCCAGACCAGCCTGACCAACATGGCGAAACCTGTCTCTACTAAAAATACAAAAAATTAGCTGGGCGTGGTGGCACGTGCCTGTAGTCCCAGCTACTCAGGAGGCTGAGGTGGGAGAACTGTGTGAACCCAGGAGGTGGAGCTTGCAGTCAGCTGAGATTGCGCCACTACATTCCAGCCTGGGTGACAGAGTGAGACTCCATCTCAAATAAAATAAAATAAAATATTTTCAAGTAAAAATGTATACAAAAAAGAAAATATATGTTAAAACTGATATTGATTTACCATAATGAAAGGTTAAAAATATATACATATATACCCCTCTTATTTATTTATTTATTTATTTATTTATTTATTTATTTATTTATTTAGAGACAGAGTCTTGCTCTGTCGCCCAGGCTGGAGTGCAGAGGTGCAATCTCAGCTCACTGCAACCTCCGCCTCCTGGGTTCACACAATTACCCTGCCTCAGCCTCCTGAGTAGTTGGGATTACAGGCACCCACTACCACGCCCAGCTAATTTTTGTATTTTCAGTAGAGTCGAGGTTTCACCATGTTGGCCAGGCTGGTCTTGAACTCCTGACCTCAAGTCAGGACCTCCTTGGCCTCCCAAAGTGCTGGGATTACAGGTGGGAGCCACGGCACCCGGACACTCCTTTTTTTTTAAACATAGTTATTACTAATGGCTACAAAAAAATTCATTGTCTGATGTACTAATATTTAGAATTTTTGAGAGTATAAGCGACTCAGCAGAAAACAGTTTTTGTCCACTTGTCTGATTATTTCCTTATATAGCACATTAGAAGTGATGAGCCAAGTGAACTTTCTGGGCTTTGTTGTTTTTTTTTTTTTTTAACTCTCCAGAAGAATTGTAGCAATGTGAGTCCAACTTGCCAACGCTCATCCACATGAGGTTTTATCATTCTTTCCAGTGTTTGTCAGCCTAATCTGTGAAAAAAATGGTACTTCATTTTTATTATTTCTTTTGAGACGGAGTCTTGCACTGTCACCTGGGCTGCAATGCAATGGTGCAATCTCGGCTCACTGCAACCTCCGCCTCCTGGGTTCAAGTGATTCTCCTGCCTCAGCCTCCCGAGTAGGTAGGATTACAGATGCCCGCCACCGTGCCCGGCTAATTTTTTGTATTTTTAGTAGAGATGGGGTTTCACTATGTTGGCCAGGCTGCTCTCGAACTCCTGACCTCATGATCCGCCTGCCTCGGCCTCCTGAAGTGCTGAGATTACAGATGTGAGCCACCGCGCCCGGCCACCTCATTGATTTAATAGTTTTCCTGACTACTAAAAATGCACAACTTTAAAAAAAAAAATAGAGCAATGATCATTTATTTCATCTCATTAAAGTTTTTGCAAAACCTCTAGAGGTAGGCACGATTCTCACTTCACTGATTAGGACATAGGCTCAAAACAGTTTAAATATCTGCCCAAAGTTAAAGAGCAAGCAAATAGCAAAACTAAAATCTCTATTTGGTTATAAAAAATCATTTGCTGTTTGCTTACAAATTAAAAGAACCATTAAGTGCACTTTATTTATAATGGGGATATTTAGTACTTTGAAAAAGTCTTTGCAACTGGTCTAGAAAATTTCATATTAAAAACCTAAATAACTGAATAATGAAAGTAATCTACTACCATATTTTAAAGTGCTTTACTATCCATGATTACCTAGTTTAAATATGTTATTACAAAACAAATCATCCTTAATGGTATTAATCATCACTTCAGACATATCAGGTTCATAATTCGCTCATCTACTTTCAAATAACTAACACATTTTATTTATTCATATCATTGCAAATAACGCTGTAGTTTACAAGTATATTATTTGGCACAATTGATATTTCAACTAACTTCAAGTAAGACTATATAAAGGTCACATTTTTTAGGGCTGTTTCTTGTTTTATACAGAACCCATTTTCCCCTCCATAAGTAAAAAAAAAAAAGTACATAATATAAATATATACTCTGCTGTCCTAGAGTAGTAGAAACATAGTGAGATGCCTAAATTGGTGTAATGGATGAGCTTCTTAGTTGAAGTCGAATAAGCAGTATGCTAAGTACAAATAGCTTTTCCCTTCTCATCAGTGTTTACCTTTTAAAGTTCCTAAACTGTATTAAAAAAGATCCAACTTTTATCATGGCAAGAATCTGCCTCCCTCCTGATAAGACTGAAATGAAAATGTCAGCTTCATTTTAAATGAATTTTGCACCCCTGGACTCCATTCATTTCTTCCCCAAAGACCAAGAAATATTAGTAGTGCAATCAATAATCACACTGGAGAATGAAAGAAGACTGAAAAAAGGGGTCCACAAGGGTGGGGAAAGGGGGAGAGTGAGGGAAGAGGAGAGAAAGGCAACAGTAAGACCTAGATTAGCAGGAAAAGCTCACCAGTCCTGAAACCTCAAGGAGGAAAGCATGTTGCCAAGTGAGCAGCACTCACAAAACAGAAGCCCAGGCCAAATGCTGCTCAATGCCCTCATGCAGCAGTGCTAGACACCTACAGGGACTAGAAGCCTCTTGAGACCTTCTCAAATCTCTCAATTTGCTAACGTCACTGTGTCACCGACTTCAGTTTTGGAAGAGGGCTACTCAGGCATTAATGACACTGTGCAGCAGGCCTAGAGAGCAACCAGTCCAGCCTGGAAAAGGAGGACAGGTGGCTGGTCCCAAATGTGAGGGTTAAATGGGATTCACTGATGAGCTGCTAGGGTAACCACATGGAAAATGGCACTAAGAGGCTAAAGGAGGGTGTGAGAAGATTTGGCTGTAGATCAAAACGAAGTTAAGGAAATGGAAAAATGAGGCAGGTATTTCCACTGGTGGAAAAAACACTTGGATTTAAAAAACGATGAGAAACTATTTGGCTCACTGGTGAATGATATATATAGTCAAAATAATGGAAACAATAAATAGTAATTTAATAAAAAATTATGATCTGTCATTATTAGGAAAACGGGAAGACAGCAAAGGGGTATAAGGCAGAGATTCTCATCTATGTATTAACAATAATAGATAATATCTAAAATTAATGATTTAAAAAATAATATGTTATTTAGAAATAAGGAGATGAGTATCAGAAGAAATAGACAAAGTAACTGAAAGTATATACTTCTGGCAAAAAGAATGAGACAAGGGGGTCAAAGGACTGTTATAATTTGTTATAAGGCTTTCAATATTTTAATTTAAAATAAAAAACTAAAACAAACATTAAAAATAAACAGTTTAGAAAATAAATATTATTAGGTAGGGAGGAAATAAAGGTTATGTATAAAGACTATGCCTATGAAGCATAATCCCCTTTTCTTAAAGAAACAAAACCAAAAAGCTGTTCTAAATGATGAAATTATGGGTAGTCCATCTTTTGGTTAGTCTGCATTTTCTACTGTAAACACGTATAACACTTCTGTAAGAAGAAGAAAATAGTAATGTTAAAAGGTACGCAGGAGGAAAATGGTCAGCTGGAAACAGAACTTAAGTAGTAAGAGTCAGAAAGACAAAAGGAGACAGAAAAAAATACTATTGTAACAGGCAAAGAAGGAAAGCAATTTTCCCATGGAGTGGGTTGTCAAGTGTTGATGGGCAAGACAGATGAAGAGTATCCTCAGGAGCAAAGCCCGGGCAGGGTGGCAGGAGGGGAAGCAGGGTGGCGGAAGCCAAAGGGAAACGGGGTTGGGGTTGGTGTGGGGGAGAGGGGGTGCCAGTACAGCTCTCTGGAAGTGAAGGCAGGTTGCTGGCTGTTGTTAAAATCTGAGGAGACAGAAGATACTTAAGGAGAAGCAACCAGTGGAGAGGAAGCAACTGAGATTAAGACAAAGATGATTCCTCAGCTAAAAAAAATTAACTTCGCATAACTTGCTTTTTCGGTTTCTTATTTTTATAAGAATATGGGAATATCTGAACAGGGGGAAGGTGTGAGATAGATTCTGAGGAGTTTCCTATTCCCTGTGATGCCTTGTTTCACTCTGTGGGCAACTGAGGCCATTAGATTTTTTTTTTCAATCAGGGCAGTGACACAACGTAGACTCCAGGTGCAAGAGAGCCAAATTGTATAAAGTAAAACTATAAAGTTAAAAAAAGGGGCCCGGTGCAGTGGGTCAAGCCTGTAATCCCAGCACTTTGGGAGACTGTGATAGGAGGACTATTTCAGCCTAGAGGTTTGAGACCAGCCCTGCCAAGATAGCGAGACATCATCTCTACAAAACATTTAAAAATTACTCCAGCATGGTGATGCGCACCTGTGCTCCATCTACTTCACCTCTAGCTACTAGGGTGGCTGACATGAGGGGCTGCTTGAGCCTGGGAGGTCGAAGCTGCAGTGAGCCATACTTGCTTCACTGTACTCCAGCCTGGGTGACAGAGTGAGAACCTGTCTCAAAAATAAAAATTAAAAATAAAAAAGAAAGCACGAAGAATACCTTGAGAACTAGGGCTAGAGAAGGATTTGAACAAAACCTTCAAGCTATATGGCTGGGGTGGGGGGTGAAGGGAGAACAAACGATGATTTTGATAGCACATTTAATGATTTCTGTTCAATAAAGTTTACAGACAAGTGGGATATTAAAGACTTTTGTAACGCCATAATAAGGGATATATATCCAGAATATAATGATGTCCCTCAAATCAACATAAGATTAGAACCCCCAGTAGAAAACTGGGCAAAAGGTATGGACAAAAAATTTACAGAAGAGGATACCCAAAAAAAGATAACAAGCAGATGAAGACATTATCAAGTTCATAAGTAGTCAGAGAAATACAAACTGAAAATGAGTTGATTTACACCTGGCAGACTGAACCACGCTAAGTGTTGGGTTGTGGAGACATATAGATGGATGCAGCCATTCTAGAGAGTATCAGCACCGCACAGCTCAGGCAAAGTAAGAGTACTGATAGTCTATGATGCAGCAATTCTGGTGCTAGGCATATTTCCCACAGAAACTGTCACACAGGTCCCAAGGGATCACGCACCCCTTTTTACGATGGTGAGGAGGTGAATGCAATCTAAATAACCATCACAGAAGGAGGGGAGAGATAAAACTGGATGGATATATATCATGAAATACTCAACTGCAGTCAGAATCAACAAGCTAACACAGACACCACCCAGGGACACATATCTTTAAAATAAACTAAGTGAAAAATATTAACTGAATGAGAATAACAACATTTATGTAATGATTTACATAATGCAACATACATATTATACAAGAGTACACACAAACAAAAACACTAAACACATTAGAAATGCCTACGGCCGTGGGAGGTAGATGTAGAAGATGGGGATAAAGAAATAAAACACTGACCTGGTCCTGACAAATGCCATCAATGGAGATACATGAACAGCTCAACCCTCCCTAACATCCAACTAAAGAATTTCTCCAAAATAAAGACCAGCAATGTGAACACAAAAGAGAGAATCCAGAGCCAAGGAGAATAAACAGGAGGTGGTCAGATCAGTCTTCCAGGGGATTTGCTACTGTAAACCTACAGAGACTCATGCCCTCCTTAAGACAGATTAAATCAATGTTTAAAATTATTGTCCACATTGACTCCTGAGGAATCCTATTTGTACTTCTTCCTCCAGAAAAATGCCTGCTTATCCCAACTTGCTATTTCCCCTTTCTAAACTTCAATCCTCTATGACAAATTAGCTATTCTTACCATTTACAACTCAACAGCATTCTTTTAAAAATAACAAGTGGAAATTTGTTACAAGCTTTTTGAAAATCTAAGAAAAATTCATCGACTTTACTTATGCATCTTTTAACCCCCTAAAATATTCTAGTATTTTTTTTCTTGTAAATATCACATTTGTTTGCCGTCTTTTTTTTTTTTTTTTAAATCAATTTGGTGACCAGGTCTGTTATCAGGGAGGTACCAGAGCTTAGCAGGAAAGATGGACAACAAAAGCTCTAAATCCTCTTGCATCGACACGTTCAATTTGCACTGACCAATCTGTTGGCACAGTAACTGTTTATAAGCTAAATTTCTACATTTTGGCTACAAGTATCCCAAATCCACCTTTTAAAAAATCCTAGGTAGATGCCATCTGGTGTTAATGATTTGCACACCCCTTAAATTGAAAATATTTTAAATAAATCTCACGGTTTTATATAGTATCATTAATGTGTCTATTTTAAAAAGACAATCTGAGAATAACACTTCCCCTAATTGTTGTCTTAATAATGACCAAGAGCTGAAGAAAAATGATTCACACTGTTAGTTGTTTTGTTGTTTTGCTCACGGGGGAAGGGGGTGAAGTAACTGGCTGTGCCTGGGTTTTGAAGCTCATTAGCACTAGGGCCACACTTGAGGAATCCAGACTCCTCTCACCTTAAGGTTTTCCTACTATAGACTGTGAGAGTTTCGCTGGACATAATTATGTTTTTTAAAATGTATACTTTTGTCTTGCTTAACACAGCTTAAATTGATTTGCAAATGATTCCAAAAGGAAAGAACATTTTGTAAATGACATGAATAACATAAGGTTTAAATGCAGCAAGTGAGTAGAATTTCATTTCTGATACTGTAACACTGAAAAGAAAGGGTTAATAAATCTTTAGCCCAGCGTGGGAAGAGCCTCAGCAAAAACCCTGCATCCAGCTAAGGCAGCTGCAGGGGGCAGAGGAGTCAGGGAAGCCCCAAATCAGCATTCTGAGTGCTGCGATGGGTAGCTGGAACATTTTAGGTACAGAAGATGATTTCAGGGATGACATACCAACTCCACTGGAGGAACAAAAGACAAGCAGCCAATCATTTTCTTCTAGCAAGGAATTCTGAGAAGGGTTATTGATAGGTTTTAGCGTCAGAAATCTCTTTCATTTGTCAGGGACACAAACTTGAAATGATTAAGATAGTGTGGCCACATTAAAACTCCATAACTATAAAAAGCAAAACCCTAGAAAGTTACTATAAATAGCAGTTCAAAAAAGAGAAGCCCAGATATGCTAACACCCAGAGAAATAATATCAAAAGATTTTAGATGTTATATAAATTTCACACCTACAATAATGATTTCTGAAGGAAAAAAAAATGACTCTACTGTATGTGGATGAACTTTGTTTTAAATAAAATCTTATCAAAATGTAAAATATTGGATTTCTGGATGTAGAGAATGTGAATTGAAAAGATTTATCAAAACAATCATCATCAAGTTCAACTCCATTGTACAGATGACGAAATAACGGCTCTGAAAGATGTAATGCCTTCCCCAAGGTTGTTAAAATAGTTGATGCAAATGAAGACACATCTTTTGAAGACACACTGCCTTGCACACCTGTTCCTATCTGATTCCAGCCACTCCTTGGACAGCTCTCTTTTAAACACCCATAGACTTCATTCTTTCCCTGACTCAGGAGTGAATTCTAAGCTCTTTTTCCTGAACACTATCAACAATCACTGATAATCCTTGGTAACACTGAGATATTGTTAACACTGCTATTATTGGAAGTGATATACAATCACCCAAATAAATAGTCTATTCATTAGAAATGAATAATAAATTCAGGCATGCTCAAGGGACAGAGATTACACTAAGGCATGGATTCCAGGAGGTGGGATCACTGGAGGCTATCTTAAAGCTGCCTACCATAAACCTACTGGTGAAAGGATATCTGCATGTAAGTGAGACAGTGAGTGTCAAACAGAATCAAAACAGGGTTGGCAATGATCTCTCTTCTCTGTGACTGCTTCCCCACATTATTTAGAGGTAGTGGGACAATACAAGGGGCATAATAAACATAAAAAAAGAGCACATGGTATATATGGGAATTTAGCAAGGCACCATTTCTGGAAAAGCTTCAACAGTCAGAATAAAAACAGATGAAGAGTCATCTCAGAAGGAAATGCGGAAAAGTGTTGATGAGAAGCTGAAGGAACTTTAGTCAGGGTATGGCGCCTAGGAAGTGTTAAAGAGGATGCCCCAGCACATAGTAGGCTCAACAAATACTGGTTAAACTTTCATACACTACCTAGATCTTTCACCCCTTGCCTCCAATTTTTTTTATAATTTGGTTTCATGACAATGTGAAACTTACTTAGCAACACATGTATACAAAAATCAGATCATACAATGGTTATAAACAATTTAGTAGGTGGCAGTAATAAATTTGTGGATATAGGTGGAACAGATTGAAAAACATAAAGGGTCTACCTAGAATATAGCTTGATCCTGTGCAAAGAAATCAGAAATGAATAATTCCACAACTGAAGAAACGAATCAATATTTTCATTTATGATTTAGGCATATCTCCATAGTTTTCTACTAAACTTATTTTACATGGTGTATTTCAAGACTATATTTATTCCCCAAAGAGCTTCTCTTAAAAAACACATTCCCTTGTCAAATCTTTTTCCTTCCTCCCTTCCTTCCTCCCTCCCTCCCCCTTCTCTCTCTTCTCTCTCTCTCTCTCTCTCAGTCTTTCTTTCACCATCAAGTCTCTATAAGCCAGAACTATGCTGGGCAATGGTCCAGTACAATGTCCTTACTCAGCATTCAAAGTGGTATAAAGAAAAAGTGTGGAATAGTATTTGCAGAAACTATTTTTACCTTCAAGTTCTTTCAGCATGTGTTTATTTAAATTTAACTTGAATAATTATATAAACATTTTACTTGAACAAACCAAAACTTTAAACTCATGGGTACTTTATGCATATGACACCTCCCATATTAACTCATAGCAACAGTATGATCCAACCAGAGGCCTTTTCTTTATACATCAGAAAATTAAAGTTTGGATTCTGACTGAATTACTCACAAGTTGCAGGATCCTAGGGCAAATCATGGATTTCTTTTACTGTTTTCTCATGTGTAAAACACACATAATGATTATAAGATTATGCACTTCCAAAGATTATGGTGAAGACAACCAGTAAATGAGAAACTATATAGAAACACTGGTTTATACAAATGTGCTTTTTTTTAAAAAAAGGCTTTGTGCCAGTTAAAAATTCCTATTTATGGCCTTAAGGCTCTACTATGTCACTTGCAAATTGTTTTTAACTATCGCACGAAGCTGACAGGCAGTGTGAAAATCACTCCCACGGGCTGAATCATAGCGTGACAAACTCCATTCTCTGGCCACTACTTCTCTGTCCCACCCCAGTTTATAGGTATGCTTTATATAAGGATGCTGATGTAACGTTTCATATGGAATATATCACAGGGCTGGGAATAGGTACAGAACTATGAAGCTGACATGGAAGATAGTCTCCTTTGTATTTAAAATGTTACTGTAATTCTGACTGTAATCATTCTGTGAATGCATTACAACTAAAATGGCTAGTACACAAATACTCTTACTCAACCTACAAAGACTGTCATTGGACTCACGTTTTATTGTCTACAATTCAGCCTCAAGCTGCTCATGCTTAAGACAGATCATCCCAAGCAAGGGAGAATGACTTTCAGTCACCATTATTCCATACCATGACAATGGCCTGCTGCTGGCATTACACATCAGTACATTTTTCAAGCATCTTTCTAGACTGCTTCCCAAAATCAGTTTGCCATGTGGCAGGTCCTAACTTATTATGCCTTACTTAGTCTATTCTCTGCCTTATAGTTTAGAAGAGTTGTATTTGGAATGTAGGTCACTGTGTTCTCAACACCCCTTGCCTCACCACCACACATTACCTTCCACATTCTTAGTAAACTAGAATACTGCTCAGAAAGCTGAATAATATCTGTAGGTCTTATGGGTCTCAAAGTCCTTCAAAGTTTCGTCCTTTAAATACTCAGTTTTACCAAAAACTCAGTTCTATACTGCTACCAAACTATACGTTTTCCCAAAACCCATTAAATTTGATACAGTGGAAAATATTCAGTCATATGCTGTGTAAATTTCTTCACTTCAACATGATTTATTACTCTAGTAACAATCTCAAAGGAAAACAATTCTACTTTGCAAGATACAATTAATATTGTCTCTATACCTCATACAATATAATACAATTTTCTCCTTATATCATATCCACATATATTCACATAGGAAACAACTAGTTTAATTATAGCCTATCATAAAAGTAAGAATTTAAAAAAGTTGAGCTGCCAAGTATCTTCAAAATAATAATGCTATGATTACAAATTTAATGTTATAAATTCCAATTTTCCTTATCAAATTTCATTTTTGTAATTCTTTTACTTTGAACTCCACTATTAATAATTACATAGATTTAATTAGAAATAAAAAAAATTTAATGTGGCCAAAATTAGAATGTGTATTTTTGTTTGGTAACAACTGCTATTTAAAAGGTTTTCAACAAAATAACAATTTACTGTAAACATAACCTTAATTAGATTACATATGCCAATGTATTTTAATTATTGACATTAAGGATGGGTGTTACTGAACATAAACTAATTAATGTCTATTCTTATACTTGAGATAAAAACAAAACAAAAACAAATCTTCAGCCATTATGAAGTTACACTTTTTTTTGTATTAGAATCCAGTAGGCATACAGAAATTTCAGTATCATTCTCCCATTTTACAAATGACAATGAACTAAAGGGTTAAATGTTTTGTTTATAAAAGAGACCCTATTCTCATGTTTAAGCTCAGTGATTCATCACATCAAATCATTTTCATTCATTCAACAAATACACACTGACCACCCAGTACACTTCAGGTGCTTGTAATGGGCTCTAAACATGCACGGTTCATGCAGCTTAGAGTCTTGGGGAGGCTTCAAATAATTCGACAAATATGAAATTATGAACAGTGGTGTTATAGGTTACATGGAGAGCCAATCTCATCTCAGATAGTAACGTGGGTCTAGGGTTAAGTGGGTTGGATGAGATTCCAGCACTGCCATTTCCTACGTACTTCTGAATGACTTAACTGTTACGTGTTTCCGTGTTTTCGTCTGTAAAACAGGGCTAATAATAATTGGCTTGTAGAGTTGTTGTGATTAAACCAGTTAATTCACATAAAATGTGTGGAATAGTGCCTGCCATACAGTAAGTGCTTAATAAACAATGACTATTGTTTTAAGAGTAGCTGCAAATCTGGCCTTGTATACAGGCCAGGCTGTCACTTGGGACATTCTAATTATAGAGAAGGGTGGGCCACAAAAGGCCTTGTAGACCACGGTGAGGCTTTCAGTCTATCACAGAGCAACAGTTAAGTCATTCAGGTAGGAAAGTGACCTCATCAAATGGTTTTCTTTTTCTTTTTAAAGATCTGGCACTTGGGGAGAACTGAGTGAGGTATACTGAGGTGAGATATGAGTATACTAGGTTGGATGGCTTACAGTAACAAAATCCTGTACCATTTATTCTGATTGTCACCTGCAAAGCTTTTCCTACTGGAAGTACTCCCTTCTAACAAGTCCATATGGGGCTGTGCTTGCACCCCACTTATGAGCAGTTTTCAGCATTTACAGAACCATGCAATCTTCTATTTACCACACTGTGTTACCACATCTTAAAAGAATAGTTTCATGGCTAACAACCCATTTATAAGCGAAGATAATCCACTTACTGCAACTCTATAAAATGCCACTTGGTATAAAGGCTGATTGTCATCATCTTTATCACAGAAAATATGCCAGAGGCCTCTTAGGTAAGGCCCTCTTTGAGAAAGTCATCTACGTGTATATTCAACAGGAACCAGGCATTTTAGTTATTAAAAGTTCAGAGTATGCAAACAAAGGAGAAATACTTCCTAAGAATAGACAACAACATGCATATAACCTGGAACCATAAACATCTCTAACACATTCACCAAATCAGGACAGCAACGGACACTTGCAACAGCAGAGCCTCAATGCTTCAGTTCTCAAGGACAAGTGGAAATGACGCTGAGTTAGCACGGATTCAAGAGGCTTTGAAAAAATGTGCAGGCCGGGCGCGGTGGCTCACGCCTGTAATCCCAGCACTTTGGGAGGCCGAGGTGGGTGGATCACGAGGTCAGGAGATCGAGACCATCCTGGCTAACAAGGTGAAACCCCGTCTCTACTAAAAATACAAAAAATTAGCCGGGCGCGGTGGCGGGCGCCTGTAGTCCCAGCTACTCGGGAGGCTGAGGCAGGAGAATGGCGTGAACCCGGGAGGCGGAGCTTGCAGTGAGCCGAGATTGCGCCACTGCCACTGCAGTCCGCAGTCCGGCCTGGGCGACAGAGCGAGACTCCGTCTCAAAAAAAAAAAAAAAAAAAAGAAAAAGAAAAAATGTGCAACTGTGCACGTTCTTGTTATGCTCACTTTTAATGTATACACACACACAAAGAAATTCATTAGTCAGGCTGGCAATAGATGAAAAAAGGAAAATCAACTCAGCTGACCGTGGTTTCTGCTGGCAGTTTTAACAATACTTTGGTAGAACGATGATGAAAAACAATACCTTTCAAATTATTTGTTAATTATCTGTTAATCTCCTAATTTTATCTACACATTTCCTTAGAGCAGAACATAATTCCAAATTCAATTGGTTCTAATAAGATGTTAATAATAAATTCAAGAGTAAACTTTAGTGAAAATTATGTCCCTTAGTATTTTTCTTAATGTTAGGGGCTTTAAAAAGTTTCAAAATGGCATTAAAAAAAAATCACTACAATGACTTTTCCAGATAGTAGATCCCCCCAAACACCATTTAATACACAAAAAGCTACCTGCTTTCCAACCTGCCACACTGATGGTCTCTATGATGCTGTATTACATATTTTGTCATTAATATGTAGCTAGAGTTAATTAATGACCAGCTGTCAATTCATGACTCATGAAACTTATATAAGATCATCAAAGTTTAGAAACAGCAAGTTGGAGATCCAAACCTCAATAATAAAAGCAGAGAATGAGAAGACAAAATGATTTAAAAAAAAAAACACATAGCAATGAAGAGCAATCTGTTTATACACAGAAAAGAAAAATTACAGAAAGATCAAACATTCCCAGAAAAGCATTAGAAATTGGGGAGTCTTTGAATAAAATGCATTAACAATGAATAGAACAAATAATTGAGGAAAAAAATTCCACCATGAGAAATGGATAAACAAAAAAGAAAAAGAAAACCAATCACAGCTTCCTAATCCTTATCTCAATTTTCTAAAAGATACAACTTCCCCAACTCAAAACACTGATTTTTTTAAGGACACACTAATGAACAGACAGCTAACTGCTCATGACTTAGAGATGAACCAATGACTACTCTTGAGGTCTAAATTTCAGGACCTAGCCATAAATATTCAGTATTTCCACACTGGATGGATAAAAGCTACTTAAAAAATAACCAATTGGCCTGTGTGTAGGCTAACAAACACTGTATCACAAACTTTAATAACACATACAGGTATACTTCCATTCTGTGCAATGACCTGCATGTTCTCTAAATTCCTTCCTCCCTTCCCCCCTCTTTTTTTTTTTTTGAAGCAAGGTCTTGCTCTTTCTGGAGAGAAGTGGCATGATCATGACTCACTGCAGCCTCAACCTCCCAGGCCCAAGCAATCCTACCACCTCAGCCTCCTGCATAGCTGGAACTACAGGCAAAAGCCACCACACCCAGTTAATTTGCTTATTTTTTGTAGAGATAGGGTCTCCCTGTGTTGCCCAGACTGGTGTTAAATTCCTGGGTTCAAGCAATTCTCCCACCTTGGCCTCCAAAAGTGCTGGGATTATAGGCATGACCACCGTACTTGGCCTATATGTTCAATTTCAAATGGTAAGGTTTTAAGATAACGTGGGTTAAAACATAAATGAAATAAAACTTTCACTGACATTTTCCTTAGAGTAAGAAACTTCATAATAAACCAGGTGCGGTGGTATGTGCCTATAATTCCAACTACAATGGAGGCTGAAGCAGGAGGATCACTTGGGTCCAGGAGTTTGAGTCCAGCCTGGGCAACATAGCAAGACCATGTCTTGGAAAGGAAGGAAGGAAGGGAAAGAATGGAGGCAGGGAGGAAGAAGGTAAAGAGAGAATTTCAGGATATAGCACATCTAGCTTAGCACTACTTGACTGAACTTCCTGTGATGATGTGGAAATGTATATTTGCAGTGTCCTGCATAGTAGGCACTAGCTATACGTGGCTACTGAACACTTGAAATGTGGCCAGTATGACCAAGTAACTGAACTCTTTATTTTAATTAATTTAAATGTAAATAGCTACATGTGACTAGTGGATATATTTTAGACAGCACAGGTACGTAATTATGGCATGAGCGATCACAACTGAAAACTCTATAAACTTTACCAACATTATTCCAAGTAGAATACAGTAAAATATCACTAACATTACAACAGTTTTTAAAATCAGACACTAAAGTTATAAAATAATTTGGCACCATTTCAATAATACAAGTAGGTGAATACTGTTCACCTGTATAAACCAGTTTTGCTTATTTTTATGTCTTATGTGGCAGTCAACTCTCCACGTACATTTTACTTATATATTATCAGTCAATTCTACAAAATTCTCTCCCTAAAAGTAATCATAGTACTTATAATAGCACTTGAAATACGTCAATTTTAAAAAGGGCAAAGGATTTAAATAAATATTTCTCCAAAGAAGACATACAAATGGTCAAGAAGCACATGAAAAGATACTCAAATGTATCTAGTCATTAGGGAAATGTAAATCAAAACTACTATGAGGTATCACTTAACACCCACTAGGAAAGCTATAATTGAAGACAGACAATAACATGCGTTGGTGAGAATGTGGAGGAGTGGAACCCTCATACTCTGCTAGTGGGAAAGTAAAAACTGTGCAGCTGCTTTGGAAACAGTTTGGGAGTTTCTCAAAAAGTTAAACATAGAGCTTCCATATGACCCAGCAACTCCTCTCCTAGGTATATACCTAGAAGAACTAAAAACATATGTTCACACAAAAATGTACACAAATGTTTATAGTATCATGATTCATAACAGCCAAAAACATGGAAACAATCCAAATGCCCATAGCTGATGAATGGATAAACAAATGTGGTATAACCATGTGATGGAATATTATTCACACATAAAAAGAAATGAGGCCAGGTGTGGTGGCTCACACCTGTAATCACAGCACTTTGGAAGGCTGAGGTGGGAGGATTGCTTGAGCTCAGGAGTTCGAGACCAGACTAGGCAACATAGTGAGACCTCATTTCAATATTTAAAAACAAAAAGTATAATATCACTTTTAAAAAGAAATTAATTTAAAAAGAAACACTGATTTATGCTACAACATAGATGAATCTTGAAAACATGCTAAGTAAAAAAAGTGAGACACAAAAGGACATGTACTACATGATTCTATTTACATGAAATCATGAAATGTCCAGAAGAGGCGAATCCATAAAGACAGAAAGATTAGTGGTTCCCAGGTGCTGAGGGGAGAGAGAAATGGTAAATGACTGCTTAATGAGTATGGGGTTTATTTTTGGTGTGATAAAAATGTTCTGGAATTAGATAGGGATGGTGATTGTCCAACTTTGTGAATGTACTAAAAATCACTGAACTGTATCCTTTATAGGAGTGAATTTATGGTATGAGAATACATCTCAATTGTAATATGCACTTCAATTCTTAGTTTTAAAATTCTATTAATTTCTTATTTATATAATTTTTCATTAAATATCTCGGGTGTGGTTTTTATTCCTCTTAAAGAAATGCTGGCCATTTTAATAAATCATTTTTCTGTAAGTAGAAACAACTGGAAAAAAAAAAAAGAATCCCAGAGGCCAGGCGCGGTGGCTCACACCTGTAATCCAGCTACTTTGGGAGGCCAAGGTAGGTGAATCACTTGAGGTCAGTAGTTTAAGACCAGCCTGGCGAACATGGTGAAACCTTGTCTCTACTAAAAATACAAAAATTAGCTGGGCGTGGTGGTGGGTGCCTGTAATCCCAGCTACTTGGGAGGCTATGGCAGGAGAATCACTTGAACCCAGGAGGCAGAGGTTGCAGTGAGCCGAGATCGCACTATTGCACTCCAGCCTGGGCTACAAGGTAAGACTCTGTCTCAATAAAATAAAATAAAAATAACTAAATAAATAAATTCCATATAGGAGGCAAATTTTGAGTTGCTAGATACTTAAAATTAAGACAAAAGGAACTATTTAACAGAAATCTTTAAAACCTGTGAGTTGGCACTGACTTATGGGTAGAAAAACACAGGCGTGTACTCCTGACCTAGGGATATGGGACAGATCTGCAATTTGGTGCTCTTTGTAAAGCAGTAGCAGTTCAGAATCAACGTCTAAGAAGATGAATCTCCCCTTTCTGATATCCTCCTCAGCTGACGAAGGATACAAACATTTAAGCCACATGAGCAGCCCCGGTTGTAGCTAGGGCAGAAGCAAAACTGTGGAACCAGTTTATGGGCAAGCCCTAGATTTCAATATTAAGTCAAGTAAACAGAGGAATCATAAATGCTTTAGATACACATTTCCATGTCATGACTTGGAAAAAGGATTGCTTGTCTGGGTCATACAGTAAACCAGAGACTAAAGAATAAATCAAGAGTTATTAATGCTTTTTATTCACCTGCCATCAATGACAGAATATAAAGCTTTTTTTTCCTTAATACAGTTGCTATTAGTTGAACTCCTTTCCAAATTGATAAAGACATCACCATGATTCTCATTTTAAGTACAAAAGTGACAGTCTGCCTATAGAAGCTTAATAAGACTATATTAAGGAAAAATAAAATTAAAAAATGTTAAATTACAAAATAAAAAATTAATTTTAAAAACTGGGCTGGGCAGTGGTTCACGCCTGTAATCCCAGCACTTTGGGAGGCTAAGGCGGGCCGATCGCTTGAGTCCAGGATTTCAAGACCAGCCTGGGCAACATGGCAAAACCCCGTCTCTACAAAACATACAAAAATTAACCGGGCATGGTGGCATATGCCTGTTGTTCCAGCTACTCGAGAGGCTTAGGTGGAAGCATCGCTTAATCCCGGGAGGTGGAGGCTGCAGTGGGCCAAGATTGTGCCACTGCACTCCAACCTGAGGGAGACCCTGTATCAAAAAAAGACAAAAAATAAATAATAATAATAAAATAAATTTAAAAATTAAATGCTGAATTTAAAAGTTAGCTAATGTTTAATATCTAAATTGTTTGAGAATTAAAAAGGTTTAAAAAACAATACTACTTAGGTAACTCCTACTAATGGAAAAATAAAAAGAATAGAAACCTCCTCGAGAATGCTGGCTTGGCAGCCTAGCCTAGAAAGGAATAGAAACAAGTCTCTCCATGGAAGTACTTAGTGGGTGGGATTTACTAATTCCAATACTGGGGAAAATGTGACAGGAAATCATAACTGTAACAAAGATTTTCCACATCTAAAAGCCCATGTTTATGGAGATACAGATATGTAGTAAAAATAAAAACATAATGAAGAGGATAAACACCAACTTCAGAATCCTTAAGCAAACTTGGCAAACAAGATTTTAAAAATATGAATAATAGTTTCATGGGCACTCCATACATTATTCTCTGTACTGTCCCATATTTAAAATGTGCCATACAAACCCTAAGCAAAAAGTTTAATTATCATTAGTGTTCATCAGTTTCATTTACAATAAAAGTTCAAATTATGTTTTTTAACAGTTACCAAAATACTATGTGGATAATTCACATTTTGCTTGTGCTTTATCACAATGAATTAAGGTTTAAGCCATCACTGATAACTTAGGCGATCTATCCAAATATTTAGAAAACTACTTAACAAAAAACGATGAGCTATTGCCAAGGCAGAGAGCGGTGGGCAGACTACAGGCTTGCTGATGATTCCATTTATCTTGATTAGGACAGCACTTAGTACGACTCTTCTAAAACATGTTAATGTCTTTAAACACAAGAATGTAAAAAACACTACTATCGGCATAGTCTAAAGGATTTACTATGAAAATCAAAACCACAGCACGTCATCTGCTTGTGAAAACCCCATTTTACAACATTCTAACTCACTGAATGGGAGAAACAAAACATACAACTTAATACAATTACTTTTAAGGTTCAGAAGTAATTTTTCTGAATGCTTCCCTAATCAAAAAAAAAATCTAAATAATAATGTCTTTAAAATCTGGGATAAAGCTATAAGCTCCTATTCAACAGCCTTACATCTTATAGCTAACATGAGGTTAACATTAAGCTTCAAACCACACCCTTTCAAAACAAAACTGCAAATTTAAGATCTCTAACCTTTGCCAGTCTATTTTAGGACACTGAAAACATTTTTTAGCCAGAACTAGAAATTTCTCTTAGAACATAAGAACTGAGGGAATAAACCTTGTCCCTGGCTTATCAGTTATATATATGAAACATTAGTACAGTCATCAATTTATTTATTGGCATACCTCAGAAGCTGGTCTATAGCTCAGTTAGCATGAGGCTTTGGACTTTTGGTTTTTTTTGAGAGATGAGTGTCTTGCTATGTTACTCAGGCTGCAGTGCAGTAGCTATTCACAGGTAGGATCACAGTGTACTGCAGCCTCGATCTCCTGAGTTCAAGTAATATTCCTGCCTCAGCCTCCCAAGTAGCGTTGATTACAGGCATGTGCCATCATGCCCCAATTTAACCATTTTTTAAACCAGGATATTGTTGCCAGGAAATTGGACTTCAGCCTAATCCCAGTTGATCAATATGACAGCAGAATTTCAGGAAACCTTACTTTAAGACTGATACTTCTTTCTTCTTTACGGGGTCTATCCCCTGATGCTTGACTTCCTGAGGTATCAGGCCATAATTACTAACTCAACGGTACAGGAGCTGATACTTTTGCTTCAGTTAAGTAGTTCATTCATTTTGGCATGGTTTCCTTCTAATTTCTTATTTGTCAAAAGCACACCTCCAGCTGAGTTGGCTAGATCATTTCCTGTTTTTTCAATTAGTAGGGGAGAGGAGAAGCAAAGTCTGATATTTCCGGCTAGATAAGCTGATGGGAAACAAGGTACCTAGCCCAGGCCTTCTGATACAGGTATGCATGTTGACCCTCAGGGACCATGTCTCCAGATCTCAAGCTCTTCCCCTGTAAAAGGAAAGAACTGCATATGGTGATCTCTAACATCTTTCCTTGGTCTAAAAGCTTGCGATTCTACAAGCACTAACCTCAGTGTCATCTTCAAATAAATGTGGTCATATCTGTGGCTTAACTTCAAGGCAGTCATAAACTAGAAGTGGAATTTCATTATTTATAAAAGCAAAAAAAAAATTGTCCAATTTTAAGGGATGAATTAACATTTACAAAGAATTCTATTATACAGGTGTTCACAGAACAAAGAATATAATTCTTTGTAAATGTTTTAAATATTTGTGTTAGAAGAGCATTTAATAGAGTAAGAATATGATGATTATTAATTCCAATTCTTTTAGATATGTACATGCAGAGGCTTAGAAAATAAAAACCTCCTGGAAGCATATAAAACAAAATGACATCAGTGGTCACCTGTGAATGCAGCTAAACTATACTCGGGTTTTACTTTCTTCTTTTGTGCTGCTCTGTATTCAAAGAGTTTTCTGCAAATGCATGGATTTCATTTACAATCAGAAAAAAAAAAAACTATTTTAAAAGTGAGATCGCCTAAACTTGAAACAGCAGGTCTCTAATCTGAGACTATTTTATTTCAAATAAAATCTTCAGGGGCTGAGTACAGTGGCTCACACCTATAATCTCAACACTTTGGGAGGCAGAGGTGGGAGGATCACTTGAGGTCAGAAGTTCAAGACTAACCTTGGCAACACAGCGAAATTCTGTCTCTAGAAAAAAATAAAAAATTAGCCAGGCAGGGTGGTGTATGCCTGTAGTCCCAGCTACTTGGGAGGCTGAGACGAGATGATCACTTGAACCCAGGAGGTCAAGGTTGCAGTGAGCTATACTCACACCACTGCACTCCGGGCTGGGCAAGAGTGAGACTGGTCTCTAAAAAAATAAAATAAAACTTAAAAATCATCAGAGGATGAGCCCCCAATTCAAAAGTGCAGGAAAGGAATCATATGACATCCCAGCACATTTTTCGCTGTACATGTGGATGAAAACCAATAACATGAATATAAAAGTAAAATCCTATTTTTGAAATTCAGTTACTAAGATACAATCGCATGTGTACCTACAACACACCCCAATGATTTCCTGATTGCATCTAAAAAGATTCAGTGTACTGGTCCTCTGAAAGGAAAATAGCTGCTTTAATATTCTAAGTTAAAAAGATAAGGATGTTTCTTTGTCTTTATTGCAATGAAAACGAATTCTATGAGAGGAAGGGAGAGACAAGAACTATTTGAAAATCTGATGAAAGCTATAATTGCCCTCAAAAGGCTCCTTGATTTTGTGGACTGTCCCTATTAGAGAAAACTATTCTAAATATCTGAAAATTTATGTGAATCATAACAGTCTGTATTGGGTTGTGATTCTTCCAGAATCAGACCCCAAGACAAGAACTTCAGTGCATGTAGTTTATCTGGTAGGTGGATATGGGAGATAGGGCAGGGAAGTCCATAAGGGGTGCACTGAGTCAGTTTTCACAGTGAACAAATGGGTCTTACTTCCACTGGGCACTTCTGCCAGACTACAAAGAACACACCTCAAAGATATCCCAACTAAGGGGTGAAGATGCTGAGCTACTGACTGAGGGTTGCTCCTGCAGGGATAACCCACTGGCACTTCTTACCTGCCCCAACACAGGTAGGTGGCAGAGAAGTCTTCTGGCTAAAAATTCTAGAATATTGCAGTAGAAAGTTGTCAGGTCATTTCAAGTGCCACAGGATGTGGACAGAGCACAGACAGAATCTGCTGCCAGGTTGTTCCTACCTACTGAGAACAATAAGAAAGTAAAAATGCCCTTACTGAGATTAAAATGCAAACCTCTGTGTCTAAAACACTGGGCACCTACTCTATGCCAGGTACTGTGCTGGGTGCTGAAGACAAAAAAAAAGAATGAATCAGTTTCATGACTTTTAAAGTCCACAATCTAGTGAGGAAACAGCATATAGATATGTTATCAAAAAATAATAAAACTCTAATAAAAAGATTTAAAAAGTGGCACCAGGGGTCCTTGGCGTTTCAAATGGAAAGGTGAACTTCCTTAAGACAGCTATAAAAGTATCTAACTTTTCTTCTAGTAGAAAGAGCAGAGATCTTACCCTGGTGACAACAAGAACAAAAAACACAACACAATCGCTAATTCATGATTTTCTTTAACCCATCAGAGAGCTGATATCTCAGTATAACTAACTAGCCTGAAATCTAAGGAAGGAAAGGCATCTCCAAGGTTGGACTTGCTTACCTGGGACAGATGATGCTGGACACTAGTAAAAAGAACTGAGTTAAAAATGTTTAGCAAATTGCTAAATGTTGAATGTGGGCAGGCAAGAGAATACAGAACCCCACAAGGCATCAGTCAGGTGGTGAATTCATACCTCTTGAGGGCTCTTCTACATGGACCTCCCCTGATGCTAATTTTAAAAAGATTGGCCAGAGTCCTGAGAAGGCCTCCCACTGAGTGCGGGGCTGGGGAGGGGAGCAGCAGCTAGTGTGGGAGAGGCAAGAAATCCTGCCTGGATCCTCCTCTCCTATCTCTACTATGGAACAGCCTTACACTGCTGAGGGAAAGGCAAAAAACCCGTCTTCCTTAGGGCACTGGTGAAAAACCATTGCAAATGGGAAACAGGCAGTAAATTTTCATTTCCAAAATGAATTACGGAAAACATTTTATGCACAAGCAGTTGTCAAATTATTCTTGCCTTCACTTAAAATCTCATGGTTTTTTAAAAAATTTTTTATTGGGCTTAACTTTGACACTTCCGATGTAATTCTGTGAATTCTCATCAATAACTGATTTCTGAGGCCCAATGCTAGGAGTGGGCAGGGGTTCAGTAATCAACACAGCCTAGATCTTTTGGTTCTAATAGCTTTGGTATTATAATGTCTTAGAAGTGATATCGTTAACAGCAAGTGAGCCTCAGGGATCCCAAAATGTCATTACTGATTACAGAAAGACACGATTGTTTTCACCTATGTGGCAGCTTCAAGTCAGCCAGAGTCTTGTACTTTCGGAGCTTCCCTCTGTCTTTGCTCAGACCTCTAGGGGCAGCAAACGTGTAAAACGCAGAATATCTGTCGTCGAGTAGCTTCTGTTAAAACTTGTTAATGACTATGAGGATGAAAGAAGTAAAACAATTGTTCTGGTCATCTTTGAGTTGTAGTTTTACTTTGGGAATTAAAATGAAAAAATACCCAGTAAACACAGAAATTTTATTCTGTAATGCATATAATAAATATAATTCATTTAGTATCACCTTGCTTCATAACCAGTGAAAAATCAGAGTCCTCCCCTTTCCTTAGGTTTTTTAATGCTGACCTTGCAAGCCACACAAATTTTACCTGATTTTAAAATTTCATAAGCTAGCTTCAAAGCAAAAAATAAGCTAAGATACAATCTGAATTGCTTTAAATGGATATATATGTATTTTAAACTTTTAGGTTCAGGGGTACATGTGAAGGTTATGTAGGTAAACTTATATCGCTGGGGTATGTTGTACATATTATTTCATCACCCAGGAATTAAGTCCAATACCCCAGAGTTACCTTTTCCGCCCCCTCTCTCCTCCCACCCTCTACCCTCAAGTAGACCCAAGGGTTGTTTCCTTCTTTGTGTCTGTGACTTCTCATCATTTAGCTCCCACTTATAAGTGAGAATATATGGTATTTGGTTTCTGTTCCTGAGTTAGTTTCCTGAGGATAATAGCCTCCAGCTCCATCCATGTTCTTGCAAAAGACCGGATCTTGTTATTTTTATGGCTGCATAGTATTGCACGGTGTATATGTACCACATTTTCTTTATCCAATCTGCCACTGATGGGCATTTAGGTTGATTCCATGTCTTTGTTACTATGAATAGTGCTGCAATGAACATCTGTGTGCATGTGTCTTTATAGCAGAATGATTTATATTCCTCTGGGTATATACCCAGTAGTGGGATTGCTGGGTCGAATGGTAGTTCTGCTTTCAGCTCTTTGAGGAATCACCATACTGCTTTCCACAATGGTTGAACTAACATACACTCTCACCAA
Source organism: Homo sapiens (assembly GCF_000001405.40). Lineage (NCBI taxonomy): Eukaryota > Metazoa > Chordata > Mammalia > Primates > Hominidae > Homo > Homo sapiens. The sequence goes on along the minus strand of NC_000002.12, from coordinate 158,473,203 downwards.
CCGTATATAAGTGTTCTCTTTTTTCTGCAACCTCACCAGCATCTGTTATTTACTGACTTTTTACTAACAGTCATTCTGACTGGTGTGAAATGGTATCTCATTGTGGTTTTGATTTGCATTTGTCTAATGATCAGTGATACTGAGCTTTTTTTTACGTGCTTGTTGACCACATGGATGTCCTTTTTTGAAAAGTGTCTGTTCATGTCCTTTGCCCACTTTTAAATAGGGTTGTTTTTCTCTTGTAAATTTAAGTTCCTTATAGATGCTGGATATTAGACCTTTGTCAGATTCATAGTTTGCAAATATTTTCTCCCATTCTGTACGTTGTCCCATTACTCTGTTGTAAATGGATATATTTTAACATTTCATGCTTGTAACATTTAACATAAATCTATGCTATAGTCTGTAGCCTTTTTTTCACTGCTTTTAAAAAATTAGATGACTGGCTTCTTCACAGGAAAAGCATAGGTTGCAATGAGTATGCAGATCTTTTCCTTTTCTCTATCTGACCCAATTTGGTTGAAAAGACATAAAAACTGATATGGTCAGCCTGAAGATAGTTTTTAATTCTTTTTTTTTTTTTTTTTTTTTGAGATGGAGCCTCGCTCTGTGTCCCAGGCTGGAGTGCAGTGGCTTGATCTCTGCTCACTGCAAGCTCCACCTCCCAGGTTCCCACCATTCTCCTGCCTCAGCCTCCCGAGTAGCTGGGATTATAGGCGCCTGCCACTGCCCTAGGCCAATTTTTTTTGTATTTTTTTAGTAGAGACAGGGTTTCACCGTGTTAGCCAGGATGGTCTCGATCTCCTGACCTCATGATCTGCCCGCCTCGGCCTCCCAAAGTGTTGGGATTACAGGCGTGAGCCACCACGCCCGGCCTAATTCTACTTTTTAAAATTCATTTTAAATTTTTTAGAAACTAAAAGATAAAATTGTATGTATTTATTGTGTACAGCACGATGTTGAAGTATACATACATGTGGAATGTTAAATCCAGCTTATTAACAAATGCATTACTTAACATAGCTGTCATTTTTGTGGTGAGAACCCCTAACATCCACTCTCAGCATATTTCAAAAATATATTATCATTAACGATATTCACCATGCTGTGCAATAGATTCCTTGATCTCATTCTTTCAATCTAACTAATTATATATTCTTTAACCAACATCTTCCTATTGATTCACTTTCAGTTCTGTGCTAAGCTTCCTAGATAGCGCTTTTTGGTACAGAAAAAGAGCTGAGGAAGAATGCATTTTTACTCTATACCTTTCAGAAACCACTTGATAAGCTATATTTAAATTTTGGCTATGAGTAGAATGAGACCAAATAATTTAGGCATGTTTAATTTTTCAATAATCAGAAGTGTTTAAATGCCATTGTTAAGTTTAATGAGGTATCTAAAAAAGGAATTACTTTTCAATGACTAGTTCTTTTTTCTTTGAAATAATGCTTAGTTCAATAAACGGCATTTAATAGAAGAAATAAATTGTCCTGATTTTGTAACTATGAATAAGATTGGAGAAATATTAAAACAGGCATTCACTGATATTTAGTTGGATGATACTGCTTATGTCAAATCAACTAGAAGAGATGAATCTTACTTCCAGTATGTCTTCTCTCATGTGTGATGAGCCTCTGCTACTGCAGTGATGTGCACAATTTGAAATAAAGCACAATTCTTCATGTCAGCACTTGAAGGCTTTTTTTGACAATGAGCAAAATGTTAGACATTTCAGTGTGAATAGATCTCATGATCCAGAAAATACGAGCAGACAATCTAATTGTTCTTGACTGTAAAAATTAAATCTGATACTAAATTTAATCCAGGAATCTATTCATGTAGGGTTTTTCCCCCATTTTAAACAAAAATTAAACTTGCACGCCTAAGCATCTACACTGATGAAACATTCTGGAAGAAAATTCATGCTATGTGATTTACAACCTATCCTCCTTACTCCCTGATTTCTTTTAATTCTATTCTTTGGCTTTCCTCACTCCATCCATTACCACGCTTAAGTCCACTCTATCTTAAAACTTTTTCAACCAAAACCTTGTTTTGGGCCATCATTCTCTCTCCTTCACCTCCAAGGCTCTGAGAGATTCCTCTGCTCATGGTGGGTGCAGAGTGTTTGCTGAGGAGCTAGTTTGGTGGCTGGGGTGAAGGGGCATTGAAGCTGTGTTTGTAGCAAGCATGCTGTTTTTAAATTGGGATGGCTTAACAATACTCTCAGAAATTTTCATTCTCAATGGTTTTCACCAGTGCCCTAAGGAAGACTGGGGTTTTCTGCCTTTCCATCCTCGGGTTGCTGCTCCCCTCCCCAGCCCCGCACTCAGTGGGAGGCCTTCTCAGGACTCTGGCCAATCTTTTTAAAATTAGCATCAGGGGAGGTCCATGTAGAAGAGCCCTCAAGGGGTATGAATTCACCACCTGACTGATGCCTTGTGGGGTTCTGTATTCTCTTGCCTGCCCACATTCAACACTTAGCAATTTGCTAAACATTTTTAACTCAGTTCTTCTTACTAGTGTCCAGCATCATCTGTCCCAGGTAAGCAAGTCCAACCTTGGAGATGCCTTTCCTTCCTTAGATTTCAGGTTAGTTGTTTATGATATTTCAACTCTCTGATGGGTTGAAGAAAATAATGAATTAGATTGTGTTGTGTTTTTTGTTCTTGTTGTCATCAGAGTAGGATCTCTGCGCTTTCTTTCTTTCTACCACAAAAAAGTTAGATACTATTACAGTATCTATTTGAACTAGGTCTTGAAGGACTTTGAAGATGTGAACCTAGAGTGGAGGGAGACAGAGAACAATGAGTAGAAACTAGACTTGCTGATGTGGAGGGTTCAGGAAGGAGAGTAATTAAGGTTTGACTGTAACGGGCCTTATATGGTAGGTCGCTGGGGAATGTGAATATGATCCAGCAGGGTAAACAATGGAGAGCCACTGAAGGTTAGAAGAGAAGGGGATAACTAAGGTTGTAAACAAAGTATTTAAGTATTCATTCACTCAAAGAAAGCATCGTTGCTTACTATATGTTAGGAATACTGCTACATGAGAGAATTACAGTGATGGCTATGACACAGTTCTAACCTGCTGAGAGCTCAAATAGCCAGGAAACAGACACAGAAACTATTCACAATGTGACAAGTGTTCAAAGCAGAGTTATGTGCAAAGTGATGACAAGCACAGGTGGGAAGGTTGAAATCTGGAGTTGGGCAGAGCGAAGGGCCAGGGAAGGCTTCATTAAAGAGGGGTCATTGAGTTAGACCCTGAAGAAGAAAAACAAGGGCTCACCAGGCAGAGAAGGACATAACAGGTAATCACAGAAAAACCTTCAGGAAATACACAACTTATTGGGAGGATCATATTTCTGTGAAAGTAAATAGTGCTGAGGTTATATCATTCAAATACAGAAAATGGATCAAATCCTTAAAAGCACCATATTAAAAATGAATGTTACTGTATAGCTATATTTTAGGACTGATTGTACAGTCAACACTTACCTTCTCAGCTAGGATTCTGGAAGACTGAAGTATTGATAATAAAAATATTAGAATGAACATAAAAGTAATACTGAACAAAGTATAAAGCTTGTTAAGTAATCTGATGGTATTTTAAACTATGAAAATAAAGATTTGACCTTCAAGGTAGAAAAGACATTAATAAAAACTAACCAAAGTATCAATCACGAAGACTTCATTTAGCCAGATGCAATTTCAACATATTTCTCTGGCAGAGGTATGTACAACAGTCACACAAAAAGCACGGTGGGAAGGAGGGGATAAGAAAATCACTTTAGAAAATGTCTTTTCTGGCCGGGTGTGGTGGTTCACGCCTGTAATCTCAGCACTTTGGGAGGCCAAAGCAGGCAGATCACCTGAGGTCAGGAGTTCGAGACCAGCCTGACCAACATGGCAAAACCTCATCTCTACTAAAAACACAAAAATTAGCTGGGCATGGTGGTGTGCACCTGTAATCCCAGCTACTCGGGGGGCTGAGACAGGAGAATAGCTTGAACCCAGGAGGCAGAGGTTGCAGTGAGCTGAGATCACCCCACTGCCCTCCAGCCTGGGCAATAGAGCAAGACTCCATCTCAAAAAAAAAACAACAAAAAAGTATTTTCTGGCTAGGTATGGTGGTTCATGCCTGTAATCCCAGCACTTTGGGATGCTGAGGCAGGAGGATTGCTTGTGGCCAGGAGTTCGAGACCAGTCTAGGCAACATGGCCAGATCGCCCCTACAAAAAACAAAAACAAAAAAATTAGTCGGGCATGGTAGCATGTGCCTGTAGTCCCAGGTACTCAGGAGGCTGATGCGAGTGGGTCCCTTGAGCTCAGGAATTTGAGGCTGCAGTGAGTTATAATAGTACCGCCACTGCACTCCAGCCTGGGTGACAGAGTGAGACCCTGTCTCAAAAAAAAAAAAAAAAAAAGAAGAAGAAGAAAAGAAAATGTCTAATTTCTTTTCTTCTAGGAATGAAACAATCCTCACCTTTTAAAGTATCAGGTATGCTTACTGGCTTCAACCTAACGACTGGATTAATTCCAATCACATAGGAAAATACTGTCTTCATCTTACATCCTCACCTTGCCTGTTAACATGGTGCACTATCAACATTTTTTTGCAAGAATATTACCTATGATCATATATAAGTGAAATTCTGAAAGAGCCAACATTCATGATTACATTTTAAAATATAATATTGTTATAGAAAATTAAATGTGCCTGCTATCTAAAGAAAAAAATATAACAAAACCAAACAAATCCTGAAGCCAAGCTACAAAGCAACTTCATGAATTCTACTTAAAATCAATGGGGTTTTCCTAAAAAATAAGGTAAACTTATGGGAAGTACTATTTGTAAAACAGTAACAAAAGATAAAAGACTTGATTTTATAGACAAGTTTTTGTAATTTACCAAAGCTATAAATCTACCTTACAAAATTCTTTATTTTAATTCACCAACACATTGATAAAGATGGCTGGATTACTGAGGTCTCAGATAATTCAGTGCATAATGTAGAAAGAAAGTTTTAAAAATTATGATTCAATGCAGCAATTGTATTCCTGGGCATTTCCCCCAGAGAAAAGTATACTTATGCTAAACTGTACATACATATTCATAGCAACTCTATTTGTAATAGCTATAAGTTGGAAACAACAGGTGAATGGTTAAGCAAACTATGGTACATCCATATTATGGAATATTACTTGGCTATAAAACAGAACAGACTATCGATACACGCAGCAACCTGGAATAATCTCCAAAGAATTATGCAAAATGGGAAAAAATATCCCAAATCACATACTTTATAAATCTATTTATATAATATTCTTTTTTTATTTTTTTATTTTTGGAGATAGAGTTTCACTCTATTGCCCAGGTTGGAGTGCAGTGGCACTATCATAACTCACTGTAGCCTCAACCTCCTGGGCTCAAGCAATCCTTCTACCTCAGCTTCCCAATTACCTGAGACTACAGGCACATGCCATCGCACGCAGCTAATTTTTAAAATTTTTTTTAGAGACAGCGTCTGGCTATGTTGCTCAGGCTGGTCTTGAACTCTTGGCCTCAAGTAATCTTCATATCTTAGCCTCTGACAGTGCTTAGATTACAGGAGCGAGCCACCGTGCCCACATTTTTTTTTTTTTTTGACAAGGTCTCACTCTCTCACCCAGGATAGAGTGCAGTGGTGAGATCATGGCTCACTGCAGTCTTGCCCTCCCAGGCTCAAGTCATCCTCCCACCTCAGCTTCCTCAGTAGCTGTAACTACAGGTGTAGGCCACTAGCATTCTTAAAATGACAAAACTATAGTTGTAATGAAAAATGAATGGTTGCCAGAGATTTAGGAGGCGATGAGAGTAGGAGAGATGAGCGTTGTGGTGATGGAAATGTTGTGTATCTTGATTACATCAATGTTAATATCCTGGTTGTGACATTGTAATATAGTTTTCAAGATGTTACCACTGGGGAAAACAATATAAAGGGTACACAGGATCTTTCCTTCTGTAAATTTTATTACAGTGATTATGTGAGGTTGGGAAAGGGACAACCAAAATGTATAAGAATATTTCTATCTACTATATTAAGACCAAACAAAGGTTTACTTACTATACCAACTAGGTCAAAACAAGCTATGAAATTTTGTTTCATTACTCTTAACATTTATGTAATTTTATAGTACCAATAACCCTTAGCATTTTTGTAACATTTCCCCTTTGAAAAACTTCATGTGCTTTAAATTATATCTACTTCTGTCTTAACTCTTCAACTGAGTATACAAAGATATTACTGATTCACAAAAGGTACAGATACAGAAAGTTTGCTCAATATCACACTTTCAAAGCTTAGCTTAGTCTTGGTGCTTGATTGGTGCCTATTAGTAGTATGATAAAGAGCATTATGAAAACTCATCTCACTATGGTTATAATCCAGGCAATTAAGTTTAAAATGAATATGAACCAATCTGTTTAAAATCTTCTAATTAATTTCTTTTTGAAATGGAGTTTCGCTCTGTCACCCAGGCTGGAGTGCAGTGGTGCAATCTCTGCCCACTGCAACCTCTGCCTCACGGGTTCACGTGATTCTCTCACCTCAGCCTCCCAAGTAGCTGGGACTACAGGCGCCCGCCACCACGCCTGGCTAATTTTTTTTTTTTTGTATTTTTAGTAGAGATGGGGTTTCACCATGTTGTCCAGGCTGGTCTTGAACTCCTAATCTCAAGTGATCCACCTGCCTCAGCCTCCCAAAGTGCTGGGATTACAGGTGTGAGCCACTGCACCCAGCCGTTAATTTCTTTACTAAGGAATTTGGTATAATGAATTATTTATCTAGCAAGTTGTATTAGAAAAGCATTTTTTTAAAGTCTAAATAGTTTTTTCCTTTGAAACATGCAGGATAAATGGTATCAGGGTCTCAGACCAGTTTACAAAAGGACAGAGGATAGGTACTAGGCACAAACAGACACGATTATCCAAGAGTAGCAGGTGAAGGTGTTCAAAACTAGAATTCAAACTCATTCATTCACTTAAGGTATGTAGAACCACTGGAGGTCAAGATTTAAGTCCTGTAGAAAGATAAAGTCCCTGCTGTTGAGTAGCTTAGAGCAGGACTATTTTCCCATGGAACTGATATACTATAGTTACACTACAGGACGGGAGATTTATGGATTAATGTTGCTTCTGTGAAAAATTATATTCACAGTTCTAAATAATATTTTGGAAGACTGACACTTGCCGATATACTATCCGAAGATTTCAGACTGACACTTATTTTTCATCTGTTGACAGTCTGAATTAGACCTTTAACATCTGAGTTGTTTATCACAGGTCTCAGACTAATAGTATTAATAGTTCTTGTGAAGTCCAGTTGGATTTTGTGATTCCTTAGTCAGTGCCTTTTTTAAACAGACTTACTGCTTATGTAGTTGTCGACAAAATGACAGTAAGTGAAAAATTCCCATCAGTGCATCATTCTGAGATTCAAAGTAAGATTCAATGAGACCATTTATTCTAGCATACATCACGAGAGATTTTGAAACATTCTGTTTATTCATAACAATGGGAGGGAATATTTTCAACAGCAAGTTTGGGCTTATAAAGGCACACAAATTACATAGAGAATAAAAGAAAAGCACAAAACACAATAAACGAAAATACTGCTGCATGAAAAATAAAAATAAGAATGTAATAAAATGGCAGGTCTTACAGCATAAATTATGGTTTCTCATAAATCATGTATTGTCATTATGATTAATTATTTCACATAGGCTATATGGTAAAGTGTTTCAAGAGATACAGCCAAAATAATCAAGTTCATGATTAAAACTTATTTTGAAATCACTATTTATCTTTGGTGCAGACTTTTCCCAAAGAAAGCTAATGAGAGTGGTTAGTGCATATCTCTAGAATCGGGTAATTTATCATGTAATACACAATTAAGCAAGTAGAAGTATGAGCTACAACCTAGTTATTTTATAGCTCATCCTTAATACTTATGAAACAATGTTACATGCTTATTTATATACCAACATTTCTAGGACAATCTTCTCTACCTCATGTGTCTTATCTTTCCCAACCAGACTGAAAAATGTATCATGGATTCCTTAAAGACCGAGACTCCCATTACTGAATCTAACACAGACAGTAAGTATCCCTGGAGGAAGTCATCTTTTTGGCCATAAGGCCTATCAGTCTGATATGGAGTAGGGGACTAAAAAATGTTGGTTAAAATGAACTAAAATGAATCATTTCAAATAAGTAGTATCGTTTTAAATAAGTATGCAAAATGAAACACAATACTGCACACACAGCAGGACTCCAACAAATATCTAAAGTACTAATTGTCTACAGTCCCCTCACTTGCACCCCTAGTGGTATACAGGAATAAAGTTACCTTTAATTCATCAAACAGTCCCTGTTTCCCACTCAACTCAGGGTACAGGTGTCAGAACACATGATCCATTTCACTGCAAAGTGGTAAATAATGGTTTCTATTTTACATGAGTGTTTACAATTCTCATGAAGGTATGGGAACAACAGCCAGTTCTTCAAGGGTTTATTTTGATCGTGACATTGACAATTCATTTAATACTGCATACAATAGTAGTATAATTAATGCTTCCCTTTGCAAATAATGTGCTTATTGCATTAGCAAAGGGGAAGAGCTAACCTCAATATTTTTAAACAATTGTTTTATAGATAAATACATACTAGAGTTCTATACGGATTTTTTTTCTCCACAAAGGAAGAGAACAGGGTCTAGGAGAAACTTTCATCACTGAATTTTTAAATTACTTTTTATAGAAGAGCACAAATCCAAGTAAAAAATTCTCCTCATGAAATCTGCCACAATTTCTGAACACTGGTAGATTGTCTATATGTAAAAATTAGACTTGAATGAAAAGTCCCTCTATTCTATGAGATATGGATTGACGAGTTCCCTATGAACCTAAAGTATTCATACAAAATGTTTTCAGAGGAGCAACTCTGTCAGTTGTTTAACTTCTCTGAGGACAAATCAAACCATCTGAGCAAGTAAGAAGTGGATCTTTCTCACTGTAACAAGACTAGTCCCTTCTAACCACCATGCTAAATCCCCTTTCTTGTTTCTATCCAACTTCTGAAAAATGTAGTCTCAATCAGAGGTGAAGCCTCCAATGTGCACAGGGGACTGGTTGTAGACAAGTAAGTCCCAGAAGTCAGGGCTGTGACAAACTGCAGATGTGCAGCTCCATAAAGGCTCACTGCTCAGCTCCTGCCCCGAGGGGCCCCAGGGATCCTCACTCCTGGAGCACTTCACCACTACCGCACAAGACACGGAGCCACTGACTCAGCCACAGAGGGGTCACAGGTTTGTCTGGCTGCGACACATATTTTCAGGAGCTGAGAATTTCAAGTATACAACTTCAATTTTCCCTCCTTATCCCAGAGGGTAAATTGTCATAAATCCTTGGGAAGACAGCATATTCTTGCTGAGGAAAAAATGTAATGGCTTGATGTTCTAAGAGTTGCGAAATGTAAGTACTAGAGGGACTCTAGAGAGCATCTAGACCAACTCCCTCATTTTATAGACAAGAAAACTAAAGCCCACGAGAGTTACATGATGTGCTCATGGGACACACACCTGCATAGTGGCAAAGCCAGGACTAGAACTAGAGCCTCTTGATATCTATTTAACCACTGTCTGTTGATTTATATCATGTATATTCCAAACCCCCTTCCTCTTTTCTAGCCTTTCTTGATTTGGGAGTCTCCTGCTGATTTCAAATATCCTTTTTTTTTTTTTTTTCAACTGTGATCACTTTCAGACAGAAAAGCCAGCTTAAAGAGTTAATTTACAAGCTGCATTTGGGCAAATGGTGTTAAATGATGAACACTTTCTAACGCTTTATTCATGTACTGACTAGCAAAGACATTTTATAAAATGACTACTACCTGGGATTACAAACGCAATAATTGTATACATTCTCCTATACTTGTTGGCTAGCGGTGGTTAATGCCTCTCTAAGTATTGCCTACCGCAAGAAGCTACAACTTCCCTACTTAAAAAGGCCCTTAATTACTGTGCTGGATTCTCTTTTCTACAATGTCCTGCAAACTATCAAGCTCACAATGGTTTCTGTTCAGCAGTTTATTTCTTCTCTGAAATATCCTGTTGAAATCCATAATCATTTTGACAAAACCCACACAGAAAGCAAGCCAATAATTTCCCTGGCATTTGGTAAATGCTGCAGAAACCATCATAAAAGCACCACAATGTAAAAATAATTATTTCAATGTATTAAGCGCTGGCTCTGAACCAGCTCCTGTTGTAAGCACTTTACATGTATTAATTCATTTAATCTCCCCAACAACCATATGAAGTGGGTACTTTTATCACTCCATCCTACAGATGAGCAAAACGAGGACCACAGAGATTATACAATCTGCCAGGTTACACAGCCAGCAAGTTGCAGTGCCAGAATTGGACCCTGACAGTAAGGCTGCTAATCATGACACCTCACTACCTTAATGACACTTCATGAGCCTCACTGAGTATGAAGGTGAAATCCCAAGCACTTTCCCTGGCCAAAACTACCATATGTAATCTCAGACTAGGGTAGAGGCAGACAGCAAGACTTTGAAAACATGTGCTTCATCCCTTCCCCTCACTTCCCAAAATGATATTGTTTTAAAACAAAACAATTAAAAATGAATGTGAAGAAGGTTCAAAAGTCTCAAAAGAGAAATTCAACTTCCTTGTTGCCATGATTTGAGGTACAAGGGGAAACAGGGCTGATTATGTATATTCAAGCTTGGAAAAGTTTTTTGTTCTTTTTTTTTTCTTAAGAAAAATTTTTAAAAACCACTGTGAACTTCAGGAATCTTGAGCTAAAATATAACTTAGATCAATATAATCCAAATTGTATTTTTAAAAGGAGGAAGCTATCATCCAAACATTAAATGGTTTGTCAAGGTAATAAGGTTTAATGGCAGATCTCCTAATTTCTGATTTGGGATGCTTTTTACTTCCCTCATGCTTGCAATTCAGACACAGCTTGCAATGGGCCAAAACTTCAGATACCACCTAGCCAGTGTTTCAAAAGTCTATTTGTAAACTGATTGTGGGTTTCTATGAAAAACTGCATTCCAAGTTTCGGGCCAGGCCCCAAAAGCCTGCATAGTACCCTGATAGCCTCACTTCAAATACATATTTTACCTAACCTTCATATACAGTATCATTTTTGTGTCAAACCCCATACCTGTTTTAAATTCAACCTGGAATACAGGACACCAATGTCTACATTTTATGTACATGGTCTCAGGCCATAAGGAGCTTCCTCTGCCTTGCCAAGCTCACAGATGTGGTGATGGCATAGTGTGTGTGTGTTGTGGCAGGGTGGTGGGGGCAGTGTAGGGGCACAGATGAAGGAAGAGCAGTACTAACACCATTAAATATTTGCAACTCACCCAATTTATATTTAGTGGAGAGGAAACTATAGAAGTCAAACATGCCTCAGATGTCAAAGAAAGGTGCTTCCCCTGGCCCCCTCCCTCCCTACCCTATATTGTGAGTTCTGGATTTTGTGAAGACTGTATTATTCTATATCTAGCTACCTGGATTGGCACCCACCCAGTCACCAGGCATTATTCCATTCAGGAAAAATGCTTTGCAATCACATGACTTACAATAACTCAGACACTTCCACATTTTAATTTATATATTTGGTAGTAATAAAATCTCACAATACAATCCCTAACAACATTTTATCAGCTGCAATGAATCATTATATATGAGTCATAATAAACTATAATGTTATCAAGACTATGAATAATAAAATGATCAGTGATATAGCCAACATTTATTGGTATATCAAACAAATCTGAATTATGAAAAGGAAAAACAACAGGTCAATGATGAAGAAAATGTCTGCAACATTCCTAAGTTTAATTGAAGATCACCATCATGTAACATCCCCAATTTAGTAATGGTAACATAGCACACTAAATTAAGATAATTCCACTGAATTATTAAAGTGACAAGGTAAGAAATATTTGAATGTTATGCAACTTCTGAACTGAAACCAGCAAGTACATGAATTACTGTTCTTGGCAACTTAGAGCCTGATTACCTTACCTTGAAATAACCCTGTTATTTCTTATCACTGAGCATCGAACTGACCTGCTGACTGCTATCATCACTTCCATTGATGTAAGAATGAAAGCTTACATCCACGTATCTTAAAAGTTTTCCTTCTTTTCTCTATTTGCAGCTGTCTGTAGTGTTGTCTGGCTGTGAAATAGTTATTTAATTCTCCAAACATACCTAGTCCTCTGGTGTTATGTTTCAGATTCTTCTTCCCCCTTCAGTGCAGGAAGGGCACTACAGAATCATTTCACACATTGAAGGAGTAACTATCTCCCTGTACACTTGAAGGCGTGAAGGCAAACTTCCCAAACTGACATACAATACCATAGGCATTTATGCCCTAAAATAACCCTATAGTAACCTCTATTTTACCTTCCATTTAAGAATGAAGATATGATGTCCATTTTAGAATTAAGCAAGGTAGGGAATTACTGCTCAATTGAAACAGAAAGAAAAACACATTAGATTACAGAGCATTCTCAAAATACCTTAATATTTCAAAAGAGTCAGGTAAGAGACTAGACTTACCTGATGGTTGGCATCATCCAGGGTATGAATATTATTTAAATTGATCCCTGGGTAACAGCATGGAAATTACTAAGGTCAAAAATTGCCAATAATTGCATTTTCAAAAATTAAAGCGAGTTTCAAATTTTTACATTAAATTTACTTTGCCTATTTACAAGAAAAGGAAGAAAACTGCGATTCTAATTTAAACCTAATCCAAATACTCAAGGTCATAGAAATGCTAAAATTTTTATTAAACTGAATTTGGTAGTAGTTTCTTTAAATTCATATCATGTCAGAACTAGTCACAAAATTAGATTTGATTTATTCAGCTTATAAATGCATTACTGCTGCAATAATGTATATAATTTTACTTTCTGGCTGAATACTAGCTGCCCCTAGTTTCTTCTTCCCTTGTTTTCCATCAATACTCTGCTCCCTTATCTCCCTCCAAAAACAATACAGGTAAAAATTAAAATAATTGGATATTTAGCTTTCCCAACTTAGACTCTTCAGTATAATACATAAGACACCAGATGCAGCACCCTCTCCTTACATAATAGTAGGGGGTGGGGAGGGAATGCACTTTGGTCAAAATACAATTTCGGTTATTTTCAATTGTGTAGGATCACTAGTTGAAAAACTTCCACTCTTTGAATATCTGTAACAAATAGAAAGCATTTCTAACTGAAAGGTTACCTTTACCTGAAGCAGGCAAAACTATCTGCACAGCCAATCGTGTGTGTGTGTGTCGTGTGTGTGTGTGTGTGTGTGTGATCCATACATCTGAACAGGGTTTTCAATTTCTAATGCGGCAGGGAAACTAAATTTGCTTTTACTTCCCAATCTTGACATCAAGTCAAAAAAGCACGGGTTAAGCATGGGTTAAACACTGCTGTAATATGATACTGTTACATAATAAAAGTTTCCTGTTGGCATTTACAAACACCTCCCAATATCCTCCACAGTGTTACTGGACACAAATTAAACCTCTAAATTAGAAGATTCACTGATTATGCACATAGCTGAAAAACAACGTAGCAACCAAAACATAAACGTTTCTGAGTGCAAAATATTTTTTTCTATTTTTTTTCCTTTCTGTTGAGTCCTTAACTAAAGGCTCCTATTTAATAGTTTTCAATGTCCATGATCTACACAAAGTAGGTGTTGGAAGAAAGCTGATTGGTCAGACAACTGACTTATTATTTTACTGAATCTGACATAAAATAACCAGGTGCAAAGAGGTTTATCATAAATGCAACCTGCAAAGCAAATTGTGTCAAATAAAAACACACATATGATGCTTTTCAACACCCAGAAACACTTATTTCAGACATTAGTTGTTCTCGTTTTCATGTTGCCATTTTCCATAACTGTTTCACAGGCACCAAAACGAAGATACTCCTACAGCAATATACTGCATTCAAGAAGAGAAGCATTCTTCTAGTTTCTCTTTAAAAATAAAAAGAATCTAAGCTCAATTCTAGCGAACCATTTTCTGTCAAAATTTTGCTCTCCCGTATTAAGGAAAACAAAATTTGACCAAAAATGCATACTAGCCATCATTGATTTTACACGTAAATAATTACCGTTCTTTAAAACTTGTAGGGCAGCATTTATTTTTTTTTTTCAGTCAAACTCAGTAACAAAGAGAAAAAACTGAGACCTCCACTAATAAATTACATCTTGAAATATACATGATTGTGGTGTCCCCGTGTTACTTTCAATGGTAACTGACACGTCCCGAATTTAACTGTACCAGACAGTTCTATCTGTCCCATCGCTGACCGAACAGTGCTTCTCTGTTTCTATTCATTATGTATTATACGAGGTCTAAACACAGCCCAGTATGACGAGGGAAAAAAATTACACTTCTTAGGATACCAAAGTGATGCATTCAAGATCTCTCTCGCAGTACATGCCCGTGAGCACTAACAGGCATTTTTTGATAGAGCTAAAATATGTTGGCTGCAAGCTCATTACTCTAACAACCTTCAGGCCCCCTGTTTCTGCTGGTTTTCAGAAAACCCTAGTGAAAACCAGGCACTATCCAAACCTTGCACACCAAACTTGCCAACAGCCCTGTGCAATGATCAATAACCTTGGCTACACAGTCATCGGCCCCAAATTCACGGTCCTGAAGACCAATGCAGCAAAAACCCAGACGAAAGGCTAGCTGGAGCCCCAAAGAATTACCGCGCTTCCCCTCTGCCGCATGGAGGGAAGCTATGGGAGGAGAGGAGTGGAATGAGGCTCACCAGCTCCGAAGATGCTCCGGTGACCTCTGGCTGCGCGGCGAGAGCTGGGGAGGGAAGGCGCTAGGGCAGCCGCGGCGGGCTGTGTGGACTCTGCCCCTGGTGCATTCCTCGCATTCCTGCACAATCTGTCGCCAGCCCAGGAGCCGGCAGCGCGCGTCCCCCGCTGTACACACACACCTGACTACCGCTGCGCCCCGAGCGGCCACGGCCGCCGCGGCACCTCCACTGCCCGCGCTCGCGGTGTGTCGCACTCAGCCAACACGCAGCCAAATCCCGGCCCCGCCGCTCGCTCTCCGGGTAGCGGTCCAGGGGAGAGGGCCGGCAGCCTCGGCAGCGGGCGGGGATACCAGATCCGCCAGGGAGGTGCCGCAGCTCCGCTTCAACTCCTGGCAGGGAGAGGAGGAAGCGGCGGCGCAGGAGGGCAGCGGCGAGGCTCGGCGCTGGGGAGCCGGGAGGGGTGGAGCGTGAGGATCCGCGGCCGGTAGAGAGGGGCGCACTAGGCAGAGGGGTGGGCAGGACCGGCAAGGAGTACAGGACTTCGGGGACAAACGCAAGACCGCGCGGGCAGCAGGGGCGTGGGAAGACGGGGAGGGGACCAAGGTGCAGGATCTGGGGCTAGAAGGACAGACAGCCGGCCCCGAGTGCTGAGGAGGGCGGGCGCCCAGTGGTGTCGAGGGCGACTTGGGGCGCGCGGCGGCAGGCAGCGGGGAAGCCGCCGCGAGGGCGTCCAGCAGGGCTCAGCGCGGCGCTCAAGTTCGGGGCTGGGAGCTCTGAATCCGAACAGCCCAGCGTGGGCAGAGGTCGTGCGCTGCGCGTACGGGAGACCGGGGAGAGGAATCGCCGGGAAAAGCAAATGGAGGGTGAAACTTGTGCGCCTGCCGGGGGGAGGGGAGCAGCAGGCGAGTGCGGGCAGGAACACGAGGCGGGGCAGGAAAGCCGCGGCGGCCGCGAGGCGCTGGGGACGCGGCAGCGGGAGGGAGGCCCCCGGCCCCCGGCGCGCAGGTCCTGGCCCTGGCGCGTGTTCGGGGCGAGGGCCGAGGGTCTCGTGGGCAGGAGTCTCCGCGCCCTCCCGCGAGCCCACACACTTACTTTCCAGCTTAGGCAGCGGCCGTCGTCGCTCCAGGGATCAGGGACATCGGCGCCGAGGGGTCGCCGCTGCGGCACCCGAAAAAATTAAAAAAGTGCCGCGGCGGCGCGGCTGCCCGCCCCTCCCTCCCCCACCGGCCCCCGCCCCCGGAGCGGCTCTCCCACCACCCCCGGCGGCGGCGGTGGCCAACTTGCCCCTCTACCCCTTGCCCATGGTGCCGCCTCCGCGGCCGGCGTCGACGCGGACTCAGCCCCGGAGCCCCCTCTACTGCCCAGAGGCCGCCGCCGCCGCCCGCCCCGCTGCCAGCCCTCCCGCCCGGCCAGCCCCGGGCTCCCGGGAACGTCAGCACGCCGCCGTCCCCGGGCCAGCTCCCGCCACCCCATTGGCGGGAAGGAGAGGGCTGGCCCTCCCCATTGGCCCGGCCCTCATATTGAACAGGCCAATGGGAGCTGCGGTTTCAGGTCGCCATAGAGACCGATGCTGTTCAGCGCGAGAGGGCCTGGAGAGGGTGGGTGTGAGAGAGAAGGTGTCTCAGGTCTCGGGCGCGGGAGGGGGTGGCGGAGAGGACAGGGAGATTCCCCAGCGCTGGCTCTGAAATCTGGGGCAGGCTTTCCTTGCCTTACTGCCAATCCCAACTGTGCCTGGTAGGGTTTGTCCCTGGCGTCAAAGGTAGGAACAGCTGAGCCCTTAGATGTACCCCTGACGGCGAGAGCCCAGGAGTGGGCGTTTCACTTTTCCTGCGTTTGGGGAGTCCCTGAGGCTATGCCCTTTGACCTTTGACATGTGTGCAGCTTCTGCTTCTCCAGGTGAGTTTGCACCCCATCCCTTCCATCGCTGCTTCCTCCTGACGTCACTGAGCCACCTAAATCCTACTTATGTTTGTTCTCTGCAGCCACTCCCCCTTCCCTGGGGTGGATCTTTCCTCAACGTTTTGGGTCCTCAAACTCATAACTCTTCTGAAAGACTCAAAGAGGATTTCCTTTGAGGATATTTTGGTAAGGGAACGAGGTGGCGGATTGTATGATAGATGCCAAAGCGTCAACACATGAGCTAGCCTGTTCCCTGATTCTCAAAGCAAACCTCTAATCTCCCTGTGGGCAGATATTTATTAAACACATCTGTGTGTACATCCCGCACTATGAGCTTGACAGGTGCATGTTCTTTCACTTGAGAGGTTACAGGCTTGTTAAAGATAGAGGAAACAGAAACAATCCTTCACACCTTGTGATGATTTCACAAAAGAGTAAGGGAAATGGATTACAGTTGATGGATTTTGTTTTCTATTTTCCAGTATCTCTTTAAATTTGATATGGAAATAACCTGAGGCATGAAATCAGTACACGCAAAAATCTTGAGCTTTAATAATGTCTTCTACTTTCATTTAAAATCATTTTGTGGTGGTTTATCAATACTAATTGTTTTTTGTCAATAAATTTTATGTTTAGATATCACCTTCTTAAAGTGAGATTTCATGAACATATTAGGCTTTAAAAGATGATATTGCTCTAGCCTATAGCCACTGATATTCTTACATTCTTTTGGCGATTTTACTTTTTTTAGACTAATCTCTTTAGTAAGGAGACTATGTTACTACCCCTCAAATTGGAGGGACCATATTGTGTGAAAAAGCTGATAGGATTTTGGAAATTACAAATATTTTGTTGGGAGAAACAGGTTAATGTGTGTGCAAGCTGCATATGTCTAAGTATTGTTCTGAATTTTAAGTTGGGTGATATGCTTTGCTACTGGTTTTTATCTTACTATAATTGAAGATTACAAAGATGTAACCTAAGAAATGTTAATATGGTGCCTTGATTGGAAAAAAAAAAACCTCTCCACATTTGTAGTAAAATGTGAACTCAGTTGACAGTCCTACACAGGGTAGGACTGTGGAACAAAACAGGTGAACGTGTGTATGTTCCCCCTAAATATTTTCAGAATTGAGAAGGGATCAGCAGGGGCCAGGAAGTGCTGTGCCATGGCTGGCCATCATGGAAATAGGCTGTTTTTTACTTCTTCCGGCTTTTTAATGTGTGTTTTTGTTTATAGAACAGAAAAAGTAAACCACAAATTGTTATATGAGACACATGTTTAATGAAAAGATACCAATGATTTTGCTTCTTTTAAATTTCAATAACATCAAATGAATGAAAGTTGTGTCTAATGGAAAGAAAAAATGGGTCTTTTCTCTTGCCTTAGGCTAGCATAGAAAGAAGAAAATAAAAGATTATTACTCCAATAATCTTTTTGTGTGGGTGTTTTTCTCAGATGACTATTTTGATATTGTAGATTTCGTGTTTGTCATAATTAAAATGTTACTGAAATCCACCATGAATAATGTCCCCTGAAATAAGTTGCCACTCAACATTAATTTTTTTGTTTATTTTTGTATTTAGTTGAAAGGTTTCTTTTGAACTTGCTCCTGCGCTACTAAGCATTGCTAGACAAGGTTAAAGAATCACTTCATTCCACTAAAAGTTCATGCTATTCAGACTTGGCTGTGTCTTCACTGATTCTCAGTTCCTTTCCTCATCAGGAGGATGATTATCTGGAACACTTATCCAGGAACATTATCCAGGCCACTTCCAAACCTGTCCAATGTCTGCTCTCCTGAAGCCCCCACTTTACGTGGTTTTCCTGCACTTCTGCAAATGATCTTGCCTCGTACTCTACTGAAGGATCCACCATGAGGTTCCTCAACTTAACTTTCTTAAACCTCAGTCCTAGTTTTCACACATCTTCACCTCCTTCAGTCATGGCTGAGAAGGGTGACCACATTTCTCTTCAAGGCTCATACTCCACTTATGCTCCTAAACATGAGCCATCTTCTCTCTACCAGGATTTTGCTCTATTGATTATAATTTCTCTCTTACATGATGTGTTACACCCTCTCCTCCAAAGATTTTTCCTAAGCCTTCCAAATATCTGGCTTTTGGTAAAACCACCTTCCTTCTACCCTACCACCATCTCTATCTATTGGCCTTTCTTTTCACCAAGAAACTGTCTGAAGGGAATTTCTTGAGGTTTCTACTTTGTTGCCAATGTTTTGGCCCTTGAATACCACTGAAATGATTTTGAAGATTGTGCTCTTTGTCCTCAAAATCCTAGCTTATTTTGCCAATTAAGTTCTCTCCTACAAAAATGTCCTTTGCCTCCAAGTTGGAATGGCCCAATTCCAGATTTCCAGTGAAGGAATGAAACCACTGTTACCTAGCCTGAGGATCCACAGAAATGCAAATGACTGGCTTGAGAAGAGGATGATTTAAACTGCTAGCCTGGCCACCTTGGGAAAAGTGCTGGAAAGTAGGGGTGGGGAGAGGGCCTGTGCTCAGGCTGACACTGGGGCCCAGGGCAAGGTTAGAATATTAGGAGGTCTGGTGACTCCACCCTCAAGAACGAAAGTAAACAGCAGAAATCCAAACAACTTTTCAATTACCAGCTCAGAAAGAAGTCTACCTGAAACTTTTAAGATTACGAAAACTTTGTAACTTTCCAATGTTTATTTTTTTCATATTATCCCCTAAAGATTAGTGGTAAATTCCCTAAGAAGCATAGCAGAGGCAGCAAGGAATAGGAGGAAGCAGGAGCACTGAGTCTCTTGTCATACCTGGGTGTCTATGGAGGAGTGGGGGAGGTGAAGATAAAATCTTCAAAAAGTACGCCAATACTGATAATTTTGGGGTTTTCTTTTTAAAGAGGAATGTTAAAACAGAGGTGGGTGGCAAAGGAGGGAAAGAGAGTAATGGAATAAGCGGGGCCTGAGAAGGGTTGCTAGGGCTTAATAATAGTTCCGCTCAGGTGGCTCTGGTGGTTTCAGGATTGGCTGAGCCCCACCCCATCCCCATCCTCTGAATATATTATACAAATCCTCCCATGGCTCTGCCTAATGATTACCTGTAAAAACTTTCTGAAAGTTTCCTGGCCTTCCCCCTTCTTGAGAGGGTGAGTTCTTCCTTACTGTATTGTGACCCTTGACACTCTATATCAAATGGTGTGGTTATTTTTGTGTGAGCCTTTTCCCCTAAGGGATAGGATCCACATCATGATCATGATTGTGTCCCTCACTGCCTTAAACTGCTGAAGCACCTCCCACACTAAGAAAAGCCAATATTTATTAGTCCTTTGTTTAGTTCTTGGAAGAACTTGACTTTGAACAATAAAAAATTGGAATCAGGATGTTGGGAGAGAATTAGGAAAAGTTGGGATTAGCTGTACAATGTGGAAAAATCAGATAAAGTATGATAGAGCAGAATAGAGGTTTTGAAACTCAGCTTTGCTAAGCAAGTTAAGGGTTACATTTTTTGGTATGTGAAACTTCTAGGTTGTCCTGTCTCTTGGAAAACAGTGGGGTCATGAGATTTTAACAACTTCATAAAATCAGAATGGTGTCAAACATCTGGTATGTGTAATAGAAATGCTTCCTAGTACGTATATCCACAGCCCTTGAAGGAGGCAGCCCTGCACACCTCATAACAATGCACCTGGCAAGGCATCAGCCCCTGTGGGGAGACCTGAGCCATGTAGCCAATCCAC
The DNA here is from genome assembly GCF_000001405.40 of Homo sapiens. Lineage (NCBI taxonomy): Eukaryota > Metazoa > Chordata > Mammalia > Primates > Hominidae > Homo > Homo sapiens. The sequence continues at coordinate 158,452,687 of NC_000002.12, read as the reverse complement.
TGCCTAACCATTGACCCCTAACTGGTAATGATGCCAATCAGATTATTTTCCAGGGAATTTGAAATTAAGAGAACAAGAGAACCAGAGAGAGCAGCTGTCTTGGTCCTGATGTTTTCTGGGTTCCTATTGAAGGGACCACAATATGCCTACCCCAAAATGTGCCATTTTGGCATAAGGAATATTTTGAGCTGAAAGCAATTGAGAAATAGCAGATACAAGAAAAACTCTTTTTCCCTCCTGCTTTTCTGTCTAAGAGTAGGCCATAAATTTCCATTTATAAAGTTGTCTGCCTCTCTACTACCAGGAAAGGATCTACTTGGAAATATCTCTTGAGGACGCTTATGCATATAACACACCTTACTAGACAACCCTTATTTATCATACGTTTCCTAGCACCTTTCCTAACTTCCCCCCTCACCCCTGTTCTCCACAGGAAGCCCCATACCCCCTTTCCTTTGTGTAGCCTCTTCACACTTAATCACTTCTGTTACGATGGTATAGGTCAAAAATTCTAATTGCCTCCTTGAGTCACATTTATTTGTGAAGGCTTTGTGTACATATGTAATTAAATGTTTTTTCTCTTGTCAGTCTGTCTTTTATCAGTTTAATTCTCAGACATTGAAGGTAAGAGGATAGAGGAAAAGTGTTTTTCCTTCTTTACACTATTCTCCTCATAAGGTCATACTTAAATAAACTTCATTTTCTTTTTGTTTTGTGAGATTTTTGTTTCCTGTGATCATCCCTACTCCATTCTTTTCCTTGTTTGCCTTTAGTGAGTCCCTGTTCCTTGCCATCCAAGGCTTCATTTACAAATTATGCAAATATTTTACAACAAAAGAAAACAGATATTATGACTTGATGAACTATGAAGAGTAACAGCCTAAAGTTTTTTTTAATAAGTAAATAGTAGAAAATGAATTACCTATCTAGTATCAAATTGTTGCCAACCTGAGTTAGGCAAAAGAATTTTTTTTAGTGCGGTGTCTCTATCCCCTACTCTCCCATATCAAAGCCCTTTATTCCTCAACAATCTGTTCTCATCCTTTCAAGTTGAAGATAAGAGAACTTTGAGAAAATTAGTGATATAATTGTTTTTTCAGGGTAGAATCATTTTGCCGCATCATTGGTATGGGAAGAAAATATTGGAACTTGTATTTCTATTATACATTTTAGGAATCAGGCTGGAAAATAAAAATAATTTATTAGAGACATCAGTAGTTATACAATGCAGGAGAAATAGACTCTGATGTTTAAGTTCCAGCAATTTAAAAATTTCTCAGGAGGAAAATCAGATGTCATCCAAAATTGCTACTATATTTTATTTAAAATACTGAATTATCAACAAAAATTATGAGACCTGCATAAAAACAGGAAAGTGTGACTGAAATTCAGGAAAATAATCAGCCATTAGATACTCTAAGTGACCCCACTTGTTGGATTTAGTATACAACTAATTCAAAACAGCTAGTATAAGTATGTTTTAAAACTTAAAGATGAAATGACTCAACAAATATGGACTCTAAATAGAGAAATAGAAACTATGAAAAAGAAATGAAAAATTTTAGAGTTGAAAAATATAACAATTTAAAAATCTGCTGTATGGGTTCCATAGCAAATTTGTGATGGCAGAACAAGAAATCAGTGAACTTGAAGACAGACTAATAGAAACTATCCAACCTAAAGAATAGGAGAAAGATTGAAGAAAAATGAACAAAGCTGCTGGGACTTGTGGGACAGAATCGAAGTATACCAATTTATGCTGGGAGCCCCAGGAGGAAAGGAGGGATAGAAGGGTATAGAAAAAATATTTGAAGAAGCAATGTCCTAAAACTTCCCCAATCTGTTTAAAATCTTAATCCACACATCAAAGACACTCAGCAAACACCAAATAGAATAAACATAAAGAGAGGCACAACTAGATACATCTTAGCCTGCTGAAAGACAAAAATAACAAGAAAATTTTGAGGCAGCAAGAAAATAACAACTCATTTTACACAAGGGAATCACAGTAAAATTAACAGCTGACCTCTCATTAGAAACAAAACAAACTAGAGGATAGTAAAAGGACGTATTCAAAATGCTGAAAGAAAAAACCTGTCAAGAATTCTATATCTAGCAAAACTGTTCTTCAAAATGAAGGTGACACTTACCGTAAGTGGACCTATGTTGGAAGTGTGCTAATTACTGCCAGATCCCATACAGCCAGCAGCTTTGTGCAAAGCTCAAAGTAAAAGAAGGTTGTCAGACAGATGCAGGGCACCTGGCAAGTCACCCATCATCTCCAGCTGGAAAGCAGCTCTTTACTCAGTGCTAACACTGGGTCATCAAATGATCACCACAGTAGAGGGCTGTTGTAAAATGCTAGATCTGAAGTTCTTCTAAAATAAATCCTCAGAAAATATGACCTCATTATTTCCTGAACTTCAGAGCTCTTTGTCTGCTTCGTAGAGGTAGAAAGAAGGTTATTAAAGCAGTAGCAGAGAGAAAATGAATCATTCAAAAAATATATGCCCCCACTCTATCCTTCAGCCGTGATGCCTGGCCCTTTACATCCCTGGGCCACTGTTTATTGTTGTTTTCTGTACATCCCTGGGGTTGGATCAGGACAGCAAGACAACAGTACCTACTAATACATCATCTTGTCAGGAACTGCCACATTTGTCTGTAGTTAATTTTTAAAATACAAAAAAAAAAAAATGAAGATGACAATATGTGCCAGAAAAAGCAATTGACAAGATACAACACCGATTCACGGTAAAATGCTCAACATACTAAGAATAGAAGGGAACTTTGTTGGTGTGATAAAGTGCATCTATGAATACCAACAGATAACAACATATTTATGGTGAAAGACTCCATGCTTTCCTTCTAAATCTGAGAATAAAGTATATGGCCATACCACTTTGAACGTACCTGTCTGATCTCAGAAAGTAGGGAGGGGCCAAGCATGGTGGCTCATGCCTATAATCCCAGCACTTTGGGAGGCCAAGGCAGGCAGATCACCTCAGGTCAGGAGTTCAAGACCAGCCTGGCCAACATGGCAAAATGGCATCTCTACTAAAAATACAAAAATTAGCTTGGCATGGTGGTGGGTGCCTATAGTGCCAGCTACTCGAAAGGCTGAGGCAGGGAGAATTGCTTGAACCCAGGAGGTGGGGGCTGCAGTGAGCCGAGATCCTACCACTGCACTCCAGCCTGGGCGACAGAGCGAGACTGTCTCGGAAAAAAAAAAAGAAACCAAGGAGGGCAAGAAGGGACAGAACTCATTAGTACTTGGATGGGAGAATAAAATAAGGATGTCCATTCTCATCTCTTCTAGTCACCATTTTACTGGAGGTTCTAGCTAGTGTAACAAGGAAAGAAAAAGTCATATTGATTGGAAAGGAAAAATTAAAGCTGTCTTTATTTACAGATTACTTGACCTTATACATAAAAAATCCTACTAGGACCTAATAAATGAATTTAACAAGGTCACAGAATACAAGATCAATATATAGAAGTCAGTTGTATTTTTATATGCTAGGAACTAGGAATCTGAAAATGAATTTTAAAAAACAGTTCCGGTCGGGCACGGTGGCTCATGCCTGTAATCCCAGCACTTTGGGAGGCTGAGGTGGGCAAATCACAAAGTCAGAAGTTCAAGAGCAGCCTGGCCAACATGGTGAAATGCTGTCTCTACTAAAAATACAAAAATTAGCCAGATGTGGTGGCGGGCACCTGCAATCCCAGCTACTCAGGAGGCTGAGGCTGGAGGATTGCTTGAACTTGGGAGGCGGAGGTTGCAGTGAGCTGAGATTGCGCCACTGCACTCCAGCCTGGGTGACAGAGCAAGACTCCGTCTCAGAAAAACAAACAAACAAAAACAACAACAACAACAAAAACCCAATTCCACTTATAATAACATGAGAAAGAAGACAATATTTAAGAATAAATTTTAGAAAACAAGCATAAGACCTCTAATCTATAGATTAAATGTCATCTCTATCAATATCTTAGCAAGCATTTTTATAGGAATTGAGAAGTCAATTTTAAAATGGAAATACAGGCCGGGTGCAGTGGCTCATGCCTGTGATCCCAGCACTTTGGAAGGCCGAGCGGGGTGGATTGCTTGAGCTCAGGAGTTGAAGACCAGCCTGGGTAACATGGCAAAACCCTATCTCTACCAAAAATACAAAAATTAGGCATGGTGGCTCACACCTGTGGTCCCAGCTCCTCAGGGGTCTGAGGTGGGAGGATGGCTGGAGCCCAGGAAGTCAAGGCTGCAGTGAGCTGTGATCACACCACTGAACTCCAGCCTGGATAACAGAATGAGACCCCATCTCAAAAATAAATAAAAAAAAAATAAAATGGAAATACATATCAAAAACAATCTTGTAAAAAAAAGGTAAGAGTTATTACAATACTAATTTCAAAACTTATAAAGCTATAATAATAGGATGTAATATTGGCATAATGATAGACACTTAGATCAATGAAATAGAAGGTACAGAAATTAATATATTTACAATCAGTTGGTTTTCAGCAAAGATGACAAGGCAGAGCAATAGTGAAAGGGATTTTTTTTAAAGAAATACTACTGGAATAATTGCATATTCATATGCAAAATACTGAACTTAAATTCTTACCAAACACCATACAGAAAAAAATTTATATATATCACAGACCTACCTGTAAGAGCTAAAATTATATCTGAAAACAGTAGAAAATCTCTGCAACCTTGCTTTTGGAAAGGTTTCTTTAGATACAATACCAAAATTGTGATCCATTAAAGAAGAAATTGATAAATTGCATTTTATAAAAATGAAAAGTTTTGCCCTCCAAAAGATACTGGTAAGAAAGTGAAAAGACAAATAACAGCCTGTGAAAAAATTCCTAGGTCAAATATCTGATAAAGTACTTGTATCTAGAATATATAAAGCATGCTAAATGTGAAAAATAAGATAAGCAATTCAATTAAAAATAAAATGTTTTAATAGAGATTTCACCAAAAAGGTATACAAATGATTAATAAGCACATGAAAAGATGTTCAACATATTAGGGAAATGCAAATTACAACCACAATACGATACCAGTACACTACCAGTAAAATGGTTATAAACCAAAAATTGACAATACACAGTGATGACAAAGATGTGAAAAAACTGCAACTCTCATAAATTGCTAAATGTGTAATGGTATACACACTTTTTGGAGTCATTTAGCAACTTATTGAAAACATAAACATAGCCAGACACAATGTTGCATGCATGTAGACCCAGCTTCTCAGATGGCTGAGGCAGGAGGATCCCTGGAGTTCAGGAGTTCTGGGCTATAGTGCACTATGCTGATCAGGTGTCTGTACTGTTATGCATCAATATGGTGACTTCCTGGGAAGAAGGGACCACCACGTTGCCTCAGGAGAGGTGAAGCAGCTCAGGTTGGAAACAGGGCAGGTCAAAACTCCTGTGCTGATCAGTAGTGGGATTGCACATATCGATACCACTGCACGCCCGTCTATGCAATGTAGAGAGGCCTATTCTCTTTAAAAAAGAATAAGTCATATATATAAATATAAACTTATACCATATGACCCAGCAATCTTACTTCAATAGAAATAAATATGTATGTCCACACAGACTTTTACATGAACAGTAGCAATATTGTTAATAATAGCAAAACATTGGAAATAATCTAAATATCACCTGATGATTGACAAAACAAAACATGGCATACTCGAATACTATTCATCTCTAAAAATAATGAACTACTGATACATGGTACAATATGGATAAACCTCCAAAATATTATGCCAAGAGAGAAAAAGCCAGACAAGAGGCCTCATTTGTATGATACCATTTATATGAAACTCCCAAAAAGGGAAAAAATATGGAGATAGAAGACAGATCAGTGATTACCTTAGACTGGGATGGGAGGATTTAATACAAGTGGTTATGACTGAATGTTTTCTGGTGATGTTAATGTCCTAAAAGTGGATAGTGGTAATGGTTCCACAACAATACATTTATTAAAAATAATACAGTTCTAATGGGTATATTTTATGAATTGTAAATTAGACCCCAATAAAGCTATTATAAATAAAAAACTTTAAAAATAATGGCATAAACACATCTTAAAACTCCCTTATATGAACACTTAATAAATTTGAAAACATTTTCTAACATGATTAAAAATATTCCTAATGGCATTTCAGTGGCTCAGAACCCAGCTGTTAAACATTAAAAAAAAACTTTGTGAGGAAAACTAGTTGACCTCAGAGAAGCCAGAAATTTACTAGAGAAAAAGACTAAATTACAATCTTTGCATAATTGGTGGATGGAATTGATTCTTTTTTTTTTTGAGACAAGTTCTTGCCCTGTCAGATAGCTAGAGTGCTGTGGTGTGACCATAGTTCACTGCAGCCTCAAACTCCTGGGGTCAAGCAATCCTGCCTCAGCCTCCTGAGTAGCTGGGACTACAGGCATGGGCCACCATGCCTGGCTAATTTTTACATTGTAGTTTTTTTGTAGAGATGGGGTCTCACTATGTTGCCCAGACTGGTCTTAAACCCCTAGCCTCAAATGATCCTCCCATTTTGGCCTCCCAAAGTGTTGGGATTACAGATGTAAGCCATAGCCCCCGGCCCTGGAATTGAAATTTGAGTATCATAGTTGATTACATAAAGCCTATTTTGTACTTCTTCCATATTTTTTCCAGTGTCTATTTTAATGACTATATTCATTAAAGCCAAGTATGGGGGTGAACTGTCCTTAGAGTTTGAATTCTTCTATGACCAACCATTAAACCAAGATTTTCAAGTAGTGAAGCATAGTCCATCACATAATTTTCACTAACATTTATTCGAATTGTCTATACTACATATGTCCATACTATATTTTTTCTTGTACTTATAGATTTTCTATATTTATATTTTATAATATACATAATTTAGAACAAGATTACACTTAAAGAATGTAAAATAAATACATTTGGAAATATATCCTCAAAAGTGTTATTTACAGAGATGTGTGAATGAGACTTCAACGTTTTAGTAGAATATCTTTAGATAAAATGTTTATTCTTTCCCTGCCATTTGTGTATTTTGTTGTCGTTTTAGTTTTTTCTCTTCTGTCTACCCCAATTACTGGAAGTAAGTCTTTGAAAGACTATATTTTAATCTTGTTCTTTTGCTTTTTTCTTTGTCTTAAACATCACTTAAATCATTTAGCTCCAATAAATTTGAATCTCAGACACGGTGATTATCAGAGACAGTGATCATTATTGTGATTCAGACTGAGAAAGGTCAATGAAATCTCCAGTGGTATTGAGAGGAGTAGCCTTTGGACACTTCTAAATGATGTAAAAGTAGGACATAAATAAGAAAAACACAATAGGAAAAAATAAAAGGAAATTCCTATAATGTAGAGAATTTGATAAAAGAAAAATATCTGCCCACACAGAATTAATTCATTTTTATGGTCAATTGAAAACTTGATTTTTAAAATCATAGGCATTTAATGATTTACTGTTGGGCCTTGGAAAAGTCACTTTTTTTTTATTGTCTCTTTCTCACATCTGTGAAAATGAGGTTTAATGTACTTCTCCATTTCTCACAAACATTATTAACCTTTAAACTTAAAAAAAGTGTGAACTGTATAAGCTTCTGAACTTTTTGTATAAGTATGCTAGTGTTCCTGTGCTAGTGTGCATAAACACGGAAGGCTTCTGTATCTAAGAGTTTATATCAGGAAAGAACTCCTTATTTCTACTTTACATTAACTTTTTGTTTCCCCCCTTCTTTCTATTTGTTAAGATTAGTAAAAATTTCTTTATTAACTAACATAATTTCTAATCCCATAGATAGCATAATCACCAGCATTTTATCAACTTCTTGTAAATCTTTTTTTTTTTTTTTTTTTTTTTTTCAAGACAGGGTCTCGCTCTGTCACCCAGGCTGGAGTGCAGTGGCTAAATCTCAGCTCCCTGCGGTCTAAACCTCTCCCCAGCTCAAGTGATCCTCCTGCCTCAGCCCTCCTGAGTGGCTGGGACCACAGGCATGTGCCACCATGCCTGGCCAATTTTGTTTATTTTTTATAGAGATGAGGTCTCCCTATGTTGCTCAGGCTGGTCTTGAGCTCCTGGGCTCAAGCAATCCTCCTACCTCAGCCTCCCAAAGTGCTGGGATTGCAGGCATGAGCCACTGCACCCAGCATTTTCTCCCTTTTTTGAAACCACTAGAAATAATTTTCTTTAGTTGGTATGTCATAATCTCATTAGTCAAATACTTAAATTTAATATTTTAATCCAATGTTTTTTTCAATTATGAGCTTTCTAAAATTATAGAATTTTAGGACTAGAGGAATCTTAGAGATTATAAATCAGTATTAATACTGGCCCAATAACTCTCAGCTTAAATCCCTTTCTATTCAACCTTTTGATTTCCCTTATAGAGAAGAAGAAATTAATAAGATTCAGTCATTTCACCATGTTTGCTGTATATATATATGTGTGTGTATGCATGTGACTAAATTTTCCAAGTCTAGAATAATGTAAATTTTGAAAATGTTATATGGATAAAATATTAGAAGAAAAAAATGTGCAGTTATGCCAAGAATTCTCCTCCTCATATTTAAAAATGACTACTTTATCTGACTATTACTCTAAAATATTATTTGGCTATTGAGAAAGTGATAGCCTGACGTATTTTGTATTTAACCTTCGATATGGGTACACTGTAATTATTTTTTATGTTCCTAAAATTGAATTGCAACCTATTGACTATGGCTTCTGTGTTTTAAAAGCTGATAAATTGTGTTTAATATAGTTGGTGGAAGAGCACTGATCTCAAAGTCAGGAGGTGTGGCTGGCTTGTAGCCTTGCCTGTCCTGCCTGCTTCCTCAAGTCTTGGGCAGGGCATTCAATCTCTATGGCCCTGTGTTCACTGGTCTGTAAAATGACTCAGCTGGGCAGAAATATTCCCTGGGCCTAGGTTAATTTCCACATAAAATGAAATACTACATGATCTCAGTCTATATTTTGATTTTTTTTATTTTGAAAGAAATTTCCCAAATATGTTTATCACATTGCTATAGCCCTTAAGTCTATTTTCATCCCCTTGTTGGTTTTCAGTTTTCCAGAACCTATGTTTGAATAGACTTTTCTCCTGCCTTCACTTTTTTTCCTTTTCTTTTTTTTTTTTTTTTTTTTTTGAGATAGACTTGCTCTGTCGCCCAGGCTGGAGTGCAGTGGCACCATCATGGCTGACCGCAGCCTTGATCTCCCAGGCTCAAATGATCCCGCCATCTCAGCCTGCTAAGTAGCTGGGACCACAGGCACAGGCCACTACACTTGATCATTTTTGTTATCATTATTGTTATTTGTAGAGATGAGGTCTCACTATATTGCCCAGGTTGGTATCAAACTTCTGGCCAGAATCCTCCCACCCTGGACTCCCAAGAGATCCTCCCACCCCGACTCCCAAAGTGCTGACATTACAGGTGTAAGCCACTGTGCCTGAGTGACTTTTTTTTGTTTGTTTTTTTTTGTTCAAGATATGCCTTTCCCCTTTACTCCTACTTATATCTTGCCTTCCTGTCCCTAACTCTAGGACCTTACCCCTACCTTAACAAGGGAGCAGCTGTTTATTAAAAAACAAACAAACAAACAAACAAACAAAAACTATGACTGATCTTCTTCTATGCCTGTTGAGGAGCCACTACCTGTAGTCATCTCCCTTTACTGAGAGAGGGTAGAATGGAAACCTTTGCAGGCGTTGGAGCCAGACTGCCTGGGTTTGCATCTGGTCTCTCCACTCAGCAGCTGGATGATCTCAAACCACAGCTTCTCCATCTGCAAAATGGGAAGAACAGTGTTACTCAAACATTGTTGTGAGTATTTAATGAGTTAAAAGAGCTAAGACTCTTAGAATAGTGTCTGGCACATAGTAATTGCTATTGACTCTCATAAAGTGGTAGTGACTTCAGCGCAGGCTGGAAGAGAGGATAAAGCTGAAGCAGGGGAACAACACTGCATGAGTGGAATGCTGTGTTCTTATAGTTCTGGGCCTTTTGCAATGGCACTCAATTCCTTGCTTCCTGCTCTTTTCCTGCTATCATCCTGGGATGCAAATGTTGGGCAAAAGCCTGATGAGAAGAGGAAGACTGGCATAATTTGTGGGTGATGTTCCTTTCATTTAATTTGAAAGAATGGCTACCTATGGCAACTTTTTCTCCCAGTACATTTCCTGTTTGAAACGTGATTTTTTGTTTTCTACCATGCTTCTGAACTGGCATACCATAATTATTATGCTCTAAGACCTTAAGATCTTAGAAAAAAGCCCAAGAATTGTCCTTTCGACAGGCCTATTTATAATATTATTCCAGTTGAAAAACAGCACTGGAAAAACTGTTCTTAGCAAAGAATATTAATTGACAAAAACATTTCTTTGCTAAGAATCTGAGGGAAGCAATCTGTTCTTAGCTCTTTCAAACCGCAAAATAGATTTAGCCTCTGATGAACAAAAGCCAATTATTTATTTTCAATACTACCTTTAAAAAGCCTTTGTTTTTTATAACAGAGCTCTTTTTCTATTGTCTATCAAAGCAAATTTTTTAAATACAGCAGGTCTTTTTATAAGAAAAAGGCAGCCAAATCTAATAACAAGATTCTAGTTTGGGTGTAAAACATATTTTTCCACCTCAATATTGAAGTATGTAGGTTTTTTAAATAAGAGGGTATTTATCCATTTTGATTAAGAAGTACCATTATGCCAAATCTTTGGTAGAGTGAGCATAACAAATATGTCATATGAAAAGAAGGCACATAAAAAGATTTTTGCTGGTAAAAAGTTAAAATTCAATGGTACTTAGAAAATAATATTGCACATTCTTGATGAACATGGAAGATATTAATATTAAATCTGGATAAATCAATGAGTATTTCACTTTTCCTCTCTTCTAAGGCAGAAGTAAAATAATACTAAACAATATTGACAAAAGGCTAATAAGTACATGTACTTTTTCAGATCATAAATACTGTATTTGAAGCTCAAAAAGAATATGTCAACAAAAGAAAGAATTAAAATTCCTGAGCCATAGGATGTCACATAGCAAAGAATTTGGCCTTTTAATAAAACATCCTCAGCATATTTTTTATCTCAAATATGTTAAGAGGAAAACAATCACATATTGCATGGTCATGTCAGAAATCATTAGACTTTTCTGTATGTATAAGTCAACTACATTCTGTACTTATTTTGTAAACTTTTAATTAGATATTTCTGATTTACTTTAAAATTTTTGGTGTGATATTTAGTTAGAAAATATTATTTTAAATACGATTCATTCAGAAATCTTGATTTTCTATCTTGCATATTTTTCATTTAGGGTTTCATAGTTCATTTTGGTAAATTGGCAGCCCTAGAAATAAAAATTCCATTTTTCCAAAGACTCAGAAGAAGAGATGTTGAAATCTCTCTAGTTTGTCCAAACCTGGGACTGTAGCGTGATCCACTCACCCCAGTATTATAATAGTAGTGCAGATTCTCTTTCAAGCTATCTTTCCCTGGAATTGCTGGTCTATTTGTTTATATAGCCTATATAGGGGGTAATTGTCATTGTCAAGTATGGTACTTTTCCTTTCTTTTTTCTTTTTTTAAGAGACAGGGTCTCACTGTGTCACCCAGGCTGGAGTGCAGTGGCTATTTACAGGTGTGATCAGTGTATACTACAGCCTTGAACGCCTGTCAAGCAATGCTCCTGACTCAGCCTCCCAAGTAGCTGCTACTTACAGGTGTGCACCACTATGCCTGGCTCATTTTCTTTTTAATAGGCTATTGAACAGCTATCAGACAAAAATACATGAACAGTCTGGAGTATACTAGTAGTCATTCAGTTTGTTCAACATTAGTTCATTCCTTTTTATTGCTGAGTAGTATTCCATTACAGTAGTCTCCCACTAATTCGTGATTTTACTTTCTGTAGTTTCAGTTACCTGCCAAAAAATTAAGATATTTTGAAAGAGAGACCACATTTACATAATTTTATTATAGTACGTTGCTATAAACATTCTATTTTATTATTGGTTATTTTGTTAATCTTTTACTGTGCCTAATTTATAAATTAAACTTTATCATAGGTACATAAGTATAAGAAAAAACAGCGTATATAGGTTATGGTACTATTCGAGGTTTCAGGTATCCACTGGGGGTCTTGAATGCATCTCCTGAGAATAACGGGGGACTATTGTGCATGTATTTATTTCTTTATTCATCTACCTGTTGATGGGCATTTGAGTTGTTTCAGTTTTTGGTTATTATGAGTAATGTATGTATATTTATGTACAGTTTTTTTGGAGGTGTACATTGTTTCGCTTGATATTGCTGGGTCCCAAAATAAGTTTATGTTTAACTATTTAACAGTTAAGAAACTGCCAAACAGTTTTCCAAAATGGCTACACCATTTTACACTCCTGACAGCAATCTATAATGTTTCAGTTATTCCACATTCTTGTCAACACTTGATATTATCAACATTTAAATTTTAGGCTGGGTGCTGTGCCTCACACCTGTAATCTCAGCACCTTTGGAGGCTGAGGCAGGAAGATCTCTTGAGCCCAGATGTTCAAGACCAGCCAGGGCAACATAGTGAGACCTCATCTCTACTAAAAGTAATAGTAAAAAAAAAAAATATCTGGGTGTGATGGAACATGCCTGTAGTCCTAGCTACTCAGGAGGTAAGATAGGAAGATGCTTCATCCCAGGAGGTGGAGGCTACATTGAGCCATAATTGCACCACTGCACTCCAGCCTGCACAACAGAGAAATACCTTGTATAAAAAAGTAAAGTAATAATAATAAATGTTATCCGCTGTAATGTGTGTGTAGTGGCATCTTATTGTAGTTTAAATTTACATTTTCCTGATGACTAAGGATGTTGAACATTTTTTAATATGCTTATTGAGCATTACTATATCTTCTATTGTGAAGCATATGATCAAATAGTCTACCCTTTCTTTTTTGGATATCATGTTGCCAGCATATATACATGGCTAATGTCATGTAACTATCCAGACATCTTTTTTTTTCTTTTTATACTTTAACTTCCAGGGTACATGTGCACAACGTACAGGTTTGTTACATATGTATACATGTGCCACGTTGGTATGCTGAACCCATTAACTCATCATTTACATTAGGTATATCTCCTAATGCTATCTCTCCCCCCTGCCGCCACCCCACGACAGGCCTCGGTGTGTGACGTTCCCCACCCTGTGTCCAAGTGTTCTGATTGTTCAATTCCCACATATGAGTGAGAACATGCGGTGTTTGGTTTCCTGTCCCTGCAATAGTTTCCTGAGAATGATGGTTTCCAGCTTCATCCATGTCCCTACAAAGGACATGAACTCATCCTTTTTTATGGCTGCATAGTATTCCATGGTGTATATGTGCCACATTTTCTTAATCCAGTCTATCATTCTTGGACATTTGGGTTGGTACCAAGCCTTTGCTATTGTGAATAGTGCCACAATAAACATACACGTGCATGTGTCTTTATAGCAGCATGATTTATGAACCTTTGGGTATATACCCAGTAATGGGATGGCTGGGTCAAATGGTATTTCTAGTTCTAGATCCCTGAGGAATCGCCACACTGACTTCCACAATGGTTGAACTAGTTTACAGTCCCACCAACAGTGTAAAAGTGTTCCTATTTCTCCACATCCTCTCCAACACCTGTTGTTACCTCACTTTTTAATGATCACCATTCTAACTAGTATGAGATGGTATCTCATTGTGGTTTTGATTTGCATTTCTCTGATGGCCAGTGATGATGAGCATTTTTTCATGTGTCTGTTGGCTGCATAAATGTCTTCTTTTGAGAAGTGTCTGTTCATATCCTTCGCCCACTTTTTGATGGGGTTGTTCGTTTTTTTCTTGTAAATTTGTTGGAGTTCATTGTAGATTCTGGATATTAGCCCTTCGTCAGATGAGTAGATTGCAAAAATTTTCTCCCATTCTGTAGGTTGCCTGTTCACTCTGATGGTAGTTTCTTTTGCTGTGCAGAAGCTCTTTAGTTTAATTAGATCCCATTTGTCAATTTTGGCTTTTGTTGCCATTGCTTTTGGTGTTTTGGACATGAAGTCCTTGCCCATGCCTATGTCCTGAATGGTATTGCCTAGGTTTTCTTCTAGGGTTTTTATGGTTTTAGGTCTAACCTTCAAGTCTTTAATCCATCTTGAATTAATTTTTGTGTAAGGTGTAAGGAAGGGATCCAGTTTCAGCTTTCTACATATGGCTAGCCAGTTTTTGCAGCACCATTTATTAAATAGGGAATCATTTCCCCATTTCTTGTTTTTGTCAGGTTTGTCAAAGATCAGATGGTTGTAGATATGCGGCATTATTTCTGAGGGCTCTGTTCTGTTCCATTGGTCTATATCTCGGTTTTGGTACCAGTACCATGCTATTTTGGTTACTGAGGCCTTGTAGTATAGTTTGAAGTCAGGTAACATGATGCCTCCAGCTTTGTTCTTTTGGCTTAGGATTGTCTTGGCAACGCGGGCTCTTTTTTGGTTCCACATGAACTTTAACGTAGTTTTTTCCAATTCTGTGAAGAAAGTCATTGGTAGCTTGATGGGGATGGCATTGAATCTATAAATTACCTTGGGCAATATGGCCATTTTCACGATATTGATTCTTCCTACCCATGGGCATGGAATGTTCTTCCATTTGTTTGTATCCTCTTTTATTTCATTGAGCAGTGGTTTGTAGTTCTCCTTGAAGAGGTCCTTCACGTCCCTTGTAAGTTGGATTCCTAGGTATTTTATTCTCTTTGAAGCAGTTGTGAATGGGAATTCACTCATAATTTGGCTCTCTGTCTGTTATTGGTACATAAGAATGCTTGTGCTTTTTGCACATTGATTTTGTATCCTGAGACTTTGCTGAAGTTGCTTATCAGCTTAAGGAGATTTTGGGCTGAGACGATGGGGTTTTCTAGATATACAATTATGTCATCTGCAAACAGGGACAATTTGACTTCCTCTTTTCCTAATTGAATACCCTTTATTTCCTTCTCCTGCCTGATTGCCCTGGTCAGCACTTCCAACACTATGTTGAATAGGAGGGGTGAGAGAGGGCATCCCTGTCTTGTGCCAGTTTTCAAAGGGAATGCTTCCAGTTTTTGCCCATTCAGTATGATATTGGCTGTGGGTTTGTCATAGATAGTTCTTATTATTTTGAGATATGTCCCATCAATACCTAATTTATTAAGAGTTTTCAGCATGAAGCGCTGTTGAATTTTGTCAAAGGCCTTTTCTGCATCTACTGAGATAATCATGTGGTTTTTGTCTTTGGTTCTGTTTATGTGAGGTATTACATTTATTGATTTGCGTATGTTGAACCAGCCTTGTATCCCAGGGATGAAGCCCACTTGATCATGGTGGATAAGCTTTTTGATGTGCTGCTGGATTCGGTTTACCGGTATTTTATTGAGGATTTTTGCATCAATGTTCATCAGGGATATTGGTCTAAAATTCTCTTTTTTGGTTGTGTCTCTGCCAGGCTTTGGTATCAGGATGATGCTGGCCTCATAAAATGAGTTAGGGAGGATTCCCTCTTTTTCTATTATTTGGAATAGTTTCAGAAGGAATGGTACCAGCTCCTCATTCTACCTCTGCTAGAATTTGTCTGTGAATCCATCTGGTCCTGGACTTTTTTTGGTTTGTAAGCTATTAATTATTGCCTCAATTTCAGAGCCTGTTATTTGTTTATTCAGAGATTCAACTTCTTCCTGGTTTAGTCTTGAGAGGGTGTATGTGTCGAGGAATTTATCCATTTCTTCTAGATTTTCTAGTTTATTTCCGTAGAGGTGTTTATAGCATTCTCTGATGGTAGTTTGTATTTCTGTGGGATCAGTGGTGATATCCCCTTTATCATTTTTTATTGTGTCTATTTGATTCTTCTCTCTTTTCTTTTTATTAGTCTTGCTAGCGGTCTATCAATTTTGTTGGTCTTTTCAACAAACTAGCTCCTGGATTCATTGATTTTTTTGAAGGATTTTTCATGTCTCTATCTCCTTCCGTTCTGCTCTGATCCTGGTTATTTCTTGCCTTCTGCTAGCTTTTGAATGTGTTTGCTCTTGCTTCACTAGTTCTTTTAGTTGTGATGTTAGGGTGTCCATTTTAGATCTTTCCTGCTTTCTCTTGTGGGCATTTAGTGCTATAAATTTCCCTCTACACACTGCTTTTAATGTGTCCCAGAGATTCTGGTATGTTGTGTCTTTGTTCTCATTGGTTTCAAAGAACATCTTTATTTCTGCCTTATTTCGTTAGGTACCCAGTAGTCATTCAGGAGTAGGTTGTTCAGTTTCCATGTAGTTGTGTGGTTTTGAGTGAGTTTCTTAATCCTAAGTTCTAGTTTGATTGCACTGTGGTCCGAGAGACAGTTTGTTATAATTTCTGTTCTTTGACGTTTGCTGAGGAGTGCTTTACTTCCAACTATGTGGTCAATTTTGGAATAAGTGTGATGGGGTGCTGAGAAGAATGTATATTCTGATGATTTGGGGTGGAGAGTTCTGTGGATGTCTATTATGTCTGCCTGGTGCAGAGTTGAGTTCAATTCCTGGGTATCCTTGTTAACTTTCTGTCTCATTGATCTGTCTGATGTTGACAGTGGGGTGTTAAAGTCTCCCATTATTATTGTGTGGGGGTCTAAGTCTCTTTGTAGGTCTCTAAGAACTTGCTTTATGAATCTGGGTGCTCCTGTATTGGGTGCATATATATTTAGGATAGTTAGCTCTTCTTGTTGAATTGATCCCTTTACCATTATGTATTGGCCTTCTTTGTCTCTTTTGATCTTTGTCGGTTCAAAGTCTGTTTTATCAGAGACTAGGATTGCAACCCCTGCTTTTTTTTGTTTTCTATTTTCTTGGTAGATCTTCCTCCATCCCTTTATTTTGAGCTTATGTTTGTCTGTGCACGTGAGATGGGTCTCCTGAATACAGCACACTGATGGGTCTTGACTCTTTATCCAATTTGCCAGTCTGTGTCTTTTAATTGGAGCATTTAGCCTGTTTACATTTAAAGTTAATATTGTTTGTTTGAATTTGATCCTGTCATTATGATGTTAGCTGGTTATTTTGCTTGTTAGTTTATACAGTTTCTTCCTAGCATTGATGGTCTTTACAATTTGTCATGTTTTTGCAGTGGCCAGTACCAGTTGTTGCTTTCCATGTTTATTGCTTCCTTCAGGAGCTCTTGTAAGGCAGGACTGGTGGTGGCAAAATCTCTCAGTATTTGCTTGTCTGTAAAGTATTTTATTTCTCCTTCACTTATGAAGCTTAGTTTGGCTGGATATGAAATTCTGGGTTGAAAATTCTTTTCTTTAAGAATGTGGAGTATTGGCCCCCACTCTCTTCTGGCTTGGAGAGTTTCTGCCGAGAGATCTGCTATTAGTCTGATGGGCTTCCCTTTGTGGGTAACCCAACCTTTCTCTCTGGCTGTCTTTAACATTTTTTCCTTCATTTCCACCTTGGTGAATCTGACAATTATGTGTCTTGGAGTTGCTCTTCTCGAGGAGTATCTTTGTGGCATTCTCTGTATTTCCTGAATTTGAATGTTGGCCTGCCTTGCTAGATTGGGGAAGTTCTCCTGGATAACATCCTGCAGAGTGTTTTCCAACTTGGTTCCATTCTCCCCGTCACTTTCAGGTACACCAATCAGACATAGATTTGGTCTTTTCACATAGTCCCATATTTCTTGGAGGCTTTGTTCATTTCTTTTTACTCTTTTGTCTGTAAACTTCTCTTCTCGCTTCATTTCATTCATTTGATCTTCAATCACTGATACCCTTTCTTGCACTTGATCAAATTGGCTACTAAAGCTTGTGCATGTGTCAAGTAGTTCTCATGCCATGGTTTTCAGCTCCATCAGGTCATTTAAGGTCCTCTCTGCACTGTTTATTCTAGTTAGCCATTCGTCTCATCTTTTTTCAAGGTTTTTAGCTTCTTTGCAGTGGGTTCAAACATCCTCCTTTAGCTCAGAGAAGTTTGTTATTACCGATCGTCTGATTCGTTCTTCTCTGAACTCGTCAAATTCATTCTCCGTCCAGCTTTGTTCTGTTGCTGGTGAGGAGCTGCATTCCTTTGGAGGAGAAGAGGCACTCTGATTTTTAATATTTTCAGCTTTTCTGCTCTGGTTACCCCATCTTTGTGGTTTTATCTACCTTTGGTCTTCTATGATGGTGACATACAGTTGGTGTTTTGGTGTGGATGTCCTTTCTGTTTGTTAGTTTTCCTTTCTAACAGTCAGGACCCTCAGCTGCAGGTCTGTTGGAGTTTGCTGGAGGTCCACTCCAGACCCTGTTTGCTTGGGTATCACCAGTGGAGGCTGCAGAACAGCATATATTGCAGAATGACAAATGTTGCTGCCTGATCCTTCTTCTGGACACTTCGTCTCAGAGGGGCACCTGGCTGTATCAGGTGTCATATGGCCCCTACTGGGAGGTACCTCCCAGTTAGGCTACTCAGGGATCAGGGACCCACTTGAGGAGGCAGTCTGTCTGTTCTCAGATCTCAAGCTGCGTGCTGGGAGAACCACTACTCTCTTCATAGCTGTCAGACAGGGACGTTTAAGTTTGTAGAAGTTTCTGCTGCCTTTTGCTCAGATAGGCTGTGCCCCCAGAGGTGGAGTCTACAGAGGCAGGCAGGCCTCCTTGATCTGCGGTGGGCTTCACCCAATTGGAGCTTTCCAGCCGTTTTTACCTACTCAAGCCTCAGCAATGGCGGACGCCCCTCCCCCAGCCTCGCTGCCGCCTTGCGGTTCGATCTCAGATTGCTGTGCTAGCAGTGAGCGAGGCTCCATGGGCGTGGGACCCTCTGAGCCAGGCACAGGATATAATCTCCTGGTGTGCCATTTGCTAAGACCCTTGGAAAAGCGCAGTATTAGGATGTGAGTGTCCTGATTTTCCAGGTACCGTCTGTCACAGCTTCCTTTGGCTAGGAAAGAGAATTCCCCCACTCTTGCACTTCCTGGGTGAGGCGATGCACCACCATGCTTCAGCTCACACTTGGTGTGCTGCACCCACTGTCTGACAAGCCGCAGTGAGATGAATCTGGTACCTCAGTTGGAAATGCAGAAATCACCTATATTCTGCGTTGCTCATGCTGGGAGCTGTAGACTGGAGCTGTTCCTATTCGGCCATCTTGGAACCTCCCTCTGCAGACCTACCCTTTCTAAAATTAGGTTGTTTGTC
Source organism: Homo sapiens (assembly GCF_000001405.40). Lineage (NCBI taxonomy): Eukaryota > Metazoa > Chordata > Mammalia > Primates > Hominidae > Homo > Homo sapiens. The sequence goes on along the minus strand of NC_000002.12, from coordinate 158,433,465 downwards.
TTACTATTGAGATTTTAAAAATTCATTGCATATTTTGATACAAGTGCTTTGTCAGATATATGTATCATAGATATTTTCTCCTAGTATTTTGTTTGCAACTTGAGTTTCTGAACAGTGTCTTTATGACAAAAGTTTTAATTTTGATAAAGTCCACTGTATTGTTTTTCTTTTATTTGTGCTTTTGTTTTATATATATATATATATTTGAGTCAAGGACTTACTCTGTTGCCCCGGCTATAGTACAGTGGTTTGATTTCAGCTCACTGTGGCCTTGACTTCCTAGGCCTGAACAATCCTCCTGCCTCTACCTCCTGAGTTGCTGGGACTACAGGTGTGGGCCATGACACCCAAGTCATATATATATATATATATATTTTTTTTTTTTTTTTTTGTAGAGATGAGGTTTTGCCATGTTTTTCATGCTGGTCTCATACTCCTGAGCTGAAGCAGTCCACCCACCTTGGCCTCCCAAGATGCTGGGATTACAGGTGTGAGCCATTGCACCCAACCTATAATTTTACCTATGTTAATTTTTGTGTATGATTTGAGGCATCACATCATACACATGTTCACCATGTTGGCCAGGCTGGTGTCGAACTCCTAACCTCAGGTGATCTGCCCACCTTGGCCTCCCAAAGTGCTGGGATTACAGACTTGAGCCATTACGCCTGGTCTCTTTTCCTGTAATTTATTTTTTTGGCTTTGGTATCAGGCAGATACCAACATTTTGAAAAGACTTGGGGTGTGTTCTTTTCTCCTTTAATTTCTGAAAGAGTTTGTATTGGATTGATATTATTTATTCCTCAGAAGATTGATAAAATTTGCCAGTCAAATAGTGTACATCTGGAATTTTCTCTTTGAGGGAGTTGTTAATAAGGAAATTGAGTTAATAGATGTAAGGAATTCAGATTTTCTGTTCTTCTGGAGTTATTTTTGGCTATTTGTGTCATTTAGGAATTTGGACATTACATCTACATTGTTGAATTTTGTGGCATAAAGTTGTTTATAGTATATTTAGTATTTTTGTGGTATATCTTTTGCCATTCTTGTATTTTTTACCCATACTTTTGTTTGTATTTAAAGTGGGCTTTTTGTAAATACCATATTGTTTGTCTTGTTTTTATCATGTTTGACAATCTCTGCCTTTTAATTATAGTATTTATGTCATTTACCTTTAATATACTTATAACTATGGTTGGATGTAAGCCTACCATCCTGCTGTTTTTTTTTATTTTCATCATCTTTTTTTTAATTTTCTTTGCCTTTTTCTGCTCCCTTTTGATTATGTTTTATTCTACTTTATCTGTACTATGATATTATTAGTTATAATTTTTAGTGGTTCCTCTAGAATTTATAGGTTAGCTCAGTACAGTATATCTTAAATTATGTTTTATCAGCTTATTCATTATATAAAACCCTTAACACAAGATATTTTCATTTTTCTTATTCTGTACTTTGCCATTGTTAAAATTTATTTTTCATGTATATGTGTGGTAAACAGTGCTACATATTTTTTCCATCTGGTATCATTTTTTTTTTCTTGCTCTGTTGCCCAGGCTGGAGTGCAGTGGCACAATCTTGACTCATGCAACCTCCATCTCCCAGGTTCAAGCTATCCTTGTGCCTCAGCCACACAAATAGCTGCGATTACAGGCACACACCATCACACCCAGCTAATTTTTTGTATTTTTAGTAGGAAGTGTTTCACCATGTTGGCCAGGCTGGTTTCAAACCCCTGACCTCAAGTGATCTGCCTGCCTTGACCTACCTAAAGTGCTGGGGTTATAGGCATGAGCCACTGTGCTTGGCCTTTCTTTAATAATTCTTAGGGTGCAGGTCTTTCTTTAATAATCCTTGTTGGGCAGCTAAAAATCTCTTCTCTTTTGTTTTCCTGAAAAATTTTTTGTTTTGTCTTTATTCTTCAAAGATATTTCACAGCGTGTGTAGGATTATAAATTGACAGGTTTTTTTTTTTTTAAAAAACACCTTTTTTATAGCACTTTACAGATGTTCTGTCATTTTTTTTGACTTGTATAGTTTCTTACAGTGATCATTCTTATCTGTGAAGTCTGTGATCATTCTTCTCTGTGTTTTTCTATATAGAATGTCTCCCTTCTCGACCCCATCACTAGAAGTTTTTAAGATTTTTTTATGACAGTTTTTTTTAACAATTTGATTATTAAATGCCTTTGAATGGTTTTATTAAGGCTTGTAATTCCTGGTTTGTGGTTCATTGGTATTCTTCAATCTGTGATTTTATCTTTTTTTTCAGATTTGAAAACATTTTGACTTTTATTTTTTAAATTATTTTTTTCCTCATTCCCTCTCCTTTCTTCTAGCATTCCACTTACATGTATATTAGTATTCTTGGTATTATCTGATATATCATTGAGGTTCTGTTAATTTTTTGGTCTTTTTTCTCTCTGTGTTTCATTTTAGATAATTTCTATTGTTGTGTCTTTAAGTTCATTGATTTTTTTCTTCTGCAGATCTAATCTGCTATTAATTCCATCCAATGACATTTTCATTTTACATATTATATTTTTTCAGCTCTAGAAATTTTATTTGTCTCTTTCATTTTTTATTATGTTTATGTTTTCTTTTAAGCCCTGGAGCATACTCATAACACTTATTTGATCTATTTTCAAGTTCTTTCATACTAATTCTATCATTTTTGCCATTTCTCTGTTTTATTTACTGGATTTTTTGTGCTTTTTAAAATTCATACATAATAGATACATATTTTTCAGGGTACATGTGATAATTTGATACATTCATATAATCAAATCAGGGTAACTGGAATATACATCACCTTAAATATTTATCTTTATGTTATGAACATTTGAATTATTCTCTCCAAGCTATTTCAAAATGTGCAATAAATTAATATTAACTGTAGTCACGCTACTGATCTGTAGAATACCAGGTCTTATTTCTTCTGTTTAATTGTATATTTGTACCCATCACTATTTACGGATTTTTATTTTGTTCATTGATCAACTTTTTTGTCTGATTCCTGGTGCTTTGAGTGCTTTTTGAGTGGATACAGGATGTTGTAAATGTTAATATTGTTGAATGCCTGATTTGTCTGTCTTTTTTAAAAAAATTAGTTTTTGGCCTTGTTTTGGCAGGCTGCTAAGACTCATGGATCAGGTTGAGGCTTGTTTTTAAGCTTTGGTAGAATGTGTGTGGAGTTGCCTTTACTCTAACAAATTTCAGTTTTCCTCCTAAGGCTCCTGAGGTCCCTACTGTGAATGATTGGGGTGATTTACAAAGACTTTCCACCTTAACTAGTAAGAGGTCAAACATCTTCATCCCTGTGTGAACTCGAATAACTGCTCGCCTTTTATCTTCCTGTTCCATTTTTGTTGGGATTTGTACTACTTTCGTCTCCGCACACACCTCTCAGTATTCAGCAAAGACTCAAGAAGAGCCACATGCAGATTTATGAACTGATTTTATGCATAGCTCCCTCTTTTTTATAACTCTGCTTCACAACTTCCAGATGCCTTCACTTCCCTGACTGCTGATCTCTGATTACTGAAGGCTACTAATGCTGAGAATGCTCTCCCTGTTGTATGGCCTGAAGTATACCTCCAGTCAGAAAGCCATGGCAATCATGAGTCCCACCCAACTTGTTTCATTTTCTTCAGTGATCACAGACATGTTTTGCCTGTTATCCAATTTGTGAAAACATGGGTTTTATATATTTTGTCCAGTTTTCTAGTTGGTTACAGTGGAAGGGTAAGCCTGGTCTTTGATACTCCATTATAGCCAGAAGCAGATGTCTGGTTTGTATTCTTAATTTTATTATTACTACCTTAATCCCTCAGAAAAACCTTTTAACAATTTACATTTTTGTTTATGTATGCACTTACGCATTGGATGTTATTGGCTCCTTCTTTCTTGAAAGGTTCTCTTCCACTAGTTCCTAGAATATCATACTAATCTGATTTTTCTCCTTTCTCTCTTGCCATTGCTTTTAAGATTCCTTTTTAGCTCATCATCCTTTACCTTAACATTATATCTTGGAATTTCTCAAGGCTTAGTTCTAAGTATTCCTATCTATCTATCTATCTATCTATCTATCTATCTATCTATCTATTCATGCTCTTTCTAGGAAATCTTACCTATGACATTAAAGATCACCAAGGACTTTCAAACTTATTTTTTTATTATTATTATACTTTAAGTTATAGGGTACATGTGCTCAATGTGCAGGTTTGTTACGTAAGTATACATGTGCCATGTTGGTGTGCTGCACCCATTAACTCGTCATGTACATTAGGTATATCTCCTAATGCTATCCCTCCCCCCTGCCCCCACCCCACGACAGGCCCCACTGTGTGATGTTCCCCACCCTGTGTCCAAGTGTTCTCGTTGTTCAATTCCCACATATGAGTGAGAACATGCTGTGTTTGGTTTCCCGTCCTTGTGATAGTTTGCTGAGAATGATGGTTTCCAGCTTCATCCATGTCCCTACAAAGGACATGAACTCATCCTTTTTTATGGCTGCATAGTATTCCATGGTGTATATGTGCCACATTTTCTTAATCCAGTCTATCATTGATGGACATTTGGGTTGGTTCCAAGTCTTTGCTATTGTGAATAGTGCTGCAATAAACATATGTGTGCATGTGTCTTTATAGTAGAATGATTTATAATCCTTTGGGTATATGCTCAGTAATGGGAAGCCTGGGTCAAATGGTATTTCTAGTTCTAGATCCTTGAGGAATCGCCACACTGTCTTCCGCAATGGTTGAACTAGTTTAAAGTCCCACCAACAGTGTAAAAGTGTTCCTATTTCTCTACATCCTCTCCAGCACCTGTTGTTTCCTGACTTTTTAATGATCACCATTCTAACTGGTGTGAGATGGTATCTCATTGTGGTTTCAAACTTCTATTTCCAGCCTAGCCCTCTCTTACATGCTCTAAACCCTCCTGCCTGCTTTGACATCTCTAAGGCAACTCAAAGTCAAGTTAATGAAATTGCTATCTTCTCACCTTCCCTGACACCTGCCTCCAAATCTGGCCCTCTTCCAATGTTTCATATTTCAACGAATTATTCCTCCATCCCATCTAGTTGTGCTGTTAAGAAATGAGGATCAGATCTTGGACAGTTTCCTTTTTCTTATTCCGTGCAATCCCTGACCCTACCACCTTGTATATTCTCTCCATCAGCAAGTTCTGTAGTTTTACCTCTTAAGTCTTTTGACCCCATTTACTTCTCATCATTGCCACTGAATTAGTTTAAGCTACATATCATCTTTCATCTGATCTACTGTAACAGTCTCCTAAGTGGCCTCTGTGTATCTCCTCTAATCCTCCACCCAAATCTGCTCTCAATACCCCAGAATAAAGTGACCTTCCAAAGATCAGATCTGAGCATGTCAGCCCCTTCCTTAAGTCTCCTCCATAGATTCTTATTGATTTTAGGATAAAGACTCTAATCCTAAATAAAGCCTAAAAGACTCTCTGTGTTTTGGCCATTGTCTGCCTCTCCTGCTTCTTCTCTACCGCAATGATCTTGACTGTGTTCCCCAACCAACTGGCTTCTTTCAGTTTTTGGAAAATGCCCCACTTCCTTCTTTTTTTTCAGTAAAGTCTTACCCTGCCACCCAGGCTAGAGTGCAGTGGTGTGATGATGGCTAACTGTAGCCTCGACCTCTTCAGCTCAAGCTGTCTTCCTACCTAAGGCCTCCCAGGTAGCTGAGATTATAGGCATGTGCTACCACACCCACCTAATTTTTGTGTTTTTTTTAGAGATGGGGTCTCGCCATGTTGCCCAGGCTGGTCTCGAACTCCTGAGCTCAAGTAATCCTCCTGCCTCAGCCCCCTAAAGTGTTGGGATTATAGGTATGAGCCACCATACCTGGTTCCCTCTTTCCTCCTTGCCATAGTATCTCAGCATATGCAATTCTGTTTGAAATATCCTTTCCTACCTTTAAATCACACTCTGCTCCAGGTTAACTCCTATTTATAATATCTATAGATTCAGCTTTGCCACCTCTTCAAGAAAGCCCTTTTTTCCCTTTAAATACATACTTTGTTTATAATTGTATAAAACTGGTTATGTCACTGCCACTTTGTCCCCCAGTGAAAATAAGATCCATGTCCTCAGCACTAGGCCCTACATAAATATTTTTGAATGGATAAGTGGATGAATTACTCAGTGGTTTCCATTTATTTTTATAGAATCATGAACATAATAAGTCATAAATGAAAATTTGTTAAACACTTTATGAATTGTTGCCTAATGTGCATTATCATTTCATCTGTTCTGAATGACTATTTATGGCCTTTTAAAATGAGGCTTATATTTTATTGAAATTATAGTATAGCCAATTTTAGATAAACTCTCACTGTGAGGTCAAATTATTATTTCTTTATTATTTTTATTTATTTCAAAAGCCTTTATTCATTTTTGGTCAGAGAAAAGGACAATCTCAAGGTCAACTTTTCACTTAATTATACGTTTGAACTTACAGGATTCACTACCTAGACACTGTGCCTACTGACAACACAAAATGAACTGCCTTCTAGTCCCTAAAGTTGCATGTTAAAAGAATAAGCAGAATCCTTTGCAATAGCCAACATTGGTACTTATCCTAGGTGTAAGGTGTAATAGAAAAACAGAAGGAAAAACGGACAAGAGCATTGTAACTTTATAGCACAACAAGTGCAAATATCACTGGAACAAATAAAGTTACAGGCACCAAATTTTTTTAAAAGGCAGGTTCATAAGCATAAAAAACTTAAATTGGTTGCACAAGATTAACTACTCTGCATGCGGACACATGTGCCAATCCCAGTAGTTAACCTGGAGACAAACATCCTTAAATCCAATTAACTACACTGAATGCCAAATTCAAAGTTTGTGTTTACCTAGGTCCTCTAAAACCTAGATATGAAATTATTTCTTTTCAATGAACCAGGAAAATATACTGTAATGACAGGAGTCAGGAACACTTGGATCAACATTAACATATCTAAGACTTACCTTTTGCACTATTCCTTCCTACATCTGAATATGCAAATGCTTACCTACTCAAGTTTATTCACTAACTACATTAAAATGATATTTACTATCATGACTTTTTCTAAACTCACACGGCATTTGCAGTTAACTGTAATACAGCTTCCTCAGAATGCCCAAATAGAAAATATTTTGTTCAGTGTTGTGATGGCTGTGACATAACACTAACAGAATATAACTAAATCAGTTATTCTGCCACTACTTCAAATTTTAATTGAACTTTTGATCAAACTTTAATGGATAATCTCATACCTATCTGTGAAATTCCTTGTGTTATAATTACTTTCACTACTTTAAACTATAGTTCCTACCACAGTTTTACAGTGTTCTTTTCTATATTTATTTGGATTTTTACTAAGAGAATTAACATCATGGTGTTATGATTATAATTGCATGTAAAGCTTTTTCTAGCAGACCACTGATTAGCTCTAAAGTCAAAGAAGTAATTAGCAATTCAAAGATGGCTTTCCAGAGACAAGAACAAAGCAAAAGGAGTTACTAATAATCATTATGTTACAATCCAGAGGACACATGGTCTACTAGAAAGCTTCCAGTGATCACAACACTGTGACTTTGTCTCAGGACAGTGTCTTCAGATATCCAGAGGGGAAAAACATCATCCAAAGATGTGGTGGAAACTTCAGGTAACAGACAGATGAAGCCTTAAGAGCATGGAATATATCTACATATTGGGAAACAGGGTGTCACTGTGGCTGGCTATTTATAAAGGACCACAGTTTCTCCCTATGGATCAATTCTCTCCGCACAACAAACTGTGCCTTAATTATTGCTTATTTAAAATTATATTTTTATGGAGCCATGTGGTACCTGACACAGAAAAATAATCACATAAGGAAGCATTTATTTGAGGTTTAATATAAAATCATACAAATAAAATGTGTATAAACACAAATCCACATTGAGTCATAACAGATAGCAAAGGACAAAGTAAAAACAAAGAACATGAATTGGCAGCTATATACAGTTAGACACAATTGTGTCTTGTACACTAGAAAGTCTTTTACAAAATAATCATCTTAGATCAACAAAAGACCAGTCTTCAATGTCATCCTGCAAGATGGGTTATTTTAGCATCATCTCCTGTTTTCTCCAATGTCCTCCTTTAGTATGGCTGGTGATTGTTTTGGTGATTGCGACCCCCTGGAGATGCCTTGCCATAAGTGCTCTCTTGGCCACTATAGTCTGCATACACCTGTGCATAGTCATGGTTCCTATAGTTATACCCAGCATGATCATATCTGCCATAGCCACTACAGTTTTGATCACCACCATAGGCACTATTGTAATTCCCATATCCGCGATCATAGTAGTCACTAGATCATTGATTCCAATTATGCCTTGACCTTGGTCACGACCCCCTAGGGCCCCCTCATTCACTGGTTGCAGCACCTGTTCTTCCTTTTTGTTTTGGTGTTGCAGCTTCTATATCTCTTTGGGTTGTGCAACTTTGATTTAACACTTCCCAGAACCAATTTGATAATAATCTGCTGTCTAACAATTTCGTTACTGGCTCTTCATCTATATATGTGAGAAAACAAAATCTTCTTTTATTTGTTTTTGTATCCATGGGAATTTCAATATTTTCAAACTTTCCAAAGGCTCCAATATATTCTTTAATTTGTTTTTCAGAAGTTTCTGGGCTCAATCCACCCACAAAACCCTTTTTGGGGGATTCTTTCCCTTTTTTTTATTATTATACTTTAAGTTCTAGGGTACATGTGCATAACGTGCAGGTTTGTTACATAGGTATACATGTGCCATGTTGGTGTGCTGCACCCATTAACTCGTCATGTACATTAGGTATATTTCCTAATGTTATCCCTCCCCACTCCCCCCACCCCATGACAGGCCCTGGTGTGTGATATTCCCCACCCTGTGTCCAAGTGTTCTCATTGTTCAATTCCCACATATGAGTGAGAACATGCGGTGTTTGGTTTCCCGTCCTTGTGATAGTTTGCTGAGAATGATGGTTTCCAGCTTCATCCATGTCCCTACAAAGGACATGAACTCATCCTTTTTTATGGCTGCATAGTATTCCATGGTGTATATGTGCCACATTTTCTTAATCCAGTCTATCATTGATGGACATTTGGGTTGGTTCCAAGTCTTTTCTATTGTGAATAGTGCCGCAATAAACATACATGTGCATGTGTCTTTATAGCAGCATGATTTATAATCCTTTGGGTGTATACTCAGTAATGGGATGGCTAGGTCAAATGATATTTCTAGTTCTAGATCCTTGAGGAATTGACACACTGACTTCCACAATGGTTGAACTAGTTTACAGTCCCACCAACAGTATAAAAGTGTTCCTATTTCTCCACATCCTCTCCAACACCTGTTGTTTCCTCACTTTTTAATGATCACCATTCTAACTGGTGTGAGATAGTATCTCATTGTGGTTTTGATTTGCATTTCTATGATGGCCAGTGATGATGAGCATTTTTTCATGGTCTGCTGACTGCGTAAATGTCTTCTTTTGAGAAGTGTCTGTTCATATCCTTCACCCACTTTTTGATGGGGTTGTTTGATTTTTTTCTTGTAAATTTGTTTAAGTTCTTTGTAGATTCTGGATATTAGCCCTTTGTCAGATGAGTAGATTACAAAAATTTTCTCCCATTCTGTAGGTTGCCTGTTCACTCTGATGGTAGTTTCTTTTGCTGTGCAGAAGCTCTTTAGTTTAATTAGATCCCATTTGTCAATTGTGGCTTGTGTTGCCATTGCTTTTGGTGTTTTAGTCATGAAGTCTTTGCCCATGCCTATGTCCTGAATGGTATTGCCTAGGTTTTTTTCTAAGGTTTTTATGGTTTTAGGTCTAACATTTAAGTCTTTAATCCATCTTGAATTAAGTTTTGTGTAAGGTGTAAGGAAGGGATCCAGTTTCAGCTTTCTACATATGGCTAGCCAGTTTTCCCAGCACCATTTATTAAATAGGGATCCTTTCCCCATTGCTCGTTTTTGTCAGGTTTGTCAAAGATCAGGTGGTTGTAGATGTGTGGTATTATTTCTATTCCATTGGTCTATATCTCTGTTTTAGTACCAGTACCCTGCTGTTTTGGTTACTGTAGCCTTGTAGTATAGTTTGAAGTCAGGTAGCATGATGCCTCCAGCTTTGTTCTTTTGGCTTAGGATTGTCTTGGCAATGTGGGCTCTTTCTTGGTTCCATATGAACTTTAAAGTAGTTTTTTCCAATTCTGTGAAGAAAGTCATTGGTAGCTTGATGGGGATGGCATTGAATGTATAAATTACTTTGGGCAGTGTGGCCATTTTCACGATATTGATTCTTCCTATCCATGAGCATGGAATGTTCTTCCATTTGTTTCGGTCCTCTTTTATTTCGTTGAGCAGTGGTTTGTAGTTCTCCTTAAAGAGGTCCTTTATGTCCCTTGTAAGTTGGATTCCTAGGTATTTTATTCTCTTTGAAGCAATTCTGAATGGGAGTTCACTCATGATTTGGCTCTCTGTTTGTTATTGGTGTATAGGACCGCTTGTGATTTTTGCACATTGATTTTGTATCCTGAGACTTTACTGAAGTTGCTTACTAGCTTAAGGAGATTTTGGGCTGAAACAATGGGGTTTTCTAAATATACAGGCATGTCATCTGCAAACAGGGACAATTTGAATTCCTCTTTTCCTAACTGAATACCCTTTATTTCTTTCTCCTGCCTGATTGCTCGGGCCAGAACTTCCAATACTATGTTGAAGAGGAGTGGTGAGAGAGGGCATCCCTGCCTTGTGCCAGTTTTCAAAGGGAATGCTTCCAGTTTTTGCCTATTCAGTATGATATTGGCTGTGGGTTTGTCATAAATATCTCTTGTAATTTTGAGATACGTCCCATCAATACCTAATTTATTGAGAGTTTTTAGCATGAAGGGCTGTTGAATTTCGTCAAAGGCCTTTTCTGCGTCTATTGAGATTATCATGTGGATTTGTCTTTGGTTCTGTTTATATGATGGATTACATTTATTGATTGGCATATGTTGAACAAGCCTTGCATCCCAGGGATGAAGCCCACTTGATCATGGTGAATAAGCTTTTTGATATGCTGGATTCGGTTTGCCAGTACTTTATTGAGGATTTTTCCTCAATAAAGGAAAGGTTTATTGGTCTAAAATTATCTTTTTTGGTTGTGTCTCTGCCAGGCTTTGGTATCAGGATGATGCTGGCCTCATAAAATGAGTTAGGGAGGATTCCCTCTTTTTCTATTATTTGGAATAGTTTCAGAAGGAATGGTACCAGCTCCTCCTTCTACCTCTGCTAGAATTTGGCTGTGAATCCATTTGGTCCTGGACTTTTTTTGTTGGTAGGCTATTAATTATTGCCTCAATTTCAGAGCCTGTTATTGGTCTATTCAAGGATTCAACTTCTCCCTGGTTTAGTCTTCGGAGGTTGTATGTGTCCAGGAATTTATCCATTTCTTCTAGATTTTCTAGTTTATTTGCATAGAGGTGTTTATAGTATTCTCTGATGGTAGTTTGTATTTCTGTGGGATCGGTGGTGATAACCCCTTTATCATTTTTTATTGCGTCTATTTGATTCTTCTCTCTTTTCTTCTTTATTAGTCTTGCTAGTGGTCTATCAATTTTGTTGATCTTTTCAACAAACCAGCTCCCGGATTCGTTGATTTTTTGAAGGGTTTTTTGTGTCTCTATCTCCTTACGTTCTGCTCTGATCTTAGTTATTTCTTGCCTTCTGCTAGCTTTTGAATGTGTTTGCTCTTGCTTCTTGAGTTCTTTTAATTGTGATGTTAGGGTGTCCATTTCAAATCTTTCCTGCTTTCTCTTGTGGGCATTTAGTGCTATAAATTTCCCTCTACACACTGCTTTAAATGTGTCCCAGAGGTGGTGGTATGTTGTGTCTTTGTTCTCATTGGTTTCAAAGAACATCTTTATTTCTGCCTTCATTTCTTTATGTACCCAGTAGTCATTCAGGAGTAGGTTGTTCAGTTTCCAAATAGTTGAGCAGTTTTGAGTGAGTTTCTGAATCCTGAGTTCTAGTTTGATTGCACTGTAGTCTGAGAGACAGTTTGTTATAATTTCTATTCTTTGACATTTGCTGAGGAGTGCTTTACTTCCAACAATGTGGTCAATTTTGGAATAAGTGTGATGTGGTGCTGAGAAGAATGTGTATTCTGTTGATTTGGGGTGGAGAGTTCTGTAGATGTCTATTATGTCTGCTTGGTGCAGAGCTGAGTTCAATTCCTGGATATCCTTGTTAACTTTCTGTCTCGTTGATCTGTCTGATGTTGACAGTGGGGTGTTAAAGTCTCCCATTATTATTGTGTGGGAGTCTAAGTCTCTTTGTAGGTCTCTAAGAACTTGCTTTATGAATCTGGGTGCTCCTGTATTGAGTGCATATATATTTAGGATAGTTAGCTCTTCTTGTGGAATTGATCCCTTTACCATTATGTAATGGCCTTCTTTGTCTCTTTTGATCTTTGTTGGTTTAAAGTCTCTTTTGTCAGAGACTAGGATTGCAACCCCTGCTTTTTTTTTTGTTTTCTATTTTCTTGGTAGATCTTCCTCCATCCCTTTATTTTGAGCCTATGTTTGTCTGTGCACGTGAGATGGGTCTCCTGAATACAGCACACTGATGGGTCTTGACTCTATCCAAGTTGCCAGTCTGTGTATTTTAATTGAAGCATTTAGCCCATTTACATTTAGGGTTAATATTGTTATGTGCAAATTTGATCCTGTCATTATGATGTTAGCTGGTTATTTCGCTCGTTACTTGATGCAGTTTCTTCCTAGCATCGATGGTCTTTACAATTTGACTTGTTTTTGCAGTGGCTGGTACTGGTTGTTCTTTTCCATGTTTAATGCTTCCTTTGGGAGCTCTTGTAAGGCAGGCCTGGTGGTGACAAAATCTCTCAGTATTTGCTTGTCTGTAAAGGATTTTATTTCTCCTTCATTTATGAAGTTTAGTTTGGGTGGATATGAAATTATGGGTTGAAGATTCTTTTCTTTAAGAATGTTGAATATTGGCCCCCACTCTCTTCTGGCTTGTAGAGTTTCTGCCGAGAGATCTGCTGTTAGTCTGATGGGCTTCCCTTTGTGAGTAACTCGACCTTTCTCCCTGGCTGCCCTTAACATTTTTACATTTGGTGAATCTGATAATTATGTGTCTTGGAGTTCCTTTTCTCGAGGAGTATCTTTGTGGCATTCTCTGTATTTCCTGAATTTGAATGTTGGCCTGCCTTGCTAGGTTGGGGAGGTTCTCCTGGATAATATCCTGCAGAGTGTTTTCCAACTTGTTTCCATTCTCTTTTTTGCTTTTATTCCAGCTCAAACCTCCAATACACATTTTACTATCATCTTGCTCATTCTTGCTTGCATTCATCTTGGGTCCCTCTGTGAATTCTGTTGCTGTATTTGTTCATGTCCTCCACAGTGAAGGAGTTGTCAGCAGAGAGGTGCTGGCATGCAGACTAGGTTGCTGCAGTAGTGATGGCAGAGCAACTATTTCTGTATTTAATATGGTTAAAAGATTTACCTCCTGGTTCCAGTTTTCCTTTCTAGGGGTGGGAAAATTTTTTCTTTCTAGGGGTGGGGAAAGACCTACTTTCAAAATATTTCAGCTTTCAACTGTATAGATTGTATATTTTCACAAAGGAGGGGATGGTTATCCAGTTTCTAATGAGGGAAATGGGCTTGTAGAGGTAGTTCTGACATCTATCCCCTTTCTCACACATACTCCTGATTACCATAGACTTAAGTAGTCAATGTATTTTTCTTGTTTGGCTTAGCTGCCTTTTATTATCTCATATGTTCCTAGCTCTATGTTTAGTGCTTTAGAGTATTACTAATCTCCAAAACAAGCATACAAACATTACTAATCCTATTTTACAAATTAAAAAATTGAGACCCAGAGAAATTAAGCAAATTGTTCAAAGCCATAGTTAGTAAGTGGCAAGGCCAGGATCTCTGAAGTACCAAAACCAATATATACCCTTCCTACTACTTCTTCATGAGCTAATTCCTGGTTTTATCATGGAAAATTGAGAGCTGACTTCACATTTGGCTGTTTCTTGGTCTTTGTGACGTAAAACTCAATCACAAAATTATCTTGTAAAAAAAGGTTTTTTAAAACTTCAGTGACTCATTCTTAATATAACCTTTCCATAGTATTTAAATTTTCATAGAGCTATTTGATGACTTTTTAAAATTAGGCATTGTGAGTTTTAATTCTTTGGAAGTCAATAGAATTATTTTGATGCTTGCTTGTTTCCAAATATTAAAAGCTGAGTAATTTAAGCCTGTGAACTCAATTAGTTAGAACATGATCTTAGTGTTGATCATCATACAATTCTATTGATGTCCCACAGGAAAAAACTCAGTCCAAAGCTAAACCTAATGCTACTCCTGGCACACATTTGGGTTATTATCTTCTCTAATTATGAAATACAGCATGCAAAGCCAAGTTTCTGCTTCTATATGACCCTAAAAAATGGAATGGGGATGATTTTTATACTTTCTTTCACTCTTCTAAAAGTTACAATTTTGTTTTCTGTTAGCACGCACGTAATGATTCACTCATTGATTCACTCATTTGTTCATTAAAACACGTTTATTGTATGCTTCCTATATGCCAGGCATTATTCTAAGAGATATATATATGATAAATAAGACAGAAAACATGTTTGCTCCACAGAGCTTCTATTCTAGTGAGGAAAGACAGACAAGCAACCAAAAAAAAAATAGTGATAATTGTTTGTAAGATGATATAAGAGAGTGTTCTGAAAAAAAAACAGTTGGGGATTGGGGATGTTATTTTGGGCAGGATTGTCACATAAGATCTGGTAGATGTGACTTTTGAAACAAGACCTGAACTATGAGAAGGAACTAGCCATTTGGGAACTACTTCCCAAACAAATGCAACAGACTTGGAGGCAGAAATGAACTTGGGAGATACCAGGAACAGAAGGAAGGTGTTACTAGGATAGTTTTTAAGGCTGGAAGAGGAGGCAGAGGCCAGCCCTTGAGGATTTTAAATACATTTAATTTTTCCTTCAGTTTCTTCTGAAATGACATTACTGATATTATTATATTGGACTTAGAGTTAGTTTTGCCTTCTTGATACTATTAATTATGCTACAGAGAAAACCATATATTATCATAAAATTTTAGAATGGAAAGATTCCTTAGAAATTACCTAGTCCAACCCCTTCATTGTAGAGATATGGCAATTTGAACCCAGAAAAGTTAAGTGATTTGTAGGAGGTTAATCAGCAAGCCTGGGTAAGCTAGGATTTGAGCTCAGGCTTTAGTATTACACGGTGTGATGTTCTTTCCAGAAAACTAAAAAAAAAAACACTCAAGGGATTTTTACATTTATGGTGTTTTAATGGTTCTCTTATTACCTATTTGATTTTTTAAAAAAATAATAGATTACTATAATTTAACAAGTATTTAAATATAGTTGTTTTAGATTTGAACTATGCATATTTTTAAAAAATCATTTGCCAAAGTTTTATAAGAGCAGAATGATGCAAAAATTGGCTTAGTATCCATCTTTTAATTACCTTTAATTGTACCACCTGCTGAGGTTCTTAACCTGATGTCTTTATGCCTCAGGGGGATCTACAAATGAACTTCAGGGTTCCACTAATCCTTTGAAAAAATGCACAATGTTTTACACACCTGTGATTATCATTTCAGGTCCTCCAAGGAATAGACAACAAGACAGAATTAGACAAGCTTAATTTATGGGGGAGTGCATGTGGACGGTAAAGGAGAGGGAGGAGGAATAGAAGGCAAGAGCCTTGAGACCACAAGGCAGGTCTGGCATCTGTGAAAGGAGAGACGGGAAGGAGGATTTGGTTGGAGGCCTCAGACTGCAGTATAGTTCTAAGAAAATCTCATCCAAGCTGATGTGGAGTCCCCAAGCAAAGTTTGCTTATTGGAAGCATCCTATATTGGGCAGAAAGGTACAAGCACCATTACCTCTTCCATGCTTATTTGTTGGCTCCAAGAAGCCCTAGGGCAAGTGCTATGAGCAGTCATGAATCCAAGGGGTAGTAGCTGGGGCTGTCCATCAGCTCAGCTCCTGGCAGGAGTTCTATGAAGGAGATCTGGGTGGTACACTTCCAGGGCCACCACAGTATGCTTATTTGCACTCCTTTGAGGGAATTATCTGTGGCTGTTGTTACATTTACAAAGTGTTTGGGTTCCAAAGAAAGTTCAGAACAACTGACTATTCAGACACCTTAATATAGTTTGGATTTGTGTCCCTGCCCAAATCTCATGTTGAATTGTAATCCCCAGTGTTGGAGGAGGGAACTGGTAAAAAGTAATTGGGTCATGAGGGTGGAATTCCCCCTTGCTGTTCTTATGATATTGAGTGAGTTCTCATGATATCTTGTTGTTTAAAAGTGTATAGCACCTCTCCCTTTGCTCTCTTCCTCCTGCTCCAGCCATGTAGAATGTGTCTGCCTCCCCTTCTGCCATGATTGTAAGTTTCTTAAGGCCTTCCTAGCCATGTTTCCTGTACAGCCTGCAGAACCATGAGCCAATTAAACCTCTTTTCTTTATAAATTACTCAGTCTCCAGTAGTTCTTTATAGCAATGTGAGACTGGATGAATACAGAAAATTGGTACTGAGAAGTGGGGCATTGCTATAAAGATACCTGAAAATGTGGAAGTGACTTTGAAACTGGGTAAAGACAGAGAGGTTGGAAGAGTGCAGAGGGCTCAGAAGAAGACAGAAAGATGAGGAAAAGCTTGGAATTTCATAGAGACTTGTTCAGTTGTTATGACCAAAATGCTGATAGTAATATGGACAGTGAGGCTGATGTGGTCTCAGGTGGAGATGAGGAACTTATAGGGAACTGGAGCAAAGGTCACTGTTGTTAGGCTTTAGCAAATACAGCATTGTGCCCCAGATCTAAGAATCTGTTGAACTTTGTACTTGAGAGATAGAATTTAGGGTGTCTGGCAGAAGAAATTTCTAAGCAGCAAAGCATTCAAGATGTGGCCTGGCTTCTTCTAACAGGATATGCTCATATGTGTGAGCAGAGATGATCTGAAACTGGAACTTCCAGCTGGCTGCAAAAATTTGCCTAAGTAAAGAGGAGCCAAATGTTAATAGCCAAGAAAATAGGGAAAATGCCTTCAAGGCATTTCAGAGACCTCGTGGCAGCCCCTCCCATCACAGCCCTGGAGGCCTAAAAGGGAAGAATGGTTTCCTGGGCTGGGCCCAGGGCCCTGCTGCCCTGTGCAGCCTTGGGACACTGCTCCCTGTGTCCCAGCCACTCCAGCTCCAGCCATGGCTAAAAGGGTCCCAGATATGTCTCAGGCCACTCCTCCAGAGGGTGTAAGCCACAAGCCTTGGAAGCTTCCATGTGGTGTTAAGCCTGCAGGTGCCCAGAAGACAAGAGCTGAAGCTTGGGAGCCTATGCTTAGATTTCAGAGGATCTATGGAAAAGCCTGGATGTGCAGGCAGAAGTCTGCTGAATGGGCAGAGCCCTCATGGAGAACCTCCACTAGGACAGTGTAGAGGGGAAATGTGGAGATGGAGCCCCCACACAGAGTCCCCACTAGGGCACTGCATAGTGGAGCTGTGAGAATAGGGCCATCATCCTCCAGACATCAGTATGGCCTGAATGTGAGACGTGGAGTCAAAGGAGGTTATTTTAGAGCTTTAAGATTTAGTGACTGCCCTGCTGGGTTTTGGACTTGTACAGGGCCTGTAGTTCCTTTCTTCTGGCAGATTTCTCTCTTTTGGAAAGGGAGTAATTCCTATATCCCATTGTATTTTGGGAGTAAATAACTTGTTTTAGATTTTACAGGCTCATAGGCAGAAGGGACTTGCCTTGTCTCAGATGAGACTTTGGAATGTGGACTTTTGAGTTAATGCGGAAATGAGTTAAGACTTGGGGGACTGTTGAGAAGGGATGATTGTATTTTGCAATTTGAGAAGGACATGAGATTTGGGAGGGGCCAGGGGAGAATGTTATGGTTTGGATTTGTGTCCCTGCCCAAATCTCATGTTGAATTGTAATCCTTAATGTTAGAGGAGGGGTCCAGTGGGAGGTGATTGGATCAAGGGGGTGCACTTCCCCCTTGCTGTTCTCATGATAGTGAGTGAATTCTTAAGAGAGCTGGTTGTTTAAAAGTGTATAGCACCTCACCCTTCACTCTCTTCCTCCTGCTCCAGCCATGTAGAATGTGTCTGCTTCCCCTTTGCCTTCTGCCATGATTGTTGAGGCCTCCCTAGCCATGCCTCCTGTACAGCCTGTAAAACCATGAGCCATTTAAGCCTCTTTTTTTTTTTTAATGAATTACTCAGTCTCAGGCAGTTCTTTGTAGCAATGTGAGAATGGACAAATTCACACTTAAATTATGGCCCCAAACTATGGACTCAAATTTATTACCTTGAGTTTGGTAAGTAATACATACCAAATCATTGCTAATTGTGATATTGTTGCCATTATCTCTTTATGGGTGACAGAGACGTTTACACTTTTTACATTCATGTCTATCTCAATGAAAGCAAGGAGTGTCTGACTACTGGCTCTAGGTTTATACCACAGGGTTTGGATGTACCTATTTTTCCTTAGGAGAAATGCTAAAGTTTCAGATCATGGATGATGGAAACCAAATTTCTGGATTTATATCATCATTCTGGCACTGACTGGCTGCTTGACCATAGTAAATTACTTCATTCCTCATTCATGCCTCACATACTTCATTCATGCCTCACATTCCTCATTTCTAACATTGCACATAATCATAATAGTGTCTGCCTTCTGGGATTGTGGGAAGGATTCAATGAGATGATCTCCAGAAAGCTCCTCATATAGTGCCTAGCACACATTATTCTTTTTTTTTTATACTTTTAAGTTTTAGGGTACATGTGCACAACGTGCAGGTTTGTTACATATGTATACGTGTGCCATGGTGGAGCACACATTATTCTTGTGGTGATAGGCTATTGGGCACTGGGCACTGCAGTTTGCCCCACTTGAGCAAATTCAGCACTCTAAAATGTGAACTTTGGGAGTGAATGAATGGATTAAGCTCTGATCCTATCTGATCCTACAAGCTGCAGAAGAATCCTATAAAGACTTGGCTCTTCTAAAGTATTTGAAACCTTTTTTAGTAAAACAGTAGTGTTTCTGGTTTGGTAAGATTTGTGGAGATATTTATTTTTTTCTTTGGGCTTATTTGTATTTTTAATTACAAAATTATGCATTATTTGTATAATTAAGCATTTTAGATTTTATGCCTAACACATCTGTTTTTAAAGCAAGTTAAAGCTATAAAGATGATTTTACATAGAAGTGGATTATTTCATAATATGTTACTATTACTGTTGTTACTGTTTAAAAGTTTTCAAATTTCCTCCAGAGAGCTCGACCTTTATTGATGTATCACTTTCTATTTGGGTGACACTGCCTTTTCTCCTTTAACAACTTCCTTGATTTATCTCAGTCTGTTTTTTCTGTAATTCCTTTTTAAATTTCCTATCTTCTTGGTATATCTACTTTTCACTATTTCTGGTATAAACATTTTAGTAAGGCAGATATGATAAAAATTTGAAAGATTAAATAAGCACTCACGAGTTATTTAGTCCAGTGGTAACAAATTACAGCCCAAGGGACAAATCTGGCCAGCAGCCTATTTTTGTTATTAGAACCATGCTTTAAAAATTACACATTGGCTATACAACTCTCATGCTACACAACTGAGTTGAATAATTACAACAGAGACGGAATGACAAGCAAAGTAGAAAATATTTACTATCTGTCCTTCTACAGAAAAAGTTTGCAAACCCCTGATTTAGTTTCCTCAAAAGAAAAAAAAAAGGCAAGAGAAAAAAATGTTCTAGAGCAAGATAGCTCTTTGAGTGTAGGAAATGTGTCTTACTCGTCACTTTATCCTTAGTAGCTAACCTACAGCTGGGCTTATTTATATGAGATAATAATCAAATATTTATGGAATTGAGTTGACTATGGCTTTACTTTACATTAATTTTTAAAATTAAATGGCTTAAATTATAAAGAGATTTCCTCCCAGTAGGTTTTTATTAAAATGGCACTGTAGAGTAAACTAGCTGGGATAGCCCACTGAAGTGACCATTATAAATAATCTCTCTGGGGTGATTTGTAATACATTAGAAAAACATTCCTTTTGTGAAAAAAAAACTGTTAGTTTAATGGGATAATATGTTTGAGAGAGACTGCTTGACCACCTGCTGCTTCTTTTAACATTTTGCTTTTTATGCTAAGACTCCTTTACAATTTCTTAATACTTTAGGGATAAAAAGTCATCAAATTACTAAACTCAAATGCATTTTCTACAAATACTTTCTGTAAGTTTATTTTAGTACCTTGTTTGGAAAAATTGTTTAGGTAGTAAAACCTTTGTATGTGGCTACATGTGAATTACAAAACTAATTTTTAATAGTTATATTGCTATAGCATTAGGAGATATACCTAATGCTAAATGACGAGTTAATGGGTGCAGCACACCAGCATGGCACATGTATACATATGTAACTAACCTGCACATTGTGCACATGTACCCTAAAACTTAAAGTATAATAATAATAATAATAATAATAATAATAATAATAATAATAAATACTTATATTGCTATAAAGGTCAAATGTTTTAAACAATTATAATTTATTAATCATTTGTATTATGCAGAATTTCACAAAGTAACAAACCTAGCCTTAAGTGGATAATTGCTATGTTAAAATTGTTAAAATTAGGGCATAGATTTCTTGTTTTCTGTTTTTAATTCATTTGTTTTTGTTTGATGAACAAGGACATCAATTATTTATAACTTTGGCAATTTTCCATAAAGTGCTTCCTATTGATAGAAATAATCTGAGATATTTCTTTCAAAAAATTCCTATGCCTCTCTCTTTTAAATTCTGATTCAGTATTTGTGGGCTGGAACTGGGGAATTTTCATTTTTAGAATACAAGCACTCTGAGTTATTCAAATCATGAGAGGAATTTAGGAAATGTTGATTTAAAGAATACCTTCATGGGAGTGATGTCAGCAAGATGACCGACTAGGAGTCCCATTCCTCATCTCCTTCAAAAACAATGACTTACTATCCACGGATGAAAATAGCTCTAGGAGAGCTTTAGAGTACAATTTAAAAGCTACAGCAACCCAGGTAGCACAACAACTGGGGATAGGCACGTAGAAAAGCACCAGAAACATTTTACCTGTGTTATCCCATCACCTAGGCCACCACAACTCAGTGTCAAAAAGAGTCTCCTTGGCTGAAACTTCCTGATGTAGTGGAAAAGGAAAGCAGGAGGACCCCAGTAGTTGTCACCATCAGGACCCTTCACCTTTTCAGCCAAGGATCCCCACAGCCTTTGTCAGTAAAACCCCAGCTGACAGAGCTGCACACAGCCCACACCACTGCATCACCCCAAGCCAGAACTGCCTCTGTGACCCTTGGAGCTGGAGCCACTGCACTACTCCCAGCCCCAGCAGTGATGTACACCTATGCCCCTGACCTGATTCCACTGTGCACCCATGCACCCAGCACTGCTGCACATCCCACCCAGCTAGTACCCTTACAGACACTTGCAGGTGAAGGTCTCTCCCCACCAAAGCCAGACCATAAAGTATGGAAGAAATAACTCCTTCAAATGCACAGACACCAACACAATACTACAAGGAATGTGAAAAATCAAGGAAACATGATACCATCAAAGGAAGACAATAAATTTTTAGTAATTGACCCCAAAGAAATGGGGATCTACAAATTGCCTGACAAAAAATTTAAAATAATTTGTTTAAAAAAGCTTGATGTGCAACAAGAGAACACAATTAGACAACTTAATGAAATTAGGAAAACAATACATAATCAAAATGAGTTCAACAAAGGAATAGAAATAACAATGAAGAACAAAACAGAAATTCTAGAACTAAACAATGTAATGAATGAAATGCAATAAAGAGTTTCTATAGAAAACTCAATCAAGCAGAAGAAACAATCAGGGAACTTAAATACAAGTTACTTGAAACTATTTAGTCAGAGAAGTAAAAGAAAAAACGAGAAAGAGTGAAATAAGCCTTCAGGATTTATGGGACATTTTCAAGTGAACCAGTATACAAATTATCAGAGTCATAGGGAAGGAGAAGAGAGAGAAAGAATAGGGCAAAAAGCTTACTTAAAGAAATAATGACTGAAAACTTCCCAAATCTGGGATAGGAAATAGATGTCCAGATTTTAGAAACCCAAAGGACTCCAAATAGCTTGATCATAAAGAGGTCTACTCTGAGGCACATTATAACTGTAAAAAGTCAAAGACAGACAATTTTGAACGCAAACAGAAAAGGAATCACATATAAGAGAACTCCATAAGTATACCAGTAGACTTCTTAGAAGAAACCTTGCAGCTCAGAGAAAAGTGCGATGGTATATTCAAAGTACTAAAAGAAAAAAAAT
Source organism: Homo sapiens (assembly GCF_000001405.40). NCBI lineage: Eukaryota > Metazoa > Chordata > Mammalia > Primates > Hominidae > Homo > Homo sapiens. The sequence goes on along the minus strand of NC_000002.12, from coordinate 158,410,986 downwards.
TGCAAACCAAGATGATACCTTGCAAAACTATCCTTTAAAAATAAAGTAGTTAGAATAGTTCTCAGATAGACAAAAACTGAAGGGTTTGTCACCACTAGATTTTCCTTTGAAAAATGCTTAAGGGAGTTCTTCAATTTCAAACAAAAATATGCTAAACAGACACATAAAAGCATATGAAAGCATAAATCTCACTAATAAAGATAAATATATAGACAACAAATAATTTAATACCATAATGGTAGTGTGTAAATTTTAACCCTAATATTAAAGGACAAAATATTTGTTAATGGATACACAATACAAAAAGAAGTAAACTCTGACTGTAAGAACACAACGTGTGTATGTGAGGGGTGATAAAAGTATAGAGATTTTATATGTGATTGAAGTTGTTGATATCGATTTAAAATAAATAAATACAAGATATTTTATGCAAGCCTCAAGGTAACCACAAAGAAAAACACCTATAATTGATACACAAAAGATATGAGAGAAGGATCAAACCAAATTACTACAAAAATCATGTCGTAACAAAAAAAGACATCAAGAAAGCAAGGAAGGTAGAGAGGCAAGTGCAAAACAGGCAGAAAACAACTAACAAAATGACAATAAGAAGTTCTCACTTATCAATAATTACATTAAATATAAATGGATTAAACTTTCTAATAAAAGGCTAGAGTGGCTGAAAGGATTAAAAACAAGATCTAGCAATATCTTGTCTCCAAGAGACTTACTTTATTCTTAAGCACACACATTGGTTGAAAATGAAAGGTTGGAAAAAAATATTCCATGCAAATAGTAACTGAAGAAGAGCAGGGGTGGCTAACTTAAATTAGACAAAATAGACTTTAAATCAAAAACTGTTCTAGAGGAGGTCATTGTATTAGGCTGTTTTCATGCTGCTGATAAAGACGTACCTAAGACTAGGGAAAAAATAATTTTAATGGACTCACAGTTTCACATGGCTGGGGATGCCTCACAATCATGGCAGAAAGTGAAAAGCACATCTTACATGGTGGTGGCAACAGAGAATGACAGCCAAGTGAAAGGGATTTCTTATAAAACCATCAGATCTTGTGAGACTTATTCACTACCACAAGAACAGTATGTTGGAAACTGCCCCCATGATTCGATTATCTCCCACCGGGTCCCTCCCACAATACATGGGAATTATGGGAGTACAATTCAAGATGAGATATGGGTGGGGACACAGAGCCAAACCATATCATTCTGCCCCTGTCCCCTGCCAAATCTCATGTCCTCACATTTAAAAACTAATCATGCCTTCCCAACAGTCCTCCAAAGTCTTAACTCATTTCAGCATTAACTCAGAAGTCCACAGTTCAAAGTCTTATCTGAGACAAGGCAAGTCCCTTCCACCTATAAGCCTGTAAAATCAAAAGCAAGCTAGTTACTTCCTAGATACAGTGGGGGTACAAGCATTGGATAAATACAGCCATTTAAAATAGGAGAAATTGGCTAAAACAAAGGGGCTACAGGCCCCATGCAAGTCTGAAATCCAGCGGGGCAGTCAAATCTTAAAGCTCTAAAATGATCTCCTTTGAGTCCATGTCTCACATCCAGGTCACACTGATGCAAGAGGTAGGCTCCAACAACCTTGGGCAGCTCCACCCCTGTGGCTTTGTAGGATATAGACCCTCTCCTGGCTGCTTTCATGGGCTGTCGTTTAGTGTCTGTTGCTTTTCCAGGCTCATGGTACAAGCTGTCAGTGGATCTACCATTCCGGAGTCTGGAGGATAGTGGCCCTCTTCTCACAGCTCCACTAGTCAGTTCCCCAGTAGGGACTCTGCGTGGGGGCTCTGACCCCATGTTTCCCTTCTGCACTGCCCTAGCAGAGGTTCTCCATGACAAGGGATAAATAACCAGAAAAAAATTATATATACATATATATATTTCTCTCTCTATATATAAAATTCAAACAACTCAACTCACTAGCAAAAGCACAAATAATCCTATGAAAAAATGGGCGAAAATCTGAATAGACATTTCTCAAAAGAAGAAACACAAATGGCTGACAAGTATTTGAGAAGTTGCTCAACATTAATAATTATTTGGAAAATGCAAATCCAAACTACAATGAATTATTACCTCACACCAGTTAGAATGGCTATTATCAGAAAGTTGGTGAGGATGTGGAGAAAATAGAACCCTGGACATTATTGGTGGGGATGTAAATTGGTACAGCCATTATGGAAAAAATATATATATATTCAAAAAATATATGTATTCAAAGGAAATGAAATCAGTTAATTGCAATATTAGTCACATAGCCAAGATATGGAAACAATCTAAATGTCCATCAATGGATGAATGCATAAAGAAAATGTGGTATATATGTATGTATATATATGTGTGTCTGTGTATGTGTGTGTGTGTGTTTATGAATATTATCCTTAAAAAAGAAAGACATCCTGTCATTTGTGACTACATGGATGAAACTGGAGGATATTATGCTAAGTGAAATAAGCCAGGTACAGAAAGACAAATGCTTCATGATCTCACTTATATGTGGAATTTAAAATAGTCAAACTCATAGAATTAGAATGTAGAATGTTGCTTGCCAGGGGTTGGGAGAAGAGGAAATGGGGAAATATTGGTCAAAGGGTACAAAGTTTCAGTTATGCAAGGTGAATAAATTCTGGAGATCTAACGTACAGCAATATGACTATAGTTAATAATACTGTATTGTATATTTGAAATTTGCTAAAAGGGTATATATTAAGTGTTCTCACCACAGAAAAGAAAAAAGAAAATGGTTATGTGAGGTGATAGATACGTTAATTAGATTGTGGTACACATTGTATGTATATATCAAAAGATTTAGTTTTATACCTTAAATATTTATAATTTCATTTGTCAACTATACTCCAATAAAGCAGAAAAATACTTTCACATTTTCTTCATCATATATAAAGTGTTTTGAATGGAACTTGAAAAACTTACTTGGACCCATAGTATACTCCCACCAATGAATGGACCATTTTTATATTTATTCAAAGAATTTAGAATTTGTACTTAAAATAGGCTAAATATTAGATAATTTTATCAGTTACTTAGAGTAAGTTTCTTTTAATATTTTAGTAACTGACTCTCCTTCAATATCTTAACCTTATTTGGGTCACAGATTCCCTCTGAGAAGTTGATGAAATCTGCATGATCTCTCCCCAGGAAAATTAACACATGCAAATTTTGCATACAATTACCAGGCTTCTATGAACCCAGACATATAATAGTGAATTCCAGCCATGGACCAGTTTAAGGTCTATTCTTCAGCTGGGACCCACATTATTTTTAATTTTGCTCTATACTAAGTATTTTAGCCTTGCCCTTAACTTTTTTTCTTGCCGGATGCTGTACTGCCAAAATTTAATAAACTGGTCCAGGGTTCTGGCTGTATATACCTCTCTTTCCAGTTAAATAGGACATATGTTGCCATTGTACTTCTTTTGCTTAATATGTCAATTTAAAAAATCTCATGTATTTTGATACAACTCCAGTTTTGGAGAAGCTATGTATAGAAAGAGTAAAAAGTTGACAGTTTATTGGTGGAATAATAGAGGGAAAAATACCTTGAGATAGGGTGACTCCTAATAGACTCCTGATCATGCAATTCAAGAAGGAAGATGCCTGGGGGAAGGAGGTGAGGTGACCAGAAGCCAGCCACAAAAAGCCTAGTGCATACTGGAGTCAAAGGGATGAGTTCAGAGAGCTGGCAGCATATGCCCTTGGTCCCTCCCTTGTTTTAGAAATGAGAATTCAGGGAGGAATGAAAACAGCTTGGGTGGCAGATGGCCACAGAGAAAACTGTTTCAACCCGAATTTGAGGATTGTATCAAAAGCCCAGGCAGAAATAATTTTGTTTTTTTCAAGGTCTTAGAGTTGAGATCCAGCGGTAGAAAGAGAGAAATACTGAGTGGGGAAGAAATGCGAGTAGAGGGGAAAGAAAGGGAGACAGAGGGAGAGAGAAGCTCAGGAAAGAAGCCACACTTGTATTAATCTATACAAAAATAGTCTAATTAATTATCTTGTGGAAATGTAATGTGCCAGGCTGAGCGTGGTGGCTCACACCTGTAATCCCTGCACTTTGAGAGGCAGAGGTGGGAGACTCACTGGAGTTCAGGAGTTGAAGACCAGAGTAGGCAACATGGCAAAACCCTGTCTCTACAAGTAATACAAACATTAGCTGGGCATGGCAGTGCATGCCTCTAGCTCCAGCTACTTGGGAGGCTGAGGTGGGAGGATCACCTGAGTCTGAGAGGTCGAGGTTACAGTGAGCTGTGATCATGCCACTGTACTCCAGCCTGGGTAATGGAGGGAGACACTGTCTCAAAAAAAAAAAAAAAAAAAAAAAAAAAGAAATTTAATCTGTTTAACTGGCTGTAACCTCAAGAGTGTGCACTTTAAAATTACTTACCGAAAGTGTATATGTACTACTTTATGCTTCATTGTGAGTAGAGGAATATTAGAGAGAACAAAAGGGCCAGCCTCTCCCCTGTATGTCAAATTATGGCTCAGACCTCACACTAGCCCACAGGACATTTTATTTTGAACTAGAAACATACAGGCCCAGCCCCCCACTAGGACCTGTGGCCTAGCGAGCACCATGTAGTTGGGATATCAGTGCCCATTTCTCTCCATTGCCATCCCTCTGTGTTAACTGTGTTAACCCTGTTAAAAAGAACTGAATTTCTGCTTAGGCTTCAGGCAGCAGAGGGGATGTGGACAGCCTTTGGGTATGTGTAAGGACATTCAGGTCTCTTGCAAGCCAGAGCCCCTACAATATTATCATTCATTTCTAGCATTCCAGCTATCCATGTCAATGTGAATCTGGGTAGGAAGGTTACAGAACAGCAATTTGGGAGAGATGCAGGTGGGGAGATCAAAAAGGAAAGAGGTACTGGTTCAGCAAGCCACACCATGTAGAGCCACCCTGACGATCAATAAGGAGGCAGATGTTTCAGCCAGTCTGCTCTTCCATCCAGAAACTACTTGTAATTTTAATCTTTTCATAAATAATCATAGAAATCATTCCAGAATCATCATATTTGTATTTATACACATACATTTATACATGATTCATATACATTTTTCCTATATTCATGAATGCTAGCCATTCTTTCATATGAGTTACTTTAAACTATTACAATATTCAATGAATGTACTATCCAATAAATGCAATTAATGTCAATAATTCATATTATGTCTACTCTAACAAAATATGAAACATGTAAATTAGGTAAATCATTAACTTATATGAGGAATTTTGAAACCACGATCCAATCTTATTGAACTGTTCTTTAATGTTTAATGCTAATTAACCAAACACTTAACACATTTTATTCACATAAATGATTACGCTAAAAATATTTTACACTTATTTTCAATATTTTCTTTAGCTTTTGCTCTATCTTCTTTTGCAAATTCAGCGAAAATCTGGGTAATAAGATATTGCTGATCAAATGTGATTTGTGTCTATGTCTTTATTTGTATCAGTTTGGATTATCCTCAATTAAGGCTGTTCCATTTCCTTCATTTAGACTTATTGAATGTCACATATTGCCACTAATGAAGCTTATAGTTATAAGAGGTATACAAGCACTATATCTTCCTTTGTATTTAAACCCTGTATTATTGTTTGCAGGTTCAAGATAATCTGTAGGGCTTTTTATTTTCTTAAAATAGGCAATTTAAAAATTCTGTTAATGTTTTCAATATGTAATACTTGATAATGGTTCAAAATTAAAATGTCAGAATGTATACAAGGAGAAGTCTTGTGACTACTCCTTCCCTGTTCCCCTGTTCCTCCTGGCCCTATAAGGAACCATTTTTTGTAGCTTCTTATTAATCATTTCTGTGTTTCTTAATGAAAATAAAACACAAATATATGTTCTTATTTTTCTCCCTTTCTTTCAAAAACAGGTGATGTGTAAAAATTCTGCCCACAACGCCTTTTAACCTTGCTGCTGACTTATTTTTCCAGTTGGTAACTTACTTCTTTGCAAAGAGAATTCATTAAATCATCTATGTATGCATTCACAAGATCTCTATAAAGTTATCAAAATTAACAGGATGATTTTAAATAATTGTTCATTGATTCCACTCTTATAAGTTTTCAGAATGGATTGGTTGATTTGCTGGAAACACAGTGCTTGAGTTAAGGACATCAGAGAGGGAGTCTGGTCCTCCCTAGTGACTGGAATGTTCTGGCGCACTATGCAGGTTACTGCCTTCCTGGCTTGATGATTTGGATAACTGCTGAGCTATTTTTTTCATATTTTAAAAATTAATTTAATTTCTAGCATAAAATCTCTGCTAAAGGCACCACATAGGAAAGTATATACAGATCTCAAAAATGGTTAAGGATGTTTTATGCTCAAAGCAAATTTTAAAAACTTGTAATTTTAAAGTCTTGTAAAAAGTGATGTTTCAAGAGTTTGAACTGTTTAAATTTAGAATGCTGAAGAGGAGTTTGTGATGCTAACAATTATCTCTTGTGTGATCATATCACCAACTAATTACAAAATTGGAAGTTTTTTATTCACTCAAGCGCTTCCTCCTTCTCATTGCTAATATTTCCATTCAGGGTGTCTAGGCATCCTCATTTACTAATATGATTTTGTATTTCATGTTGTGTAGCATTAGAACCTTGCTCCCAGTCCTCAGCATTCCATGATACATGACTATGCTGCACAGACCATGGTTAGGGTGCGCTTCCATCCTTGCCATTATATTGCAAATAGAGCCCCCTTTCAACCTCAGGAGTGCCCTGGATTTGGTGTTAAATTCTGTGGTCAATCTGTGAGATCTGTCAATGATAATAATGGCTTTTATTGAGCATTTGCTCTATACCAGGCACTGTGTTAAGGTCTTTGCCTATATTATTTCTTTTATTACTGCACAGAGCATAACTCTTCCATTAGGCAACTGTATCGGAATGCTATTTTACAAAAGGCAATGGGAGCCAAGAGAGGTTAAGTAATTTACCCAAAGTCAAACAGCTAGTAACTGATAAACTGGGACTTGAATTCAGACTTGTTGTATCTGCACAGTAACTGTTTGTGCCTTTGCTGTTTTATGAGAACAAGTCTGTGGCCACTGAGCCCAAGTTAGGTTGGTAACAACTTGTGGTGCTGGGACAACTGAGTTTCTTTTGATTGCCTTAAATTTATTCAGCCCATTCATCTGTCAACTAAATAAATACATTCTTTTTCTTTTTTAATAAATGACAAGACAAAACAGTGTTTCGTGTTTGCATGTGTTTGTGTGTGTGTGTGTGTGTGTTTGAGACAGGACCAATAATCTTGGCAGCGTTATGGCTTTTTAAATTTTGTACTAAATGCCAATTTAATTGTTTAGTTTGATGGGTGCATTAGGAACAGTGGATCACTGTTTCACTTTGGAAAAGCTGCTCTCTGTCAGGTTTCTGAACCGCTTTATTGTTTAGTTCATATAAAGGTCAGTAGCTCTAAAAATACACACTTTAATGGGTGATGTAATAGACATTTTATATGTGTTGCAGGTACTTTCCCTCAGTGGTTGAAATGAATACCTTTTGTGCCTTCTGGAGAAGGTGTCTGTATGTATGGTGTGGGAATATGTGTGTGTCTGTGTATGTGCACATCTTGTTTGAAAGCCCCAGTCTTACAAACTTACAAACTGTATTCTTCAATCTCTTTCTTATGAAATATCAACATCTACTGTGAATCTATCATATATCATTGGAGTTGACAGACATTTTGACTGTTTAACTTGCAAATACAGGCTTTGGGTCAGAAAAAAAAAAGAAAAAAATATTTGTTGTAGATTCTGTTTGATTTTAAAAAAATGAAATCAATTGATTCAATTTAGCTTGGCAGCCTAACAAGGGACTTCAACTTCTGCATCTTCAGACCTTTCTCAGCTTTTCCCTTGCCCAAGAAACTCTTTCTTTCTTTTTGTTTCTTTTCGTAGCTTGAGGAAATGTTAAGATTTGTTCATTTCAAAACAGATCATTTAAAAATGAAGAAGCCACATTGTTTAATTCACTGGACTGGGAGCCTTAGAGACATGTTCTATTCTCAGCTCTGGAAAATCTCTTAAAACAAAATCACGTGACCTTCAAATAAAGATATTACTCTAGTTTGAAATAGTACACTTTACTTTCTAATCAGCCCTGAAAGCATAGTATTAACTGGAAATACCTTGGCAAAGTTATACTATCTAAATAGGCAAGTTCCAAATCCTGGCAGAGAATATTCCTTTGAGTTACATTTTTCTACAACTTTTAAAAGTCTCTTCTCAACTGTAATCCTTCATTTCCAATAGGATTAATATATCTGTTAAAAGAATGAAGATATTTTGGATGAAATTATTATAAATCCCTTATGGAAGTATACCACATTATAATCCCCAACTGAAGGCTAGAGTAATGGTGATGGAATTAGGCTTACTCTGATCTGTAGCTGGGACTATTGATGATCCCATACCTGACACCTCAGGAAAACTGATCTCTTTAGCTATGCTGGTCCAGGTTTTGATATACCTTTTTTTTTTTTTTGACTACTTTCTCTGTATTTAACAAAGCCAATCTGCATTACGAACAAAGAACAAGCAACACAAACTTCCTTAATCATATAAGGAAAATTATAAAGAAAAAACAAACCAGGAAAGTATGTGGTGAATGATGTGAAATTTCTGAACATAATGCAGTGAACAGTACAAACTATTTGGTTTCTGAAAAATTAAACTCTAGTCCTTACCATTTAACTGATTCTGTACCTTTAAACAATTGATTTAATCTTTTTGTTCTTTACTTTTAAAATAGGAGAATAACACTTCACATGGCTAGTTTACGATCAAATGATAACTATGAAAGTACTTTGTAAAAGACAGATGTTAGTTATAGTGTTGATGATACAAGTCCTGCCTATGGGTATTAGGTACATTAAATACACAACTCAGTTGTTTTTCTTCACTTTGTGGAAGCCCTAAGGAGATAAATTTCAGATTGTGTGCACTCATGCTTCGTGGGATTCTCACTGTCTACATGGCCATCCTTCTCTTCTGGTCTATTCTTTGGTTCTGTAGCTGAGGTCTGGGCTGCTCTGCTCTGGCCACAGTTTGCACTCCATTTCCACTTTGCAACAATTCTGATATGTTCTCCCCGTAATCTCCTTTGCCCTGCCCTCTCCCTTATTCCCAAAGAGAAAGGCTTGTCTTACTTGAGTCAGAATCAACTTGAGGACATTTCCCTTTTCCCTCTGACATTTTCTAGCTTCAAGTCTTTTTATTATTATTATTATACTTTTAAGTTCTAGGGTACGTGAGCACAATGTGCAGGTTTGTTACATAGGTATACATGTGCCATGGTGGTTTGCTGCACCCATCAACTCATATTTACATTAGGTATTTTCTCCTAATGCTATCCCTCTCCAGTCCCCCACCACCCAACAGGCCCAGTGTGTGATGTTCCCCTCCCTGTGTCCATGTGTTCTCATTGTTCAACTTATGAGTGAGAATATGCAGTGTTTGGTTTTCTGTCTTCGTGATATTTTGCTGAGAATAATGGTTTCCAGCTTCATCCATGTCCCTGCAAAGGACATGAACTCATCCTTTTTTATGGCTGCATAGTATTCCATGGTGTATATGTGCCACATTTTCTTTATCCAGTCGATTATTGATGGACATTTGGGTTGGTTCCAAGTCTTTGCTATTGTGAATAGTGCTGCAATAACATACGTGTGCACGTGTCTTTATAGTAGAATGATTTATAATCGTTTGGGTATATACCCAGTAATGGGATTGCTGGGTCAAATGGTATTTCTAGTTCTAAATCCTTCAGGAATCGCCACAGTGTCTTCCACAATGGTTGAATTAATTTACACTCCCACCAACAGTGTAAAAGCGTTCCTATTTCTCCACATCCTCTCCAGCATATGTGGTTTCCTGACTTTTTAATGATTGCCATTCTAACTGGCGTGAGATGATATCTCATTGTGGTTTTAATTTGCATTTCTGTGATGACCAGGGATGATGAGCATATTTTCATATGTCTGTTGGCTACATAAATGTCTTCTTTTGAGAAGTGTCTGTTCATATCCTTTGCCCACTTTTTGATGGGGTTTTTTCTTGTAAATTTGTTTAAGTTCTTTGTAGCTTCTGGATATTAGCCCTTTGTCAGATGAGTAGATTGCAAAAATTTTCTCCCATTCTGTAGGTTGCCTGTTCACTCTGATGATGGTTTCTCTTGCTGTGCAGAAGCTCTTTATTTTAATTAGATCCCATTTGTCAATTTTGGCTTTTGTTGCCATTGCTTTTGGTGTTTTAGTCATGAAGTCTTTCCCCATACCTATGTCCTGAATGGTATTGCCTAGGTTTTCTTCTAGAGTTTTTATGGTTTTAGGTCTAACATTTAAATCTTTAATCCATCTTGAGTTAATTTTTGTATAAGGTGTAAGGAAAGGATCCAGTTTCAGCTTTCTGCATATGGTTAGCCGGTTTTCCCAGCACCATTGATTAAATAGGGATCCTTTCTCCCTTTCTTGTTTTTGTCAGGTTTGTCAAAGATCAGATGGTTGTAGATGTGTGGCATTATTTCTGAGACCTCTGTTCTGTTCCATTGGTCTATATGTCTGTTTTGGTACCAGTACCATGCTGTTTTGGTTACTGTAGCCTTGTAGTATAGTTTGAAGTCAGGTAGCATGATGCCTCCAGCTTCGTTCTTTTTGCTTAGGATTTTCTTGGCTATGTGGGCTCTTTTTTGGTTTCATATGAACTTTGAAGTAGTTTATTCGAATTCTGTGAAGAAAGTCAGTGGTAGCTTGATGGGGATGGCATTGCATCTACAAGTTACCTTGGGTGGTATGGCCATTTTCACGATATTGATTCTTCCTATCCATGGACATGGAATGTTCTTCCGTTTGTTTGTGTCCTTTGTGTCCTCTTTTATTTCCTTGAGCAGTGGTTTGTAGTTCTCCTTGAAGAGGTCCTTCACATCCCTTGTAAGTTGGATTCCTAGGTATTTCATTCTCTTTGTAGTAATTGTGTATAGGAGTTCACTTATGATTTGGCTCTTTGCTTGTATGTTGTGTATAGGAATGCTTGTGATATGATGGGGTTTTGCAAATATACAATCATGTCATCTGCAAACAGAGACAATTTGACTTCCTCTTTTCCTAATCGAATACCCTTTATTTCATTCTCTTGCCTGATTGCCCTGGCCAGAACTTCCAATACTATGTTGAATAGGAGTGGAGAGAGAGGGCATCCTTGTCTTCTGCTGGTTTTCAGAGGGAATGCTTCCTGTTTTTGCCCATTCAGTATGATATTGGCTGTGGGTTTGTCATAAATAGCTCTTATTTTGAGATACATTCCATCAATACCTAGTTTATTGAGAGTTTTTTAGCATGAAAAGCTGTTGAATTTTGTCGAATGCCTTTTCTGCATCTATTGAGATAATCATGTGTTTTTTGTCGTTGGTTCTGTTTATGTGATGGATTACATTTATTGATTTGCATATGTTGAACCAGCCTTGCATCCCAGGGATGAATCTGACTTGATCGTGGTGGATAAGCTTTTTGATGTACTGCTGGATTTGGTTTGCCAGTACTTTATTGAGGATTTTTCCCATTGATATTCATCAGGTATATTGGCCTAATATTCTCTTTTTGTGTGTGTGTCTCTGCCAGGCTTTTGTATAAGGATGATGCTGGCCTCATAAAATGAGTTAGGGAGGATTCCCTCTTTTTCTATCGATTGGAATAGTTTCAGAAGGAATGGTACCAGCTCTCCTTGTACCGCTGGTAGAATTCGGCTGTGAATCCATCTGGTCCTGGACTTTTTTGGTTGGTAGGCTATTAACTATTGCCTCAATTTCAGAACCTGTTATTGGTCTATTCAGAGATTCAACTTCTTCCAGGTTTAGTCTTAGGAGGGTGTATGTGTCCAGGAATTTATCCATTTCTTCTAGATTTTCTAGTTTATTTGCGTAGAGGTGTTTATAGTATTCTCTGATGGTAGTTTGTATTTCTGTGGGATCGGTGGTGATATCCCCTTTATCATTTTTTGTTGTGTCTATTTGATTATTCTCTTTTTTCTTCTTTATTAGTCTTGCTAGTGGTCTATCTATTTTGTTGATCTTTTCAAAAAACCAGCTCCTGGATTCATTGATATTTTTGAAGGGTTTTTTGTGTCTCTGTCTCCTTCACTTCTGCTCTGATCTTAGTTATTTCTTGTCTTCCACTAGCTGTTGAATGTGTTTGCTCTTGCTTCTCTTGTTCTTTTAATTGTGTTGTTATGGTGTCGATTTTAGATCTTTCCTGCTTTCTCTTGGCTTTTAGTGCTATAAATATCCCTCTACCCACTGCTTTAAATGTGTCCCAGAGGTGGTAGTGTGTTATGCCTTTGTTCTCATTGGTTTCAAAGAACATCTTTATTTATGCCTTCATTTTGTTATTTACCCAGTAGTCATTCAGGAACAGGTTGTTCAGTTTCCATGTAGTTGTGTGGTTTTGAGTGAGTTTCTTAATCCTGAGTTCTAATTTGATCGCACTGCATTCTAAGAGACAGCTTGTTGTGATTTCTGTTATTTTACATTTGCTGAGGAGTGTTTTACTTCCAACTATGTGGTCAATTTTAGAATAAGTGTGATGTGGTGCTGAGAAGAATGTATATTCTGTTGATTTGGGATGAATAGTTCTGTAGATGTCTATTAGGTCTGCTTGGTCCAGAGCTGAGTTCAAGTCCTGAATATCCTTGTTAATTTTCTGTCTTGTTGATCTGTCTAATATTGAGAGTGGGGTGTTAAAGTCTCCCATTATTATTGTGTGGGAGGCTAAGTCTCTTTGTAGGTCTCTAAGAACTTGCTTTATGAATCTGGGTGCTCCTGTATTGGGTGTATATATATTTAGGATAGTTAGCTCTTCTTGTTGAATTGTTCCATTTACTATTATGTAATGGCCTTCTTTGTCTCTTTTGATCTTTGTTGGTTTAAAATCTGTTTTATCAGAGACCAGGATTGTAATCCTTGCTTTTCTTGTTTGTTTGTTTGGTGGATCTTCCTTCATCCCTTTATTTTGAGCCTATGTGTGTCTTTGCACGTGAGATGGGTCCCTTGAATACAGCACACTGATGGGTCTTGACTCTTTATCCAATTTGCTAGTCTGTGTCTCTTAATTGGGGGCACCTAGCCCATTTACTTTTAAGGTTAATATTGTTATGTGTGAATTTGATCCTGTCATTATGATGTTAGCTGGTTATTTCACCCATTAGTTGATGCAGTTTCTTCATAGTGTCTATGGTCTTTACAATTTGGCATGTTTTTGCAGTGGCTGGTACCGGTTGTTCCTTTCCATGTTTATGGCTTCCTTCAGGAATACTTGTAAGGCAGGTCTGGTGGTGACAAAAATCTCTCAGCATTTGCTGGTATATAAAGGATTTTATTTCTCCTTCACTTATGAAACTTAGTTTGGCTGGATATGAAATTCTGGGTTGAAAATTCTTTTCTTTAAGGATGTTGAATATTGGCCCCCACTCTCTTCTGGCTTGTAGGGTTTCTGCAGAGAGATCCGCTGTTAGTCTGATAGGCTTCCCTTTGTGGGTAACCCGACGTTTCTCTCTGGCTGCCCTTAACATTTTTTCCTTCATTTCCACCTTGGTGAATCTGAAAATTAGGTGTCTTGGGGTTACTCTTCTCGAGGATTATCTTTGTAGTGTTCTCTGTATTTCCTGAATTTGAATGTTGGCCTGCCTTGTCTAGCTTCAAATCTTTAGAGGTCTTATCCTCCCCATGCCATAGTTCTGTCTCCTGGGTTGGTTTATCTGAAAAATATTTCTTACTGAGATTTTGAGACAGATTCTTGCCTTCTTCACCTGAGCTTAAGTGTGGGTCTGGCTTGCTAGTGGTCTTGCTGCCTGGAGAGTGGGAGTGCTCTCACTTCATTTTGCACCGTACATCCCTGTTCTCAAGGTCAGCAGCAGATAGAAACTGCTCTTTCCCACTTTTGAAAGACTCCATATTCCATAAGAGTTTCCAAATGAATTTCAAGTTCTAGCTTGAGAAAGCAGAAATAAGATTGAGGAAAGCCAATAAGTGTTTTTAACCTTCCCACCTAAGAGTAGTAGTAATTTTGGTAGTGCTACTAGAAGTAATTGTGGTAATAGCAGCAGCAGCAATAATAATAATAGTAGTAGTAGTAGTCATCATCATTGTCTTAGTAGTAGTTAACATTTTTGCCCCTTTTTACAACAAAGTATGATGAAAACTTCTGAACATGCATTATATGATTTAAACCTTCCAATGACCCTGTGAGGTGAGTCTGTCACTATTTCTCTTGTAGAGTTGAAGATGCTGAGGCTCTGCAGGTGAAGCAAATTGCCTGAGTAGTAACATGGAGAATCGGTATTCAAAGCCAGGTTTAATTTCAGAACCTGAGTACACTGTTCCACATTCTGGAATACATTAATTGGCTCTTGGGGCAGAGGCCACTGACTCAAATGCCTATAGGAGCCAGTTCAGAAGTGAAAGTTGGTGGACAGGGCCCAGAATTAGGAAGACAGCAGTGCAAGCTAGATGATAAATGGCAACTGACATTCTTCCTCAGTGTTGGGGTGCTATGAGGCATGGTGGGGACTGGGGTTGTTGGAGAACATATGTCCTATCTAAAAAAATGACAGCTACTACTAAATCCAGCAGTTGTTCTCATAGAGAAATAAACTTTTTAGTGCAGAAATTTTAAAAAGATGATGAAAACATGGATTTTATATAATATTTCTCAATTATTAAATATTGGCATTAGATGCAAATGAAAAGCTAAACAAAACACTGTGAGGGTTAAAATAATTATGTCTGGGGACCAAGTTGGGCCTGATGTGTTACCTCTCTCAGGGAAAAATTTTGGAACATTCAAACCATGTCAATGAGTGATGACACAATACAATAAGAGATATAATCTTCCGTATTGGCCAGTAGTTGGACTGTCCTTAGCCATTCCATCAACAATTGCTTTACGGAAGACTCTGGGGAAATCCCAGTTTATTAAATGTTGTATAAAGACTGAAAGAAATCACATAAGTAATAATGATTGTATTCTTAAGCCCCTACTATGTGCCAAGCACTTTGTATAGCTATTTTATTTAATTCCCATAACATTCCTGTTAGACATGTGAGGATAGATATTTGAGAGGTCAAAAAATAATAGCAGCAACTTGCCAAAAATGTATAGCTCTAGCAAGGGGCAGTGTGGGGTGTGAATCCAGATGTGCATGATTCCAGAGCCCTTTGTCTTCCTGCTCAGCTCTGCTGCCTTTACAGTGACATATTGCTGTGAAGTTGGCATTATGCTGGATCTCACATAGGCAGGGAAAGGCTGTCCATGTTGTTCAGCATGACTTTCAGTTTCAACAAGGAGATTCCTCTAATCAAAATTATCTTTGTACACTACCAGAAATTATTCCCTTTCACATTATCACTCAGGCTGAAATTTGAGCCTTTACAGATTCTTTAGTTTTAACAAGCATACTCCTGTGTAGGTGCCTGCTCAAGCAGTCTTTCCTTCATTCACTTGTTAACATGAAGTTAATCAGATTATATCCTTCAAACAACTAGCTGAGATAATAGGAATTTCCCTGGACAGCAGGGAGGAGGAAGTGGCTCTTCAGAAATATGTGTCATTGATTAGATGGGGTGACTGGGCTGTGGAAGTTGGGATAGGCCCTGTGTACCACGGGCAGGTTTCTGGCTGCTTCAGAAGCAGAAGAGTGGGCACAGAAGTTTGTTAATTATGTTACCTTTTGCCTAGATCTGTCCCCTCAACTAGACAAAACCATATTATTGGCTGGTGTTTTTTATCCTATTATATTTATGGTACAGAAATGTAGCATTTTTTTTGGCTGTGAATTAGATTTTGAATATTTTTTATGTTTCTAAAATAAAACTATTATCTTTAGAAAATTAATGTTCTTTTTTCCTGATTAAGGAACAGACTCTGTCAATAATTAAAGAGAAAACAAAGCTGAAGAAATAATCACAAAATAGCTCTCTCTAAGGGATAGGATTATGGACTTTCAATGTATTGTTTGAATTTTTTATAATAAGATAACTCATTTTAGAAGGAGAACAAACAATAGAGTTTTGGCGTTGGAGGAGGGTGAATGAAAAATTTCTTAGTTGTCAGGGTGTAGTCAGAATGAGGTGGGCAAGTTTTACTGCCTGTGAGTTAGCATCTGTGATTACCTCAAGGAGAGAGGCCCTATTGAGGGTATGAGGCTCATGAAAGGGAACAGAGGAGGGGCCGACTCTCCAAGTTTTAGTTGGTCTTTCCTTCTCCCTACTTCTGAAGCCCCAAGGAATGTGGGGTTTCTCCACAGTTTTTTTTTTTCCTTCTGGAAGTGAGAATGAGAATTTGGAAGAATTCAGGGTGATTCAGTACTCAGAATTCCCTGACATCTGTTAAACCTTAGTACTGACTGTTATTTATTAGACAGCTTTGCCCAAAACAGCCCTAAATGTTTACTGTGCCAGCCTTCCTAGAGTTTGCTCATGCCTTCTTGTAACCTGAATCCTACCTCCCAAGTTTTTAGAAGTCTCAGAATAGTTCTATTTTCTTTCCCTTTTTGTTCATTTTAGATATCAGCTATGAAAAATTTTATTCTTTCATTTTGGTTCAGATGCAGCTTGGGATCCTCAACTTATTTCCCTATTTATTTGTCAATGGAAATTATTGCTTTGCCTTACTATAATACACTGTCTCTCTGCAATTTCTGAATTTTCTAGGAGTAGAAGAATATATGCAAATGTTTTGCATATATTAGTGCATAATAACTAAGCTTTACCCTCTGTAAATAAACTCAAAACTGATGGACAGTGGTTGTAAGTGGAATGAGTCAGGTGATAATGACTTATCCATTTGAACCTTAAACATACCTCTTTGGTCAGTCCTCAGAGTCCCTTACTGGTATTGAAGAGTAAGAGATCTACAAAGAAGAATATTAGGATCTAGGAACTCGGAAGGCTCTTTGGTCATTAAAGGCAAAATGACAATCACATCCTTTAAAATCAAATTTGTTATATAATTATTCCATTTGTCTATCCCACAGATATCTGGTATAAGGAAAGGCTTTTATGGGTGAAACTGTTCTATTTTTTGTGATACTGTTGGAGAAAAGACCCATTTATTTAGTTCCCAAGAAAGGTTATCTATAGCAATGTCTTTTAATATGACATGTTCCTCAATGATTTCTCTTTAAAAATCCATCCACCTCTGTGATCTGCTCTCTTGTCAGCTCATCTATTTAATTTTGGCTGCCCTTTTCAAAATTGAAGCCATCGGTGTTCTTGGCATCAGCAGATTTCTGTCAATCCTCTTTTTATCAGTTTTTTTCTCTGTCTGTATCTGAGTCTGCCCACTTGGCCCCCTAACCTGTAGCTACACAGAATTGCTTGCTTGTACTACTTCAAACATATCCCACCCTTGTGGCCCCATCACTCAAATATCTGTGTTTTCTAAGGCCTTCCCTTTCCCTATAATTGATGAAAGCCCCCTGCTATTAAAGACTCACCTTATACATCACCTGTCCTATCTTTCTCCACCTTGGCCCTCCATCCTAAGCAAAATTAGGCTATCTGCCTTTTGTGCTCCAGTAGCATAGCTACGATATCATGATCTCTGCCTCACTCCACAGACCAGAGTTCCTTCATGTAGAGTACAAGATGATCCAGGCAGCATTCGACCTATTTTTATTGATTTGAAATCTAAGGCAATATGGTAAGCTTTTCTAATGTTTCATGTATACATCCATCCTGGCACCTTCACTCAGTTCCCCTATTATTCCAGGTTTGCTCTCACACATTTGCTTATATTCAGCATATTATGAAATGTTATAGTTATTTTTATCTGGTTTTAAGAGGATTTACAGATTATGTTAACTTTTTTTTTTAAACTAAAACTACCTTCACAAGATGGACAAGTATCTTAAATATATTCCTACAGAAACACCCTGACTTGTAGATAATACTTGTAATGTAAGCACACAAATGACAGGAAAAAGCCAGAGCTGACTCCTCTATACTGCTACAAACACTGTCAGCAATAGCATGGCATGTGGTTGTGTGCAGTCGTATGCAATGTCTCTGACATCAGGCCCATCACAGTAACAACAACAGTAGCAATCCAGTAACATCTTATAGAAGATTTAAAATGACTCAGATAATTTAAAATATAGATTTATATCTGTGTTTCACTATTGCTGTCTAGTAACATTATCTTAAGGGTTTATTTTGCCCTGAGAGAGTAGATGAAAGTAATATAGTAATACAAATAATTTATATAGTATATAGTAATGCAAATAATTTATGATAATTGTAATAGTTTACAAATATAGGTTTAGTATCCTTTATCCAAAATGCTTGGGACCAGAAGTGTTCTGGATTTGGGATTTTGGAATGTTTGCATTATGCTTACCAGTTGAACATCTCAAATCCAAAAATCTAAAATCTGAAATACTCCTCCAGTGGACATTTTTTTGAATATCATATTGGTGCTCAAAAGTTTCAAATTTTGGAGCATTTTGGATTTTGGGATTTGGGATGCTCAACCTGTAATAAATATTCATTATTGACAGAACATGCTGAAAAGTGCATTAGTAGGCATATGTAATAAAAAAGTTACAGACCACTACTATGAATTTAGAGATGAATGCCCAGAGCTGTTGCAGAATAGAGACTGTATTGTTTTCATCTTTGTAGCTCAAGCGCCTAGCACAATGACTGGACCATATTATATGCTCAGTAAATATTGAATGAGTGAATAAATCAATAGAAGAATGAATATAGGATGGGGAGTGTTATAATCTCAAACTAGAGGTGAGAAACCAAGATGAAAGAACCTGATGACTCAGATGCAGGAAGTGGATTTATGTCTGAGTATGCAATGAAATTATGACCCTTCTGCAGCGTGAATTTATCTGGTGAAGTCATCACTTTCTGTCTCATGGGGAAAGGGAGATACTGCCAGTTGGGGAGAATCTGGGACTGTTCTCCTTTTGATTTCACCCTAAAACTGCCTCCTCTTTTTCAGATCCTCCTCCAGGTCTCATCCCCTCACACCACCACTTGTGCCCCTGTTACCAAGGAACCTTTATTGCCTGATATGCTCACCTGAATTACTGAGTGATTTTGCTTATGTCTGTGTAATCACAGTCCCAAAGCTATTTTCTGATAAATGATTACAACTTTACTTACACAATTCTGCAAGCCCATGCCTCATCCTTCAGTATAAGTGAAAAGAATCTAATTCATGTCATGATATTGCAACAAAAATTTCACCTTAGGCCTCAATTGTTTTACTATTTAAGAATTACTTATCCTTGGATGTTGTGGGTTCCTAATAGAGGGATCTGTTAATTATTTTTATTCTTAAATAATAATAAGTGCTGAGGCAAGCAATATGGACTAGCAATATACTTGTGTTTTCAGAAATAAGGAAAGATCATTTTTCTAATATTTTAATAGAGCAAAACAATTTCAGCAACTAGTAGTATAAAGTCTCATTACTTGGGTAGCAAATGTTTAATTCATCTGTGTCATCTTGGTTAAATGTTCTCTAAAATTTTATGATAGTTATAAGCTTAGCTTGTATGGTTTAGGAGTAGTAATATAGGCAATTCACAAGTAATATTGACCTTTTAATTAAATGTTCATGATAAATATAGAATATCCATTTTGAGCACAAATATTTTTTATTACATTATTGGGAAAGAGTTGCAGCCATCAATAGTAAATGGAGCTTGCCCTTCTGTAATTCACGGTTCATCATCACAAGAGGCCACTAGACAGTAAGCACCATGAAAGCAGGAAACATATCCTTTCACTCACTGTTGTAGCCTCCATGCATAGTAGAGTGTCTAGAATGTAATAAGAATACAACAAATATTTTGTCAAATGAATGAATGAAGTATGTGTATGTTCACCCCTGGCACCAGCCATGTATTACACCTTTGCCTGCCCATAAAGATAAGTCTCAAATAACAGCTATTGTATAGGGCAGTGGTTTTCAGTCTCTGACCTGGGGAACCTTGGTGCTCTGTGGAGATGCTGAGTGGTTCTGCCAATAGCAAATTGCTTTCTGTCAAACCTTTACACTGCTGGAGTGTTATTTGTCAGGATTCTTAGTTACAATGCAATCTACCTTAAGAAAAAAAAGACTTCTTGGCTAGAAATGCCGAAAAAGGTAGCGCAAAAGACACCAAGGAAAGGCTAGAATGCAGCCTGGTCTCAGAATAAACATCACCTTCATCTCTCAGCATGTTGGCTTCATGCTCACTGCAGACCTGTTTTTTCAGTGGGAAACATAGCTTATGACAGCTGTTAAGCTTTGGTATGTCTTAGATCTCTAGTCACTGGGTAAAGACTGACTTCAGGCTTTCTTTGGCCTCAAGTTTAAAATTTTGGAGAAGGAATTTTGTTTATAAGAGTTTGGCTATTTAAAACGAGTTTCAGAAATTTCTGCTGCAACAGTTAATTTGCAGCCCCACCACTCTTTTTTGACTTTCCCACTTTTATTCCCATCTGTTCTTTCTCAGCATCATTTCCTTAATTCCAAACTTGGACTCTTGGCCCAGTCTTTCTCACTTCTTAACTCTCTTCCTGGCCTATTTGGCCTTTAGCTTTCCTGTTCTTTGTGTCTTGGTATGTCGTTTGGTCCTTCTATCCCTTTGTCTTGACTGAAGACTGGTTTCTCAGAGAATCCCCTTCCAGCTTTTTGCCTGGGAGGAATTGAGCCATATAATATGTAAGTTTCAAGATTATATAAACCATAGCTGTTTTAAGTCTTCCTTGTACTTTCAAATGGTTTTCACTAAAGGACAAAAGGCAGTTATTTTATATCTACTGTAGTCCTAAGCAGCATATAGGGTAGAAGTTCTTAAAATAACTTCTTTTGTAAAGTGGGACACCTTCAGTCATTAGACTAGAATTTTCTCTGATACAAGTGCTAAGAAATGACCTTGATCAGTAAAAAGGTACATACATATTGAAGCATGGGAATTACCAATATAATCTTTCTTTTCTGTTTCTGGAAAGGCAATTAAGGCTTCTACTCCTACAGCAGCCAGTGCAAAGCCTGTCCTGAGTCAGATTTGACAATAGCATTTTAAAATGACCAAAGGAAGTGTAAGCCTAATTTAGAGCAGGACATTTCATCTGCACTACTCCACTTAAACTTTTGTGCTGAATTTTTTAAATGTGCAAAAGTTGTCTTGGAAATACATTTTGAATCATGAGAAAATAATTACAAGTAAAGTCAGAGCAGGATGAATTCTAGTCAAAGAAGACATCTTTACAAATAAATAGGTAATGTTGTGGTCCTACAGAGCATTTTTCACTTAGCTCTATGGTGAAATGATTTTAAAATGAAGAAAGATGAAGTTTTACTTTAATTAGTTTGTGACGACATGGATAAGTGCTTTTGAAAGAATAATTATCTGGCCCTTCTTTTAAGAGAATGTGAACTGAGAATTGAAATTGATCTGGGATCAGCCCAATTAACTTTATCACAGTTTTGTCATGTTTTGCAGTAAATTAGCATGAATTCTGTCATACATAAACTTCATTTGATTTTGTTTTGTTTCTTTTTCATTCTTGTTTTGTGTTTTGTTTATTTAAAATAGTTGAAAGGAGTCCTGGTTAAAACCAAATTCATTGAAGGACTATTTGGTCTTTTTATATATTTCCTCAAGTCGTAGAGAGAATGAAAAATATATTATGTTATACAAACGTGTTTCTCATATTGGGGACCACCAACATATGCTGTGAGATTTTTAAGTTCTCTATGAGAATTTAAATACTTTGTGTTATTTCAAACGTAATTTTTAAGGAAGAGTATGTGTAGTTTAAATCCATCCATACAATATTGATGCCTATTTTTGTGTCCGTGGATTTATGACATTAGTGCCAAGAGTTACCTTTGTGACAGTGTCTACATTTTAATATATTGTTTCTCAAATCAGGCTCTAAGAATCACAGAATCTCTGGACATGTTTTCAGGCATCTGCAACTACCTTTGTAACAACATTAATAACTAATATTTTCAGATGATATTTTTGACACCAGATGTCTTCTAAGAAGTTTTTATGTATTATCTGCTATAATCCTCACAACTCTAGAAAGTATTACTATTTTCTTCATTTTAAACATAGAAAGAGGCCAGTGTGGTGGCTCACACCTGTAATCCCAGCACTTTGGGAAGCCCAGGCAGGTCGATCACCTGAGGTCAGGAGTTCGAGCCCAGCCTGGCCAACATGGTGAAACCCTGTCTCTACTAAAAATACAAAAATTATCCGAGCATTGTGGCGGGCACCAGTAGTCCCAGCTACTTGGGAGGCTGGGGCAGGAGAATCGCTTGAACTCAGGAGGTGGAGGTTGCAGTGAGCCAAGATTGCACCATTGCACTCCAGCCTGGGTGACAAGAGTGAAGCTCCGTCTCAAAATAAATAAATAGATAAAATAAAAATAAAGATAGAAAAACATAAACACAAAGAAGCTAAGGAACTTGCCAAGGGTGTTAGAGCTGGGTTTGGAATCCCACACTCTAGCTCCAGAGTTCATGCTCTTGAGTACTGTGACCCTTTCCTCCCTGGTGGGGATAATGGGTACTGTTCCCTGCCCTTGTCATTGGTTACCCATAATTATGAGCACTTAAAAAGTAACTGATTTCATTAATTTGATGAATATGGGTTTCAATTTCTTGGAATAACAAGACTTCAGAAAATACTGACTGGCTTCTTTTCTAAGGGTATGACTACTTATAGAAGGAATTAATTTGTGTATCAAACATTTTTAGAGTTACCAATAGAAAACTGTTAAGCCATAATAGCAACAAATTAGAGAATTTCTGTTGATGTGCATTATCCATATAGGAAGAAAACAATGTTTCCTCTACCCAGTTTCCTTCTCTTCTTTGTCCCTTCCTGAACTTTCAGTCCTAAATCCTTATAAGGAGCAGAACAGTGCTGGTCTCTACACTGGAACTGGGAGGGAACTGCAGTGGCCCAAACTATGGTGTTGGAGCCCAAAAAGGGGAAAGGAGGGCATTTGTTTAGGAAGGCTGACCTTCACTGGGTCAGAGACCAATGCGGGTAAGGACCACATTTATGTGTAAGGGCGGCCTGATATGGGTGTCAGAGCACAAGCAAGGTGGGGGTGGAAGAGGTACCATGAATGGGTGACTAGTGCACTGTGTCAGTGCCCAAGCAGAGTGAGAAGAACATCATCATGGAGGGACAGCCTGACATGGGGTTTTGAAACTCAACTGGAGTGGAAAGCAGGCTCACGCAATGGGGTGGGGGGCAGAATGGGGAGTCAGAGTGAGGAAGAAGTATATTTGGAAGGGTAGAATCTGCCATGGAATATTGTAGCTCATGTGAGTGAAGGCAGGGGAGCACTGACTGTGGGCTGTTGGGACCCAAATGGGATAAGGGAGGCATCTGTGTAGAAGAGAGGTGGTATTATAGATGAGGGATGAGATTTTATATAGGGAGTTGATCAAATAAAAGATAAAAAGTTAACGGCAGCTGGACTTCTCACTGTTGGAGAAAGAAGTTACAAATATAGGAGAGGAGAAAACTATAATGAACCCTACACTGTTGTATTGCAGTTGGAGATATCAGTGTATATTCATAGATATAGATATAGATATAGATATAGATAATGATATAAATGTGTGGGCCTGTGTTTTCTAGCTTTGCCTACTGGGTGAGCCTAGAAGTAGTGACATCTCAGTGGCCATGAACACATCTAGTGCCCAAAGCTTGCCTTCTAATGCCATTCTCCAAGGAACCAGAGCTCCTTGGAAAAATATTTGATCTAGACTGTGACGAGCAAAGACCCAGAAGAGGCTGGAAAATTATGTTGTGACAGAAAGAAAGGAAACATTCAAAGAAAGGTTTCAAAAGAACACAGAACTCCACAACCATATATGTATTTTTTATAGTCCCATTTTTGTCCCTGCAAAGACACTTGTTATGTGGCTGGAATGTAACCATGAGTTTGAATTGCTTGCCAGAGATTCACTGGCAAAAACTAGAACAAGAATAGGGCAGATTGTTGGAGCTAGAAATGAGTGGTAATGAAAGGTGAATGAAGGTGAATGCAGATTGAATTGTTCTGTGCATATGAGGGGAGGTAGAATATGTGGGAAGGAGTATGGGAAGGATGAGGGGAAAATCCCTGAAGGAGAAATGGGCAATTTGGTGACTTCAGGGGCCCTAGGTATTGATTTTTTTAAAAATCAAGAATTGTGTCAGAGAATAGTATGAGGTAGACAAAACTAGCTTGGTTGTTGAATTTATGGAAAGATGATAGTTCCAAAGATCATGGAGTTTGGAGCATCTCTCTTTGGGTTGAGATGATGGGAAAAAAATTATTCAAGCTGAACTTGTGGTACATCTGTTAATTTGAAATTTAAGTTGTGGGAGACTACAGCTGAAAAAAATGTGTAGGAGAAAAATTAATCTGCATTGCAACCACATTGTATATGGTTAATTTGCCTTCATGTACCGGGAAGCAGAAATGCTTACTGCAGTAGGTGTTAAAGTAGACTAATTATGAACATTTCTTGGTGAGCTTTTAAAATAAATACACAATCTCAGAAATTAATAGCAATCACTGGTATGGTAAAAAGGGTGAAACCAGTTGTTTCAAAACATGGTTTCTCCATTTTCTAAATGTGCATCCTTGAACAAGTTGTTTAACCTCTTTGAGCCTCAGTTTTTTCACCTGAAAAATGAGACTAATAGCAGCTATTTTATAGTGTTATAATGTATGCAACAGGTGCTCTCTTGGTAATTACCTTCTGCATCAACTCCCCGCACTGCCCCCCAACCGCTGATACATACTTTGTTCTCTAGGATGCTTCATATTGTTGCTAAAACCAAGCAAAAGCCATACTCTAGAATCTTGGGCATAATATAACCAATTTAGTGTAAAGGGGACAACACATTAGGAGTGAGAGGCCAGACCCCACTATTTGTTAGGGCTTGGATGAGGCAGTAGCACAGAAAACCAGGGAGACAGTGCAGAGGCTTCCTTCCCAGGATGCCCTTGTTTTGGCAGATAGGCATGACCTAGATGTTACCATAGACAGATGGTAACAGGGTATGCTCTCTTGCTTTTCAAGAGGCCCTATCTTGCCAAAAGCCACCTCACATTCCAGGAAGAAGGCTGGGGCTCCCCAAGAAGTTGCCAGAAGCCTTGTTTGACCTACAGCAGTGTCAGGAGGCTAAGACCTATCATGACATGCCACAGAAGCTTAATTATAATTAATATCTTCTTTTATATATCTTTGTGTATACCTTTGATTATATCATTAGGATGAATTCCTAGAAATGGAAGTACTTGGATTTCTATATACATTTTAACAAATTGCCAGAAGTTTCTACCAATGTCTATTTCCTTAATGGTTAATTGGAATGTTATTTTGCTATGCCCTTGGCATTGCTTTTTTAAAGATGTCTGTGAATTTGTTCAATTATACATAATAATATCAGTTAATACATGTATAGTGCTTACTATGTGCTACGTACTGTTTTAGTACTTTGTATGTGTAGTATAATTCTAGGAGGGCCCCAAGATTTCCTGCCCTCTAGCATATATGTTCTGTGTAATTCCCAGTAGCATGAACTTGTTGAGCTATCTCTGCCATGACTATGTTACATTATATGGCAAGAGATTTAGAGATGTAATTAAGGTTCCTGATAGTTGATCTCAGAATAGGGGAGATTATCCAAGTAAGCCTGATCTTGTCACAAGAGCCCTTTAAATTTAGGTCTAGAGAAAATTAGAGATCCAAACCATGAGAAGGAATTGGCATGAGGGTGATTATCCATGGCTGGCTTTGAAGATAGAGAGGGCCACATGAGGAATGCAAACAACTGTAGTCACTGACAACTGTCCCTGACTGATGGTGAGCAAGGAAGTGGGGGGACCTTCAGTCCAATAGCTGCAAGTAACTGAATTTGACTGACAATAAGAATGAGCTGGCAAATGGGTTTTCCCTTAAGGTTCTGGAAAATAACTCAGGCTGGTGATATGCTGATTTCAGCTTTATCAAACTCTGAGCAAAGTCATGCCATGCCAGACTTCCAACCTGCAGAACTGTGAGCTAAGAATGGGTATTGTTGTTTAAAGACATAGGGCACAGAAGCCAGCTTGAAGGGGTTTCCACTGGCTAAATTTGGGATAATTTGAGCTTCAAAATAAATAAATATAGTAACAGATTGTAACCCATTTGTTTTGGTCCCTTCTTGCATTGCTATAAAGACCTACTTGAGAGTGGGTAATTTATAAAGAAGAGAGGTTTAATTGACTCACAGTTCCACATGCTGTACAGAAAACATGGCTGGGGCAGCCTCAGGTAACTTACAATCATGGCAGAAGGTGAAGGGAAGGCAGAAATATCCTCATGGCTGGAGAAGGAGGAAGAAAGAATGAACGGGGAGGTGCTACACAGTTTTAAACAAACAGATCTCATGAGAACTCACCCACTATCACAGAACAGCAAGGGAGAAGTCCACCTGATGATTCAATCACCTCCCACCAGACCCCTCCTCCAGCACTGGGGATTACAATTTGACATGAGATTTGGGTAGGGACACAGAACCAAACTGTATCACCATTGAATAAAACAAATCTATGCAGATATGAACAAACAAAAACTTACATATTTAACGAGAAATTAAACTTTATCACTTTCAAAGTACCTCTCCACAAAATACAAGTAGGAAGAAAGGTACCTTTATAGTGGAGAAACCTGACAGGCACTACCTTAATTAAGCGATCAAAGTCAATAGCATCAGTAATGGACAAAGGGAAATCAGGTAATGCAATGAGAAGAGCACATCACTTCTGTGATATTCCTGCCAGATGCATATTCTGGGCCTAATCATGAAGAAACATCAGACAAACCAAAACTGAAGGACATGCTACAAAATAACTGGCATGTAATCTTCAAAAGTGTCAAGATCCTGAAAGTCAAAGACTGAGTAGCAATTCTGGGCTGAAGGGGACTAAGGAGACGTGACAGCGATATGCAGTGCTTGGTTCAAAACTGGAGCCTTTTTCTATAAAGGACATTATTGAAACAGTTGGCAAAACGTGAATGAGATCTGAGGATCAGTTGACAGTAAAGTTATCGATGGTAAATCTCTTGTTGCTGAGAGTTGTCTTGTGGTTATGTAGTAGAATGTCCTTGTTTGTAGGAAAGACACCCTCAAGTATTCAGGAGGGATGGGAAATCAGGGCAACAGTTTTCCTCTGAAATGGAACCTTCCTTCAGAAAAATAAACTTCCTTATACTCTACTTGCAACTTTTCTATAAGTCTGTGATTGTTTCTAAACATAAAAACATAACTTAAATTTTAAAAAGAAAAAAATTTTTCTTTCACTGAAAATTTATAAAATATGGAACACAAAGAAGACAATAAAAATAATTCTATTCACATTGATTACTACTACTACATTTTGATGTATAGCTTTGCAGTCATTTATTAAATATACATCTACACACATATATACACTTTTAAAATAAAATTATAATTATTCCTATCTCTTATCTTGCTTTAGAATTTTAATATTATATGTAAGCTATATGTCACTAAATAGTCATCTGTAATTTTTTTTTTTGAGATGGAGTCTTTCTCTGTCACGCAGGCTTGAGTGCAGTGGTGTGATCTCAGCTCACCACAACCTCCACCTCCCAGGTTCAAGCGATTCTTCTGCCTCAGCCTCCCAAGTAGCTAGAATTATAGACATACGTCACCATGCCCAGCTAATTTTTATTTATTTTATTTTTTTTTATTTTTAGTAGAGACAGGGTTTCACCATGTTGGCCAGGCTGGTCTTGAACTCCTGACCTCAGGTGATCCATCTGCCTCAGCCTCACAGAATGCTGGGATTACAGGCATGAGCCACTGCACCCAGCCTATGTCATCATTTTTTATGGCAACTTTTTTACGTGTAAAACTGTGTCATTGAAATATTCAGATTTTTGTTGTTGTTGTTATTGTGGTTTTTTTTTGTGAGACGGAGTCTCACTCTGTCACCCAGGCTGGAGGGCAGTAGTGTGATCTTGGCTCACTGCAACCTCTGTCTCCCGGATTCAAGCCATTCTCCTGCCTCAGCCTCCCGAGTAGCTGGGATTACAGGCGTCTGCCACCATGCCCAGCTAATTTTTTTTTTTTTGTATTTTTAGTAGAGACAGGGTGGATTTTACCATGTTGGCCAGGCTGGTCTTGAACTCCTGACCTCGTGATCCACCTGCCTTGGCCTCCCAAAGTACAGGGATTACAGGCGTGAGTCACTGTGCCTGGCCTCAGATTTGGTTTTAAAATTATCTTAACACTTCTATTCAAATTTGTCAGCTCTGTCACTTGGTTATGTCAAACTAGCCTTAGCAGTTATAAAATATATCTTGGAGCAAATAAGTTAATACATATGTCAGAGAAGAATGATGCTAGTAGCTGTTTACACACCCTTTGCCTTATACACATTTCCCATTGGACAGGACTAGAAGCATCATTTTCTAGACATAAGTCGGCACTAGTATTAATGAATATTTCAATACTCACTTTCCCTCTCAGCCCTTTTCCCAATAACAAAAATCTAATAGTGAATTTGTGAATATACGTCAATTTATTCTACTATTGGTAGACATCTGGTGTGTTAGTCCATTTTAGCTACTATAACAAAATACTGTAGACTAGGTAATTAATAAACTTCAGAAATTGATTGCTTACGGTTCTGGAGGCTGGGAAGTCCAAGCCTGAGGTGCCAGCAGCATTTGGCGATGAGAGCTTGATGAGGCAAGATGAGGACTTGTTCTCTGCCTCAAAGATGGGCCCTTGTTGCTCTGTCTTCACATGGTGGAAGGGGCAAATACACACTTTTCAATTTCTTTTGTAAGGACACTAATCCCATTCAGAAGAAAGAAGCCCTCATGACTTAATAACTTCCTAAGAGGCCCCAACTCTTAATACAGACACGTTGGGGATTCAGTTTCAGCATATGAATTTAGCCAGGGGGTGGGGGCATGAAACACCAACATTCAGACCATAGTATCTGAGTAGTTTCTTTTTGTTTGTTTCAGGTAGTGCTATGGTGTGATCATGGCTCACTGAAGCCTTGACCTTCTGGGCTCAAGCCATCCTCCCACTTCAGCTTTCTGAGAAGGTGATAGGCATGCAACACCACACTCGGCTAGTTTTTCATTTTTTTTGTAGAGTCAGTATCTGTTTGTTGCCCAGGCTGTGGGTCATTTCTAACATGTGTTACTGGAGATAGCGCTGCTATGACCATTCTTATATATGTCTTCTGATGAATGTATGTACAAATTTCTATTGAGTATATAAAAGGTATAATGGCTAGGTCATAGTAGATGAACTGCTAGTAATTTTTTTCTAAAGAAGTTGTTCCAGTTTACACTCCCACCAGCTGTGTGTGAACGCTCTGGTTGCTCCACTTTCTTACCAACATTTGGTATTTTCTATCTTTTTCATTTCAGCTACCCTAGTGTGTTTATAGAGGTATTGCACTGTGGTTTTAAATTGGATTTTGCTAATGGATAAAGTTGAGCGCATTGTAATATGTTTATTGGCCACTTGGGTATCCTTTTATTGTGGAGTGTCTGTTGAGGTCTTCTGCCCCATTTTTTATTGGGTCGTCTGCCTTTTTCTCATTAATTTGTATGTGCTTTAATATATACATATGTATTCTGGATTCAAATATTTTGAAGAGATATATGGCAAATGGATTTTCCTGCTCTTCAGGCTCCCTTTTCACTCCCTTAATGGTGTCTTTGGATGAATAGATGGTCTTAATTTTAGTATTTCCCAACTTATTATGTTTTCCATTTAAGATGAACATTTTTTTAAAAAGAAATCTTTGCCAATTCCAAGGTCATGAATATGTTCTCCTTTGTTTTCTTCCAAAATGCTCATTTTTATCTTTCACATTTAGATCTGCAGTACATCTGGATTTGATCTATGTGACTGTTGGGAAGTAGGAGATCAAGAATCACTTTTTCCATGTGGGTATCCAACAGAACCAGGACCATTTATTAAAGACTGTTCTTTCCATACTGCACAGCAGTATGACTCACTTCTTCATAAATCAGGTGATCATGTATGTATGGAACTGTTTCTTGAGGCTCTTTATACTGTTCATTGACCTATTTGCCCATCCTTGCTCCAATAACAGTCTTGATTATTAGAACTTCATAATGGATCTTGGTATATGGTACTATAAATCCTCCAGCTTTACTCTTTTCATCAAGATTCTCTTGGCTATCCTTGTCCTTTGCATTTCTATACATATTTTTAAACCAGCTTGCCAATTTTCATATGCACAAAAAAACTTTCTAGGATTTCAGTTGAGATTGTATAAATCAATTTGGAAGAGTTGACATTTTTACAATACTGAGTCTTTTCCACCATTTAAGTAATTTGCTGAGGGTGCCACAGTTTATAAGTGGTGGACCTGGAATTCAGTCTTTCAGTCTTTCACAGCCTGATTCCAAAGACCAACACTACCCTAGAGTTTAGGTGTACCTTAGTTTTGAGGATATGCTATTTTTATTTCAACTATATTTTAAATGAACCTATTTTATTGGTCTACTGTAATGCTTTCTTTTACAGTACTATTGTCTTAAAACCTTGCATTGTATGGGTATCTCATAATTTAATGTAACCAATCCCCTATGATCACTAATTTTAAAGTCATTTCCAGTTTTTCTCCAAATAGATAATTCGGCTGCAAGCATACTTGTAAATATATCTTTTTGTACATGTTTTCTTGGGATAAATCTCTAAAATTGTCACTGGGTTAAATGATATAAAAATGTTAAGAATTTTGATACAGAGCTGGCTGCAGTGGTACACACCTATAGTCAGCTACTCAAGAGGCTGAAGTAGGAGGATCGCTTGAGCCAAGGAGTTCAAGACCAGCCTGGGCAACATGGTGAGACCCCATCTCAAACACAAAGAGAATTTTGGTACAGGTGTACCTTGGAGATATTGCAGGTTTGATTCCAGACCACTACAGTAAAGCTAATATTGCAATAAAGAAAGTGGCATGAATCTTGGTTTTCCAGTGCCTGTAAAAGTTATGTTTACAGTATACTATAGTCTATTAAATGTGCAATAGCATTATGTCTAAAAAATAATGTACATATCTTAATTTCAAAATCCTTTAGTGCTAAAAAATGCCAATGCTCATCTCAGCCTCAGCGAGTCATAATCTTTTTGCTGGTGGAGGGTCTTGCCTCAATGTTGATGGCTGCTTACTGATCAAGGTAGTGGCTGAGGAAGGTTGGGGTAGCTGAGACAATTTTTTAAAGGAAGACAACAGTGAAGTTTGACACATCAATTGACTCTTCCTTTCATGAAAGATTTCTGTGAAGCATGTGATGCTTTTGATAGCATTTTACGCACCATAGAACTTCTTTCAAAATTGGAGTCAGCCTTCTCAAACCCTGACATTGCTTTATCAACTAAGCTTATATAATATTCGAAATCCTTTATTATTTCAACAGTGTTCACAAGCATCTTCACCAGGTATAGATTTCATCTCCAGAAACCAGTTTCTTTGCTTATCCACAAGAAGCAACTCCTCATCTGTTCAAGTTATATCATGAGATTGCAGCAATTCAGTCACATCTTCAGGCTCTAATCCTAGTTCCCTTGCTATTTTCACCACATCTGCAGTTACTTCCTCCATGAAATTGTTGAACCCCTCAAAGTTATTTACAAGGGTTGGAATCAACCTCTTCCAAACTCTTGTTAATGCTGCTATTTATTTTGACCTCCTTCCAGAAATCATGAGTGTTCTTAGTGGCATCTGGAATAGTTAATACTTTTCAGCAGGTTTTTAATTTACTTTGCCCAGATGCATCAGAGGAATTACTATCTATGGCAGCTATAGCCTTATGAAATGTGTTTCTTAAATAATAAGACTTGAAAGTTGAAATTACTTCTGATCCGTGGGCTGCAGAATAAATGTTATGTTAGCAGGCATGAAAGCAACATTAATCTCCTGTACATCTCCTTCAGAGCTCGTGGCTGACGAGGTGCATTGTGAATAACCAGTAAATTTTGAAAGGAATCTTTTCTTCTGAGCAGTAAGTCTCAACAGTGGGCTTAAAATATTCAGTTAATCATGGTGTAAACAGATGTGCTATCACCCAGGCTTTGTTGCTCCATTTATAGAGCACAGACAGTAGATTTATAATAATTCTTAAGAGCCCCAGGATTTTCAGAATGGTAAAGAAGTACTGGCTTCAACTTAAAGTCACCAGCTGCATTAGACCCTAACAAGAAAGTCAGCCTGTCCTTTGAATCTCTGAAGCTAGGCATTGTTTTTTCATCTCTGGCTATGAAAGTCCTAGATGGCATTTTCTTTCAGCATAAGGTTGTTTCATCCACTCTGAAAATCTATTGTTTAGTGTAGCTACCTTCACCAATGATGTTAGCAAGAGCTTCTGGATAACTTGCTGCAGCTTCTGAATCAGCACTTGCTGCTCCATCTTGCATTTTTATGTTCTGAATACAGCAACCTTCCTTAAACCTTATGAGCCAACTTCTGCCAGCTTCAAACTTTCTTCTGTAGCTTCCTCACCTCACTTAGGCTTCCTAGAATCAAAGAGAGTTAGGGCCTTGCTCTGAATTAGGGTTTTGCTTAAAGATTGTTGTGGCAGGTTTGATCTTCTATCCAGACCACTCAAACTTACTCCATATGAGCAATAAGACTGTTTTGTTTTCTTATCACTTGCATGTTTACTGGAGTAGCCCTTTTCATTTCTTTCAAGAACTTTTCCTTTGCATTCACAGCTTGGCTAACTGGCACAAGAGGTCTAACTTTCATCTCATTTTGGCTTTTGACATGTCTTCCTCACCAAGCTCAAACATTTTTAGCTTTTGATTCTAAGTTAAAGATGTACTATTCTCCCTCAATTGAACACCTACAGGACATTGTAGGGTTATTAATTAGCCTAATTTCAATATTGTTGTGTCTCAGAAAATAGGGACAGCCCAGGAGAGGGAAAGACAGAGGAAAGCAGCTGGAACGAATTAGTCAGAATACACACAACATTTATCAAGTTTGCTTTCTTATGTGCATGCAGTTTGAGGTGCACTAAAACAATTACGATAGTATCATCAAAGATCACCAATCATAGATCACCATAATAAATATAATGAAGGGTTTTGCAGTAATAACCAAAATGAGACACAGAGACATGAAGCAAGCACTGCTATTGAAAAGATGGTGCTGACAGGCTTGCTTGGCACAGGGTTGCCACAGAACTTCAATATCTGTGAAGTGCAATGAAATGAAGCACAAAACAAGGTATGCCTGTATGTCGCCAGATAGCCCCCTAGATACCCACCAACAATGTGTATGAGAGTTAATTTACTGCCACCTTTCCAATTACATACATACATTTTATTTTTTGTTAATTTGATTGGGAATGTTGTGGTTATTTTAATTTGCATGTTTTTGACTGCCAGTAACAAGTGGTAGTCGTATGTTAATGACTATTTCATGTTACTGACCATTATATTTTGAAACAAAGTATTTGATGGTACTTTTAAAGCCAAATGGAAAATCCTATGCAGCCACTTTCTGTTTGTCCTTGTGTTACATGGTAATTTGTACCCCACCCCCCCCACACCATCGACACACCCTACCCCTCCAGGCAGAAAGAAAAACTATCCCTTCCCTCTTTCTCTAAGGAAGAGCAGTTTATTTTTCCTCCACTTCCCCTAGTTTTCATAGACATTGAGGTTTTTTTGAAAAAGGACTTTCAAATCATTGTTCAGAGAATATGGATCCTTGTGCAAAGAGATTATGAAATAAAGGATAGTGGAGAATCGTCCCCTCCTTGCCTCTGTGAAGGACTAGGTTGAAGCAAAAATTGAAACAAGAGAAGACTGACTTATGAGCACTCCCCATTCAGCCCCTCTCCTCACATCACCTCCCTCTTCTCCAGGTAGCTGCTCATCCTCAGTCACTGCCTCTCCCTGAAAACCCTACCCAGACCTGAGGGCCCACCTTTCATGCTTCAAAATTAGCCCCTCTAGTTCCTCTGCAGTAAAAACTCTACCCACTTCAGTGCAGCTAATGCCAACTATAAATTTGCCTTTATAGGGAGGAAGATTTTCGTTTATGATTTAAATTTAGAATTGAAAAGAGGAGATAGGAAAATAAGGAAATTTTTTTTCCTCTTTTTGTTCCCTCTGCGTTTCTTTTTCCTCCCTCTTCCTTTCCCTCCCTCTAAACTTTATCTTAACTCCTTTCATCTTCCCCTTCATTTATTTACTTCCTAACCTGGAGATCTTTCAAATTTAACTGGCAATAATACAAAATGCATTAATATTTCTTACCTCTTATTTATTCAAAACATATTAGTGGCTACCATGTTCCAGGCACTGTAATTTAATAGAGTTTTATAGTCTTTGTTGTTAAAGAGTGGTAGGTTGCTATTTTTTATTAAAAATGTTAAAAATACCCTTTGTGTAACATTTTAGAGGAAAATTACTCCTTGCATAACTGATCCTTCATGGAAAACTATTCTGGAGTATTGTATACTTACAGATGCATTCTTTTATGTTACTTTTTGGTAGTATACTTAACTTTCTGAGGATTTTTTTCTTTCCCTTTCCAGAACCACTGACATATCTTTTAACCTGCTCTCTTTTAGCTATGTTAAAACTGCATGTGAAATTCTATTAGAGTTTTAAGACAGGAAATTTTGCTAGATGTAATTTTTTCATGCTACTATTGAAAAGCAATGACAGTAATATTTTCTAGTATTTTACCTATGTCTATATTGATAGGTGTTTTTCTAGAACAATTTTTATACTGCTTTATGTACAGAGACATCAGAATCTCCTGGGTGCTTCATATTATCCCAGTCTATCTCAGTTGAGGATTTTGTTTGGCTGAAAGTTACAGAACCTGATTGCAGAAGCTTGGGGATTTATTTTTCTCAATACAACAAGTCCAGAGGGAAAGAGTCCAGGGCTGGTACAGCAGATTCTTGATAACAACATCCCAGGCTCCCCTTGGCTTTCTTCTCTGCAACAGTTAGTATGAATCTTTCATCTTAATACTCGCTCCATGTCTAGCTTTACGTCCGCATTTCATGCAGGAAGAAAGGAGAAAGGGCAAGGAATAAGGAGGTGTGCCTGTATGAGAAAACATATCTTGCCCTGAAATTCCCAGCAGACCTCTCTCTAGTCATGTCTCATTGGTTGGAAGTGTATCACATGGTCATTTACAGTCTCAGAGGTGTCAAAGGAAAGCCAATATTTTACCCTGAACAAAATTAGAATGTGTTAGAAAGGGAAAAAAGTAGAATGAATATTAGTACCTAGCTGTGTCTTCCAGTTTTAAACTTCAGAGGATAAAATTTCCTCAGCAGTGATAGTGAAAAGCACATCAAAATACCATTTAATTGTTGAACTCTATAACCTTGCTTGTGGCCTTCGCTTTCATGGTTTTCTTTTAATTATCAAGCTTGTAATCAAGAGAAAGACAATGCATTTGTGACCATTAATCAGAAGAAAAGCTGTGTTTTGAATCATTTTTGTTAAAGGGGCCAGAAGAAATTTATCTTACAAGGCAGAACAAATTTGTATAAAAATTATTTCATTATATACAAAATTAAAGTTAACTGGGTATTTCAGGCTGGCCTTCACAGGGTTTGTATGACTTGGTAGGGTCAAGGGGCTCTGGGAAGTGGTCCAAACTTGGCAGGTTCAGAAATGTGAGTGACAAGTGATCAGACTCTGGGGTTCTCACCAGTAGAACCCACTTGGTAATCTTTATAGACTCTAATATTGTTGCATTAATTTTACAATAGAAATGAGAATTGCAGTCAGCCCTCCATCTCTGCAGGTTTTGCATTTGTGAATTCAAACAACTTCATATAGAAAATATTTTAAAATAAATAACATAGAACAACAAAAATACAAATAAAATATAGCATAACTATTTATTTAGAATTTACCTTGTATTAGGTATTATAAATAAGTTAGAGATGATTTAAAGCATACAGGAGGATGTGCCTAGGTTATTTGCAAAACTACACCATTTTCTATGAGACACTTTAGTATCCATACAGTCTGGTATTCTTGGAGGTCCTGGAACCAGTCCCCTGCAGATACTGAGAGATGACTGTATGTAGTAATAGGACCTTTTGGGGCTATGTTGATTACTTTTAATTACATATATGTACACACATACACATATATACACATATATATGTATATATATACACTCATATATAAAATCACTGTAAAAATGCAGTGATTTTATTACAGTTAAAGCTAAAGTCCCCTTTGACACTAACCTCCAATTGCAGCATCCTCTTCAGTTTGGTCTACGTGTGGGCATTTAGGCTTTTTTTCTCGAGAGAGAGCGCACGCACAAGAGAAGGGGGTAGTATTGTTTGAAGTCTGTTAATGTTTATATAATGGTATCATATGGTATGTATCATAGTGAAACTTGCTTTTTTCACTCAATAATATATGTTGGAGGTAAAACTACATTATTTGTGTCTACTATGCATAGAATCTCCTTCTTAACCCCAAGCTCTTGGAGAAGTAAGATAGCATAGATATCCTTAGATTACTAACAAAATGCAAGTTTCTCCATGCGGGGGTTGTGTGCTATGATTGACACCTGAGTAGCTGGTCTGGGGCACCGGTCAACTGCAGTTAATGTGAACTTAGAGCCAGTGCTGAAACTTTAAAGCGGGCATGTGTTTTCTTCCTCACTTCTTCACATATACCTCAATCTACTGACCATTTTGACTTGGAGGTTGTTCTTGATAATAGTTGTCATCTCATACAGGTGACCCTAGATTTAAATGTAGGGGAAAAGCAGGTGAAAACTATATGTTTGCTTCTAATACTACCATGCATTAGGTGCAGGACTGTGATCTATAATGTAATCACTTAATGCTCTTTCAGCAAATATGTATTGAATATCTAACAGGGACCAGATATTATTTTAGGCAGTCTGGAGAAACAGAGATGATCAGCTAAAGGCCTTGTTTTCATGGAGCATATATCCTAATTGTAGACGTGAACAACAGGAAAGTTAATAAATATGTAGTATAATGCCACACAGTGAGATGTACCACAAAGGAAAATAATTAGAATGAGAGGGTGAAGAATAATTGGGGGTAGAGGAACTACTTTAGATGACATTGCCAGAGATGGTCTCTCTGCAGAGGCCTGAATAAATCTATAGCCCTTTATCTAGTGTATGATAGATGTTTAATAAACATTGTAATAAGCTCATAAATAAATTAGAGAAACAGTAGGAGCAAACACAAAGTGTAATAGTAGTACAAGGGAAAGGAAAGATCATCTCTGTCTGGATTAGGAGAAGCTCCAGTAGGATAATTAAGATGAGACTGAAAAATAAGTAGGTATTGGTCAGAGAGGCAACAGCACAGAAAGGCCTTCCAAGCATAGGTAATAGTGTGTGTACTATTTCAAATGAGAGAGATATCAAAGAGCATATCAGTTTCCTATTGCTGAAAAAACATTACCACAACCTTAGTGACTTAAACAATCCAAGTTTATGATCTTACAATTCTGGAGGTCAGACATCCAAAATAACAGCAAGCTGTGGGCAGGGCTGTATTCCTTTGGAGCCTCTAGGGGAGAATCTGTTTCCTTTCCTTTTCTAGCATCTAGAGGCTACCTGCATTGTTTGGGTCATGGTTTCATGCTTCTTCAACGCCAGAAGCATGACATCTTCAAACCTTCCTGCTTTCTCACCTCTGCTTCTGTCATCACATCTCTGATTCTGACCTTCCTGCCTCCTTCTAATGAGGCCCTTCTGATTACATTAGGCCCACCTGGATAAGCCAGGCTACTCTTTTATATAACATCAGTTGATTAGCAATCTAAATTATCTTTGCCACCTTAATTCCCCTTTGCCACATAACATCACATAATCATAAGTTCTGAGGATTACGACCTACATGGACATCTTTGGGGCACTATTCTGCCTTTCACAAGCATTGTCCGTTCAGGGATCTGCAAATGGTTTGGGAATGCTCAAGGGTAAAGTACAAATAAGGTAATAGGTAATGAAGGGGTTAGAGAGTCAAGAGTTAGATTGTCCTGGAGAGCAATTAGAAACCATTTGGTAGGTCAGGGAGTTCTATGATGTATTTGGGTGTTTGAGACATCACTCATCCAGGCAATTGTGTGATGGTAGCTGGGCTAGAAGAGCAGATAAAAGGATATTGATAAAATTCTACATATAGGATATGGAAGGAGTGAATTATATAATACCCTGCAGCTGTCAGAGAGGTTAGGCGTAAAAGGGACCAAGGGGAAGCAGGTGAACCTCTTACATCAAGTCCAGGTATGTAGGCTGGGAAAGTAGACTCCCAAATTGTGTCAGAAAATTGACAAATTTAAGCATGTCCAAAATGGCAAGTCATGTAGGAAGATAAGTGGTAAGTCTTTCCAAAGCAGAGGATTACTTTCATTATTCTTTCTTTATGGATCCCACATTCAAGGGGAAAAATTAGAGGCAAAACAGTATTTCTTCATAACTAAGTACTTAGTTTCCCTAAGGTGATTTGTCAAAACTCAAAACTCCCAGTCATAGTTTCTGGTCAGAATTTCGAGACAGTCAGTGGAAGCTGTGTGAATTTGTCCTTTCCCCCCGCCCCAAAAAAATTCTGGAAAATTCCCATTTTTATGTAGCATATACCTAATTTATACCTTTTCTCTTGGGGTTTTGGAATTATTAAAACAGTTTGGAGGATATAGAGGGAGTAAGGGCATGAGAGGCTCCACTGCAGTTACCTTCACTCTCTGTGGGACTCTGAAGTCCCATGGAAACTGGGCCCTTTTAGGTTGTTTGCTGTGGTTAACTCTTTTCTTTCTCCCGGACTGTGTTCCCCAGACTGGAAAAGCCTATGAGATGTATAGATCTGTATTTGAATTATTTTATTAGCAAGGTTGATTGAGACTCTCTACTTTGAGCTGTTTTAAAAATAGAGAAAATCATATAGGTTGACTATATGTGGAACTGGTTCATAAGCAAATTTATATGAATTATAAAGAGGGCAGAGATTTGATAGATTTTATTTTTCTGATTATGAATTTTATTTTTCAGTAAAAAAGGCAGAATTCTTTGAGAAAAATTTCTGTCTTTGATTCTTGTAGTGGTTGAATGAATATATATATATGTATACATGCCATTTTCAGTCATTAAAGGCACGTGTGTATATATATATATATGTATATGAACACACAAATAGAATGATATGGAAAGATGGCCAAGTTACATTATTAAATAACTTGTGGAATTGTATAAATGTCATTATTATACCTGTATAAAATTGGATATATATAAGTACTTACAAATGCATAGAAATTCTTTGAAATAATACAAAATAAAACCTTGATAATGACTACCAGGGCTAAATGCAACTGTTCCTCCAGCTCTTCTGTTAGAGGCAAGTAGGACTGAAAATCTTAGTTCTTACCACACAATTTTCTATACAGTTTATTACTTTAACCAGTACATTTGTAACTAAAGAATAGTTTAAACTAAACTACTTATTTCCCAAAGAGCATTAAAAAATGACGTGGTGAATATTCTAATGTTAACATTTTAAAGTTCTATACAGTGCAACAAGTGTATTTTAA
This sequence comes from Homo sapiens, assembly GCF_000001405.40. Classification (NCBI taxonomy): domain Eukaryota; kingdom Metazoa; phylum Chordata; class Mammalia; order Primates; family Hominidae; genus Homo; species Homo sapiens. The sequence continues at coordinate 158,371,260 of NC_000002.12, read as the reverse complement.
TATAGTCTGCCTTTTAGTAGAAGGTTAGCAAGAATCAATTCAGTATCAATATCATGAATTACACTTACATATGTTTATATCTTGAAGGATTCTTGATGTCATGAAATCCAATTTCTTTTTTAATTGGTAAAATAGGCATACCATGGTAGTGTTTTCCCAGAATATAGTAAAATAGCTATTGCCTCTGCTTAGTACTTTTAAAACTGTGTTTTTCTTCTTCCTATAAAATAAGAAAAATTTAGAAATTATGCTCAATCATAAAGTAGTAATCAAAATTAAGTATAATCCTACTACCCAGAAATTGCCAGTGTTAAATATTTGCTATGCAGAATTAGACTAGTTTCTTTCTGTTCAATTTTTTTTTTTAATTTCCCGTAATCAACTTTGGTAGTTTTTTTTTTTTACAGTCTATGTCCTACAAACTTCTTATATAGTTTATTCCTAGATATTTTGTTTTTCATTTGTTTTGAGTGAGATTTTTCCCATTATATTTGAATTGGTCATATTTATTATGTGACTGAGCACTTTGTTTAACCATTTATATTAGTTCTAATAGTACATCTTTTGGTTCCATCAGTTTTTTCAGGACAATAAATTTATCTTACACAAACTACAGTCCATAATGTTTTATAATGAAAGTGATGTGTAACATTCTGCTTAAAATTTAAAAATGAATTCTGGATGTTAGAAAAATATTGCTTCAGCTGGACTTTGGCCATAATATTTGAATGAAAATGTTGTGGGATCTTTCATATGAAAATGACCAAGATCACATACCTAGTCAGTAGCAAAAGAACTTTTGTTTCAAAATCTTTCATTATAATACAAGAATCTCTAAAAATGAAGGCTTATTTTATAATCAATATCATGGCCAACTTTTATTATTTGATAAATTAATTTTTTACAATAATTTGATACCACATCCAAGATGTTTCTACATGTATATATTTTTAAAATTTAATTTAATTTAATTTTAAGTGCTGGGATATATGTGCAGGACATGCGGGTTTGTTACATAGGTAAATATGTGCTGCACGTATGGTTTGCTGCATGTATCAACCCATCACCTAGGTATTAAGCCCCACTTGCATTAGCTGTCTATCCTGATACTCTCCCTCCACTAACCCCCTGACAGGCCAACCTCAGGCCAGTATCCCTGATGAATATTGATGTAAAAATCCTCAATAAAATACTGGCAAACTGAATCCAACAGCACATCAAAAAGCTTATCCACCATGATCAAGTCGGCTTCAACCCCAGGATGAAAGGCTGGTTCAACAAATTAATAAACGTAATTCATCACATAAACAGAACTAAAGACAAAACCAGATGATTTTCTCAATAGACACAGAAAAGGCCTTCGATAAAATTCAACATCCCTTCATGTTAAAAACTCTTAACAAACGATGTATTGATGAAACATACCTCAAAATAGTAAGAGCCATTTATGACAAACCCACAGCTAATATCATACTGAATGGGCAAAAGCTGGAAGGATTCCCCTTGAAAACTGGCACAAGACAAGGATGCCCTCTCCCACCACTCCTGTTCAACATAGTATTGGAAGTTCTGACCAGGGCAGTCAGGCATGAGAAATATATGAAGAAATAAAGAATATTCAAATAGGAAGTAAAACTGTCTCTGTGTGCAGATGACATGATCCTATATCTAGAAAACCCCATTGTCTCAGCCCAAAAGCTTCTTAAGTTGATAAGCAACTTCAGCAAAGTCTCAGGATACAAAATCATTTGCAAAATTACAAGCATTCCTATACACCAACAATAGACAAGCAGAGAGCCAAATCATGAATAAACTCCCATTCACAATTGCTACAAAGAGAATAAAATACCAGGAATACAGCTAACCATGGAAGTGAAGGACCTCTTCAAGGAGAACTACAAACCACTGCTCAAGGAAATAAGAGAGGACAGAAACAAATGGAAAAACATTCCATGCTCATGGATAGGAGGAATCAATATCATGAAAATGGCCATACTGCCCAAAGTAATTTATAGATTCAATGCTATTCCCATTAAACTACCATTGACATTCTTCACAGAATTAGAAAAAAAACTACTTTAAACTTTATATGGAACAAAAAAAGAGCCCGTATAGTGAAACAATACTATTTCTACATATTGGTATTGTTTTTAACATCATTTCGCCTGGCAGAATCCCCATTATAGAAGACTCACCGTCATGGGGTGATTGACTAGTCTACATATTTATAATCAGTTTAGAGTTTAAATGCTATCCATATGTAGTACAACCTTAACCCTAAATATAATTGACTTTTTCCTTCCTCAGTGTATTAAAAAAAGATTTTCTTAGAAAAGAGAAGAATAAGAATATTAACAGTGTTAAAAAAAACTGCCTCCTTATATAAATGATCTCTCTCTTATTTTTTCACATCTCTAAAGAAGTCCTGATTTTTCCCTGTAGAGACTGGTCATAAATAGATAAATATCATTTATTTATCTATTTTACAAAAGTTTAGATTCCCCATCAACTCTGTAATAATTAACTTTTCACTAAAATGTTTTTCAACCCTCTAGCTATTGTGACACTATCATTCCATTATATATCAAAGTGTTCTTCCTGTGCTATAAGAAATTTCTTACAAAAGTATTATTTTAAGATATTTTCCATAATTGAGTAGATCTAAAAGGCTTAGCATTTTGATAACATTCATGAGCAATTTCTAAAATGTCATATAATGTGAATATGGAATAATTTATAAAACTAACTGTTCTTAAATTATTTAACATAAAAAATTCTGTTCAAGTAGCAGTTATGCAGCCAAAAGTATTTTAACAACAGGCTGATGTGGCCACTTTGAATTTCTCACTAGTAAACATAAAATTGAAATAGCCTGGATGATGTATACTTCTTTGGGAACCAGGAAATGTTGGTTTTAATACAGTTTCATAAATCCCTTATCTGAAATATGTGGAGCCAGATAGTTTTTAGGTTTTTCAGATTTTTAGAAATGGGATAAAGAACATATGCCCATTATTTTTTGAAACCCTGGTGGGGCCCAGGCATCATCCCATAATTAAACAGATTAATATTTTTACATAAATGTATGAATGTTCACATTCATAGTGTAAACTTCAGTTTGGGTCAGGTTTGCCACCAAATGATTGCAGCTCAGGTTGGGTTTGGCCAGTGTATTAATTATGAAATAAACCTTCATTTTCAGAGATGTTTGTATTATAATGTGAGAGTTTGAAACTGAAAGTTCTGCTACTGACTAGGTGTATGATTTTGGTCATTTTTCTGAGCCTCAATCATCTCAAGTGCTAAAATGAGAACTGAACTAAGTAAATTACTTGTGAACTTTTCAGATCTAAATCTGAATGCCTAATCATTTCTCTCACATAAGAAACATTACAATGAAATCAGTTTTATAATACCTCAGCTTTAGTTCACAGGCCCTCAATGTTTTTGAAAGGCAAGTAGAAATTATACATGATTTATATATAACGATTAAAGTATGCAGGTCAGGAAGTATTTCCACTTGGTCTTCTAAATAGTTGGAACCAAATGAGGTTTCCAGTTCATGAAGACAGATTTGGCTACAACTTTGATTTCCAGAATATATTCTAATGTCAGATTTCTTATGGCCATAATTAAAATTTGAAGTACATAGAGATGGTGAGAAACATTTTATGGCTTGCATGATTTTCTTCTGAAAACCAGGAGGAAAAAATTAGACAGGGTTAGACCAAGGTAGCCAAAAGGGAATCTGCAAAATCCTATTTTGTTTCAGAACCTCAATGTTTGAGTCTCAATGCCAAGAAAAATGAGGCCTAAATCTAAAGGGGCTGGCTCTCCAATGAAAGAAAACTACACAACTAACCAATAAGAGGACAGGAGAGGTCTCCTATGAGATAAAGATGGCAAACTTGGACAGCTAAGCTATGGATGGCAGAATTAAATGAAAACTAGGGAGGGGATGCAGTAGGCCAGAGCTAACAAACCAGCATAGATTTATTTCTGGAGGCGTGCTTTGCCTGGTACTTGTGTTATAAAAAGGAAAAAGGTATATTTGATTATCTTTGGGTGTGGAATGCTCTTCAGTTTTCCAAATTTTCTGCCACTCCTGTGGTCTTGCTCCTTGTCATTTCTCTCCTTTAACTTACTGATGGCTGCTGAGTGCATTTACATTTGCCACTCCTGTCTGTAGGTTATACTCTTAAAGCAGATTAAAATAACTGGGAAGGCTATGGTAGGGAGGGGGAGGCTATAATAAGGACTTAGGAATTCTTGGTAACTTGGCAGAGTTTCCAAAAGTCATGGACCTTAACTATCTTCTCCTCCTTTTAAGAAGGTTTAGGTTACTGAAAGGGCCACTAGACATGGGTAGTTCAACCTAGTGGATATGGAACACAAACTTTTGAAAAGTGAGTACTGTTATTTAAAGAGCCACCAGAAGAGCGTGGAGTGGAAGATGTTTAGCAGGCATCTTTACCTGTGAAAGGGAGAAGAAGGAAGTGGGATTGGGCAGGTGAAGACAACAACTTCAATGCAGGTCCAACAAAGTCTAGGCCAGCGTGGCAGGAAGCTCCAGAGCAAATATTATGTATCAGAGTGTCCTACATTGGGCCCAAATAGCTTTACACCCCTGCCTTCCTCAGTCACTGGGTACGGGCTGCCCCGGAAAGCATATGCCTTTGGACGAGGCTCTTCTCTGCAGCTGAGTCCTAACCTGAAGGGGGTGACAGCTGGAGGCTATCTGTAGACTGCATTCCCACAGCAAGGCAGCGAGTCCTTTGATCTGGCTGGTGCATCTCTGTATCTACCAAAAGTGCCATATTACTTGTAATAGAAGTAGTGAATAATTTATTCTTCAATTTAGGTAATTTCTTTCCTCCCAGGAACACAAAATAAAACACATAACAACTTTCTAATAACAAATTTTTTATCAGTCACTGGAACAATCCAGCGGAGGAGGATTAAGAGGGAAAAAATAGAAAGGACAGGACCAAGAACAAGAAAGGCACAGAAAAAACACTAACAGAGGGAGGCTTCTAGGGGCAAGAAAAGCAAATTTTAATAAAATTAAAAGCATTATGGCACCCAGTCCTGGGTCTTACTTTTAAAAATACTTCAAGTAACACAGCTTTAAAAACATTTATAAAATAATATTATGAAATTTTAGTTCTCTCGTTTCCTTAACAGATACGGAAAACATGAATCAAAGAGACCAACCATTCATGACAATTCAGAGAAATGATAGCTCAGGTATTTTTCTTACTTCCAACTCTGTTTTATTATTTACAGTGGATTATGTACTTTTGAAATGATACACAATTGGAATGTTGATTTTTCAAAATTTTAATAATGGAAAGCTCACTTTCTGGTTACATTGAATGACCGGCCAGTTCTTTACAATGGGTTTGTGTTAATCCTCAACAGTGGTCAGGATACCCTTGCTTTCTTCCTTTTTTTTATTATACTTTAAGTTCTGGGGTACATGTACAGAATGTGAAGGTTTGTTACATAGGTATACACATGCCATGGTGGTTTGATGCACCCATCAACCCGTCATCTACATTAGGTATTTCTCCTAATGCTATCCCTTCCCTAGCCCTCCACCCCCCGACAGGCCCCAGTGTGTGATGTTCCCCTCCCTGTGTCCATGTGTTTTCATTGTTCAACTCCCACTTATGAGTGAAAATATGCTGTGTTTGGTTTGCTGTTCTTGTGTTAGTTTGCTGAGAGTGATGGTTTCCAGCTTCATCCATGTCCCTGCAAAGGACATGAACTTATCCTTTTTTATGGCTGCATAGTATTTCATGGTGTATATGTGCCACATTTTCTTTATCCAGTCTATCATTGATGGGAATTTGGGTCGGTTCCAAGTCTTTTCTATTGTGAACAGTGCCACAATAAACATATGTGTGCATGTGTCTTTATAGTAGAATGATTTATAATCCTCTGGGTATGTACCCAGTAATGGGCTTGCTGGGTAAAATGATATTTCTAGTTCTAGGTCCTTGAGGAATCACCACACTCTCTTCCACAATGGTTGAACTAATTTACACTCCCACCAACAGTGTAAAAGCATTCCTATTTCTTCACATCTTCTCCAGTATCTGTTGTTTCCTGACTTTTTAATGATTGTTATTCTGACTGGCATGAGATGGTATCTCATTGTGGTTTTGATTTGGATTTCTCTAATGACCAGAGATGATGAGCATTTTTTCATGTTTGTTGGCTGCATAAATGTCTTCTTTTCAGAAGTGTCTGTTCGTATCCTTCACCCACTTTTTGATGGGGTTGTTTTTTCTTGTAAATTTGTTTAAGTTCTTTGTAGATTCAGGATATTAGCTGTTTGTCAGATGGATAAATTGCAAAATTTTTTTCCCATTCTGTAGATTGCCTGTTCACTCTGATGATAGTTTCTTTTGCTGTGTAGAAGCTCTTTATTTTAATTAGATCCCATTTGTCAATTTTGGCTTTTGTTGCCATTGCTTTTGGTGCTTTAGTCATGAAGCCTTTGCCCATGCCTATGTCCTGAATGGTATTACCTAGGTTTTCTTCTAGGACTGTTACGGTTTTAGGTCTTATATTTAAGTCTTTAATCCATCTTGAATTAATTTTTCTATAAGGTGTAAGGAAGGGATCCAGTTTCAGTTTTCTGCATATGGCTAGCCAATTTTCCCAACACCATTTATTAAATAAGGAATCCTTTCCCCATTTGCTTGTTTTTGACAGGTTTGTCAAAGATCAGATGGTTTTAGATGTGTGGCATTATTTCTGAGGCCTCTGTTCTGTTCTGTTTGTCTGTATATCTGTTTTGGTACCAGTACCATGCTGTTTTGGTTACTGTAGCCTTTTAGTATAGTTTGAGGTCAGGTAGCATGATGCCTCCAGCTTTGTTCTTCTTGCCTAGGATTGTCTTGACTATGCAGGCTCTTTTTTGGTTCCATATAAAGTTTAAAGTAGTTTTTTCCAATTCTGTGAAGAAAGTCAGTGGTAGCTTGATAGGGATAGCATTGAATCTATAAATTACTTTGGGCAGTATGGCCATTTTCACGATATTCATTCTTCCTATCCATGAGCATGGAATATTTTTCCATTTGTTTGTGTCCTCTCTTACTTCCTTGAGTAGTGGTTTGTAGTTCTCCTTGAAGAGGTCCTTCACATCACTTGTAAGTTGTATTCCTAGGTATTTTATTCTCTTTGTAGCAATTATGAATGGGAGTTCACTCATGATTTGGCTCTCTGTCTATTATTGGTGTATAGGAATGCCTGTGATTTTTGCACATTGATTTTGTATCCTGAGACTTTGCTGAAGTTGCTTATCAGCTTGAAGACATTTTGGGCTGAGACGATGGGGTTTTCTAAATATACATTCATGTCATCTGCAAACAGAGACAATTTAACTTTCTGTGTTCCTATTTGAATACCCTTTATTTCTTTCTCCTGCCTAATTGCCCTGGCCAGAACTTCCAACACTATGTTGAATAGGAGTGGTGAGAGAGGGCATCCTTGTCTTGTGCCAGTTTTCAAAGGGAATGCTTCCAGTTTTTGCCCATTCAGTATGATATTGGTTGTGGGTTTATCATAAATAGCTCTAATTATTTTGAGATATGTTCCATCAATATCTAGTTTATTGAGAGTTTTTAGCATGAAGGGTGTTGAATTTTGTCAAAGGCCTTTTCTGCATCTATTGAGATAATCATATGGTTTATGTCCTTGGTTCTGTTTATGCGATGGATTACGTTTATTGATTAGTGTATGTTGAACCAGACTTGCATCCCAGATATGAAGCCGACTTGATCATGGTGGATAAGCTTTTTGATGTGCTGCTGGATTTGGTTTGCCAGTATTTTGTTGAGGATTTTCACACTGATTTTCATCAGGGATATTGGCCTGAAATTTTCTTTTTTTGTTGTGTCTCTGCCAGGTTTTGGTATCAGGATGATGCTGGCCTTACAAAATGAGTTAGGGAGGATTCCCTCTTTTTCTGTTGTTTGGAATAGTTTCAGAAGGAATGGTACCAGCATCTCTTTGTACCTCTGATAGAATTCAGCCGTGAAGCCATCTGGTCCTGGACTTTTTTTTGGTTGATAGGCTATTACTGCCTCAATTTCAGAACTTGTTATTGTTCTGTTCAGGTATTCGACTTCTTCCTGGTTTAGACTTAGGAGGGTGTATGTGTCCAGGAATTTATCCATTTCTTCTAGATTTTCTAGTTCATTTGCATAGAGGTATTTATAGTATTCTGTGATGGTAGTTTGTATTTCTGTGGGATCAGTGGTGATATACCCTTTATCATTTTTTATTGTGTCTATTTGATTCTTCTCTCTTTTCTTCTTTATTAGTCTGGCTAGCAGTCTATTTTGTTAATTTTTTCAAAAAATCAGCTCCTGGATTTATGGATTTTTTGAAGGGTTTTTTGTGTCTCTATCTCCTTCAGTTCTTCTCTGATCTTAGTTATTTCTTGTCTTCTGCTAGCTTTTGAATTTGTTTGCTCTTGCTTCTCTAATTCTTTTTATTGTGATGTTAGGGTGTCAATTTTAGATCTTTCCCATGCTTTCTCTTGTGGGCATTTAGTGCTATCAATTTCCCTCTACACACTGCTTTAGCTGTTTCCCAGAGATTCTGGTACCTTGTGTCTTTGTTCTCATTGGTTTCAAAGAACATCTTTATTTCTGCCTTAATTTTATTATTTACCCAGTAGTCATTCAGGAGCAGGTTGTTCAGTTTCCATGTAGTTGTGCAGTTTTGAGTGAGTTTCTTAATGCTGAGTTCTAATTTGATTGCACTGTGATCTGAGAGACTGCTATAATATCCATTCTTTTGCATTTGCTGAGGAGCGTTTTACTTCCAACTTTGTGGTCAATTTTAAAGTAAGTGCGATGTGGTGCTGAGAAGAATGTATATTCTGTTGATTTGGGGTGGAGAGTTCTGTAGCTGTCTATTAAGTCTGCTTGATCCAGAGCTGAGTTCAAGTCCTGAATATCCTTGTTAATTTTCTTTCTCGTTGTTCTAATATTGACAGTAGGGTGTTAAAGTCTCCCATTATTATTGTGTGGGAGTCTAAGTCTCTTTGTAGGTCTCTAAGAACTTGTGTTATGAATCTGGGTGGTCCTGTATTGGGTGCATATATATTTAGGATAGTTAGCTCTTCTTGTTCCATTGATCCCTTTAGCATTATGTAATGACCTTGTCTCTTTTGATTTTTGTTGTTTTAAAGTCTGTTATGTCAGAGACTAAATTGCAATCCCTGCTGTTTTTTTTTTTTTTTTTGGCTTTCCATTTGCTTGGTAAATATTCCTCCATCCCTTTATTTTGAGCCTATGTGTATCTTTGCACATGAGATGGATCTCCTGAATACAGCGCACTGATGGGTCTTGACTCTTTATTCAATTTGTCAGTCTGTGTCTTTTAATTAAAGGCATTTAGCCCATTTACAGTTAAGGTTAGTATTGTTATGTGTGAATTTGATCCTGTCATCATGATGCTAGCTCGTTATTTTGTCTGTTGTTGTTTCTTCGTAGTGCTGATGGTCTTTACAATTTGCTACGTGTTTGCAGTGGCTGGTACCGGTTGTTCCTTTCCATGTTTAGTGCTTCCTTCAGGAGCTCTTGTAAGGCAGGCCTGGTGGTGACAAAATCTCTCAGCATTTGCTTGTCTGTAAAGTATTTTATTTCTCCTTCACTTATGAAGCTTAGTTTGGCTGGATATGAAATTCTGGGTTGAAAATTCTTTTCTTTAAGAATGTTGAATATTGGCCCCCACTGTATTCTGGCTTGTAGGGTTTCTGCAGAGAGATCCGCTGTTAGTCTGATGGGCTTCCCTTTGTGGGTAACCAACCTTTCTCTCTGACTGCCCTTAACATTTTTTCCTTCATTTCTACCTTGGTGAATCTCATGATTATGTGTCTTGGGATTGCTCTTCTCAAGCAAAATCTTTGTGGTGTTCTCTGTATTTCCTGAATTTGAATATTGGTCTGTCTTGCTTGGTTGTGGAAGTTCTCCTGGATAATATCCTGAAGAGTGCATTCCAACTTGGTTCCATTCTCCCTGTCACTTTCAGGTATACCTATCAAACGTAGGTTTGGTCTTTTCACATAGTCCCATATTTCTTGGTGGCTTTGTTTGTTCCTTTTCATTCTCTTTTCTCTAATCTTGTCTTCACGCTTTATTTTAGTAAGTTGATATTTAATCTCTGATATCCTTTCTTCTGCTTGATCGATTTAGCTATTGATAGTTGTGTATTCTTCACAAAGTTCTTGTGCTGGGTTTTTCAGCTCCATCAGGTCATTTATGTTCTTCTCTAAACTGGTTATTCTAGTTAGCAGTTCAACTAAGTTTTTTCAAGGTTCTTAGCTTCCTTGCATTAGGTTAGAAATGCTCCTTTAGCTTGGGGGAGTTTGTTATTACCCACCTTCTGAAGCCTACTTCTGTCAGTTCGTCAAATTGATTTTCCATCCAGTTTTGTTCCCTTGCTGACGAGGTGTCATGATCCTTTGGAGTGGAAGAGGCGTACTGGTTTTTGGAATTTTCCGCCTTTTTGCACTGGCTTCTCCCCATTTTCGTGGATTTATCTATCTTTGGTCTTTGATGTTGGTAAGCTTCGGCTGGGGTTTCCGAGTGGACATCCTTTTTGTTGATGTTGATGCTATTCCTTTCTGTTTGTTAGTTTTCCTTCTAACAGTCAGGCCCCTCTGCTGCAGGTCTGCTAGAGTTTGCTGGAGGTCCACTCCAGACTCTGTTTACCTGGGTATCACCAGTGGAGGCTGCAGAACAGCAAAGGTTGCTGCCTCTTCCTTCCTCTGGAAGCTTTGTCCCAGAGGGGCCACCCACCAGATGCCAGCTGGAGCTCTCCTGTATGAGATGTCTGTCTGCCCCTGCTGGGAGGTGTCTCCCAGTCAGGAGACATGGGGGTCAGTGACCCAGTTGAGGAGGCAGTCTGACCCCTAGCAGAGCTCGAACATTATGCTTGGAGATCCGCTGCAAGGAGCTGACAGGCAGGGACGTCTAAGTTTGCTGAAGCTGCGCTCACAGCTGCCCCTTCCTCCAAGTGCTCTGTCCCAGGGTGATGGGAGTTTTATCTATAAGTCCCTGACTCAGGCTGCTGCCTATTGTTCAGAGATTCCCTGCCCATAGAGGAGGAATCTACAGAAGTAGTCTGTCTACAGCAGATTTGCTGAGCTTCAGAGGGCTCCGCCCAGTTGGAACTTCCCTGTGGTTTTGTTTACACTGTGAGGGGGAAACCGCCTACTCAAGCCTTAGTAATGGTAGATGCGCCTACCCCCACAAAAGCTCAATCATTCCTGGTCAACTTCAGACTGCTGTGCTGGCAGTGAGAATTTCAAGCCAGTGGATCTTAGCTTGCTGGGCTCCATATGGGTGGGATCCACAGAGCTAGATCACTTGGCTCCCTGGTTTCAGCCCCCTTTCCAGGGGAGTGAATGGTTCTGTCTCACTGGCATTCCAGGTGCCACTAGGGTATGAAAAAAACTCCTGCAGCTAGCTTGGTGTCTGCTGTAATGTTTTGTGCTTGAAACCCGGGGCTCTGGTGGCATAGGCATTTGAGGAAATCTCCTGGTCTGTGGGTTGCAAAGACCATGGGAAAAAGTGTAGTATTTGGGCTGGGGTGCACCATTCCTCACGGCACAGTCCCTCATGGCTTCCCTTGGCTAGGGGAGGGAGTTTCCCCAACTTCTTGTGCTTCCTGGGTGAGGTGACACCCCACCCTGCTTCGGCTTGCTGTCTGTGGGCTGCACCCACTGTCTAACCAGTCCCAATGAGATGAGCCAGGCACCTCAGTTGGAAATGCAGAAATCACCCACCTTCTGCATCGATCTAGCTGGGCGCTGCAGACCAGAGCTGTTCCTATTTGGCCATATTGCCAGGTCGCCCTACCCTTGTTTTCTTTCACTGTGATTGGCCTGAAATCATTTGAGAGCTTCCTATAGTCATGTGATCCATGATTTACTTAATAAATCCAATTACTTTATATGACACAGATGAATTATTCATATAATTGAGGTGGAAGTACATGTTTTGTTCGATTTACTCAAGTTATTGTACTTTATGCTACTTGAACTTAGAGTAACCCTCACTTATGTTTTACTTTATGTTATGGTTTTCATATCATACCAGACTAGGACATTGTATGTATTTGGATGTAGATTACTCAGACATTTTACATCATTTTAATATTTTTCAACGTATTAAACTTTTAGCTTTCAGTTTCAACCGTTTTTTCAAATTAGTTAAAATTATTTAGATTTTTCTAAGTTAAAAATGCATCTATGACTGAAAAATCTGTTTATATAATTTGATTTATAATGATGTGATACTTAATATTCACAGTTGATGTCTATCACATTTTAAATAAAAAGAATGGGTTAACAGTCGTCATACTTTGTAGCTTGGTATTATAATTTTCTAAAATCTTCAATATATGGTACTAACTTAGATGAAAGCATTCCCTCTGTACCCTTTCAGAAGTAATGCTGTGCAAGAAATAAAGTGGCTATATTATAATAATTTCTAGAAATAGAGGCCTCAAATATATTATTAATATTGTAATATATTATTTCTTATATTTGCTTAAAAATATTTAAAAATAAGATCTGAAGTCAACATGTTGCCCTAATTATATTTTGACTTCCAATAACATGATATTCTTTCTTTGTCATTTTTCTATTTTTATGACTAATAGATAATCTGGTATTCCATATGAAAAATGAGATGAGAAACATCAAGTACAAACCAGTAGACTATCAACAATTGCGTGCATTAACTGAAGCAAAGAAATTGGCTTCTGCCTCTGCAAAGCTAAAGGTTAGAAGTTGTGTGTGTATGTGTTTTTCTAGTTTTAGAAAATCGAATTGCTGGAAAGTATTTACATTGTCAATGTGAAAATAAATGACATTCCAAATAGTTGTTAGAAACTCCCAAGTAGAAATAATAGTGAATAGCAGCTAACATTTATCGAATGCTCTCGGACACCATTATATAGTTTACATGCATTCATACATTACCCATTTAATGTTCAGAACAACTCTTTCAGGTCTGAATTCAACTTTATTTTTTTAAAGACAGTTATTTTATTGGCTTTCAACAACTTCCAACTTAATCTGAAGAATAAAAATTGTTAGTAATTACCAGCCATGGACTATTATCTGATTAAGGCTCCTTCTCCAACACTATACAAATATGTCCTCAGGTGCTCTCTTTTCTAGAATTCTGTTTTTGGCTTAAATATATGTTCCAAGCCAGGGTGAACCTAGGCTAGATTTGAAAGGAGATTATGTGCAAGTGATTTTGCACAGTATTTTAGGACCATGTGTAGTTTAGGATTACTCACACACTGTGATTCTCTCTTGTGCAAATAATAGCGTTCATTGAAAACAGTATTTTCATTACTTGGCTGCATCAAAAAACAGGTTAGGTGAAGCAACTTGTTACGTAATTTACAAGTTATTTGTATTTAAAATTTTCATGGTTTGTTTGTTTTGCCTTTTATTGTTAATATCTTTTTTTATAGAAGGCAATTGTTATTATTTCAAAGCACATTTGATACTCTATTCTGGAGAGATTACCGTATATTCATGGGACATATCTCCTCAAACTAAGGCGACCACTTAAAAGCCAGGGAATTATTTATTTGGTTTATATAACTTTAAAATAAGTTAATGTTATGGGAACATTCAAAGAAATTTTATGGTAAAGTCACTTATATTACTATCATCCTAACAAAACTTTTCATATTCCTGACTTCTGTTTATTGTACACATATATGTAAACATAAACATAATACATATTTTATTTTTCTCATGATAAACATAGGCATGAAATCATGTATACTTTTCTCCCTAATAGTCTATCACATAATCTTTTAAATATTTAATTGTTCAAGCCCATAAATATTTATTATGTGCCTACTATTTGCCTTGAAGATACAATAGTCAGCAAAATATAGCCCTTACCTTTTTTTTTGTTTTTTTTTAAGCCACCCAGGCTATGTTATTTTTTTTTGTCTTCTTTTTTTTTATTTTTTATTATACTTTAAGTTTTAGGGTACATGTGCACATAGTGCAGGTTAGTTACATATGTATACATGTGCCATTCTGGTGCACTGCACCCACTAACTCGTCATCTAGCATTAGGTATATCTCCCAATGCTATCCCTCCCCCCTCCCCCAACCCCATAACAGTCCCGAGTGTGATATTCCCGTTCCTGTGTCCATGTGATCTCATTGTTCAGTTCCCACCTATGAGTGAGAATATGCAGTGTTTGGTTTTTTGTTCTTGCGATAGTTTACTGAGAATGATGTTTTCCAATTTCATCCATGTCCCTACAAAGGACATGAACTCATCATTTTTTATGGCTGCATAGTATTCCATGGTGTATATGTGCCACATTTTCTTAATCCAGTCTATCATTGTTGGACATTTGGGTTGGTTCCAAGTCTTTGCTATTGTGAATAATGCCGCAATAAACATACGTGTGCATGTGTCTTTATAGCAGCATGATTTATAGTCCTTTGGGTATATACCCAGTAATGGGATTGCTGGGTCAAATGGTATTTCCAGTTCTAGATCCCTGAGGAATCGCCACACTGACTTCCACAATGGTTGAACTAGTTTACAGTCCCACCAACAGTGTAAAAGTGTTCCTATTTCTCCACATCCTCTCCAGCACCTGTTGTTTCCTGACTTTTTAATGATCACCATTCTAACTGTTGTGAGATGGTATCTCATTGTAGTTTTGATTTGCATTTCTCTGATGGCCAGTGATGATGAGCATTTTTTCATGTGTTTTTTGGCTGCATAAATGTCTTCTTTTGAGAAGTGTCTGTTCATGTCCTTCGCCCACTTTTTGATGGGGTTGTTTGTTTTTTTCTTATAAATTTGTTTGAGTTCATTGTAGATTCTGGATATTAGCCCTTTGTCAGATGAGTAGGTTGCGAAAATTTTCTCCCATTTTGTAGGTTGCCTGTTCACTCTGATGGTAGTTTCTTTTGCTGTGCAGAAGCTCTTTATTTTAATTAGATCCCATTTGTCAATTTTGTCTTTTGTTGCCATTGCTTTTGGTGTTTTAGACATGAAGTCCTTGCCCATGCCTATGTCCTGAATGGTAATGCCTAGGTTTTCTTCTAGGGTTTTTATGGTTTTAGGTCTAACGTTTAAGTCTTTAATCCATCTTGAATTGATTTTTGTATAAGCTGTAAGGAAGGGATCCAGTTTCAGCTTTCTACATATGGCTAGCCAGTTTTCCCAGCACCATTTATTAAATAGGGAATCCTTTCCCCATTGCTTGTTTTTCTCAGGCTTGTCAAAGATCAGATAGTTGTAGATATGCGGCGTTATTTCTGAGGGCTCTGTTCTGTTCCATTGATCTATATCTCTGTTTTGGTACCAGTACCATGCTGTTTTGGTTACTGTAGCCTTGTAGTATAGTTTGAAGTCAAGTAGTGTGATGCCTCCAGCTTTGTTCTTTTGGCTTAGGATTGACTTGGCGATGCGGGCTCTTTTTTGGTTCCATATGAACTTTAAAGTAGTTTTTTCCAATTCTGTGAAGAAAGGCATTGGTAGCTTGATGGGGATGGCATTGAATCTGTAAATTACCTTGGGCAGTATGGCCATTTTCACGATATTGATTCTTCCTACCCATGAGCATGGAATGTTCTTCCATTTGTTTGTATCCTCTTTTATTTCCTTGAGCAGTGGTTTGTAGTTCTCCTTGAAGAGGTCCTTCACATCCCTTGTAAGTTGGATTCCTAGGTATTTTATTCTCTTTGAAGCAATTGTGAATGGGAGTTCACTCATGATTTGGCTCTCTGTTTTTCTGTTGCTGGTATATAAGAATGCTTCTGATTTTTGTACATTGACTTTGTATCCTGAGACTTTGCTGAAGTTGCTTATCAGCTTAAGGAGATTTTGGGCTGAGACAATGGGGTTTTCTAGATAAACAATCATGTCGTCTGCAAACAGGGACAATTTGACTTCCTCTTTTCCTAATTGAATATCCTTTATTTCCTTCTCCTGCCTAATTGCCCTGGCCTGAACTTCCAACACTATGTTGAATAGGAGTGGTGAGAGAGGGCATCCCTGTCTTGTGCCAGTTTTCAAAGGGAATGCTTCCAGTTTTTGCCCATTCAGTATGATATTGGCTGTGGGTTTGTCATAGATAGCTCTTATTATTTTGAAATACGTCCCATCAATACCTAATTTATTGAGAGTTTTTAGCATGAAGGATTGTTGAATTTTGTCACAGGCTTTTTCTGCATCTATTGAGATAATGATGTGGTTTTTGTCTTTGGCTCTGTTTATATGCTGGATTACATTTATTGATTTGCGTATATTGAACCAGCCTTGCATCCCAGGGATGATGCCCACTTGATCATGGTGGATAAGCTTTTTGATGTGCTGCTGGATTCGTTTTGCCAGTATTTTATTGAGGATTTTTGCATCAATGTTCATCAAGGATATTGGTCTAAAATTCTCTTTTTTTGTTGTGTCTCTGCCCGGCTTTGGTATCAGAATGATGCTGGCCTCATAAAATGAGTTAGGGAGGATTCCCTCTTTCTCTATTGATTGGAATAGTTTCAGAAGGAATGGTACCAGTTCCTCCTTGTACCTCTGGTAGAATTCAGCTGTGAATCCATCTGGTCCTGGACTCTTTTTGGTTGGTAAGCTATTGATTATTGCTACAATTTCAGATCCTGTTCTTGGTCTATTCAGAGATTCAACTTCTTCCTGGTTTAGTCTTGGGAGAGTGTATGTGTCGAGGAATTTATCCATTTCTTCTAGATTTTCTAGTTTATTTGCGTAGAGGTGTTTGTAGTATTCTCTGATGGTAGTTTGTATTTCTGTGGGATCGGTGGTGAGATCCCCTTTATCATTTTTTATTGTGTCTATTAGATTCTTCTCTCTTTTTTTCTTTATTAGTCTTGCTAGCGGTCTATCAATTTTGTTGATCCTTTCAAAAAACCAGCTCCTGGATTCATTAATTTTTTGAAGGGTTTTTTGTGTCTCTATTTCCTTCAGTTCTGCTCTGATTTTCATTATTTCTTGCCTTCTGCTAGCTTTTGAATGTGTTTGCTCTTGCTTTTCTAGTTCTTTTAATTGTGATGTTAGGGTGTCAATTTTGGATCTTTCCTGCTTTCTCTTGTGGGCATTTAGTGCTATAAATTTCCCTGTACACACTGCTTTGAATGTGTCCCAGAGATTCTGGTATGTTGTGTCTTTGTTCTCATTGGTTTCAAAGAACATCTTTATTTCTGTCTTCATTTCGTTATGTACCCAGTGGTCATTCAGGAGCAGGTTGTTCAGTTTCCATGTAGTTGAGTGGTTTTGAGTGAGATTCTTAATCCTGAGTTCCAGTTTGATTGCACTGTGGTCTGAGAGATAGTTTGTTATAATTTCTGTTCTTTTACATTTGCTGAGGAGAGCTTTACTTCCAACTATATGGTCAATTTTGGAATAGGTGTGGTGTGGTGCTGAAAAAAATGTATATTCTGTTGATTTGGGGTGGAGAGTTCTGTAGATATCTATTAGGTCTGCTTGGTGCAGAGCTGAGTTCAATTCCTGGGTGTCCTTGTTGACTTTCTGTCTCCTTGATCTGTCTAATGTTGACAGTGGGGTGTTAAAGTCTCCCATTATTAATGTGTGGGAGTCTAAGTCTCTTTGTAGGTCACTCAGGACTTGCTTTATGAATCTTGGTGCACCTATATTGGGTGCATATATATTTAGGATAGTTAGCTCTTCTTGTTGAATTGATCCCTTTACCATTATGTAATGGCCTTCTTTGTCTCTTTTGATCTTTGTTGGTTTAAAGTCTGTTTTATCAGAGACTAGTATTGCAACCCCTGCCTTTTTTTGTTTTCCATTTGCTTGGTAGATCTTCCTCCATCCTTTTATTTTCAGCCTATGTGTGTGTCTGCACGTGAGATGGGTTTCCTGAATACAGCACACTGATGGGTCTTGACTCTTTATCCAATTTGCCAGTCTGTGTCTTTTAATTGGAGAATTTAGTCCATTTACATTTAAAGTTAATATTGTTATGTGTGAATTTGATCCTGTCATTATGATGTTAGCTGGTGATTTTGCTCGTTAGTTGATGCAGTTTCTTCCTAGTCTCGATGGTCTTTACATTTTGGCATGATTTTGCAGCGGCTGGTACCGGTTGTTCTTTTCCGTGTTTAGGGCTTCCTTCAGGAGCTCTTTTAGGGCAGGCGTGGTGGTGACAAAATCTCTCAGCATTTGCTTGTCTGTAAAGTATTTTATTTCTCCTTCACTTATGAAGCTTAGTTTGGCTGGATATGAAATTCTGGGTTGAAAATTCTTTTCTTTAAGAATGTTGAATATTGGCCCCCACTCTCTTCTGGCTTGTAGGGTTTCTGCCAAGAGATCCGCTGCTAGTCTGATGGGCTTCCCTTTGAGAGTAACCCGACCTTTCTCTCTGGCTGCCCTTAACATTTTTTCCTTCATTTCAACTTTGGTGAATCTGACAATTATGTGTCTTGGAGTTGCTCTTCTCGAGGAATATCTTTGTGGCGTTCTCTGTATTTCCTGAATCTGAACATTGGCCTGCCTTGCTAGATTGGGGAAGTTCTCCTGGATAATATCCTGAAGACTGTTTTCCAACTTGGTTCCATTCTTCCCATCACTTTCAGGTACACCAATCAGACGTAGATTTGGTCTTTTCACATAGTCCCATATTTCTTGGAGGCTTTGCTCATTTCTTTTTATTCTTTTTTCTCTAAACTTCCCTTCTCGCTTCATTTCATTCATTTCATCTTCCGTTGCTGATACCCTTTCTTCCAGCTGATCGCATTGGCTCCTGAGGCTTCTGCATTCTTCACGTAGTTCTCGAGCCTTGGTTTTCAGCTCCATCACCTCCTTTAAGCAGTTCTCTGTGTTGGTTATTCTAGTTATACATTCTTCTAAATTTTTTTCAAAGTTTTCAACTTCTTTCCCTTTGGTTTGAATGTCCTCCCGTAGCTCAGAGTAATTTGATCGTCTGAAGCCTTCTTCTCTCAGCTCGTCAAAGTCATTCTCCATCCAGCTTTGTTCCGTTGCTGGTGAGGAACTGCGTTCCTTTGGAGGAGGAGAGGCACTCTGCTTTTTGGAGTTTCCAGTTTTTCTGTTCTGTTTTTTCCCCATCTTTGTGGTTTTATCTACTTTTGGTCTTTGATGATGGTGATGTACAGATGGGTTTTTGGTGTGGATGTCCTTTCTGTTTGTTAGTTTTCCTTCTAACAGACAGGACCCTCAGCTGCAGGTCTGTTGGAATACCCTGCCGTGTGAGGTGTCAGTGTGCCCCTGCTGGGGGGTGCCTCCCAGTTAGGCTGCTCAGGGGTCAGGGGTCAGGGACCCACTTGAGGAGGCAGTCTGCCCGTTCTCAGATCTCCAGCTGTGTGCTGGGAGAACCACTGCTCTCTTCAAAGCTGTCAGACAGGGACATTTAAGTCTGCAGAGGTTACTGCTGTCTTTTTGTTTGTCTGTGCTCTGCCCCCAGAGGTGGAGCCTACAGAGGCAGGCAGGCCTCCTTGAGCTGTGGTGGGCTCCGCCCAGTTGGAGCTTCCTGGCTGCTTTGTTTACCTAATCAAGCCTGGGCAATGGCGGGCGCCCCTCCCCCAGCCTCGCTGCCGCCTTGCAGTTTGATCTCAGACTGCTGTGCTAGCAATCAGCAAGACTCCGTGGGCATAGGACCCTCCAAGCCAGGTGCGGGATATAATCTCGTGATGCGCCGGTTTTTAAGCCGGTCGGAAAAGCGCAGTATTCAGGTGGGAGTGACCCGATTTTCCAGGTGCCCCTTTCTTTGACTCGGAAAGGGAACTCCCTGACCCCTTGCGCTTCCCAAGTGAGGCAGTGCCTCGCCCTGCTTCGGCTCGCGCACGTTGCGCCCACCCACTGACCTGCGCCCACTGTCTGGCACTCCCTAGTGAGATGAACCCGGTACCTCAGATGGAAATGCAGAAATCACCCGTCTTCTGCGTCACTCACGCTGGGAGCTGTAGACCGGAGCTGTTCCTATTCGGCCATCTTGGGCTATGGTCAGCCCTTACCTTTATGAAGTTTACTGTTTGCTGGGGGAGGGAGAGGAGTCAGTGTTTATCAAATAAGCCTGGAAGTAAAATTATCCGAAGTATAAACTGCAATAAAAACCATGCTGTTTGGTGTATAATAGGATTTGATCTTCACTGAGTGGTTAGGGAAGGCTTTTCTGAGGAAGTGATTTTGGAATTGGGATCTCAAGGCCAATAAAGTATGAAGTTACAATGAGATAGGAGGAATCAGTTCTGGTGTTCTATTGCACAGTAGGGTGAGGATGAGTAACAGTGAGGTATTGTATATTACAAAACAGAAGAGAGGCTGTTGAATATACTCCCCACAAAGAAATGATAAATGCACACGACGATGGCCGTGCAAAATACCCTGATTTAACGTATATTTTATATAACATATATATGTATCAAAACATCAAATTGTGCCCATAAATATGCACAATTACAATATGTCAATTAAAAATATAATACAAAAGAATTAACTAGGTAAAAACAGGAGTGACAAGTACTCCAAAGAGAAAAAGATGCATGCATTATCCCACCCCAATTTTTAGATATTTGAGATGTATCCAATTTTGTGATAATAGAAATTATGCTACTTCAAGCATAGATACTTTTCATGTTTTAGAATCCTCTACTCTCATAGGAAAAATTCCCATGATTGGGACATCTGGACCAAAAGTGTGAGTGTTTTTTAGTGTTTTTGAGACCTGTTACCAAATTTCTTTCCCAAGGTATTGTTTTAATAAAGATACCAAACAAATGTATTCTCTACACCCTTGTCAGTATTGGAATAGATAAATAAATATTCATACATGTATATATACACACTTATATTTCTAATACCATCCATCCATTCGAGATGTACCAAAAAAGACATTTTGGCTGAATGTAGAATGGTTGAGTGTTAAAATCAGTATTTTATCAAAGTGAATTTCTCTTTGGTGATAGACTCATTATGAAAGCATCAATATATTTCAGATTTTTAATTATTGTGGTTTTTACAATTTAATATCAAGTGCAGGAACAATAATTTCTCAGCACTGTTAGCTGCTAGATGGCTACTGTGGTCTCTGTATTTACATATTTGTGCGGTTAAACAGATGCTCACGTTCAACTGGCATTTTAAATAACATCAGTAACCTTTTTGTTTATAGTGGAATGTAATTCAGGAAGAAGCTTTTCTAGAAATAACTGTGTACCTGAGATTCATAGCTTGGCAAATCTCAAAAAATCCCTTGTCTTTAATGAAAATGGTTCACAGTCTGTAGCAATCATTTTGACAAGCTTTTGCTTCCATTTTTAGTCTCCGTAGATTCATGATGATGAGGAATTGTCCTTTTAAAGCATTTTGGAATGTCTGTTGTTTTGAATTTCAGTTAGTGAGAACAAAATGTGTCCTAGGTACTTCATCATTTTCTAACACTTGCTTTTTTTTCTTCATGCAGTTTTCATTTTTTATTATATCTGGATTAAGGAAGATGCATTGGGAATATTGCTGTACATTATTTTTTGGAGTCTTCTAATTTAATTTAGAGGTGGCAAGTTGACATTTTGCTTTTAATTTATTCTTGTAAGTTGTGAACAATTGCCAAATAGGACTTTTTCTTAAAAGACTCATGGCTTAAGTGGAATTAAATAACTGGAAATTAAATACAACTCAAAGTTTTTTTTAATGTCCTGAATGCTAAGATACCAAACAATCCACACTAACTAGAATTATTATTATAATAGTATCTCTCTTATTCTTTCATATATTACTTGAATTAAAAATACATAGGCTCAAAAAGAATGTATTATTATTCTTAATATTACATAGCTAACACATTCTCTCTAAATATTTGTATTATCAGCCTACTTCCCTGTTTATTTTACCTTTTAAATAAACTCTTTTTTTAGACATGTAATTAACAGTTTTAATAATCATTGTTAATTATTACAGCACTTTTCTCTGGCAATATTAAATATAAACATATTTAAATAAAATGATAAAATGTTAACATTTAAAGCACATAAAGAGATTATTGCTTCAAGTTACATCTAGAATACTTAGCTACCTGTCTGATTTGTACTACTGATATTATTAACAAGTTAGATGTGATGGTCATCTATATAATCACTGTGTCATTGATCATGCACAATTTCTGCGATGCCAGCTATATAAGACTGAAGTGGACAGTCAGTGATCTAGTCTTTCAAAGGCTGAGATTGAACCTGAAGACAAATAATAGAGTTGGGCTAAAAACTGAGACCAATTTTGGTACATTGTGTGTAACTGTACATTCCCAGTATTTTAACTGTAAAAGAGATCTTTGCAATTATTTTTAAATTTGAATTTCTTTGCTTAGATACTTCTTGTCCAGCTCAAGCCTCTATTAATTCTTTTTAAAAATGTTATAGAAAATTATAAACATATGCACAATTGGATTGAATTGTATAGTGAATCTCCATGTCACATCATTCAGCTTCAACAATGATCAACTTTTGGCCCTTGTTTCCTCTATACTGCTACCCACAAATGACCCCCTGTGCCAGATTGTTTTGAAGCAAATCACAGACATCATAATATTTCACCCATAAATATTTCAACATATATTTCTGAAATAATAGAGATTTTTAAAAAGCCTACAATACTATTACCATGTCTAAAAATGTTAATGTCTTAATAATTTCAAATATATAGTGTTAAATTTCCCTGATTGTCTCAAAAATTTTGTCTTAAAGATTATTTAAATAAGCTTCTAGATATGGTCTGTACATTATACTTTTTTTTTTTGTAGATTTGCTCCTCTATCCTTTTGTATTTTGTAATTTATTTTTTGAAGAAATTGTATTGTTTGTCTTATAGTCTGAATTGGGCAGATTACATCCTGGTGGTGTCATTCAACATGTTTTTCTGTTTCTTGTATTTCCAGTAAATTGATAGTTATATTTAGGGACTTGATCAGATTCAAGTTCAATTAATTTTGTCAAGAACACTTACTGATGGAAGTTTTGTGCTCTAATCTTTTTCTATTACAAATGGTACTGCAGTGAATAGCTTTGTGCATATATCTTTTATACTTTTGCCAATATAGTTTTCAGATGGATTTCTATAAATGAATTTGCTAGGTCACAGGATAAATCCATATGCAATCTTGTGATGCATCTCCAAATTCCCTTCTATGGGGGTTGTATCACTTTGTATTCCCACTAGCAATATTAGACAGAACATGCTTTCTGTAGCCTCACAGTGTTTTGTTAAACAATTGAGTTTTTGTCAACCCGATAAATGAGAAATTGCATCTTACTGTAGTTGTTTTTTCTTTTTATTTATGTTAACAGTTCTTTATTGAGCTATAACTCACATATAGTAAAATGTATATATCTCAAACATACGTCCCAGTGAAATTTGACAAACATATACATACATGTAACCAGTGGTCTACTAGTTATTGACGTCTGTCTCAAAAGATGGATCTTCTCGTTCAAAGAGCTTTTGTAATATTTCAAGGTACCTATTTAGGGTTTTATTATCTTGGACCATCACAATAAGCCATATACAGGAAACCCCTGGTTTCTGATTCTTTTATGAATTCATTGTTTTGGCATGTTTCCAGAGTATTTTTGAATCGTCAGCATTCTGCACAAATTATCATCCACCCTAAGTATTGACTTCATATGGTGTATTGCCCAGTAAAATGAATTGGAATCACCTAGACATCTCTCTGTTGTTAAAGATAGAACTTTAAATCTTTTTGTTATTTTTAAGACTTTTTTTTTTCATTTTTGGCCCAAGGATAGAAGTGGAATCAATGAGTGAATTTATAAAAAAATCAGTATGTTCTGCAAAATATTGGAATTGTCTAGTGAAAAATAGTAGCTTTATTTTGACTTTTATAGTCTACTTAATTGAACTTTCCATGGGCCCAAAGGCGAGAGCATTGATTTTTTTTCAAACTATAAAAATGTGTCCCCGTCTTTCACCAATGTATTTTAATTTTTTTGTACAATATGTACCAAATATGCCAAAGAAATCTAATTTTAAAAGTTGTATCTGTTGCAACAAACTTTAGAGACTGTGTATGGTAAATGGCTGGAATGAGTTTTAAGCATTCTTAAAGTGAACGTTAAAGTGTCAGATTTTAGAAATACTGTGTACTTATATTTTTTTGGTAGGTAAAGTAGAGACTGCTGAATGTTTTTCTGCAGGGTCCTGTGCTTTTAAAAACGTACTTTCCTCCTAAATTTTATAATTGTAACACTCTTACCTTCTTAGGAAAATATTTGACTTTGACTTTGTATTTTTTAAAAGTAATCTTTGGGTTGTTTTCTTATACCCCTAATTTTGAATCAGTAACCAGAACAGCAGAAAGATAAACTCAAGGTTAAAGCAATCAGTGAATGACGGCTGGAAATAGCATGCATTATAAAGATTCCTTTTTAGAACTTGTCTTCTGAAGTCTTTACATTTCCAGCATTGATCTTTTAAAGCTTTTAGGGTACTAAGTACTTTAACAGCAGAGAAATTATGAAATATGCGTATTTCATCAAGTTTCTGATGTACACGTTTGTAGTTTAAAATTGTTAATATGGAATACTTCGGTTTGGAGTACCCATGAGTATAAGTTAGAGTCTAACCAGGGAACAGACATCACTTGAGGATTTAGAGTAGAGCGGTTTTTAATGTAGGAAAATGTTTATGCAGGTGATAGCACTGAGAAGGCAAAGGACTGGGAGGCAATACGGAGATTGACAAGTACAGGAAATCACTGCCATCAGTAGGTCAGAGGGACATACAGAAGAAGCAAGGCCATGCCAAATTCCTGGGGTGAGGTTACCCGGAGATAGTTGGAACCGTAGTGGAACTGTTCAGAGAAAAGTTGGGGCAATGGACACAATGCAAATGCTCCTAGAGACTGTGAGAGTAGAGAAGGCAAGATGACATAATCCTTTGGCTTCTCCTTTCTTCCCTGCCTTCAGTCTCCCATCCCAGGGTCTTGCTTTGGCTGAAGCCAACTGATAGGGGTGCCTGAGAAACACAAGCTGCTCTGTGAGATGGAGCAGATCAGGCAAACAGCCAGAAATGGATCTAAGACAAACAGATCCAGGGCTGATATAACCTTTCAGCTGAAACTCAAAATCATTAATTATGTGCTACATTTTTAAAAAGTAGTAAAATTGAGGAAAAATTACATTTAGTTGAAAATTTAGATTTCAATGCTACATGATTTTTCATATTTCTTTAAGTATCTTCAAATAAATATTTGCTTAAATTAAAAAAATTTTTTTACAAAGACGCACTTAGAGTTGAAAGACTAAAATTGTGTGTTCAAGGTCATATTTCTAGTAAGTGTTGAAGCCAGGCCTTCTAAAAACTTATCCAAGGAACCTTTCCCATCTTATGCTGAGGGATCAGATAGAAGCCAATCTAAACATCAAGGTTCTTTGTTACTCTGATATTTATGAGCTTTATAATCTTGACCACATCTTTTAACTTCTCATACATTCAATAAATATTCTCCTCCAAAAATGTGAATAAAGATGGCTATTATGCCTGACAGGGAAGATAAATCCAAAAGGGGAGAAATGAAACCTCTTGAAAACTTTTCTGGGGTTATATGAATTAAGGTATTATCTATTTCATGTATGGAAAATAGAATGACTTTGCCTTTGTTTTAATAAGTACTTTAAAAACAGTTTTTAAGTTTGTCAGTATTCCCAACCATTTTTCTTTCTCCTCCCTGCTTTAAAAAATCAAATTTATTTTAGGTAGATTTTGTGTTAGGAGATGCACTAATAAGAATTTTAAAAGAGAAACTATTTAACTTAGAAAATTCAGATTAAGCATTTCTGTTGTGAAAAACACATTCTGAAAACTTTGAAGTTGCTCCTCTTTTGTTCCTCTAAATCTAGATCAGAAAAGCAATGTTGACTTCAAAGTTATCCAAAGAACAAACACTAATAAAACAACACAAGCAAGTGTGGTGGCAGGAATACCAGAGGCTGAATGAAGTCAGGTAAGAACTGGGGGACATAGTAAGAACACGTAGGAATTACTAGGAATAGCACTTATCTTGTCAGATGTTCTATAATGTTCCATGTTAATTAACCATTATAATAAAAATTTAAAGTTACGATTTGAATGTGAGTCAAATTAAAATCCTTTCATTTCCTCATCTTAATCTGAAATCCAGTGAATATATTAATATGGCTTTTGCTTCCTGTTGGAAAGAAGATGATCTTCTGTATGTGTCAATCACTTCCACACTCCCACTCTCATACTTGTATTTACTTGTATCATACTTAGCATATTGGATTATAATGTTTTGGATACATGTTTTTTCCTCCCTATAAAGTGGTAAAGATCCTATCACGGGCAAACATCTCATCATATTCATTTTTATATAGTAGAATACATAGGAGAGATGTAAATGCTTTTAATACATGGATGAACTAATGAACAAGGAGTTCAAGTTGCAAATGATTTCTGGGTGTAAGTGCATCATGACTAACTTACTCAATTTTGCTTTTTGACTTTTGTTATTATTTCCAGCTGTCACGTAAAGATAAAATGAAATATTGATTCTACAGTTGATCTTAATTGTAATCTTTGAAAAATTAGTTTTTTCAAAGGTCAAGGCAAAAAGAGAAGGCAGATATGTTTCTCCTTCATTTATAGCTTGTATACTTGTTTTAATGATGATATTTATAAAGTGTGCTTCTAAAATGTGCATTTTAAAGCATTTATTTTATATCAAAATAGTTAATTTCTGTGGTCTTATTCTAAGTAAAGTTTGTAAATGCCATTAACTTTACTTTTGACTTAGGTCTTTTTCATGTTGATGAGTTTCTTATTCTGGCAGGTGACTCCTTTATGTGAAGTAGAAGGCTTATAATTGAAAGTGGTTTTACATTATTGTGTAACTTAAAACATAGAAAAACAAAGTTATATGGACTTCATCACCATACAGCTACTTTAAATACAATGAAATTAGACCCATCTTATCCCTCAAAAAGTCACCTTTTATGGAGTGAATGTTTGAGCCTATTGAATTTTTTTTTTGAAAATGTGCATAACTTGAAACATGACAAAAAGGAAAGCCATTAGGAAGCTTTAATTGTGGTGTTCACTGATTCAAATTCAAGTGTAAAGGAAGACACTTGGTAAAGTTTTTTGTTTTTTTTAAATCTTGGCTATTCCACGTCTTTCTTAATGTGTATATTAAGTTGTTCTTAAGCTATGTAGAAGAGGTGTATACATATCATTATGGGAAATAATTCTTTTGGCTGACCTGGAATGACACAAAGAAAATGGAAGTGAGGAACACTTAAGTAATGATAACCTTAATGTCTCAGAACTTGTAAGGGCTGAAAATTGGACAAAATGAAGAATTCCAGGATAAGTTTCTATGTTATTCTAGAATGCAGGCTAATTGCAATTTGTGTTCGGTGCAACTAAAAGCTAACAGCAATAGGAGATAAGTTAGAGAAATGACTACCTTGTGGAGAATTTAGGGCCACCAACAAATTAGAAGTAGTTAAAGTCCTAACAGTGTTTGTCAACCTTTAGAAATCGACATCCCCTTTTAATAAGTAAGATTCTATGCCTTACCATAAAAGACAACATTTAAGAATCTCAGGCAGGCGGAGGATAAGGGCTTACAATAACACCTAACATTTGTTAGGTAATTTAATATGTGCCAGGTAATATTAGGTTGGGCAAAAGCCACAATTATTTTTGCACCAACCGAGTATGTTAAGTCCTTTACATGTTTTATCTCCTTTAATATTTACAACGACCCTACAAAGTAGTCGTTATTGCTCTCTCAGTTTTACAGATGAGAATCTTGAGTCTCAGATGATGAAAGTTAATTTGTAGATCATAAATAACCTAGTCTGTGTGGAGCTGGGATTGGAACATTTGCCCCTAACTTCTGTGCTCTATGACCTTGGAGTTGAGTAGCTTTTTCCTTTTTCTACAGGATTCTGTTTACATCACCTGAGATGCAATTGGTCTAGCCTTGCTGGCAAAAATAAAAGAAATTTTGCCAGGGTGTGGTGGTGCATACCAGTAGTCCCAGCTACGTGGGAGGCTGAGGCAGGAGGATCACTTCAGCCTAGGCGTTCAAGTCTTCAGTACATTATGATTGCACCCGTGAACAGCCACTGCACTCTAGCCTGGGCAACATCGTGAGACCCCATGTCTAAAAACAGCAAAACAAAATGAAAACATATGCCAAACTTTGATTCTTTGAAATCTGTACTAAGAAAACTAGACAAAATTTTCAAATGTGAAATTATGTTTAATATTTACATTTATACAGTTTTATTTAAATTGTGTTATGCTTAATCAAGCTATACCCCTTGAGGTTTTTGACACACTTTTCCAGAGGCGCTTTCTCCCTCGTTTCATTCTGGTACCACAAAGAATCCCTTAAGTTTTTGTGTGCTCGTTTGCCCAGATGATGTATTAATCTACTCAGTGCAACCACCTGCAGATAAGACACCCTGGTGAAGGGCATTTTTGAGCCTTCAGGTGTCTACCTTGGTATAGATTCTTATCCTTCCAGAAAGGTGCCAAAGTTCTAAGTGGAGAATCAGTCTCCTCAGAACATCAAAAATTACCCATATCTTCATTTTTTGGCAGTTAGTATGCTCTGTTATGACTTTCTGGGTGCCGAGCTAGATGGTTTTTAAGTGCTGTGTTTTTGGTTAAACAAATCTGTTCTGGAATAACTTCTGGTTTGACTCAACCATTATGCACTCATCCTCCATGTAACAGTTGCAAATGTGATCTTAAAAATATTTCTGGCAGAAACTACCTGCTGGAAAAATAGACAGTGAGGTATCACTTACAATATCACCCCTCCTTTATACATTTAAACAAAAACCAAAACCTTGTCCCATGTAAATTGGCTTAGAAAATTATGACACAGCACTTTGGGAGGCCAAGGCAGGTGGATCACCTGAGGTCAGGAGTTTGAGACTAGCCTAGCCAACATGGTGAAACCCTGTCTCTGCTAAAAATACAAAAATTAGCCAGGCATGGTGGCGCGCACCTGTAGTCCCAGCTACTTGGGAGGCTGAGGCAGGAGAATTGCTTGAACCTGGGAGGTGGAGGTTGCAATGAGTCGAGATCACGCCATTGCACTTCAGCCCGGGCGACCCAGCAAGACTCCTTCTCAAAAAAAAAAAAAAAAAAAAAGAAAAGAAAATAATGACACGTACATAAAATGGAATACTATGGAGTCATTAAATGATAATTATGAAAACTATTTAGAAATATCTAAAAAAAAAGTTAGTGTTAGTAAAAAAAAAAAAAAATCCCACAACATAAAATGTTAAATATGCCATGTTATGACCATGTGAAATATATCAACATTTAGATAAGGGCTAGAAACTTATCTGGAAAAATTAAAATAATAATTATATTAAAGGATTATAATTGCTGCTTTTTTATATTATACCATTTTAATACTGTAATAATCATAAAACTCTTTTATATGATTTAATCGAATCTGCCATAAGCAAGGGGTAGGCTATAATATTTTTGGATGCCCATTTAGAGTTAGTTATGATTTTATTCTAAAAAAATGACTATATTTTAAAAATATGTAGGCCAGGTGTGGTGACTCACACCTGTAATCCTGGCACTTTGGGAGGCCAAGGTGGGCGGATCACCTGAGGTCAGGAGTTCAAGACCAGCCTGGCCCACATAGTGAAACCCTGTCTCTAATAAAAGTACACACACGCACATATTAGCTAGGTGTGGTGTCACATGCCTGTAGTTCCACCTACTCGGGAGGCTTAGGCACGAGGATCACTTGAACTCAGGAGATGGAGGTTTCAGTGAACTGAGATTGTGCCACTGCACTCCAGCCTGGGCGATCAAGCGAGACTCAGTCCAAAAAAAAAAAAAAAATATGTATGTACACATATGTATACATATATAAGCTCATGAAGATTTGTTGCTCTTATTAGTATATACATACACATATATATGTATACATATGTACGTACACATACGTATGTATACATATATAAGCTCATGAAGATTTGTTGCTCTTATTAGTATATTAAAAATAAAGTATACTTCTACCTCTGTAATTCAGGGTCTCATCCTTTCTGAACTTTTAAAATTACCTCCTTGTTGGTCTAGATTTGTCTGATACCCTCCTCTTCATCTTCCATCTCTATTGCTCACATCTCCTTCTGCTCTATCTTGTTGTCTTGGGAATCTTTCTGAAACACGGATCTGAGGAAGTGAGGTCAGCCTACTGACCTTCAGTGCTTCCCAATGCTCTGGGTCCTCTCCACATGCAATGCCAGGACCTGCTGTGGGCTGGCCTTTGCTCACGCTGTTTCTTCTCCCTGAGCCTATGCATCTACCTCAGTGTCTAGTAAAGACTCAAGCCATGTTAGGAATTTAGTACATGGTTTAAATGAACAGATGACAAAGCCATATTAGACTAAATATCTCTTTGGTTATTTTTTAAAAACCTAGATGTATGTTTATGATTGTAACATTTATTGAGATCACATCTATTTCAGATGTAAAATGGAATCTGAAATAAAATCCCTTCTCAATGAAGAGAACATTGGAAATGAATGTCTTTGTGACCTTACAAATTTTGGTAAGATTTTTTTGATCCTATATTTAAAGGGGAGTTTTATTTTGAAGAATGAGAATGGGCCACTCACTTCATGTTCTTTTAATATTAACTGCCATTTGTTTTTTTCTAAGGAAATCCCCAAATAAATCTGTACTCTAATGATCTGTTTTTGGAGACACTTAAAATAATAATGTGTTCCTTTAATTCAATTTTGTTTCACCATAGAGCAAGAGCTATCAGAACAACAGTGCACATATCTTAAAAATGTAATAAATCCTATTCAGCAGCTGAGAGCAGATCTAAAATACAGACAGCATCACACTTTGCAGCATTCACACCCACATATTGAGTTTAACTCCATGAAAGTATTGGAAGAGGTTAGTATGTTACCTTTATTTTCCATAATGTAATATTTCATTTTTGTCCCAACTAGAAGAGTTTGAGATAAGAAACAAACATGTGTGACCTGTATATTAGTTAATATTAATACATAAATAATATTTAAATAGAAGGGCAGCTAATTCTATCCACTAAATATTTTAAACACATGCCTGAACTCTGTCGAGCACCCTCATTTCTTGTCTGGAATGTTCCAGTGGCCTCATAACTGGCTTCCCTGCTTTCATTCTTGCCTCTCCTCCCAATGCATCCTGGGATCTTACCCCAGCACAGGGGGATTAAGTCATCTGTTGCTGAAATTCCCTAGGGGCTCCTGTGAGTACATAAGTCCTTCTATCCACCTATAGCCCCCTTTTTGCTTCTTCAATCACATCTGCTACCTGACATTTCCACTTTGCCATAAAAGCTCAGTCACACCCAGGCTGGCCTTCTTTCTGTTTCTCCAACATGCCAGGCCCATTCCTGTACTGGCTATTTCCTCTGTCCTGTTGATGTGACTCTTTGCCATTTAGATCTTGGCTCAAATGTCCTCTTGTCTGAGAGGCCTGTGCTGAGAAGCCACAGTCACTCCCTATCACACCACCCTATTTTGACATTTCCTTCCTGCTCCTGACCCTTTCTTACATATTTTTTTATTAGTTTGTCAACTGCTTCCCCTCAATTGAGCATAAACTTCTTGAGTATAGGTGTGCTATGTTTGATAAAAATTTAGGTGGTTTTTTCTATTTTTCAGTTATTCTGTAATGTTATATTGCTTTTATAAATACTCATAAAAAATATAAATGTATGCCCAGGTGGGGATTAGAGGCAAGAATGCAAGGGAAGGAAGGGGTGATTGGAGCAGAGACATCTGGTAAGTTCTCTGCATTACCACAGAGAAAATAAAAAGGTGGGTGCAGAGTGACTGTGACTGCACTGTACTTTCTGAGCTTATTTTTGGGATGTCTAGAAGCCTTATCACAGCTCATTTGTCTGATGAGCACTGCCTACCTGGCTGGCATCTCTTTAACTCTCTTCCACAGGTCTTTAAACTTCATCACTGATTGGCTTTTGAGAATAATTATTGTGTCTTTAAATATAAATATGGAATGAATTGCAATAATTTGCCTACTACTTGTTCCAAATGTCCTATAGGTTGACTTTGTGAAGAAACAATTGAAAACTGTCTTTGAAAGACTTAGGCTGGAGCAACAGAGAATAGAAAATGATCTTTCAGACTGGAGTATAAAGGTAAGTGTGATGTGGCTAATAATTTATGTGTTTATCAATTTGTCGTTTATGTTAAATAAAATAATCATATACTTTTTTTCAGATTCTAGATCATTCTTTGGAAGAAAAGACTAACCCGCTTAGTGAACTGCCCATTGAATTAGAAAGTTTGGAATGCCCATACCCTGATTTGAAATCTTCAATTCTCAGTGAGTTCTATAAGTTTACACAGAAATATCAGAAGAAGCTTCAAGACTTTAATCTGCAGTTGGAAGACATATACAGGTGATAAGATAAAACTGAGTCCTGTGTAGACTTTTGACACTAACTTTTTATTTTTGTTTGGGATCACTATACTTCCAACTTACTGTATAGTTACTATGTAACTGGAATACAATCAATAAATGTTTAGACTGACTATTTGATGAATAGAGAGGGTTTTATTTTTTCAAAAAAATTTCTTGACATAATAGTTCTTAAGATTTTTATAAGGTTAAGACATGTTGAAAATGTCTCTTATTGAGCTCTTCACTACACAGGTAAGAAATAGTTTTCAAATATGAATTTTCAGTAACCACAACTTTTCTTTTCAAGATGTGAAGCTGCTCTGCAGTAATTGATACAATGGAAAATGTACCCATGGAATTATGTTACTTGTAATTGACTGTAATTTTATCCTATGATCAACACAGAGTATGTTTTCTAAATTTTAAAAAAATTTCTTCTATATGTTAAATTTCATTTTTAGGAAATAGACTTCTGGTTTTCTCCCAAGAATGATTATCCACTTCTGCATGGTGAATATAATGTTCAGCGATTTAAAATTCAGTTTGGCAGCGGTCATCTTCTCTAGTGTCTTCTATGTTAAAATTCACTTAGATGACAAATCCGGATACACCACTCTGAACTAGATCAATGGTCTACCTTATAGTGTATATGAAGCATCTAGGGGACATTTTGTAGGGAAACAGCTTTGTGTGCTATGATATTGACCTCAATATTTTCCCCGAAAGAATGTATATTTAAAAAGATAACTATTTAAGGGACACATTTATAGTAAATTAAAATAAAAGGTTTATAACTTTGGAATGGAAGAAGACGAATATGACAAATATTTATATTTCTTATGAATTGCCTGTGAACTGCAGCTCCTCTGTATGAAACTATTAATTGTAAGAAATAAATTACAGGGGGAAAAAACTTAAATTATACCAAGTAGAGTTATTTGCTTTGGTAGCTTCCTGATCCAAACTCTTCAGTTATAGCT
This sequence comes from Homo sapiens, assembly GCF_000001405.40. NCBI lineage: Eukaryota > Metazoa > Chordata > Mammalia > Primates > Hominidae > Homo > Homo sapiens. The sequence continues at coordinate 158,337,743 of NC_000002.12, read as the reverse complement.
TCTATTGGTCTTAGCACTCTTGTCAGTAAATAGAGCTGATTCTACCTGAAGTTGGACCCCTTTTTCTGATGGTAGCTTCTCCACATCACACACCTTTTGGTCTCCTGATAGCCTTTCCTTCCCCATCTCTCTCCTTTCCTTTCTTCTTTCCTATCTTGCAGTAAAGCTGAGAAATAATAATATACAATTTACACTTGATGATTGATTAATTACATGTTAACTGGAACTCAGTCGTAGTGAAGTACTAACTCAACCATGCACTACACTTAAGTCTCCAATTGTTAAATGAACATTGTCTTCCCACTCCCCATCCCAATCTTGTTAAAGAGATTTTAGAACTCATCAAGAAAGAGGAAGAGGATTTTTTGTTTGGTAGGGGAGAGGGCATTATAATCAGCCTGATAAACTGTAGCTGTGAAGAGGGTAAATCTGACCCTATCATTTAAAGCAAGTTGGCTGGCCCAGTACCTCCTCTCCCAGATGATTCCTTATCTCCCTGAGAAAGCTGGCTGAGATTGTGGTGTTTCTAGGTTAGTAACTCCCCAAGAGGGAGGAGTTTGCCTTAGCAGTCTAAAATGGCTTTCTTCCAGTAAGAGTTATTCTTCACAGCCCATTTTCCTTCTTTCTTTTTAACTAAACTCAATTTCTGCTCTTTCATAATGCAACCCTGTGTGACTCAGAAACAGTTGAGATTCACAGCTACATTAAAATTACTGAAGATTAAGTGGAGGATTAGATGAATATATATCACATGCTAACAATTCTGCAGAAGGAAGAAATATTGAGGATAAAATAGCTTAGGAAGGCTTGATGGAGGATGTAAAATTCACTATGGAGTTTGAAGAAGGGGTATGCTTAGCATAGGCAGAAGACGGTGGGGAGGCATTCTAAGAAGGGAGATTAAATGACTAGACTGTAAACCCCTTGAGGACAAAGTAATTTAGTAGTTATATTTGTATCCTTAACATCTTTAAATAAATGATTGTTCAATTGAGTTGAATTTGAAAAGAAAAACAATGAAGGCAAGATATGTTATGGGAACAGTAGGAATCTACTTTGGAGGAATATAAAGTTCATAAATTCTAGTTTAATAGTCTGCTTGCCACTTATAATTATCCATAATACATTTTATTCAGATAATGATCTGTTTCACTTGATGAATATTTATTGAATAAAACTTAAAATACAGTAGTCATTGCAAGCTCCCTGGTAGGGGGTTCAACAGACAGATTAGTTTAGTATATGGCTTTGCCTCTAAGAAGGCTTGGAATATTTGGGGGAAGAAATGTATATACATGTACCCTAACCAAATAAAAATAACATGCAAATGTCAACTAAAGAAAATATTTTATAAATATGCTGGCAGGAAATAATGAAGCATCAATAAAAACTGAATGAGGTTTCAGGAGTTGTGTCTTTGAGAAGAAAGAGTAAAAGAGTGATTTTGAATAAATACAGAGGTGGTGGCTATCAGTAGTCTGTGGCTTGTGAGCAGTAAGGCATAAAAGTATACTGTTCTACCTAAGACAATGAATTATAGGTTCAATCATAACATTATTTGTACTTCCAGTTTACCAGTATCTTCACTACTTTGATATGGCCTTCTCCCCTCTTTGTTCTAGTTATTGGGCTCACATAGATTGTGTTCATGTATGTGGAAGTGTGTGCATAGTTTAGACAGTTGTGCACTGCTATGCCATATGAAAGTTGAAATATCCAGGGGGCATTGTTTAATTATAAAAGGTTTTCATTGGCTGAAGGCAGTGGACATCATGGTTAGTCCCATTGTTTATTCAATTCTTCCTATTTTATAGTAGCTCGCTGGTTTGGTTTGAAATGACTCCATCTCTAGATCCAAAGGTAGGCAGTGATTGGGAGTATGTACCAGTCAGTGCAACCTCATTTTCCCAGGTCACAGTGACTAGCTAAGGGAGGTCTAATCCTCAGGAGAGGATTAGGTGAATATACATCACATGCTGATATGGTTTGGCTGTGTCCCCACCCAAATCTCACCTTGAATTATAATAATCCCCACATGTCAAGGGTGGGGCCAGGTGGAGATAATTGAATCATGGGGGCAGTATCCCCCATACTGTTCTCATGGTAGTGAATAAGTCTCCAGATCTGATGGTTTTATAAATGAGAGTTCCCCACCACAAGCTCTCTTGCCTGCCACCATGTAAGATGTGACTTTGTTCCTCCTTTGCCTTCTGCCATGAGTGTGAGGCCTCCCCAGCCATGTGGAACTGTGAGTCAATTAAACATCTTTCTTTTATAAATTACCCAGTCTTGGGTATGTCTTTATTAACAGCATCAGAACAGACTAATACACATGCTAATATTTCTGCAGAGGAAAGGAACATTGAGGATAAAGTAACTTAGGAGGATTGATGGAGGAAGCAAAATTCACTATGAACTTTGAAGAATGAGTAGGGTTAGCATAGGCTACCCTGAGCAAAGCTCAGGACTTTTGTTAGGTGCTTGTGAAAAGCAGTATCTTTTCTTCTGCATGGATGTTACCAAGAAAGCACATGGCTGACGTTACTGCTGGCAGTCATCTGGTGACCGAAGGAAGACAGCCTTTGAAGACAGGGCAGGGCCTCAGGAGTCCTGGAGAAACTGAGCTAGTGCTTTATTTGAATGGCATGGGAAGTCCACCTCACTGCTGGAATTTTAAGGGCCATTGGTCCAATTATTGTCTTAAACCAGTGTGACTTGGCTTTCTAGTTGTTTGCCACTAAAAACATCCGTAATTCAATACAATAATTGATTTGGCTTCAAAATATCCATGACTCATGGAATTAATCTGAAAAATTATATTAAATATTCCAATTTATTAGGAAGATTAAGCTTGTAAAATCAGCCAAACTTTAAAAATGAAGATTAACTAATGGTGGAGGGATGGGACTTGCGCAGCCAAATATAAATATATATATTTTTTAAAATCAAAATAAATTAGAAAGTTCTATGTGACTATGGAGTGTGTAGCAGATCAGTGGAACAAAACAGAAATAAAGCAGAAAAATATAATGATTTAATTTACAATAAAGGCTAATTTCAAAACTGGGGTAATATCAGATTATTAAAGAGATAGCATTAGATAATAGGCAATTGGAAGATAAGGTTAGGTCTCTTCATTCTATTCGACTCAGTGACCTCCAGGTGCGTTAAGATATGAAGAAAGAAAATCATAAAAGAATGAGATAAAAATAAAAATAAATAATCTTGAAGTAGAGAAGGCCATTCAAAAATCTAGCATAATTGTTACGCAGAGAAGTTTTAACTCTAGAAAATAGAGACTTCTGGTTTCCAGTCTAGCATGTAGAAACATAGTTGCCACTTGCTTCTAACAACAAATAAAAAGCTGAACAAACTGAAAAATCAGATGTCTTTGATCTATCAAATAAGTGAGACCGCAGCACAAAATGCTTCCCCCAAAATTGGAGAGACAGAAAGATACAAAGAATTACAACTTACTGGAGCAGAAATACATGAGCAGAAACCTCTGCAGGAACCAGTAATGAGCTAAGAAACCCTGAACCATAATTCATAAACTGCTAGAGGCTCAGTGTAGACAACTCTGAGAGTTAAAAACTCCAGGAGGACCCAGTCATAGGAGGCACTCCACACTTTTGTGAGTTTTACTCCAGGAGCTATATCAAGTTCTCACTGTAAATATCTGATAAAAATTCCCTTTTGCTTCTGGCAGCAGGAGAATAAAAGGAACCAACTTGATCTATGCATTCAATGCAATCCCAGTCAAAATCCCAGCAAATTATTTTTTGGATATTGACTGGCTAGCTGATTGTAAACTTGATGTGGAAAGATGAAAGACCCAGATAGGCAGATCAATATTGAAAGAGAAGAGCAAAGTTGGAGGACTGATACTACCCAACTTCAAGACTTACCATAATCAAGATTGTGTGATATGACCAGAGAATAGCCAAGCAGATCCACAGAACAGAAGAAAGAACCTAGAAATAGGTAAAGGGATCAATGCAACAAGAAGATCTAACTATCCTAAATATATATGCACCCAATACAGGAGCACCCAGATCCTAAAGCATGTTCTTAGAGACCTACAAAGAGACTTAGACTCCCACACAATAATAGTGGAGACTTTAACACCCCACTGTCAATATTAGAAAGATCAACGAGACAGAAAGTTAACAAGGATATCCAGGAAATGAACACAGCTCAGGACCAAACGGACCTAATAGACATCTACAGAACTCTCCACCCCAAATCAACAAAATATGCGTTCTCTTCAGCATCTCATCGTACTTATTCTAAAACTGACCATCTAATTGGAAGTAAAACACTCCTCAGCAAATGCAAAAGAACAGAAATCATAACAAACAGTCTCTCAGACCACAGTGCAATCAAATTAGAACTCAGGATTAAGAAACTCAAAACCGCACAACTACATGGAAACTGAACAACCTGCTCCTGAATGACTACTGGGTAAATAACAAAATCAAGGCAGAAATAAATAAGTTCTTTGAAACCAATGAGAACAAAGACACAATTTACCAGAATATCTGGGACACATTTAAAGCAATGTGTAGAGGGAAATTTATAGCACTAAATGCCCACAAGAGAAAGCAGGAAAGATCTAAAATTGATACCCAAATATCACTAGAGAAGCAAGAGCAAACACATTCAAAAGCTAGCAGAAGACAAGAAATAACTAAGATCAGAGCAGAACTGAAAGAGATAGAGACAAGAAAAACCCTTCAAAAAAATCAATGAATCCAGGAACTGCTTTTTTTGAAAAGATTAACAAAATAAATAGACTGCTAGTCAGACTAATAAAAAAGAAAAGAGAAGAATCAAGTAGACACAAAAAAACATGTTATAGGGGATATCACCACTGATCCCACAGAAATACAAACTACCATCAGAGAATACTATAAACACCTCTACGCAAATAAACTAGAAAATCTAAAAGAAATGGATAAATTCCTGGACAAATACACCCTCTGAAGTCTAAACCAGGAAGAAGTCGAATCCCTGAGTAGACCAATAACAAGTTCTAAAATTGAGGCAGTAATTAATAGCCTACAACCAAAAAGAGTCCAGGACCAGATGGATTCACAGCCAAATTCTACCAGAGGTACAAAGAGGAGCTGGTACCATTCCTTCTGAAACTATTCCAAATAATAGAAAAAGAGGGAATCCTCCCTAACTCATTTTATAAGGCCAGCATCATCCTGATACCAAAACCTGGCAGAGACACGACAAAAAAAGAAAATTTCAGACCAATAACTGTCAGATTCACCAAAGTTGAAATGAGGGAAAAAATGTTAAGGGCAGCCAGAGAGAAAGGTCGGGTTACCCACAAGGGGAAGCCCATGAGAATAACAGCTGATCTCTCGGCAGAAACTCTCCAAGCCAGAAGACAGTGGGGGCCAATATTCCACATTCTTAAAGAAAAGAATTTTCAACCCAGAATTTCATATCCAGCTAAACTAAGCTTCATAAGTGAAGGAGAAATAAAATCCTTTACAGACAAACAAATGCTGAGAGATTTTGTCACCACCACGCCTGCCCTAAAAGAGCTCCTGAAGGAAACACTAAACATGGAAAGGAACAACCAGTACCAGCCACTGCAAAAACATGCCAAATTGTAAAGACCATCAAGGCTAGGAAGAAACTGCATCAACTAACGAGCAAAATAACCAGCTAACATCATAATGACAGGATCAAACTCACACATAACAATATTAATCTTAAATGTAAATGGGCTAAATGCTCCAATTAAAAGACACAGACTGGCAAATTGGATAAAGAGTCAAGACCCATCAGTGTGCTGTATTCAGGAAACCCATCTCTCGTGCAGAGACACACATAGGCTCAAAACAAAGGGATAGAGGAAGATCTACCAAGCAAATGGAAAACAGAAAAAGGCAGGTGTTGCAATCCTAGTCTCTGATAAAACAGACTTTAAACCAACAAAGATCAAAAGAGACAAAGAAGGTGATTACATAATGGTAAAGGGATCAATTCAACAAGAAGAGCTAACTATCCTAAATATATGTGCACCCAATACAGGAGCACCCAGATTCATAAAGCAAGTCCTGAGTGACCTACAAAGAGACTTAGACTCCCACACAATAATAATGGGAGACTTTAACACCCCATGGCAACATTAGACAGATCAAGGAGACAGAAAGTCAACAAGAATACCCAGGATTTGAACTCAGCTCTGCACCAAGCGGACATAATAGACATCTACAGAACTCTCCACCCCAAATCAACAGAATATACATTCTTCTCAGCACCACACCACACTTATTCCAAAATTGACCACGTAGTTGGAAGTAAAGCACTCCTCAGCAAATGTAAAAGAACAGAAATTATAACAAACTATCTCTCAGACCACAGTGCAATCAAACTAGAACTCAGGATTAAGAAACTCACTCAAAACTGCTCAACTACATGGAAACTGAACAACCTGCTCCTGAATGACTACTGGGTACATAACAAAATGAAGGCAGACATAAAGGTGTTCTTTGAAACCAATGAGAACAAAGACAACCTACCAGAATCTCTGGGACACATTCAAAGCAGTGTGTAGAGGAAAATTTATAGCACTAAATGCCCACAAGAGAAAGCAGGAAAGATCTAAAATTGGCACCCTAACATCACAATTAAAAGAACTCGAGAAGCAAGAGCAAACACATTCAAAAGCTAGCAGAAGGCGAGAAATAACGAAAATCAGAGCAGAACTGAAGGAAATAGAGACAGAAAAACCCTTCAAAAAATCAATGAATCCAGGAGCTTGTTTTTTGAAAAGATCAACAAAATTGATAGACTGCCAGAAAGACTAATAAAGAAGAAAAGAGAGGAGAATCAAATAGACACAATAAAAAATGATAAAGGGGATATCACCACCTATCTCACAGAAATACAAACTACCATCAGAGAATACTATAAACACCTCTATGCAAATAAACTAGAAGTTCTAGAAGAAATGGATAGATTCATTAACACATACACCCTCCCAAAACTAAACCAGGAAGAAGTTGAATCTCTGAATAGACCAATAACAGGCTCTGAAATTGAAGCAATAATTAATAGCCTACCAACCAAAAAAAAGTCCAGGACCAGATGGATTCACAGCTGAATTCTACCAGAGGTATAAGGAGGAGCTGGTACCATTCCTTCTGAACCTATTCCAATCAATAGAAAAAGAGGGAATCCTCCCTAACTCATTCTATGAGGCCAGCATCATCCTGATACCAAAGCCTGCCAGAGACACAACAAAAAAAGAAAATTTTAGACCAATATCGCTGATAAACATTGATGCAAAAATCCTCAGTAAAATGCTGGCAAACTGAATCCTGCAGTACATCAAAAAGCTTATCCACCATAATCAAGTGGGCTTCATCCCTGGGATGCAAGGCTGGTTCAACATATGCAAATCAATAAACGTAATCCAGCATATAAACAGAACCAAAGACAAAAACCATATGATTATCTCAATAGATGCAGAAAAGGCCTTTGACAAAATTCAAGAACGCTTCATGCTAAAAACACTCAATAAATTAGGTATTGATGGGACGTATCTCAAAATAATAAGAGCTATCTATGACAAACCCACAGCCAATATCATACTGAATGGGCAAAAACTGGAAGCATTCCCTTTGAAAACTGGCACAAGATAGGGATGCCCTCTCTCACCACTCCTATTCAACATAGCGTTGGAAGTTCTGGCCAGGGCAATCAGGCAGGAGAAGGAAATAAAGGATATTCAATTAGGAAAAGAGGAAGTCAAATTGTCCCTGTTTGCAGATGACATATTTTATATCTAGAAAACCCCATTGTCTCAGCCCAAAATCTCCTTAGCTAATAGGTAACTTCGGCAAAGTCTCAGGATACAAAATCAATGTGCAAAAATCACAAGCATTCTTATACACCAATAACAGACAAACAGAGAACCAAATCATGAGTAACTCCCATTCATAATTGCTTCAAAGAGAATAAAATACCTAGGAATCCAACTTACAAGGGACGTGAAGGACCTCTTCAAGGAGAACTACAAACCACTGCTCAATGAAATAAAAGAGGATACAAACAAATGGAAGAACATTCCATGCTCTTGGGTAGGAAGAATCAATATCGTGAAAATGGCCATACTGCCCAAGGTAATTTATAGATTCAATGCCATCCCCATCAAGCTACCAATGACTTTCTTCACAGAATTGGAAAAAACTACTTTAAAGTTCATATGGAACCAAAAAAGAGCCCACATCGCCAAGTCAATCCTAAGCCAAAAGAACAAAGCTGGAGGCATCACCTGGCCTCAAACTATACTACAAGGCTACAGTAACCAAAACAGCATGGTACTGGTACCAAAACAGAGATATGCATCAATGGAACAGAACAGAGCCCTCAGAAATAATGCCGCATATCTACAACCATCTGATCTTTGACAAATCTGAGAAAAACAAGCAATGGGGAAAGGATTCCCTATTTAATAAATGGTGCTGGGAAAACTGGCTAGCCATATGTAGAAAGCTGAAACTGGATCCCTTCCTTACACCATGTACAAAAATTGATTCAAGATGGCTTAAAGACTTAAATGTTTGACCTAAAACCATAAAAACCCTAGAAGAAAACCTAGGCAATACCATTCAGGACATAGGCATGGGCAAGGACTTCATGTCCAAAACACCAAAAGCAATGGCAACAAAAGCCAAAACTGACAAATGGGATCTAGTTAAAATAAAGAGCTTCTGCACAGCGAAAGAAACTACCATCAGAGTGAACAGGCAACCTACAGAATGGGAGAAAATTTTTGCATTCTACTCATCTGACAAAGGGCTAATATCCAGAATCTACAATGAACTCCAACAAATTTACAAGAAAAAAACAAACAACCCCATCAAAAAGTGGGTGAAGGATATGAACAGACACTTCTCAAAAGAAGACATTTATGCAGTCAGCAGACACATGAAAAAATGCTCATCATCACTGGCCATCAGAGAAATGCAAATCAAAACCACAATGAGATACCATCTCACACCAGTTAGAATGGCAGTCATTAAAAAGTGAGGAAACAACAGGTGCTGGAGAGGATGTGGAGAAATAGGAGCACTTTTACACTGTTGGTGGGACTGTAAACTAGTTCAACCATTGTGGAAGTCAGTGTGGCGATTCCTCAGGGATCTAGAACTAGAAATACCATTTGACCCAGCCATCCCATTACTGGGTATATACCCAAAGGATTATAAATCATGCTGCTATAAAGACACATGCACACGTATGTTTATTGTGGCACTATTGACAATAGCAAAGACTTGGAACCAACCCAGATGTCCAACAATGATAGACTGGATTAAGAAAATGTGGCACATATACACCATGGAACACTATGCAGCCATAAAAAATGATGAGTTCATGTCCTTTGTAGGGACATGTATGAAGCTGGAAAGCATCATTCTCAGCAAACTATTGCAAGGACAAAAAAACAAACACAGCATGTTCTCAGTCATAGGTGGGAATTGAACAATGAGAACACATGGACACAGGAAGGGCAACATCGCACACTGGGGCCTGTTGTGGGGTGGGCGGAGGGGAGGGATAGCATTAGGTGATATACCTAATGTTAGATGACGAGTTGTTGGGTGCAGTACACCAACATTGCACATGTATACATACATGACTAACCTGCACATTGTGCACATGTACCCTAAAACTTAAATAAAAAAAAAAGAAATGAGATAATTTAGTAAGATGGCTGGGTATAAAATTAATGTAAATAGAACCCAAACTTTCATATATATAAACAGTGGCCATCTAGAAGATCTCATGAAAGAAAGAAACAGAGTTTGCAATAGCAATTCTAAATATAGAATATTTGGGAATTAATTTAACAAGAAATGTAAAAGATCTGTACTATAGGAAAAAAATTTCAAATGTTGCTGAAGGACATAAAACTTGAACAAGTGATATTTTAGTCTCAGAAGACTGAATAATTATAGAGATATTTTCCATCAATATATGAATTTAACGATATCAATAAAATTCACAGGATTAAAATATTAATCTGAATTTGAATTTAGGAGAATTCTGAGGAAAAGAAGCAATAATGAGGGAAGACTATTGCTGTGTTATATTAAGCATTTTATAAACTGTAGCATGTTGCCATGAACAGATCAGTCAATGGATGTGATTTGGGCTCAGACAATCCAAAATCCTTGGATGAATTTGGGTTCAGAATTGAGTTAAAGGGAAAAGAAGCAAGGAGTGAGGCATTCACGTTGCTCATGTGATCATATTCTGACATTATAGCTTCCTGAGGTGGTAGGTGGGTCCTTTCCTAATCATGGCAGAGGCATTATTGTGTAAGTCATATAATATGTAGTCATAAACTATTTTTTGCTTAAAGAGTTTGAATAGTTTTTATCATCTGCAACTAAATCTTAACAGATGTGGCAAGAGTGTGGAGAAAACAGGTATTTTATATTCTGCTAAAGTGAGTCTAAACTGGTGAATCTTTTCTATAGAGCAGATCAGCAGGACTTCCCAGATCACAAAGCATATGCCCTTTGTCCTGACAGCCTCTAAATCTCAATAATATATCATATAAATGTACTTGAATATGTATACACTGATTTATTTTTACAGTTATTCATTGCAGTAGTGAAAGATTGAGCAAAAACCTTAATATCAATAGGAACTAGTTTTATAGATTATTGTACATACACAGAATATATTATTTTGCAGATTAAAAATTGTGAAAATTTATATTAACTGACATGGAACAATATGTAAGGGTTAGGGTGAGGTATATAGTTAAGTAATCAAAGCAATGCACAGTCTACATTGTGTAAAACAGGAAAAAGCAAACATATATATTTTTATATATTTGCTTTTTCATGTCTGAAACAATACACAAAAATTGATAACATTCATCTTGAGGGAGGGGAGCCAGATGCCTGGGGGAGTAGGTGTGAGAAAGAATTTTTATTGTATCCTCTTTCATTAAACTTTTTGAATTTTGAACCATATGAGTATTGTTTCTATTCTAAAAATTTTTAAAGGAAAAAAATTGACAAGGGTAAAAATGAAGTAACAGGAAAATGTTGGCAACATATCAGGTACAAATGATTAAAATCCCTAATGCATAAAGACATTTTGCAAGTTAATTGAATGGTGAACAGCCAAAAGGAAAATGGAGCAAATGAGATGAAGATATGACTGACTTATCCTTCGTATTTTCAACAAATATTTATTGAACATTTATTGGCATAAAATATACAAAAATTCGTGTACTCATGAAACAGAAACATGCTGAAAACCATAAACATAATACATAAGTATATTATACACAGTAGTGTTAGAAGGTGATAAGTGCTATGAAAAAATACAAAGTAAGAGAGATAGAAAGTGTTGGGGTTCTGGTGGCAGACTGTAATTTTAAGTAGATGTTTAGGGGTAGGCCTGGTTGAGAAAGTGACATAAAAGTTAAGACGGGGTTGGGAGAACTAGTCCTGCAGATATTTGGGTAAAAATATTCCAGTCAATGTTTACTGAGGCGGGAGTATGCCTGGCAAGAGGCCAGTGTGGCAGGAACAGAGTGACAGATCTGGAGAGTAGTAGAAGGTGGGGTCATAGAGGTATGGATGGGGGGCAGGACATTTAGAGCCTTGTAGCCATTTTTAAAACTTCAGCTTTTACTCTGTGTGATATGAGAAGCTGTTGGAAGGTGTTGAGCAGAAGTGAGCAGAGTGACAAAATCAGACTTATGTTTAGCAGAATCACTTTGGCAGTTACTGTGTTTAAGATAAACTGTGGGGCTGGGGGGTAGAAGTGCAAGAAGATATTGGACACTTAGATAAAGTAATCCAGTTCAGCTCTTGGATATATTTTAAAGGCAGAGCCAACAGCACCTGTTGACAGATTCAATGAGCCATGTAAGAAAAAGAGAGCAACAAGAATAGTTCCAAATAGTTGCTTTTTGGGGACTGAGCAACTAGAAGGATGGAGTTGCCATCAACTTAGATGGGGAACACCGTATGTGAAGCAAGCTTTGGCTGTGGAGAAAATCCGGGGTTGAGGTTTGGACACGATGAGGTTGAGATGCCATTAGGTATCTGTGTAGAGATTGTGTGGATGCAGTTGGCTATATGGGTTTGGAATTCAGGAAAGAGCTCTTGACTGGAATTACATGGATATGAGTCATTAGCATGAGATTGGATGTGATCACTAAAGTAGTGAGTAAAGAGAGGAAGGAGAAAATCAAAGACTGATCCCTTAGGCCTGCCAACATTACAATGTCAGGGACAAGAGGAAGAGCCAACAAAGGACACTGAGAAAATGTCTGTGAGATATGAAAACAAAGAGAGTGTAGTGTCCTGGAAGGCAAGTGAAGAGGAAGTGGTCAGTCCATTGAATACATGCTGCTGGTAAGTAAAATACACTGATAATTGACTGTTGGCTTTAATAGAGGTTGTTGGTGGCTTTAGATGGAGGTTCAATCTTCATTGAAGAAGTGGAAGCAAATGCCTGATGGAATAGATTGGAATGCGTAGGAAAGGAATTGAAGATGATGTGTACAGATAACTATTTTGAGAAGTTTTTCTGCAAAGGAGAGTAGGCAAGTAGGGCCAGGCTTTTATGTAGTTATTTGCTTTTTTTTTTTTTTCAAATAGGAGACGTAGCAGTGTGTTTGATGCTAGTAAGAGTAATCTAGTAAAGGATAAACTCTGAAGATGCAGGCGAGAGGGGAATTGCTGAATGATGCCTTGGAGTTGTAAGGAGAGTTGGGATTTAGTACACAAGTGGAGGAATAAGCACAGATGGTTCATCTGCTACTCTAACAGGTGAGGTTGCAGAGTATATGGTGCAGATGCTGGGAGGGGAATGAATAGATGTTCATGGTGGCAGTCTGTGGAACTCTGGCTGGTAATTCTAAATGCAAATGACTAAGAAAGTTATAAAAGCCTCTCTACTCATCAAAGCAATGAAAATTTAAAAAATACTCAATTTTTTTCCTATAAAATGTAAAACATTGTGTCCAGAGTTTAAAATGGTATGGGAGAAATGAGCATTTTAATATATAATTGGTGTATTTGGAAGTCTGACACCATGTCATCAAAAATCTTTATAAATGTGAGTACTCTTTGTCTCTTTAGATATGATCTTTAAGGAAATAATCAGAGACATAAAGTGGATATTGGCTTCAGGGGTGTTCAACATTAAATTTTCTCTCCTTAGTGATGGCAAAATCTTCAAAACTACCTAAAGAGCCAGCAAATAGGGAATGAGCTTCATCAAGTATGATATATCCACACAGTGGAATACTACACTGACATTAATGATTATATAAAGGATATTTCTAATGACACAAATGGTTTGAATATGTTGCTATGTAATTAAAAAGCAGGCCACAAAATAGTTTATAGAACATGGACTTTCTTTTTTTCTTTCCTTCTGAAAGCGTTACATCTATATATAGCCACAGAAAAAAGACTGAAATGTTATTCACCCAAATAAACAATAAAAATAGTTATCCTGGGCCAGGTGCAGTGGCTCATGTCTGTAATCTCAGCACTGTGGGAGGCAAGATGGGTGGATCATTTTCGGTCAACAGTTCAAGACCAGCCTGGCCAACATGGTGAAACCCCGTCTCTACTAAAAATACAAAAATTAGCTGGGCAGTAGTGGTGCATGCCTGTAATCCCAGCTACTTGGGAACCTGAGGCAGAAGAATCGCTTGAGCCTGGGAGGCAAGCTGAGATCACACCACGGCACTCCAGTCTGGGCAACAGGGTAAGACCCTATCTCAAAAAAAAAAAAAAAAAAAAAAAAAAAGTTATTCCCAGGTGGTGAAATTAGACATAATTTTGGCATATTTTTACTTTCTATTTTTTAAAGCAAAAATACATGTTTTTAAAAATCTAAGTTAAAGGGTGAAGAGGAGACCATTGATATTTAATAAGTACCTATTACATGATCTGATAAATACAAATGATTTTAACCCTCAGTTTACCCCATCTTAAAAGCTCTGTTTTACAGATGAAGAAACTATAGCTCAAAGGAAGGTGAGCAATTTCCCCAAAGTCTCTGACATGGTAAATGGTTGGGCAAGATTACATCTCTTCTGCACATCTGAATAGAGAGCTTTCCCCGCTTACCACACTGCTTCAAGAATGTACACATGCCAGGATGCTGGTAAATCAGGTTGAGTACCAGTATCAGCTGGTAAAACAGGTTGCCATTTCATAGAAATATGATAAAAGCTATACATGTGAGCACATATGTAATTTTAAGTTTCAAGTTGCTGTATTAAAAATGTAAAAAGAACAAGGTGAAATTTATTTTAAAGTGTGTCTTATTTAATGCAATAGTTCCACAATATTATAATTTCAACATACAATCAATATTTTTCAATTAATGAGATATTTTACATTCTCTTTTTTCATATGAAGTCTTTGAAATCTGGTCAGCATTTTATATTTAGAACACATCTTAATTTGGACTGCCACATTTTTAAGCCACATGTGGCTAGGGGCTAACATCTTGGACAGCACAGCTTTAAAGGATGATCTCTTTTACTGAAACACATTTTAAAAACAATTTGACTACAATTGAACCTCTTTCTTTATTCAGTGTTTTTGTGAAGCTATTTAGATTCTATTTGGGCTGTATTTCATCAGTAACATGAAGACAAGTTTAATTGCTTGTTTGAGACTCAGATGAGATTGTGGCTTTAATTTCCTAACATTTGGATGAATTAACCATATAGATGAGACATAATTGTCTGATGCTCCATTTAGCTATGTCAGATATGAAGTCAATATGTGGAAAAAGCTAAAGAATGATGGCAAGTAATTTCTACTTTATAGTTTAATAGGTATATTAAATTTTATAATGTTAGTTTATAATTAATATTCTATTATTATTCGAGATCTGACTCTGAATGCTATTTAAAACCCACAATGATTTAACAATTTTCTCCTCTGTATGTACATTGCTGATGCCCATAGTTTTATATTTTCTCAACTAAACTATTTGAATTTACCCTACTTGTTAGTAGCTTTATTCTACTCATTAGTAATTTTTAAGATAACTATTTAGTGCTCTATGAGCTTTTCCTTTTGTGCATATTTCTCTTAATACAGAAATAATTCTATTTGTTAAAGAAAATTTTTAAAATACAGTTAGAAAACTGGAGAAGAAACTAAAAATTAATCTAAATTTCCAACACTCAGATATATCCTTTGGTAACATTTTATATATTTCAGATGTATGAATGTTGTTTATAAAAATGAAAAAAAACTATACACATATCTACTGATTTTTCCTGTTTTGAATCATATCCAGTGTCATTCCTTTTTTCAATAAATGGTTACTGAGCTGCTTCTATGATTTAGGTCATGTATTAAATATTATTTTACAATATATTTTTAAATTAGATGGATAGTATTACAATGTATGACTGTATCACATACATTTAACCAATTTCCTATTTTTGGACAATTATTTTTACCACATTTTGATAATTGTTTTAAAAACTTGGAATAGACAATTTTGTCACCATATTTTGAGTAGTTCTATAATTATTCCCTTAAGATGAACTCCTAGAAATAGAACTGCTGAGTCAAAGGGCATGAAAAATTCTAAGACTTTTGGTAGCATTGGTAAATTGCCTTCCAGACAAGTAAAAACAATTTATGTTTTCATTAGTAGACTTTATATTATTTGGTTCATCTGTACTTGGAGATCAGGGCATTGGAGATTGCCGTCATGTGTGAATATCATCAGTGTCACGTTCATGTTCTTTCTCTCTCTTTCAATATTTATTTGTGTAGCATAGCTCTTTCACTGTCCTTATGTGAAAGTTTTGCCAAAAGAGAAATCTATGCATAGTTTTCATAATAAACCTGACTCTTCCCTTGTTTCAAAATAAACCATATTTCAAAATAAACTCTATTGCTAATAAAGATGAGATGGATAAAAGTCAGCATCAGAAGGCAACACTCAAGAAACACTGTGTGGCTTCACATAATTGTCTTTAAAAATATGTGAAATAAACAAATGCTTACATATATGACCGTTGCTTGATGAATACAAGACAGAAGAAAGAGAGGGAAAGGGGTATAATAGGTAACTGACATTTGCTTACTTGATGAGGTGACAACAAGTTAAAACATTGGAGCCCTAATTCCCATGTGGCATTTTTCTCTGAGAATGAACTCTCAGAGCTGTTGGAAAGTTTCAGTGCCTGGGCATGTCCAGTCTCAGGTTCTGCACTTCCAGTCTGAGCTGGTTGTGTGCCAAGGGTGATTAATAAGGAGAGAAGTTCCCAGAAACAGCAGCGTAATTACCTTATCTTCCAGTGTTCACGTAGTCTCGTTGGTTAGATGACCCCTCACCCAACATCCTGGGTCACTGCAGCTCCCATTTTCTCTTGTCCAACTTGATGTTGGGGTTTATATTTTTGGAAGGAGTGGGTAATAGTGTGGACCATGATTTTATTTTTGTCACATATCTTTAGTAGCTGTCTCTTAAAATACATCATTCATAATAACTACTTTATGGTTTTATACTCTTCCTTTAAACACCAAAAACCACATTTGGTGTTTATTCAACCTACTTTGAGTTTGTCGTGGGAATAAAACATTTTAAATTCTCTTAGATATGGTGGAGTGCCTTTTTTCAAGGGAAAAAAGGGTTCACTTTCTGCAGGATACCCTCAAAAACTAGTCTTAGAGTTTACCTTTGCTTAGTTATATTTATTTGCATGTTATGTATTTGTGAAAAGTATATCTAGGTATTTAAGAATAGCGGCTTAAATACCTAGTTTAAGTCTTTATTAGTAATATCACTGCAGCTTCACCTGCCTTTTTAATGTAATTGTTTTAGCTAGTGACTGCACAATGTAATGGTGCATGAGGCTACATTTTCAATACTTCAGGAAACTGAAAAATCTGGGTTTTATATGATGAAGAGGTGAAAATCATTTATAAGGGGTTTCTATTCTTCACTGGGTGTGAAATCAAATTAATTTGGATAAATATGATTGAAGAAAATGGAAACAGCAGCTTGATGGGTTTGTGTCTAGGACAACTGACATTTGTTATTGGATAATACAGAAAGAATATATTGTAAAAATAATAAAATATGTGTAGCTATATGCAAAGCCAAGATTAAAATTTCTATGGACAAGATTGTCAAATTTTAACATGAGAAGAATTTTAACACCTATTTTATATAACAAACCAATTGTTCATGACAACAACTTTTCCCTATTCTTTGTACCTTGAAGTCCAATTGCAGTTAAAATATAATCTTTTGAGGTAACCATAAGAACGAACACTATGGAGAACAAGTAATGTAAGAATAACTACACCATTCCCAGGTTTATGTTTATTTGCCGTATTAGTGCCTATCAGAAAACATAAAGTTGAACATTGCTAATATCTAAAAAATAAACTGAGAAGAACCATCACTCTTTTAATTCATTCTTATAATTTCTTAGTGATTACTTATGGTTGGTTTGAGATGACATTATGACATTTTATGTGGCAATTAAAATTTCAGAAGACCTTATGATGGCTAATTAAAATTTTCCTCATACTGTCCCAAAGAAGTAGGCCAATTTTATTACTCTTGCTTTTGGACTTAGAAAATTGAGTCATAATGTCTATATAAGGTAATTTTATTTAATTCAACTTTACTGCACTTTAAAATGTTCTTGTCCCCCCAAAAATGAAGAATAAAATGGTAACATGGAGACAGATTTTGGCTCAATATAAGGATTTAAAACATAGAGCAAATAATGTATTTCTAGATGATCTTGTCTTCACTGATTCTATTCATTTGAGTTTGAGGGGGTTTTTCTGGTCTTAAAAATGGCCCTTGGTGTTGAACATCATTGGTCTGCCCACAATCAGCTGCAGAGTATTCATCACTTTAGATGCTGGTCTCTCCCCATGTTGGGTCTATATCTCTTTCATCTCTACATCCTTTCATAGTACTTTTCTTCCAAAGCAATATTAAGATGCTATGTTTAAAAAGTCATGTTTCTCTTTTTCAGTTTGCTGTCAAATTATCTTTAGCTATAAGAGAATACCCAATCCAACTCAAAGTAACTTACATAATAAAGGAATTTCTTATTTAACAAGAAGTCTAGAGGTAGAAAAGTCCAAGTACAGTGAGGTCTGGTGTTCTGCATTCTCTTGCCCAGCCTTCTTGCAATTTAGATGACTTCCTGCCAGACAGTTCTGCATAACAATGTCCAGAAGCAGAGAGGGACCTTCCTTCTTTCTTTGTGACTCTTTTTAAGAGCTAGGAAACCTTTGCCCCAGAGGACTTCCCCTCACATTTCATTGGCCAGAATTCGATCTTTTGTCCCTGTTCCTACCAAACACTTGTTGGAGAAACAGGAAGTTTGTGAATGGGTGTTTGTGAATAGCTGAAAATCAATCCAGATTCACTGCCAGGGCTGGAGATGGGGCTCATTTTTCCTGAAGCAGTGCCAAGTGTGGATGGAGGAGAGTGGATCTTGAATAAAGTCAGCATTCTGGTGGGCAGGAGCAGGGGTGGGAGCAATGTCTGCTACAGTTTTCTTTTCCTTACACTTCTTATGATGAATGTAATTATTAAAAACTTAGCATATGGGGTGGTTGAGCAATTACATCTTACTTTTAAAAGGCTATTTTAGGTGAGGTGCTGTGGCTTATGCCTGTAATTCCAGCACTTTGGGAGGCCGAGGTGGGAGGATTGCTTGAGCTCAGAAGAAGACCAGCCTAGGCAACAGAACAAGACCCCATCTCTACTGAAA
This sequence comes from Homo sapiens, assembly GCF_000001405.40. Classification (NCBI taxonomy): domain Eukaryota; kingdom Metazoa; phylum Chordata; class Mammalia; order Primates; family Hominidae; genus Homo; species Homo sapiens. The sequence continues at coordinate 158,318,944 of NC_000002.12, read as the reverse complement.
ATAAAAAATTAGCTGAGTGTGGTGGCAAGTGCCTGTAGTCCCAGCTCTGTGGGAGGCTAAGGCAGAAGGACTGCTTGAATCCAGGAGTTCAAGGCTGCAATGAGCCATGATCACGCCACTGCACACTGGCCTGGGTGACACAGCGAGACCCTGTCTCCAAAAAAAAAACAGTAAAAGGCTATTTTATCTCGGTCATGTTATTTTAAAACTTCCACTAGAAAACTACTGCTGGATGGATGTTTCAGAGACAAAGAGTGGTTTAAGAGGCTTGCCATCATCCCTACTATTCTACTTCCAAAAAATATACATTCTAAGTAAAAAAAAAAAATGAGCTTTCTATGTAAACTTCTCTAAAAAAAAATCTAAGTAAAAGCAATATGCTTGCTATTTGGAAAATGCAACTTCCAAATAAATCTCTTAGCCTCCTATTCTGACCGGATTCCCAAAGCCATCACTTTTAGAACCCTGCTATCTTTTCATCATTCTTCAGAAGAATGAGGCTTTGGAATTTGGCACAAGTTTTGGCTTTATCCTATAGGTCACTTTTTTTTTAATTGTTTGTTTCAATGGATTTTGACCTTGCTAGTGAAAGTTCACTTTATTCTGGTTGTCACCTTCCAGCTAAGTAGCCAGACTGGTAGAGCCAGGGACTGTGGAGGTGGGAATGGATCTCTGAGGAATAGAAGATGCATACCCAGGGAAGATCAGATTCTGTTGGTCAGAAATGGGTCTGGGAGCAGGGAGCCTCCTATAAACCAGACTGAAAATCAGACAGATTTATATCTGGACAGTGGGCCTGGGCTGGGATCATTGGTGGATGAAGAAACCAGGCTGATTAGATTGGGTGTTTGGATGGTTCTGTCTTGGAAAGAAAAAATTGAAAGGTGAAGTCAAGTTGTATATTACAGAGGGTCAGACCCGATGCAGCCAGACAAGAGGATGGTCTGTCATCCACATTAATTGAATGGTGGCTCACTGCACTCCTACTTCTCTGTGAAGGAGCAGTAGGTGTCCCCTAACACTGTTCTGCTTTAAGAGATGAGTTTTTCTTCAGGTCAGGTTCACTATTGCATCAGCTAGCTTCAGGAGGCACTAATTACCATTTTGCCTGGAAAGCTCCCTTTCTCTGAGAAAACATAAAACAGCTTTCAGCCAGTTTGTAACCACAATGTTTAGTTTCATAAACTTGTTTCTGTTGTTAAAGTATCTGTTACCTGTATGTGTCCTGTTTAGCACCATTGTCTGCCCTCCACCCCTAAATGTATTTGAATGTCACGGAACCAGAACCCAAGGAAAGTGGTTTAAACATGGCTATGAGGACCACTAGTAGCTAAGTTAATTGTGAGTCACTTTAGGATTTTTGGAATAATTCAAACAGGTAGAATTAGGGAGACAATTGGCTTGGGTCAGGGTGAATTTTTACAGCTCTGTTGTTGTTTTCTGAATTATCTGTTTTGTCTCACTTCCTGAGAAATCATAATAAAATGATATCTGTGATCGATACTATATTGTGGGGCAGGGGATGGTGAATGAGAATTGAATGGTAAATACCTCACCTTTTGTAGGCTGAAATTCCCTGAAGTGTTCAAAGTACTCAATAAACTTACAAATTGTAAAATCTTGGCAGGCTACGATAAAGATGAACATTCTAAAGCACTTTAAATTAGAAAGTTTAGACGGACAAAAAGGAATAGAAATTGCAGAGAACTGCTAAAGATTTTTTGTCTAAAGATTTTTTTTTGTAAATTGCAAAAAGCTTAGGACACTTTAAAAGTTTTCTTTAAAATTTTCTTTTAACGTAGAGTCATTTTTCAAATTCAGAAAGTAGATAAGAGATGAGAATATTTTTCACTGTCTGTGCAATTTAGCTAGTTCTGTCATTAGAATCACCAGCAAAGCAGTTGAATTCAACAAGAACTTTGAAAGGTAAAACCTAACCTTAGTTTCAGCTATTTGATATAGATTTTTCTATACAAAAAAGATGAAGGTTTGATTTAAAAAGTGTCCACATTTACACTTGGAAATGCAAATATATTGAATCTGATTTTATTTTAGAAGTTCAAAGTGCATGTTCCTCAGAAGTGGCTACTTTGTTATTGTGATGAGACTACTATGTTTAAATATTCTTAGATTTTTACTATTCAAAGGCTCAGTATATACGTAGGGTATGTATGTAGCTGAGGGAGATTTCTCCCTTCCTCAAATGCAGCATTCTAATGGAGATGCAGGGCTGTTTCATTATTACTGCCTATGTGAATATTTGCTCCAATATTTAAGGCTGCAGCTCTGGAAACTGCTATAAATACATAACCTAAAAATAATAATATTGTGAGTATTTATATATCATTTCCTTTAAGCATGTTTTTTAAATTTTTATTCTACATGTACTAAAAAGTGACTTGCAATTTGAGTAATTTTGGTAACTGGAAAAAACTGTTGGGATGTGAGGCTTCTAAAATCAACAAGAAGGTCAAAATGGATATGGTGACAGTTCATGGCATGCTTGCTTTGAAATATCTGACTTTAATGTCTTATGATCATTTCATATGTTTAAGTGGTTTAATATTGTCACTAAAATGGCAGCTAATTAATACATTCAGGCAATGTATAAAAATGCACTGAGTGCCACAAATTCTTCTGCTGCTATATTTATTTATAGCAATGTACACTGCTTAATGTGTGCTTCTATTTGGAAAGCATTTTTGTAAATGTTTGCCATTTTCACTTTCTCTTTGAGGACAGCCACAATCTTGCACTGCCACTCAGTATGAGATATCATCAAAGAAATTAATTTAGGAGTACTTCTCCATTTACCAAAAGATTTAAACTATTTTTGAAAATTACGGGTAAGATTGCTTGTAGATTATCTTAGGGTAGGTTCTATTGAAACAAAGCTGAGACAGGGATTCCTAAACAAGAGATTTGTTGGGAGGTGCTCTCAGAGGGAGGGCTGTGAAGGAAGCCAAATAGAGGAAGGGAAATGTGTAAGCAAGAAAGTGTCAGTGGAGACTGGCCATGGTTTGCTCCCATGGGGAAAGGCCAGAGTGCAAAGGTATCATAGAGTTGATCCTCTCTGGAGGCAAGTAGGCTGGCTTTCTGTACCTCCAGGTAGGTCAGTCATTGGTTATGGTTGGCCTTTGAAAGAGGGTGGGAGGGTAGCCTTCTCTAAAGAGGGTGGGAGAGGCAGCTCCTAGTTGGTCCATAGCAATTCTCCAGAGAAGGAAGGGGCATCTGTGAGTTATCTGCCAAGACTCACAGCATCTCGGTGATGGGAATTCCATCTAATAAAGGCGATGTGGGTGTGGTACCAACAGTATCCATTATAGAGGTGAATCACAATTTAGAGGAACAGAGAACTGGTTGGACCTAGCTTCTATTGCTTCCCCCTTCCCAGGGCACACACTACCCATACATCCACATTTATAATCAAATAAAGGTGGAAATTCAAACTTTTTTCAAGTCCTTTTGATTAAAAAAACATTTTACAAACATTAATGAAGACATGTACTTTAGTTCTATTTTTTTGTTTGTTGCTTGTGGTATGGTAATGCAGAATTTATGTGGCTAACTCTGCTATTAAAATGCATTTATGTTAACCTGAATGAAGATGGGCTGCTTGAGAGAGGACCTGAGATGTTGTCCATGAAAACCTGAGGATGTTTTAAATGCCAAGTTTACTCAGGCAAACCTTTCTCCTGGCTTAATACTCCTATTTGTACTGCTTTATTTGCAGAAGCCTTTGTCTATACGTGCATAACTGCTTCAGACAGGACTGAAACACTTGGTGTGTTCAATGAATTCATTTCCAGTTCTCTCTGCAATAAATTATTATGTCATACTGAAGAACTTTAGAGTATTCCTCTTCCTGGTAGAACCTCCAACTCTCTTTTTTTCCCCCTATTATGAAACAGATAGGACTTTTTTCTTTGAAAAAGAATTTTTCTTTCTTGCTACTTATCAGAATAATAATCTTGTATGAGAACATTGGAATTCCCATCAGTGTCACTGATTTAAGAGGTGTTTTATTCTGTTTTAAATTGTCAAATATTTTTTAGGGGCATGGAAGATATATAAGAAATTCTTTGAAATGCACAGTTAACTTAAAGTATAAGACCATTGATATAGTAGAAATAAACAATGACAAGTATCCTCTTGGATTAAGAAGTATTTGTTGCTAATAATATTCCCTCTGATTGCATTTGTATTTGATTATTCTAATTTATTAAACAGGAATAATGATATGCAAAATAAACTCAGAATATAAAAAGATATTAATTCAGTTTAGTGTTCAAACTGATATTGCAAACTTTTCACTCTGCACAAGACTTTGCTAATAGTCTAGAAAGAATGCAAACCAGGATGGTGCCTAGGAGTGTTCTGAAATGAAAAAGGCCTTTTGGAGCGTAGTGGATATGTTACTGGGAAGGTGACTTGAAGGGATCCTATTTGCAAATGATTTCTTCAGTGGTTTTAATGCCGTTGGTTATCTTTTCACTATCAATATTTAGTATTGCCTCTATGAAGCACTAAGAAGATAAAGTAAAAGATAATTTTAGACTTTCTTTTGAAGTCAAACCTTAAATAAGTCTCTTCCTCAGTCTGTCTTTATTTTCCGTTACATAATTGCTCATTTAACTGTCTACATTTATACTTTTCTCCAGTTTAGACATAGGAACCTTGTTGAATAAATAAAATTCCTTTTTAATCTGTATATATAATTATTTTCCAATGTTTATTTCATTCATTGGTCATGATTTCTAAAATATTGTTTTAGGCAAGAATAATTTATTTTTGAAATACTATGTCTCATCAAACTTAATTGAATTGTGCCTGATACTCATGGCAAGACCAAATAAAGAACTGAAGGAACCCATTGCATTAGAATTTAGAAGCTTTTCTGAAACAGACATTAAATTTGGCTAATGTATTTAAAATACACAGAAACCTCGTTTTGCTTCGTTACTATCACTTGCTAGTAGCTTGAACAGTTTGAGTCCCTCAAATTTCATGATTGCTCAATAATATGTTGTGACATTTTTGTTGCTTCTAGAAACTGTCAACTAAGTGAAGAAGACCACTGGATTTACCAGGCTATTTTGGATCAGTACCCTGGAGATCTCTTTGGAAGAAGGACTCTGTATCTGGACATGTTACAAAGATATTTTCCTCACAAATCTAGGCATGATTTGGTGAGTACTGGACCTACCTACATACTGGCAAGTTAAATTGTTTTAGTAGTCAATAATTATTAAGCAATGTACATGTATTTTCAATGGTTCTTTAAAAATTATTTTTTTCCTACCCTCTAGAAAATAATAGGGTTATATAATAGTTTGAAAGCCTGTGCAGGTCATTTTTTCAAGTTTGTCCTGTCCATAACGAGGTGGGGGGCCCCCTCGGGCAGAAGTCACTCTCTGTGCCTACTTGCTGCGGAGATCTTCACTGTGGTCCCAGGGCTGCTCTGCTAGTATTTGACTCCTGGATGTCCATACAGCCAGATGCTCACCTTCAGGGGCTTTACCATCTCCAGGTCTTGCCTGAAAGTGAAATGCCTGCTCCACCATTCACAGAGCCTGCTCTACCTCAGTCTTTCTAGTCACAGGGAGGCCAGCACTTGCCCTGGGGGTGGTACTTACTTATCTCTTCCCCACCACAACAACTCTGCTTGATCCTCCTAGTTGGATCTGAAACACAAATACCCCAAATACAGAACTCAAAGATGTGACTGATATTTTCCTAAAAAGGAACTGGGAAATTACTGTTTTATTGTTTCATTCTTTAGTCAACAAGAACACAAGGGCAAGAAAACAGAAGTTACTCTGTCACCAGTTAATTTCACAATAACTCACCTTATAACATACACGTAAACAAACACACAGACTTTTAATTTTTAAGTGAGCCATGCTATAGCATCTTATATACTCTGCATTTTTGTAATTGTTTTAAATTAAGCAAGTAATAATACTCACATGTATATAGAAGTTAACCATATATCAATCACGTGGAAACTCCTTGAATACATGTAAGAGTGGATGGGAGAAGTACTATTCCCATCCTTAGATGAAAAAACTGAAGCAAAGGTCACACAGCTACTGTGACCATTTTCTCCCATCCTCTTTCATCCTCTTCACCTCTCCCCCTTTATTCAGTAACAGATACCTGTTATATAATAAATAGTTCACTCTGGATTTTTAAATAACTTTCATTTATTAAATTAGATCTTTCCTTTTGTTCCCTATTGATTCTAGTTGCTTCTGTGACAAGTTGTTATTTATAACTTGAAGATTTTTATATTTTCCTATTATTATCATGATAAAGATTTTTACATTTACTTTTTTGTTTTTTGGTTTTTTTTTTTTTTTTTTTGAGATGGATTCTCACTGTCGCCAGGCTGGAGTGCAGTGGTGCGATCTTGGCTCACTGAAACCTCCCCCTCCTGGGTTCAAGCGATTCTCCTGCCTCAGCCTCCAGAGTAGCTGGGACTACAGGTGCAGGCTACCACGCCCAGCTAATTTTTGTATTTTCAGTAGAGTCGGGGTTTCACCGTGTTGGCCAGGATGGTCTCGATCTCTTGACCTCCTGATCCGCTCACCTCGGCCTCCCAATACATTTACTTCTTACATTAGATTGATTAGCATCCATTTCTGTGTGGTATATGCTTAATGTTTGAAAGATGTTAAGTATATTTTTGGCTTTATAAAACAAAGCTGAGAAGTTTACAGAACAGATTTTAGTAGCTGATACTTAGTTTAAGTGAGACCAAGTAAGTGGTTTTACTGTTTACCTAATTATACCTAAAGTATTATTTTAGGTGGGACATACCTTATCCCATTTGCTAGCTGCTTTTCTCACAACTCCTGGGGGTTAAATAATGTATTAAATTCAGAGTCATGGTCTATACTGGCAAAATAAAGAATTATTTAGATCAGTGACTCTCAATTTTGGAAGACACATGTTTTTCTGAGGAGCATTTCAGAATGACCCACAGAGGTTTTCCAGGCTACTCAGGTTCTCTCCATTCCTGTTCTTCCCTCAAGACTGCTAATTCCCATGGATGAGATTCACTGCCAAAAGGAGCTACTGCTGCCAATGTGGAAATGCCATGTCCCTCATGAGCATAGCATGGGAAGGGCTCAGTGTCATTGTTATTATTACTTTAAGTTTAGGCATCCTAACATCTGAATGTTTCAGTAATTAAAGGTAAAATTGTGAATTTTCAGGATTGTGGTAGCAATTTTTATGTTTATTAGCATTTTGTCTAACTGAAACCCTTGATGTAATTGTTAAAATACCAAAACTGATGTAAAGATGGCGTATTTAAAAAATTATATATAGGGAAAATATTGCTTTCTGCTCATAGAATCATTACCATTTAGAAATGAAAGTGGTTTTAGCTCTCCCTCTCCTCCCTCTGCCTCTCCCTCTCCGTCATCTCCGTCTCCCGCTTTCCACGGTCTCCCCCTCTCCCTCGTCTCCATCTCCCGCTTTCCACAGTCTCCCTCTGTTGCCGAGGCTGGACTGTACTGCCGCGATCTCGGCTCACTGCAACTTCCCTGCCTGATTCTCCTGCCTCAGCCTGCCGAGTGCATGGGATTGCAGGCTCGCGCCGCCACGCCTGACTGGTTCTTGTATTTTTTGGTGGAGACGGGGTTTCGCCGTGTTGGCCGGGCTGGTCTCCAGCTCCTGACCTCGAGTGATCTGCCCACCTCGGCCTCCCGAGGTGCCGGGATTGCAGACGGAGTTTGGCTCACTCAGTGCTCAATGTTGCCCAGGCTGGAGTGCAGTGGCGTGATCTCCGCTCGCTACAACCTCCACCTCCCAGCCGCCTGCCTTGGCCTCCCAAAGTGCTGAGATTGCAGCCTCTGCCCGGCCACCACCCCGCCTAGGAAGTGAGCAGCGTCTGCCTGGCCACCCGTCTTCTGGGATGTGAGGAGCCCCTCTGCCCGGCCGCCCAGTCTGGGAAGTGAAGAGCGCCTCTTCCCGGCCGCCACACTGTCTAGAAGTGAGGAGCGTCTCTGCCCGGCCGCCCATCGTCTGGGATGTGAGGAGCCCCTCTGCCCGGCCACCCAGTCTGGGAAGTGAGGAGCACCTCTTCCTGGCCGTCATCCCATCTAGGAAGTGAGGAGCGTCTCTGCCTGGCCGCCTATCGTCTGGGATGTGGGGATCGCCTCTGCCCGGCCGCCCTGTCTGGGATGTGAGGAGTGCCTCTGCCCGGCCGCCCCGTCTGGGAGGTGAGGAGTGTCTCTGCCCGGCCGCCACCCCATCTGGGAAGTGAGGAGCGCCTCTGCCTGGCCACGACCCCGTCTGGGAACTGAGGAGCGCCTCTACCTGGCCGCCCCGTCTGAGAAGTGAGGAGCCCCTCCGCCCGGCAGCCGCCCTGTCTGGGAGGTGGGGGGCGCCTCTACCTGGCGGCCCCGTCTGGGGGGTGGGGGGCCCCTCTGCCCAGCCGTCACGTCTGGGAAGTGAGGAGCCCCTCTGCCCGGCCGCCACCCTGTCTGGGAGGTGTACCCAACAGCTCATTGAGAACGGGCCATGATGAGGATGGCAGTTTTGTCGCATAGAAAAGGGGGAAATGTAGGGAAAAGAAAGAGAGATCAGATTGTTACTGTGTCTGTGTAGAAAGAAGTAGACATAGGAGACTCCATTTTGTTCTGTACTAAGAAAAATTCTTCTGCCTTGGGATGCTGTTAATCTATAACCTTACCCCCAACCCCGTGCTCTCTGAAACATGTGCTGTGTCCACTCAGGGTTAAATGGATTAAGGGCGGTGCAAGATGTGCTTTGTTAAACAGATGCTTGAAGGCAGCGTGCTCCTTAAGAGTCATCACCACTCCCTAATCTCAAGTACCCAGAGACACAAACACTGTGGAAGGCTGCAGGGTCCTCTGCCTAGGAAAACCAGAGACCTTTGTTCACATGTTTATCTGCTGACCTTCTCTCCACTATTGTCCTATGACCCTGCCAAATCCGCCTCTCTGAGAAACACCCAAGAATGCTCAATAAATACTAAAAAAATTTAAAAAATAAAGTGGTTTTAGAGGTTACCTGGTGTAACTGCATCCTATATGAGGAAACTAAGGACTTATAAACATTAAATGACTTGTCCTCAGTCACCAATTAGCCATGGGTTCAGAATTTTGGCGGTAGTACCTGGTTTCTGGTTGCTGTATTTACGATTAAATATTTGTCCCCAGTTTTTCAAAATCATTGGTTATAATTCATTTTCTTTTCATTTTTGTAACAATGATGCAAAATGTAAGCTCATTTTCATAATGATAAGTATTCACCCTCTGTTATCTTTTCAGGTTGAACACGAGAAATATTGTGACCAATATCGCTTTGCTATAGAGCAGCAAAATATCCTGATATCAAATTGGAATAAAAATAAGAAAGACTTTATACAGAAGGCTGTGCTGACACTCACTGAGGCTTGTGCAACACATGAAATGGAGAGCATGTTGGCTAAGGACAAGAAAAAGCAACAGGAATTGTGTGCTGATCTGAAAGCCAAGGTAAGATGCTGCACAGGTGTTTCAGTATTTGTCTGGATATTTAAGAATCCATTTTTCCCTTTTGTTCAAACTCAACCTAAAGTTCAGTTTCTCTTAAAAAACAAAAGCCTACCTTTAATAAAACTGTTAGTTTGAACTGTATAAAATTGCATTTTTTAGGTCAAATACAGTCAATAATCAATAATTTCATATGGTTCAACCAAAAAGTTACTATAACAGGATGTTAATATCAAAGTTTTGATTGAGATATCCAATACCAACCATAGATGTGCACATCAGACTGAGGTGCTAGACAAAAATGCAAGTGTAATGATAAAGTTACTGTCTAATGCTGATCTAAAGACTCTTGGACTTCTCATTCACATCAAAGATAGCAAAAAGTTCAAATGAGGAGGAGAAGAGAGGCTTTATGATGAAATACATTGGGGCAAGCTTGCTGGGCTGTGTGTGAGTCCTCAGCGAAGTGTTGGGGAATGGATGGGGTTTTCCTCCTCCTCAGACCCAGAAATATCTAGCGGGGCTGGATTGAGGATGGCTTGGGGAGTTGGTAGGTAACCCTCGCTGTTAGAAGGATTGAGGACTGGAGCAATGCTCAGAGGGAAATAGAGGAGCTGCTTTAGTGGCAGAACTGTAAGTAAGAGTGGTTGTTGTGCTGGGAATAATTGCATTCCACAGGAGGGTCACAGTGCATGAGTCCTGGAGGCCTGATGTGGATATGGCCTCCCCAGGAGTGTTGGCCAGGGCCATTAAAAACAAATTGTATTGAGGTATAACATACTTGAAGTGCACAAATCTTAAGTTGATAAATGATATGGTAGGAAGATGATGGTGCAACAAAAAATTTTATTCTCCTGATAGAAAACAACTGGCAGACATTAAGCAATACCAATTAAGAGCATATAAAACAAATGTCTTTGTTTTAAAACATTAGAGGAAAAATGTTTCATCTGCATTTTTTAAAACAAAAAGATATTTCTTTTGACATTGCATAAGCTTGAGACCTAAAAGGAATAGAAGCTGCATCAAGCTGGTCTATCATGGGCTGCAGGGCTAATACATGTTTCTTCTCCATCTTCAGGCTGATAAGAAACACACAGGGGCCAGGGGCCATGACAAGTTATTGTATTCCTAGTTTGTTTATATTCATTTTGCACACATTATCATTAACTGTTGAGCTATGCTGAAATTGATATTTTCCTTATATTGTATTGCACTGAGGTAAACATACATGTAGTAAAGTGCACAAGTGCACTTTAGGTCAAAAACGGTCAACAATCAATAATTTCATATGGTTCAACCAAAAAGTTACTATAACAGGATGTTAATATTGAAGTTTTGATTGGGATATCCAATACCAACCATAGACATGCACATCAGACTGAGGTGCTAGACGAAAATGCAAGTGTCTTGATAAAGTAACTGTCTAATGCTGACTCAAAGACTCTTGGATGAAGCTTTATGACACACACGCATACCCATGAAAAACCACTGAGATCAAAACCTAGAATGTTTCTGGCAGCTCAGAAGACCACTTAGTGCCTCTTCTCAGTAAATACAATCCCCACCTGTGATCACTATTCTGACTTCATGACCATCGATTAGTTTTGTCTGTTCCTGAACTTCATATAAATCAAATGATATATACAGTATATAGTCCTTTGTACTTCTTGGATTCATCATATCTGTTTCATCTTTGTGGCATGTTACAGCTATTTGTTCTTCTTTATTGCTGTTTAGTATTTCATAGTATATGTATATATTTTCCTGCTAACAGAAATTTGAGCCGTTTTCAGGTTTTTGCTATTATGATAATGGCACTATCAACATTCTTGAACATGTCTTTTGTTGGACATATACATTCATTTCTATTGGATAGATAGTATACTTAGGAGCAGAATCACTACATCATAAGGCTCAGATGTGTTTAGCTTTAGTAAATACTGCCAAATAGTTTTCCAAAGTGGTTATACAAATTTGCAACCGAATTCAGTTGCTTCACATCTTCCCCAACATTGGTATTGCTAATCTTTAATTTCATCTAACGTGGTGACTGAGTAGTGGTACCTCATTATGGTTTTTATTTGCACTTAGAATAAAGCTGTCCAAGTGTCTTTTCATATGTTTATTAGCCATTTGGGTATCCTCTTTTGTGAGAAGCCCACTCAAGTCTTTTGCCTATTTTTCTATTGGGTTTTGTGCTTTTTTTTCTTACTTATTTGTATGTTCTTTATATATTCTGTATGCAAGAGCTATTTCTTTTTATTTTCTCCCAATCAATGACTTGTCTCCTCACTTCTCTTAATGGCATCTTTAAATGAACAAAACTTCTTAATTTTAATGAAGTACTTTTTTTTATTTTTAAATGTCTTTGAGATATGTTATATATAGTAAAATAACTATTTTTTTTTTTTTTTGAGATGGAGTCTTGCTCTGTCGCCCAGGGTGGAGTGCAGTGGTGTGATCTCAGCTCACTGCAAGCTGCGCCTCCCGGGTTCACGCCATTCTCCTGCCTCAGCTTCCTGAGTAGCTGGGACTACAGGTGCCTGCAACCACGCCTGGCTGATTTTTTTGTAATTTTTTTTTTTTAGTGTTTTTTTTTTTTATTATTATACTCTAAGTTCTAGGGTACATGTGCACAACGTGCAGGTTTGTTACATATGTATATATGTGCCATGTTGGTGTGCTGCACCCATTAACTCATCATTTACATTAGGTATATCTCCTAATGCTTTCCCTCCCCCCTTCCCCCACCCTGCAACAGGCCCCGGTGTGTGATGTTCCCCTTCCTGTGTCCAAGTGTTCTCGTTGTTCAATTCCCACCTATGAGTGAGAACATGCAGTGTTTGGTTTTTTGTTCTTGTGATAGTTTGCTGAGAATGATGGTTTCCAGCTTCATCCATGTCCCTACAAAGGACATGAACTCATCCTTTTTTATGGCTGCATAGTATTCCATGGTGTATATGTGCCACATTTTCTTAATCCAGTCTATCATTGATGGACATTTGGGTTGGTTCCAAGTCTTTGCTATTGTGAATAGTGCTGCAATAAACATACGTTTTTTGTATTTTTTTTTTAGTAGAGATGGGGTTTCACTGTGTTAATCAGGATGGTCTTGATCTCCTGACCTCATGATCCACCTGCCTCAGCCTCCCAAAGTGCTGGGATTATAGGCATGAGCCACCGCACCTGGCCAAAATCACTATTTTTAATGCATAGTTCTATGAATTTTGAAAATGCATGGTGTATAACTACCACTATAATCAAGATATAGAACAGTTCCACCACCACTCAAAAATTCTTCACTCCCCTTTGTAGTCAACCCTTCATCTACCTCCAGCCTTTGGCAATCACTGATCTGTTCTCTATCCCTATAGTTTTGCCTCTTCTAGAAGGTCATGTAAGTGTAACTCAACAGTGTGTAGCCTTTGAGTCTGGCTTTGTTCACTTAGCATAATGCATTTTAGATTCACCCATGTTGTTTGTATCAATAGTTTGTTCTTTTTTATTGCTGAGTAGTATTCCATGACATGGCTACGTTACAGTTTTTCCATTCATCAGTTGTTTCAAGTTATTGGTGATTAATGTTGCCTTGCTTATAGTGGGAGTAGACTTTAGGCTTCCTGGTGAGCCTGTGCCTCAGAGGGTGTCCCTCCTTTTTTTTTTTTTTTTTTTTTTTTAAGAGACAGGGTTTCATTCTGTTGCCCAGGCTGGAATGTGGTGATGCAATCATAGCTCATTGCAGCCCAGATGTCCCAGGCTCAAGTGATCTTCCTGCCTCCATCTTCCAAATAGCTGAGACCACAGGCATGCACCACTATGCCTGGCTAATTTTTCAGTTTTTCAATATTTTGTAGAGACAGGGTCTTGCTATGTTGCCCAGGCTGGTCTTGAGCTTCTGGCCTCAAGCAATCTTCCTGCGTTGGCTTCCCAAAGCACGGAGATTGCAGGTGAGCCACTGTGCCTGGCTTGCCACACTCTTGTTCCTTCCCCTGCACTAGATTGTTACTAGACACTTGCTAGCCTGGTAGCGGAAGGGGCATTCTGCAATACTGGTTCAACCTCAGTCTCAGGCAGGGCCTGTGTCCCTGGGTCTTGGGGCTAAGGGCTTACTCAACAATCCTGCTCTTTTCCCCATGGCAGACAAATTCTGCCTCATGAATTTGATGTTCTTGTGAGGGAGATAGTTTCCTTCACCGTCCCCAGGAGAAGATGGTTTCTTCATTTCCTTCTCCCAGTTGTGATGGGTCCACACTTGTACCCTAGTGGGTTTGTGGCTTTTCCTTCAGCAGTGATGGGTGTTCATTCTATAGGGCTTTGGATCCTCTCTGGCAGATCTGCACTGTCATAGGATGCGTTCTCTGCTCTCCTACCCTGACTCTGATATTTTTTTTGTGAGCACTCTGTGAGATCTATGGAGAAAAGCCTGAGAGTGGGTGCAAATTCCTCTTGTGTTTGTAGCTTCCACAGGTTCTATAGTCTCATGCTCTGCGAAGTCATTAAAACTTGTAAATCATTAAAATTTATCAATTTATTACAACATTTTAGCTGCAGTCTTCTTACCCACTTCCATAGTGGCCTCATCTCCCCAGGTGCTCTGCTGCAGGTAAGCCAGTTGTCACATCCTGGCTCTCCTTGGAGGCATCTGTCTTTCCTTAAATTTCAGGCTAATTTATTGCCTTGTGACCTCTGCTCTCTGATGAGTTCAGGAAAAGTCCTGATGTAAGTGATTCAGCTTTTTCTTCTGGTTACGGTGAGAACAATATTCTATCTAACTTTCTACACCTAAATGGAAGCTCATAGGTCCTAATGAAATATAATTCATCAATCTTTTTTGTGCCCTATTTAAGAAACCACTGGCTAATGGTAAAGGGCCATTGTCAAAGATATTCTGCCCAAGATTTTTCTGCCTAACAGGGTTCCTGCCAGAGGTAAGGGGACCCCAAAAACAGTGGGATGGAACAACAATAAATGGGAACCTGACAGATAGAAAAGAAATGGCTAGTCAAAGGTAAATGAGCATGACCCACATCAGGAGCATCTTTCCTGGAAAGCCCAGCTAGCAATCAAGGCAACAGTACTGCTTGGAGATCAAGGGTCAGTATCAACCTCCTGCCTAGCTTACTTAGGACAGTGTCAGTCACCCATCATCTGAGAACTTGCTTTCCTTTTCTTTAGCCCTCCTCTTCTTTTCTTTCTCCCACCTCTGGGCCCTGAAGGTTTAAGCATCTGGGGAATGAAAGAAGAAGCCATCTTCTGCATGAAGAGGGAAGTGGTAACTAATCTCTTGGAACCAGGCACTGATTTTGAACCAAGACTGTGTTTTGTGACTTAAAGTTACCACGGACCTCTCTAACCCAAGAGTGAGCCATGCATTCTGCTGAGTTTTCAATTGGTGGTTGGAGAACATCTGAATGGAGGACAAAAACAATGCCACATTTTGTTGATGTCTCACACATCATGCTGTACCGTATACTAAGCATACTTTACTGAGTGTCTCCTATCCACCAGGCATCCTAATAGATGCTTTCTGTGCATTTCCTGATATTCTCTTCAATGACAAATCTAAGCTGAGATGTGCAGAGGTTGCTGCAGAGCATCTAGCCACTGAATCAAGGCCACAGCTCTAAGAGACAACATAAAATGTAGCCTCCTCAGAAGGGTATGGTCACATGAGGGTAAACAAATATCTGAACTTTCAGGGATGAAACCTGAGAAGTGTAAATGCAGGCAGACAGTGGGGGAAATCAGAACATAAAGTACACTATAGTAAAATGGATTCTGTTTTTTCTAGAGAGGGTGTTATCATTGGAATTTGTATTCCTGATGAGGGACTGAGCTCAGTAAATTATAGCTGGGATCAGAATGATATCATAAAAGAAAATAAGTAAATCTATAAATTCTTCAGTCACTTAAAATGTTAAAATATGCTTATAATTTTTTTTAACCTGGAAGGAAACTTGGCAATTTATCCCTGCCTTTCATTTTATAAGCCTGAAAGCTGAGCCCTGAAAGATGAAGTGACTTGCCTAAGGTTCACACCAGCTCATTCAACTTGTAATTCAATATTATCTTGGCCCCACAAAGGTTTGCATACAAGAGTTCTACAAAATAATAGAAGATATTTATTATACTGTAGGCTCCAGTGTGCTATAAAGTAGGCCCACAGAGTGTGAAAAATATTACTTCATTGTATCATAAATTTGACCTTTCTAAAACTAATATGCCAGCTATAATAAACATTAATTAAACATTTAACCATAATTTTGTTCTCAGCCTTGGAATTTAAAAGGGCTTTTGGGGGGTAATTTAGATGATTTGTGTCTTTTAAGATGTGTTAAAGGAATTTTGAAATAATGCTCTCGTGCTCTCTTTCTCTGTCTCTGTTTTGTTTTATTTTGGTTTCTGTCATAACAGTTGCTGTAGCAAGCAGAGGCATTTAGGCCTCTCACCAGAGGATGAGAGTAAAGGGAGGAAGCAGAGCTCTCAATCTCCTGCTCCCATGAAACCTGCTCTTTGATCCCCCAAGTTTTCCCCGACTACTGCCTGAACCAGTCTGTTAGCTGTGCACTCAATTCCGCAGCATCCTTGTCTTTCAACGGCATGCCTAGGAACATCCTCCCCAGAGCCATCTCATAATTTTTTTTTTTTTTTTTATGGAGTCTCACCCTGTCACCAGGCTGGAGTGCAGTGGCACGATCTCGGCTCACTGCAACCTCCAACTCCTGGGTTCAAGTGATTCTCCTGCCTCAGCCTCCTGAGGAGCTGGGATTACAGGCATGTGCCACCACACCCAGCTAATTTTTGTATTTTTAGTAGAGGCAGCGTTTCACCATGTTGGCCAGGATGGTCTCGATCTCCTGACCTTGTGATCCGCCCACCTGAGCCTCCCAAAGTCCTGGGATTACCAGTGTGAGCCACCGCTCCCGGCCCTCATAATTGTCTTTCTTTGCTTCCATGCTGGGTGGCTGAGTGCTGCCTGGTGGCCAAAGGGGAAGAGTTAACTTCATCTGGATGCTGAATGCCACATGAGAGGCTTTCATCCTGTCCTTAGTTTGCCCACTCTCCCCATTCCTTTTATGACTGTTTCCTATGGTCGCCACTCCATAGGACCCTTACCTGACACCATACACCCTCATTCTCAGACTCCCAGGAGACAAGCCACCTCCTACTTTAGCAAGAAAATTCAGTCATTGAGGAGTGAAACAACCCCTAATTTCTTCCTCCCCACCCTATGCCTTTCTGTCTCTTGCCAGGTGCTGGCCTTCCTCTAGATGAAGGGTGTGATGCTTCCTATGTGTTCAAGTTCGGTCCTTCTCCCTAAAGTCTGGAACTGTGACCCCCCCAACTACTTTAGAAATGTGATGCTAGTGGTTATCGCCTTTCTTTATTTTTGTCTCTCTTATTCTTTGTAGTGTTTCCTTCAGCCTATAAACATGACTAAGTCAAAAGACTATCCAAAGAAGCCTTCTCTTGTCATCCTCAAGGTCTTGGGCAGTCCCTAGCTCTACTCTTTCATTTGAAATCAATCCTTTGAAAGAATAGTCTACATTATCGTCCCAAGAACTTCTGACTTCTCAGTCTACTGAAATCTTCTCCACCCCTTAAGGTCTCCAGTGACCACCGTATTACCTAATCCAGCAAGGCTCTTCCATCCTGATCCTCCTGGACCTCTCCCCTTCACTTCCCTGTTGACGATCCACTCTTTGACATTCTTTACTCCCTCAGATTCTGTAAAACCTATCTTGCCATATCTTACAGTGGTTCTTAGTCTTCCTGTATATTTCCCATTGTCTGCCCACTTTAAAACGCTGGAGCCTTCCAGTTTTCTGTCCTTGCTCTTTGCTCTTATATCCTTACTTCATTGGCCACTAAGCCTCCTCGTGATTCCGCCTACCCTGATATGCTATAACTGCTCTCAGATCTCTATTCCCATTTCTGCACAGTTCTCTCTTCAGCTTCATGTATCCAGCTACATGCTGATTATATCAACTTAGAAGGCTGAATGCCTCAAATTCAGTGTCCAAAATAGAAATCCTCATTTTCCTGTGGTAAATTTGCACTTCTTACTTGAAACTTAGCTTCCTCTTTTCTCTTACCTTCATAGCTATTTACCAACTTTTGAAAACTTTATCTATCTGCCCCTTCTTTTCTATCATAAAGCCCTGGCCATTGTTCCTGAGCTATTGCTCCTCTCATGACTATGTTTCACATTCTGCCCTTGAGAAACCCTTTCTCTAAATTGCAGGCAGAATGCTCTATCTAAAATTCAATTCAGGCCAGGCACAGTGGCTCATATATGTAATCCCAGTGCTTTGGAAGGTTAAGGTGGGAGGATTGCTTGAAGCCAGGAGTTCAAGACCAACCTGGGCAACATAGCAAGACCCTGCCTCTACAAAAAAGTGTTTAAAAAAACAGCCAGGAGTAGTGGTGCGTGCATGTAGTTCTAGCTACTCAGGAGGTTGAGGCAGGAGGATTTCTTGAGGCCAGGAGTTCAAGGTTACAGTGAGCTATGATTGCATCACTGCACTTCAGTTCAGTCTGGGTGACAGAGTGAGTCCCTGTCTCTTAAAAAAACTGCAATTCAGGTATGCCATTCCCTAATGATACCATCTCATTTGCTTACAGTAATGGCCCAACTTTCTGGCATGGCTGTCCAGGTTTTCAGTAATTTGGACCCCGGCTTTCTTTCTAGCCTCCTTTCTTGACACACTCCATTTTACACATTACAATTTAGAAATACCAAACTCCTTGTAATTCACTCTCACTCTACCTCTGCCACTGCACAGTGCAACATTCTATTTCCTGTTTTTGTGCCTTTGTTCTTGCTATTGTTGGCTTTGCCTGGAATGCCTCTCTTACCTTCCTTTGTCTGAATAAGTCTCATTCATCTTCAAAATTCAGCTCAAATGTCTGATACAGGAAAACTTTGTTGAATCCCTGACTAGAGTCAATACACTCTTTGTTCTCCCTAACTCCTGGTACATAACTCTGGCTCGCCTGTGATTATGATTATGTCACACTAAAAACTCTATTTCCCCAAAAGAAGTGCAAACAGGAACACCATCTTATTCATCTTGGTGTAAGCCTCCCCCTACCCCTGCCCTAGATTTTCAGTGTTTGGGACCTGATAGGTGCTCAGTAACTTTTGTTGAAGTGAAGTGGATAAGCCTTAGGCATTTTGTTCCTTCTTCTCAATACCTCCTGACACAGTACTCTCCTCACTACCTTCTTTCTAATGTATTTCTCAGGAAACTTGCTGTTGAAACAAGTATATGATGTGCAGTCATCAAGAAGTGAAGTACAAGACTGAATTGTCAACATTGAATATTCTGAGATGCCAAATGTAGTTTTAAAAATAAAACCTGACTACCCATAAAATTGAGGTATATTTTAGGCATGAACAAAGTCACCAGGCACTTAGTTTTCTTCTTCACTTCATCTTGTTTTTGTGCTCCTCGTTGTCTCTCTAGCTGATTGTATGACCCAGTCAAGAAGCCACAAGTAGCTAAGAAAATGAGATAATGTTGAGAGAGAAGATACCTTTTTGAATAAATATCACTTGAACTCTCTCTCTCCACATTTGGTAGTTCTCCACAGTATCAATTCCTTCCATAATTCCCCCCTTCTCCACAGATTTCAGCCTCCTTTGCTGTTGGAGAGCAGACTTGGATTTAGGTTTCACAAATCAGATGTGAGCAGTACTTTAATTCAAATAGAGTTTTCTGAGTTCCAGTTCCAGGGATGATGAATGGCTGTTGTCAGACTCACCCTCACACAGTAAGCAACTATAGAAACTTGACAAAATGATTTAAAAATGTTTGCAGGCATTGGATAACCAGTGTATGGATGAGATTTTTGAAATAAGAGAAGTTTTAAAAGTGAGCCTCTTATTCACCCTGGATTTCTTCTTGAGGTCATCTTTCAATATGAGGTGGATAGAAACAGCCTAAGCAGAAAATGATAGTCTTGATAGGTAAAAGAAGCAGAGATTGGAGTTTGGGCTGCAAAGGCAAATACAATTTGGGGGCAGGATACTAGAGATGAAGGACTGGCAGATAAAGAGCCTCCAAAATGTATATGAAAATATTCCTTGGGTCCTTTGCCAGCTTCTAAGTTCTGAATGTGCAGGATGAGATGCTAAAAGACAAACAGAGAACAACCACTAGAAGGCTGAGAACCAAATAGAGATTTGAGAGGTCACAGGACACAGGCCTGGGGAGGTGTAGGTCTTGGAGTTCTAGTTTAGTCAAAGTAGAGAAATCTTGGTGAACTCTCTAGACATTCGGTTGAAACCCTAGAAAGGCCATGCCGTAGGGGTAAGGGCTGTACTCTAGGATTATAAAGAAAATAGAAACAGACTTACCCTCTAAAAGGCCAAGACAAAGCATCAGTAAAATTCAGGAGATTTTCTGGCAACTTAAGTGCCTTCCTGACTAAGGCTCAACACTGTTTAGAGAAATATAACATAACCCAGAGGCCCTACAAATATGATTCACAATGTCCAAAATATGATGAAAATTACCAAATACTCAAAGAAACAGGAAAATCAGATAGATAATCAAGGAAAGAAACTGTCTCAGAGATTATCCAGATATTTGTAGTTAAAAGACAAGAACCTCAAGATAATTATGATTAATTTGTTAAAGAAAATAGAAGTAAACATGGAAAAAATGAATGAAAATATGTATTTCAGTAGAGAATTTGCATATATAAAAATGGGTCAAATAGAAATTCTAGAAATGTAAAATATAGTACCTTAAATTAAGAATCTATTGAATTGGCTTTATCAGCAGACTGGGCATAGCAGAAGACAGAATTAGTGACCTTGAAGACAAGCCAATAGAAAATATTCCACCTGAAGCACATAAAGAAAAAATAATAAAGTGAAAGTGAGAATAGAGCAGATAACATAAGAGAGGTGTGGAACATGGTAAAAAGTTGTATTATATATGTAATTAAAGTTCCAGAAAAAGAAGAGAGAGAATAAAATAGAGGCAGTATTGAAGAAATAATATCTAAGAACTTACCAAATCCAGTGAAAGACATCAACCTATATTTTTAAGAAGCTCAACAAACCCCAAAGTAGACAAACACACCAAAAAAAAACCACACCTAGGCACTTGACAGTCAAACTCCTGAAAACAATGGTGATACGGTTTGGCTGTATCCCTACCCAAATCTCATCTTGAATTGTAATTCCCATAATCCCCACATGTTGTGGGAGGGACCAGGTGGAAATAATTGAATCACAGGAGTGGTTTCCCCCATCCTGTTCTCCTATTACTGAGTGAGTTCTCACCAGATCTGATGGTTTTATAAGGGGCTTCCCCCTTTGCTGGGCACTCATTCTCTCTCCTGATACCATGTGAAGAAGGACATGTTTGCTTACCCTTCCGCCATGACTGTAAATTTCCTGAGGACTCCCAGCCATGCTGAACTGTGAATCAATTAAACCTTTTTCCTTTATAAATTACCTGGTCTTGGGTATATCTTTATTAGCAGCATGAGAACAGACTAATTCAGATGGATAAAGAGAAAGGGAGTTATATGAAGAGACAGACATGGCATGGCCATCGTTTTGCTGGTGTGGTCACACACAAAGGCAGTCTGTTCTGAGTCACTGGTGATGCAACAACTTCCCAATTGTGCCAGAGGCAGTGTGGCTTCTACTAGACCAGCTCTGTGGTACATGATTCTGGATGTTATTTCTGGAAACTTAGTCTAGAGCTTGCTTCTCTGCCCCCTCCACAGATTTTATGAGCTTTCTAAAATTCCATAATTAATACATTCTGCTAAACTATCTAGGGTGGATTCTGCTGTGTGCAACTAAAAACTCTGACACAGAGGGTGTCTGGGTCCTGCTATGCTATTTTGACTGCTTTCTTGCTGGCTGCAGGTTAAAGATGAAAAACAGACAGAATCAGTAATGATTCATCATTCTCCTGGTCCAAGCTGAAATAGATCTTGCAGGCACACACTATGTTGGATCACCTTTGAGGCAGAGATAATCACAAAAAGCTCATCCATCAGTCACATGGCCCAAGTGAAAAGGTATAGGGAAGGAGATGCATATAATAATGATATGTCAACATCTATAGATGTAATTTACTTTCATTTGTACTCTGACGTCATTTAGGGGGTATTTGCTCAGGAGATACAGCAAGTTGCTTCTTTTAGAGCATTAGGGATCTCCACACAATATACTTCGTTGATTAGACAAGAAAAAACAACATAATTGGAGGAACTTGGGTGTCCAGTTTACTATGAGAACTGGCAAGGATTCAATAGTTTCTGCCAATTTAAGGCAGTTGTTCATGAGTATTTTGGTGTGGTCAATTGTGCTATGCATCATTAGCATAATCAGTGCTAGTGATGAATTTCTTGCATTATCGGCTTCCCTATAGTCACGGCAGTTGGGAGCATTTATGGAGAAGTTCCCTGTGGTTAACCATGGATACAATATTAGCAGAAGAAAGAGAGCTCTGAGGAACCATAGGCATCAGTGCCAGAGTGATTTTTGGTCACAGCAGCAGATGGCATTTCGTCTATACAGCTATATTGCACTATCTGTGGCTCTTGGCAGGTAGCTAATTGAAATTCCCAGGGTTCGAGGACTTGATGAATCTACATATTAGTTCCAAGTAAAATATTCCAAGTAGCCCTACTCTTAAAATGTCTTAGTTTTTAAAGTGTATCTGTCTGCATTGGGGTCTATTTTACAAAGTTTAAAAGAGGCTGTACTTTTTAAATGTTCTTTATAATGAGAGCCTTATATTTCTGTGGCAAGTCATAACAACATGTCACAAGATGTTTTGCAAATGAGGATACTTGGTCTAGAATATAGATGTTTGCATTTTACAATGACTTTATGCAACAAAATTTCAGGCAACCATAATCTCAAGTACTGGGTAATTTAGGAGGGGAAGTTACAACTTGGAGTTGGAAAGCCAATATTCTTAAAATATCTGTTAAAAATAAATACATAGCCATTAAAAAAATGTAAACATGTCTAGTGGAACAGAATAGAGAGTCCAGAAATAGATCCACACATCTCAAGTCAGTTGATTTTCAACAAAGATATGCAGTCAGTTCAATGAAGAAAGGGTAGTCCTATGAAAAAAATGGTGTGAACCATTGAATATCCAGATGCAAAAATAAGTGAGCCTTAATACATACTTCTACCGTATGTAAAATGAACTCAAAATGGATCATAAACCCACATGTAAAACTGAAAACTACAAAACATGGGGAAGACAACTTGGGGGAATTTTTATGATCTTGGTTTTGGCAAAGATTTCTGAGATACGACACCAAATGTAGTATCCCTAAAATATATAATTGATCAATTGGACATCTTCAAAATTGTTGAAAGACACTGCTAAGATAATAAAAAGACAGGCCATCCACTAGAAGAAAATATTTGCAAATTGCATGTCTAATGAAGAGTTGTGTGCAGAATTTATAAAAATTTATTGAAACTTAATAAGAAAACAGGGACAATTTGACTTCCTCTTTTCCTAATTGAATACCCTTTATTTCCTTCTCCTGACTAATTGCCCTGGCCAGAACTTCCAACACTATGTTGAATAGGAGTGCTGAGAGAGGGCATCCCTGTCTTGTGCCAGTTTTCAAAGGGAATGCTTCCAGTTTTTGCCCATTCAGTATGATATTGGCTGTGGGTTTGTCATAGATAGCTCTTATTATTTTGAAATACGTCCCATCAATACCTAATTTATTGAGAGTTTTTAGCATGAAGCATTGTTGAATTTTGTCAAAGGCCTTTTCTGCATCTATTGAGATAATGATGTGGTTTTTGTCTTTGGTTCTGTTTATATGCTGGATTACATTTATTGATTTGCGTATATTGAACCAGCCTTGCATCCCAGGGATGAAGCCCACTTGATCATGGTGGATAAGCTTTTTGATGTGCTGCTGGATTCAGTTTGCCAGTATTTTATTGAGGATTTTCGCGTCAGTGTTCATCAAGGATATTGGTCTAAAATTCTCTTTTTTTGTTGTGTCTCTGCCCGGCTTTGGTACCAGGATGATGCTGGCCTCATAAAATGAGTTAGGGAGGATTCCCTCTTTTTCTATTGATTGGAATAGTTTCAGAGGGAATGGTTCCAGTTCCTCCTTGTACCTCTGGTAGAATTCGGCTGTGAATCCATCTGGTCCTGGATTCTTTTTGGTTGGTAAGCTATTGATTATTGCCACAATTTCAGCTCCTGTTATTGGTCTCTTCAGAGATTCAACTTCTTCCTGGTTTAGTCTTGAGAGGGTGTATGTGTCGAGGAATTTATCCATTTCTTCTAGATTTTCTAGTTTAAGAAACAACTCAATTTTTTAAAAGAGCAGAAATTCAATCACTTCACCAAGGAAGATATATGGCAAATAAAACAAGAAAAGATGTTCAATACCACTAATTAGTAGAAAAATACAGGTTAAAACCACAGGGGGCTATTAGTATTACCTATCAGAAAGTCTAAACTAAAAAATCTGATCATGTCAAATATCGTCAACTGGAATTCTCATACAGTGCTAGCGGGGAATGCAAAGTAACATGGTCACTTTGTGCAACATTTTGGCAGGTTTTTTTTTGTTTTTTTTTTTTGACAGAGTCTTGCTCTGTCACCCAGGCTGGAGTGCAGTGGTGAGATCCCAGCTCACTGCAACCTCTGCTTCCTAGGTTCAAGCAATTCTCATGCCTCAGCCTCCTGCATGGCTGGGATTACAGGCACCAGCCACCACGCCTGGCTAATTTGTGTGTTTTCAGTAGAGACGGGGTTTCACCATGTTGCCCCGGTTGGTCTACAACTACTGACCTCAAGAGATCTGCCCATCTTGGCCTCCCAAAGTGCTGGGATTACAGGCATAATCTTGGCAGTTCTTTATACGATTTTGGCAGTTCTTTTTACTATTTTGGCTTGTTTTGGCAGTTCCTTATACTATTAAACACACACTTACCACATGACCCAGCAATCCTACTCATGGGTGTTTATTCATTTAAACTGGAAATCTATGTTGACACAAAAATTTATAAGTAAACATTTATAGCAGCTTTATTTATAACTGCTAAAACTGAAAGCAGCCCAAATGCCTTCAACCAGGGAAGGGGTAAACAAGCTGTGATACTTCCATACAATGGAATATTACTCAGCAACAAAAAGTAAAACACTACTGATACAAGCAACAGCATGTACACATCTCAAATGTATTACGCTAAACAAAATATGTCAGACACAAAAGGCTGCATTCCATATGATTTCACTTACATGATCTTTTGGCAAGACAAAACTATAGGAACATAAAATAAATCAGTCTTTGCAGAGGACTTGGCGGGGTGGGGATGGGGAGGGATTTCCAAGGCGGAAGGAAGGAAGGAAGGAAGGAAGGAAGGAAGGAAGGAAGGAAGGAAGGAAGGAAGGAAGGAGGGAGGGAGGGAGGGAGGGAGGGGGGGGGGGAGGGAGGGAGGGAGGGAGAGGGGAAGGAAGGCAGGAAGGCACATCCATGCCCCTCATTGGTTTTCCAGAAGTTGCACATTCTTTGTACTTGCCATGCCTGGCTGCAAGCTGAGCAATGCAGTCTATTTTAGGTAGTTGATGCCCAGCCAAAATTCAGAGATTATTACTATGAATAAAGGTGAGAATAAAATAACAGGGACAACTAGCAGACTCCAGGGATGAGAGTTGCCGGCAAGGAATTTGGGGGTACCTTCCTTTCTAAGACTCAACCTCTGCTTCAGGTATTCTCACAAAGATTCTGTGGCTTATTATCTCTAAGGCCAACCATAGGGTCCTCTGATCAGCATAGTTCTCCTGGAGGGCTAAGTCTATGATATTGTTTCAGGGAAAATTTTAGGGGAAAAAAACATTTTGTTAAGTGGTGACTATAGTCCTTGGCTTCTCTTAGTCTCCATCTACTCTACCTTCTCTTTATCCTCCCTACCTGCACTTGCTATGTGATTGCCAAATATTTGTGGAATAAATAAATGAAACTTTGCTTTAGAAACAAATAGGTTAAAACATGTCAATTTGCTGTTTCTATAGGTCAGGAATGGCATAATATCAGCAATATCATATGGTGCAACCTAGTGTGCAGACAAGTGTAAGGTGTGTTGGCTCCTATGAGGGTATATTACCAGTGCAACTTTCTCTGGAGATCTGCTCTTTACACTAATGCCATAGATATTGTGAATGTGCTTCTCCCCCACCCCCCATATTGTCTTCCTAGTGCTCATCTCCCATATTACATTTATTATATCTGATATACATACTTGTTTGTGTGTCTATTTCTGGACGCTAAACATGTGAAAGGAAGGGTACTTTTTTTAAAATTTTACTTTAAGCTCTAGAGTACATGTGCACAATGTGCAGGTTTGTTAGGAAGGGTACATTTTTTATTGAGCTTTGTATCACTAATGCCTAACACCAATCCTGATCCATAATGGGTACTCAATAAACACAGCATTAATTTACTATACCTTTGAATATGCTGCATTTGTAACAAATTGACTTTATTAAAAAAGTGCTATAGGAGGAATCTTGTGTACTCCTTTATGTTCTCTGATAATTTACTTGTATTTCAAATAGTTTACATCTGGCTTTTATATTCTTCATGGTGTTTTTAAAAATTGCACTGTAAAATCTGCCCGTGCCATTAATTCATCTGAGTCTATTTCAGGCAATCCCTATAGATTGCATAACACCAGAGCTCATTCTGGTTTCTATATATACTTTTCTCCAGCAAGAAACTCAGAAGGCAGATCTAACTGCCTTTTGTAGTTTGCCCTTTACCCTGGCATTGTTTGATTAGGGAAACTTTAGGCAGTGAGTGAAGGAATAATTGGTTAGAAAGACTCGAGTCTTGATTTCTTGCTCTTAGCTCCGGATGGCACAGGAAAGCTTTTATCAAGAGAATTTCAAGGTCAGAATGGAAAGTTTGCAAATGGACAGATGATACTTTTAAATGTATCATTTATTTTCATAGAATTATCTGTGTGATAATGGAGGAATTAAATATATTAGTTGTTGAAGGAAATCTCTGTTTTGATATCTGCAGTATTCAAGTACATTTCCACCTAGTGGAGCATATCATTCTCTGAACCCGGTGCCTGCTTGGTATTCCTTGCCAAGCTGATTATAACCAAATGAATTCCCATCAGAGTATTTTCGCTGAAGACTATTTGAGAAAATCCCTATTTTGTAAATGTCTAAAATAATGTATATTGAGTTTCTCCAATATTGTTTTATTATAATAAATGTTTCATTTGGTTATAGTGGCTTGCTGGAAGTTCTTTTTGTGGATGAGAGAGGCAGACTAGCAAAGGGATAAAGTTGAACAAAAAAAAAGAAAAAAGTGATCTTTCAGTGCCTGAGGCATTTATAATAAAGAGAATCAACTTTCTGGGCATGAAAAGACCATAAAAGACATGTTAAATGTGATTCTTCTGGGCTCTGTGCCTATTTCTTTACTTTCACAAGAGATGGAATTTATAAAAGACATATGTTGAATGCCTGGGTATTTGAAAGTGACACAAGTTGCTTGTTAGTAATATACTTAGTGATTATTACAAAAATTATTTTTCTTTTATATGGTGTAATTTATTCATTTACTCATTCAACAAATAGTTTTTGTGCACCTACCTTGTGCCAGACATTATGACAGGCACTGGGCATTTGGAGATGAGTAATTCATCCTCAGGGATCTCAGATTCCAGTAGAGGAGGCAGACACATAAACATTTGGCTGTTATGGAGTGCAGTATACACCATGGGAGAGATATGTATAAGAATTACGGGAGCACAGAGGACAGCACATAGCCTAACGAGGAAGGCAACCATATAAACACCAAAGAGGCAACCCTTTCAACAAATTGCTCAAGGATAGGATTGGTAGCTTGGTAAAATGAGGAGTGGGAGGACATTCTAGACATTGGGAAGAGATGAGCCAGTCTTCCTTAGATCAGAAACAATGTTCCAGGATGCAAAAGCAGTTCAGTGGTTCTTATTTTTAAGGTGTGAATCAGAGTGTAATGAGAGAAGGGCTAGAGAACTAGGTGTGTACTAGATGTTGCAGGGCCTTGTGTGCAACATCAAGGAGCAGGAGTTTTTGTCTACCTGTGTGATGAGGAGCCATTGGAAGCCTTTATCAGAAGAGGGACATGTTTTAAGATCAGCCTGGGACCTGGGGACCGTGGCACATGCCTGTAATACCAGCCACTCGGGAGGCTGAGGCAGGAGGATCACTTGAGCCCAGAAGTTCCAGTCAAGCCTGGGCAATATAGCGAGACCCATCTCTTTAAAAAACAAAATATATATAAAAGAGGATCAGTCTCATAGCTGGGAACGTTAGGGGCAGCGATGGATTTTATGGAGAGAGGGCTAGAGGTGGGGAGTCAGGTTTCTATTGCCATCGTCTCGGTGACAGATGATGTAGTCTGAACTAGAGTGATGGTGATAGAGGTGGAGATAAAGGAGTAGAGGGATATTGAGAAAGTTGAATGGGCAGAACTGGGTGAGGGAGAAGAAAGAGCCAAAGAATTGAAAGAAATGAAAGGTTTCTACTTTCATTATGGGATGGATAGATTCATTAATCCAACAAATATTTAGTGAATGCTGAGTATACGCTAGCATTCTTCCAAATATTAGGGAATCAAATTGTGGAAAAGATTCCAAAATCCCAACCCTCATGGAGCTTCATTTCTAATGCAAGTTAAGATGACTAACAAGATAAATCAACAAAATCTATAATAAATACTACAAGAGAGCAAAAAGTGCTAGGGAGAAAAGTATAAAGCAAAGAAAATGATAGAATGTGGGGAAGGAGGGAAATGATAATTTAGATGGAACTATCTATGGAAAGCCTTATTGAGAAGACAGCAATTGAGTCAAATCCTGAGACTCAATTCTAGGGGAGGTGTATTCTAAGCAAAGGGAACAGCAAGCGTAAATGCCATGCTGATGTATTCAAGGAACAGCAATTAGAACAGTGTGGCTGGAGTGAGCAGAGGATGACGTGCTCTGGCTAAACAGTCGAACTGTAGGCATGATAATGGATGACAGGACAAGCGAAAAAGCTGGCAGATGCATTAGGAAGCTTTTGCAGTAAGCTAGGTTAGAGACCATGGGATGAAATGTGATTGTATACTGACAATGTGTCCTGAGTGGTGGGGTATCCCTGTGCCCAGTCCTTCCCACCGCCAGCCTCCTTTATTCCCCAGCTTGTCTTGGTGCTCCCAGCTTGTGCCCTCCTCAGCCACCTGCCATCCTTCAGCTCCCTCTCCTGTGTGCCTCACCTCAACCTGCATATCTGCATCTCACATGTCTCCCAGGTCCACCTCTACTATGCTCTACCCTTTATTCAAATACTTGATGTAGCTCCACCCTACCCTAACCCCTCACCTTCCCATGTTATAAACAAACTTGTGTGTCAGTCATTTCCTTGGTTTTATCACTGGATATGCATCCCTGAGTAATATAATTTAGTTTTGCCTGTGTTTGAACTCCTGTGAATAGAATCAAGTAGTATGTTACCGTACTGTGTGTGGCATCTTTCCCCCAATATTTTGTTATGTGTGGCCATTGTGTACCACAATTTATTGATCCGTTTTGCTGTTGATAGACATTTGGGTTATCTCTACTTCATGGTTATTAGAAACAATGTTGCAATAAATGTTTTTATATGTGTTCCCTGGTATACACACTTCTCCTGGGTCCATACCTAACAATATAGAATATGTGTTTCTGCAACTTGGCAAGGTACCACTGCATTTTTTTCCTAACAAGCTTGTACCAGAACTTGTACCAGCTACATATAAAAGATCCTGTTGTTCCACATCCTTGTGAATGTTTCTGTCATCCTACTGTATTTTTTAAACCAATCTGGTTTTAAAAATGTATTGTGGTATTTCATTGTAGTTTTAACTTGCAGTTCTCTGATTTCTAATTAAATTGAGGGACTTTCAGCATGTTTAATGGCTATCTGGATTTTTTTCTTTGTGAAATTGCTTGTTTAAGTCTTTCATCCATTTTTTTTCTATTGTGTTACCCCACTTTTTCTTATCGATTTGTACTTGTTCATTAAATATTTTGCATATTAGTTCTTTGTGGGTTATATGTTTTTCAGGTATGTTTTCCAATCCTGTATCACTCATTTTCATTCTCTTAATAGTATCTTTCAATTAAGAAACATTTACAATTTTTATGTAATTGATTTATCAATCTTTGTCTTTTATGGTTAGTTCTTTTATATTTTATGTAAGAAATAATTTCCTGACTTCAAAGTCATTGATATAGTTTGGCTGTGTCCCCACTGAAATCTCAAGTTGAATTGTATCTCTCAGAATTCCCACGTGTTGTGGGAGGGACACAGTGGGAGGTAATTGAATCATGGGGGCTGATCTTTCCCATGCTATTCTCATAATAGTGACTAAGTCTCATGAGATATGATGGATTTATCAGGGGTTTCCGCTTTTGCTTCCACCTCATTTTTCTCTTGCTGCCACCATGTATGAAGTGCCTTTTGCCTCCTGACATGATTCTGAGGCCTCCCCTGCCATGTGGAACTGTAAGTCCAATTAAACCTCTTTTTCTTCCCAGTCTCAGGTATGTCTTTATCAGCAGCATGAAAATGGACTAATACAGTAAATTGGTACCAGTAGAGTGAAGTGTTGCTGAAAAGATACCCGAAAATGTGGAAGTGACTTTGGAACTGGTATCAGGCAGAGGTTGGAACAGTGTGGAAGGCTCAGAAGAAGACGGGAAAATGTGGGAAAGTTTGGAACCTCCTAGAGACTTTTTGAATGGTTTTGACAAAAATGCTGATAGTGATATGAACAATGAGGTCCAGGGTGAGGTGGCCTCAGATGGAGATGAGGAACTTATTGGGAACTGGAGCAAAGATGACTCTTTTTGCCCCTGCCCTAGAGACTTGTGGAACTTTGAACTTGAGAGAGATAATTTAGGATATCTGGCAGAAGAAATTTCTAAGCAGCAAAACACTTAAGAGGTGACCTGGGTTCTGTTAAAGGCATTCAGTTTTAAAAGGGAAACAGAGCATAAAAGTTCAGAAAATTTTCAGCCTGACAATGCAATAGAAAAGAAAATCCCATTTTTTGAGGAGAAATACAAGCTGGCTGCAGAAATTTGCATGAGTAACAAGGAGCTAAATGTTAATTCCCAAGACAATGGGGAGAATGTCTCCAGGGCATGTCAGAGGTCTTCACAACAGCCCATCTCATCACAGGGCAGAGTGTAGGAGGAAAACATGGATTCATGGGCTGGGCCTAGGGTTCCTGTGCTAGGGACTTGGTGTCCTTCATCCCAGCCACTACAGCCATAACTAAAAGGGGCCAAAGTACAGGTCAGGCTGTGGCTACAGAGGGTGCAAGCCCCAAGCCCTGGCAGCCTCTATGTAATGTTTAAGCCTGCGGGTGCACAGAGGTCAAGAATTGAGGTTTGGAAACCTCTTCCTAGGTTCCAGAAGATGTATGGAAAGACCTGGATGTCTAGGCAAAAGTTTGCTACAGGGGTGGGGCCCTCATGGAGAACCTCTGCTAAGGCAGTACAGAAGAGAAATGTGGCGTTGAAGCTGCCACATAGAGTCCCTACTGGGGCACTGCCTAATGGAGCTGTGAGAAAAGGGTCATCATCCTGCAGACCCCAGAATGGTAGATCAACCAACAGCTTGCACCTTGCACCTGGAAAAGCCGCAGACATTCAATGCCAGCCCGTGAAAGCAGCCGGAAGGAGGCTGTACCTTGCAAAGCCATAGGGGCAGAGCTGCTCAAGATCACGGAAACCCACCTCTTGCATCAGTGTGACCGGGATTTGAGACAGGAGTCAAAGGAGATCATTTTGTAACTTTAAGATTTGACTACCCTGCTGGATTTTGGACTTGTGTGGGGCCTGTAGCCCCTTTGTTTTGGCCAATTTCTCCCATTAAAATGGCTCTATTTACTCAATGCCTGTACCCCCACTGTATCTAGTAAGTAACTAACTTGCTTTTGATTTTCTAGGCTCATAGGTAGAAGGGACGTGCCTTGTCTCAGATGGGACTTTGGACTTGGACTTTTGGGTTAATGCTGAAATGAGCTGAGACTTTGGGGAACTATTGGAAAGGCATGATTAGTTTTGAAATGTGAGTATATGAGATTTGGGAGGGGACAGGGTGGAATGATATGGTATGGCTGTGTCCCCACCCAAATCTCAACTTTAATTGTATCTCTCAGAATTCCCATGTGTTATGGGAGGGGCCCAGTAGGAGGTAATTCAATCATGGGGCAGGTCTTTCCTGTGCTATTCTCGTGATGGTGAATAAGTCTCACAAGATCTGACGAGCTTATAGGGGTTTCTGCTTTTGCTTCTTCCTGATTTTTCTCCTGCCACCACCATGTAAGAAGTGCCTTTTACCTCCCACCATGATTCTAAGGCCTCCCCAGCCATGTGAAACTGTAAGTCCAATTAAACATCTTTTTCTTCCCAGTCTTGGGTATACCTTTATCAGCAGCATGAAAACGGACTAATACAGTCATGAATCCATTTTCCTTTTAATCTTCTAAAGGCTTTATTATTTTGCCTCTAATACTCAGACCCATAATCCTAGACTTGTTTTTTTTAATGGTATGAGGTAAATGTCTAATATTACTTTTTATCATAAGGATACCCAGTTGTCCCAGTACCTTTTATTGTAAGCTCTGTCCTTTCCACTGTTTTGCAGTTCCGTCTGTGCCATAGGCAAGTGTCTCTAAATCTACTTCTGAACCCTCCATTCCATTTTATTTGTCTATGTCCATGGGCAAATACTGTCCTACCTTAGATATTATAGCTTTGTAATGAGTGTTGCTATAGAAAATGCCCTCCTACCTTGTTGTTCTTCTTCATAAGTGTCTTTTTAACTCTTGAACCTTTGCATTACATTTTGGAAACTATTTGCCAAGTTCTAAAAAAGAAGTCCTATTGAGGGTTGTTTAATATTGTAATGAATGTATGAATAAATTTGGCAAGAATGGAGAGCTTTGCAAAATAAAGAACATTGTATACATTTTCACTTACTGAGGTCTTCTTTAATTTTAATTTCTCTTATAAAGTTGTTTTGTCTTTTTTTCATTAAGAAAGTAAAAGAATAAAGAATGGCTACTCCATAGGCAGAGCAGCCTCTTGTAAAGTTTTATTGTTTCTTTGCAGAGGTGCTATACAATCTTTTGCCAGATTCATTTCTACATATTTGGTGTCTTTGCTATTGAAAATAGAATCTTTAAAAAAACTGTGTCTTATTTTTTCTAGAACATAAAAATATAATTTATATTGATTTTATAAGCAACCTTGGTATACTAATATTAATACATATTAATATGAGTACTATGAATTCTAATAATTTTTGTGTACATTATGTTAGGTTGTCCATGTATAGGATATTGCCACCTATGAATGACAATTTTGCTTCCTTTTACCAGTGCTTATACCTTTTACTTATTTTTATTGCCTTGCTGTACTGGTTAGAACCTCCATTACAGTATTGAATAGAAGCATTGATAAGGGCCATTTTTGTCTTGTTCCTGACCTGAAAGAGAACATTCTCAGATTAAATAAGTTAACTTTTGGCTGGGCGCGGTGGCTCACTCCTGTAATCCCAGCACTTTGGGAGGCTGAGGCGGGTGGATCATGAGGTCAGGAGATCAAGACCATCCTGGCTAAAATGGTGAAACCCCGTCTCTACTAAAAATACAAAAAAAAAAAATTAGCCGGGCGTGGTGGTGGGCGCCTGTAGTCCCAGCTACTGGGGAGGCTGAGGCAGGAGAATGGTGTGAACCCGGGAGGCGGACCTTGCAGTGAGCCGAGATTGCACCACTGCACTCCAGCCTGGGCGACAGAGCAAGACTCCGTCTCAAAAAAAAAAAAAAGTAGTTACCTTATAGTTTTAGTTTGCTAGAAGTATATGTATGTATGAATGTATGTGTATATATATGTATATTACTATTATTAAATACTTTTTCTGATTCTATGTTTACCTTCTTTTTCTATTTCCTATTTCATATGCTATGCTTTATTCTGGAGAGTTTCTTCTAATCTAGCTTTCAGATTATCAATTCTTTAGCTATTTCTCATCTGCCGTTAATCTCATACACTGATTTTTTTTTTTTTTTTTTGAAATGGAGTTTTACTCCTGCTGCCCAGCCTGGAGTGCAATGGCATGATCTCAGCTCGCTGCAACCTCTGTCTCCGAGGTTCAAGCGATTCTCCTGCCTCAGTCTCCTGAGTTGCTGGGATTACAGGCACCCACCACCATACCTGGCTAATTTTTGTATTTTTAGTAGAGACAGGGTTTCACCATGTTGGCCAGGCTGATCTTGAACTCCTGACCTCAGGTGATCCACCCACCTTGGCCTCCCAAAGTGTTGAGATTACAAGTATGAGCCACCACGCCCAGCCTAATGCACTGAATTCTTAATATCAGTTATCAGTTTTGGAATTGATATTTGCTTATTTTTCAAAATTTTAAATGTCAGTGTTCATAATTTTAAATTCCTTGCTTAAAATTTTAAGCTCAGCTTTCATCTCCATGAACACAGTAAGCAGTGTTGTTTTATAATCTGTTTGTGATAATTTCTACAGATGCCTTTTGTTTTCGCTGGTTCTGGCTCAGGTTCTTTCTCTTCATGTACCTTGCACTTTGGTTATTTACTAGACATTGAATTAAAAATGCTCACAGAAATAATTTGATATGTAAGTATATTAGCCTCTTCCAATGAACATGCTGCATCCTTCTGCCGTATTCCTGAAAGCATTAAAAGTCCAGGACCAAAGCTTGAAGCCTTTTTAATTGCTCCAGTTATCAAGGATCCCAGCTGACTGCTGCAGTTTTTCACTCAGATTCCTTCATGATCTTTCCAAAGCCCTGTCCTCCTCCCTGAGTTGGTGAATGCCCCAGTGCTTACCCTCAGTTTTTCACAAAAGAATCTCTGATTTGGAGTAGCTATCCAAATTTCCAAAAGGAGATCTTCACTTGTCACATTCGTTCCTCACCATCTTGTTAAGTTCTTTAAGAGGTTGTTATTTTTATTATTAATTATAAAAAATACTGAATAGTTATTTTTTAGTTTAGCAGAAAGGTTGGTCTGAAATACTAATCTGTCATTATTGGTTTTCTTTTTTTTTTATTATTATACTTTAAGTTTTAGGGTACATGTGCACAATGTGCAGGTTAGTTACGTATGTATACATGTGACATGCTGGTGCGCTTCACCCACTAACTCGTCATCTAGCATTAGGTATATCTCCCAATGCTATCCCTCCCCCTCCCCCCACCCCACAACAGTCCCCAGAGTGTGATGTTCCCCTTCCTGTGTCCATGTGTTCTCATTGTTCAATTCCCACGTATGAGTGAGAATATGCGGTGTTTGGTTTTTTGTTCTTACGATAGTTTACTGAGAATGATGATTTCCAATTTCATCCATGTCCCTACAAAGGACATGAACTCATCATTTTTTATGGCTGCATAGTATTCCATGGTGTATATGTGCCACATTTTCTTAATCCAGTCTATCATTGTTGGACATTTTGGTTGGTTCCAA
The DNA here is from genome assembly GCF_000001405.40 of Homo sapiens. NCBI lineage: Eukaryota > Metazoa > Chordata > Mammalia > Primates > Hominidae > Homo > Homo sapiens. The sequence goes on along the minus strand of NC_000002.12, from coordinate 158,283,863 downwards.
GTCTTTGCTATTGTCAATAGTGCCACAATAAACATACATGTGCATGTGTCTTTATAGCAGCATGATTTATAGTCCTTTGGGTATATACCTAGTAATGGGATGGCTGGGTCAAATGGTATTTCTAGTTCTAGATCCCTGAGGAATCGCCACACTGACTTCCACAATGGTTGAACTAGTTTACAGTCCCACCAACAGTGTAAAAGTGTTCCTATTTCTCCACATCCTCTCCAGCACCTGTTGTTTCCTGACTTTTTAATGATTGCCATTCTAACTGTTGTGAGATAGTATCTCATTGTAGTTTTGATTTGCATTTCTCTGATGGCCAGTGATGATGAGCATTTTTTCCTGTGTCTTTTGGCTGCATAAATGTCTTCTTTTGAGAAGTGTCTATTCATATCCTTTGCCCACTTTTTGATGGCGTTGTTTTTCACTTGTAAATTTGTTTGAGTTCTTTGTAGATTCTGGATATTAGCTCTTTGTCAGATGAGTAGATTGCAAAAATTTTCTCCCATGTTGTAGGTTGCCTGTTCACTCTGATGGTAGTTTCTTTTGCTGTGCAGAAGCTCTTTAGTTTAATTAGATCCCATTTGTCAATTTTGGCTTTTGTTGCCATTGCTTTTGATGTTTTAGACATGAAGTCCTTGCCCATGCCTGTGTCCTGAATGGTAATGCCTAGGTTTTCGTCTAGGGTTTTTATGGTTTTAGGTCTAACGTTTAAGTCTTTAATCCATCTTGAATTGATTTTTGTATAAGGTGTGAGGAAGGGATCCGGTTTCAGCTTTCTACATATGGCTAGCCAGTTTTCCCAGCACCATTTATTAAATAGGGAATCCTTTCCCCATTGCTTGTTTTTCTCAGGTTTGTCAAAGATCACATAGTTGTAGATATGCAGCGTTATTTCCGAGGGCTCTGTTCTGTTCCATTGATCTATATCTCTGTTTTGGTACAAGTACCATGCTGTTTTGGTTACTGTAGCCTTGTAGTGTAGTTTAAAGTCAAGTAGCGTGACGCCTCCAGCTTTGTTCTTTTGGCTTAGGATTGACTTGGCGATGTGGGCTCTTTTTTGGTTCCATATGAACTTTAAAGTAGTTTTTTCCAATTCTGTGAAGAAAGTCATTGGTAGCTTGATGGGGATGGCATTGAATCTATAAATTACCTTGGGCAGTATGGCCATTTTCACAATATTGATTCTTCCTACCCATGAGCATGGAATGTTTTTCCATTTCTGTGTATCCTCTTTAATTTCATTGAGCAGTGGTTTGTAGTTCTCCTTGAAGAGGTCCTTCACGTCCCTTGTAAGTTGGATTCCTAGGTATTTTATTCTCTTTGAAGCAATTGTGAATGGGAGTTCACTCATGATTTGGCTCTCTGTTGGTCTGTTATTGGTGTATGGGAATGCTTGTGATTTTTGTACATTGATTTTGTATCCTGAGACTTTGCTGAAGTTGCTTATCAGCTTAAGGAGATTTTGGTCTGAGACAATGGGATTTTCTAGATATACAATCATGTCATCTGCAAACAAGGACAATTTGACTTCCTCTTTTCCTAATTGAATACCCTTTATTTCCTTCTTCTGCCTGATTGCCCTGGCCAGAACTTCCAACACTATGTTCAATAGGAGTGGTGAGAGAGGGCATCCCTGTCTTGTGCCAGTTTTCAAAGGGAATGCTTCCAGTTTTTGCCCATTCAGTATGATATTGACTGTGGGTTTGTCATAGATAGCTCTTATTATTTTGAAATACGTCCCATCAATACCTAATTTATTGAGAGTTTTTAGCATGAAGCGTTGTTGAATTTTGTCAAAGGCCTTTTCTGCATCTATTGAGATAATCATGTGGTTTTTGTCTTTTGTTCTGTTTATATGCTGGATTACATTTATTGATTTGTGTATATTGAACCAGCCTTGCATCCCAGGGATGAAGCCCACTTGATCATGGTGGATAAGCTTTTTCATGTGCTGCTGGATTCGGTTTGCCAGTATTTTATTGAGGATTTTTGCATCAATGTTCATCAAGGATGTTGGTTTAAAGTTCTCTTTTTTTGTTGTGTCTCTGCCCGGCTTTGGTATCAGGATGATGCTGGCCTCATAAAATGAGTTAGGGAGGATTCCCTCTTTTTCTATTGATTGGAATTGTTTCAGAAGGAATGGTACCAGTTCCTCCTTGCACCTCTGGTAGAATTCGGCTGTGAATCCATCTGGTCCTGGACTCTTTTTGGTTGGTAAGCTGTTGATTATTGCCACAATTTCACTTCCTGTTATTGGTCTATTCAGAGATTCAACTTCTTCCTGGTTTAGTCTTGGGAGAGTGTATGTGTCGAGGAATTTATCCATTTCTTCTGGATTTTCTAGTTTATTTGCGTAGAGGTGTTTGTACTACTCTCTGATGGTAGTTTGTATTTCTGTGGGATCGGTGGTGATATCCCCTTTATCATTTTTTATTGCGTCTATTTGATTCTTCTCTCTTTTCTACTTTATTAGTCTGCCAGCGGTCTATCAATTTTGTTGATCCTTTCAAGAAACCAGCTCCTGGATTCATTAATTTTTTGAAGGGTTTTTTGTGTCTCTATTTCCTTCAGTTCTGCTCTGATTTTCGTTATTTCTTGCCTTCTGCTAGCTTTTGAATGTGTTTGCTCTTGCTTTTCTAGTTCTTTTAATTGTGATGTTAGGGTGTCAATTTTGGATCTTTCCTGCTTTCTCTTGTGGGCATTTAGTGCTATAAATTTCCCTGTACACACTGCTTTGAATGTGTCCCAGAGATTCTGGTATGTTGTGTCTTTGTTCTCGTCGGTTTCAAAGAACATCTTTATTTCTGACTCCATTTCGTTATGTACCCAGTAATCAATCAGGAGCAGGTTGTTCAGTTTCCATGTAGTTGAGCAGTTTTGAGTGAGTTCCTTAATCCTGAGTTCTAGTTTGATTGCACTGTGGTCTGAGAGATAGTTTGTTATAATTTCTGTTCTTTTACATTTGCTGAGGAGAGCTTTACTTCCAACTATGTGGTCAGTTTTGGAATAGGTGTGGTGTGGTGCTGAAAAAAATGTATATTCTGTTCATTTGGGGTGGAGAGTTCTGTAGATGTGTATTAGGTCCGCTTGGTGCAGAGCTGAGTTCAATTCCTGGGTATCCTTGTTGACTTTCTGTCTCGTTGATCTGTCTAATGTTGACAGTGGGGTGTTAAAGTCTCCCGTTATTAATGTGTGGTAGTCTAAGTCTCTTTGTAGGTCACTCAGGACTTGCTTTATGAATCTGGGTGCTTCTGTATTGGGTGCATATATATTTAGGATAGTTAGCTCTTCTTGTTGAATTGATCCCTTTACCATTATGTATTGGCCTTCTTTGTCTCTTTTGATCTTTGTTGGTTTAAAGTCTGTTTTATCAGAGACTAGGATTGCAACCCCTGCCTTTTTTTGTTTTCCATTTGCTTGGTACATCTTCCTCCATCCCTTTATTTTGAGCCTGTGTGTGTCTCTGCATGTGAGATGGGTTTCCTGAATACAACACACTGATGGGTCTTGACTCTTTATCCAATTTGCCAGTCTGTGTCTTTTAATTGGAGCATTTAGTCCATTTACATTTAAAGCTAATATTGTTATGTGTGAATTTGAACCTGTGATTATGATGTTAGCTGGTTATTTCACCCATTAGTTGATGCAGTTTCTTCCAAGTCTCGATGCTCTTTACATTTTGGCATGATTTTGCAGTGGCTGGTACCACTTGTTCCTTTCCATGTTTAGTGCTTCCTTCAGGAGCTCTTTTAGGGCAGGCCTGGTGGTGACAAAATCTCTCAGCATTTGCTTGTCTGTAAAGGATTTTATTTCTCCTTCACTTATGAAGCTTAGTTTGGCTGGATATGAAATTCTGGGTTGAAAATTCTTTTCTTTAAGAATGTTGAATATTGGCCCCCACTCTCTTCTGGCTTGTAGAGTTTCTGCCGAGAGATCCGCTGTTAGTCTGATGGGTTTCCCTTTGTCGGTAACCCGACCTTTCTCTCTGGCTGCCCTTAACATTTTTTCCTTCATTTCAACTTTGGTGAATCTGACAATTATGTGTCTTGGAGTTGGTCTTCTCGAGGAGTATCTTTGTGGCGTTCTCTGTATTTCCTGAATCTGAACGTTGGCCTGCCTTGCTAGATTGGGGAAGTTCTCCTGGATAATATCCTGCAGAGTGTTTTTCAACTTGGTTCCATTCCCCCTGTCACTTTCAGGTACACCAATCAGATGTAGATTTGGTCTTTTCACATAGTCCCATATTTCTTGGAGGCTTTGTTCATTTCTTTTTATTCTTTTTTCTCTAAACTTACCTTCTCACTTCATTTCATTCATTTCATCTTCCATCACTGATACCCTTTCTTCCAGTTGATCACATCGGCTCCTGAGGCTTCTGCATTCTTCACGTAGTTCTCATGCCTTGGCTTTCAGCTCCATCAGCTCCTTTAAGCACTTCTCTGTATTAGTTATTCTTGTTATACATTCATCTAAATTTTTTTCAAAGTTTTTAACTTCTTTGCCTTTGGTTTGAATTTCCTCCTGTAGCTCGTAGTTTGATCGTCTGAAGCCTTCTTCTCTCAACTTGTCAAAGTCATTCTCCGTCCAGCTTTGTTCCATTGTTGGTGAGGAACTGCGATCCTTTGGAGGAGGAGAGGTGCTCTGCTTTTTAGAGTTTCCAGTTTTTCTGCTCTGTTTATTCCCCATGTTTGTGGTTTTATCTACTTTTGGTGTTTGATGATGGTGATGTACAGATGGGTTTTTGGTGTGGATGTCCTTTCTGTTTGTTAGTTTTCCTTCTAACAGACAGGACCCTCAGGTGCAGGTCTGTTAGAGTTTGCTAGAGGTCCACTCCAGACCCTGTTTGCCTGGCTATCAGCAGTGGTGTCTGCAGAACAGTGGTTTTTCGTGAGCCATGAATGCTGCTGTGTGATCGTTCCTCTGGAAGTTTTGTCTCAGAGGAGTACCCGGCTGTGTGAGGTGTCAGTCTGCCCCTACTGGGGAGTGCCTCCCAGTTAGGCTGCTCAGGGGTCAGGGGTCGGAGACCCACTTGAGGAGGCAGTCTGCCCGTTCTCAGATCTCCATCCGCGTGCTGGGAGAACCACTGCTCTCTTCAAAGCTGTCAGACAGGGACATTTAATTCTGCAGAGGTTACTGCTGTCTTTTTGTTTGTCTGTGCCCTGCCCCCAGAGGCGGAGCCTACAGAGGCAGGCAGGCCTCCTTGAGCTGTGGTGGGCTCCACCCAGTTGTAGCTTTGAGGCTTCTTTGTTTACCTAAGCAAGCCTGGGCAATGGCGGGCGCCCCTCCCCCAGCCTCGCTGCCACCTTGCAGTTTGATCTCAGACTGCTGTGCTAGCAATCCGTGAGACTCCATGGGTGAAGGACCCTCCCAGCCAGGTGCAGGATATAATCTCCTGGTGCGCCATTTTTTAAGCCCATCGGAAAAGTGCGGTATTAGGGTGGGAGTGACCCGATTTTCCAGGTGCCGTCTGTCACCCCTTTCTTTGACTAGGAAAGGGCACTCTCTGATCCCTTTCGCATCCCGAGTGAGGCAATGTCTCACCCTGCTTAGGCTCGTGCATGGTGAGCTGCACCCACTGACCTGCACCCACTGTCTGGCACTCCCTAGTGAGATGAACCCGGTACCTCAGATGGAAATGCAGAAATCACCCGTCTTCTGCGTCACTCACACTGGGAGCTGTAGACTGGAGCTGTTCCTATTCGGCCATCTTGGCTCCTCCGGTTTTATTTTCAAATAAATTTATGTTTTAAAAAATGAGTCAATTTAAGGAAAAATGTTAATAACATAGATTATTTGTGGATCTGGTTAGAAGGGGACACTCTAATGACTGAGGTTTACCAAACACAGTGTAGTGGCTAGAACCACAGGTGCTAGTCAAATTGACTTGGTCTTGTCTTATCTAGATCATTTGTGAGTTTGTTTACATTGAACATGTTACTAACCCCTCTAAGCCTCAGTTTCTTTGTATATAAAATAATGAAAATAAAAAACATAACTCCTTTGGGAGGCTGAAGTGGGCGGATCACAAGGTCAGGAGATTGAGACCATCCTGGCTAACACGGTGAAACCCCATCTCTACTAAAAATACAAAAAATTAGCTGGGCATGATGGCGGGCGCCTGTAGTCCCAGCTACTCGGGAGGCTGAGGCAGGAGAATGGCGTGAACCTGGGAGGTGGAGCTTACAGTGAGGCGAGATCACGCCACTGCACTCCAGCCTGGGCAACAGAGCAAGACTCTGTCTCAAAAACAAAAAAAAACAAAAAAACATAACTCACTGTGTTGTTGTGAGTATTGAAAGGGGCCATGCCTGTAAATGACATGGTGTAGTTCCTGGCATTTAGTATAGTAAACACTTCACAGCATTTAGCTATTATTTCCCCTATTTGTGAGTCAGACAGAAAAATGACCATAGTATATATTTAGATCAATCATTATTCTCCTTGACTATGACAAAACATTAGCTTAATTTGGAACATTCTCAGTAGGTGTGAATGGTAAGTATCAGGAATGGTCATTATCACCTCAAGGAAATGTAGGCCAAATCCTTTAAAGGACTTTTTGCATGAAATAGCCAACCCTGCTGTGAATAGCCATTGAAGTTGTATACTGTACTGCCCAACTTTATGCAAATGTTATCATCCCCTCGAGTTGTGATGTGCATTTATTCAACTTGCACAACTAACTACATGCAATGGCACTGGGAAAATTCTTCAATAATGGTATAGTCTCTATACATTTGCAATATTAATTTGCAAACCACCATTGGACTTAAGGTACCTGAATTTCTTCATCTGTCAAAGAGGAGAGTTGAGCTACATTATCTCCAGCTCTAAACTTCTGTGATTTGCATGTAAAATGCAATGTCAGTATCTCTGTAGTGGATTTACATCTTTTAGTAAATTTCTAGTATTAGCTGGGCAGTTTGGAATTTGTAGGCTGATAATTAGCATGAAACATCATACTTTTTCTATTTGTCATATTAACAAAGCATACATATTCTAGAACAAATGTGTGACATTTAAAATCACAGGGCTTAGTCTGACCTAAGTGGCCTTTTCAAAGTCTGTTTCAGCACCATAATTATCTGTGTATAAAGGACCGTATCAAATGCCTTCTTCACAATTTCAAATGGCTGAAAGAAAAGTCCTCATCAGTGATAAAGGAAATGCTGTCTTGTGTGTCTGAATGGAGTTTCAGCTCACTTAATGTGATAACTTCATGCCCAGTCTTAAAGGCAGCTCACGAGTATAATGAGGCAGTTGTTTTGTTTTGTTTTGTTTTGTTTTGTTTTGTTTTGTTTTGAGACTGAGTCTCACTCTGTCACCCAGGCTGGAGTGCAGTGGCGTGATCTCGGCTCACTGCAACCTTCGCCTCCCATAACGAGGCAGTTTTTTTGTTTGTTTTTTGTTTTTGTTTTTGTTTTGAGACCGAGTCTCACTTTGTCTCCCAGGCTGGAGTGCAGTGGTGTGATCTCAGCTCACTGCAACCTCCGCTTCCCAGGTTCAAGAGATCCTTGTGCCTCAGCCTCCCAAATAGCTGGGATTACAGGTGCATGCCACCAGGCCCGGCTAAATTTTTTTGTATTTTTAGTAGAGACAGGGTTTCACCATATTGGCCAGGCTGGTCTTGAACTCCTGACCTCGAGTGATCCACTCGCCTCTGCCTCCCAAAGTGCTGGGATTACAGGCGTGAGCCACTGAGGCAAGGCGGTTTTTAATGCAAACCCAGTAAACTCCCAGTGTCTCATCCTGACCTGAGAAGACTCTTGAAAAGCTCCAAGTCATATAAATAACTTAGAACCACATATCACCATTTTACATGTTAATCCTTTTACTTAACCAAATCCATTTACTCTTTTTTTTTTTGATAAATTAGACATTTTTTAAAGCCTTTCAGGAATCTATAGGTATAATGATAATTCTTTGATTTTAAAGTGAATAGATGTTCAGGCCATAAATTTCTATGGGTACAGAGAAGTACTGATGATGTGCATAGAAGAGTCTGTCTGGAACTTCCATTGTAAGAGAAACCCTCATCATAGGATATACTTTTTCAGAGTCATCATGACTACTTACACTCTTCCAAAGCAATAGTAATTTCTCCAGAGTTTTTTTTTTTTTCAATTTAAATTTTTCCCATCAAGAATCTTTTAGAAAATACTTTGCATAAATATAACCAACTGCAACTCTGACTTCCAGCTGTCACCAAAGGCCTCTAAAGAATATACTTTGATGATAAAACTAGATTGACAGGGATTTGATAAAGAAAGAGACTCCAAAAAGCCACAGAACCGTTAGGCCTCTTTGTTCATATAAATTCCCTAGTATAAAGCCATAGAGAAGTGCTAATATCAAAAAGTTCTTTATTTTTTGAGAAAGGAAAAACCTAATTATTACCTAGAAGCAAATGGCCTGGCTCCCACTCGTGCATCCAGATGCTATGAATGGAAACCTATTATATTGTCTAAACCTAAATAATATAACAATCACAATTAGTTCTCTTCCTTAATTTTGCAAAATACTTTGACATATATTTTCCTGTCATCAGAGCTATCTTATAAGAGAGGACAAATTATTATCCTGAAGCCACAGGTAAGGACATTGAGTCACAGAAAATTGGCTAGCCAGAAGTTACACAGCTCATTGGCATTTGATTTGGGACTAGAATTTATTCTACAGATTCTTAGCGATGGCATTTCCCAAAGACTACAGAATCACTTATGAGGAAGTAGGGATGAAGGGGAGAATGCTGCTCAGAGAAAAGAGAGCAAGTGTTTCTTCTTCCTCCTCCTCCTTTTCCTTGTTCCTTGCCCTCCAACACTCCTGCCAAGGCAAAGTGAGTTGGCCTTGTTCCCACATTTTGTGGCCAATTTATAGAATTCATATAAATCCGTGTGACTCTGTTGACTTGCTCCTTTCATCTTGAAATCCTTTTATCTTTGCTTCTGAGAATCTTCACTGGCCAGTTTTTCTTCTGGTCCCCAGCCACCTGTCAGACTCACTTGGACTATAGTAGTATTCTCCCACATTGACTTCTCTACCACCAGCCTTGTGATCCTAAATCCATCTTCCAAATAGCCACCAGAATAATCTACTTGAAACAAATCTGACCATGTTACTTTCCTGCTATAAACTTGTTGGATGGCTTCTCATAACCGTTGGTTGTCAATTCTCTTAGACCCAATGCTCCCTTTTTGTAACAAATACTCTATAATATTTCATTTACTCTCCCCGAATGAAATCCATAGGAAATATAGTTGGCTGACTTACACAGCTTGAAAATAAAATTAATGCCTGAACAGTAATGTAAAAGAGAAATAAAAATAAAATAACTGAGCATAAAATAATATATATTTTAATGTGTAAATATTTGGATGTGACATCACCAGGAGACACATTGGCCAGTTGCTTGCACCTATGTTTAACACAGTGACTATGACAGCTGCAGGTGTCGATGGATCTAGATGTTTGTATTCATGACTCAAACCCATGAATGGTGTTGCTGTCAGTAATTTTCTAAAATGGAAAAATTCAGGGACATAGTCTATAACATCTTTTCATACTTTAATGTAAACCTGAATCACCTGAAAATCTCTTTAAACTGCCGATTCTGGGGTGAAGCCTGAGACTGCATATCTAACAAGCTCCTAGATGATACTTGTGCTGCTGGTTCACAAACTACATGTTGAATAGCCAGAGCCTAAACTTGGGGAACTTCATTTGTATTCAGAAGCTAATGACATCTAGGGACATTCCAGTAAAATCTGAAGTCCCATGCAAAACTTCATGAATTCTCGCTTCTAGTATGGGGTCATCTATATGTTGGAGTAACTGTTATCCTGGAACATAGCCCTGGAGGCCAGTAACCCTTGGCTCTGAGCCCAGAGGAAGGGCCAGGGAGTTGCAAAGAAAACACTATCCTCTTTTCTGGGGAATCGGTGGCTGACGTTGGAATCCTTTCCTAAGCACTTGTAATATTTTTTTTTGGTTGGGTGGGGGAGGCACAGTGTAGCAAGGTAGATCATGCTGAACCTAAATTGACCCTATAAGTTCATGTCATAAATCTCTGCAGTTGCCTGAGACAGATGCATGAGAGTTAGTGATGGAGGGATGGCACAGTGAATGAGTCCATCAAATCAGCAAGTAATAAGCATGATTCATTTCTGTAAGGAACCCAGAATCACTGTGGCACAGAAATACTAGAGGGAATGCAGGGTCAGCTAGCACCTCTAGGGTGTGGCATCTTTGTGAGCGTCGGGAGATGGCATTCAAAGAGAGCTTCTGTAAGAGCAGCTGCAGATTTAGTGGATGCATAGTAGGAGATGGCAGATCTTCCCCTGAGGTCTGCAAACAAAGACGCACGTGCCCATCAGGCACTTTCTTGTTAGTGTATCTTCTGTTACACCCCAGAAGTACTTTGGGGGACATTTTATAGTGGAAGGAGGTAAGCATGAGGAGGCAATAACATTTTTACACAAATATAAATATGATTTCATGTGTAATCACTGCTCAAAGAAATCTCGGGACATTGGGGGTATATTGTTATTATGTTTACTACTAATCAGGTCCTTCACTGTTGTTCCCTATATATCATGCCTGCAATCACCAAAATATAGACTTTTAACCCATCTTCATCTTCTTTTAGCTTGATGCCTTCTGTATCAGGTCTGTATGACTCCTATCAAAATTTTCCTCTGATTGTTATAAAATGTTCATCTAAATCATAATTTGTAGCACAGAAAGAAAATCCTTTCTTGGTTCTTTTTTCATAGCCAGTTACTCACTTCTCACATCCTCCAGCCTCTTCCAAAGTCATCATCTCATATTAGAAGAAAAAGTGAATCCACTTCATATGTTTCCAAGGCTTTAAATCCTTTTTAAATTGACAAACAATAATTACATATATTTATAGAGAGCAATGTGGTGTTATGCTGTATGTATACATTGTGGGATGATTAAGTCATGCTAATTAATATATCCATCACCTCACCTGCTTATCACAAGACTTCAAATTCTGAGAGGAGTTTTTATGGTGGATGAGATACATTCTGGATTTCATTGTTTCATGCTTTCCCAGTGAATGAGCAGAAGTATAGGAGTTGGTATGCTTGACTCAAGACCAGTTCTTCTTGAACGTTGAGTGGATACTCCAAGAAGATAGATTCCCCACATCAGACCTGCATTTGGCTGCCTCATCCTCTGCAATAAGCTACTATACATCCATCTCGGCACAGCACTGTGCATCCTACTCTCAGGGGCTGGGGATTCTGCAGCTTCATCAAAAGGTCTGAGTCTGCCTTGCCTGGAGACAGCTTCATATTTAACCTATAGTTAAGGCATTATAGAGTTTCCTCTTTTTCTCATCTATGTCAAAGATAAGAATTACCAAAGAATTGGCAGTAGTTGTGTACTTTTTCTTTTTGACTTTTATTCAAGAATACTTTATTCCATTCATCCGAGAACTATACTTCACCTTCCATAAACCAGAGGTATAGAGAAATATTACTGTACCCTTCTTCTCCATCAATGAGACCAGTGTGCATTTAGGACTCATATACTGTCTTGGTCTCTACCTCTAGCACATGCTCTGCTTGTTACTGAGATTGTTCCAAGATGATTCTTAAGTCTGAAATTGAGCTAAAGTTCTTTGTGCTTTCCCCAGAATTTCCCACTATAAATCTTCTTATGAAACCTCTTGGAATGCTGTCTTTAAGCTTGTTAGACAATTTTCATGTCATCTAAGAGCTAACTTATATTTTGTCCTGATATTAACCAACTGAACATCAGCCCTGCCTTTTGAACTTGGATTGGAGAAGTGGAAATGGAAAAGAAGGATCAAATAAAACAAAGAATGAATTAATGCAACTTGTCACATGGAAGCAAAGGATGTAGGATGCCTGAGATTTCTAAGCTAAAGTAGTTAGGGAAATAGAGAAACAGGAAGAGCAATTCACTTTTGTGACAAAATCAGTAAGCTTGGTTTTAAGGCATGTTGTTTAAATGACAGTAGTAACCCTAAATAAAAATACTTAGTAGTCACATATCTGATTTCCATACTATAATAGTTCCCCCTTATCCATGAGGAATACAGTCCAAGACCCCCAGTAGATGCCTAAAACCACAGATAGTACCAAATTCTGTATTTATATTATTTTCCTATGATAAAGTTTAATTTATAAATCAGGCACAGTAAGAGCTGAACAAGAATAATAATAAGACAATTATAGCAACATATTGCAATACAAGTTATATGAACGTGGTCTCTCACTCTCAAAATACTTTACTGTACTGTGCTCACCTTTCTACTTCTGATCTGTTGATTTGATAACCAAGATGGCTGCAAAGTGACTAATGGGCAGGTAGTGCATACAGCATGGATGTGCTAAACAAGGGAATGATTCATCTGGCCAGGATACTGCAGGACGGCACAAAATTTCATCGCACTACTCAGAACAGCATGCAACTTAAAATTTATGAATGTTTTATTTTTGAAATTTTCCATTTAATATGTTTCTAACCATGGCTGACCTTGGGTAACTGAAACTGTGGAAAGTGAAACCATAGATAAGGGGGGACTACTGTTAAGAAGCATAGATATATTGCAAGGTATTCATTTAGTGGTGAATTAGTAATTGAGAGATTTAGAAAAGTATATATAAAAGCCTCAAAGTAGCTTATTAACCCCCCCAAAATCTTCTTCATTAAATCTATTAGATGATGAAAGTGAAAGTGATGATGATTATGCTGAAACAGTGAATGGATCAATTTCACAAAGGCACTATGTTACAAATGTTTGCAATGCTTGGTTATAAAACTAAACAATTATTTATAGAATTTTCCCTTATACATTTTTATCTGAAATCAAATCCAATGTAGATTTTCCATTTGTCTCAGGAGCTATTTTCCAGCATTTATCTATGATGTTGTGAAACGTTGAATGAAATTCAGGAACTATCCTCTGATAGGGTGCACATATGTGGCTTCTGTCTACCACTGTATCAGCTTTTACCATTTTGAAAATACTAAGAGTGCTTTCTATAATTGGAAAAGTACTCCCCCCTGGTAACAGTGCCTGTGGATATAATCAACATGTATATGTAATATGCATGTGCCAGAAAGCTGTGCCAAAAAGAGTTGAGCTATATTTGTATCACCATCAAGGAACTTGAGAAATCTATCCTTCGGAATAGACTAGCTTTCTCGTGCTTGCTAACAAAAGCTACTTTTGTATGGACAGCCATGGCAAGTGGTGTCAGTTGTCAAAAGTGATAACAATCCAATCCTTTACAAGATCCCAGGTTTACCTATGAATTGTTCTCTATATGGACATTTCTTATGTGTAGGATTCATCTGAGTCACTTGAGTATAGCTTTAATGGTTGGTTATCAGAATCAAGGACTCTTTTCCTCGTACAAAGTAAAGTAACCCTATCCTTTGCTATTTGCTTGTGTCCTAAATGATACAATGCTTAGTACACTTGTGTCATCTCTCCAGCCCTGGCATGAATCCTTGTGCAGAGTAATACCCCGCTTCTGTATGAGACCAAACCTATACAAGCCACCTCACTTGTTTTTCATATTATTCTCATGAGGATGTGTCACAAAATGTGCAGGTAAAATAAAACAATGCCAATTTACAAATGACTTTAGTGAAGAATAAATGTTAATGTTTAGCAAGTTTGACATTACTATTTTATTGCTTTTCAATAAGTCTAAAATACTGTGTTCATATATCTCCTTATGATTCTAATTGAAGAGACATACTTAAGTATTAAAAATCCAACAGTTTAGCCATGTAACTTTGCAATCTTATATCTCATGCTTGAAGACATGCCTAAAAATATTACTCACCAAAGAAGGAAAAAATGCATACTTGTGTTCCTTACAGAGAATATTAGTGTAGGTTCTACTTTGTTCTGTTGTTAACTTCCCTTTTGAACTGAAATACTTTCTACTTTGTTCTGTTATTTACTTCCTTTAGACTTAGCAGGGATAGCACCTAAAGTGGAGCCCAAGACAAGGGCTTATGTGCAGGTAATTTATTTCAGAAAATGACATACATCAAGGAAGAAAAGTAGAGGCTTTGAAAGAGTCAAACAAGGAAGGAGGAAAAGCCATTCCAAGGATGCATTATTTTGTTGGTCACCACTATGGGCACTACAGTGTTCATCTGTGTTCATTCCAATTAGGTATCCTGTGAGGAGCCACAGAGAATGTGCCTTATAACTATTCTTCCAAGGGGAAGGGGTGGAAGAGAGAAACATGTACTCATCAGCTTCTCTCCACCAGTGGTCAAGGGTTGACCAATAGGGTATAAACTTTCTTGCATTTCTAGGTTTACACATGCTTCAGAATGAATAAGTTTTTGCAAACACTTTACATGGGGGTTGGAGGGCAGAGAAACCCTGGAGCAGAAAGTGAGATACATGGCACAAGTGAGATAAGGTTGAGTTGCTGCCAGGTCCTACCTATGAGCAGCTGGTTGCCACAACAATAGCTGCAGTTAAGAGGTTGGCCAAGAGCCAACAGGTACATGAACATGTGCTCAAACATGAGGGAAATGCAGGTTAAAACCACCATGAGATACCGTCTCACACCTGAAAGGATGGCATGACCAAAAAGACAAGAGAGAATGAGCGTCAGTGAGATGTAGAGAAAAAGGAATTCTTCTACACTGTTGGTGGGCATGTAAATTGGTACAGCCATTATGAAAAAAATGGTATAGGTGTTCCTCATAAAATTAAAAGTAGAACTACCATATGCCCAGCAATTCATCTTCTGAATATATACCCAAAGAAAATGAAATTATCACCAATCAAAGATAGCTGCACTTCTGTGTTCATTATTCACAACAGTCAAGATATGGAAACAACCTAAGTGTCCATCAAGGGATGAAAGGATCAAGCAATTGTGGCATGTGTATATCCAACAGAATAGTATTCAGCCATAAAAAGAAGGAAATTCTGCCATTTGCAGCAACACGGATGAACCTGTGCTAAGTAAAATAAGTTAGAGAAAATAAAATACTGCATGATCTCACCTACATGTGGAATCTAAAAATGTTGAACTCATAGAAGCAGAGAGTAGAATGATGGTTACCAGGGGCAAGGGCATGGGAGGAAAGGGGAGATGACCATAGTCAAAGGGTACATACTTTCATTTATAAGATAAATAAGTTCAGGGGATCTAATATACAGCATGGTAACTATAGTTAACAGTCCTAAATTGTATATTTGAAATGTGCTTGAATATTCTCACCACAAAACAAAACAAAAAGGGTTACTAGGTGAGGTGATAAATGTGTTAACTAACTTGATTGTGGTAGTCATGTCACAAAATTCATAGATATAGAATCATCATGTTGTATACCTTAATATAATTTTGTTTGTCAATTATACCTCAATAAATCTGGAAAATTTTAAAAATTTGGTATAGAGGACGTGAGATGGTACACAGATGTTTGATTTATCAGCTAATAAAGAATAGTGAAGGAGGAGTTTAAAGGAGGTCAGGCAAATGCTTTAAAGGAGGTGTAAGATATTACTACACCCTATAAGAGGGCGTAAATCAACCCCTCTCCCCCAGAAAACTAGCCCTCCAAACTCTGACAATATCACGTGCTAGTGAAGAAGCACAACTGGAACCCTTATGCATTGCTGACGGACAGGCAGAAAAGTACAGCCATTTTGGAAAAACAGTTTGGCAGTTTTTTATAAAGTTAAACATGTACGACTCAGCAATGCTACTGATTATTTATCCAAATGAAATAAAAACTTATGTTCACACAAAACCTGCACATGAATGTGTGTAGCAGCTTAATTTGTGATCATCAAAAACTGGAAACAACCCAAACGTCCTACAACTAATGAATGTATAAACAATCCGTGGTGCATCCATACAATGGAATACTTCTCAAAGTATTCAGAGGAATCAACCACTCATACATGGAACAACATGGATGAGCATCAGATACATTATGCTAAGTGGAAGAAGCCAACCACAAAGACTACATACTGTGTAATGCCTTTTATATAACGTTCTAGAAAAGGCAAAACTATAGGGACAGAAAATAGGGCTGAAGCCACTGTATCGTGAGTGAAGGACTGACCAGTCCGGGAGAAAAGGCAGAGAGATAATGGACACTTTTTCAGTTAAGACTGAGGTTTTATATTTATATGAAAGCAGAGTTAAATTCTTTTAGAGATCAATGACAATCTCTAATTTATATGTTTTTCTATTGTTAAAATGACATAGTTACTTATCTCCTGTTTAGTTCTAATACTATTATATGTCTGCTAATAGGTTATGACCTAGGGGTAGATGTAAAACACTGAATAACAACAGTCCTTGCCCTTAAAAACCTGTATTTTCTGATAGCGAAGGCAACTGTAAAATAAAATTTTCAATTCAGTGTGACTAATTATGTAAGAAGTACATGTCCTCGATATGGTGGTAATACCAAGAGTGAAATGATTGCCTTGTCTCGTCCTGGGTCTGGGAAGGCATTACAGAGGAAGAGATGCTTGAGCTGAGTCTAGGCAAGCAAATAACATTTTCCTATTAAAACAAGAGGTGTGTAGGTGTGGCAGGGCATTCCAGAAGTGGAGAAGACTATCCAAAGCCACGGGAGCTGCAAAAAAGCACGGCGAGTTTGATGTTTGGTGTGGGTGGAACACAGGTTGTATGTGGGGAGAAGAAAGGAATGAATGTTCTTTGACAGATAATAGAGGGCCTGGCATGTCATGCTAAGAATCGGAGTTTTATCTAGTTCGGGAGAGGTTGAAATTTGATAGCCTGAATATTAAGCTAGGGCTTCATATGTTTGTTTTTAAGAATGTGGGTATAATTTCATGCCCATCAATGGAGTGGTTAAAGAAACATATATATATGTGTATATATATATATACACACACACATATATATGTGTGCATATATATGTATATATGTGTGTGTATATATATATGTAAATAAATATATATATATGTAAATACACACACACACACAGACACACACACATATATGTACTGGAATACTAGTACTGAGCCATAAAAAGGAATGAAGTAATGGCATTTGTAGCAACCTGGATGGGATTGGAGACTATTATTCTAAGTGAGGTAACTCAGGAATGGAAAACCAAACACTTTATGTTCTCACACGTAAGTGGGAGCTAAGCTATGAGGATGCAAAGGCATAAGAATGACCAATGGACTTTGGGGCTCAGGGAGAAAGGGTGGGAAGAAAGTGAGGGATAAAGGACTACAAATTGGGTTCACTGTATACTGCTCGGGAAATGGGTGCACCAAAATCTCACAAATCACCACTAAAGAACTTATTCGTGTAGCCAGATACCACCTGTTTCCCCAAAAAACTATGGAAATAAATTAAAAAATTTAAAAAGAATGTGGGTGTATTTTCAACATGAACATTTTGGAAATTGTGCATACAAATCCAGGCTTCCAGCTTCTCTTGAAAAATTGGAACATCTGGTGACCGCAGGCCTACACTCATTCCTATGTGGCAGCAACTGGCTGGAGTCAAAGCAGCTGCCTCCCTTAAGTGCCTTGAGACGGAGCATGTGCCTCTTCCTCTGGGTGTAGTCCCAACCACCACCTGTCATTTTACACCCAGCCCCCTTTACTCACTTTTGTACCTGCCTGCCCCTGGCAAATATTTGAGCTTGTGCCTCTGCTGGAGACAGTGGGGAGCCAATGAAAGGCTTGAGGCATGGGAATCATGTGATCAGACTTTTCACTATAAAAGGATTAGTCAGGCGTGGATATGAAAGGTGGATTGACATGGGATAAATCTGAAAGTGGAGAACCAGTTAGGAAATAATTGCCAGTCTAGGAAAGAGATGAATGCTTAACTGAACTTAGTAGGGGGCTGGAGGTGAGTAACAGAGTCTAGATATATTAAGGATGATTTGGTGACAGGATGTGAAGGGTAATGGAGAAAAAGAAGTCTAGGGTGGCTCTTGGCTTAGGCAACCAACTGGGTGATCTGTGATGCCATTAATCTAGATATGGAATATAGATTCTCAGGGGAAGACAGTGATTCTGTTTTGAATGTGCTGCTTTTGGAGATATGTTGGCTACCCAACAGAGAGCTGAATAATTGGATCTGGAGCCAAGGATTTGGGAGCTGTGAGCACATTTGTGGTACTGAGGCCCCAGTGGGTTGAGTGAAAAGGAAAGAACCAAAAAGGAAACACAAGAGGAAGTGGACCCAGCTAGCCAAGGGAGATGTACAATTGGTGTTATTGATTCCGACATGCTACTAACTCTTTAAAATATACTTATAAATTATAAGTTAGAAACATTTTCTTATTAATTCAATAAATATACTTTAATTTATATACTAATGACAGTGGTATTCGAAGATTAAAATTTCCCCTTGTGTGAAGATTAAAGCTTCCATGGGATGTATATGATGCAGAGGAGTCACACGTATGAAAAAACTGACTCTTATGAAGAGACAAAGTAATTTTAAATGTAAAAAAACAAAAACCCAAGACATTTGCACATAATGATGTATAGGATTATTGGTTGGTTGCATTAGTTCTGTTATGACAGATAGCATCTTTTTCTAGCTGAGAGTAATTATCTGTAAGCAGGAAATGTTCAATAGAACATAGACTTGAAAGAGCAAATTCAAATTTCTGAACCTCCTAGCATAAGCGGCAATTAGATTCACACCATCATGCTTTATATGTTCTATTTAATACATTTTTATGGATTAGGACAGAGCTGTCTCCTTGGGTGAATAGTATAGAATTTTATATGAGGAATAGTATAGAATTTTATATGAGGGGTCATAGCTATTCCTTTAAGAAACATATGCAGAAGAAGTAATTCGAAGATTGGGGAAGCTGGAGGAATGTATAAATGAGCTTTGGTGGAGCTGTCATTTAGAAGTAAAACTGGCTAAATCTTGAACATAAAACAAATGAATTCAGAATAATGCACGTTATTCTAGTGTTTATCTACTCAGAACATTCATTTCAGAGGTTAACTAAGACTTTATGGAAAAGAATAAGATTTCCCATTTCCACGAACGTATTGTAATATCAGTATAGCATCCTGCTTTTTAGTATCTATTTGGAAAAAATTCAAGATGACTGGATTTATCGTCTTGTGAGTACTCAGAGAATTGATTTGTAACTTCCATTTAGCATTTTGGGGGATAATCTGGGTGAGGCCCCTGTGCATGGATATAATAGCCCCTTAATTTTACATTTTATCCTTTGCCTCCCCTCCCCACTTCTTTTTCTGTCTTGAAGATCTTGCTTCCTTTTCCCCCAGGTATATTCTGACTGTTCTTTCTAGAAGATAGCATTCAGAAAATGCACACATATCAACATGCACTATATTTAGTTTGAAATATTCATTGCTGAATAACATCCCACGTGAAGGGGGTTCTGCTGATGATAATGGAAGTCTCTTTCTTTTATGATTTTTTCCCAGTTAATAATCTTGTGATTTTTGTTTGAGAATCACATTCCATTCTTGGTCTCCTGTATAGCTAAGATGTAACAAGTGAAGAGATTAAAAGTACTGCCAGTTTCTTTAAATTATCAGTTGTTGATTCTGTGCTATATCTAGAAAGGAATGAGCTGATGACGGAAGAAGTATTCTCATTGAAGGTTTCCTATTTGGGTCCTATAAGTTAGTAAATCCATATACTGTAATCACTTTTATCATACTCTGTAATCACTTTCCTTAATTTTTGTTCTCAGCAGTGGTCTCCATTTTGTAGCTCCAAAATGGTCTTATTCTCATTAAAAAAAAAGTTACAGTGGTTACTGATCTATGAGCAGTTCTCTTGAGGGTTCTGTTCATTAAAATAATAACTCTAAAGGAAATATCAGACCTTTGAGGAGTATGGTTATGTTAATGTAAACCTGTACATTTAAGAATAGTTTACCAATGCTTTTTTAAATTATATAATATATAAATGTAAATATGTATATTTACATTATGTACTATACATTTTTCACCTTCCCCTGCTAGGCATCATAATCCCCTAATTACAGGAAAGGATTTTTGATAACTACTTTTCTTCTTTGTAATCCATTTAACTTGCATTAATTAGGCAAATGCCTTGTTAGGTAAATGTACTAGATATTTTATTTTTAAGCACAGCCCAAGATAAGAAAGCCCAGAATTGCAGAATCAAAAGAGGAGTCATTTCTGGGGTTTGGTAGATTTATGGAAAATCTCTGATATTAAAATTAAACTTAAGGCTCAGCAGAAAGATGTCTCAACTTTTTAAAGGGATGTTTGTAAGATCACAAGTGTCTTTAAGAATGAGTTTTATTGAGTATCTCCTTTGAATTTAGCATGTGGTAGATTTTATGGATTACAAAATTGGCATACACCTTGTCCCCAGAATACAGGGAGCATATAATCTAGTTGGGAAGTGGGATACACATGTAAAGTGGTTAATAAACTTTTTAATATAAGATAATAAAGTATTATTAAATATATTTAATACACCTTTAATAAGTATTTACTGTGCCAGCCATTGCAATAGTTTCCGTGGGAGGTAAAAAGAACAGGTAGGTGCCCTCTACGCACTGCAGAAAATTATACACATACATAAGCCTAACTTTCTCAAGGCCTCCATTCATAGAGTACATGCCCTAAAGTAGAGTCTTATTGTATTCTAAACTTGACTGTTCCCTTAGAGTCCAAATCCTCCTTTGTGAATCGTTCAAAGCTGAATCCAGGTCCTACCAGCTGTGTGAAACCTTCATGACTTTAGCTTGCCTCCTTGATAAAAGACTAGAGAGACAGAGAGGGCAAGGGGATAGGTGGAAGGAAGTGTGTTCTGTGTAAGAAATTTGTCAGGCTAAAGTTTCCTATTGAAATCACGTAATCACGTAGTGACATGCTAGATGGTACTCATCTGGCCCTGTGGTTTAGATACTAGACAAGTATATGATTGCCAATCCGAGTTTTCTTTTTTCTTTTATTACTATTATTTTTAAACTTTTAGGTTCATATGGTTTGTCTCTGTGTCCCCACCCAAATATCATGTTGAATTGTAATCCCCACGTTTCAAGGGAGGGACCTGGTGGAAGGTGATTGGATCATGGGGGCGGCTTTCTCCATGCTGTTCTCATGATAGTGAGTGAGTTCTCATGAGATCTGATGGTTTAAAAGTGTGACACGTCCCCCCTTGCTCTCTCCTGCCACTATGTAAGACATGCCTTTCTTCCCCTTTACCTTCTGCCATGATTTTAAGTTTCCTGAGGCCTCCCTAGCCATGCAGAACTCTGAGTCAATGAAACTTCTTTTCTTTATAAATTACCCAGTCTCAGGTAGTTCTTTATATCAGCGTGAAAACAGACTAATACAGGGGTACATGTGAAGGTTTGTTACATAGGTAAACTCATGTCATGGGGTTTTATTGTGCAGATATATTTCATCACCCAGGTATTAAGCCAACTACCCTATAGTTATTTTTCTGCTCCTCTCCCTCCTCCCACACTCCACTCTCAAATAGACTCCATTGTCTGTTGTTCCCTTCTTTGTGTTCACGAGTTCTCATCCTTTAGCTAAAGGATAAGTTATAAGAACATGTGGTGTTTGATTTTCTGTTCCTTAGTTTGCTAAGGATAATACCCTCCAGCTCCATCCATGTTTCTGCAAAATATATGATCTTGTTCTTTTTTATGGCTGCATAGTATTCGATGGTGTATATGTACCACATTTTCTTTATCTAATCTGTCATTGGTAGGCATTTAGGTTGATTCCACATCTTTGCTATTGTGAATAGTGCTGCAATGAACATTTGCATGCACGTCTTTTTTATGGTGGAATGATTTATATTCCTCTATATACCCAGTAATGGGATTGCTGGGTCAAATGGTAGTTCTGCTTTTAGCTCTCTGAGGAATCACCATACTGCTTTCCATAATGGTTGAACTAATTTACACTTACACCAACAGTGTTTAAGGGTTCTCTTTTCTCCACAACCTTGCCAGCATCTCTTATTTTTCAACTTTTTAATAATGGCCATTGTGACTGGTGTGAGATGGTATCTCATTGTGGTTTTGCCTTGCATTTCTCTAATGATCAGGGATATTGAGCTTTATTTCTTATGCTTGTTGAAGACATATATATGTCTTCTTTTGAAAAGTATCTGTTCATGTCCTTTGCCTGCTTTTTAATGGGATTGTTTTTCTCTTGTAAATTTAAGTTCCTTATAGATGCTGGATATTAGACCTTTGTCAGATGCATAGCTTGCAAATATTTTCTCCCATTCTGTAGGTTGTCTTTTTACTCTGTTGATAGTTTCTTTTGCTGTCTAGAAGCTCTAAAGTTTAATTAGATGCTGTTTGTCAATTTTCGATTTTGTTGCGATTAGTTTTGGTATCTTTGTAATGAAATCTTTGCCCATTCCTATGTGCAGGATGGTATTGCCTAGGTTGTCTTCCAGGGATTTTATGGTTTAGGGTTTTATATTGCAGTCTTTAGTCCATCTTGAGTTGATTTTTATATATGATGTAAGGAAGGGGTCCAGCTTCAATCTTCTGCATATGGCTAGCCAGTTATCCCAGCACCGTTTATTGAATAGGGAGTCTTTTCCCCATTACTTGTTTTCGTTGGCTTTGTTGAAGATCAGATGGTCATAGGTGTGCATCCTTGTTTCTGGGCTCTCTATTCTGTTCTGTTGGTTTATGTGCCTGTTTTTGTACCAGTACCATGTTGTTTTGGTTACTGTAGCCCTGTAGTATAGTTTGAAGTCAGGTAATGTAATGCCTCCAGCTTTGTTTGTTCTTTTTGCTTGTGATTGTCTTGGCTATTTGGGCTCTTTTTTGGTTTCATATAAATTTTAAAATAGTTTTTTTAGTTCTGTGAAGCATATCATTGGTAGTTTGATAGGAATGAGATGGCATCTGTAAATTGCTCTGGGCAGTATGACTATTTTAATAATATTGATTCTTCCTATCCATGAGCATGGTATGGTTTTCTATTTGTTTGTGTCTACTCTGATTTCCTTGAGTAATGTTTTGTAATTCTCATTGTAGAGATCTTTCACTTCCCTGGTTAGCTGTATTCCTGGGTATTTTATTCTTTTTGTGACAATTGTGAATCAGATTGCATTCGTGTTTTGGCTCTCAGCTTGGCTGTAGTTGGTGTATAAGAATGCTAGTGATTTTTGTACATTGATTTTGTATCCTAAAACTTTGCTGAAGTTGTTTATCAGCTGAAGGAGCTTTTGGGCTGAGACTATGGGTTTTTATAGATATGGAATTATCATGTCATCTGCAAGCAGGGGTAATTCGACTTCCTCTCTTTCTATTTGGATGCCCTTTATTTCTTTCTGTTACCTTATTGTTCTGGCTAGGACTTCTAATACTATGTTGCATAGTAGTGGTGAGAGAAGGCATCCCTGTCTTGTGCCGGTTTTCAAGTGGGAATGATTCCAGCTTTTGCCCAATCAATATGATGTTGCTGTGGGTTTGTCATAGACAGTTCTTATTATTTTGAGTTATGCTCATTCAATACCTAGTTTATTGAGAGTGTTTAACCTGAAGGGATGTTGAATTTTATTGAAAGCCTTTTCTGCATCTATTGAGATAATCATGTGGTTTTTGTCTTTAGTTCTGTTTATGTTAATTTGAGTTTTAGATACTTATTCATCCACCTAGGAATATTCATTGAGTATCTGCTTTGGGTGAGGCATTATTCCAGGAGTAGGAATAGAATAGTGAATAAGGCAAGTCCCTGCTATCATGGAGCTTACTGTCTAAAGAGAAAAACAGACAAGAAAATAAATCAATTGATTAATAAAACAATTTATATAGTGGCAAATGTAAGTGAACTGAAAATAAAACAAAGTAGGTAGTTAAAAAGTC
This sequence comes from Homo sapiens, assembly GCF_000001405.40. Taxonomy (NCBI): domain Eukaryota; kingdom Metazoa; phylum Chordata; class Mammalia; order Primates; family Hominidae; genus Homo; species Homo sapiens. Next base: position 158,259,992 of record NC_000002.12, on the reverse strand, counting down.
ACTAGGAGGGGTGTATTTTAGGCAGTATTCACAGACACAGGTAAGAGATGGGTTAGTCAAATGTTAGGTGAAATCATTAGGATGGGACACTGAATGACCTTGAAGGGTAAGAAGCAGGAATGAGAGCTTTCCAGGCAAGGCCTGGGATGGAGATAAGCAAGGACGTGTAGGAGTGGGGAGGAAAGGAAGAGGCAGAGAAGGACAAAAGCCTGGGGAGTCATAGGAAATAAAGTCATGTGTACAGGGTCACATCCAAATACACCTTGAAAGATTGAGTCTTCCTTTTGGACAAGGTGGTATACAAATAAATGAATAAATAAATAGCTGTAAGGCCACTTGAACTGGTGGCCAAAAAGCCACTGCTATTAAGAGGCTTGAGCAGGGAAGCAAAAATGTGTGAAAATTAATCCAATAAATATATGTGTACACAATGGTTTGAACCAAAGTGACACTGAAGTCAGGAATGTCAGCTAGAATGCAACTGCAGCAATCCAGGTACATAAATAGCATTTGTATATCACATTTGCTTTCTTACCTCATTTCATATTCATTTAAACATATCTATTGAGCATCTATCAGGTGCCGGGTGGTAGGTAAAGCACTGGAGGTACATTGATTAGTCAATCAGTTATGGTCCCTGTTCTCATGGAGATCACAGTCGAGTGGGGAAACAGGCACCAGTCAAGTAATTACAAGACTGAATGTCTAATTTCGAATTACAAGAATTACCTTGAAGAAAAAGTAAGCAGTGTTATGGGAGCACATAACTAAGAGGCTTGATATCATGTCCTGGTGGGCAAGGCTTCCCTGACAGAAATTGCAGCAGAAATTTGGGATTGAATAAATATTGATTAGAAAGGGGAGTGTGGGGCAGGGAGGGGGAAAGAACACTCCAAGAAAAAAAAATGGCATGTGCAATATCTACATAGCTGGAAGGCATGTGGCCTGTTCAGGGATCTATCTGTAAGGTGCATCTGGAACACAGAGGGTAAATTGGTAATTGGTGTGGGATTATGAGTTGGGGTTGCAGACACAGGCTGGGCCAAATACTGGGAGCCGTGTAGTCTATACCTGGGAGTTTACACATTACCCCATGAGCAGTAGAAACTATTGAAAGATGTTAGGCAGGGAGGTGGGAGTGTGGACAGGGAATGAGATGGATCAGACATCTGTTTTGAAAATATTCAGTAAAGTATTTTCTCTGCTGAGTCTGGCCTCAGTAGAGAGAGAGGAGCAACAGTGGATGCAGGGAGGCCCTTATGGAATTAGGGTGGTGGTTATGGAGATAGAGAGAACTGAATGGGTTTAAGAGACAGTGGGAAGTACAGTCAGGAGTAATAGGCAACAGAACTTGGATACATGGAGTGTCAGGGACAGGCAGTGTTAGGATGATTCCTGAGTTTCTGGTTTGTTCAAATGGTTGGTGTTTGCATAGCAACCCTGTCAAGTGTGCATCATTATTATCTCATTTTACACTTACCTGAGGTTCTAAGTGGTTAAACAGTGTGCCCAGGGACACCTTTAATAGGTCACAGAGGTAGGACTCAAACTCTGGTTTATGATTTCAAAACCTGGGTTTTCTCATCTATGCTGTGCTTCTGAGTTGATTGCAGAAGGAAGAAAGACTGTAGCTCAATGATGGTGACATAAAAACGTTGGTCTTTATTATCACAGAGCCATAGAACCTTAGCATTGGGAGGGATTATAGAGAGCTTTCTGATGTGTTTTTCAAGCTTCTTTGACTGTGACTTACAGTGAGAAATGTATTTTACATCACAAATGAACACACACAGAATGGAAATAATTTCTTGACACAGCATTAATACATTGACATCTCTGTTATTTTCCATTCTATTATCTTGCATAAAAAATGCTAGTTGCTATCCACAAAATTGATTTCATGATCCAGTTAATGAATTGTTTAGACAATACTGATCTAGTCCTCTTAATTTTTAGAAGAGGATTTGAGGCCCAGAACTGGGAAGTGATTTCCCAAGATCTCACAGCCAAGAAGCAAGTGAATTTCTTACCCTTAGTCCAGTTTCTTTGTTACTTTCATAAATAAAATTGACTGATAGGTTTGTAAATTTTATCCTTTCAGAAAAAGTAGCTGTTGATAATTTTCTGCTTATTGGCATTTAGTTTGTTTCTTCCTCTAGAAGTTTTGTTTTACACTAAGGTTAGACCCTCCAGGACCCAATTAAATGAAACATTGCAAGATTTTATTTGAAAAGTAAAGGACATGGAACAGTCGAAATAATAATAGTGCATTATCTTTGAGAATCTGAGTAAGACTAATAAAAGGCCACAGAAAATGAAAAGCAGTTATCAAAGAGAGGTGATAAAAAAATGAACTTATGAAGTTACCTAAGAAACCAAGGAATAATTGTGAAGCCAAGAATAAAGACAAAATTTTTCTGCTAAGCAGAAATGCCAAATGGAGAATAGAAAGCTTTAATAACATCCAAAATCACAGGTACTATATTTCATGAGCAAAGTTTAAACATAAACGAAATATATAAGATTAAAAAGCTTAGGTAGGTAATATTGAAAAACAGTGGTACATTGGAAAAATATTTAATGGTGCTGTCAGACTGTTAAAGATTTAATAAAATGAAAATTTAAAGTTTACTCAGCTGAACTGAATTTAGAAGCTTATAGTAACATTTAGGGAGAAGACAGAGAAAGGGATTTGATTGCTAGTTTTTACACATGTCCTCTAATCTTGATGGAAATATAAATTAGTTGCTGAAAATCCTGATAAGTTTTCTGATTATTTTCCCCATCAGATAAGCACAGATGAAGCTTAGGAAGCAGTGAAACAGCTAGGACTGAGGAAAGCAGGGATCAGGAGTCTCACGGTGGGGGAGTTGGAAAATGGTAGCATGTCTCTGGTGGGAGACTTTTTTTTTTAAAGATCAATGCAAGAGGCAGAAGAGAAAATACTGTCAATCTAACTTCAGAGCATTATCCATGCAGTCACCCAAGAAGTACTTATTGAACCCTTACTGACTGGCAGATGCTGTGCTAATCTTTGGAGACAGCCTATGAATAAGACAGATCTGGTCCCTGCCCTTATTAAGTTTGCAGTCCCTTGGGTCATTCCAAACACTTGATACGTGCTGTAATAGAATAGGGACAATGTGCTAGAGAAGTAGAGAGGTATCTGATCTGGGCATGGTGGGTTAGGAAAGCCTTCCTGGAGCAAATGGCATCTGAGCCAAGACTTGAGTAGGATAAGTAGAAGTTAGGCAGATGAAGTGTGAAGTAGACAGGCTTGCTTGTTTCAAGGATTACATCATACCATGTGTTTAACATCTTAATAAAACATTAGCCTGGCACAGAATAATCTCTCATAAATGGCAATTTTTCATATTTCATTATTGTCAGTTATAGGCACTGCTCAGATGGTAACTTTCTTTTGATTTTCCATATAAAACAACCACATCACACACTGTTTCCATAAATATGGCCAATAGAATATAATATTAATGTTTAATTATTATTATTTAAAAGGTTTACAAAGTACTGATGTTTTTTCATTGAAGTCAGCTTTGCGTGGAGAAGAAAATTGCAGAGCATATCATATATTATGATCTCTCTATCTAAGGAAAATATGGTATCAGAATAATAGAACTTAAATGAACTATAGGGGTAACCTGATCCAGTCCCTCCCTTTAACACATGAAAGAACTGCATGAGCCATTTGCTGAAAGTAACAATATTGTTGTTGGTGACAAAGATGGGTCTCAAAAGCAGATGTTCAATATTCATTTCCTTTATGCCATACTGACACTTATAATAAATTGTTTTCAAGCTCTCAACTTTGATGTAAAATTGTGTTAATATTGTTTCATTGATGTTAATTTCAATCATTACCTTTGAAGTTTTCATGGGCTTCATTTTTGTTTTTCTATTACTTTGTTCTTTCTGAGAATGTGTGCTTATTAATTTCAGTTGAACCACTTTACTGTACATTAAGAGTGAGGAGTACATGTAATGCTACTAACCATTTTCATTTTAAACCATTAATTTATTATTTGCAGTAGACGAGCATATTTTAAATGTCATTTATCCTCTGTTAGGTTAAGGTCTCATTCAAAGACAACCCTTGGTAGGCATATTAAGCAAAGTATTAATTAAAACCTGGAAAAATGCCCTGTAGTTAGTAGTTTAAATAATGCTTTCCTATAACACACACTCCTGGCTGCCACTGTGGTAATGTTCTTTTGTGATTATTATTGTTACATTGTTATATGTTCACATACTCTCTTTAAAGCTATATAATTAGCAAAGCCTTTAAAATAAAACTACTAAAATGTTCTTCTGTGCTATTCTTCCTTTTGCTCACTGTTCACTCAGAGTCTTCTGTGCTTTAGTCTATTGTACTAATATTGATTCTTTTGCCCACCTGCCAGCTTTCTTATCCTTAGGCGTCTTGAAAATACCATAATTGTTTGTCATTCTCTCCACATGGAAGCCATCCACATCCCTTGAGTATCTCTGTGAGGATCCATTGGATAAGGGTTATTTCAATTGCCACCAGATTCTTCATCTTATCCAGTGTGCATTCTTAAAAGTTGTTTTGCCTTATTGCTTAGATACCAATTGCTGCTGAGCCTGTTTCTCATTATCAAGATCTTACCACTCTAGCTTCCAACAACCTTCTTTCCTTTACCCGCCCCCCTTTTTTTTTCCTGGTACCATTATAATTAGAAATAATGCTGTGAATTATTGACTTCAGGTAAAATTCTACGGGTCCCTGACCATCCCCATGATTCCAATATTAAGTAGAAGCAATTTAGTTTCTGAAGGCTGAAGCTTTGCTCTAGGGTTTTTGTTTTTTGTTTTTTACAGCATTTCTTTTCTTTTCTTTTCTTTTTTTCTTGTATTAAGATCTACAAACTATTGGCTTTTGGTTGTTGAATTTGCAGCTGTTTCAGGATTTTCTGGTGTGTACATCACTGTTTAAAAATCAACATAACTTTATCTTTTTTTTTTTTTTTTGGAGAAAAGAAGCATCATTTAGACTTGCCAAAGACAGGGAAGGGTAAATTAAATAAATTGGTGAGTAAACTGGTTATACTAGTTTTATTGGTCTGGTTATTATCTTGCTATACTTGCCTTAGGAAACAGAAATCTTTTCCATTTATAGATTTTGATTTATGCTTTTGCTTCTTTAAATCACAGGACATCATATAATATGCAAAGGTCATTCAATGACGATTCCCCTTAGTTTTAAATCAAAAAATGAGAAGAGTAGTTCTAAAACCCTAACTTATTTTCATTAAAATTTATAAAAATAGTCTCAGTGCTCAGAAAGGCTGAATTTTTCTTTTCACTGTTTCAATGTATTACAGATCTTCCTTCCTACTGCCTCAGAACCTTGAGACTACAGTATTTGATTATATAAATCTCTTTGCATATGCATTATATTTTACAGTTTATTTTGTTTTTCAATACATTTTTTAGTATGGAAAAATTTTAAAACCTATGAAAGTCTATCATCACCTAACTTCAACAGTTATCCATTCGTTAGTCAAATTTGTTTTATCTGTATTCTTACTTACTCCCTCCTGCCCCTTGAAATAATAGTAAGAATCACAAGCACCATATAATCTGTTAGTATTAAGTATCTAGCTTTAAAATTAAAGTGTATATCTCTAACGTTATAGAACATAACCATACTATTATCATACCTAAAAACTTTAACAATATTTCCTTAATAGCATCAACTAACCAATAGCATCAACTTAATAGCATCAACTAACTAATCAGTATTGAAATAGCTCTAATTATCTCATAATTTCTTTTCACATTGGTTTATTTACATCAGAATCCAAATATAAACCACATATTGCATTTGGTTAATATGTTCCATAAATGTCTATCAATTTATCCCTCATTTTTATTCTTGTAATTTGTTAAAGTTCTTTGAGTGTTCACAAATTTTAGTTTTGTGGATTGTGTTCCCATATACTGTTGCATAATGTGTTTCTCTGTTGGCTGAATTTCCTGTAACCTGATAGGTAGGTCTAGAGCTTTGATCAGATTCAATTTTATTTTTTGGCAAGAATAATTCATGGGAATGCTGTATGCTTCCATCAGAAGGAGCAATGTCTGCTTGTTCCTCTGTGATGTTAAGATTATTCCATATGTTTGTTTCCAGCTTGATCCATTCATTATAAAGTTTCCCATTAATTGTTAATATGAAATTTTTAGTGGTCATTGATGATCATTAACTAGGATCCATTATTTCAGCAATTGTTGCAAAGTGGTGTATTCTAATACTATCATTTTTTCTTATTTATCAGGCTTCATTTAAAATATTCATTTTGAAGGATTAAATAAAAGTTACTTGTTGAGCACCTGTGATGTACCAGTACTCTGCTAGGCAGTATAAGGGGAAGGCAAATGCATGGACTGTGCTCTAAGTGGAAACCAACATTTTATTCAACATACTCAGAGAGCAGTTATGGTATGGTCAGTGAAATAAGACAAGAGAGATAAAAATGGGCAGTAGAATGTTTCAAGGAAGATGTAGGCCATGAATATTTTATGAAGAAGGGGAAATCTGAGAGCATTTCAAGCAGGGGGTACTTTGAGTCACTCCATGAGCTAAGAATAGGAATGGCCATATAAGGGAAGGCAGAGGAGGAACGCTACTTAGAGATTATGTGTTAGCTACATCAAAGGGGGGCATTTGTTGGTAGTGAGAAAACTAAATTATTTAGATTCTATATTGATCAGTTGACATCATCCTTTTGAACTTTCTGATCTTGTTCTAAATACTTCTGGCAGAAAGACTTTGGATGGACTAGGGAACTACGACCAAGCTCAATGGTTTGGAAATTAGTTTGTCATAAATAAAAATTCATCCGCGCTTAAGAAATGTATGAGCTTCCAAGTCAGATGTAAAATGTAAAGAGACAGTCATGTTGATGTGTATACATAGTAATAAAAAAAATCCAAACTACCTGGTGACTTGTGGTTCCACAGACCAAACCAGGATATTTGGAAAGGAGAAGCAGGTGCACAGGGTTTGATGTGAAGCTATGGCAAAGTTAAAGATGTTGAATTTAATTTTGGAAATGTTGGATTTTAAGTGTACATACAAAAAGCTAAGTCTTAAAGAGTTTAACATAGGATTGAATTGCAGACAAAAAGATAGAGCGGATGGTATAAATTTTGTGGTCAGAAACATAGAATGAACTCCTAGAAGGGGATAAGCACATCAAATAATGAACATAGATAGAGAGGTTGGAGGTTAATGAGAGGATAATGTAGGGTTTGGATTATAGGGTAGACACAGGAAACAGGAAGAAGAGAGCAGTATCTGTTGGTAGAGAAACAGGGGAGAGAAATGTCATGACCTGGGCAGGAAAGTTTTAAGCATAAAGCAATGGTCAACAGTGTCAACTATCACCATGAGGTCAAGGAATGGAGAACAGAAAACTATCTTTTGGGTATTTAGGGGTAGATCACTGGTAATACGTGATGGGATGACAGGACACTGATTTTAATTGTAGCAAGTGAAAGATGGAAGATAAATTACAGAAAGGAAAGGTTTGAAAGCAGGTCAGGACAGAAGGCAGGGATGATCTATTCTAGGAATGGGGTTCCCAAGAAAAAGGTCAATATGATGGACAGGATAAGCAGTAGGTGGGCTAAACTGAACTGTATTTAAAAAACGGGAGTAGAAATTTCCTGGGTTATTTTGATAAACAAGGCAAATATTACTTTAGAAAATGAAATTTTTGCAAAAATGAACTTTAGAGTCACTTTAATTAATTGTATTTGTTTGACATTTTATTTATTTAATTTTCATCATATATATTACCATTAATAAATGATGCTTATATGAAATGTGTAAGAAATGAAGTATTTAACTGGGAATGCTAATATAAAAAGAATTTTGCATACCTCTACATTTCCCTGCTGTCTGCTTCCTTAGCCAGATGTATACATGGATCAGATAAGTATTTGTTTTTATTTTATTAGTTTCATTGGTTTCCTGCTTACAAGGATAATAAATACTTATTGAAAAAATGTCACCCAGCACAGAAAGGTTTAAAGAATAATTTTTTTAAATCCCAGGAAGTGATTCTATTCAGAGATAACCAATATCATTATTTGGTAAGTCCCCTTCCAAATCTCTTTCTATGCATAGATACATAGTTGATATTTTACATTAATGAGATCATACTGCAAATGTGGCTTTGTATCTGCTTTTCTGCATCTAACAATATGTCGTGGATATTTTCTATTTCCATGAATATGGAGTTATGGCATCCTCTTTCAATGGCAGTCATTGTATAAAAGAACCATAATTGATTTAAGCCATCTCTTACTGCCAGACTTTAGACTTTTTCGATTTTTCTGTTTTAAACAGCACTGTAGTGCACATTCCTGTGGGTACATTTTTGTGCACTTGTCCAGTTAATTGTCTTCTCTTTAAATAATATTCTGGAAATAGGGTTGTGGATCAAGGCTATGCATTTTTTATATTGTGACGCATATTTACATATTACCTAATACCCAATAGAAAGGCTGTAGCAAGTATACTTCTGCCAATAACACATACCAGTACCCAGAAAGTTGTTTTAAGTGTCTTACAATTATTTTTCATCTTAATTCAGGCCTGTTTTCCATTCTTATAAAATAAGAAGGCTGAAATATTGCAGAGATTCTTAAACTTTTAAGCATTTTAGGATTATTTGAGAATTTTTGAAAGTTGTTTAACCTCCGGGAAAAAAAACATAGGCAAAACCAGAAATTTTTACTTACTATTTATGAGAATACACAGATTCTTTGGAGTTAAATCATAGACTCTTTAGGAACCCTATTCCATGAATCCAGGTGAAGAATTCCTTAATTACATGATTTTAAAGTTGCTTTTTCCTTTTAACCCTAACACACACGTTTCACAGATACATCACACAGTCATGTGCACATAGAATTTAAACATTTATTTGGAAAAAAAGTGACATCTGCTTGATATAGAGCCTAGTCTTATTATGACCTATGAAATAACTTCAGTGTGCATAGTTACTGGAATGAAGTTTTTCTCTTTATTTCAGGTTCGTCAATGGCGAGCCCACCAAGAAGAGGTAGCAAGACTGGAAATGGAAATTTCTGCCAGAAGAAGAGAAAAGGAAGAGGAGAAAGAGAAACTGTGGAAGAAGAAGGAATTGTTGCAAAGAGCAGAGAAGAAAAAAAAAGTAAAAAATCTATTGTCAATACGAATGTGTGAATGAATGCTTAATGGCCTGATTGAGCTTTTTGGTCTTGGTGTTTGGCATGAAATTCTCATAAGCAGTTCTGAGAACATTCATAAAGATCTAGTGGAATGTTTTATCTAATGAAAAGTTTATTTGAGCTTCAAAGATTTGTTGACATGGAGGAGAACCCACTTTGTTGATTTGTGTGAGCACAGGTACCTGTGATTAGAAGAGGTGCTGTAGGTTAAAAAAAAAAAAAAAGACAAGGTTGTGACAGTTGTTAAATCTTGTAATAAATAGGGACGTGGCAAAAAATGAGAGGGTACTGTGCTGGGATAGTGTCTTGGTTGATGGCAATGTGGTAAATAATTGCCAAAAACATCCTTGTTGGTAGAATATATTATACTAGAGACAGTGCAATTCATGGAAAGTCAAAATGCCCTTTAGAGTTTACTTCTTGGCTGTTTATTAGATGGTTTTGTTTTTCATTTACTAACACAAATTCATCATTCCTCTTTTGAGTAAACATTTGTTGCACAATCTTAAAACTATACACCAAAAGAAGTGATTGTTGATAATCCATGGAAGATAGAATACACTTAAGGGTTGTTTTGTTTTAAATATATATGTGAGATACTTATTTAGGCATTTATGTTTTTTCCCACCACAAAAATTATGAAATTTGCCATAAAAATATTTTTGTTAGACATTTAATCAGATATATGAACCATTTTTTAAATGGAGTGGCTAAGCTCTGTAGAAATAATTCACAAAAAGTCAATTAATTTGTGATCAGCAGAGTAAAAGGAAATGTCTTTAACCTATACACCTGTTTTGACTTGATCTATATGGTGTAAAAAAAATCTTTTCTTTGGAAAAGCTGCTTGCAGTGCCAAGAATGATTAATTAATTCATGGTCATTGGTGGACAAACTTTTCATTTTTGTGAACATGGTTGACGTTTTGCACTATGTGACCAACTAAGTCAAAGAAGCTCATGCCTAGAGGTTGTTCCAAGTTGAATATGTAGAGGTAAAGGAACTATGTATTTTAAAGCTATAAGCCAGTTTTTCCACATTTTATTGTACTTCAGTTGTCATTGTTATTGATTTGTTTTGTGACTTTAAATCAGCAAATTGGTGTAGAGGCAGCATTGTGGAAAACAACATACATAGAAGTTATATGATCATTTGACAAAGTCAGCTGCTAAGAAGATATACTTCACAGTGCTTATTTTAATTCAAAAAGGAATTTGATTTCTGCTTCTAAGGAAGTAAATAGGGTGGTTTTATCAAGTCCCTATCAAGAGAGTTGATGATTAAAGGGAATAATTACATGTACCTCCAAAACTCATAAATATTGATCACGTTTCAAATAATGTAAGTGAGCTATATATCTCTGGAATAGGGGAACTTACCAATTATTTACTGTTATGAAAGTACAGTTATTGAAAAGCATATCCCTCTACTTGGGCCCTCGAAGCATTTCTTCACTGTGAATTAGCGTGACCACAAAAAGTATTATATTCGTAGGCACTTGTTTACATGCGGTGTCAACTTAAATGTCATATGAAGAGATTTGGAAACAGTTTCATTTACTGGGGGTTTACAAAGACAGGTAAAGCCATGCAAATTAAATAACTCAAGTATTGAGAATGGGAGTCGGTACAATTAATTGTGCCAATTAAGTTTGGGTTGAGGAACTGGCATGGCTACACAGGAGAGGATGGAGGGACATCACTAGTTTGTAAGATTTCTGGAAGTGAGAGAAAGGCATTTAAAAGATGAGAGAGAGAGAGCTTCCTGAGCCTGCAGATGGGGCTGACAATTGCCTCATAAACACTGTAACAAGAACTGAACAGAGTAATGGAAGGAAGAATTAAGCTATTTTAATGGCTGAGGCACCCAAAGGGCTAACCTAAATGCAGCTTAAAACAAGGACACTTAGGCCTGAAAAGATGAAGGCTGAGGAGAATTTCAGTATCATTAGTTGTGTGTGTAAATTAAATATCCTCTCCTCATCTTAGAATGCAAGATGTGATCTATACCTATGAGCATTAAAGTAGTACATGTTGAAAAAACATGAAAATCTCCATGCCTAGAATGCATTTTTGTCCCTGGTTGCATTTTGCTAAGCTTCATGCAGGGTGTTACATGTATAAAGTGTCCTGTACTTTATAGTAAAACATACTATAAGAAGTGCCCTATCAAATTTGTTGTCCTATTTATATAGAGTATAGAGGACATTACAATGCTTTGGGAAACTAAGCCAAAGTTGTGGTCAAACCCTAGCAATTGTGTAGGACCAAGGCATACGACTTATTTTATTTTTAAAATACTTTTTCATTTATAAAATATTTTTTTAAAATAGAGATTGATATGATATAGACATTAGTACACATTGGCTAGCATTAAAATGTTAACATTTTTCATTTTGTTTCAGATTTTTAAAATTTAAATAAAGGAGAGAATATTACAGATAAAGTTGAAATCCTCTTTTGAGAACTTCCTCAGTACCATTTCCCTTCTTTCCTCCCCAGAGACAATCATGATCAGGAATTTTACTTCTATCTTTCCAGGCCATATATAGATTTTAAGATATTTTGACATATAATTTGTGACTTTAATTTTTTCATGAACACTATCATGCTATGTCATTCTGCAGTGTTTTAAAAATATGTCTATGTTTCAGGGGGTGGGGGACAAGGGGAGGGAGAGCATTAGGACAAATACCTAATGCATGCAGGGCTTAAAACCTAGATGATGGGTTGATGGGTGCAGCAAACCACCATGGCACATGTATACCTATGTAACAAACCTGCATGTTCTGCACGTGTATCCCAGAACTTAAAGTAAAATAAAAATATAAATATACCTGTGTTAGTAATACACATAGACCTAATTCACTCTGTTTTTTTGAGACAGAGTCTCGCTCTGTCGCCCAGGCTGGAGTGCAATGGCGTGATCTTGGCTCACTGCAACTTCTGCCTCCAGGGTTCAAGTGATTCTCTTGCCTCAGCCTCCTGAGTAGCTGGGATTACAGGTGCCCGCCACTATACCTGGCTAATTTTTGTATTTTTAGTAGAGACGGGATTCACTATGTTGGTCAGGCTGGTCTCAAACTCCGGACCTCAGATGATCCGCCCGCCTCAGCCTCCCAAAGTGCTGGGATTACAGGTGTGAGCTACCATGCCCGGCCTTTTAATTGCTACATAGTGTTCCGTAGTAGAAGTGAGCTAGCATTTATCCATTCTCTTTGGTGGTTGACATTTAAGTTTCCAAAGTTTTGTTCGTATAGGCTGTGCTGCAGCAGCCAGCTTGTACTGATGCGTGTGTTCAGGCTTTCACTAGGGTGTACCTAGAAGGAGAATAACTGTGTTGTAGATTCATATACTTTCAACTTTATAAGATTTTGGGGGGTGGTTTATAAGATACTACAACTTTGCTTTTTTACTTTTGTCAATTTGATAAATTTTAAAAGTATCTTATAAATATTTTAATTTGTATTTCCATGATCATTTGTGAGGTTGAAAATCTTTCATGTTTACTGGAGAGTTTTCTTTCTCTGTAACTCACTTATTCATACTTTTAAAATCCATTTTTTAAATTAATATGTAAAAGCTCTTTATAAATTCTAGATACTATTTCTTTTTGTAGTTATATGGGTTGCATGTATTTTCACCCGTTGGTCATTTGCCTTTTAATTTTGCCTGCAGTATCTATATTGCCATGGAAATTTAAAACGCTCAAGTAATCAAGGTTATTAAACTGTTTCTTATGAATTATGCTTCTCTTCATGAACTGTGACCTGGTAGCAAGAGCATCTCTACAGGTGGCTCTTACATGTGTCTCTGTTGAAGGTCATATGCATTTTACCCTTTGGCCTGGAAACAATTTTCCTATCAGTTTCTAGACTTGGGACACTATGCCGTGAGCCTAGAGTGCATCAGATTTAGGGCTAGTGCACAGCACTGGTCTGGGGTTCTGCACTTGACCCTTTTCTTCTCTGGTCTCCCTGGAACTTTTGCAGAGAGTGATTATGGTGTATCTAGTCCCTATTTTGTATCTGGACAAGTCCTATGTGACTTTGTGCTATTTTTAAGTAGCTTGATTCCAGCTCCCGTGAGCACAGGTCCCATGACAAATGTTAAAGGCCCGGCCACCAGCTATGCAGACCTATACTGGGTCCCAGTTTTCCTCAAGTCCTTAGGCTTCAGCTCTCTCTGACTGCTCTGACTTTAGGTTCCATGTTTATTTTTGGCACTGGGGCAGTGTGTGTGCGTGTATGTGTGTGTGTAGTTGTGTTATAGTTTGTCCAGCATTTCTATGTGTTTGAGGTAGGAAAGGAGATTTCCATGTCAACTCAGAGATACTGACCAGAAGTTCTAGCTGTCTTTACATATACTCACCACAAACCTAGATTATCTTTGTTTTAACTATTTTACTGTTGGAGATACATTTTGGTTCTTCAGCGTTTAACAGCAGCTTGGCAGAAAATTACACCAGCAGCCCCCTGCTGTCATGAGAGGTGTTGCTTTGGTAGCTGGTGCTCTGTTTTCCCCCCATCTGCTGTCTCATCTACCTGGCTTTCCCTTTTCCTAAGGGACTGGCAGTAGAGGCAGAGAAACTGTGCCATGTGCAAAACTCCACCATACAATTTCTGAACAAGAGGTAATCTTCCTCCTAATTCTTCTTTCCAGCAATTTGTCTGTTATGACCAATTTACTGGAATAATATTTTGGTTTGTATTCGATGCTAATTTTACCCTTGCAGTTGCCCAGCTCCTTAAATCACTTTTTCTTCTATGCTTTAAAACTCAAGTTGAATATAATAGTTACAGTTTTCATAGTTTTAAGACTCAAAGAAAGTTTTGATTCCTAAGTTGTTAGATGATATTGATGTTTTTCAGGAGCATCTCTCTATTTCTGAAATTGTTGTCATGATAAAATCAAAAGATAACACCTCTCTATAAATGATCCCTGGGAGCTATTGTAAGAAACAAAATTTCCTTGCTAGATGGACCTTATATAATATTGGTTCCCATACCACCCTTTCTCTAGATGTGGCTCTTTGTCTAGCTTAAATCACAGAAAAATTTCTCTGCATTATTGAGGTTTAGGAGATGTTGTTGCTGCATGATGCCTAGTTTAGAGTTCCACAGAATCCATTACAAGGATGGTTCTAGCCTCACTTCCAAAATGGAGATTTTAGCAAGACTCACATAAAAAGAAGACATATCTCTCCCCTCGTCTAGCGTTTCAAAATTCTCTCTAATTTTGCCAACTCCTAATCTGCACACCAGACACTTTGTGCAATTGAGGAGTGGGGAGCATTTTCAAGGATATCAGGATACCTCTGCTGTGACCTTCAGCCTTACCTTAGAGATCTTTCTGGGGAGGGATCTGCCACTTTGTGAATTCTTAGCTTCTTGTAACATCATACCAATAAATACCAAAAGACATGGCTTTGGTAGAACATTGGCACTTGGGTGTTCCCCCACCCCCTCAGGGGATCTCATAATACCCAAATTACATGTTTCCTGCAGAGAACCAAGAAGAGGAGAAATAGTCTAAAACAAAAACCAGTAGACTGTCATAAACAGAATGCAGGTTAAAGGACTGTAACCATTCTTATTTCAGAAGACTCCAGAAGCTCTTGCACAGGAGAGAATTCAGAGTACCTCCCCATTTCAGATCTGAACCATTCTCCCAGTGTGGGAATTTGTAGGTTCTTATCAGGGCAATGAATCATGACATTATAAAATCTGTTCTCCAGCATCTTTTATTCTAATAGTATACTGATCTAAAGAGCTAAGAGTAGAAAAAATGGTGAGCACAGAAGAATGATTTTTTAAAAAATTCCCAGGCTTTAAACTCTGCTTTTTCAGGATTGTTGAATTTAAAGGGGTCGGTCAATGAATAACACCAAAATAAGTAGGCTTCTAAGGTGGGCTATAGGATCCCCTACTCACCCTCCAGCCGTGGCCTGTATAATCAACCAGACCATAAATACTGTGGATTTTACTCCCACGATTGGGTCAGATTATATGGCACAGAAGACCTTAAAATTATCAAGTGGTCCTGACCTAATCACATGAGCCCTTTAAAGGCAGAGTGATAGCAGACTGGGGTGGTAAGAGATTTGAAACATGAGAAGGATGTGACCACCATTGATAGATAAAAGACTGAGGGAGTCACATGGCAAGGAATGTGGTGGCCTCAAGGAGATGAGGGTGGCCCGGGCTGATGGCCAGCAAGGAAATGGGACCTATAGCCTACAGGCCCATAGCCATAAAGAACTGGACTTTTATGAATGGGATTGGAAGCAGATTTTTTCTCCAGGTGAGAACTCAGTTTTGTCAATACCTTGATTTCAGCCTGGTGATACCATAAGCAGAGAGCCCAACCACACCATGCTAGACTTCTGGTTTACAGAATTCTGAGCTAGCAAGTGAGTGTTGTTTTAAGCTGCTAAATTTGAGGCAATTTTTATACAACAACGATTTAAAAAAAACTAATACAGATTTTAGTATCTGGAAGTGAAATGCTGCCATAACAAATACGTAAAAATGCAGAAGTGGCTTTGGAATTCATAAGTGGGAAGAGGCTGGAAGAATTTTAAGGATGTCATCTTGAGGATGATAGAAAAATGCTAGAATACCTTGAATCAACTGTTAGTAGAAATATGGATGTTAACAACGTGACTGGTGAGGGCTGAGGAGGAAGTAATGAATGTATTATTGGAAACTGGAAAAATTAGGATGGATCACTGTTAATGTGGTGACAGAAAGCCTAGGGCAGTCATGTCCTGCAGTTAGATGGAAAACAAATTAACCAGAAATGAACTTCCTAGTTGATGAACTAAGATATCAAAAAAAAAAAATGTTGAAGGTGCCACCTGGATTCTTTCTGCTGCTTATAGTAAAAAGAAAAGAGATAAATAGAAGGAAGAAATTTAAGTGAAAAGGATCAAGACTTGATGCTTTGGGGACTTCTTGACCTATCTAGATTGGAAAAGATCTTAGAGTTAACAAATTACTGCCAACAGTATGGCATGAAGAACAGACTGAGGTGTGAATATACAGTCCTTTGTTTTAGTCTTGAAAAGATCAAAAGTCAGAGTATTTAGTTATATAAAAGACCCTTCTGGGAGATCAACGGTGCTTCTCATGGATCTTTTCAAACTAGCAGGCCTCCAGGAAGCTTAAGAGTGGTATCCCTCAGCCATCTCGGCAGGAGACCGAGAGAGACGAGATTATTTCAAAAAGATTGTGGTATAGCTTTTGTCTGAGGTAGTGAATTCCCAAAAAATCCACAGAGGTCCTGCTGGGTTCTTGGGAAAATTTTATTAGAAACACTGCCAGCTTGGACTGAAAGGGACAGAGAGAGTATGATGTGAAAATGGGCTAATAGTCCCCCAAAATTTGATTATAGTGATGGGAGGCAGGCTGATAAAACGACTCAAATGCAAGTGCCTACTACCATTCAAGAAGAAGGACGAATGACCCTTGAACCAAGAGGGCAGAATTTAATAGCCCAGGTATTAGAGACTGTGGCTGGCCCCTGTGGCCCCTTGCATTTTTTTGATACTTCCATCATTGAACAAACCCACCTCTCTAGGCTCAGAAAGAGCTGTGACTATCCAGATCCTCCTGTAAAAGCACAGGCTACTTACTGCAAGGCAGAGAAAGGGGAAAGTGCCGCCTGAAGACAGACGGCATTTTAAGAGAGAGACAGGGCTGAGCTGAACTTGTTCAGTCATTTCTCCCACATTTGCCAATCAGAATGACAGGCCATACTGTGAACCCTCCTGGGGAGAGGAAGTTCCCAGCTATGTGAGGAGTGGAAGATGAGCATTCCCCCTAAGAAGAGTATAGGGTAGCTTCCATATCCCCTGGTACATCCATGGTACTGAAATGATATTTCACTAAAGGCTCAATAGAAGGAGAGCAGTCCAAAGACACCTTTATTCAACTATATGTTGGCCTTAAACCTATAACTAAATGGTTCACTAACAACCTCATTAAGACCTGAGCCAAGAAGTTCCTAGATATGGAGGTATTGGAGTTGATCTAAGAGGATGTATTTACCAGAATAAAGATGAAGAAGAGCCATGGTGGAAGGAGAAAAAAAAAAAAAAACTACAGAGTGGGTAGCAGATGTGGAAGGCCATGAATTCAGTGAGCCCACTGCAAGTGGGGAATGGCTCAGGGTGGTATTGAGCATGGGGCTTTTTGCGTTCCCTCAGACCTGAGCTGGAGTTCCAGCACTGCCACTTCTTAACTGTGGGGCCTTGAGGGAAATTACTTTTTCTCCATTTCAGTGTTTGTGTCTGTGTGCTATTTGCATTTGTATGATAAGAAAATGCATGTGAAGCAGTTTGCACGTGGCTGGCACTTAGAAAGGCCTCAGTAAATGATGTTCTAATTGTTACTTTTATTATTGTTACCCCAGTGGAATGGTAGAGCAGAAGGCAGTTAGAAAAATCATGAGAACCAAATAGAAAAGGTAGAAACGAGATAAAGATAATAATAATGAGAGGCAGTGGTTTTAATGCTGATTCAGAAACTATTGTCATGAATACAGTTCTTTTTCTCTTTGCCTGGTTACTCTTTACCAAGTAACAGAATGTCTCTAGAATGGCAGAACTATACCAACACTAGTGACAGTGGAATCCATTGAAAGGTCAAGTAAGAAGAAATGTTCTAATTACAGCATAGGGCATGCAGAAATAGTTATCCACTTTAAAGCAAAGAATCTTTGACTCATTAGTAAGTACATCCTATGGTTCTAAGTGGCAATCATCAACAAAATGTACTGATTAGCACCTAAATAGTTCAAACAAATAAAACATATACTAACTTCATAAGTTTCATGACTTGCTGACCTTATTGTAAACTATATACATAAGTCTTCTAATCTGTGTTTTATTTTGAAATCCCAAAGTCACCTTTCAGAAAATACTATGGCTCAACATATTTCATTTACTGTTATATTGAGTATTGGTACGAATGTCCTCCAGCACATAGTACTATGTGGCATTTGCCTCCTTTCCAATAGCCTCCCCACCCTTTAACATAGGATAATGGTATCAACTCCTAGTAAGATACATTCACAATAAGATTGTGTATAATTCCAAAGGGGGCATTAAGGGTCCAAACAAAATGATCATTCATTCATTTGCTTGTTCAATAAGTACATACCAAGTGCCTTTATTGTGACATGTATTATACCCAATCCTCCATTCTCCATACCTCATGCAATTATAAGAGATCATCCACTCAAGAAATTGCCCCCTTTCTCATCTCTGTTTAAAGGGAGGTGTTTACCTGCTCGGCCACAAACTGATATACAATTCTTAGGTCAATGGGAGCTCTTATTAATAATACAGAAGGATATCTTTTAGCTTCAGACTTTATAAGCACAACAAAAAGAGTTAATAGAGAAAAACTAAAAATATAAAATGAACTATATAGAGTTTGTTACTGGTTAAATTAAGCATGCCCATATATAGCAAATTAAATACATTTGTGCATATACATACATACATATATGCATACGCAAATATATGTATATGCATGTGTACACACACATGTAGAGTGTGACTTTGAGATTTACTTCCTGCTTTCTCAGGGAGTATCAACAAAGCCTTAACCTAACCTAACCTAACATTAACCTAAGTTGGAGCGGTTAGGAGAGTGCCTTTGTTCTCATCCATGCCTAGACCTCCTTTTATTTCCTGTTCCAGTATCATCAAACTGTAATTTGGGCATCTGTCTTCACACTCACCCATGCTGGTCTGACTGCTTCCTAGTGTGAATACTCTTATGCTAACAGAAGTGATTAGTTTTGCTATAGCTAATCAAAGTTCAGGCCTTAGAGTATAGACTTTTTGCCCTAACTGACTCCAATAGGGTTTATTAACTCTCTTTCTATTAATTTACCTGTTTCCATTGAGGCCTTTAATTGTTGCAGGCGTGTGTGTACTGTAGGAATTGCAGGATATGGGACTGTCCTCTGCAGTTTTCTTTGATTGCCTGTGACTGAATGCCTTTCATCTCCATCGAATGCTCTGCTGTTGAGGGAGAGTGATACAGATCTCAGGGCTTCAGGCGGTGGGAAAATCAGAGTGCTGCCTGGAAGCCAGCACATAGCAGAGAGGTCCCTGTGAGATGGTACCTGCTGATCCTGGCCCAGGTCATCCATTTCTTCCAGGTCCTTTTCCCTCATGACTCTCCTTGTTAACCTTGTGTAACAGAGAGGCTGATACTTCTTTTAAAGAGGTGTGTGTGTGTGTGTGTGTGTGTGTGTGTGTGTGTGTGAGAGAGAGAGAGAGAGAAAGAGAGAGTGATCTAACTGGATCCCAGTTAGACAAACATGACTTAAACTGTAAATATTGTCAGTTTATATAATATGTTACTAGGGCCACCTGAAATGTGAACACAAAAATCCCATGGCAGGACTCAATAGTACAGTGTCATTCAGATGATCTAAAGTTGGCTTATAGCACTCTTTTTACATGTTTGTAAACCTGAGAATATGGAGTATAAGAACTCTCATAGACTTCTTAGACCCTGGAAACATGTCTTTGAACCACTCTGAACACCAACTTGGGCTTGGCTCTAACATCCATCCACCGAGATCTCTCACAGCAAGCATCCTCACTGCAAAAGAACTTGCTGCCAGTAGAGCTGAAGTGTCCCCACTTGGCTGAGGGCCACTCTGATTAACTGCTTCCTACCCTCCCTTTTGTGATTCTTTCAATTAATAACTCCTAGACATGTGATCTTGCAAAGTTTAAGGGAGTATTTTTTATTTAGTTATTAGTCTTTTTCTTTGGGAATCTGATGGAGTACTGCAAACATGGGAACTAAAGAAAAAAAAAACCTAATTGGTAAATTAATTATCAGGATAATATAATGGTCAAAAGGAGACGATAGCATATGTTTTTTGTAGACAAGACTCCCAAGTAAACTGGGATTCAGACCTTATTTTCTGAAGATTTAATATTGGTTCTTTTAGTATTATTGTATGTGTGAAGAAATTAAGTAGAATAGGAGGTTTAATTATGCAGAAGAAATAAACTAGGGATCATCTAATTTTTAAATGTTCATAATGTTCCTTGTTTTGTTATTAAAACTTAGAAATAAACATTATTTTATTAAATTAACTTATTAATTTAAATCAACCTTATTAATTTAAATTAAATTAACCTTCTAACATGAGACTGAGCACACGGTCAACTCTTGGTACAGTATATGAGTCAATAGGTAACAGAAAAGTTGTGGTGGTAACCCACAGATGGTAGAATGGTAATCCGAGAAGCTCACTTTTCTGGTTTCAGCTGTCTTGTAAAAATAAAAACTTCCACTAGAGCATCTTTTTAAAAGGTAGAAAAGCTGATGGAATCTTTCTACCCTCTGTCAGGACATAGTTTTAAGAAAAAGCCAGGGGTGGGTGGGGAGGGAGAGAGAGAGAGAGAGAGAAAGCCTGGATAATCAGGAGCCAGATGTATTTGTTTTTCTGGAAAAGACTTCCCATTAGACAGTTTTAGAGAAAGAATCTTGAATTTAACTCCAGGTATAAATTTTTGACTGTACTTTCTGGCTAGGTCTTGATTATTCATAGGGATTTGATTTAATTAACAGATACCTAAACAGTACTTGCTATGTGCAAGGCAGTATTCCATGTTCATTTAATCTTCTTAACAGCCCTAAGGGGTAGATACTTATATGATCCTCATTTCATAAATGAAGAAACTGAGGCACATAGGGGTTATGTAATTTCCCCAAAGTCACATGAACATTAAGTGTGCAGTAAGGATTTGAACCTGAGTGGTCTGACCGGTATGATTTTAGACACTGTGCTATGCTCCCCATCATCATGATTGCTGTGTGCTGTTAATTTTGTGATTAATTAATTTTGAGAAATCTCAGTTTCAAACTATTTACTTTCGGGTCGCTTTAATGGCTTTGGTCCTGTCCTGGTTTACTCAGAACTATTCAGTGGCTAGGTAATTGATAATCTTAAAACTCTTTATTAGTACCTGCCTGCTTTCTAGTAGAATTTCTTTTGTGTTCTAAAAGTTCACACTGCTTACTATGTCTGTCTCCCTACTCTTCTTAAAATTCTTTCAAGATTCTTCCCTCTGAGATAATGAATTATGATGTGTAAACACTTACAGGACACCAGACCATTATAATATGATCATAGTTGAAGTATCAAGACATGTGTTATGGAACAGATAAAAAATACCTTCTTCATCGCCTCCTCAGTGCCATTCTTTTGTTAAGCAGACTGAAGAAAATGTAATGATTTTGGTGTGATTTCTTTTCCTACTGACATCATATTTCACAAGAAGAGAATTTCCACAGGTTTCCAATATGACATCTGCCCACCTCTCAGAATCTGTACCCCTTACCTCCCCTTACCTCTTTTTACAGTGCATGACGTGTCATGCTCCTGTCTAAGGCTAGTCCCTCCATTTGTGCATGGAATCCTGTCCCCCTTCTCCTGCTCAAGTTTATCCCAATTTCTCTCCCACCACCATCCCCCTTTTTCTAGCTCTTTCCAGGTACCCTAAAAATACACCATTATGACCTTCATCTATAAACTACCCTCCCTTGATCCCACATGCCCTCTTCAGAAAATCTCATCATTCCCTGGCCTATACACAGTGTCTCCAGTGTCTCTCCTCTCATTCCCTCTTGAACCATTTTGTCCCTCCGCTCCAGCAATGTCGCACTTGCCAACATCATTGCTTACCTCCGTATTTCAATGATCAATTCTTTGTCTTCACCTTACTTGAATTATTATGATGGAATTGATCACTGCCTCCTCCTTGGAAAACTTGATTCCCTTGGCCTCTAGGAAGCCATTCTTTCTTTGTTCCTCTGTCTTACTGGTATCTTCCTCTCAGTAAACTCCTCACCGTTCCATCTTCTAAGCTTTGGAGTCTCCTGGGGTGGCAGGGTGGGGGTCAGTCCTCTCAGTATGTGTACTCTGTAATGATCTCAGCCAATCCATATGACTTCGTATACCATTTATTTCCTAATACCAATTCATACCTTTGGCCTGGACTTTTCTTTTGAACTCCAAACTCATATGTGTTAACTCCTCAAATCTAATATTCCCAAACTGTATTCTTGCTTTTGTCTCCAAAATACTCTTTCCCTAGTTTTTCTTTTTTCAGTAAATGGAAATCTAGTCTGCTAGCACTCAGGCCGAAAGGCTTGGTATCCTCTCTGACTTCTGTTTCCGCCCTTATACGCTTACCTGTTGGCATGGATAGAAGGCTGTACCTTTAAAATATAATTAGGACTATTATAATAGCTTCCTAATCTCCTAATTAATATGTCCCCTCCCTTTCCATTTCCACTCTGCCTCTCCAATCAGTTTCCCACACAGTAGGCAGACCGATCATTCTAAAACTCACTTTAGATCATGTCACTGCTCTGCAGAAAACACGTCAATGACTTCCCATTCTACTCAGAATAGAATCTAGAAGTCTAGAAGGGACATACAGGGCCCTGTGTGATCTACCTCTCTGCTCTGCTCCGATACTTCTTAAATCTCATATCCTACTCCTCTTCCCATCGTTGAGCTCCAGCCCAAGCAACCTACTTCCTACTCCATGAACACTCGAGCATATGTCCTCTCAGCCTTTTGCTCAGGTTTGGAGCACTGCTCTCCCAGATGTCTGCATGACTCACTCCTGCACAGCATTCAGGGTCCTGCACAAATGTCATCTTAGAAAGAAAGTCCTTGATGGCCCAACAAAAATGGCATCCTCTTTCTCTGTCACTATCTATTTATCCTGCTTCATTTTTTCCTTAGCACTTGTCACTCCCGACATCTATTTATTGACTATCTTCACTCCCACTTCTAGAATGTAAGCCCCATGAGAAAAGAGAATTTGTCTAGTTTCTTTATTGCTTTAGCCCCAGTGCTGGCACAGGGCACTCAAAATTAGTGATTGAATAAATGAATTAAATGAATGAAAAGTATATCACTCTCCTTTGATGTTATGGTGTAGAGGAAAGCATGCCAAGCTGAGAGGTCTTAACAAGAGCGGTGACCTTAGCAAGTTATGTAGGCTCTGTGGGTTTTGCCTCCTTAGTTGTAAAATGAGGTGTTTTGATTAAATGATTGCAAAAATCACCTTGGTTCTAAGTCATGATTGAATGACTCAGGTTTGATTACTTTTCACTTTTCACTCTCTCTGACACTTCAGGTTTTGAAATACAACATCCTTAGTCTATATACTCCCTTCTTAATGAATAGTGAAAAGAGAGAAATTAAACAGGATTACAGGCAAATTCATTTCAGCCATATCAACATATGACATGATCATTATGCAATATTTCAATGCCCATACTGAAAACAGACCTTCCTCCTAAAGAAGACATGACAGTTATTTTTTAATCCACCTGGCATTTCAATTAAGGGGGAGATAACTAATGTGTTTACCCAAGAATACTTTCTTGGCTCATCATGTTATAAGGACATGGGACTGCATCACAGCAGAAAATAGCTTACTGCCAATTTGAGTGGGAAGCTTTGCTATGGGAAAATGCTCACATAAGTGACCAAAGTAAACATCACCTAAAAGAGATTAGTGTTATTTATTTATGCATATAGACATCATCTACTTCCAAACAATTTATAATAAAAGGCATTAATACTTTAGTGCTGGATATCTTCTCCCTGAGTCGTATCACTCTCCATTCTGCTCTGTAGCACAGTTTTCACACATGGCTTCCTTGCCCTCTGGCTTTTGGTTTGGTTCAGCCGAAGTGGAACATGGGAGATCAAGGTGAGGGAGAGGTGTGGGGTTTGGATAGTTGTTTCTGCAGCTCCTTGCCCTGCAGGGTTGTACTGACCAGTTGTGTCCTTCACCAAAGATCTCAGCTCCCGTCAGGGGTCCTCCTCACCCAGCACTGTATGAGCCCTTGCGGTTGCCCTGCATTCCCACCCTCCTTTGTCGGTTGTCCGCTTATTACATTCTTCTTAACTTATCCTAATTTTCAGTGTGCCATCTGTTTCCTATTAGGAATCATTAAAATAGAAAGTCAGTAAAAGAATAAAAGATGAGAAATTAAGGGAATGGGAATATCATTATGTCAGCAAACAAGACTAAAGAAGGGTGTTGTAATTGAACATGGTTAAAGTTAAAGGGAAACATATAGCTCTTATTTGCTAATAATAGAGAACATACCAGCAGATCAGCAGCTGGCAGCATGTATTGGGAGGAGGAGTACAACCCACTCAATGGATAGCATTTTCAGTAGAAATTTTACAAGAGCCTAAGTCAATCTTCTTATGAGATTGTACCAGCCTTTATAAGACCTGTGGCATAAAATTAAATCATGATTCTTTGAAACTTTTCTACAGAAAATGAAACTGCTGCCACATGCAAGGTGATAAGAAAAATGTTATATAGGAATATATGTAGGATTCTTGTCATTTGACCTGATACAGGAATAGAATTTGGAAACTTCAGGAATGAATAATAGTTATGCCCTTTACATGCTCCTCCCAAATATTAATTTCCTTGGCCAGACATTATAAAAACTGGCCATAATATACTTACACATAATATACACAATATACTTTTGTAGTTATTACTATTATTATTTTTAACTTTTATTTAAAGTTTAGGGGCACATGTGCAGGTTTGTTACGTAGGTAAACTTGTTTCATGGGTGTTTGTTGTACAGATTATTGTATCACCCAGGTATTAAGCCTAGTACCCATTAGTTATTTTCCTCATCCTTTCTTTCCTCCACCCTCCACCCTCTGGAAGGCCCCATTGTGTAATTATAAAGTATTTTATGTCCATTGTAGATAATTTGGAAAATGCAAGCAAGCATACAAAATACAATAAAAATCACCCAAAATCCTAAACCACTGCCAAAAGAAAATTAACAGTGTCTTTACACTCTTTTTTCTACATATCCAAGAACTTTAATTTAACTAGAATCACACTATATATGTTATTTTTAACAAGATTTTTTTCTTATTGACCAACATTTTGCATATTTTCCCCTTTTTCTCCTGCCGCATAATTTTTAGTGGTTGCATAGTGTTACATCAGAATAGTGCATTTTGCAAATCTTGCAACTTGGGATCATTACATTGTTTCCAATTTTTCACCCTTTTAAGGTTGTGATGAACATTTCTGCCTATAAATCTTTGCATAGATTCCTGCCTGTTAATTCTTAAAAGTTTATTTCTTAATTCTTAAGATTTTTACTAGTTATTTTCTTATTTTTATTTTTAAAAATTTATTCTTCAGAAAAAGTATGACAATTTACCCTCCTACCAGAGGTAAATGAGCTTGTTTATCACCTTGGAGATTGGTTGCTAAAATGTTCAAGTTTAAGGCACTGATAAGTAGCTGAAACGCAAACAGTTTTAATTGCAGACTGAAAGGAGATCCATTAAGTTCAAATAACCAGGCAGGATGGTTGCCAAATTGACTTTCTATTTTGAAAACGAAGGATTAACTCTGTTTTCTTACTCATGTAGAGAGTTTTTCCATCTTTGCATAATAAATGCCCTGGATGGTAATTCTTTTGAAGTCAATTTTTTTTTTTTGAGATGGAGTCTCGCTCTGTTGCCCAGGCTGTAGTGCAATGGCATAATCTCGGCCCGCTACAACCTCTGTCTCCCAGGTTCAAGTGATTCTCCTGCCTCAGCCTCCCAAGTATCTGGGATATTAGGCACACACCACCATGCCCAGCTAAGTTTTGTATTTTTAGTAGAGACAGGGTTTCACCATGTTGGCCAGGATGGTCTCTGTCTCTTGACCTCGTGCTCCACCCACCTCGGCCTCCCAAAGTGCTGAGATTACAGGCTTGAGCCACTGCACCCAACCTGAAGCCAATTTTTTATTCAGAAACTTAAGCCAGTCCCAGGTTGAAGCACACGGAGATCTCTATACCATCAAACTACAGAAGAGGTAATGTTGGCTGAAAGGTTTTGAGAGTAGGAATGACTAAGTATAGAATACCTTTAATCTGGCTTCCATGAGCAGTTTGACCTAGAGATGTACCAGGTCCCCATTCTCTGTTGGGATTAAATGCACCTCCAAACCCCTGCATGAACTGGCTAAATGAACTGGCTCACTGTTTGAAAAGTTGCCTATCCAGATGTTTTTGGATTCATATGAGCTGATATAAGAAAAGTATTTTGGGCAATGCTATCTTTCTATATTCTTTTTCATTGGATCAGTTTAGCAAATGTATACCTTGTATCTCTCATCTGAAAGGTGCAATACTAGATACAAATAAACATGATAGTATAAGGCATGCTCCTTACCATTCAGAAGTTCACACAAAGTTGTAAAAACTATGTGGCAAAATATAGATAATTGTAAAATTGATCATATAGAAAGAGGAGTCATACTTCAATTGGTGGTGATTTTAGGGGGTACAGGAACCATCATTGATCTAAATGAAGTACATGGGAAAAATTATAGTAAAAAAAGAATGCTTTTCTATTAAGACATCCTGTTATGTTTTTACATATAACAATGCTATGTATATGTAAAACATACTTTTTGTGTGGAGTTGCATATTCCAGGCCAAAAGTAGAAAGGGGATCTTTTTAAATAATTGATACATAGTGATTGTACAAATTTCTGGGGTACCTGGGATATTTGATACAAGCATAAAACATGTAATAATCAAGTCAGAGTAATTGGGATATCCATTACCTCAAACATGTATCATTTCTTTATGTTGGAAACATTCCGAATATTCTCTTCTAGCTATTTTGAAAGATACAATGAATTGTGATTAACTATAGTCATCCTACTGGTGCTATTGAACACTAGAATTTATTCCTTCTACTTAACTGTAGTTTTATATGCATGAAACAACTTCTCTTCATCCCCTGCCCCTTACCCTTCCCAGCCTCTAATAACCACCATTCTACTCTCTACCTTAAAAATAGGATGCAAGGAACTATCTAATTAGAATCTAGAAAATGGAATAAAAATGTGCTTTATCTTAATGGCTTATGGGGACTGGAACTGGATGCTTTGAACTTCATATCTTTTATGAGTCTGGTTAAGTGTTATGACTTCCTTCTGACTGAGTCACAGGTCAGAGATAATGACCTGACAACAATGTACAGAAGTCTATTTGTTCAAAGATTCAACATCACACAAGCGTGAAATAAGAGACAAACTATTTGCTACTCTAATCCTTTTGTCCTAACTTTCTGCTTCCTATGTGTAAATAAGAAATTCTTATTTCATGTTGAATTTAATGGTTGTATAATATTGGTCCAAGTTTTTTTTTAAGTTAAACTTTGAGATACTCTAATATTATAAATGTTCTGTTTACAAGTGTAGTTTTTAATAGGAAAAAATCTGAAAGATTACAAAAGTAAGGTAGGATATAAAAATGATCTTAGACTGAAAAATAGCATGACATTATTTTGGCTCCAAAATCTATATGGTGAATAGTTTCTACAGTTTTTATTTCTACAGTATTTATTATACTTTTACTGGTTTAACTTTATTAAAATGAACAAAATGTGGGACTGTGAAAATAAACCTCTTGCATTCAATACAAATCAGAAGTATAATAGTAAGAGGAGATAGGGGATAATGAGTGCTTCTTTTGTTTTTCTGTAAACCTCATGTGGAAGTAAAGAGACAAGCTATAAATTCAACTCTTATCATATGCTGACTTTCTGATTCTTCTATCATTGGAACATTATAAGAATCCTTCAAAAAGTCTAACAATCAGTGCATTTAAAATCTCTGTCTCAACAAATGTCCCAAAGGACTAGTTAAATACCCTTAGTCTTGACTTCAGTTTGAGGCTTGCAAAGCTAATAATTCTTGATACATAAATTGTAGGATGAATTAATGGATGAACAGTGAATGGAACTGTCCTTAGGGAGGTACTTAGTTTGGCCTTTACCATCCTGAAAAGAAAACTGTTGGCCCGGTTCCCATGTACAACTTTGTTATTCTTGGACCAGAGACCAGAAGAAACTTCCAGTCACCTAAGAGTGATCAATGATACCCTCTTATGTGTTAGACATGACACAATGTACTAAGGATACAAAGATAAACAATGCAGATTAATATGGGAAATGCTGTGTTAAGAATACACAAATAATGCCTTAGAAGGTACACCTAGCTGTATCTGGAGGAGAGGGAGAGGGAGAAAGGCTGAGAAGGCAATGCTAAAACTGAGTCTTTAAAGGATGGATAGGAAGGATTTACCAAGCAATAAGGCAAGGCAGAACTTTCCAGGCATGTACTAAATGCCCAAATATATTGGTAAAGATCCAGGGGCAGAACCTCATGAAAGAAGTCCAGGAATGCAGGTAGTCAAAGAAAGGAGGGTCATAAACTATAAGCTATTGGTGTGCCATGGATGGAGCTACTGTTTTTCTAGAAGGCTCAGGAGAAGATTTGAGGAGGTGGCATTTGTTCTCATCTTAAAGATAAAGTAAGTTTGACAGGTGGAAGAGGGAAATTAAGTCATTCTAGTAGAGAAAGCTGTGCAGAAAAGCAAATAAGCATGAGAGTGCATAACCACATTCTCTTTCCTGTTCACATCCTCATCCTGGAGACCTCATCCAGTCCTCTGGTGTCAAATACTGTTTATGTGGCTATCTCCTTAATTTAGGTCTCCAGCACTGAGTTCTCCCCTAAGCCACCCATCTGTGCCTTCAGATGTTCGTCTGGCCCCTCCAACTTAGAGGTCTTATGGGCTTGTCAAGTGTTATGTGTTCAAAACTGAGCTCCCAATTTTCTTCCTTTTCCAAGCTTGTTATTCTCCCAATCTTCTATCTCAGTTACTAGTATCACCTTTCAACCAGCTGTTCAAGCAAAAACCTAGGAATTGTCCTTGATTAGTCTTTCCTGCAATCTTCACATGGAATCTCTCAATGAGCCCTCTTGGAATCTTTCAATGAGCCCTCTGATTCTACTCAAAAGCACATCTCAGATCTGAACACTTGAATCCATCTCCTGAGTCCAGGGACGAGCGCTGCCTTTTCCTTCTAACTGGTCTCCCTGTTGTTCCTTAGCTTCTCTACTACCCGTGCTCCACTTCATATCGAGAGCTCTCTTTTTAAAATGTAAGAAATGTAAGTCAGATCATGCTACTATTTGCTTTAGTCTCTTCAATGGCTTTTCCTTGTTTCTAGAATTAAATCCTGGCCAAATCATCTAACCCCATGCAGCTCTCCAATCTCGCTTCTAGTCTTAACCTATGCCACCTGCTCCAGCTCCCTGGCCTATTCCCAGTTCTCAACATATGCGAGGTCTTCCCCATCCAATGCTGTTGCACCCTCTTCCCAATGTACTCCCCTCCATCTCTTCCCGTGGGTGTTTCACGCTCATCTACCAGGTTTTCAAACAAATGTCATGTCATCCAGATGTCCTATTTAAGACATTTAAAAGATACCTTCTACTAATTCTACTCAAATTTTTCTAAACCATCACTCTACGTATCCCCTTCTTAGAGGTTAATACAGCATGTGATATTCCATTCATTCATTCATTTACTATCTGTCTCCCTTTCTAGAAAGTCTCAGTTCCACAAGACAGAGGCTTTATTTTTTTTAAGTACCAGTTATCATGTGCTCAATAAATACTTGTTGAACAAATGAATGTCAAAGTCCCAAAGTCAATAATGGTTTAATACTATAGGTAAGGGTTAATAGAATCAAATACACAGAGACATCAAGTAAAATCATGATTGGAAAGGATATTTGATCCGATCCTGTGGAACTCACTAGTGAGAGCAGTGACTTCGGAGTGGAGTACAGAGGTAGGAATACCATAGGTGAGGAGTGAAATAGAAGATGTGCACATGGGAAAAAGCGAGTTGCTAAGATGCCTGGCCAAAGAGGAACAATGAAAGGTATGATGCTACAATCTTTGGGTTCTAAAGAATTTCTAAATTATTGCAATGGGATAAAATTATGTTTAATTCCATGTGAGAAGGAAGCAGCAAAGAGCAAGAAGCTGAAGGTACAGGGGAGAGGAGGGGACAGATGAGGAGGGAGGCTACGAAGAAGGTGGAATTGGGAATGGGATCTGCAGCCCAGGTGAGGCATTAGTCTTGAACAGGAGGAAAAATACCTCTTCTTCTGATGGGCTGAACAATGAGAAAGATATCTTGTAGAGCTTCTGTTTGCTCTGATGAAAGTGAGGAAATAGCAGCAGGTATGGAGCTGAACATAGTGAACAGGTTTTAGAATATCACTATGAGAAACTGAGAGGCATTGTCCAGGAATTCATAAATGGAATGCTTATTGTCATTGAAGATTCAATTGAAACCATAAATTTAGTACTAGTTCCTACAATTATGTCATCAATCAAATGGTTATTAAGTACATGCTATGTTTTAGACACTTTAGCTGAATATCTCACAATTGTTGCAGCCTAGTGGGACAGAAGAAAAGTATATTAATTAGCAAAGCCTTGTGATGAGAGCTGCACTAGGGAAATAACATTATATAAGTGGAGCCCAGAGGATGATTGGAAGTGGGTAGGGCAGGTTCTGGTCACAGAGTCTATTGCTGATTCAAGATTACACAGTTGGAACTGTTTTCAATGATAATAGAATTCTGGAGGAAGAGGAAGTTCCCTAGAATGGAGGAAGTCATAGAATTATGAGAATTACAGGTTGGAAGGGCAGTCAGACAGATGGTGAAGTTGATTAGGAAGGTTGGAAGGGCATTCAGACAGGCTGAAGTTGCCTGTATTTGAGAAGGCTGTGACTGAAGTATCTGAATTCTTTTTTTTTCTTTCATTTTCTTTTTTTTTTTGTTTTGTTATTATACTTTAAGTTTTATGGTACATGTGCACAACGTGCAGGTTAGTTACATATGTATACATGTGCCATGTTGGTGTGCTGCACCCAGTAACTCATCATTTAACATTAGGTATATCTCCAAATACTATCCCTCCCCCCTCCCCCCAACCCCACAACAGGCCCGGGTGTGTGATGTTCCCCTTTCTGTGTCCATGTGTTCTCATTGTTCAATTCCCACCTATGAGTGAGAACATGTGGTGTTTGGTTTTTTGTCCTTGCGATAGATTGCTGAGAATGATGGTTTCTAGCTTCATCCATGTCCCTACAAAGGACATGAACTCATCATTTTTTATGGCCACATAGTATTCCATGGTGTATATGTGCCACATTATCTTAATCCAGTCTATCATTGTTGGACATTTGGGTTGGTTCCAAGTCTTTGCTATTGTGAATACTGCCGCAATAAACATACGTATGCATGTGTCTTTATAGCAGCATGATTTATAATCCTTTGGGTGTATACCCAGCAATGGGATTGCTGGGTCAAATGGTATTTCTAGCTCTAGATCCCTGAGGAATCGCCACACTGACTTCCATAATGGGTGAACTAGTTTACAGTCCCACCAACAGTGTAAAAGTGTTCCTATTTCTCCATGTCCTCTCCAGCACTTGTTGTTTCCTGACTTTTTAATGATTGCAATTCTAACTGGTGTGAGATGGTATCTCATTGTGGTTTTGATTTACATTTCTCTGATGCCCAGTGATGATGAGCATTTTTTCCTGTGTCTTTTGGCTGCATAAATGTCTTATTTTGAGAAGTGTCTGTTCATATCTTTTGCCCACTTTTTGATGGGGTTGTTTGTTTTTTTCTTGTAAATTTGTTGGAGTTCATTGTAGATTCTGGATATTAGCCCTTTGTCAGATAAGTAGATTGCAAAATTTTTCTCCCATTCTGTAGGTTGTCTGTTCCCTCTGATGATAGTTTCTTTTGCTATGCAGAAGCTCTTTATTTTAATTAGATCCCATTTGTCAATTTTGTCTTTTGTTGCCATTGCTTTTGGTGTTTTGGACATGAAGTCCTTGCCCATGCCTATGTCCTGAATGGTATTGCCTAGGTTTTCTTCTAGGGTTTTTATGGTTTTAGGTCTAACATTTAAGTCTTTAATCAATCTTGAACTAATTTTTGTATAAGGCATAAGGAAGGGATCCAGTTTCAGCTTTCTATATATGGCTAGCCAGTTTTCCCAGCACGATTTATTAAATAGGGAATCATTTCCCCATTTCTTGTTTTTGTCAGGTTTGTCAAAGATCAGATGGTTGTAGATATGCGGCATTATTTCTGAGGGCTCTGTTCTGTTCCACTGATCTATATCTCTGTTTTGGTACCAGTATCATGCTGTTTTGGTTACTGTAGCCTTGTAGTATAGTTTGAAGTCAGGTAGCGTGATGCCTCCAGCTTTGTTCTTTTGGCTTAGGATTGACTTGGCAATGCGGGCTCTTTTTTGGTTCCATATGAACTTCAAAGTAGTTTTTTCCAATTCTGTGAAGAAAGTCATTGGTAGCTTGATGGGGATGGCATTGAATCTATAAATTACCTTGGGCAGTATGGCCATTTTCACAATATTGATTCTTCCTACCCATGAGCATGGAATGTTCTTCCATTTGTTTGTATCCTCTTTTATTTCATTGAGCCATGGTTTGTAGTTCTCCTTGAAGAGGTCCTTGACGTCCCTTGTAAGTTGGATTCCTAGGTATTTTATTCTCTTTGAAGCAATTGTGAATGGGAGTTCACTCATGATTTGGCTCTCTGTTTGTCTGTTATTGGTGTATGGGAATGCTTGTGATTTTTGTACATTGATTTTGTATCCTGAGACTTTGCTGAAGTTGCCTATCAGCTTAAGGAGATTTTGGGCTGAGACGATGGGGTTTTCTAGATATACAATCATGTCATCTGCAAACAGGGACAATTTGACTTCCTCTTTTCCTAATTGAATACCCTTTATTTCCTTCTCCTGCCTGATTGCCCTTGTCAGAACTTCCAACACTATGTTGAATAGGAGTGGTGAGAGAGGGCATCCCTGTCTTGTGCCAGTTTTCAAAGGGAATGCTTCCAGTTTTTGCCCATTCAGTATGATATTGACTGTGGGTTTGTCATAGATAGCTCTTATTATTTTGAGATACATCCCATCAATACCTAATTTATTGAGAGTTTTTAGCATGAAGGGCTGTTGAATTTTGTCAAAGGCCTTTTCTGCATCTATTGAGATAATCATGTGGTTTTTGTCGTTGGTTCTGTTTATATGCTGGATTATGTTTATTGATTTGCGTATGTTGAACCAGCCTTGCATCCCAGGGATGATGCCCACTTGATCATGGTGGATAAGCTTTTTGATGTGCAGCTGGATTCAGTTTGCCAGTATTTTATTGATTATTTTTGCATCGATGTTCATCAGGGATATTGGTCTAAAATTCTCTTTTTTTGTTGTGTCTCTGGCAGGCTTTGGAATCAGGATGATGCTGGCCTCATAAAATGAGTTAGGGAGGATTCCCTCTTTTTCTATTGATTGGAATAGTTTCAGAAAGAATGGTACCGGCTCCTCCTTATACCTCTGATAGAATATGGCTGTGAATCCATCTGGTCCTGGACTTTTTTTGGTTGGTAAGCTATTAATTATTGCCTCAATTTCAGAGCCTGTTATTGGTCTCTTCAGAGATTCAACTTCTTCCTGGTTTAGTCTTGGGAGGGTGTATGTGTTGAGGAATTTATCCATTTCTTCTAGATTTTCTAGTTTATTTGCATAGAGGTGTTCATAGTATTCTCTGATGGTAGTTTGTATTTCTGTGGGATAGGTGGTGATATCCCCTTTATCATTTTTTATTGCGTCTATTTGATTCTTCTCTCTTTTCTGCTTTATTAGTCTTGCTAGCAGTCTATCAATTTTGTTGATCTTTTCAAAAAACCAGTTCCTAGATTCATTGATTTTTTGAAGGGTTTTTGTGTCTCTATTTCCCTCAGTTCTGCTCTGATCTTAGTTATTTCTTGCCTTCTGCTAGCTGTTGAATGTGTTTGCTCTTGCTTCTCTAGTTCTTTTAATTGTGATGTTAGGGTGTCAATTTTGGATCTTTCCTGCTTTCTCTTGTGGGCATTTAGTGCTATAAATTTCCCTCTACACACTGCTTTGAATGTGTCCCAGAGATTCTGGTATGTTGTGTCTTTGTTCTCATTGGTTTCAAAGAACATCTTTATTTCTGCCTTCATTTCATTATGTACCCAGTAGTCATTCAGGAGCGAATTGTTCAGTTTCCATGTAGTTGAGCAGTTTTGAGTGAGTTTCTTAATCCCGAGTTCTAGTTTGATTGCACTGTGGTCTGACAGACAGTTTGTTATAATTTCTATTCTTTTACATTTGCTGAGGAGTGCTTTACTTCCAACTATGTGGTCAATTTTGAAATAAGTGTGGTGTGGTGCTGAGAAGAATGTATATTCTGTTGATTTGGGGTGGAGAGTTCTGTAGATGTCTATTAGTTCTGCTTGGTGCAGAGCTGAGTTCAAGTCCTGGATATCCTTGTTAACTTTCTGTCTCGTTGATCTGTCTAATGTTGACAGTGGAGTGTTTAAGTCTCTCATTATTATTGTGTGGGAGTCTAAGTCTCTTTGTAGGTCTCTAAGGACTTGCTTTATGAATCTGGGTGCTCCTGTTTTGGGTGCATATATATTTAGGATAGTTAGCTCTTCTTGTTGAATTGATCCCTTTACTATTATGTAATGGCCTTCTTTGTCTCTTTTGATCTTTGTTGGTTTAAAGTCTGTTTTATCAGAGACTAGGATTGCAACCCCTGCCTGTTTTTTGTTTTCCTTTTGCTTGGTAGATCTTCCTCCATCCCTTTATTTTGAGCCTATGTGTGTCTCTTCACATGAGATGGGTTTCGTGAATACAGCACACTGATGGGTCTTCACTCTTTATCCAATTTGCCAGTCTGTGTCTTTTAATTGGAGCATTTAGCCCATTTACATTTAAGGTTAATATTGTCATGTGTGAATTTGATCCTGTCATTATGATGTTAGCTGGTTAGTTTGCTCGTTAGTTGATGCAGTTTCTTCCTAGCCTCGATGGTCTTTACAATTTGGCATGTTTTTGCAGTGGCTGGTACCGGTTGTTCCTTTCCATGTTTAGTGCTTCCTTTAGGAGCTCTTTTAGGGCAGGCCTGGTGGTGACAAAATCTCTCAGCATTTGCTTGTCTGTAAAATATATTATTTCTCCTTCACTTACGAAGCTTAGTTTGGCTGGATATGAAATTCTGGTTTGAAAATTCTTTTCTTTAAGAATGTTGAATATTGGCCCCTACTCTCTTCTGGCTTGAGAGTTTCAGCCAGGAGATCAGCTGTTAGTCTTATGGGCTTCCCTTTGTGGGTAACCCAACCTTTCTCTCTGGCTGCCCTTAACATTTTTACCTTTGGTGAATCTGACAATTATGTGTCTTGGAGTTGCTCTTCTCAAGGAGTATCTTTGTGGCATTCTCTGTATTTCCTGAATTTGAATGTTGGCCTGCCTTGCTAGATTGGGGAAGTACTCCTGGATAATATCCTGCAGAGTGTTTTCCAACTTGTTTCCATTCTCCCCATCACTTTCAGGTACACCAATCAGATGTAGATTTGGTCTTTTCACATAGTCCCATATTTCTTGGAGGCTTTGTTCATTTATTTTTTATTCGTTTGTCTCTAAACTTCTCTTCTCGCTTCATTTCATTCATTTGATCTTGCATCACTGGTACCCTTTCTTCCAGTTGATCGGCTACTGAGGCTTGTGCATTCATCACGTAGTTCTCGTGCCTTGGTTTTCAGCTCCATCAGGTCCTTTAAGGCCTTCTCTGCATTGGTTATTCTAGTTAGCCATTCGTCTAATTTTTTTTCAAGGTTTTTAACTTGTTTGCCATGGTTCGAACTTCCTCCTTTAGCTCGGAGTAGTTTGATCGTCTGAAGCCTTCTTCTCTCAACTCGTCAAAGTCATTCTCCATTCAGCTTTGTTCCATTGCTGGCAAGGAGCTGCATTCCTTTGGAGAAGGAGAGGCACTCTGATTTTTAGAGTTTCCAGTTTTTCTGCTCTGTTTTTTCCCCATCTTTGTGGTTTTATCTACCTTTGGTCTTTGATGATGGTGACATACAGATGGGGTTTTGCTTTGGATGTCTTTTCTGTTTGTTAGTTTTCCTTCTAACAGTCAGCACCCTCAGCTGCAGGTCTGTTGGAGTTTGCTGGAGGTCCACTCCAGACCCTGTTTGCCTGGGTATCAGCAGACGAGGCTGCAGAACAGTGAATATTGGTGAACAGCAAATGTTGCTGCCTGGTCGTTCCTCTGGACATTTTGTCTCAGAGGAGTACCCAGCCATGTGAGGTGTCAGTCTGCCCCTACTGGGGGGTGCCTCCCAGTTAGGCTACAGGGGGGTCAGGGACCCACTTGAGGAGGCAGTCAGTCCGTTCTCAGATCTCCAGCTGTGTGGTGGGAGAACCACTACACTCTTCAAAGCTGTCAGACAGGGACATTTAAGTCTGCAGAGGTTTCTGCTGCCTTTTGTTTGGCAATGCCCTGCCCCTAGAGTGGAGTCTACAGAGGCAGGCAGACAGGCCTCCTTGAGCTGCAGTGGGCTCCACCCAGGTCAAGCTTCTGGGCTGCTTTGTTTACCTACTCAAGCCTCAGCAATGGCGGGTGTCCCTCCCCCAGCCTCGCTGCTGCCTTGCAGTTTGATCTAAGACTGCTGTGCTAGCAGTGAGTGAGGATCCGTGGGCGTAGGACCCTCCAAGCCAGGCGAGGGATATGATCTCCTGGTGTGCCCTTTGCTAAAACCTTTGGGAAAGCGCAGTATTAGCGTGGGAGTGACCCGATTTTCCAGGTGCTGTCTGTCACCCCTTTCTTTGACTAGGAAAGGCAATTCCCTGACCCCTTGTGCTTCCCAGGTGAGGCGATGCCTCACGCTGCTTCGGCTCATGCTCGGTGCACTGCACCCACTGTCCTGCACCCACTTTCCGACACTCCTCAGTGAGATGAACCCGGTACCTCAGTTGGAAATGCAGAAATCACCCGTCTTCTGCCTCGCTCACCCTGGGAGCTGTAGACTGGAGCTGTTCCTATTCGGCCATCTTGGCTCCACTCCAAGTATCTGAATTCTTGAAGAGAATTTGGGAGTGACTTGGAAATTTACACATGCCAATGATAACGACAGGTAGAGGGTGATATATCCATGTGGTGTTAACATCAAAGGGAGAAAGAATTGTACATATCATAATGGCCTGAAACAGACAGTTAACAATGAGGAAAATGCCCCAGCTATTCCCCAGCAAAATGGCACATGGGGTATCAGAATATGAGTATCCTTCACTCAAAAGA
The DNA here is from genome assembly GCF_000001405.40 of Homo sapiens. Taxonomy (NCBI): domain Eukaryota; kingdom Metazoa; phylum Chordata; class Mammalia; order Primates; family Hominidae; genus Homo; species Homo sapiens. Next base: position 158,222,599 of record NC_000002.12, on the reverse strand, counting down.
ATTTCAGTGAAAACAAGGAAATAGTTTTCTGAAGGTTGAAGATGTAGGGAGTTTTACATGTGATGACACAGGGGTTCCAGAGGTCTCAGTGGAAAGCACTGAAAAGGATTAGAGAGAGAGAGAGAGAGAAAGAGAGAGAGGGAGAGAGCACACTTATACTATAGCAATGCCTGAAGGTTGGTACCTTCAGAGTCAAAGATGGAAATAACTGGTCTTGAGATTGCAAAAAGCTCCAGGTATAACATACGCCTGGGGCCTGCACAGGACAGTGTATCAAGTGATCAAGTGGTGTCAGAAATCTGAGGATGCCAGCAACCTGGGGTTGCTCTGCTTGTGGTCAAGGAATTGTCTGCAAAAGAGCCACTGACTTTCTCCAAGGCCAGTGCTGGGAGTAAGGAAGTATTATTGGTCTGCATTAACCCAGAGAAAAATGCTCTTTGATTCCATATCTGTTCTTTTAAAAAAATTTGTTTTGAAGTAGCTTAATTTTTTTCTGATTATAAAAGAAATATGATTCATTGCAAAAATAAGGTAATGCAGAAAAGAATAAAATAAAGATGGTTTATAATTCCCAGATGGAGATGACATAATCATTGCTAACATTTCCGTATCTGTCATTAATAGAATTCCCTGGCATTTATCAGTTAGGACTCTAGAACACTCCTTGTCAATCAATGTTTCCTCTCCTGCACCCACCCTCTCTCTCTCTCTCTCCATCTTGGGTGCTGCTGCCTTTCTAGCTTTATCTCTGTTCTCTCTAAATCCAGAGCTCTGTCATCTCTGCAGTGGATATCACTGCACATTGGGCTTATTTAATTATTCATTAAACATTGAACAGATGTTGCTATTGTGGCTGCAGAGTTGCTATGTCTGTGGCGATGGTGCTTGGGATGCTTCTTTTGATTCTCCCAGAAATCAGAGACCATGTTGCTAGGGCAAGTCAGGAAACCACTTAGATTTTCCTATTCACCTCTGTCTCAGAAAAGAAAATGCCACCTTAGGGGTAGGGCTAGCCCAGCCTCTACAACAGACCCCCTGCTGCCAGTCGCTCACTATTTACCATTGAGGTACTCACCTGCAAGAGCCAGTCTCTTGACTCAGGCACAACATGGCAGGCCAGAGTGGTGGAATGGGCCTCTGTTCAATAAACATTCATTGTCCCATCACATTGGGAAATCCTGAATAAGGGTTTCAGCTCCCTGAAAATAGCTCATATGTACCTCTGGTTTTCTCATTTTGCTTCCATTTCCAGAAAAGGGAAGTAAAACAGGCCTACTAATAACACTGCTTTCACCTTTTTGCACTTGATAAGCTCGACCTTTATTTTACCACATAAGTCAGAACTACTATATACCACAACCCTGCTAATTTGTTCTTTTCCTCCTTCCTCCCACCTATCTCCTGCCACTTCCCCAGAAGCATAAAGCTTTCAACATCCTGCTGTCCATTAGCATAAATAAACTAATGCTTTTAAAATAAAAATAGTTTTAATGCTATATTTGTTAAAGACTGCATTACCATAAGAAGATAAAAATATTCTTGAGTAACAGGTAGATCATATACTTTAGAGACAATAACACACTTTTATTGTGGTTCTCTGGAAAGTTGATTATTTTAGCCATAGATTAAAACCTTAGGTCAGCACAAGTTATATTTCCATTCATTGCAGAAATTGTTAAACCTTGCAGTTTCTCAGGGCATCTACCTTTGTGTTTTAATTTATTTTTCTGTTGCCAATGTATTATAAGCATATCTATGAAACAAAAAAGATGAAGTGCCCTTTAAATTCAATTTTGTAATACGAACCAGTGGATATGGTTATGGCTTTTCCCTCATTTTTACATATCTGTTGTTAATTTAAATTTTATGTAACATTTATACAATAGATAAAAAAATACTGGGCCAAGAAAAAACAGAAGTGGCAAGAAATGGAAATGAGAGATCTTCAGCGTCTAGAAGAACTGAAGAAATTAATCGCTGAACAGTCACTAAAAGACAGAGAAAGGTAAAAGAAAATTTAAAATTGTGTGGTAATGGAGGTGGTGAATGGAGTCTTTTGTAAAGTGTTAGAATAAATAATATCAGAGGGAACTTTTTTCTATACTTAATGTATCCTTTCAATATTTATATTCACAAATGAATACAATGATATCTATGATGCATTTTAAATTCTCATAGTCATACATGAACCTCTGGTTTTTCATTTTGTTCCTTAGATAGCTTCCTAGTTAAAACCCTCACAGAGGATTTGATAGTATTTGATTACCCACTGTGTGCATAAAATGATACTGGCTGCTGCTGTAACTATCTCTTGACCCAGAAGGAGGAAACCATTATTCAAATAAGAAGGAAGACCCATTTACTGTGACGGAGGCTGGGGAAGACAGTACACAATTATACAGTGCTGTGTGGTGTTTATTATAACATACTTAGGGCATGCCCAATACATGAAAAAAATCTGGAATTTCCTAGAAGTATGTAATTTTAGATCTGGAAAGGACATTTGAGATCAAGTAGCCTAGTCTCCTCATTTTACATATGAGTACAATAAGAGATTTAAGTTATTTTTTCCAAAGTTACTGTATCAGTTAGGGTCAATTAGGAGACAAAAAACATATAGTAATTTGAACAGGGTAAGTTTAATAGAAAAAATGATAAACTCTAACAGGAAATCCTTTCTATATAAAGAGATAAATAGCATGCTAAAGAATACCCTAGGGCTGAAGGAGGGTTCCCTTGGAAGAAACACGTTTGGAACTGAGGAGCCCTCTCCACGGTTGGGATTCACACCTTACTGTGGAAGCTATGGTTATGACCCTCTGAATGGTGGAGAAGTTCTTGGGTGCGTTAAGATAGAGCTAGTTCAATAGTCACTAGGCAAACAGGGAATACCCAACTTGGATGCAGGCAGGCCAAAGCTGGAAGCCAATTATTGAGATGCTTGCAAGGCTTAATGGAAATCTGACCATGGAAGTACTTTTGAAATTTGATGGGACTGACCATGGGTGTGCCATTGGAACTCTGTGGACACAGCAACACTTGTGTCCCCTACATGTGCTGCTGGCAGCTGTATGGTAGGAACAAGAAGGCATAAACACACAAACCAGGAAGGAAATCCCCTTCCTCTACAGTGTCCTTCAAGCAGCCTTTTCTGACACTGCTTAATATTTTGCCAGTTGTAGGGATAGATAGAGGGTCCACCTCCATTTTCAGAGAGCAGACAATGAAGGGTGGATTTAGAGCTGTGAGACATTACATTGATAACTGGCATAGTTATCTAATTTAGCTAGCTCCTTAGTGATTTTCACCAAAGATAAAGAAGAGAGAGCTCTCATTTCATAACATAAATCATAGTAAATTTCCTCTAAATAGTGAGCTTCCCTGATACATTTACCTAAGTTAGTCGCTGTAAAAAAATTTCCTGGAACTCTATACTTTCTGCTTAATTTCACTCCGAACCTAAAATCGCTATAATAAATAAAGCCTATTTTGAAAATTGCCCCTCAGACTCACATATAATTTTGGAAGGCATAACCATTTGATACAATGAGATTCACTTGTATCTAGGAAGCTTCCTTTGTGACCCATGTGACTGTTATCTCAAACTCTAATCACTGAGGTTGTAGATTGAATCTGGAGTTTCAAATAGATGCTAAGCATTCCTAAGGATTTTCTGGACGAAATGCACATTATTTCCCAGGTAGCTCAGGATTTTAGAGTTTAGTATAATCTGTTACTGAGAGAACTGAGAATATAGCAAAGCCAGGGCTCGTGGTTAGAAGGTGAAGCCACCAATGAGAACCCAGATTAACAAACACAAACCAAGACCTAAGTGGATACAGGCCATGGGTCAGAAACAAGTAGGTGGATAAGAATTCCCAAACAGCTAAATACTAAAGGGCAAGGCAACATCTGGTTGATCAGTCTAAAGCTATCCTACCAGAACAAAAGAGAGCCACAGAAATTAAAAGGAATGGGGAAAACAGAACAGATATGTAGTTCCAGCATTAGGATACAGGCTTCCACTAAAATTACCCCTCATAGTCAGGGAGCTTCTTTGATTACAGAGTCATTTCAGTCTTTTGCTTCCTGTCCCAATAATTATCAAGATTAGCTGATTCAGAACTTCAGTTTGAAAAGAAGAAAAGGAAAATCAGATTAATCTGCATTACATAAAGAAAAAAAATAAGCATATTATAAGATACTAAAAAGAGTACTAAAGACGAGGAGCCAGGAGACCAAGGTTTTAGTCTTGACTCTTCTTTGAATTGTATATGACCTTGGGAAAATCTGTCATTTCACCTCTACAGGCTCTGTTTTGTCCTCTGTAAAGTTGAACTGGATAACTTCTGAGGACAGAGTTGATCCACTTTTAAGGGCCTATGATATGTTTGTTCAACTCGTATGTTAAAATGCTGTAGATTCAGATAATTATGAGTCCAGTGCTTATTTGCCAGTGGAAAATCAGTGAAAAAGGCCTTTAAAATATCAGGATATTTAAGACATATAATTCTCAGAAAAATTTTTATAATATTATAGATGTATATTCCTCATTTTGTGACTTAGGGAGATAGAATTCAACATACAAAATTGCTGATAGTTTTTGCTTTCGATAGTAACCAGAAGTTGTCTTCTTTCATAACTGCATAGCACTAAGAAATTCGGTTGATTGGTTAAAACATTTTTCTGTACTACTGAAATACAATTCATAAACCTTATGTTTGATATTTTAACTACGGACACTTTTTTTCCGTATCAGAATAAGGTGGCTTGAAGCAGTTTCCAGAACTGTGTTCAGAACACACACACATATCCTTGAGGGTTTGAAAACTTCCGTCATTTACTTCCCTTTTCTATTTTTAAATTCTAAGATTATATTTCTTAAAAACAATATTCGACCGGGTGCGGTGGCTCATGCCTATAATCCCAGCACTTTGGGAGGCCAAGGCAGGTGGATCACAAGGTCAGGAGATTGAGACCATCCTGGCTAACATGGTGAAACCCTGTCTCTACTAAAAAAGTACAAAAAATTAGCCGGGCATGGTGGCGGGTGCCTGTAGACCCAGCTACTTGGGAGGCTGAGGCAGGAGAATGGCGTGAACCCAGGAGGCGGAGCTTGCAGTGAGCTGAGATCGTGCTACCGCACTCCAGCCTGGGCAACAGAGCGAGACGCCATCTCAAAAAAATGAAATGTATGTGTGTGTGTATATATATATATATATATACACACACACACAAAATTTTATATATATATATATATATACACAAAATTATATATATATATATATACCTACATAAATAAAATGATAGGTTGAACCACATAAAATTCCATTTTTGTAGGTCAAAATGGTTGAGTACTGGCAATTTCATGTGGTTCAACATTAAAAAAAGACATAGAAATTGTTTTATTTATTAATCACATTTACCTTCTCAATCTATTAGAATATGTCTTTTGCCCTCTTCATTTTATCAAAATTGTTTTTGCCCAAGTTTCCACTAACCTCCTAATACCCTGCTTTTATTTCTCAACATGCCATTGAGATTAAGAGGGAAGGCTCTAGAATCGGTTGACATTAGAATCCTGGCTCTATCCTTTATAGCTGTGTGATCTTTAGATGAGTTATTTAACTTCCCTGTGCTTCAGTTTCCTCATCTGTACCTTGAGGATATAAACAGTATCTACTTCTTAAGATTGTTGCAAGGATCAAATGATACATTGAATGTAACACATTCACTGCCTGGAACACAGTTAAGTATTCATTAAATATAAGCGATTCCTATCAATTGACTTTTACATCACAAAATACTAATGTATTTTTTCTCAAAATATTAAAGCAAGAAGGCCACACTTCAAGCCAGAAAGAGAGCCCTCACCAGAACCTAACCATGCTGGCACATTGATCTTGGGCTTCTAGCCTCCAGAATAGTGAGAAAATAAATTTCTGTTGTTCAAGTCACCCAGTCTATAATATTTTGTCATGATGGCCCAAGCTAACTAATACAATGGTATTATATTATTAAATGTATTGTGCTTTTTTAGCCAGGCATGGTGGCACGCACCTGTAATCCCAGCTACTCAGGAGGCTGAGGCAGGAGAATTGCTTGAACCCAGGAGGCGGAGGTTGCAGTGAGCCGAGATCATGCCACTGCACTGCAGCCTGGGCGACAGAGCAAGACTCCGTCTCAAAAAAAAAAAAAAAAAAAAAAAAAAAAGTATTGTGCTTTTTGTTGCTGTTCTTAAAGATTTTTTACAGTACGTATATATAGGTACATTTTAAATGAATATTTTTAAAAATATTTTAAATAAAACATGTAAAAATGAGGACATTATTATAAAAATTAAAGTTAAAGCAAAAGTGCCCTTAACCACTACCCTCATGTAGTCTCTTCTCTAAAAGCCATTGCTTTTATCATTTTTAAATGCATATACATGCATGCTATCTATTTTATATGTACCTATATAAAATCAAGTTTAAGAACAGCAACAAAAATCACAACACATTTAACAATATAATACCACTGTATTAGTTAGCTTGGGCTATCATGACAAAATATCATAGACTGGGTGACTTGAACAACAGAAATTTATTTTCTCACTATTCTGGAGGCTAGAAGCCCAAGATCAATGTGCCAGCATGGTCAGGTTCTGGTGAGGGGTCTCTTCCTGGCTTGCAGAATGGGGCCTTCTTGCTGTGACTTCACATGGTGAAGAGAGTTAGCAAGTACTTGAGTGTCTTTTCTTACAAGGGCGTGACTCCCACCGTGAGGGCTACATATCCAAATACCATCACATTGCGGGTTAGGCCCTCAACATATGAATTTTGAGCAGACACATTCAGTCTATAGCAACCATTTGTGTAAAAAAAGCATTTATGTATGTACAAATCGACTATTCACTACTAACTTCTATTTATAGGTTGCTGCTGGCATATAAGTCCTTTGTGCTAGTTAGAAAAAGGTGCAGCACACCAACGTGGCACATGTATACATATGTAACAAACCTGCACATTGTGCATATGTACCCTAGAACTTTAAAGTATAATTTAAAAAAAAAAAGAAAAAAAAGAAAAAGGTGCCTCCTTCTGTTGGCATGTGCATATTGCTCCTACTACAAGTGGACAAATTACGAAAAGACTCCCTTCTGAACCATGGCATACAGCTTGACAAGCAGAGGCAAAGCTGGATGTCATACTTCTTTTGTATCTCTGGGTCATGGGTCATTTTTGTAGAGCACAAACTTCAAAATGATACATGGTATCTCTGCAAATAAACCTACCTAATTCTTTTAAAATAGTATATATTATTCATATTTCTTCTAAAATTTAGTTCTGTAGCCATCTGGAACTTATTTTAATGAGTGATATGAGCTAAATTGTTCTAAATTGATAGCCAACTATCTCAACACCAATTATTTAATGATTCATCTTTACCCACTGATTTAAAATGCCACCTTTGTTATATGTTACATTTCTAATTATACTTTTATATCCATATGGACTCTTGATTAGATTAAAAACTGATCTATGTTTATAGTTCTACATTGATAGTGTCCTGTTCTAATTATTCTGTTTTGCTATCTAGTAGAACAAGTGTTCACTCATTGTTCTTTTCAAAAATATCTTAGCTATTCTTATGTCAAATTTCACTTAGAAATGTTGTTGATTTTTTTTGTATTGAAATTTTATTAAGGAGAGCTGACACGTATACCAAATTTAATCTCCAGCCTGGGGACATGCTTCCAAATAGCTCTACAGCTCTAGACTTTTGCTAGATCCTTTAGAAAAGTTCATCTTTTTTTTTTTCTGGGGAGGACAGAAATTATTTTTGAAATAGGTAGAAATTGGTGACCAAGAAGCCAATTATAAGTTTCCTTCAGTAAGCTCTGTGAGAAAAAGTATCTGAACTAAGGAAGTGACAGCGGGAAGCAGAAGTGCTACAAAAGCTGACAGATGTGTGTGCAGTATTTACATGAGTTAGAGTTGATGACTCATGTCATCAGGGTTGGAGGCTAAAGGAAGACAAAGAATGAAACATGACCCTGAATATTATTGTGCTTTTTCTGGCCTCTTGGGTTGAAAGCTTTAGTTATTTTATTTTCAATGTATTTTATTTCCTAATCAATTCACTCGACTATAGTTTTTATTTTCCTGTTTATTTTTGGCCATATTCTACAAAGTTTGAAATATTGTGTTTTTATTACCTAATTTCTAGTAGTTTTCATTTCATTTTTTATGTTGCAACAATAAATTGGTGGATATTGGGGTGCTTGCCACAGGTAAGTTTCAGTTTCATTGATTGTCTTGTGATGGGCTTCAAATTGGTGAGCAAACTGGATAGCGAAATGTATAAAAGTTAAAATGCTAATCAAAATATGAGTATTAAGTGAAAGATACCTTTAGTTTTCTTGGGTAACAAATGACAGTCTTCAAAATAGACATAAGAATGTATCTTTGTCTTTTTTTTTTTTTTTTTTTTTTTACCACAATGTTTATTCTTTGTGTTCTTTAGTTTCTGTAACTCTATGCTCCAAGTTCCTTTCTAGCCATCCCAAAACGTTGCCACTTAGCCCTCATGGTAATTTTTACCCAAAGTCTTCTCCCCCTCCCCCTACCCCACCACTGCTGAAAGCTAAACTGTCTCTCTTTCGCATGCAGTAGTTGTTCTTTCTTTTCAGCAGGGCACTGACTGCACTTCCTAACTAACCTTGTTGGGACCAATACTGGTGCCCTGGTCACTGCAGTGTAGAGTTCTCTACAGCTGCAGTGATACTTTGATGTATATGTTTATTTTGTTTTCAGGTGTTTTTAAACACTTACCCTGTTCCCAGAAACTTTCTTTACTGAGCATTCTTTATGTTGGGTAGTGAAAGATTCTACACACAGGGAGGAGTAGAAAGCTAGGATATGTAACGGTCATATCTCATTTGTTGTATATCTTTAGCATCACTGCTTTCTATTATCAGTGACTGTTGCAGAGCATGCAAGCAGAAATTAGACCATTCTTCCAAGCACAGGGGCCTTTCTCCCCTTTACATTATGACATTTTGAAAATGCTTATTACAATGTTCAATCTTTGACTTTTCTGAAGTTCAGCTCTGTTGTAGTTAACAATCTTATTCCTCTGTATTTGCCAATTATTGCTTTAATAAGGATAATTATATTGTGGCCTTTCATCTACTTATCTCCATTGCTGTTTCTTATAATTTAATAAATAGCTTGCTTTTCTCATTTTACCTCCTTTGTGCTAATTTTAATGTTTTAAAAATGTTTTAACAATATACTCCAGAAGATAATTTTAAAGATCTCTAAAAGCAGATTTACTTAGCTAAGGAGTTCCTCTAGATATCATTTCATGACCAAAAAAACTGAAGTTGGGTACAACCAACAAATGGATGCTACAGGTTCTAAGAACTTTATCAGTCAATGCTCATGTAACACTAGAGCAGCTGTTATTCCATTCTTTGCTACATTAGAATCACTTGGGGAGCCTTTGAAAGTCCTGATGCCCAGGCCAGACTCCAGACCAACTAAATTCATATCTCTGGGGAAAATTCTGACCCCCACATTTTTGGGAAATTCTTAGGGGATTCTAAAGTGCAGCAAAATTTAAGAACCATTGTACTAAAGTTCTTTCTACACTTTCTCAAGTATGGGCCCAAAGTCACCTACTGGGTTCTTGAGACCATTCCACTTTTTGTAGAAATGCCCATAATTTCTCTTTTCCTAGACAGTACCCTCACTGAGCTCAGAGAGGTCATATAGGTGAAACTTATATTCATGGAACAGTTTATCAATTCTAGAAAACCACTTCAAGTAAAAATTTTGCGTGTTATTTTTCTAACAACCCAGTTATGTGTATGTATGTGTGTGTATGTTTAGTGGAGAAAACGTTGCTTTCCACAGTACAAAAAACAAAAGCAGCACTAATTTTAGGTTATTTTTTCCCAAATAACAGCATTTTCCTGTATTGTAAAACAGTAAACATTTGAAGTTTAGGATGTCAATGACCATTTGGGAAGGAAGAGACTAGAGCCAGCTGCCTTTCTAACACTAAATTGGCCTTGCGAATCTAGTGTGTGTTTTGAGGTCCTTGCCAACATCAGAGAATTGACAGTTATTGCATTTTCTAAGTAACAAAGCCAGATGTTTCTCTCTATTTTCCATGTCTTTTCTTAACAATGTGCAAATTTCGACATGTTGTATTGGAAGGCATTAAGGAAATTTAAAGTGGGTTCACAGTCTAATGTTTGAGATCTTTAAAGAGTATGTTTAGTAAAGTGACTTAATCAGAAATTTTTACAAACATTTGTCATGTTTTTGCTTCTCAGCATGAGATTTCTCAAAATTAATGGGGATGCTCTTGTTCATTAAGTCTCTGTCAACCAAATCCCCATTCCAAGTGGATGTGCCAAATGATATAGTCCAAAGATCACTGTGAACCATTAAACAAATACAGTTCTTAATAGGACTGTCTGTTTTGTATTTTATATGTATATTAGAAATGTTTTGCAAATTAGCAGTAACTTAAGACATGGAAAGAAACCTCATTGGTGGCCAACAGTAATAATAATAATAATAGTACTTATGACCTGCTTCTCAGTATAACAAAACAAATTGTGGGAGATGTGTGTGTTCATACATTGGGACATGGATACACAGATTATTTGGATATTATCATAGTAGTTCTTGAATGGAGCTTAGCTAAGCAAGCATGATTGACAGAGAGGATAAGAAATTCATGGACAAAGCAATATATAGCAATTTTGATGTGAAAATGAACAAGCAAGCTTATGCCTGTGGGCAAATGGAGCACCAGCTGGGCAGAGATGGCACAGCTGAAGGTCATTCAAGAGGTCTTGGATGATGATTTAGCTCCTGATGACTGTACATCAAGTTGACTGTACATCTCTGGTTCCTTCCAAACCACAAGCAATTGAAGCATGTCGTTTGCTGAGTAGTTTAGGCTGCTTTTACTTTGTTGTTTACAACTTTGATTTTTGATTTGGAAATCTTGTTCATTTAAAGAGTTACTGGATTTTCGTTGTGTGCTAAGTTGATCTGTCTGTTGCATTTACTTGTTCAGGTCAAAAAATGGAATGTCAGCAGGTATGTGTCTGGTAAAGGTCAGACAACAATCAGAAATACTTTAGAATATGTTTTTTAATGTATAAAATGAGCATTATTACATCCCTTTATGCCCACCATTATTTTTGTTTCATATGTATGTGTCAATGAATTGACCACAGATGCTGTAATTCCGAATAGAACATCTAGGTGCTGTGATCTTTTTGAGAATCAATTATCTCAAATTCTCCTCTTCAGTAACACAGACTTTTATTTTGGTACATAACTAGTGCTACAGATATTTGAAAGTTTTTGTTGGAGCATTAGGTTGTTTTCTTTCTTTTTTTTTATTATTATACTTTAAGTTCTGGGATATGTGTGCAGAATGTACAGGTTGGTTACATAGGTATACACGTGCCATGGTGGTTTGCTGCACCCATCAACCCACCGTCTACATTAGATATTTCTCCTAATGCTATCCCTCCCCTAGCCCCCAACCCCCAAGTAGGCCCTGGTGTGTGATGTTCCCCTCCCTGTGTCCATGTGTTCTCATTGTTTCTTTTTTTTTTTTTTTTTTCGAGACAGAGTCTTGCTCTGTCGCCCAGGCTGGAGTGCAGTGGCATGATCTTGGCTCACTGCAAGCTCCGCCTCCCAGATTCACGCCATTCTCCTGTCTCAGCCTCCCAAGTAGCTGGGACTATGGGCACCTGCTACCATGCCCGGCTAATTTTTTTTTTTTTTTTTTTTTTGTATTTTTAGTAGAGACACGGTTTCAGCATGTTAGCCAGGAGGTTCTCAATCTCCTGACCTCGTGATCTGCCTGCCTCGGCCTCCCAAAGTGCTGGGATTACAGGTGTGAGCCACCGCACCCGGCCTTGAGTGAATTTCTTAATCTTGCATTCTCATTTGATTGCACTGTGGTCTGAGAGACTGTTATGATTTCTGTTCTTTTGCATTTGCTGAGGAGTGTTTTACTTCCAGCTCTGTAGTCAATTTTAGAGTAAGTGTGATGTGGTGCTGAGTAGAATGCATATTCTGTTGACTTGGGGTGAAGAGTTCTGTAGATGTCTATTAGGTCTGCTTGATCCAGAGCTGAGTTCAAGTCCTAAATATCCTTGTTAATTTTCTGTCTCATTGTTCTGTCTAATATTGACAGTGGGGTGTTAAAGTCTCCCACTATTATTGTGTGGGAGTCTAAGTCTCTTTGTAGATCTCTAAGAACTTGCTTTATGAATCTGAGTGCTCCTGTATTGGGTGCATATATATTTAGGATAGCTCGCTCTTCTTGTTGCTTGGATACTTTTACCATTATGTAATGCCCTTTTTTGTCTTTTTTGATCTTTGTTGGTTTAAAGTCTATTTTATCAGAGACTAGGATCGCAACCCCTGCCTTTTTTTGCTTTCCATTTGCTTGGTAAATATTCCTCCATCCCTTTATTTTGAGCCTATGTGTGTCTTTGCACGTGAGATGGGTCTCTTGAATAGAGCACACCAATGGGTCGTGACTCTTTATCCAATTTGCCAGTCTGTGTCTTTTAATTGGGGCATTTAGCCCATTTACATTTAAGGTGAATATTGTTATGTGTGAATTTGATCCTGTCATTATGATGCTAGCTGGTTATTTTGCCCATTAGTTGATACAGTTTCTTCATAGTGTCGATGGTCTACAATTTGGTATGTTTTTGCAGTGGCTGGTACCGGTTTTTTCTTTCTGTATTTAGTACTTCCTTCAGGAGCTCTTGTAAGGCAGGCCTGGTGGTGACAGAATCTCTCAGCATTAGCTTGTCTGTAAAGGATTTTATTTCTCCTTCGCTTACGAAGCTTAGTTTGGCTGGATATGAAATTCTGGGTTGAAATTCTTTTCTTTAAGAATGTTGAATATTGGCCCCTTCTGTCTTCTGGCTTGTAGGGTTTCTGCAGAGAGATCCGCTGTTAGTCTGATGGGCATCCCTTCGTGGGTAACCCAACCTTTCTCTCTGGCAACCTTTACACCTATATGCAGAGGTAAATGCTTTGCAGGTCTTCCACAGCAGCAAAGGATGCTGTGTCCTCCAGTACATCACACAGTATTTGTGAGTGATATGGAGGCAACCATTATATACTTTATTGATGTATTGATGTCTTTATTACTAACTTCTTAGGGAGTTTTACTAAGTAGTTTTAAGTAATGAAATACTGACCTTTTGGGCATAAACTTTGCAAAGATTTTATAAAGCTGCAGGGCTAGGTAGGCAGAAACTTAGCTGGTATAGGTTAAATGAAGGAAGGAGAATAAAGCCATGGATTGGGAGAAATAACATGGTAGCTTTTACAATATGCCACTACCCTGGTGGATACCATAGAACTCCAGGCACTTGAAGTTTATTCTTTTGGGGGACTACCCCTGAAAAAAAATATGTATGTGTAAAAATATATGTTTATGTTTATTTATATATATACATACATACACATGTATGTATGTATATATAACATATATTTATGTTTATTTATAAATATACATACATAAATACAGCCATCAGATGATATTAAATAAGAATTAGAAGGTTAATGAAGGGAGCATGTTTATAATCTGGGTTTTTTTAAAAAATATATTCTAATATAAGTTTTACAGCGTCATATAATTTTGAAACTGGGAGGAATCATACAATGCATCTAGTCCAACCTCCTTGCATTAACTAAGGTTTTAGCTTACAAGCAACAGAAATCCTTTCTAGTTAAATTTTGTGGTAAAAAGATTTTTGTGGAAAGATATTTGAGTAGCCCACAAAATCATCAGTTAGGCCACAGACCCAAGCTTAGCAAACTGTTGGGAATAATGAAGTCTGGGAAGATAGAAAAGAGTCAGGATTGGAACCCAACTCCCTTCGGAATTATCCTCTTAAGTTTAACCATGACTACTGGACCTCATGGCGTGCCTCCTCCCCTGTGGTCTCATGACATTGGGCATCTCTGCTGGCAACACTGCCTTTGTTCCTGTTCCTGTCGTGCCACCCTGCCCAGGGCCCTAACAGCTCCTCGACAGGCCCTGCTTCTCTGCACCACTGGCTTCTGAGTGCAGCATCCATAGGGCAGAGCTCAGGTCCCACACTCATGCTCTAGCTGCAGAGGAGGCTGGGAAAGCAAGCATCAGGCCTCAGCTTACAGTGGGGATTTCTACAAAGGAGGAAGGGGGCTCAGAAGCGAGAAAAAAGAAAGAGAACACCTTCTACAGTTCACAGCTTTAGTTAGAAAAATCAACACATACCCTTCTTTCTATACCTAAAACAGCAAAAAATTTGCTTCCACCTAAGACTGTTGTTTTACCTTTTACAACCCAAAATGTACTCGCTTCATTCCCAAAGGGAATAAACTTAAAGTCTCATTTGTTACAGCATCCAGTTCCAAATCCAAGATCCCTAGGGTCATATCTTTTTGCCCTATCATCCTCTCATCTTGTCATGATCTATCTTTATATTCCATGACCTGTGAATGGAATTTTAAAGTTCACTACCAATAACAACACCTCATGTAAAATAGTATGGAAAAGGGAGGTGAAGGAAGTGAACAGAAAGTGTGTGTGTGTGTGTGTGTGTGTGTGTGTGTCAGATCAAAATGAACACCTTTCTGTAAGTGGTCCTTGCTTCTGCAAATTTGGTCAAGATCACAATTCAGATTTATAATTTCCCTTCTGTACTGTGAATTACGTATGCCCATTGCTTTCAGCCAGCATCTTGACTGACTGCAGTTCTTTACTCAATAGGTTGACTCCTACCTTAATTTCTGAAGGACTTGCTTGCATAGGTTGACTTTTATCCCTGGCATACAATTCCATAAGGTGTCCTAGGAATTCCTTGGATTTCATCTGCTTCTGCCTGCCTGTATTAAATTATAACACTCCTATTTCCCATTGATAGGTCTATTGTTCCAACCAACACTGTACCTTCTTTTCTGTCTGTTTGCTTCATGGTATGACAGACCCCAAAAGGTAAACATTTGCATCAGATCTTAAGTCAATGTAACCATTGTTGTCCTCCGATGGAAGCATTAGAAGTAAAACCAGCAGAGCCTGGAGTCCTGGGGATGGGAAACAGAAATTTTATTAAAGGATCTTTGGGGTTAATTGTGAAAAGCACCATTCCCACTTGTATTTAGTGGTACAATTATGTGCATATTCTGTCTTTGTGAGAAATAGCACCATATATTGGTCACTAATCAGAGCAAAATCACTTCTTATAAAACAGCATTGAACCTCAGAAAATATTGCTTCCCAGTTCGTTCTGTAGTGGAGTCTTCAATTGGCTATCTGTCGTCTTATAAGGACAGCAGTATCCGGGTGATGCAGTGAATGCCTGCGCTTCAGCCCATTCCTCTACTTCTACACAGTTAATGGACTTCCTTAGGAAGAAACAATGTCTTGTGCGATACTATGGATACACAGTTGGCCCAAAAACAGTGTATAGTGAAAGAAAATCCAATTATTTTTTCTGTCCTTTCCATAATAGAAAGTGGTCGATAAAGTATTGGAACTGGCTAAAATTGGCTGATTCCTTTGGGGTATTATACCATGTTAAGGACTCACAGTTACAGTAGTCAGATTAGCCTTGATAAAAGCAACTGACATGGTTGAGCAGTCCGTATCTCCTGTTCCCCATCACTAGGAGCATTTTATCATAAGCCCATTGAGCAAGTGGCAGGTTGCTGGGGAAGAAGACTGATACACACATAGTAGGCCATGACTCCCACCTACTTCTTTAAAATCACCTATATACAATACATGGGCACTCTGGACTAATTCCAACAATTTTTCAGGGACTTATTTTCACAATCCTCCAATCTTATTCCTTCAGTGTCCCTAATCTACTGGCCAAACCATTAGCTACTGCCCACAAAATGTTATTAATCCATATTTTATTCATCTATTAAAAAATATTTGCTGAGTACCTAATATGAGCCAGTCACTAATTCTTTACATGAGGTAAAGTGAACATGGAAATCATCCTATTGAAATTACATTTGCATGGTAAATTTCCCTCCTCCATCCCCTTTCAGGGACATTTCTGAGCAGGGCCATCAATCTCAGCACTCTGCTTCTGTCTGGACCAGTGCATGTGTAGATCCAGCTGTAAAACTGGCTCATTTTTTCCTTTCTCCAGAGGGTGCCTTAGGGGCTGTGGGTGTGGGTTGAAAGGATGCTGCTGTGGCAGGAGTGGCATGCTGAGTGGGAGCTGCCTGTCTGTGTAAATTACTTGGGTCTTAAGGCCCATTCTACATTCGTTTAATGAGTTGGTACTGCTTAGGTACTCCTAGAAGCATCTGGTGGCTCAAGTGACACCCAGCTCATTGGAATAGCGATGAGTCTCATTGTTACCTGGTATCTTAAGGTCAGGAGCCAAACTCTTGTTTATGAAACAGAGGTTAAAAAAATACATACCTTATATGGTTCTTGTGAGGAATAAACACACTAAAACATGGAAAACACTCACTACAATGCCTACCACATGTATCTGCTTGACAAATGATAGTTATCATAATGATCACCAGGGTCCAATAGTGATTCAAGAGCTAGATCTTAAAAGAAAAATTACAACTTGCAAAGAAGGCATGATTGTGCTGCAGAACCCTGAGGGTCTCTACTATGCGAGAACCTATAAAGGTTTTGACATGCTCTATAAGACATTCTAGTTACCCAGAATACACCGGGGCACCAGTGAACCCTCTGCATCAAGGACAAGTGGCATTGCCATCTGCATCATGGCCTGGACCAGCTGGACAGCTTTCTCTTGTTCTGACCTGTGTTCATACTGTTAGCTGTTCAGATCACTCACTAAACTGACTGGATAGGCATTCCCAAAAGCTGATTTTGCTACCTTCCAAACCTACAAAGAATCATCTGGCATTATGATTGTCTTTTTTAATGTGGAGTAAGAAAATCTGTATTAAAATCCCTATCTTACCACTTCCTACCTCTATGACCTTAGTCAAGTTACCTATGTCTCTGGACACACCCAAATGATTGTTAGCAGAATTAAAGGAAATGATGTATATAAAGCACCCGGAGTACAATACACACTGTTACATTCATTTCTCTCTACACCCTCCTCCTTATCTACAATGTTTAGCCAGCTGTCTGGGGCTTTGCCATATGGATGTCTCCCTGGCACTTCACATTTTCCATGCCTCAGATAGAGATATTCATTGCTCTCTCCACCCTGTTCTTCCTCCAGCATTCCCTTTTCTGTAAATGACAACAGGATGTACTCACTGCCCAATCAGAAGCCCAAGGTGACTCTTCCCTCTCTTACTCCCCACTCCTACAGCCAAGGGCTTATTAAATTCTGTGAATTTACCTTTTGAATATTGATATCCTTTGCTGTCACCCTGATAGGGCCACCATCCTCTCACCTGAATTGCAGCCACAACACCTCACTACTTCAGCCTTGCCCCAAAGCAAACACAGCTAGTCATGTCATTCAGATACTGAAAACCCTTCTGTGGTTTTTCTTCACACTTTGGGTAAAGTTCAGATGCCTTAATGTTGCCCATGGGATGCCCATGGCTGGACTCCGCTTAGCTCTTTAATCTCTCACTGGAGTCCTGCCCCTCCTACTCCTCTCCAGACTGCTGGGCCCTGCCAGTTCCTGGTAGATCCACTGGGTCTTCAGATGGATGTTTCTTCTACTGGGAACATTCCTGTGGCTGACTACATTCCTGTGTTCTTCATGTCTCTGCACAAATGTGACTTCCTCAGTGAGACCTTCTTTGGCCTCTTGTTGAAGTTATGTCTTCTTGGTGTATGTTTTCATGATGCCTGCTGAGATGAATTTGGACAGAGTCAAGTATTTTGACAGGGCGTGGAGAGGATGGTTTTTCTCTGCTTCATAATTTCTGGAGTTTGAGCTTGGAGGACTTGAATGGCAGGGGAGGGGAATAATCTGATGTCTTCTTTCGTCTGGGCTGAGATGACTAGAAAGCTGGGGGTAGCTGGGAACTGTCATTTGGAGCTTTGCATGGTCTCTCCATGAAGCTCGGCTTCTTCAAAGCATAGTGGCCTCAGAGGAGCCAGACTTCCTATATAATGCCTCTGAGCTCCAGGAGATTGTCTTCCAACAAAAAAAGGCAGAAGCCTTATAGCTTTCATGACTTAGTCTTGGAAATCACATAGTGTTATTTCTGTTTTATCCACTGGTCAAAGTAATTATAAGGCCCATCAAGATTCAAGTAGAAGGCATTTAGATCCAAACTCTCAATAGGAGGAGTATCAAATAATTTGTGATCCTATTTGAAAACCACCATAGTGCCCTTTTCCTGTACAGTCTTAACGCTCATTTTGTATTGTAATTACTTGTTAAATTTTTATCTTCTCCAGTAAACTCCAGTAAATTCTACGGAAGTGGAATTTGCATCTGTCTTCACCATCCTACCTTTGTATCTGGCACATTGTAGGTAACTCAATCTCAATAAATATTCATTGAGTAGAGGAATCTAACTAGAATAAACCACTACTAGACAAATGGTAGGGCCTGATTTGTTATAGTTGAATGAGTCACACTTGTTTTAGTTCTGTTTAAACTACAGGAATAAGGAATTGTCTCTTGGTTATTTATGTTTGCCTTTTTATTCTAAACAAAGGAAAGAGTACCATCTCAAAATTGTCAAGCCTGAGTATTAAAGATCATAAATCTTAAAAGTCATCTAGTTCAATGGTTTTAATGTTTAAATCTCTTCCACTTCTCTACTAAGTGTTCCTACATTTCATACATCCTAGGTACATACGCATCTCCTGATGTTGAACTTGCTATCTTTGAGGGCAGTATATTTCATCTTTTGATAGCTATAGAATTTTTTTCTTTTCCTTTTTTTAATTCCTTTATTTTTTATAGTAAGCTCAGATCTGTCTCTTGTACACATTGGTCCTCCTTTTATTGTTTGAGACCATGTGAAACAAATGTAAATCTTTCTCCTAACAAACTTTTAACATTGAGGATATTGTCTCTTTCTCTTTCCCCATATCTGTCTCCATCCCTATAAGGTCTTTGTTTTGTGAGTTCTTTTTGGAGGGAGTATGCTTTCAACTCATTTGCCATTAATAGTGGAGAAGAGTTTAGGAGGAAAATCCTCACTGGCCAGAGGACACCACCGTGATGATGCCCAAACATCGTGGTTCAGGATCACTATGGCAGTATTGTTAAAGGATATAAATTATTGCAAATAAAGCTTATTGCTTAGGAAGTTATTTGTATCAGTATCTAATATACATTTATTTAAATAAGACGAATTCATATCTGAAAGCAAACCCATTTTATTGCACAGATAAACATGAGATTGATCTGTCAAGGTAAAGACCTCAAGGCACAGACAGTGGGTAAGGTGGCTTCACTTGCAGAAGGGAGCAAATAAGACAATGCTCTCCAACTCTAAGTAGATGCTGGACTAACAGACCAAGGTTCCAGTTACCATTACTTTCATTATGACTCCAATCACACTGATTACAAACTTGAAGCAAGCCTCCCTACTTACAGCAGCTCATGGACTTCTTTAATCTTGGAGGTCTCAGAGGACTCTCCTGCTCTCTGCTGAATGGCTTAAGAGTATAGTGCTGCTCAGACCTGTCACACCATCTAAGAGAGCCCCTTTCCTTCACCAAAGTTAAGCTAGGCAGCTAAAGGGCAGCCAACACAAAGATTCAATTTTAAGTTTTCCCTTTTGTTCTCTGGGTTAGTCCATATCTGGCCCTCTGCCTGTTTTTTGTATTGCCTGCAAGCTAAGAATATGTTTTTGCATGTTTAAATGGTCAAAAAAAGAAGATAAAAAAGAATTTGTGTTGTGTAGAAATTATATGAAATTAAAATTTCTGTGTCCATAAGTAAAGTTTTATTGGAACAGAGCCAAGCTTCTTTGTTTGTCTCTGGCTGCTTTCGTGTGCTGCAGTGACAGAGTTGAATAGATGCCAACAGAGACTGTATGGCCTGCAGGCCTGAAATATTTATTATTTGGCACCGTTTCCACAAAATGTGTACTGACCCCAGGTCTAGCAGGATGGTGGAAGAAGCGGGGAACATCAGTATTGCTGCTTAAAAGCAAAATATTCTTACATACTTGGGTTCTATCTCGCCTTTAGAAAAACTTAACTGAAATGAAGGAAAGCTGAGAAAACTTGACATTCTATTAAACCAAAGACACCATTCTCATCTGATTGCATTCCTTTCTGCCTATTCACTTCCACAGTATAACACTCAGAGCCTTATGTATGGTCTGACCCTTCTGCTAAAACAGAGCAAACTTATAAGCTTCTTTCCTCAAGATACATACGTTAATTAATTTTGCCCAAAGTGGGAAAGTGATTGTGCGTATGTGTATGGAACACTTTAAAAAATTCATATGGAACAATGACAATATTTTTCTTTCTCTCCCACCTTTTTCTCTAAATTTTAATTATTCATAAAATTTCAAGCAAAGGAAGAGTTATAAGAATAGTGCAAATAATTTCTACCCAGTTTTACTAATTTTTAATATTTTGCCCGATTTGCTTCATCATTTCTACTCTCTCTCTCTACCTTCACACACACACTTTGTTATGCCATGCCATTTGAAAGAGAGTTGCAGACATCATGACACTTTATCACTACATTGACATGAATTAACTGAGAATAAGGACAATTACGTACTTAACCACGATACCATTGTGATACCTAAGAAAATGAATGGTAATTCCATAATATCAATTAGTATCTAGCCATATTCAAATTTCCCCAATTGTCATAATAATGTTTTTTTAACCCCTCCCAAGTAAGATAATATAACCATATGAGGAAAAAAGACTATTTTAAGTAACTTTTGAAAACTCTGGGCCAGGTTTGGTGGCTCACACCTGTAATCCCAGCACTTTAGGAAGCCGAGATGGCTGGATTGCTTATGTTCTGGAGTTCCAGAGCAGCCTGGGCAACATGGTGAAACCCTGTGTCTACAAAAAATAGAAAAACATTAGCCAGAGTTGGTGGCGTATAGCTGTAGTTCCAGCTACTCAGGAGGCTGAGGTGGGACGGTCACTTGAGCCTGGGACATGGAGGTTGCAGTGAGCCAAGATCATAATACTGCACTCCAGCCTGGGTGACAGAGTGAGACCCTGTCTCCAAAAAAAAAATAGTAACAAATAAAAGAAAACAGTAATCTGTATACATTATTTGGATATATTCTTAGGGAAAAAGTACTGGAACGAAATCCTAAACTTCACTGGTTAGGTTTATTATTATTGGTAACACTGGTATTGAGACTTCGAAATATTTACATATAAATTGACATATTAATATTAACAGGACTAGGACTCAGTGTAAAAGAAAAATACCAATATTAAATGAAAATTTCAAAACGGTGATATTAAATATAAAATGAAAATATAATTAAGAACTTATAATTTTTAAGTAAATTTTTCTCTCTCTAGAAAGCATCACAGTAAGGGAAACAATGACACTCCAGTGGCAATGAGCCTACCTAGTATCTAGGTACTGATTTCTAGATATTATTTCCCACCTGAAGGAACAGGGCTAATTGGGAAACAAATGGCTGATTCCAGGTCTGGGGCAGGGAAATTATGGGGTGAGTTTAGGCTATTTTAATGTGTCAGCTAATAAATGCTGAAGAAATGATAGATTTAGAAAATAACATTTTTTATTTCCTAATGTAATAATTCTAGATCATCAATGGATGGTGAAACTTTTAGGTAAAGAATTTTTCAGAAAATTGGACATTTACACAGAACCAAGTATAACTCTATGAATTACTAAATTAAAAGGGAAAAAATATGCCTTTACAATGGAGAGAGCTGACTATCGCTACCTTAACCAAGTGTACTGATTTAGCATCACTAATACTGAGGCAAACTGACAGTGTGCCTCATGATGGTATAATATGAAGTACATCACCCTGGTGCCAAAATATTTTACCTGAAGCCAATCAATTTCTTAGTCAATGAGTTGGCAAATTTTATTTGGAAAGAGTTAGAACATAATTATGTTAGGCTGCGTGGGCCATCCTGTCTCTGTCACAGCTTCTCAGCTCTGTCAATATGTAAGCAAATGGGTATGGCTATGTGCCAATAAAACTTTATTTATAAAAATAAGCAGTAGATTGGATTTGGTCCCAGGGTCATAGTGTGTCAACCCCTGTTCAAGACCCAACTTACTGTTTACAGGAAATTCAGGGGAAAGAGGAACCAAAGTAAATAACTGGATATCAAGAGGAAATAATCAGACAAATCAAAAATAAGGAGCATCCTACAAGACTTTAAATTAAACAGCATTCCTTAAGTGCTTCAGAAAACTTAATATCATGGGAAAAAATGGGTCTGTTCAGACTGAAATAAACCAGTGAGATGTAAAAACCAATTTCAGGGCATGAACCTAGATAATGATCATCTTTTTTAAACATGCACCACCAAACTCTGTGTCACCAGCCCTGTCCTTGTGCAGCTGATTTTTTTTGGACCAGAGTGCAGAATCTTCCTTTATCCTGTCCCTGCCATCACAATGATCTGTGATCACTACCACAATGACTAGTTTGAATGCGTCTCAACCCTCTTGAGCTGCTTTTCAAAGCCTCATGATATAAAATCAATGCCATTTCACCTGAACATTTGATTAAAATCATTAAGAAAGCAAGTTTATGGAGGCAGAAAAATAGATGTTTATGCTTTAAGCACCAATCTTTAATTATCATGAGACACAAGTGGATGATTTATATCATTTGACCCTTTTTATTTTCAAAGAAAAAGAAACATTTGCTCGTTCCCAATAATGATCTAATCAGATAACTATATTTTTACTAATAACTGTCATAAAGTGACCTTCATTATTCACCTATAATTTCCTGAGACAGGACTTGGAGTTAAAATGACTCCAAGTTAAAATAAAATGGAGTTTTATTTTAGAATCTATCATCTAGAAGCACCTAAAGTCTGTTATAGAAAAATAATTTAAATAACTTATAAGCTAAAAACTGGTTTTAAATTAATATCAAAGGCCGGACGTGGTGGCTCACACTTGTAATCCCAGCACTTTGGGAGGCCAAGGTGGGTGGATCATCTGATGTCAGGAGTTTGAGACCAGCCTGGCCAACATGGTGAAACCCTGTCTCTACTGAAAATACTAAAATTAGCCAGGGGTGGTGGCGGATGCCTATAATCCCAGCTAGTTGGGAGGCCGAGGCAGGAGAATCACTTGAACCTGGGAGGCGGAGGTTGCAGTGAGCCGAGATGGTGCCACTACCCTCTAGCCTGGGCAACAGAATGAGACTTTGTCTCAAAAAAATATATAAATAAAAATTAAAATTTAAAAAAGCAATATCAAAATGTCTTCATTAAAACTATAAGAAAATTACTTTCCAAGCTTAAAGTATCATACACCTTAGAGCAGATGAATAAAACCAAGTAAAATCTCTTATAAACCAAGACATGTTTTCTTAATTCATACCTTGCTGCCATGACACTCTTCTGTTCTCCCTATCAAGCCTATACATACCTTTCAAGCAGATCCCTTTATGCTTAACTAATCTCTACTGGTCCCAAGGTCCCTGCCTCTGGTTTTTCACTCTTGTTTTGGTCTCCTCCCTTAAAAAGTCATCTTTCTGAGAACAAAGCTGTTTCAGAATCAAGGTTTGTTTGATTTCCCTCATCATAACAGAAGTCTTCTGCTTTTGTTCCTTAGGGGAGATGTTCTTGAACTTTACAATAGCTTTTCAGCTCTGTTTGACAAAGAGATAAAATTTGTGCTGCTGGTAACATACAGAATCTAACTTAAGATAAATTTAAACTCAGTTCACTGTTTCTGATTTTTCTATCCTACAAACTGTGCTTATAGGATGATAATTCCAAATAATTATTTCCGACCTGGAAAAAAAAAGACCTTGAAGCCATTTCAAGTATTCTCTGAAGATATCAGCCAAAAAGTCCAATGAAATCCCAGGCATCATTAGGAAAGAAAACAAAGGCATGAAATGACGTGTGTGTAAAATCATCATGAATTCGCATTTGGGAAACTTCATGATTCCTGGCATGATTCAGAAAATGAATATAATGACCATGAAGTTGGGCCATTCTTCAACTTCAACTTCAAAGGTGCAGAGTTGATACACTGGCCTCTAGTCTGAGAACACAGTGATACTATTATTTAAAATCCACCAACTTATTTGGTTTACACATTTAATAATTATTATTGAGTGTCTACTACCTTGGGATACAATGATGGACAAAAATGACACTGTCCCTGTTTTCAAGAACCTGAAGGCCAAGTGAGATATTCAGATATCCTGGGGAAGGGAAGCACAAAGTGCTATGGACACACACGGAAGTAGCACTTAAACCAGGTAGGGGGTGCCAGGGATGAGTCAGGTGTTTTCTTAGTAGAAGGAAAGGCCTTCCAGAAATAGGAAATGTCCTCCTGCCAAATCTCCATGAGGAACTGAAAGTAATTTAGTAATTTACTATAGTTGAAGTGTTTGGAGTAGGTTGGGCAAAGGTTGTGGTGAGAGAAAAGATTAAATAGATAAGTAGAGACCAAATTACAAAAGTCCCTGGAAGCCTTAAATATTGTAGAGCTTGAATAGGGTTAATTCTGACTTTTTGAATTAATTGATTAATTCATTAGAATTAATTGATTAATTCATTAGAATTAATTGCATTAACCAGTTAATGAATGCATTTAGTGGTTTTTACCTTTTCTATTCCAAAAATATTATAATATATACCCAGAGATTTAGCAAATTCCAGGATACTGGAAGAAACTTGTATAGAAACTGTATCTATCATTAGAGTGGCAATAAAAAAATAGGGAAGTAATTACCAGGAGGTTGCACATAAATTATGCATAGCAGGTTAATACATAAATTGGTTCAAAATGAGATTAGACAAACACAAGGACCTCATGAAGTATTAGGGGAAGTTGTTTATTAGAGGCTCTCTTATGCTCTCCAGCAAAATAACTTCAGTGACTTTATCAGAAATGGGGTTTTAGACAGGATGTTTCTTTGGTTAGATTTGGTATCATGTGTCTTAGGTATTTATATCTTTATCCCTTAACCATACACATACTTTACTTGGGGTAACCTTAGTAAATAAGATCTTCAATTAAGCTTAGAACTTTGTAGGATATTAGAAAGCCAGAGTCCATATCTGTTTGTGGGGACAACTCAGACATCCCATCTTCCATTGACTATATTTTTGAGTGACTTTTTCGTAATTAGACTCTCTACCTTCAAATTCAGCTTCTGTGGGATCATTGATTAAAATGTTGATTAAAAAAAACTTTAGGAGAAATAAAACCTTCAGATAATTTTCTCTCATTGAATTCTTCTACAGTTCTTTCGATGAAGTGCTGTAAGTTGAATCTGTCCTGACTTATTGTGAGTGGAAACAGAGAACAAAGACTTCTCTGTATAAAATTCCCAATCATTCTCCATGATCACTTTCAGTTCCCCATTAGCCTTATCATTGCCACATAAAGAGTCTTACTTTCTTTAGATTTTCCTGAATCCATTTTCTGATCTTTTAATAATGTTTGCTAACCTCCTGAATTCCCTCTTAAGGACTCAAGTATTGATTCTAAGACAGTTAATGATCTCACCTTCCAGTGTTTTAGTAGATACTAAGGTGGGCTTAAATTACAGATATTTTAATTTAAAGTTAGTCAATCAGAAGTAACTGCCCAGCTACTATCTAGTACATACAGATATGAACACATAAACACACAGATATAAACACATAGACACACAAGTGCAGAGTAGGGTATAGGAGACAATGTAGGTAAAAGAGCAGGGATTTTGAGCAGAGAAAAAGTAGACGTAAAATTTATATGAAAGAATTTCTGAAGATTTTAAAAAGGAGGGCCAGTGTGAACGTTATTCAGGTAAGTTATTTGATATAGGTTGTGCTTCCACAGGCCTTGGCTTGAGACATGTTGGACCATATCGAAAGGAAAGCAGATTGGGGGCAGTGAGAAAGTTTTAAGTAAAGATGGGAAATTTGACCCATAACCATGGTGTACTTTTGCACTTTCCATCTTAATACTAAATGGGCTGGATTCACAGCAAATAATGCACTGGACATATTTAACAACTGGCTGGGGGGAGGAGAAGAGGGTTGGTTAAATCCTGATTTTCAGCACGTGCTGATTTCTGTGGTGTAAATATCCCACCATAGCCTATTTCAAATTACCAACTTGATATTACTGAACACAGAGATGGGAAGAGATGTGCAGTGGCATACTCTCATATATTATTTCTGCCATACAGATTTAGTAGATATAAATTATCTCAAGAGCATAGATAATAGTAAAACACAGTAAAATAATTAAAAAGTGGTGAGTTTTTAGTATTTGTTACCTTTGTTTTTAATATAATTGATTTTGTGTAAATTTACATAATTTAATAATGCCTGTGTTTAACGACTAGCTTGCAAAGGTCCCAAAATGTAACAATTGGCTCAGTCCCTCCAGCTAGTATGAAGTGGCTCTGGCATATGACTGGGGTTTACAGGCACCCCAGCTGATGGAAGAAATCATGTGAGTAAGTCCCATGAGGAGCTAATTGTGATTCCCTATGGATTGCTATGGAATTGCCTGTGTTACAGACCTGATGTGCTATATCTGCTGTGCTGCCTCCCCTGATAAACTTTTCCAAAATTCAGAAGTGAGATCCTAAGCCTCCTGCGCCCACTGGACACTCTGCACTTGTCCTGGCTTGTATGATCAATTTGAAGAAAAGTGGGAGGCATCCTGAACACTTTGAAGTCTTGAGTAGAAGACTAAAGGAGCTGAATGTGGAGGTGATATTTCTATCTTGTCTTCTTGCAGGTTGCTGAAGACTCATGCAGATTGCTTTGGAAGCAGCATAACCATAGAAAACTGCCAGAATGTGCTGTCCATGCTCTTTTAAAAATGATTTCCTGAGTGGTCTGTGACCAAAAAGGGAGGCTCTGAGCTAGGGACAATGGGTCCCTCTCAAAAATGGAGAAAATATTTTTGACAGGAGCCTTAATAATTCCACAGAGAAGGAGCAGGAAGTATTATCGTAAATTTTTAGCAAAAACGCAAAACTTCACAGGGAACAAGAACAAACAAAATTACTTGGGGGTAAATGAATGTTAAACGATGATGAATTCCCAAGTATATGACTGAAGCATTCATAAGTTTAGTGTAGAAATTTGGACCATAAACTTAAAGGCCAGATGTTGGATATGCCTTCATGTGAAATTGTCAAATGTAAGAGGCACATCATAAGACAATAATATAAGCCAATGAATATATGGGGGGAAATGGAAAAGAGCAGGGGCAATTAACTGTGTCTGAGAGTGTGTAGAAAGTGGGAAAAGCATAAGATACATACCTCAAATACACAGAATAAGCCAATAAAGCCAGTGAACTGGAAATATCTTTCAGGAACAAAGAACAGATAATTTCTCCAATGTAGGTCCATATGTAGGCATTGATGGCTAGAAGCTGGGGTAGGGAGGGTCTCAGATGGACCCAGGACCAGCATGGAGTGAATTGATCCCAGCGAGACAAGCAGAGACTGTAGCACATGCAGAACTATCAAAGTGAGCTCAGGAGTAACCAGCAGGTTATGGGACATGCACAATTATCAGGGGCTTGTGGCAGGAACCAAAAAAGTGTGGATGAGCAGATGGGGGATGGGATGCTGGAAAGAGAATAACATAATAGTCAGAGGAGTTCAAGCACATGGGACCATTCAAAATAAAAAATCAAGTGAACTGTGGACCAGGCATTTCAATATATTACCTGCACAGGGCAGAAATAACAAAGCATAAAGCAATATCCAAGGGGCTGGTCACTATAACAATTTTCTATCTCGTTGTTGCTGGGTTTTCTATAGTTCCCATGCAATGGACACCATTCCCAGGAAGGTAGTGGTTTCCAAACTTTAGAGAGCAAAAATATCACCTGATGGGTAATATGAAAATGCAAATTCCAGAACCCTACCTCCAGAGAGCCTAGGGCAGGCCCAGGAATCCTCATTTTAAAAATAGGCATCCTTGATTCCAGTGCAGTTGGTCTACTCACCGCTTTCTGAGAAATACAACAGTATAATTAATCCAGGGCCCCTGCTGGTGAGACAGGTCTAGAAACACCCTGTTAAAGAGGCACAGAGTTTCAGTAGTTCCATCTGGTGAGCAAATGCTGACGCCTGTGAAAGGCAAATTCATGGCCCAACTGTGACAATTAACTTGTTACAATTGCTTGGAAATATCTACTCCTTTTACTTGGTTTTGTCTTGTCTTTGATTTTTAATGTTGTTGTTTTACCTGTGTTTAATACTAAATATCAGTTCAAATCTTGCTTGGAAACAGGAGGGTAGAAATTTTTATTAAATTTTAAAAAAATTGCCAACACCCTTCCTCATTTAATCAGAAATGGAGAAAGTGAATGATGCTGTTTAAATGTTAGTTGAGTAATAACTTATTTTTATACTAAATGTCTTGATAATGTATCAGAGAATACCCTTTAAACTGTAAATTTTTTTAAATTTTTTTTTTTTATTATACTTTAAGTTCTAGGGTACATGTGCACAACGTGCAGGTTTGTTACATATGTATACATCTGCCATGTTGGTGTGCTGCACCCATTAACTCATCATTTACATTGGGACACAGAAGGGGGAACATCACACACTGGGGCCTGTTGTGGGGTGGGGGGAGGGATAGCATTAGGAGATATACCTTATGTAAAATTGTAAATTTTTATGCAAATGGATTATTTTAAAAATATAAGGTACTTCATATACACCTAATAAGTGTGTGTCTTTATCTGTTGTATTCCTATAAAGCCTTATATACTCCAATGTTCTTGCATTTATAATGTTTTATCAATTGAACAGGGAAAGTTCAAAAGTTTCCATCAACTATACCTAGAGAAGAATGCATCACTTTGTCAAAATATTGTGGCTTTTTTTATTCTTTGTAGCTCTTCCAAATCCCACAAAGAAAGGATTATCGTTACTATCTGAGTGTGTGTGGGCTTGAATGCGCTAAACGTTTCTAGAGGAGCAAGGCTTTTTGATGCTTAAAAAAAAATACTGTGAGCTTTTGGTGCACACTAATCAGGGTATTACTCCACAAGCCATACCCTCCTAGGACTTCCATAGCTGATGTTATGTTGGAGCAGTCTCAGAATAGAGTCTTCCTGTGGTCCATGAGTGACAGTTGTCTTATTTGCAGAAAGGTTTGTCTCTGTTCACAATTATGCCAATTTCTGCATCAACACTTTTATGCATAGAATTGGGGCGGTGCAAACAAGACATTCTGCTGGAATTGAAGAATGCACATAAGACAGAAATGTTGATTGTGCCTGGCTAAACTGATACAATTATTTTCAAAGCCTAGAATCCAGGCACAGGATAGATTTGTTGATGTGTTAGTCTTCAGGGAAACCAGAGACATGATATCAGAAAGATGTATATTCAAAAGGAGGCCTTAAGGAATATTCTTGTCTCTTGAAATAATGGGGAATCTGGCAGAGAGGAGTTGTGACATCTGGGAAAGGATAATAAAGATTAAAATTTGAGTCACTTGGAGAGAAAATGTGAGTTGCCTTTCATATATTGACAGGGTTGACAATATCTCTAAGAAATTATAATCTTTTGGACATAAGCTTATTGCTTTTAGAGAAAATAAAATAGCCTTTTTTTTTTTTCTATTTAGACCATGGGATTGCCAAGCAGCTTAGGTCAGAGAAAATAAACCTATCCTTAATGGGCAATATTGATACCACTTTGTCAGCTTAACTTGGACTAAGTGGAATTTTCCCTTGGGTTTACTGTTTGGGGTCATGGTTAGGCCCCATGAGAGAGCCAGGTCTGTTTATTTCCTGACCTCTGTTACTGTGAAGTTCTCATGAAGGGAGAGAGCTCTTTTCCTAAGGAGCCTCTCCTGCTGCTGCTTTTCTTTCTGTGTAGAATGTGAACAAAGAGACACAACCACCTCTTGGTGTCCTTTGTTAGCTGTGTCTAGATGGCCAACGCTTGGCCATTGTAAACTTTATTAAAATAAAATTTCATAAAAGTTAGCTATCTGTTTTTCCTACACCATGATTTGCTTAGTAAACCCTGCCCTACTTCTCATTCAGCCTGTCTACCCTTCCCCAGCTGCTTTCCAAGTTTTAGATTTAATTATAATCCAGACATCCGACTAAAGTTTACAAATCGTGAGTTGTTGGAAGCCTGTTTTATTCTCTGGCCCACGACCCTCCTCTAGCAATTTCTCTGTTTCCTTTGAGAGAGATATCCAAAGAGAGACCCATATGGACATCTCTAGCTTAATGTAGGAAGGGAAAAGACAGGGTTTCTTGAGGTTTATTTCTGTCCATACTTGAATAAAGCTGGCGAGAAGATATATACATGTTTCCTTTAAAAGAGGGGGCTATCAGTGATCTACATATTATTTGTAAGTTCATCTGAATCTCTGTCCAGTTTATTGCTTTATCTTTTCCAGTAAAGTTGGTTCCCTGTTAATTTAATTAATTTTACTATCTTTGACTTTATTGTCTGAGTGTTGATGAAAGCAACACATCTCTCTCTCTTTGCCTTTCTTGAACATAACCTTTGGCATCTCACCTGAAAAAACTACAGGGTAGGTAACAGAGTTCCCCAAGTAGGCACTGGAGATGGGCTCTCCTCCTGAAATCCAAACACCAGGGTTCACTTGGCAGAACTCTAGGGTGAACTGCTTTGTAGAGTTGTCTGTCTCCAAAGAAAAAAAAGGAACAGTGATTCCGGAGCTCAATTCCAAAAGCTGAATTCTGAGACAAAACGGAAACTGCTAAGGTAGGTGTGACTTGGCAGAGTCACCAAAGAAGCTAGTTGAAACTCTATAGCCAGAGGAAATCAGCATTTGAGAAAGCCAAAGGAAAAAAGCACTAGAAAAAGTCACACCCAATACATAAATATATTTTATCATTTGTTTTTTTAAAGCATGTTTAAAATGCCTAGCCAAAACTTTAGCTAATGAAAATATTTTACTTGGGGGGATTAGAAGGGTTACTTAAAAAGTAGAAGAAAAAACCCCGAAGGCGTTTGTGAAAATAACTGTTCTGCTCCACTGACTTTCTTTTTTAACCTCAAATGTTAAAGAGGCTGTTTGTGAAGCCTCTTCGCTGATCATTTCCTAGGCTGAAAGAAAATCAAGGTTTACTTCTTTGCTGTGGGCGGCTGAATCACTACAAAAACCTTTGGTCCTTTTGATGTTTGCTTTCTACAGAAGTTCTGAGAGATCTGGGAAGGAAGAAAGAGAATGTAATGGGGATTTTTCAAACAGCATTAGAGAAGCCATGTTTTATTAATCTTATTTACTTAAATCATTTGTTTGAGGGAGAAGACTGTGGTTTCTTTTGTGGTCTCAGTGCCCTCTCGGTTCAGCAGTGCTGCTAAAGAAGGGAACCCAGTTCCATCATCATAATCATACAGATGTCTATCTCCAGAAAAACGAGGACCAATTAAAATCAGTTCTCACAATAAGTAGCCGAAGTTAAAAATAGATAGAACTAGACCGAAATATTATGACTTGATAACACGGTGGTATATTTTATTAGCATGTCTTTTTAAAGCTCAATACTAAAGCAATGCCTCTTTTAGTATTTGTGATTCTGAAAACACATTTATGAAAACCTTGGGCATCAGGAATTATGTGTCTTATGAGAATTTTTCAGCTGAAAAAAACCTCTCCAATAAAACTAATCACCCATGCTTATCATTTTCTTACTTTTAAAAGCATTATTTTGCTTTACAAACAAAATTAGCATAAGAATTTAAAGAAAGGTTCCAATGTTATGAGGTAAACCCTCAACAAAAGTTCCCTTCTTACACAACTGTTAAAATGATTATATGGCCTCATGAAGATTTTTTAAATGCAATACATATTAATTGTGGAGTTAAACTATATCTACCATAAACCATTTGTGAGTTCAAGAGTCACTGTGCAAATTACCCAATTAGTATCAAATGGCAGATGTCTTTTGTTAGTGAGTTCATATGATGGCAAGTGACAGGTGCCTCTAAGTATTCAAAATCCAGATGTAAGCTCTGCCTTTGTCTACTTGATAGGTGTTTCTAATTGCTCTGGGTTTTTGGTTTGTTTTGCAGAAATATGATTGTTATACATTTACATATATGGCACTTTGTATAAATGTGCTGAATAAATGAATGTATTAGAGGCAATTGGGCAAATAAATGCTGATCTGCCTGGGTGGCCTTTTAAATTTCAGTTCATGATAAATAATTTCTGAAAGCCAACATTATTTCTGCCTGTGCTGTCCCTCCAAAATCATGATCCTAGCAAGTCTGTATCATGGTCGTGGATGTCATGCCTCAGTTTGGCTTTTAGCATTCATGGCTCCTTATTCTCAAAAGGAACTGACACTAGATTTGTTCTCCAGTAATTCAATTTCTCTTCCAGCTTCTCAAATGATTAAATATCTTACAAAGACATACTCACTGACTAATTAGACAGGCTTAAAGGAATAATGTATATTTAATTTATTCTTACATTTTTATTTTGCCAACTCCTGTGTCCTGTTATTTACCTACAGCTTAGGATATTCAATAGAATGCTTTCCATCACTTTTTAATTTCACTCATCATTTATTCTATGTTTCTTTCATTTATTGGTGCATATCTTCTGTGTTTTAGGCACTCTGCTAGTTCTTGGGGATACACAGGAGATTAAGTCATAGCCACTAGACTCAGGAAGTATACAGTCTAGTAGACAAGACATGAAAACAGAAACTATAATACAAAGCAGGAAGTGTCTATGTGTCTATGCCATTCAGTTTGTTTACTTGACCATTCTTGCTTGCTTATGGAAAGGTAAATATTATTTCCCAAACTGGGTCTATTGAGAAAGGTTTCTGTTATCAGATAACTGAGCAATAAGCACACTAAGTCCTCCTTTTAGAGATTCATAATGCACTCCACCATATTATCATAAATATTCTGAAAGCTCCTGCCATAAATAAATTTATTTTACTTTGTTTATCTTAGTATTTCCCAAACTTACTTGAACACATTTTTATAGTATACGTGTTAACTTCCTGTGGGAAATTAACATTCCATGGACCATCAGTTTGGGAAAAGAACTGATTACCCTTTGGAACAGCTAGATACATGTCCTCTTGTTATAGAGGACAAAAAGACACAGATTTCCTTACACATAGAAGATGTGTCTGCTAGTCAGGAATCTTCAGAAGCAACTGACAAAACCTAACTCAAACTAGCTTAGGCAGAAAAGGGAATGAATTGATTTACAAGAATGGGAATCCAGGGCATGAGTCTTGCCTCAGTGACTCAAATGGTATCTTCAGATTCCTCTCACTCTCTTTCTGACTCTTTACTCAGTACCTGTGTACTGAGTACACATTCCTACCAACAATGTATAAGTGTTCCCTTTCTCTTCAACCTTGTCAACATCTGTTATTTTTGTTTTTTACTTTTTAATTATAGCCATTCTGACCTGTGTGAGATGGTATCTCATTGTGGTTTTGTTTTGCATCTCTCTGGTGATTAATGATTGCATCTCTCTGGTGATTAATTGTTGGCCACTTACATGTCTTCTTTTGAGAAGTGTCTGTTGATGTCCTTTGCCTACTTCTTAATGGGTTTATTTGTTTCTTTTTCTTGTTGACTTAAGTTCCTTATAGATTCTGGATATTAGTCCCTTGTCAGATGCTTGGTTTGCAAATATTTTCTCCCATTCTGTATGTTGTCTGTTCAATCTGTTGAGAGTTTCTTTTGCTGCACAGAAGCTCTTTAGTTTAATTAGGTCCTACTTGTCAATTTTTATTTTTGTTGCATTTTTAGAAGACTTAGTCATAAATGCTTTGCCTAGGCCAATGTATAGAAAAGTATTTCCTAGATTTTCTTCTATGAGTTTTATAGTTTGATTTCTTATTCTTAAGCTTTTAATCCATCTTGAGTTAATTTTTATATATGGTGAGAGGTAGGGGTCCAGTTTTGTTCTTCTGCATATGGTTAGCCAGTTTCCCCAGTACTGATTTAATGATTAAAATCTAGGTGTGTCCATAATAGGCAGTTGGCTCTGGTATCTAATTACTGCTGGAAAGAAGACACATATTTAAAAAAAATATTCTAATATCAAAGTCATTATTTTTAGATTATATAAAGTGGTTTATAGCTAATAATCCCAAATGTGAAGTCACCTCAATCAGTTACTTAAGCATATACATGATTTTCTTGGCCCCAGGAAGTTCTATTGCTCAAAGTTTCATATTTTATGAGTGCTTTCCTTAGGTTTTTAAGTAGCTGAAATGACCAACTCCTCTATAAATATTGCAGGCTAAAATTGTTGCAGCCATCTTATAAGACATTAAACATTGGGAGCTTGATTGTCTGCTTTTGGATTGGAGTGGACCCCAAATAATTGAGCAGACATGATCTTAGCTCTGTCCATGGTACCCAGGGTACCATAGTGGCTCATCTCTAACAGCATGTAAGGAGGCCGTCTGGCTTTCTATTTAGATATGTCATCAGGTTGGTTCCTAACTTTGCACAAGAAGATGTCAAACTTATACCCAACTCAGATGCCCTTAAAGCAGCAGTTCTTTATTTAACCAGCAATGTAATATAGTTACACTTGAGAGATTTGTTTGAGGGTAATCCTGAACTTACATAAAGAACAAATAAAAGCTCAAAGGATCTGGGACTTTGAGGGAGGTGGAGGCTGCAGATATTTGTGCACTGATTGTAGTTGAAGTCAGATTTCTCAGAAGTAGTTTTTAAATTGAGAAAAGAAGAGGATTCATGTTGGAACTTTGGGTAGACAGACGAGGAGAAGCTGGTAAAAGGAATGAAGAGAAAGCAGTGCAAGAGATAGGAAGCACATTCCAAGAAGAAGGTATCATCAGTACCAGGCATTGCAGACAGGTCACATTGAAGGAGCTCTGAAAGACGGCTCTGAGTTTGCAATTTTGAGTCACTGGTGTTATTGGGGAAAGTAGTTTCCATAGAGTGGAGTGGACAGAGGCCAGACTGCAGGATGGTTTGGACTAAATGAGAAGTGAAGAGCTGGAGACAGAAAGTATGGCTTCCTCAGTTAAGAAATTTTCCAGTAAAAAGAATGAAAGAAAAAAAGATGGTGTCTGAAAAGGGAGCCAGAGTTGAGAGATACATCCCTCCACCCCATTTGAATAAGTTTGTACGTAGAGGAAAGAGAACCATGGAAGGTGGTTGGTTAGAGAGAGAGAGAGACTGAAGAATTAAGAAAGAAAGAAGTTCACTTCTGGAGCAAGATCCTAGCAGCAACTAGATTTATAGGATTAGGAGCCCAGATTTAAGGAGCAAAGGATGGATGAAGATGAGTTTTGACAAGGTTGGAAGCGGCAAAGCATATTGAGGAAATGAATGCTCTTTTCAGTGGAGCAGGTGAGGTTCTCCACTAAGAGGGAGAGTTAGCCATGATGTAGAAATTCAAGGAGAACATCAAGCAGCTGGGGAGAGAATAAATAATTCTGGAGCAGTGTTGAATGTCCAGTTAAGGATCAACTTCATTAGTACATAATAATTTCAACAAAGAATTAGAGTTGGATATTGGCAGGGTAGATGAGAAAGAAAAGGCAAGATAATTAAAGGATGCTGTTGACAATGCCTTTGAAGAGATAGACCCAGGGCTCCAAAGCTGGGGAGAGAATGAGATAAAGCCTGACTGGTTCTTGTAGCCTGGGAGAAAAGGCAAAACTAGAAAAAAAATTTCAGGAGGGAAGGCCTAACCTGGGACCTAGCAAGATTTCCATTGTTCAATGGTATTTAAGTTAATAAATGAGAAGTGAAGAGCTGGAGACAGAATGTATGGCTTCCTCAGTTAAGAAATTTTGCAGTAAAAGGAATGAAAGAAAAAAAGACGGTATCTGAAAAGGGAGGCAGAGTTGAGAGATACATCCCTCTACCCGATTTGAATAAATTTATATGTAGAGGAAAAAGAACCGTGGAAGGTGGTTGGTTATTAATTTAAGCTAATAAATATTGTTGAACAATGGAAATCTTGCTAAGCTCAAGTCACAGATTGAGTAAGGTTAAATGGGTGACAGTGTCAGAAGGGTGACAGGCAATCCATGTGAATGACGCTTCCTAGACTTGTGCAGCATACAGCCTTTCTAAGTCTATGCCATGACCCCAGACCTGGAGGCATATAACGGGAATCCTCAGTTCAAGGTGTTGGCAGGGGAACAGTTCTAGGTGATGACAATTCTAAGTTCAGTCTAAGGAAAAGTTTGCTGAAGTAGGGATGGAGTTAATGGTGCTGGAAATCAAGAGACTGTGTGGGCAGAGTTGAGTAAATATTGGACACTGACCCAGCCAGTCAGTAGTTAATTCCAAGAACCATAGAACAGACAGGATGGTATCATCCCAAAGTCAATGTGTACAACTTTCTGGAATTGTCACTGAGGAGCCAGAAAAACTCAGCCTCCTCTCTGCAGGTACCCTCTATTTTAAGAGGTTGCAATAAAAGTAGTGGCACCTGGGAAGCACTGGTTTTCAATTAAGGCAAATCATTGAAAGCAGCGACTGAGAATGGGGTCAGGTGTGGCTGAGTGTTCCAGTGGAGGAAGTATTTTATCACTAACATTATTTAAACTATTGGGGCATGGTGATTTTTTAAAAAGGTTTTTGTCCGTTTATTATTTTTAAATTCTCTATAAACAATGAGCCCCATTTGGAATGTTATTGGAAAGGAGTAGTTGAGGAAAATGTTGAAGATATGTAAAGATATAAAAGGATTACAGAAGGTCAGGTAGAAAGAGGAATGGTTCAGAAAAAGAAGAATAAATAAGTTGTGGCAGAAATAGTTTTTTGGATTAGTTTGGGGAATGAGCTAATATGATATTTGCAACACTCTTCCAGTGTCTCTCTCTTCACAGCTTGTCCTCCTTTCAACATGGGACTCCCAGATTGAAGTCCTTGTTTGTATCTCTCACTTCCAGCTCACCTGAACTCAAACAGCAGGCTTAGAACTGATTAAAATCAACAGGAAAATGTGCTCTTATTTATGGATTTTTGCTTCCATTGTGATAAGA
Source organism: Homo sapiens (assembly GCF_000001405.40). Taxonomy (NCBI): domain Eukaryota; kingdom Metazoa; phylum Chordata; class Mammalia; order Primates; family Hominidae; genus Homo; species Homo sapiens. Next base: position 158,185,476 of record NC_000002.12, on the reverse strand, counting down.
TATCCAACCCTTGGAGCTGCCGAAATAATTCTCAAAGAAGGTGGTTCATATCTCTATTTAAAGGCTGAGACGCCTTCGAGTTATTTCCTCTTCCTTTGATTTTACTGAATAGACCCTTTAAATATCGGCCAGTAGCCTGAGGTTTTCAGCTGTCATCAGGATACACCAGTGTTTTGTCCATCAGAGGGAAAGAAAGAGGTTCAGTAATAGCCATTATTGCAACTGCCCATCACCAGCACTTATCCAAGCCTGAGAAGGCTCTGGTCTCTGAGAGAACCTGTCATCCATGTGTGTCAGGGCCATAGGGGCTGGGAAAGAATGGGGTTGAAAGGTCCTGCTCTGGAATGTCAATAATACCAAGCAAGAATTTCTAGTTTGGAACAGTCCTGAGGCATATAACTGCAATGTTTAGCACAGGCAAACAGAAATAAGCCCTGTCTAGGTAGTAACTTGTAACTGGTTTTGTCTTGATAACAATAGTCAGGTAAAGTCCTTTTAATCTGTATATTTATCTATGCTGTAGTTCTCAAAGTGTGGTCCCCAGACCAGCACAATCAGCATCACCTGGAAACTTGTCAGAAATGCAGATTTGGGGGCTCCGCTTGACAACTACTGAATCAGAAACTTTGGAGCTGGCCCAGAAGTCTGAGGTTTAACCAGTCACACAGGTGATTTTGATGTACGCTCATTTGAGAATGACTAAGCTATGTAGCATTGGTTCTCATCCCAGGCTGCTCATTAGAATCATCTAGTGGAACTTTCAACAAAATACAGTACTTGGGCCTGACTACTAGATTCTGATGTAATTATTCTGGAGCGAGGCCTTGGCATTGCAAGTCATTTTACAAGTTTCAGTGATTGAGAACCATGATTCTGTAGCAATCTGAAAAGGGGCTCTGTAATTTGGAAGTTTATGAATAAATTCAAAAACTATTAAGAACAATTTTGTGATTTTACTACAGTGTTCATTTAGGCATGCTTATACATAACAGACCACAAATTATGTAAACTCAACAGAGTAGGGACTTCTTTCCTCTGTTTTATTTCCCCCCACTATTATAACCTGAGCACCTAGAACAGTGCTTGACACATAGTAGGTGCTTAAGTAACTCTATGTTGACTAATTTAACTAATTAATCAATTAAAAGATGGGGTTCCAATAGCTTCACAAAGGAACCAGGAAGCTCTCTGAGCTGAACAATGGTCTCTGTTTGGGGCTGGCAAGGGTTCATCTTTTCTGATTCTGCAGAGACCCTGTGAGTTTTCTTTGTTCTTGCCTCATGCCAATCTGTACCAGGATGTCAGTGTCTTGTGTCAGGATTCACATTCCTGTTTGCAGAAATTGGTCTTTGCTTATGCCCTTAGCCAGAATCCCCACTGAGTGGAGACTCCCAGCCCGTGTGGTTAGAGGAGTGATGCCTTTCAATGTGAATGTCTTCCTGTGCAATTTCCATTCTTTTCTTTGGGCAGACTTCTCCCCTCCACTTGAAACGTGTTGGCACCTGGCCTGCCTGCTTTGATCTGCACATTCTTCCCTGTTGGGGTGACCTGTAGTTAATGAAGGGGTCCCCTCTGCTTAGTAGGAAGAACAACCTCCTGAGTAAAATCTGAGCCAAAAATGAATTTCCCAACAGGCAGAAACAGGTTCCCCGTGATGCTGCCACTGAAACACCTGATAGTAGCACCTCCAGCACATGCCTGTTTAAAGATTTCTTGTTGCATATTGACTAAGCCACATGACTTAAACACTAAGTAGCAAGTTTGATTATAAACTGCCTTTAATTCAGTAGGGCAAATTACTTGCCTGAAATGTTAGGTGGTAGGGGGAGTTCCATACTAGTTAGAGACCCTAATGAAGATACGTCTTTATGCTCCATTTTATTGCTTAAGTTTTTTGTTTGTTTCTTTGTTTGTTTTAAATTGTAGAACTTGCCACTATTGACCATTTGTCAGAAGTCTTTTTCCCCCTTGGTGGCTGTAGCTTCTTTTGAGAGGAAAGTTAGCTGTGACTCCAGATAAAAGGGAGATCAAGATTTGGTACTTATCATTTTGCCCGGTTCTCACTGAAGTTTCAGTGAAGCCCAGGGAAGCTGTTACTACGGATCAAGGTGTTTCCAAACATTTGCATTTGTATACTCATTTCTTAGAGTGCTGTGCACACATTAAAATGTCTCATAAATGATACATAAATTCTCCATTTCTACATGAAAGCATACTGTCCCTTCAACTACACTCAGGCCTGGAGGCTTAAATAAAATCCTTTCCAGATTATTGTTAGTGCTGTGCCGGATTCTGCAGCAGCTGTTGCTTTTGAACAATATGATGCTTCTCCTCCCCCAAGAGAAGTCGAAAATGCCTCTTTTGCAGCACTTTCAACCTTTGTAGACTCAGGGAGCATATAATAGACTGAGAAATGAACCCAAGACGGTTTCTGTTTGGGAATTCAGTGCACAACTTAAAAACTATTGAGTTTAGCCACTTCCTGACATTGACTTTCATAGCAACAGTTTAATTTGGAGAAAATCTGCTACCTCAAGTGGCTAAAAGTATTTATGTGGAAAAATTTCCAAATGATTGACTTTACTGTGTTGCTATTTTCTTTCCCCATGAATATGTGAGTATTTGGCTTCCTCCCAGGAGTTTTTCTGCATCACTTCTCTTTAGGCAAAGAAAATTTTCTATCCAGAGTAGAAGAAGCACCAAGAGTTTCTCCTTTTTTAAGTGAAGTATTATTGAGTTTAAACCATAGCATCTGTAAAAATGAAGAATTTGAGTGTGTCTCCTAAGTCCTGAAATTTTTTCATGGCCAATCCTTCAGGCAGTCAGAGTAACCTTGATCATCACTTTGGAGCCAATGCAACTGTGGTCGGCTCTGTGCACCCTCCAGCTCCGCCTTGTCTCTCGCCTCTCCATTTGCATCAGTTTTGCTGCAGGACTTGTTTGTCTCCATGCCCTCTCTTACTGCCTTACCTCACCTCATCCACCTCTGTGGGATGTTCTCACCAAGGTCACCAATGACTCCCTGTTGTTTAACCCAATCATTATTTTGCACTAGAATTGATCTTTCTGTAGCATTTGATGTTGTTGACCCCATTTTCCCTAACATCTTAGGACCACTTATCCTCCTCACTTCCCTAAATGGTTTCCTCTCCTTCTTTCCCTTTCCTAAGTGTTGTTTCCTTAGGAATCAATCCCAGGCCTACCTCTCTTCTTACTCTACACTCTTTTTCTAGATGGTGGCATCTGCCTTGTGGCTTCAATTCCGTTCTACTGGTAAAGACTCCCCATGTATTTCTCCAGCCCAGATCTTGTGAAGACAGGTCTGTGTTCAAACTGAACTTAATTCTTTCACCTCCCTGTTTCTCATGTGAGTTCCCAGTCTTAGGGAGGAACACCCCTGTTCACTGTGTAAGAGAAAATTTCCTCTATCTCTTTCCCTCTCCCATAAAATAAATGAAAACTTTCTGTTGATTTTTATTTTCTACATGTCCTTTAAATCCCTATCTTTTCCCAACCTCCTATGAGTACTCTTCCCCCATCCTAGATCAGGAGGCCTTCCATTCCCATCTGGATTGCTCATCTCTAGTCTTGCCTCCCAACAACCCATCCTGCATATCACAGCAGATACTTCTCCCTGATCAAAACCTCTCATGCTTTCAAAACCCCCACAGTCCAGCCCCTCTTGCTTCTCTAGCTTCAGTTCTTGGCCCTCTGCACCTTATTTTGCTCATTTTTGGTTATTCTGAATGTCTTTTAAGACATACCTGCTCACTCTCACCTCTGGGCCTTCAAATGCTACTTTTTTGTCTGAATCATTCTTTCTATTCTCTCCCCTCCTGGTGCATTCCTGCTCCTTCTTTGGATCTTAAATTCAGAGTACTTCCTCCTATTATAGATACTGCCCTAAAAGCCCCAAGTCTGGGAAAGCTGTCTTTCCCATGGTCTCTGCCCCATTGTCCCATCAGAGCACAAGCTGCCCTGTATCATAATTGCCTGGGTCTTTGTATCTACATTGGATTGTCAGTTCTTCGAGGACAGGAGCATGTCTCCCATGTTGACGTTGTATCACCAGTGCCTAACACAGCCCTTGATGCATGGCAGGTGCTCAACAAATACCTGTTAAATAAATGAATAAGCCTCAAAGTAAATGATGAGTCAGCCTTCTCTACCACACAAGTACAAATGCCTTTCTCTCATTTGCAATTTCTTCCTCACTAGTCAAGCTCCCCTGACTGTAACAACTATTACTTTTCCACAAAACAGACAAAAACTTTGTTGCAGACAAAGCAACCTATATATCCCAAAGGAAGAGAAACTTTCCAAAGGTTCTGAGAATTAGCATATGGTAATTGTCAAATCCCAGGGTATTTTTTAATTGAACCTTCACAGTAGTTCACTTAGCTTGTACTCAGTGCTTAAATTGAGTAGAACCTCATTAGGGAGGTTGTGTCATGTCATGCCTTAGTGAAAGTGGAGAGAATGAGAAATAGAGCTTTCCATGACATGGAGGCGTGAGAGAAAGGGAGCATTCTGGTTTGTGGGCTCTTTAATCTATGTGTCTTGACTATATTGACTCCTGATTTTGGCAAGAACACTCATGGCCATCAAAGGAGGTTAGGATTTTCCTTCTAAATCTCATTCTGGGTTTTGTATTCCACAAGGATCCACTGTGTGCTTCCCTCCTTTCCTCTCCTGTGTCTCTCCTTTCATGACAGACTCATGAGCAACCTGTTTCTGGGGTATTCCTCCCCAGGAGCATGTCTTCCTAAGGGAACCCTGTGGCTGCAGCCTCAGCCACCAGTACTTGCCTGGGCTTCTCTGTCACTCATCATTCACTTGTTCTGTTCTTGCCACCCTGAGCTCTTCCCCTCTCGTGGCCTCCATGACTAGGTCAAGGCAAGTGAGGGCCACTCTCAGATGCCAGCCCTGCACTTGCTGTCTCTGCCTGGAATCCTAATCCTCAAGACCCTGCTCAGATACTGCCTCCTCCGTGAAGCTCTTGCTAAGTTTAGCCAGCCCCTCCCACAGTGCAGTGATTGGTCATCTCACCTTTCTCCAAATTCTCAGTGGCTCTTATTTGTACGTCTCTTAAGATCACATGTCTATGCTTCTATTTCTTTATATCCATAAAATGGAATTAAAAAATGGCAACCCAGCATGTGATTGTTGTGAGGTCTAAATGACCTAAAACATATAAAGCACTTAGCACAAGACCTGATGCAGGGTGAACACGCAGTAAATACCAGAATCCAGAATGTAAAAGGTCTAGTGAAGGTGTCTCCACCTTGGAAAATGCAGGTGTGCACACTAAGGGTAAAGGACATTTGTGACTGATGCCACAGAGAAAGCTAAATCTTTCAATGATGAAAGGCAGAGGTGGAGAGCTAATACTCCCCTGAGAACCCAGGTGCCTACTCTTTTGAAAGGATGAATTCCATCTCTATAATTCAGTAGAAGTATAGCTTGGGCAAGGAGATGGCAAGGGAGGCTGCCCAAAAAAGGCAGCAGAGGAGGGCCAAGGAGCTCAGGGCTTTAAGCTGGTATTTAAGTGGGCCATATTTTAATAGCCGATGATTTTAAGGGGGTTGGAAATAGAATGCTAAGGGAAAGTCATGTTTTTGCTGCCATCTACAGATGTCAAAGTGCAATTTTAAAAGTTGCTTAACACACATACGCACCTACTCAGAAAGTGAGAATGTAGATGACAATATATGTAAAGTTTAAGTTCTAGTAAGTAAAATAATTTAGACATATTATTATAGTAGCTTATTTTACTTTTCCTTCTAAAAATTTGTATATTTAATCAGTAATGTAAACTTTCTAACAACCCAAGGTGTGCTAAAGCTTCTCATTGGGAGACCACTATAATAGCTCACTTGAAAGTGAGCCAGTCACCTCTCAGGGCAGGTTAGCCAGAGCCATGGCAGCCAGTGGGTACTCTGAGAGTTAATAAAGTGATTTCAATGAGGAATGAGATGAACTGAATTTTACTCCCACGCTTTCCTGTATTTCTCTGGTTGTTATTAGAATTACTATGAATTCCTGTAATCTCAGCACTTTGGGTGGCCAAGGCAGGCGGATCACGAGGTCAGGAGATTGAGACCATCCTGGCCAACATGGTGAAACTCCGTCTCTACTAAAAATACAAAAATTAGCTGGGCATGGTGGCGGGTACCTGTAATCCCAGCTACTCGGGAGGCTGAGACAGGAGAATTGCTTGGACCCAGGAGGCAGAGGTTGCAGTGAGCCAAGATCGTGCCTCTGCACTCAAGCCAAGACTGTGTCTCAAAAAAAAAAAAAAAAAAAAAAATTGCATTTTATATGAGTGTCTTTTATTGATTTGGACTTGAGAAATCAGTAAAAAAAAAAATGTGACAGTGCTGTTACCTCTGAGATGTGTTCTGCCCCTATGCTGTTTTCTGTACAATCTCCAATATTATTATGATGCTTCCACAACTTCCTTCTGTGTTATTTTTAAAGGGTTAAATATAGACAAGAATTATTGGAAAGGCGTTTGATGGAGAAAAAGGAAGTGGCCCTTCAAGAAGCTCATGAAGACAAAGAGAGAGCACGGCGGCTAGAAGCCCTTAGGAAACAGGTGTTTTTCATTTGGAAATTTTCATGGGTGGTTTTTTTAAAAAAAATGTTTCTAAGTGCTCTTAATAGCATTCTTACTGGGGCTTAGTTCATGACATCTGCTATATAAAATTTAACTTTTCCAAATGGGGATACTGCTGTTCATTCCTGGGAGCAATTAGATTATATTGAACCATTTCCAGTTTCTCAGTGTATTGAAAGAACTTTATCATCACCTTTTAAAAAGCTCTCCCAAGATTTAACTATATCTATATCACCTAGAGTTTATTAGCTGGATAGTATCCATTTACAACAGTGAGGCTCTACATCTAGTCTACGAATTTTACTGTCCTCAAAAAACCTGGTGGAGTTCGAGCAAGATAATCTTCTTTGGCATAGGAGCCTCCCTTTGGAAACATCCCACAGTCAACAAATGTGTTAAAAACAGTTTTTTAGAAAATACCTATTTTGTGGAGAAATAAAAGCCTCCTATCACTTTGCCTAGTGAAAGTAAGCAAAAGTAGATGAAAATGGATGGTAGATGGCAAGGGTGAGAATTTAAGAACTTAGGAAATGTGATAGTTTTACTTGGTAGTTTTTCAGAGTTTTGAACTTGAAGGGGTTGTTTCAACTCAAAATCTCTAAAATCTTCATTGACACCGTTTCCCAGCTAATAGGAAAGGACTACTTGGTTTCCCTCCTGTGTTGCTGGAGGGAACACAGAATCATGGATAAGAACTTGGCCTCTGGTGTCCTTCCAACCTGGTACAAGCTGGTTGTGTACTCACCGGCACTGGAAACAGGTCATTTACTTAACCTCCGTAAGCTTTATTTCTTCATCTGAAAAATGGGAATAATAGGATCTGTCTGATAGGTTTGCAATAATGTGAGTTCAAATTTATTATTTACTAAGTGTAAAGCCCTCTTCTAAATGCTGTTAGGTATTACTTCAATTTCTACAACAACTTTATGACGTGGGCAATATTAATATCCCCATTTTATAGGAGAGGAAACAGAGGAGACACCGAGGTTAGGTGCTTTCTTCAAAGTCACACAGCTAGTAAATGTTATACTGATTCAAACCAAGGAAGTCTAGCTAAATGAGATGGTATAGATGTGGCATAAATGCATACGACTATTATATCATCATCTTCTTTGATAAAAAAAGATTATAAAGATAAATTTAAAGCATAGGAATGTAAGTCCTGGTAATCCTGGATCCTACAAAATTTTAGTTATTCAACTTATATATCATGGCCTTCTGGGTACAAGACTTAATGTCACTATTACTGAACACATTCTTGTTCAAAACATAACTTTGATAACTACAGTCTATATGATTAGAATTCTTTCCATCTGTGAATGCTTTGAAAGAGGAAATAGCTGTTATCTCTTATCTATAATCAGTATTTAGAACTGTGATGTAAGCTATTTTAGCTAGCAAACCTAAAATAATTAAAGCATGTTCAACCCTCAGTTATTTTATTACAGTCTTTAAATGGCATTAAGAATGCCATTTTCTTCATGCTAATTCTTGACTTTCAGAATTAATAGGCAGGTGTTACTAATGGTGCATATCATTTACAAAATTAGTGACTTCTTTTCATTAAGATGCAGGTTTGAATTATAAAAGACAAGGGCATTTGGGTTAAAATGACTTTGCAATTTTTCAGTAGAAGGAGGACAATGGTTTATAGCAGTCCCTGGAAATCTAGTTGCCTGGTACAAAGGAAATTCACCCACCTTGTTCACTAATGCCAACACACTTGACCCAAGAATTATATGCTCTAGATCCAGTTCAATCAGGTTAAACTTCCTAGGAAACTTCATGGGGTTGTTACCATAACCATAAATTGCTAATGGTCAAAAAGTGAATTTTTTTTTACTTTCTGTGACTTTCAAGTTGGTTGAATATGTAAGGTTTTCTATATGAGATTTCCTGTGACTTCATATCAGAAAGATAAATTGTTTTCTGAAATTAATTATAATTATTCAATCATTAGCAAATAACTATATGCCAAGGCATTTTAATATTTTGTCTTATATGTATTGTCTTGTTTTGTTTTAACTCCTTTGTGGATCTCTAGGACTGACCAATTAATATTTCTTCTGCCCTTTCCTCTCAGGCTTTACCTTTAATAAAATTTCTTAACTTTAATGGGCATTAGACATCAATAATGTTGCCCAGAAATATTTAGTTTGTACCTTGTTCCAAGTAGCCATGCTTTCTCATTTTTAGGTTGCTGTTGTTGCTCAATTTGATCCTGTTAGAATGATGTCAGATACAATGGCATCAAAAGCTAGAATGGGCATTGAAATTGAAGAAGAATTTATTCTTCAAAAGCCACTCTTCACATTGAATACATACAATGAACAGCAGGTAATTATGGAAATTAGCATGACTGATGAAAAAGCCATGATGATGGTAAGGACTGTAGAAGTGTGTGTTTGGGGTTACAACAGTTTTCAATATTTACATTTGAATATCTTACATATTAGCATAATTTTTACTTCTAAATGATAGTACATAATTACTACATAATTCTTAATATTACAAACTAGTTAATAGGCTACCATAGAACAAGAGGTTACCTAAAAATGTTATAAATCTGTCATTGAAGCTTATTTTTTAAATTTTTTTAAAAATGCTTTATAAAATTTTATTTGAGAGCTCTGTATTAATATTGTATTTTGTTGTTTAAATGTTTATCTGTTACATTAAGAATTATATTTAAATTCATAATATAAATTATATTAATAAACAACTGATACTGATGACAAAGCAGAGGAAAGTTTTTAGAAATGAAAATGAACAGAAGATAATACATCAGAGCTAATGATAAAACATTTTTTACGGAAAAAGGTGTTAAGGGCTTATTTAACCATTTCTAGGAACCTAGGGTTCATTTTAATCTGTGCCTGAGAATCTGTGCCTGTAACTGAGAAAGGATTTTAAAAGATCTTTTAGATGGATGGATTGAGGGATGGAAGGTAGGAGGGAAAACAGATGAATGGATGGATGGATGGATGGGTGGATGGATGATATATCAGTCACTGAAATTAAGAGAGAAAGTAGTTGTCAGTTTTACAAATCTAAGGAGAGAAGCTAAATAATTATTTAATTATTTAAAAACCAGGAAACCATCCATTCATCCGCTTATGTCTCTACTTTGTGCGGCATACTTTGCTAGGGACTCTAAAGAGGCATAATTCATTTATTAATTGAACCAATATTTATGGAACATATATTATATTCTGGCTCTGCGTATGGTGCCTGGGCTACATCAGAGCAAGATAGGCTGATCTTGTCTGGAGGAAGTGAGCAAAAGAGCCTACTGGGGAAGGAAAGTAGCATGTGTAGCAACAATGCCACCAGGGTGGGATCAACTCTGTAATGAATGTCTAAGGGTTGCCCTAGGAAGAAGAAGGGAATGAATGGCTAACCCCGACTGGAGAAGTCAGAGAAGGTGTCAGAGAGGAAACTTCTGAGCCCTATCTTAGTCAAAGATTTTTGGAAGCAGTAGCAAAATCCACTCCAGATGATTTACGATAATAACAACAAAAATAGGTTGTGGGGGAGGATACATAGGGAGAAGGATTAATTACAAGGTTTAAGAGGTGTCTCTAGATCCTAGCTGCTGAAGTGGGGAGAATAGCTGAGGCTTGAAAGGATTGAAATCAGAAGCTAAAAAGTCTCAGGCCGCTGGGCTAACCCTTATACTCGGTTGACCTATTTCACCTCTGGGTTTGACCAAGCGGAAGAGGGTGGGGCAAGGCTTTTTCCTAGTATGTCTTCAGTGTAAGATACATGACAAGGGGTGCATGACAAGTGCTGGGAGAGGAGACTGGAAACATGTGTTAGGTTCAGGCGCTGAAAAGCATAGTAGGTCTTGCTACTAAGGCATTTGACCAGTAGTAGCAAGTAGGCCTTGCTACTAAGGCATCTGTATGCAGATGCCAGACTTTGAAGCTTTAAATTATATACAGTCATGTGCCCCATAACAGTGTTTTGGTCAAAGACAGACCACATATATGTTGGTGGTCCCTTAAGATTATAATTGATCTGAAAATTTTCTATTGCCTAGTAGTGTCTTAACATCATAGCACAATGCATTTCCTCTTGTATGTTTAGTTTCACAAGTACTTAGCATTGTGTTACAACTTCCTACAGTAATGAGCACAGTAACAGCTCATTACTTCCTACAGTAATGAGCACACTAATGCTGTACAGGCTGTAGCCTAGGAGCAATGGCCTATATCATATAACCTAGGTGTGTAGAAGGCTGTACCATCTCAGTTTATGTAAGTACATGCTATGACATTCACACAACAAAATTGCCTAAGGACACGTTTCTCAGAATGTATCCCTGTCATTATGTGACACACAACTGTAATCAGACTTATGTTTTAGCTATGTGTCCTGAATGGAAAATTGGTGGGGGTGGGCATGGGTTGGGGTGAGTTCCTTTTAAAATGGCAGAGCCTTCATAGAAGTAGTGGTGGTGGTGGGGTCATGAATGGCTCTGGCTGAGAAAGGGAGAGGACAAAGAAAGTAAGGATGATTCGAAGCTAGACAACAAGTAATATTAAGAGCTGGTGTTTTGGATTCAAATCCACATCCGCTGTTTATTGGCTGGGTGCATTTGTATAAGCTATTTACGTCTTTATGCCTTGTTTTCCTCATCTGTAAAATAATTATTTACAAAGTCCTTGTGAGCATTAGAGATAATAAATGTCCACTGCCTAAAATATTTCTTGGTACCCAGTAGTAATTCAGTAAATTATAATCATCTGGTGGTGCTGCCATTAACCATTTAAGAATACAGAAAGAAAAACAGATTTAGGGAAAGAGAGAATTTGTTTTACTTATACCATGTTTAGGGTAAAAATATCTAGTACATATTTACAAGAAACTGATGGGCTGCCTGTGGGGAAGGGAATTGGGAAGATGGAAGTTCCGGTAGAGGGGAGATCTCCATTTCACTCTCTAGCTATGCAAAAATTGAATAATAAAAAAAAATTTAAGCCTCACAACATGGAACTGAAAAGAGAGGTGAGTCCTAGATGTAATTTGGGAGTCAATGGCATACAGGTTGCACATGAATCACTGGAGCACATGAGAGCAGACCAGGGAGAAGACATTGAGACAGAAGAGGAAAAACCTGGGTCTTAGGCTCATATTTATTGCTTCTCAGACACAAATCTCTGTATTATTCTTGACTTCATACTCATCGTTGCCCCAAGCCCTGTATCTGATCAACTGCCAAGTGCTATTGATTCTTGTTTTCATAGTGTTTCTGACAATTATCTCTTCCTTGCTACCAGCCAAGTTCAGACATTTATTACTTTATGTCTAGACAATTGTAGTAAATTCCTAACCACTCTCTCGGCCTCCATTTCTTCTTTCCCTGCCACCTTAATTTATTCTGAACTTACAATCAGACCCATCTTCCTATGCAACTACAATGATTATATTATTTTTATGCAAAAACTAGAAACAAACATACCCTAGTAGCTCCTTAGACTCGGCATGGCCATGCAAGCCTTTTAAGTTCAAGTCCTAGTCTGAGAAGCATCTGTTTCCAGTGTTCCTCAATGGTAACCAGTACTCTGCTCAAACCACCCTTATCCCAAGTTGGCCTATTTCACCTCTGAGTTTGTAGGTGTCTTCCTTTCTCATTAGGTCTCTCTTCCTCCCCAGTCTGCTTTATAGACTAAGTTGGACTTTAAGGGTAGTTCAATTGCTCATCTTCACCTGAGACCATCCGCATGCCGCCACCACCAGGAGATGCACCCCCATGTTTTACTACTTTTAGGGCATCTGCCACATGTTGCCATAATCTGTAGTTATCTGTGTACATTTTTATTGCCCCAGTTCGCCTAAGAGCTCCTGGAGGGGCTGCTTTTACTAGCTTATTATCACATCCTCTAGGGGGACTTCAAATCCATGTAAAATGCCTCATTAGGTAAAATCCATATGTGGCCACCTTCTTATCATTTCAAACAGTCTCTGTTGACATTTAATATTCATAGGAGGAGGGGAAGAGGAATAAGATCCAATCAGCTATAAATGAAAACAGAAGTTGAACTACTCATATGTCTACTTCCACTTAGAATCAGATCGATGGAGGCATTTTCTACTTCTGTTTGAAATAGAAATCCAGCCTTGGAAGAAAAGTTCTATTGATTTTGTTTTTCAAGTGGTGGCCATGTGTTTAAACTTAATTTACATATTGCCAGATGATGGAGAAATTAAGATGCTTTTTTTGTGGCTTAGATTTATTTTAATCAATGATTATCTGTATTTTATAATTCCAGCCAGCAATAAGTGATAAATCAATAGTAGCACTGAAAGTAAGCTTCTTTTACTTCATCTTTTAATAATTTTAACGCATTATATTTTGACTAATCTAGTACACTATGTTCTATATACCCTACATGGGAAACCACTGATGTACTGAAAAGTGATAATGTCAAAAAGGTTTAGATGTTTCCAAAATATAGTCACTGTATTCACAGTTTACTGTCACCTAGTCATCTGTCCAGTAAAAACAAATTAGTTTGGGAAAACATGGAACTAAATGTTAAAAGTTATTTTAGTTCAATGAATTGTTATTTAAATTGTATTTTTATTTCTACAGATAATTTCTGACCCTAGACTTCGCTTCGAGTTAGCACTTCGAGAAGCTGGACTTCATAGAACACTTTATGCTAAAGAGATATTACCAAAAATTAGTCCTCAAAAACCTCCAAGAAAGGACATGGAGTCTACTGTATTTAAAATATAGAGCTCATCCTCAAATTCTATATGTAAAGAGCATTTTTCTTTGAAAACATGTATATGGATAATAATAATTACTACTTTCTAAAATGTTTGAAATATCAGACATAGAAATCATAGCATCTATTAAAACAACTTTGCCTTTCTTTTGTGATTCTTAGAATTTTATGCACTATATTTCCTGTATCTTTAAGTTATATTTAATAGTACTAAATTCCCCCAAATTATGGAACTTAATTATGGCACATATAGTACTTATACTATAATTTAGTAAACTACATGTTGGAGGTTATGTTATCCTATAAAAAGAGCTCAAAATAACTTTGTGAGAATTATAAATTATGTAGCTGCTACCTGCTAATGTTCATTTCTGCTTGTTATTTCAGAATTTGACTTTTTAATTATGGAAGCTTCATTATCATTAATACTTCTATTATTTCTTGATTATTATAAGAGGAGACTCAACCTTTCTCTAAATTTAGAAACCAATTTGGTACACCATGTTTACTGCAAACCAATCATCCAAACAATTTCATTTTGCAAATTAGCCCTTAAGAATAAATTAGAAATTAGAAATAGCATTTCAAGCATGGGAATATCTGTTTTGGTTTGGAAATATATATATTTGTGTGATTGTTTAGAAGAAATATTTAAAATTTCATAATATTTGGAATGCTGTCAAAAATTCCAAATTATCTATTAAATATTTAGATGATTTTATAGAAAAGGAGCATTTAAAATAAAACTCAAACATAAATATTTGACTATTTCTAAAAAATAATTTTTCAAGCAGAATAACAAGTTAGTGTTGTTGAAAGTTGCCATTGTTACAGTTAAGATTACCCCACTCCTTTTTCTGTCTATTGCAGCTCCCTGACATTTCCCACCTACCTCCCAGGGGTTGCAGCCTCTGTGCAATTACTGGAATAATGTAAAAAAAAAAAAGCCCAATCCAACTAGTGGAATCTTTGACTTTATGATTGTCCCCAACATCATGGAAATAAAAAATACAAGTACAGTCCCGTTAGAATAAATCTTCACAAAAGATTCTATGGGCAATATCTTTATCTGCATTCCAAAATTCATTCTAACACCCTTTTTGTTGCCTCGTCATAACATCTCATAAAAAGAGAGGAAGGAGTGTTTAACAAGAGCTAGAGAGTAGTGAGCATTAGTGTTTATCCTTACAGTATCTCCCAGGGTTACAGTTTTCCTTTATGGGTCCTCAGTTTGCTTGATGTGACGCCTCAGACATAGACCCAAGAAAGCCCTGCCATGTCAGAGCATACCCTCTCTAAACAGCATGACACCAATATTCCTCAGAGTCCACAGATCCTTTCCAACATCAACATCCACACTGATGTCCAGAGGATCACACTCAAATTCCAGCTGAATAGTATCCCCTTTACGTTTTCCCAACAGTCAGACTAGTAGCTGGTGATAGTACTGTGAGGGATAGCACCACCATTTTGAGAACAATCAACTGACACGTGGTGGTTCCTTGTAGACTCTGGGTATTAGACCTTTGTCAGATGGATAGATTGCAAAAAATTTCTCCCATTCTGTAGGTTCTGTATTCACTCAGATGATAATTTCTTTTACTGTACGAAGCTCTTTAGTTTAATTAGATCCATTTGTCAATTTTTGCTTTTGCTGCAATTGCTTGTGGCATTTTCATCATGAAATCTTTGCCTGTGCCTTTATCCTGAACGGTATTGCCTAGATTTTCTTCTAGAGTTTTTATGGTTTGGGGTTTTACATTTACATCTTTAATCCATCTTGAGTCCATTTTTGTAAAAGATGTAAGGAAGGAGTCCACTTTCAATTTTCTGCATATGGCTAGCCAGTTCTCCAAGGACTATTTATTGAATAAGGAATCCTTTCCCCATTTTTTTTCAGGTTTGTCAAAGATCAGATCTAACCAGCATTTTTTAAAATAAAACAAAATTGAATAAAGAAATCTGAAATCCAAATGGCTAATGAACATATGAAAAGATAGAAGTACCAATTAAAGCCCCCAATGAATTATCAATATATACCCACCAGATGGGCAACAATGTCAAGAAATCTAACAATATCATGTAGTGATAATATAGAACGATGGGAAACACCTACTGGTAGTGGGAGTGTAAATTGGAAGCATTTGAACTTATCTGATAAGGTTGAAAGCATTCATACTCTGATCCAGCAATTCTACTGCTAGATAGATGCTCTTGAGAAGCTCCTGCATGTGTGTAGGAGGACATAAACTAGGATTCCCAAATGAAAACAAGCAGAATGTTCATCAACAGTAAATAAATATAAAAAATGTGGTGTATTCAAATACGAATTGCATCCAGCAATGAAAATGAATAAAAATAGCACCATGGACATATTTAGTGAAAGGAGCCAGAAACAAGAGCATGCATACTGTGTAGTATTTTATTTATCTAAGGTACAAAAGCAGGGCAAACTAACCTATATTATTTAGGGATATATGCATAAGTGGCAAAATAATAGAGAAAAATAGAATGATTAAAATTAAAATCAAGGTTATGATTACCTCTCAGAGATGCAGAGACAGTTGGGAGTAGGGGCTTCCAAGTTACTGAAAACGTTTTATTGCTTAACCAGGGTAGTGATTAGAGGATCTGTCTAATTATTCTTTAATGTTTACATAAGTGTTTTACTTATATACTATAATAGGTCAATGCTATGAATTCCCAATGAAATGAAAAAAATTTAGAAAATTATGAAAACAATCTTTTAGCATATAAGTGTATTGGAAATAATCTTGTTAGCCAGTTTCTGATTTAATATCCTTAATTTACATGTATTTCTGAGACAGGAAGGCCAGTCCCTGCTCGGGAGTCATATTTACCCTGACATGGGATAGGATCCCCTTTATTTTCCTCCTCCCCAACCCTTGTGCTCTGCTTCAAAAGGTTGTGGCTCTTGCCAGTCTAGTTTGCCTAGCAGGCTTGAAAAAGAAAGAAAAGAGAACATACCTAATAGGAGTAAGCACTGGGCCATGAAAGTTTATTTCAATTATCTGTGTTTCTGTATAGTGGGTCATAAGAAAAATATATTTATTAGTGGGTAATGGTCCAAAAAAAATTTAAAAACCACTACCCTCAATCCCATGGTTAATAAATGGGATATCCTGATACAGCTCCACATCTTTGAAGACGATGGGCTTGTTTCAAACTGAAAGGAAAGAATGTAATCCATCTAGTAGAAATTCCCTTACCTCCCTACCACCAAATCTGCAAATACACCCAAATGGGCATTTACTTTTGCATCCTCTAGCAGAGGGAGAAACCCTCCCTCTATCAGAGACCAATGTTTCCATGTGTGTTTTGGGTTTCATCCCATCTCAACTCTGCAAGAATTTTTCTTTTTTGTTTATTCTTTTTCTCTTCTATATCTTCAAGCTCTCTCTCAGCATACAAATATGCTAGAATAAACTCCACTTTAAAAAGAAATCTCCATTAACCCCGTATTGTCCCCTAGCTACCAGGCTGTATCTCTGCTCCTCTTCTCAAGCAAACATTTTTAAAGAGTTGCCAATAGCCATTAAATGTCTCTTTTCATCTTCCAGTTACTGTCACTCATTTGATTTAGCTTTGCCCTCAACTCCTCTGACACTGCTTTTAGCAAGGTCACCAATGAACTGTGTGCTGGCAAATCTGATGACCACTTCTCAATTTTCATCTTATTGACTTCATGACAACATTTGATTCAGTTGACAACTACCCCATCCAGAGCATGCTTTTCTCTTGGCCTCTATGATACCAGCCTGCTTCACCTCTTGCTTCTCTGGTCATTCCTCAATTCCTTTTCTGACTCCTCCATCTCTATCCATCTCCAGATGTTGAAGTGCTCCAGGATTAGACCCTTTAACTCTATCTTTTTAATTGTATTATCCAAGGGGACATCCTTCAATGCTGTACTTTAGTTTTAGCTTTAAATTATGTCTTTTAAGTGTTTTTTAATCTACAGGCTTCCCCCTCCATCCATTTTCCCTGTTTGCATTTTATTTATTGAAGAAACAAAGAAATTTATATGCAGAATTCCCTATGCTGGATTTTGTTGACTTTATCTTTTTGGTGTACTAATAGTTTAATGTATTCCTCTCTCCTTTGTTCTTTGTGTTTGCCATAAATTGGTAGTTGACCCAGAGGCTTTATCAGACATAAGACTCAGGTCGTTCTCTTCTTTTCTTTTTTCCAAGGCTACTTTATTGTGGTGGTGTGTTCCCCCAGCAGGATATGCATGTTATCGGATGGAACTTCTTTTTGCAATTTTTGCTGCCACTAATTCTCAATGCCTAAGTCCATTAATTACTTACAGATTGCATGGTAGAGATATATTCAAATTCAATCACTCTTTCCTTTGTTACTGGAAAAATTACATAAAGAAAAAAATTTTCCTCTTCTGGTATTTGATAGTATAAGAGGAGTAGGCTAAGTGTTTGAGTTTTTTTTTTAACCTAACAGTTTTACAAATAATGAATTTATTCTTTGACATCCTGCAAAGGTGATCAATTTTGTTGTATCTTTATGAAGTTATGAATTTAAATGTATTTGATCATTTACTCTATTAAAGTGTTATCCTTATTGATGCTCCATTTATTCCCCCTTTGCCTAATGGAAACCTTTTCAGTTTGGCTTATGAATTCTATTCAGATAGCCTAATAGACTTGGTAACTTCCTTGCTATTCCAGTTATCTATTGCTATGCAGTAAAACTTAGTGGTTCAAACTTCATTTTTAAAAATTATTTCTCATGTTTCTATGAGTCGACTGGGCTCTACTGGGTAGTTCTCACTTGGGGCCTATATTAATTTCCTATCACTGCTGTAACAAATTACCACAAATTTAATGGTTTAAACAATGTAAATCTATCTTATAGTTTTGGAAGGTCAAAAATCAGAATTTAATCTCATTGGGCTAAAATCACAGTGTTGACAGGGCTGTATTCCTTTCTCAGGGCTCTAGGAGATAATCGGTTTCTTTGCCTTCTCCAGCTTCTAGAAGCTGCCTATAGTCCTTAGCTCATGCTGTCTTTCTTTTATCTTCAAAGCTAGCAGTGGCAGGCCTAATCCTTCTGACATCCCAGCACTCCACACTCCTCTTTTGCCTCCCTCTTCCACTGCTCAGAACTCTTGTGATCACATTAAGCCCACTCTGATAATTCAGAATAATCTCCCTATTTTAAGGTCAGGTGATTAGCGATCAGAATACCCTTTGCCATGTAACATAACATTCACAGATTATGGAGATTAGGAAATTGACATCTTTGGGAGACATTTTCTGCCTACCACGGGGTATATTATAAATTTGTAGTCAATTGCTAGTTGAGGACGTAGTCATCCAAAAGCTCAACTTGGCTGAATGACCAAGAGGACTCACTTACCTGACTGGCAGTTGATGCTGGTTGTTGGCTGGCAGCTCATTTGAGGTTGTCAATGGGACCGACCACCTACACATGACTTCTCAAGATGGCTTGGCTTTTCATAGAATGGTAGCTGGGTTCCAAGATAGAATTTTCCAAGAGCAAACATTCTAAGAGGTATAAAATGCAAGCTGCTAGACCAGTTAAGATCTACTGCTGGAACTGGGATAGGGTCTTTTCCTCCATACTCTTTTCATCAAAGCAGTCATAGAACTCTCCCAGATTAAAAAAGGCTGAGAAAAAGTCCACTTATTGATGGCAAGGTCACATTGGAAAAAAGTATGTGAAATAGGAAATATTTTTGCAGCCACTTTTTGAAATCTGTCATGTTTGTTATCGGGCATAACAAGATGTTTTAAGCTCATTTTGAATATTTCTTGCTCTGACCTGGAACTAACCTTTTCTCTGAGAAGCTTTGGTTCTTTTTATTGGAAAATCGTATTTCAAAACCAAAATTTGGAGACAAAGAATACACATTGCTACTAGGTTGATCTTCTATTCTAGACCTTTTCAATGAGCATGGTTAGAAAATACACACACACACACACACACACACACACACACTCCCATACATATGCATATACATACACATATACATATACATGTACAGACATATATACAAAACAGGCCAAGTGCAGTGGCTCACACCTGTAATCCCAGCACTTTGGGAGGCCAAGGCAGGTGGATCGCTTGAGGCTAGAAGTTCAAGACCAGCATGGCCAACATGGTGAAACCCTGTCTCTACTAAAAATATGAAAATTAATAAGGTGTGGTCGAGAGCGCCTGTAATTCCAGCTATTCAGTAGGCTGAGGCACAAGAATCACTTGAACCCAGGAGGCAGAGGGTGCAGTGAGACGAAATCGTGCCACTGCACTCCAGCCTAGGTGAGAGAACAAGACTCCGCCTCAAAAACAAACAAAAAAAACCCAACAAATCCAGACATACGCTTATATTATCTAAAGATAAAATTTTTTTTTATTTATTCTGTTACTTCAAATTCCATAGGATTTTCACTTGATATCTTGTATGTTACTTTTGTATTTTCTTTTTTCCTTACTGACAATTCTGGTGCCCAATTACACACGGATGTTAGAATATGACATAATTACTCATTTACATTATCCACACAAAAGTCTTAGAATAAAATACCAATATAATAAAAACAAAAATAATAAAATTTGGGGTTATTATGCCTTTTCTATTCTTTTTCTTTTTGTTATCTATATTGCGAGGGACTGTGTAGACATTATACACACTCTCTTTTATCCATGATTGAATCTTATTCTATTAGTAAATATATATTTACCAATACTGCCAGTTTTTAATGTCAATTTCTCTCTTGTCATTTAGGTTGTCTGAAGCCTGTTTTCCAGAAGATTATTTAGGAATTAGTCATGGAAGCAATATTTTCTGGGTCCTTGAATGTTAATAACAGGTTGATGGTCGTCTTTATAGTTGAAAATAAATTTTTCCTGGGTCTAAGATACTTTATTTACATTTTCTTTTCTTAGCATAAAATGTCAAAGGGCTGGCTATAACATGGTTTTCTTTCCCTAAGAATCACTTGATCTTTTTGCCTAATTAGAGTTTTTTTCACTTCCTTTATAATATAGCAGTTTTACTGGACTTTGTGTTTGTCATTCTGGGTTAATATACTTAGTAAATTATATTCCCTTTCACAATATAAATTCAATTTTATTTCAGGAATTTTGTAAAATTATAATTTTTAGTGTTTGTTATGTTTCCTTTTTTCCCCAGGACTGTTATTATGCTATTATGCTATGTTGGATCTTCTTTGTCTGTAGTCTTTATTTGTCACTTTGTTTTGAATTCTTTTAATCTCTTTCTTCATTTTTAAAAACTTTTTTTATTTGGAAATAACTTTATAGAATAGCCGCAAGAATAAAATTGTTGTAACTTTACCCCAGATTCTCCCATTGTTAACATTTTATTCAACTTTTAAATTGCTTTTGTGTTCTTCTTTAATTTGATTCATTTCTACAGCCTTTGTTGTCTTTCAAGACATTGACTTTTTATCGTGATAAATATACATAATATAAAATTTACTATTTTAACCATTTTTAAGCATACAGTTAAGTGGCATTAAGTATTTTCACATTGTTGTGCAACAATCACCCCTATTCATCTTCAGAACTTTTTCATCATCTCAACCTGAAACTCTGAACCCATTAAACAAAAACTATACACCTCCTCCCCTCAGCCTCTGGTAACCACTATTCTAATTTTTTTCTCTATGAATTTGTCTATTCTAGGTACTTCATATAAGCAGAATCATATAATACTTGTCCTTTTATGTGTGACTTATTTCACTTACCATAATGTTTTCAAGGTTCATCCATGTTGTGGAATGTATCAGAATTTCATTCCTTTTTAAGGCTGAAAACATCCCATTGTGTGTGTGTATATATATATATATAAATTTTTTTTATCTATTCATCTGTCAAAGGACATTTGGATTGTTTTCACCTTTTGGCTATAATAACAGTGCTATAAACATTGATGTACAAATATCTGTTCAAACCACTACTTTTAATTATTTTGAGAATATACTCAAGTGAAATTGGTAAATGATATGGTAATTTTATGTTTAAGATTTTGAGGAACTGCCATGCTATTTTCCACAGTGGCTTTGCCATTTTACATTCCCATTAGCAATGCACAAGAGTTCCAATTTATCTATATCCTTGCTGGCACTTGTTATTTTCTGTTTTGTTTGTTTGTTTGTTTTTTTATCATAGCCATTTCAATGGTGTGAATTGGTATCTCATTGTGATTTTGATTTGCATTTTCCTAATGATTAGTGTTGGTGAGAATTTTTTAGGTGCTTTTTGGTCATTTGTATATCTTCTTTGGAGGAATGTCTATTCAAGCCCTTTGCCCATTTTTGAATTGGATTGGTTTGTTGTTGTTGTGTTGTAGGGGAGCTCCGCATATTCCAGAAATTCATGCCTTATCAGATATATATCATTTCCAAATATTTTCTCCTATTCTGTAGGTTGCCTTTTTATCCTGTTGATAGTATCCTCTGATGTACAAAAGTTTTTAATATCAGTGTCCAATTTATTTTTTCTTTTATTGCTGTGTTTTTACTGTCATATCCAAAGATTCATTGCCAAACCCAATGTCATGAAGCTTTTCCTCCATGTTTTCTTATAAGAGTTTTATAGTTTTAGTACCTACATTTAGAGCTTTCATCCACTTTATTTTTTGTATACAGTAAGAATCCAATTTCATCCTTTTGCATGTGGATATTGTTTTCTCAGCACTGTTTGTTTAAAAGACTGTCCTTTTAATTGAATGGTCTTGTCACCCTTGTTGAAAATCAGTTGACCATATATGCGAGGGCTTGTTTCTGAGCTCTCTATTCTATTCCATTGGTCTGTCTGTCTTTAGACTAGTACCACACTAACCTAAAGACATTAGTGTGATCACTGTAACTTTGTAGTACGTTTTGAAATCAGGAAGTCCTTCAACTTTGATCTTTTTCACTATTGTTTTGTTCTTATTTTTTCAAGTTTTTTTGGCTAGTCAGGGTTTGTTGAATTCCATACAAATTTTAGAATTTAAAAAATATTTCTGCAAAACAACACCATTGGGATTTTAATGGGGAGTGCATTAAATCTTTAGATGGCTTTGGGTAATATAGACATCTTAAAAATATTAAGTCTTCCAATCTATGAACATAGGATATCTTTCCATTTATTTATGTCTCCTTTATTTCTTTCAGCAATATTTTGTATTTTTCATTGTACAGGTCTTCTATCTCTTTGGTTGAGTTAATTCATAAGTATTTTATTCCATTTGATGTTATTGTAAATGGAGTTGTTTTCCTTTCTGAATTGCTCATTGTTAGTGTACAGAAACACAACTGACTTTTGTGTGTTGACTTTGTATCTTGCAACTTTGCTAAATTTGCTTATTGGTTCTAACAGTTTGTGTAAGTGTGTAATCTTTAAGGTTTTCTACATAGAAGATCATGTCATTTGCAAATGATCATTTTACTTCTTTCTTTCCAATTTGGATGCTTTTATTTCTTTCTGTTGCCTAATTGCTCTGAAAAACTGTCATGATGTTATCAGGGGGTTTTTCATATATGGATGGCTTTTATCATGTTGGGAAATCTCCTTTAATTCCTGATTTGTCAAATGTTCTTTTTAAATCACAAAGCAGTGTTGAATTTTGTCAAATGCCTTTTCTGCATCAATTGAGATGATTGTGTGACTTTATTTCCTTTGTTCTATTAATCTGGAGTATTACACTGATAGATTTTTGTATGTTGAATCATCCTTGAATTCCAGGAATAAGTATCTTTTGTTCATGGCATATAATCATTTTAATATGCTGCTGAATTCAGTTTGCTGGTATTTTATTGAAGATGAAACTGACATTTTTGAAGAACACAGTGTCATTTTAAACAAAATAGAATGTTTTTCATTTGCTCTTTGCTTTTATTTTTAAATTTTTATATTTCTTACTTCCTATTTTTAAGGTATTATCTGTTGCGCTTTTATTCATTTGTTCTTCTAGTTTACTCTTCATTTCTAAAATATTTTTCTTTTATTTATAATATTTCCAGAGATATATTACCTAATTTTTGAGTGTTCCTAATTCTGATTAATTTCATTTCATGTATCATTTTCATAGTTGTTTAGCTTTTTATTTTATTTTTTAGGTTATAATTTTAATCTCTTTTGTGGTAATGTTTTTCTAATGTGCATTAATTATTTTAGGAATGTTACTTGGCTTCTTGATCTGTTGTCTGATGTTAATTTTAAGATCTGATACTTCGTTTCCTCATTTACACTTGAAATTAGCTTTCTTAATTTTTAGAAGTAGTTGTTGTTCAAGATAGTTTCTCTAACCTCATGGCTCTAGAGCTCTCTGTTTTGTTATATTTGTGCAATGTTCAAAAAATTTGGAAGCTTATTTTCTGGAAATATGTTTTCCCTTACTTTTATCTGGACCTTCCCTTTCCTTTAATGCTGTTGTCTCTGTGCTGCTCAAATGGGCGTCTCCTTGCTACAGTTTCTCCTCATTTGGACTCTTTGCCCTCAAAGTAAGTTTTGATGAGTTAGTTTGGGAGTTCATGGAGCCCAGACTTCTCTGGTCCCTTCAGACTTTAATGCAAACTCCTTTAACTTACCCCTTATTAGAGGGTGTGAAACTCCTCTCAGCTTCAGATAAAATTTCCAGTGAGTACTTTTTGGATATTTTAGGGTTCTCAAGTTCATCTGATGCCCCTTGTTTTTCTCTGGTTCGTCCTGCAAAGGTACTGATAAAATGCAGTTCTTACTGGTGTCAGTGGTTACTCCTCATCCACTCATATTTTACAGTCTATGGAAATATACTGTCACCTATTTTTTCCTTGTTTTCTTGAGATGGAGTCTTGCTCTGTTGCCAGGCTGGAGTGCAGTGGTGTGATCTCAGCTCACTGCAACCTCTGCCTCCTGGGTTCAAGCAATTCCCCTGCCTTAGCCTCTCAAGTAGCTGGGATTACAGGTGTGTGCCACCATGCTGGGCTGATTTTTTGTATTTTAATAGAGATGAGCATTCACCACATTGGCCAGGATGGTCTTGATCTCCTGACCTCGTGATATGCCCGCTTCAGCCTCCCAAAGTGCTGGGATTACAGGCATGAGCCACCACACCCAACCACTGTCACCTATTTTTAAGGATGATCTCCATGGGTATTTGGCTTTGTTATCCTATTTGCTCTGTTTCTTTTTATAGGCTGATTTAAGGAGATTCAAAATATTATGCCACTTATGCTGTCATCTTCCTAGAATTCACCAAAAATGAACTCTTGATTCTGACTGCCTTTCCTGTACTAAACATGCTCCTTCCTCAAACCCACTTCATCTCAGTCATGCCCACACCATCTACCACATTATGCAAACCTGAAATCTGGGAGTCATTCATGATGCTCCATTTTCTCTCATTTGTAACATTTAATCTATCAAACTTCTTGACTTCCTGTCTCCTACACTGGAACCATACTGCTGTTGGAGGACATTTGCTGATGGAATATATTTGCCATTCTCACATTTGGGCAATGTCCCGCATTATGCCTCTGTCTTCCAGAGTAGAAGCTAGAGATTCAATTTCCCCAATATCTTGTGATATATTCTCTGCCTATCAGATGTAACCATCTGAGACTGCAGTTCATAAGACAGCTATGTGATAAGGCAAGAATCCACTTTCTGACGAGTGGCAGTGGAAGATTTCAGCTTCAAGGAACAATAGTTGCATAATTTATAGTATCTGGTTCTTAGTTCTCAGGGTAACTGATGTGGGCGAAGGTGCAGGGGACACAGCAGCAGTGGGTCTTCAGTGGGGCCATTTCCTCATGAGAGTTGAGCATCTTCTCCAGTTGGATAGCCTCAAACAATAACTTTCTGGCCTTTCCAGAAATTCTAAGAACTACCTAACACCCATAAAATATTGCTTTCCTACTTAAATTAGCTTCAGTAGGTTTCAATATTTGCTACTATGGATGCAATGACACACCACTGCTCTTTTTTCATTTCCTCTGATGCACCAACCACAGCCTCATGCCCTCTGTAGATAATCCCTCCATCTCTGCAACTGTCCCAACTACCATTTCCACTCTTTTCTGAAAATAGGAAGAAGAGAACATTTCAGTTTCTTTTTAACCTCACTTTAATTGCTGAGTACCGTTTTTCACAGCAAAGATTTCTGCACTACAGAAAGGCTAACTATAAAAATGACCTTCTTTCCCTCCAAAGAGCTCAGCCCACTTTCCCACACCCAAATTCCTATGATTTATATGGTCCTAGTAATTGTAAAAATCATAGAAAGCGTGGGGCTTTCTACATTTGATGTGTATTTAGTTATTTTTTATGGAGGCTGTACTTCCATAGGTTTTATTTTGCCCTCATTAAAACAGCTTCATCATCTCTTAAAATCTAGCATAGCTATATTTTACCTCTGTGTTCTGTGTTCAGGACTCAAAGATAAAATATGAAGCCACTTTGAAGGTAAACGACATGGGGAAGAAAATAGAAACTTGTTAAGACCAATACTTTGCCGGGAGAAGTCAGGAGGAAAGTCTAAGTTATAAAATTTTTAAAGACTTCAAACAAATCCTAGAAATGATGAAGTCTGACCTAGGAAGAGAAAACAATCTGGGAATTCTACTGTTTCTGATATTTGATCAATTTCTTTGGAAAAATGATTGAATGGCTGCTGATACACTTGAAGATGAACACTTGATATATTACTGCTGAATACTGGAGAGATCCTGAGAGGAAAGTCTCAGGAACTTAGACACTGAACATTTGGGAACAGTAGATATTTGAAACTCAATACAGGACTGAATTATGTCAATAGAATCCACAAGCTGCCCGACTACTTAAGGAATCAACTGTACCCCTCAGTCCTTAGGAAAAAATATGACATCAAATCTGTTATTACCATATTTTTATAATCTCCAGAAAGAATTTCCACCCTCAACAGTAATTCTTGTACTAACAAATGCCTGTGTTCTTTTTCTTTCCTGCCTTTCATAGTATAGGGGTCGAGGTTTTTTTCGCTGCTTAACTTGATTCAGATTTGTATTTAAATACGTGTTTTAAATGTCACTGGTGGCCTCACTAATTTCATCAAATTTTTTTTCTCAAATAATTTATTTTGCTTGTGGGTAAGTGAATTTGGGGAGTGAGTAGCTGCCTTATTTGCCTTCTATTTTGCACATTTTCCCAGACATGTCAATATTACTTAGCACCACATATGCTTAAAACTCCTAATATTTATAAACAATTTCAAAAACAATTTGCTTACATTTCTTTAGACATTTTATAAATATGGTATTCATCTGAAATGTTTATCTTCACAGTATATTAAAAACAAAATGATGCAACAAATGCCCTGTTACTATTGAAATATACACTCATTTACTTTGGGAAGATTATTAAAAATAATATTTTTAAACCTACTAAAATAAAATCAAACTTTACTTGGTAGTGAAAATAAATGCCTTGCTAAAGGAAGTCCAGCACAGCACAACATGAACTTCTGTCTACATGGATTGGGACCCTGGTATCTAGAAGAAAAGGTCCAGATAATGTGAAGAGAATATTTTGTTATCCACTGATATTATTATATCAATATAATGTAGTTACTTAAAACTGGCTTGAGAGATCAGTGGAAGCCTCAGAGTTTAATGCTTCTAGACAATTTCCTTTTTTTCCTCTTTCTGAGTCCAAATCTGTAACAGGTTAATTCAATTCAACGAACCTCCAACATGGAGAAATGGAAAAACCTCCTCATCTCTACACAGGTGTAGATAAAGGAAATTGCATAATCTGTGGTGCAGGCACAGAGAAAAACTTGTAGAATATGATGGATTGAAAACATTGGGACCGAGAACCCAGACACTATGCATGGATGACTGTTCTAAGTGAACCACTAGCATGGAGTTCTGCCAATCACCTGCCATGCCTACGCCTGTGACTTGTTGAGTGGCTTTACAAGAAGCAGCAATTGCTTTGAGGTGATGATGGACTCTTCCAATAGGGAAGATAACAAATTTCTGGGATCCCTTTGGTTCAGACCTAGCAGATGTTTCACCCCTGCAGGCTGCTGACCAGTTGTCACCCCCTTGGTCTGTTCGATGATCAAACAGACCCCCTTGGTTTATTTCCATATTCTTTCTGAAAGAACAACATCCAGCTGTTTCCTGGTCTATGCTGTTCTTGTCCCTTTTGAGGTTTTATAAAGCCAGAATGCAATCCCTACTGGTATCTGTGGGTTTTACTTCTGCCATCCTCCAACTCCACCCCATTCTTCACAGACAAAGGCCTAGGGTTTCATGAATGACAGCCCAAGGTGTTTGAACTTACGTAGACAGTACAAAATATTTAAATATTTGTGGAGCATGAAAACAAAGACAATGCTTCCAGAAGGTTAATAGGAGAGCAGGGTACAGTCAGATGGAAGCAGGGAGAACACTGGGAGTGGGGGAACCACTTATTATTAATCAGAATAAATCAGGTGTGAGATGATGTGAAAGTGGAGGTCAGTGGGGTCCAATCCTTATCACTTCGAGAGGAAGAGCAAATTTATTCATTGTTTTCTCTTTTGGAAAGTTCCTTTAGAGGGGTAGGTGAGCAGGTCTGTATGCAAAGTAAGCCTTGGGCAAGTGGATATGCAAATGGAAATATTCATAACTCTGCAGCGCCCAAAGGTGTGATGACTGGCCTGGCTCTAGCTGCTTCTTCACTCTTGTCCGAATCCCAAACAGCGCACTTAATGCTCTTACAGAATCTCTGAACAATCCTGATTCTAAGCACAGTGTGATAAGAAGGCTGCCCTCACTCAGCATCAAGCCCTTGAGTCTGCTCCTCCTGTTGCCAGCATGTCACTCCATTGCCCAGGGCCTGGTTGGTTACATCCTATCCTGTCCATGGTCACTTCTTTGTGGTTCTTTGGTAATGGTTTTTCTGTCTGTGGTACTCTAGGACTCAGAGGTTGTCTTCTGTGATCAAGATCTCCAGTTCCTCTGGTAGCTACCTTCACCATCTTTTGTTACCAACCACTGGCATGGAGTTCTGCCAACCATCTGCCAGGCCTACCCCTGCTTGGATCTATTTATACCACAAGTCTTGGTTTGTGTTCACTTCAGTTATTGATACTCACACCTTACCTGTCCTTTCATTTTGGGTGTAACACACTCTTCATACTCCCACATGCCAACTGTAGCTGCTGTCACTGAAAACCACCCCCAGTGAGCCCTGCCTCCCTCTTCTAATGTTCTTCTCTAGTGCCCTCCCTCCCATATTGAAGCTGGATGGCCTTGTGACTTGCCAGTAGAATGGGGCAGAAGTGATGCTGACAGTTCTGAACCTAAGCATTAAAAAGGATTAGCAGCTTCTGCTCCTGTGTTCTTAGAAGCTAGTTACCATGTGATAAGTCCAAGTATGCCGCCGAAGGATAGGCCCCATGGAGAGCCTTGGAGGATGAGCTCTGTGGAGAGTAAAGCCATGTGGTGGAGCACTGAGGCACCAGACAGGTTAGGAAAGAGCTCATCTGGGAGTACAGTCGCAGTACAGTCAAGCCTCCAAATACTCCAGCCCCTGCCATCATGTGACTGCAACCACATGAGAGACCCCAAGTAAGACCAGCAGGAAAACCACCCATCTGATCCCAGTCAACTCATGAAATTATAAAGAATGGTAATACATTTGTTTTACAGTGATATGTTATGCAGACACAAGTACTGAAATCAAACTCTTGAACAACAGATTTTTGACGGATAGTTTTTTGTCAGAACTGCTAAGAGTAACAGCCAACATTTATGGAAGACTAAGTACATTCCAGGCAGTGTTTCAGGTGCTTTGCATGTATGAAGTAATTTGATCTGCAACAACAACACTATGAGATATACAGTGTTACTACCTGCATTTTACAATGGGTGAAACCAAGGCTTAGAAAGGTGGCTTATCTTGCCCAAGATTACAGAATGGATAAGAATCTGAACTTAAAGCCAGGTAACCTGGCTTCTAAGCCCTCAACTCTATTGCTTTCTGATCTCAGCATTTGTCAAATTGACCATCCTCTGTTATCACAAGTATCAAGAATTACATTGGGTATCTATAGAACATTATGGGACATATCCACAAATCAGATAAAGTGATGACTCTTCTTTGGGTTTTTGCCAGGATATGGAATCACATGTGTCATAATGGTATAATTTAAGAAGTGCTGGGAAGGTCCCCTGGACCCCCAAAATGTTTCCACTGAGAAGTCTGGTGCCAGATGTGTTGGAGCTCCTTTGTATGTTATTTGTTTTTTCCCTCTTGCTGCTTTTAGGATCCTTTCTTTATACTTGACCTTTGGGAGTTGGATTATTAAGTTCCTTGAGGTAGTCATCTTTGGGTCAAATCTGCTTGGTGATGTATAACGTTCTTGTACTTGGATATTGATATATTTCTCTAGGTTTGGGAAGTTCTCTGTTATTATTATTTTTGAATAAACTTTCTACCCCTGTCTCTTTTTTCTACCTCCTCTTTAAGGCCAGTAACTCTTAGATTTGCCCTTTTGAGGCTATTTTCTACATCTTGTGGGTGTGCTTCATTGTTTGTTATTCTTTTTTCTTTTGTCTCCTCTATGTATTTTTAAATAGCCTGTCTTCAAGCTCATTAATTATTCTGCTTGATCAATTCTGCTATTAAGAGACTCTGATGAATTCTTCAGTGTATTAATTGCATTTTTCACTTCCGGAATTTCCGCTTGATTCTTTTTAATTATTTCAATCTCTTTGTTAAATTTATCTGATAGAATTCTGAATTCCTTCTCTGTGTTATCTTGAATTTCATTGAACTTCCTCAAAACAGGTATTTTGAGTTCTCTGTCTGAAAGGTCACATACCTCTGTCTCTTTGGGATTGGTTTCTGGTGCCTTATTTAGTTTGTTTGGTGAGGCCATGTTTTCCTGGATGGTCTTGATGCTTGTGAATATTCACCAGTTTCTGACCATTGAAGAGTTAGGTATTTATTGTAGTCTTTGCAGTCTGGGCTTCTTTGTACCTGTCCTTCTTGGGAAGGCTTTCCAAGTATTTGAAGCGACTTGAATGTTGTGATCTAAGACTTTGGTCACTGAAGCTATATCTGCATTAAGTGGCACCCCAAGCCAGTAAGGCTGTGACTCTTGCAGACTTGTAAAGATACTACCTTGGTGGTCTTGGGTAAGATCCAGAAAATTGCCTGGATTACCAGGCAGAGATTCTTGTTCTCTTCCCTTACTGTCCTCCAAGCAAATGGTGCCTCTCTTTGTGCTGAGCAACCTGAAGATGCAGGAGGGTGACACAAGCACCCCTATGACCACCACCACTGGGACTGTGCTGAGTCATCCTGAAACCAGCATAGCACTGGGTCTTGCTCAAGGACCAGGATGGCCACTGCTTGGTTACCACCTATGTTTACTCAATGGCCAAGGGTTCTACAATCAAGAGTTGGCAAATCCAGCCAGGCTTGTGTCATTCCCTTCAGGGCAGTGAATTTTTCTGGGTCCCAGGTAGGTCCAGAGGTACCATCTGGGAGCCAGGGCCTGGAGTTCAGAACCTTACATGTGTACCCAGTGCTCTATTCTACTATGGCTGAACTGGCACCCAAGCTGCAAAACAAAGTCCTTCCCACTCTTCCCTCCCCTTTTCTTTCTTTTTCGCCAAGGCTGGAGTGAAGTGGTGCGACCTCAGCTCACTGCAACCTTCACTTCCTGGGTTCAAGCAATTCTGTTATCTCAGCCTCCTGAGTAGCTGGGACTACAGGCACCTGCCACCAGACTCGGCTAATTTTTGCATTTTTAGTACAGACGGGGTTTCACCTTGTTGGTCAGGCTAGTCTCGAACTCCTGACCTCAGGTGATCCACCTACCTCAGCTTCCCAAAGTGCTGGGATAACAGGCATGAGCCATCATGCCCAGCCTTCCCTCCTCTTTTCTTAAGCAGAAGATTCCTCATAACCACAAGTGCCCTAGATCTATGGTGAGTATTGCCTGGCTACTGCTGATGTTCACTCAAGGCCCAAGGGCTCTTCTGTCAGTTTGTGGTGAATGCTGCCAGTCCTGAGTCTCCATTCAGAGAAGTGGGCTTCCCTATGGTCCAGGGCAGGTCCAAAAATGCCTTCTAGGAACCTAGACCTGGAATTGGGGACTCCAGGAGCCCACTTGGTGCTCTATCCCACTGTAGCTGAGCTGGTAACCAAGCTGCAAGATAAAGTTTCCTTTACTCTTCCCTCTTCTTTTCTAAAGCAGAAGGAATCTCTCCCCATAGCCACCACAGCTGGGAATGTGCTTGACCACACCTAAAGCCAGCACATCTCTGAGTCTCACCCAAGGCCTGTGGTGAGTATTGCCTGGCTACTGCTGCTGATAATTCAAGGCCCAAGGGCCCCTTAGCCAGCAGGTAATAAATCCTGCTGCAACTGCATCTTTCTCTTCAAGGCAACAGATTCCTTTCTGGCCTATGGTGTCTAGAAATGTCATCTGGGACCTAGGTTCTGAATGGGGGCCTCAGAACTTTGCTTGGTCCTTATTATACTGTGGCTGAGCTGGTATCCAAGTTGCAAAACAAAGTCCTCTTTACTCTTTTCTCTCCTCTCCTCAAGCAGAGTGAAGGAGTCTCTCCTGGAGCTGTGAGCTGTGCTGCCTGGAGCTAGGGGAGGGATGATGCAAGCACTCCTTTGGCTGTCCGAGTTGGTGTCTCACTAGGTCACATGCCCTTTAAGTCCACTGGTTCTCAGCCCAGCACAGCACCAGGACTTGCCCAAGAATTGCAGTCTTTGTGGCCTAGACTGCCTTTCAAGTTTACCTAGAACTCTAGAGAACTTTAGCCCGTCGTGGTGAGGCTTGCCAGAACTCAGGTTCTGACAACTGGGATGGACAATTCACTTCTGGCTAGGGCTGGTCTAAATGCTCCCTCTGTGGGCACCGGCTGAGTTCTACCCCAAGTTGTTTTCCACTATAACAGGACAGCGCTGAGTTCCAATGTAAAGTTCCATGATCTCTGCACTCTTCCTCTCCCAGATGCCCAGATTCTCTCACTGCATCATGTAGCCACTGCCGAGGGATGAGGAGGGGATGGTGTAGGTAATTCAAGATTGTCTTTCATGCCCTCTTTAGTGCCTCTTATGATGTTAAAACTAGGTGCTGTGGTCACTCACCTGGTTTTTGGTTCTTATGAAGGTGCTTTTGTGTATGGATAGTTGTTCAATTTGGTGTTCCTGTGGTGGTGGGGGGATAATTGCTAGAGGCTTCTATTTGGCCATCTTGCTCTGCCCCCTCCTCCAGCCTTATATTTTAATATATACAAGTAATAAAGTCTAATGTTATTTCAAACCTCTCCTCTCCAGCGATGGTGGGCTCTTAGGACCCTTCAACTCTATATTTCAGATTTCCATTTTAATATTATTTAGTACTTATTTTTAATCCCTCAGATTTATTTTTTTCAGTCATTATTTTTGTATTCCTTTGCTCACCATTTCTTCTTGCATCCTATTTTCCTATCTGAGTCAATTATTTTTTTACCTGAAGTGTATCCTTCAATTAGCTATTCTTTCATCAATAACCTAAGTGTAGGGGACTCTCTCCATTTTTATTTGTTTAAAAATGTTTTTAGTTTGTCCTCACACTTGGTTGATATTCTACCTGCTTATAGAATTCTAAGTTAACAATATTTTTCCTCAGGACTCTGCAGGAGTCCTGATCTAGATTATCACCTAGATAATCTAGAATTTTCTAGTGTTTATGGTTGCTATTGAGATATGTGCTATCCATCTAACTGCTCCTTCGTAAGGAATCTGTCTTTCCTTTTTTGCTTCCTTTTAACATTTTCTCTTAGTTTTCTTAGACAGCCTTATTACATTTATTCACTTGTGATATATCTTTATACTGTGCTTCTTGAATATTCATTGTCTTTTACCAACTTTGGAAATTTCTTAGTCATTTTATTTTGAATTTTGCCTCTTTATTGTTCTCTCTATTCTTTCCTTCTGGAATTCTGAGAAATATATTGGATCTTCTTACTTTATTCTCTTGATTTCTTACTTTTGCTTATATATTTGCCATTTCTTTCTTTCTGTACTGCATTCTTAGATTTTTTTCAGTTCTACTATACATTATTATACATGCCTTTTTTCTTCAACTATGCCTAACCGTCTATTTAACTCACCTGCTGAATTTTCTTTACAATTACCAACATTTTAATTTTTGTAATTCTCAAATCCTGAAGTTCTTTTGAAATTTCATTTGGAAATAGACTTAGTTCTTAATTTAGTATAGTGCTTAAGGACCTGTACTCCAAATAAAGAATGCCCTTGTGAATGTCAATTCCGTCACTTATTAGATCTATGACCCAAGGCAAGTTACTTAACTTCACTGTCCTTTAGTTTCCTCAACTATAAAATGGGAAAATAATAATGCCTCATAACACAATTATAATACTATAATGTTATGAGGATTAAATGAGTTATTTGCAAAAATAGAGTGTGGAGTGTGTGGTCAGTGCTATGCTATCATCATCATCATCATCATCATCATTAACATTATCATTCGAAGCAAACTTGTCTTTTCATATTTCTTTCAAAAAGTTTTTTTTAAATTTTTTTATTTCCATAGGTTATTGGGGGAACAGGAGGTGTTTGGTTACATCAGTAAGTTATTTAGTGGTGATCTGTGAGATTTTGGTCCACTCATCACCCGAGCAGTATACACTGCACTCTATTTGTAGTCTTTTATCCCTCACCCACTTCCCACCCTTTCCCTCTGAGTCCCCAAAGTCCATTGTGTCATTCTTATGCCTTTGCATCCTCATAGCTCACCTCCCACTTATGAGTGAGAACATATGGTGTTTGGTTTTCCATTCCTGAGTTACTTCACTTAAAATAATAGTCTCCAGTCCCATCCAAGTTGCTGCGAATGCTATTAATTCATTCCTTTTTAAGGCTGAGTAGTATTCATACATATATATGAATACTACTATACATCTATCTGTGATATATATATGTGATATGATATGATATATATGTGATATGATATGTGATATGATATATATATGTGATATGATATGTGATATGATATATATATATATATATATATATATATATATATATATATATATATATAACAGTTTATCCACTTGTTGATTGGGCATTTGGGTTGGTTCCACATTTTTGCAATTGTGAATTGTGCTGCTATAAACATGCGTGTGCAAGTATCTTTTTCATATAATGACTTATTTTCCTCTGGGTAGATACCCAGTAGTGGGAATGCTGCATCAAATGGTAGTTCTACTTTTAGTTCCTTAAGGTATCTCCACACTGTTTTCCGTAGTGGTTGTACTAGTTTACATTTCCTCCAGCAGTGTAGAAGTGTTCCCTGTTTACCACATCCATGTTTTTGACTTTTTGATTATGGCCCTTCTTGCAGGAGTAAGGTGGTATCCCGCTGTGGTTTTGATTTGCATTTCCCTGATCATTAGTGATGTTGAGCATTTTTTATATGTTTGTTGGCCATTTGTATATCTTCTTTTTAGAATTGTCTATTCATGTCCTTAGCCTACTTGTTGCTGGGATTGTTTGTTTTTTTCCTTACTAATTTGTTTGAGTTTGTTGTAGATTCTGGATTAGACCTTTGTCAGATGTATAGATTGTGAAGATTTTTTCCCACTCTGTGGGTTGTCTGTTTACTCTGCTGACTGTTTCTTTGCTGTGCAAAAACTCTTTAGTTTAATTAAGTCCCAACAATTTATTTTTGTTTTTATTGCATTTGCTTTTGGGCTCTTGGTCATGAAATCCTTGCCTAAGCCAATGTCTAGAAGGGCTTTTCCAATGTTATCTCCTAGAATTTTTATAGTTTCAGGTCTTATATTTAAGTCCTTAATCCATCTTAAGTTGATTTTTTATAAGGTGAGAGGTGAGGATCCAGTTTCATTGTCCCACATGTGGCTAGCCAATTATTTCTGCACCATTTGTTTGGAAAAGAGTGTCCTTTCCCCATTTTATGTTTTTGTTTGCTTTGTCAAAGATCACTTGGCTGTAAGTATTTGAGTTTATTTTGGGGTTCTCTATTCTGTTCCATTGATCTACGTGCCTATATTTATACCAGTACCATGCTGTTTTGGTGACTATGGCCGTATAGTATAGTTTGAAATCAGGTAATGTGATGCCTCAAGATTTGTTCTTTTTGCTTAGTCTTGCTTTGGCTATGTAGGCTCTTTTTTGGTTCCATATGAATTTTAGAATTGTTTTTTCTAATTCTGAGAAGAATGATGGTATTTTGATGGGGATTGCATTGAATTTGTAGATTGCTTTTGGCAGTATGGTCATTTTCACAATATTGATCTACCCATCCATGGGCATGGGATGTGTTTGCATTTGTTTGTATTGTCTATGATTTCTTTCAGCAGCGTTTTGTAGTTTTCCTTATAGAGGTCTTTCACCTCCTTGGTTAGGTATACTCCTAAGTAATTTTTTTTGCAACTATTGTAAAAGGGGTTGAGTTCTTGATTTGATTCTCAGCTTGGTCACTGTTGGTGTATAGAAGAGCTACTACATTGATTTTGCATCTGGAAACTTTGCTGAATTTTTCTTAGCAGTTCTAGGAGCTTTCTGGAGGAATCTTTAGGGTTTTCTAGGTAAACAATCATATCATCAGCAAACAGCAAAATCTCTACTGATTTGGATGCCCTTTATTTTTTTCTCTTGTCTGATGGCTCTGGCTAGGACTTCCAGTACTACATTGAAGAGGAGTGGTAAGAGTGGACATCCTTGTCTTGTTCCAGTTCTCAGGGGGAATGCTTTCAACTTTTCCCCTTTAAGTACTATGTTGGCTGTGGGTTTGTCATAGATGGCTTTTATTATATTGAGGTATGTCCTTTGTGTGTTGATTTTGCTGAGAGTTTTAATAATAAAGAGATGCTGGATTTTGTCTAATGCTTTTTCTGCATCAATTGAGATGATCATGTGATTTTTGTTTTTAATTCTGTTTATGTGGTGTATCACATTTATTGATTTGCATATGTTAAACCATCCCTGCATCCCTGGTATGAAACCCACTTGATCATGGTGGATTATCTTTTTGATATGTTGTTGGATTTGGTTGGCTAGTATTTTGTTAAGGATTTTAGCATCTGTGTTCATCAGAGATATTGGTCTGTAGTTTTCTTTTTTGGTTATGCTTTTTCCTGGTTTTGGTACTTAGGTGATACTTGCTTCATAGAATGACTAAGGGTAGGTTCCCTCTTTCTCTATCTTATGGAATAGTGTCAATAGGCTTCATACCAATTCTTCTTTAAATATCTGGTAGAATTCTGCTGTGAATCTGTCTGGTCCTGGACTCTTTTTTGTTGGTAATTTTTAAAATTATGATTTCAATCTCGCTGCTTGTTATTGGTCTGTTCAGGGTATCTAATTCTTCCTGATTTAAGCTAGGAGGGTTGTATCTTTCCAGTAATTTATCTATCTCTTCTAAGTTTTCTAGTTCATGCACATAAAGGTCTTCATAGTAGCCTTGAATACTCTTTTGTATTTCTGTGGTGTCAGTTGTAATATCTCCCATTTCATTTCTTATTGAGCTTATTTGGATTTTCTGTCTTCTTTTCTTGGTTAATTCTTGCTAATGGTCTATCAATTTTATTTATCTTTTCAAAGAACCAGCTTTTTGTTTCATTTATCTTCTGTATTTTTTTTTAAATTTCATTTAGTCCTGCTCCGATCTTGGTTATTTCCTTTCTTCTGCTGAGTTTGGGTTTGGTTTGGTTTGTTCTTGTTTCTCTAGTTCCTTGAGGTGTGACCTTTGATTGTCTGTTTGTGCTATTCCCTCCTTTTTGATGTAGGCGTTTAGGGCTATGAACTTTCCTGTTAGCACCACCTTTGCTGTGTCCCAGAGGTTTTGATAGGTTGTGTTACTATTGTTGCTCAATATGAAGAATTTTTTAATTTCAATCTTTTTTTTCTTTTTTTGAGACAGAGTTTTGCTCTGTCGCCCAGGCTCGTGTGCAGTGGCGCGATCTCGGCTCACTGCAAGCTCCGCCTCCCAGGTTCATGCCATTCTCTTGCTTCAGCCTCCCGAGTAGGTAGGACTACAGGCGCCTGCCACCACGCCTGGCTAATTTTTTGTATTTTTAGTAGAGACAGGGTTTCACCATGTTAGCCAGGATGGTCTCGATCTCCTGACCTCATGATCTGCCCACCTCAGCCTCCCAAAGTGCTGGGATTACAGGCGTGAGCCACTGCATCTGGCCTTTAATTTCCATCTTGATTTCATTGTTGACCCCATGATCATTCAAGAGCAGGTTATTTAATTTCCATGTATTTGCATGGTTTTGAAGATTCCTTTTGGAGTTGATTTCTAGTTTTATTCCACTGTGGTCTGAGAGAGTGCTTGATATAATTTCAATTTTCTTGAATTTCGTGAGTCTTGTTTTGTTGCCTATCATATGGTCTATCTTGCAGAAAGTTTCATGCACTGTTGAGTAGAATGTATATTCTGTGGTTGTTGCATGGAATGTTCTGTATATATCTGTTAAGTCCATTTGTTTCAGGGTATAGTTTAAATCCATTGTTTCTTTGTTGACTTTCTGTCTTGATGACCTGTCTAGTGCTGTCCATGGAGTATTGAAGTCCCCCACTATTATTGTGTTGCTGTCTATCTCATTTCTTAGGTCTATTATCACTTGTTTTATAAATTTGGGAGCTCCAGTGTTAGGTGCATATATGTTTAGATTTGTGATATTTTCCTGTTGGACAAGGCCTTTTATCATTATGTAATGTCCCCTTTTGTCTCTTTTAATGCTGTTGCTTTAAATTTGTTTTGTCTGATATAAGACTAGCTATTCCTGCTTGCTTTTGGTGTCCATTTGCATGAAATGTCTTTTTCCACCCCTTTACCTGAAGTTTGTGTACATCCTTACGTGCTGGGTGAGTCTCTTTAAGGCAACAGATAGTTGGTTGATGAATTCTTATCCATTCTGCAATTCTGTATCTTTTAAGTGGAGTACTTAGGCTCTTTACATTCACTGTTAGTATTGAGATGTGAGGTACAGTTCCATTCATCATGCTATTTTTTGCCTGTATATGTTGGTTTTTTGTTTTTGTTTTTTAAATTGTGTTTTTGTTTTATAGGTCCTATGAGATTCATGCTTTAAAGAGGTTCTGTTTTGATGTGTTTTCAGGATTTGTTTCAAGATTTAGAGCTCCTTTTAGCAGTTCTTGTAGTGGTGGCTTTGTAGTGGCAAATTCTCTCAGCATTTCTTTGTGTGAAAAAGACTGTATCTTTCCTTCTTATATGAAACTTAGTTTTGCTGAATACAAAATTCTTGGCTGATAATTGTTTTGAGGAGGCTGAAGATAGGGCCCCAATCCCTTCTAGCTTATAGGGTTTCTGCTGAGAAATCTGCTTTTAATCTGGTAGGTTTTCCTTTACAGGTTACCTGGTGCTTCTGTTTCACAGCTCTTAAGATTCTTTCCTTCATCTTTACTTTAGATAACCTGATGACTATGCCTAGGTGATCTTTTTGCGTTGAATTTCCCAGGTGTTCTTTGTACTTCTTGTATTTGGTTGTCTAGGTCTCTCACAAGGCCAGGGAAATTTTCGTTGATGATTCCCCCAAATATGTTTTCCATACTTTTAGATTTCTCTTCTTCCTCAGGAGCACCGACTATTCTTAGGTTTGGTCATTTAACATAATCCCAGACTTCTTGGAGAGGCTTTGTTCATATTTTCTTATTCTTTTTTCTTCGTCTTTGTTGGATTGGGTTAATTCGAAGACCTTGTCTTTGAGCTCTGAAGTTCTTTCTTCTACTTGTTCAATTCTATTGCTGAGACTTGCCAGAGCATTTTGCATTGCTATAAGCATGTCCATTGTTTCCTGAAGTTTTGATTGTTTTTTATTTATACTATCTATTTCCTTGAATATTTCTCCCTTTACTTCTTTTATCATTTTTTGGATTTCCTTACACTGGGCTTTGTCTTTCTCTGGTGCCTTTCTGATTAGCTTAATAACTAACCTCCTGAATTCTTTTTCAGATAAATCAGGGATTTCTTCTTGGTTTGGGCCCATTGCTGGTGAGCTAGTGTGATTTTTTGGCAGGTGGTAAAGAGCCTTGTTTTGCCATTTTACCAGAGTTGGTTTTCTGGTTCTTTCTCATTTATGTAGGCTCTGTCAGAGGGAAGGCCTAGGGCTGAAGGCTGTTGTTCAGATTCTTTTTTCCCACGGGGTGTTGCCTTGATGTAGTACTTTCCCCCTTTTCCTATGGATGTGGCTTCCTGAGAGCCAAGCTGTAGTGATTGTTATCTGTCTTTTGGATCTAGCCGCCTAGTGAGTCTACCAGGCTCCTGGCTGGTACTGGGGGTTGTCTGCTGAGTCCTATGATGTGAACCACCTGGGTCTCTCAGCCATGGATACCAGCACCTTGTTATATATAAAGTTTTGGTGCTGCAAAAGAAATAGCACTCGAATATAAAATTTTCTTTTTAATTCTCAGCAAGGCAAGGTACTTCTGTAGAAGTGTGCACCCTTACAGATGAAGCAATGGTGAGTACACACTTGGACAAGGGAGGGGAAGGGGTTCTTATCCCTGACGCGCGTGGCCCCTGCTGCTGTGTCCTTCCCCTCTTGGCTAGAGTTAGACCACACAAGCTAAACTAATTCCGACTGGCTAATTTAAAGAGAGTGACGGGGGTGAGTGGTTTGGCGGGAAAAATGGTTATGACACAGCAGGTAATCAGAATGAGTCAGGATGGAACAGGTAACTGAAATGAGTCAGGGTGGAGCAGGTAATCAAAAAAGGTTGCTTTATGAGAAAGTTAAGTTTAAAAGTAGACGGTAAAGAATTGAACATACTGACATATTGATTCTTTGAAAAGAAATTTAGAACTCATATCTAACAACCTGTTCCAGTGGAGGTGGCAGAGGGGTGAAATGGACTCTGGGGGGTTCTTAGCTTCGGTGGTTTAATGCACCGGTTTTGCGCTGGTTGGCCTCTGGCCAGGAGGTGGTGCTTTCCAGAGAGCATCAGCTGTGATAGGATAGGAGTAACAGGTGGTGGGCGGGGCCTCAGAACTCCCAAGAGTATAGGCCTTTTGTCTTCAGCTACCTGAGCTGAGAACTTGCCCCAGGCTACCTGCCTCCCAGCTGCAAAAGCAACTATGGCTTTCTTTGTTCCCCCACCTGTGGAGTCAGCACACCAGATAGATTGACGCGCTGCCCCAAGTTCTGGCCAGGAGACTTCTCCCTCAGTTCAAATTGTTACAAAATTCAGCTGGAGATTTCCTTCTCCCTGTGGCCTTTTCCCAGCACCTTTGGCCATCCTCCCAAAGCGCCTCTGTGAGGCCAGGCAAAAACAGCTTGCCAGGGGACCCAGCGAGCTCCCACGGCTTTTCCCACTGCTTCCTCTACCCCTGTATTTCACTGGCTTTCTAAATTTACTCAGCTCCAGGTAAGGTCAAAATCTTCTCCCATAATCTAGGCCTTCAGTTTCTCCAGTGGGGAGGTGTGTTTGGGGGCAGACAATCTCCCTTTCCTACTTCCAGTTTGGGCACGCAGAGTATTTGGGTTGTCTCCCGGGCCCTGCAGGAGCAATCTGCTTTCTTCAGGGGGTTTGTGGGTCCTCCGAAGTTTTCTGATTTATTCCTGCAGTCGTTGTGGAGCAAAAATTCATGATGCGAGCCTCCACACACCTCTGTCTGTCCCAGTCGGAGTTGCAATCTAGTCTTGCCTCGCGTCCGCCATGATCCTCACATGTCTTTTCACATTTTTTATTCTTGTGTTTTAGTTACTTCTGGTATAGCTTTGATGATTTTAAAGCTATTATATGACAGTTGCTTTCTTTAAGGCCCAATTCTAGTCACATTCTTGGGTCTAATCCTCCTGTTGACTGTGCCTCACACAAATATTGTTACTTGCTTATTCTGTGACTTTCTATCATGAGCTTATCTTCAACGAGGCTGGCTATTTTGTGAGAATCATGTGTCACCTGGGTGTGTCTGCTTCCCCATGTGGTTTTGCATTTATTATGCTAGGAGCACCAGGGGTGTCTCTGTTCCATGACCCAATTTTCTGTGTATCTTTTAAAATGAGAGTTCCTGAAATAAATTCAAATTCCAAGCCAGACTCAGGCATGGAGTTTGACTTTCTTAGGGAATTGTATTTTTTTCCTATTGCTTGTTAAACAGAGACAAACTAGATTCACTAGAATCTCCTGTGTAGGTGGGAGGATTTCTTCAGCTGGGTATTAGTTCCAATATCCACCTCACCTGACATGAGGCCTCATGTCTACATGAGCTTTAAACCTTAGCCTTCATGTTTAGTATCAGCTGTAAGCCCCGGTCACAACCCTGGCTTTAAGTTTTCTCTTTTTTTCTGGCATGTTTTGATTCTCTTCCCAAAATATTTCATGCAGCCTTCGTAGATGTTTGCAATGCCTTGGGGTATAATAGCTCTCCCTCTTGCAGAACCCCCAGTAAACTTCTTCTCATAATATCCTTCCACAACTGTTCTCCTTGCTTACTAGTCTCCCTTCCCTCTCAATATTTCCTTTCATTTTTTTCTTATTATTTCCCTTCACTTCATGATAATTTCTATCTTTCTCTAGCAACATATTTTGACCCCACAGAGTCCCATGTATGCTATGACAACCTGAAAAGATAAATTAACTTATTAGTTGTTCTTCCATTATTGAGACACCAGAGTATTTATACCCAGGGTAATGCCTATTGGATTGATGCAGGAAAATTCCATTTTAAATTTACAGCCTTTGATCCTGTAGAAATACTCCCTGGTGTGTCTACCTTCTTCTCTTCTCTCTAGTATTTTAGATTTAATCATTCTTTCTGATAGCTATTGATGTGTCAGTCATATCTTCTCACTGCATTCCTGAGTCTGATAAACTGTGCTTTAAAAATAACTTCAGTCAGCTATGCTGTCTTGAGCAAGAATGCCTGAACTGCCGGATTCAAAGATTTAGGACTTCTTGGCAGATACAGTCTTATATTGGAGATAAGAACATGGGGCTACACGGTCTCCCTGCTGGTAGCCATTACCATACTCAACTCCTTTGCTGAGTGACTCATCACTCACCACAGAACCTTCTTAGAGCCACTTAACTCCTGTAGATCAGAGAAGCCCACGTAGAAATGCCAACCAGCAGGCATGAGTATCAGCAATGAGTAAATTAATAAAATTAGCAAATTAGAATGTGTTATTATAAAAACCACAAAATAGACCTCACTGAGCCTTTACATTTTTGTGATAGTGAAACTTACATAACATTTATCATTTTAACACTTTTGCATGTACAGTTCAGTAGCATTAAATACATTCACGTTATTGTGCAACTATCACCATTATCCATCTTCAGAACTTTTTCGTCATCCCAAACTGAAACTCTGTGCTCATAAAACAATGAATCCCACTTCCTCTTTTTCTCAGCCCCTGGTAACCAGTATCCTACTTTCTTTCTCTGTGAATTTGTCTACTCTAAGTACCTCATATAAGTGAAATCGTACAATATTTATCTGTATGTGTGTAGTATTTCACTTAGCATAATATCCTGAGGTTTATCCATGTTGTAGCATGTATCAGAATTTCACTGAGACTTTACTTTTTAATGAATTAAATTTTATACATTTTTTTTGGAAAAACTAATTTTTTATTAGCCACAAAACCGTAAAAGGTTTTATCTGCATAGATGCTGAGATCATCACTGACATCTCTCACTCATCAGTCATTTCAACACCACTGTCTCCCACAGCCTCTATTCAGGCTGTGTCATATTTGAACTCTCCTTAGCCTTTTAACATAAGAAGACTTTGGAAGCACATGATCTTTCACGTGAAAAGGCAATTTTTATTCTGAAATATGTAAGCGGCTTGACTTTTTAGGTAAAAATTTGAAGCCACTGACCTTCACAAGTAAGGGAACTGACTAACAAGCAAATAGTGTCTTTGGAGGCCTCATCTTATCTTTAATCCATCTCCCCCTGACCACCTACCACCACCTTGGAAATTGTGAAATGTAGCCGATCAAGTATTGGTCATCTACATCCAGGTGTTTCTTCTTAGTGATCTTTATCTGAAAAAGAACCAGTGCTTTTACACTTTTGAACAACTTCCCATTGCCTGGCCAATATGGTCCCATCTTCTTAACCTGACTTTTAGGACCCTACCTAATAGACTCCCAAACTACATTTCCAGATTCAGCCAACCAGGATTCTTCACCATTCTAGTCATATGTCCTGTCTTTTCCTCATTTTTTCTTAATGCTTTTCCTTTTAGTGACAACACCTCCGCTAGAACCTCTATCAAAATACCCTTAAGTAAAGCT
Organism: Homo sapiens; assembly: GCF_000001405.40. Taxonomy (NCBI): domain Eukaryota; kingdom Metazoa; phylum Chordata; class Mammalia; order Primates; family Hominidae; genus Homo; species Homo sapiens. Next base: position 158,141,824 of record NC_000002.12, on the reverse strand, counting down.
CATCTCAAATATCCACCTTAGCCAAGAAACCCTTTCAAACCCTCTCAGCTCCATAGTATCATTTTCTTTGTTTAACCTCTCAAAACACTTGTATGTCTACCTATTTTTTGGAGTCTATCAGATTATCCTTTGAGTTCTAGTCATTCACACATTTGTCTTAGTGCCTTGAACTTACTAGGTTGCAAATTGCTTAATGGAGCTGGCTGTATCTTGTTCTCTCATAACACCTAGTCTTGTGACTTACAGAAAGTAGATTCTTTATAAATATATTTGTTCTGTCATTTGCTTGTTTACTTGGAGCGAGTTCATAGCATTGTAGCCTTAAACCAACTTTGGACTGGCTCTTTAAGAGGTGAGTCCTCTGGGGTCCTAGTAGAAGGAAGAAGATAGCACTGAAAGTAGGACTGTGAAGTGTAGGAAACAGATCTGAGTAGAGGGCTCGTGGTCACTGCTGATCATTTACCTAGAGTAAGTGGAACCTGGGTGTCATTTTATTTCATCTCATCATTGGTTTTTGTTGGTTGGAATGCTGGTAGGAAATGTACAAACTTGAACTCAAATGAAAAAATAAGTTGATTTGGATATGAAAAGCATCTAGATTTTTAAAGATCCATCTTCCTGTTTTAACAAGGAATGGGCAAAATCTGATGACCCAGATAATGTCTGTAACCTTGGAACATCCACAGTGCTTCACGGTGTTAACAATTAAGCTACTATAGGTGGAATAGCTTTTCCAAGAATATTAGAAATTTAGAAAAATAGACACAACCCTAAATTACTACTTTTTGGTAGGTTAATTCTAGACCAGTCCTCTGCAAAATATGATACTGGTCTAAGTTGTTTGCCTAATGAATTTCTAAACTACTTTATACTAATAAAAAATAATATTTAAATCAGGCTTAATGTTTCAAGGGGAAAAAGTGGTTTAATGGCTCTTGTTCTCAAGTGAAAACTGCTATGCTCAGTTTTTTAGAAAAACGAATGTTAAATTGATTCTAGATTCAATGACTTCTGTTTGGGAGGAGTGAAAAAACAAATCAGAAATTGAGAAAATCATTGAGAAGTGAATAACGAAGCAGGCTGCAAATGGTAAGTTTTTTTCCAGTTATTCATTTTAGGAGACAGTGGTTTGCAGAGTCACTGGCTATAGTTTTAGGATCATTAAAAGACAGAGAAAGTCCTGGAGGATTGCGAAAGAAAAAAACATGTATAATTCATTTATTTTTAAAAGGAACAAAGGGAGATCTTAACAATTAAAGATTAGTTTACACAGCTCCAACCCTGAGGTGGAGGTTGTTGATCAAATCCTCAAAAAAAAAAAAAAAATCTATGGTATAGACATCTAGAGGCACACAGGATCCTGGAGAGGAACAGTGTGGCTTTATGAAACTCAGTATGTATCAGACAATTTTAATTTCCTTCCATGACAGGATGACAGGACTTGTAGCTTGGAGGCAAACAGTAGAGGCCATTAATCTGTCTTTTACTCAAGTTTTCAATTCTATCATACATGTGATGCCCAGCAGCCAGCTAGGAAAATAAGTTGAGCACCATGTTTCTCAAGCTGCAGGCCCTGGAGAGTTCACGAGAATCTCTAAATAAAAGAATACATTCTTGTACAGAAGATTATATTTTTAAAAGTATTTTACCAGTTAAAGAATTAGCTTCTGTTTTGCAATTTAAAAAATGCATAATTGAAAGATCTTCATATAGAATGACTTCAGTTCCTTAAGTCAGTGATTTTCAAAATGGTTTTGGTCCCCAGATGTATTTTGGAGGCTGTATTACTGGGTCTCAGCAGGAACCAGATGGCATAATTAAACAGGGAACCGAGAGAACTTACTGAAGGGACTGTTTACAAGGGGTGGGCAGGATTTAGGGAGCAACAAGGGATGATGCAGCTGGAAACAACTGTTACCAGCCCTGATCCGAGAGGGCTGAAGCAGGGCAATTACCAGAACCCAGGGAGGACAGAAGTGTGGCAAGGGCCACCCACAGGAGCTATGGCCTTTGGTAGAGGACACAGGTGTCCTGCCACAACCTGACCTAAGGAAGGTGCACAAACCCAGGAAATTGTATGCAGATTTGGGGGCATATGTATGAATGTGTGTTTTCCTGAAGATCGGGTTCATAGATTTTATCAGGGGTCTCCAAAATGAATCCCAAATGTTAAAACTGTGTTTGTAAAAGGAATAAATAAAATTCAAACTATTATATTCCTGAAGTTGATAGTTTACCTCCCGTATGAAGCCTCTACAGGATGCAACACACTAGGTAACATTCTATAGCTGATAAAAATAAGTCAAAAATGTTATTTTGTGTATTTTGGATTACAGACTGAGTTTTTCTAAGCAATGATTAAACTTAACTGTTTCCTGTGCTGATGTTTGGGAATGAAAATGGAATACAAAAGCAAATTATATTGACTAATATATACATGTCGACCTGAAGACTTGTTCAGGTGATAACATTTGGATAAAATTACCCTGAGAGATAGTCAGCTATTTTTTGTTATTTTTGTGATTTTGTTCATTTTTGTTTCATCTTTCATTGGGGTATTTTAGTTTTTTGTATGTTTTTGTACATAATTTTATACATACCAGCAAATATGTGTGTGTACATGTGTATATGTATGAATACATAAACACATAGTAAGATTGAATGAATTATTTTATTAATAGATAATATATAGTATATAATTACATCATTATAATTATATATAATTTTTAATATATCACATATGTTATATAAATTATAAACTGTTTCATATATTTTATATATAATATAAAAATGTAAAATCCTTTCAGTCTTACTATGTGCCAGGCACTGTGCAAGTTGCTGGAATATAAAATGAGTAAGATACTGTTGCTAGCATCGAGGAGTGAGTCAAGTAAAAGAACTTGATCTTTATATAACTATTCCAGCGGAGACAAGGCCTAAAGAGTTTTAGAAGTTCAGCTGGAAGAGCACATGCCAGAGTCACAGACTGTCCATTCTTCTAAATTGGTAACTCTCAACTTAGGCTGCAAAATAAAAAATAGAGCTTCCCAGTCCCACTCCCAGAGATTCTTGTTGAATTGGTCTGAGATGGACCTCTGAACAGTGTTTTCAAAAGGCTTCCCTGGTGATCCTAGTATGCACCTGTGTTGAGAACCTCAGGGCGGTGTCCTGGAATGAACACACTGACGCCCAACTGGGGCTCATCCCCCCAACTCCACACCCAGGCGGTCTGAGATCCACACTCATCTCTGCACACTGTGGCCTCTTAGAATCAGGACTAGTTGTTCTTCTCCTGATCATTAGTTTGCATTTTTATTTTAGAGATGCTGTAAATTTGTTCTCTTTACGAGGCAACCACTAGCTGGCCCCAAGCCAATTCAGAGCCCACGTTCTGCTGATGCACAGACTCTATGGAATGCACAGTAGCAGAAGCTTCAGGCTTGTACCAGTTGATGCCCCTTGCCTTTGCTTTTCCTTTTCTTGCCCAGTTAGTTCTATCTTATACTATCTCGATGTGCTATTATTCAACCTTGTAAGCTGTCTCAGATTCTACTGGGGAAGAAGGAGGAATATATATTTATAATGAATGAATGAACAAAGGAAGAAACATACAAAAAATGTACACAAATATACATAGAAATGACAAGAAGAGGGTTTTTGCAGGCCAATCTGCTTCTTGAAGGGTGTTCAAAGAGGGCAAGAAAGAATGAGTAGAGAAGCTTGTTACAGGTGAGGTAAAAAGCCGGTGCCCAGACCTAGAGTGTGCATAGGTAAGCAGTCAGAAGATACCTGTAGAGAACAAAACTCTATGACACGCTAAGAGTACAAAGGAAATGTGAGCCTCCCAAATGAAGACAGCCCAGGAACATGAAAAAGGATAAATGTTCTCAATACGGCATCTGCATGAGAACAAATTCCTGTCTTCCCAGTGCAAATCTAGTTCTAAAGGAAGGAGGGAAGAAGTGATGACTTGAGGGAAAATTGAAGTTGGAGACCTCCCCAAAGGAGGTGAATTTGGGGCTTGGTTTTGACAGAGGGGAAAGCTGTGTGTATGTGAGAAAACAAGAGGTTCTAGACACTGCCACAGATATACACTGATGGTACAGAGGACTTTCCTCCCCACAGAGTGAGATGTAGTGGGAGGAACAGCCAGGGAGAGCTGTGCTGACCAGGACTGAATAAGGAAAGTATGAGTCTTGCAAAGATTGTGAGATTATAGTGAGAGTTTACAAGGGAAATGCTATGAAAAGGATTCATTCTTCACTTGACAAGTATTTATTGAGTGCCTAGTATGTGTCTGGTACTGTTTTAGGTGCTTGAAGCGATAGAAGCAAATAAAATATGTGCAGTCTTTGTTCTCCAGAACCTTATAGTGTAGACAGTAGGCATTAATTAAATAATGACCCCAATCATGACATAGTTGCAAGCTGCATACTTTGAAGAAGTAGTCGAGGGGGCTCTGGAGGGGGACTACAGGTGAGCATGGAAGGAATCTGGTTTGAGGATTAGAAAGACTTTCTAAGGGAAGGGATCTCTGAGTTGAGATTTAAACCATGAGCATGAGTTAAGCGAGGGCCCTTCAGGGAGAGTAGACAGCAAAAGGCTCTGAAATGGGAAGGGACATTGGCACTAAGAGTTCCCACTATCCCATATAACACCATTGTATAAATCAGGAAAAGGCCCCTCTCAGTCACTGTGGCTCAGGGTGGACTGAGATTCACCCTGTCCAGGTCTCACAGCTAGCTGGACAGGGTGGATCTCAGTCCCACTTGTCCCCGCAGCTAAGCACCCCCATTGGATGGATCTGTTGGCAGTCCTTCCCAAGGGATTGTGCCTTTGTGAATTTGTGCCTTGGGTAAGACTGAAGGACCAAGGGTGATGTGCCTGGAGGGCAGACACAAGGGGAAGAAGTGGGTGAGGTGAGCTGGGCTACCAAGCTGGGCCCAGTCAGGAATGCCTAAGCTGCACAGAGGGCTTTGGTCTTCATTCTAAGACCAATGTGAAGGCTTTGAAGCAGGAAAATAACCCAATCAAACTTCAAGAATGGAGGCAGGGTGATCAGGAGTGAGGCTTCCTCAGTGACCTGGAGGAGAGATCATGGTGGCCTGGACTAGGATGGGTGCCAAAAAGATGGAAGGAAATGAACAGACTGGGGAAATATTTAGGAGGATCAATTAATAAGACTTAGTGATTGACTGGCTGTGGAAATTAAGGAGAAAGAATCATCACAGGGGTTTCCCAGGTTTCTGGCTTGTGCAAGTGATATGGTTTACTGAGATAGAAAATACCAGTGAGGAAGACACAGACATAAATGCATGCATGCATGCACCTGTGCGCACACACTCCTTGCAGGAGTTGAAGAGAAGATTAACTGTAATTATTTCATTCTTCTCCCTCTCATAGCCTCTCCTTCTCCGTGTAAAAAAAAAAAAAAAAAGATTGTCCAGGAGCAGGCAGATAAAAGTTCAAACTGAAGCCTCTCTGAGGTGGTTTTCACTACATGGTCTAAAAAAATATGAAACAAAGTAAAAATCCCATCAGAAAATGACGGCAATGCTATTCTAGCTTGCTTTTAGCTCTGATCTTTGAATTTGATGGTCAATTATTGAGATACCCTAAAAATGGCACTTAAAGTGTCTCTAGTGCCAAAAAGAAGTTCACAAACCAATGTACCTCTTGGGGGATTGTTTATTGGTGATGATAAATACCTCTTGTTTATTGTCATTGCTTGAAAGAGAAAGACATTCCCCACCCAGGAGCAGGCCAATTCAGACTCAACCGGCCTAGGACCTATTTCCTGCCCCAAGCCTCCATTCGGTCATGTGTGACAATGGCTCTGGGATCCAAATAATCTGTACTGTGTTGGAATTAAACTTTATTTGAGCCACAACCATATAAATAATATGTACACAACATTACATACTATACAAGTGTGCCAGTCATCCTCTACCCATCCCCCATCCAGTCATTCCGACTCCCAAGTATGTCAAATTGAGAAGAACCCAAGATGCGATCAGTTCACAGAGAGCATGTGCAGCCAGGAGGAGCACCATGCCTCCCAGAGAATCAAACGGGTAGGGCAATAGGCCGGTCTGGACAAGTCATACAAAAGGATTCCTTTAACATCTTGAACTCAAGTCTTAATTCAATTGCTATGAATTTCTCAGCCTATTTGGTTAATATTGAAATGGAATAAAAAATACAGCCTCCTCAAAACACTTTTTTTACAAGAAAAAATGGCTAGAAGGCAATTTAGTCACTTGTGATTCTGAAGAAAAAGGAAGGCCTTTCTTTGCATTACTGAGGGTTTTCAGTTGAGAGGAAAATGTAATCCAGAGTTGTTATATTCTGAGATAAAATCACAAACAGGCATATGTAAATCTCGAATCCTATTCTGTGGTGCACTGAAATAGTGCAGGGGTAAAAAAGCAGTATGGCCATATTTTCCTAATGGTAACTTTTCCATATAGACCTACATTTCACTGACACTTTTTTCTGTAAATATTTTGAATATGGATGATCAGTTTCTGTCACTTGTCCAATACCTAGAAGTGCCTGACAATGTTCTAACATGAATTTCTGGATTGGTTTCAGAAACAGAGTGACTGGTAACTATGTGCAAATGGCTGGTCTATTTTGATGTGAGCTTAATTAATGCTGCATATGAAACTCCAAATGTCATAATCCAGGAGTTTTAAAATTTTAATTATTAGACTGATTTAGTTAACTTATTCTAAAATGAAATTTGAATTTAATTTAGTGTGAGTATTCTTTTACAATAAATTCCTTTTTAAGAGAGAAGGATTTCATAAAGTCTTTCCATTTAGCATGTGGATGAGAACTATATAAAAATGCCACAAATAAAATATGACTTTCACATTACAACTTGAGCTACAAACTTGCAGGGGAGGGTTGGGCTGCCCAGTTAGGACGTCTAGTCACAAAGTCCAAGCCGCCGTCTGATGAAGTTGGAGATTAGGAGCTGAGGCCGTTGCTGGTACTCCACCAGGACATCATGAGGCAAGTTGATCTGATCACAGTCGAGTCTGTCGAGAAGTGTCACACAGACCACAGCAGCTAGAAGAGCAATTAGCACAACTGATGGAATGAATGGGTTCATCTTTTCTATAGAAGCATTAGCCAAACACACCAGCATCCCTAGCACATGTACTTTTGTGTATTTTTGTTGTTGTTGTTGTAATGTAGATGCAACCTACTGAACCTTCTGGTCTTCAATATTTTTGTGGAATCCCACCAAACACTTCATTTAAATAAGTTAACTAAAATTGTTGTGAACACTCCTCCTTCCTCTTTTCCTCCACAATTGACTAGATTAAGGCTCAGGAAAGCATCATGTTCAAGATAAAGGAGAAAGCTTTGCAATCTGAGATATGCCATCTCCTGCTTTCTATCCTATTTCCAGTTCTTAGAGGAGGGTCTTTTACGGGAGGATATAACTGGAGAACTAGCCGTAATTCCCAAGGTGACATTTTTCTCCTTGGTGCAATGGTTGAGTTTGCCTGCTGCATTGCAGCCCTTGCTGAAGAAAAAAGTAAATACAGAAGAGATATAGAACGCTGACCTCAGGAAATACCAATAAACGTGAGTACTGGCTCTCATGAAATTTGAGAGGAAAAAACATGATATGAAATGCTTAAATGTAAGAAGCAGCACCATGAAAGAGGAAATGTATTAGCATTTGATTTCTAAAGAATGAGAATGAAATCTTATAGGAAACTGGAGGAAAAAAAACAAAAGTCTTTTTTAAAAAATGAAACTCTTATTTTTGAAAAGTTGTCACAAGGGCAATGTCTTTGGTTTCATCAGCAAGAAAAATTGAGTTCCATATGAATTCTTTATTGTCAGTTTCATATCAAATCTTTGATTTCAAGGAATGTGGTTACCCACATTGAAATCAGTGTTAGCCACTTTGAATTGCTAACGGTGTAATAATCTCCATCTGAATCTGCATCATTTAAAAAAGGATTTCAGTACATATGTGATTGGATTGGATGTGTCTGTATTAACAAACTTGGAAGGCATGGAGAGAGTTGGGCATGAGGGTAGTGTTTATTTCTTTGACCTCTCTGCTACTCCAGACTTCTTTGTAAGATCTAGATTTGGGAAGAAGTAGTATACTGTAATTATAATAGTACATGCTATCTTTATTTTTAAATGACAAATAGTAATTATATATAATTATGAGGTACAATGTGATGTTTTGATATATGTATACATTGTGAAATGATTAAATTAGCCTAATTCACATATCTATCATCTCTTATACTTGCATTTTTATGGTGAAAACAATTAAAATCTACTCTCTTAAAGATTTTTCACTATACGTTATTACAAACTCTCATCACTATGCTATGCAATAGATCTCTCGAGCTTAATCCTCCTTGTAACTGAAATTTTGCACCCTTCGACCAGTTTCTCTCCGTTCCCCATCCTGCTCCCCTATACTCTGGTAACCACCATTCTACTCTCTACTTCCATGAGTTTGATTTTTCTAGATTCCACATATAAGTAAAATCATACAGTATTTGTCTATCTGTGCCTGGCTTATTTCACTTAACAAAATGGCCTCCAAATTCATCCATGTTGTTGCAAATGAGAGAATTTCCTTCTTTTTAAAGGCTAAGTAGTATTTCATTGTGTATATATACCACATTTTAAAAGTCTATTCATCTGTTGATGGACACTTGGTTGATTCCATATCTTGGCTGTTGTGAATAATGCTGCAACAAACTTGGGAGAGCAGATGTCTGTTTACAGCACACTGATACCAGTTCCTTCAGATATGTACCAGAGGTGGGATTGCTAGCTTATATGGGAATTCTTAGTTTTTTGAAGAACCACCATACTGTTTTTCATAATTGATGTACTAATTTACATTCCCATCAACAGTATTCAAGGGTTCTCTTTTCTCCACATCCTGCCAACACTTTTTATCTTTCGTCTTTTTTGATTATGGCCATTCTAGCAGGTGTGAAGCGACACCTCGCCATTGTTTTAATTTGCATTTCCCTGATGACTAGTGAGGTTGAGTGTTTTTTTTAATATATCTGTTGGCCTTTTGTATGTCTTCTTTTAGAACCTATTCAGATCCTTTGCCCATTTCTTAATTTGTTTTCTTGCTATTGAGTTGTTTGAGTTCCTTGTATGTTCTGTGTATTACCTCTTATCAGATGTATCAGTTTAGAAATGTTTTCTCCATGCGTTTCTCCACATTTCTCCAATCCATGTATCTTTTTTGTTTGACTTAGTTATTGCTACATGCCAAGCATTTATGATATCACTTAATCCTTTACAGCTATTCCTTGAGCTAGGATTATTTTTGTCCTCTTTCGACAGATGATTAAATGAGGGCTTAGAATGATCAACCAAATGGCCCAGTATTACACAGCTGGTCAGAGCCAATCAACTCCTAGCTTCCTAAACTGATGAGAGAAGAGTTCTCTACCTTCCATCCACTCCTCCCCTGAGCTAGCACATGGTGAACCATTAGGCAATCCTGCCCTATCGGTTATACTGACCCATCGGTCAGACTGACCCTCTTGTTCAGTGACGTGAAAAGCAATGAAAATATTCAACTTGAGCTGCGGCAAATATTTCATCACCTAGGACCCTATTTATTCAAAACTCAGTCAGTTGTAAAGCAACTTGGCTGTACAGGTAAACAAGCAAATGGAAGAGCTAGAAACTTCCCACAGCTTTTCAAGTTAATGATCAGCAAATCTGTGAAGCCTGACATGGGCTGGCAGTCGCACAGAAAAGTTGAAAGTCCTTCTCTAATCCTTCACTTTGGCAGAAGGATAAAAGGAAACCAGTGCTCTATACTTTTTACAGAGTGGGAACCGACTTTACTAAATGTCTTTTCTGGATTTCAAGGGGAATGCCAAAGATAGAAAAGAACAGGTTATAGCAATCTCAGTGGTGTTTTCTTGACCCTGGAGAATCCACTAGCGAGCAGCATATAATAATCTTGTCACTTAAAATTACTATTTCCATGAGCAATTAAAAGGGACTAATTACCCAAAACAATTTGCTGAAATTAAGCCTGACAGCTTTGCTAGCAAAATCCTCAGATTAGGCAGGGAGGGTGGCTGCTGGGGAGGAAGAGATACTTAGTGACCCAGCTGCCACCAAGGAGATTGTCAGTGAACTGACCTGAGGCTAGAATGTTCTGGGAACACACAGACCTGAACATGGAGCTTGGATGCACCCTGAGCTGAACTAGGACTGCCCAGTAATTGTCAACCCTTTGGGAACATTTATGGCTGCTTTGAAAATCTGATGAAAGTCCTAATTGGAACCTCTTTTCACACAAAAATACACATCTGCCAATACACACAAAATATTTGTGTATAACTTCAGGGGTCCCAGGGCCCCTGAAAATTCACTCATGAATCCTTAGGAATCCACGCACCCCTATGGACCACCACTTTAACCCCACCTCTCTGATTCAGAATGAACTTTCAACAAGGTTTTCCCATGAACAGTGGGCAAAGATAGCAGGGCTGGGCACAAATGCCCATTGCACAGCAGAAGTCAAACAGGGCTGGTCTTTGGAAAAAGGAAAAGCAGCAAAGATTAGCTTTGGAGTTCCCAGCCTGGCCTTTCTTCTACCTCTTCCTGGTTATGTTCATACCCTCCCCCATTGCTCCTCAAGGGTTTGAGTTTATTAAGCAAACACTACCTTTGCTCCCTATATGCCTGGTATGTAAAGCACAGGAAATGTTTTTTAATCAACAACCCAGAGTCTTTGCACTTCCTGTATCTCCGCTGAAACATTAATCTCAGGCTATTGGCTGCTTATTAAAAACAAGGTGGGGAAAATTTGTATTCAAAGGGGCTGGTCAATGGTAAGAGACATAGAAACAATTTGTTCTTCTAGAGTCATGTTTCTCAAAATGTGCTCCACTGGCCTCTTGCATCAGAATCAGAGATACTTAGGCTTTATTCCAGACATACTAAATCACAATTGGGGATGGGTGTTGGGAAAGCGCAGTGAATCTGCATGAAAACATCTTCCCAGTTAAATTATTTTTACATTAATATTTGAAAATGACTGCTTCAAAGACTTTAAACTCTATCTTTGAATCATCATTACCACAAATATACATACCTGGACCCCAGTTCTTTGGGTGCCCAAACAATGCTGAATTAGAACCAATTCATTATACCTATGAAGAATTGTCCCATACCTTTTATAAAGGTGCTATCAACGACACTGCCCATTATAATATAGCTGATAATTTCATTTAAGTTTAACATTTGGATCAAGATTTTGTGACAAACCGCAAATGTTTTTACTAGCTAATGGTGGCTGTATAATGCACAGTGGTTTTTTTTTTTTGTTTTTTTTTTTGAGACGGATTCTTGCTCTGTCACCCAGGCTGGAGTGCAGTGGTGCAATCTCAGCTCACTGCAAGCTCTGCCTCCTGGGTTCACGCCATTCTCCTCCCTCAGCCTCCCGAGTAGCTGGGACTACAGATGCCCACCACCATGACCGGCTAATTTTTGGTTTTTTTCGTATTTGTAGTAGAGACGAGGTTTCACCATGTTAGCCAGGATGGTCTCGATCTCCTGACTTCGTGATTTGCCCATCTCGGCCTCCCAAATGCAGTGTTTTTGTTTACAGCTTGGCTTCCAGGAAACTCAGAGCTCAATCTAAGTGTTTAAATTAAGTATTGTACTCCTGGGTGGCCTCTTTAATACTGAGAACTTCTAGCCAGACACAGTGGCTCATGCCTGTAATTCCAGCATTTTGGGAGGGTGAGGCACGAGGATTGCTTGAACCCTAGGAGTTCAAGACAGCCTGAGCAACAAAGTGAGACCTCGACTTTGCAAAAACAACAACAACCACAACAATAAAAACCCATACACACACAAATTCGTGGTTGTATGAACCTGTGGTCCCAGCTACTCTGGAGGCTGAGGTGGGAAGATGGCTTTAGCCCAAGAGGTGGAGGCTGCAGTGAGCTGTGGTCATACCACTGTGTTCCAATCTGAGTTACAGACAGAGACCTTGTCTCAAAAAAAAAACAAACAAAAAAAAACCTTCCTATCTATTTCCTTAAATAAATGCCTCCTATTTTTTTTTTTACCTCTGTTTAAATTATATTATTATGCATTCCTCTTTCATTGAAAGCTGCCACAAATGCTTTTTTAAATAGAGGCAGTACAGGTCATCTTTCGATAGATGAATATATTACTTTTTTGCACCTTATGGAATAGTGGAGAGAGTGGTGATCAGGAGACAGGAGATGTCTATTCTAATTCATCTCTGTTTTAGTCTGTTTCCTCAGGCAGGTCAATTACACTCTCTAGACCTCATTTCATCCTCTGAGCAAGGAGCAGGTTAGATCTCAAAGGCTTCTTGCAAGTCCACATCCTCAGCTTACATGCCTCACATGATTTGGTTCGTTCAAAAACCTGCTGTCTTCTCCAGGAGGTCCAGATGTAATCTCGAGGACTTGAGCTTCTGCCAGATGTGGGACCGTTAACCAGAGATGCTACAGGATAGGTAGACGATGGAGCCTTGTGTACTTACTGGAGGTGGGGGTGAGAGGCTCACCAGGGGAATCCAGATAGCCTCCCTGGGGTCATAGCAGGGGAGAGGAGGGCCACAAATAATGACAACCACAGACAGGGTGGAATCAATGGCGCTAAATGATCCCTAATGTGTGAGTTGTTGGCAGTGGGAAGGGAAGAGTAGAATAGAGGCTAGGAGGGTGGAATTAAAATGAATCAAACAAAACTATAGACACTGACCTTGATTAAAATATGTGAAAAAGCAAAAAGACACCTTTGTAAAAATCTTGTCCCTGTAAAAGTAATAAGTGAATTATATACCATTTATACCTGATTTTCCAGCTACAATGACTGATTTTCTTGGCAAAATGAGGGCTCTGCATACTATAAAATAAGTATCTGCTTAATGTTTTATTTGATCCCATCACTAAGTCAATTGGTATGTGCTCAGCCCTTAGGGTTTGCTTGTGGCAGTGGTGCAACTATCTGCTCACCACACTTAAAATGGAAAAATCTGCATTGACTTTTAGTGGTGCACATTTTGGCTCTTCCGTCCAGAGACTATGAACATGTTGTGTCCACACGGAGGCTGCTGGCAAGAAATGGCAGGCAGGGTGCAAAGCTGCCTGAGTCAGCCAAGCTGGGTTCAAAGTCCAGCTCACCTGTTTCCCAGCTCTGAGAAGGTGGGAAAGTTATTTAACCTCCCTGAGCTACAGTCATGTAGAATACATACAGAATGAAGTTTTTCTCTTGTAAAGGTGAAGAGCCCTGCAATTGGTCTCCTTGTACCCTGGCCTAAAGATTTTTCAAAATCTGGATTTATCTCCATTTTAGGGTTAAGAAATACTCTAGCTCCAAACTGATTATAACCTTTAATCCTTGTGGTATCTTTTTACCTTTATCAATGATCCTCATGCAGTTCTCAGAGTCCAATATCCTTCATTGTTGGGAACAGCAGAAGAATATAAACATGGAATTAAAGTCAAGATTCTGCTCCCTCTCATTGAACTGTACTAAGGTAATATTATAAAGACTAAATATTTCCCTAAGTTACCAGTGTCTGTCCAAGGAAATAACACTGAATTCTTTAAAGAAAAGCCACTGTGAGTGCTGCAAACAACTAGACATAGAAGAGGATTTAAGCAGAACCTAAGCGTAGACAAATATTAGGCTTCATATATTGTCAGGCAAGCCTGTGTCAAAAGGCAGCACTGTCTTTAAAACACGAATACAAGTTAAACATACTTACCACAAGTTCACAGTACAAGAGGATTATCATCTTTCATCAGAATGTTTGGGGCTTAATTAAAGTAGATTTTGCTTTAAGAGAGACACAGATATGTGCATATTATAAAGTGATAGGAGAATGCATTTATTGAGCATTGCACAGTGCTTCCATTGAACAGGTTTACATTATGCTGAAAATTTAGCTTTGGAATAATTGGGTGAATTCCACTATTTCCCTTCACCTGAATCTTTGTTAAAACAGCATTGGATTCCCAACTCTCTTTTCTAAAATAATGAGATCAGGATAGCAACAGTGACTTCTGGGTGTCAGTGGCCTTATTATAGGTAGTTTGTCCACCTATCAAATGTTGACAGACCCAGAGGTTGTAGATCTAGCAAAATAAATATTTGTATAGACCTTAGAGCAAAGGGAGGCTTGACTTTAAGGCTTTATTTCCCCCTTTGTGGACAGTTAGGAGATACTCCTAAGTCCTTTAGACAATTCTAAGCCACTTATATGGCTGGGGAATAAAGGTTAAAGTTTGCAATGGCCATTTTCCATAGTCAAAAAGAGTCTAGTGGCCCTTTTTTTTTTCATTCACTCACTCGTTCAGTAAATATTGAAAGCCCATATGGCAGGCATTATTCTAAGTACTGGGGATACAGCAATGACAAACAAGGTCCCTGTTCTTATGGCACTAATGGAGAGAAATAATCAATATATGCCTTTATGCACTAATATGCATGAAATAATATATAAGTTAACATATAAACAGACTGGAAATATAGTCAGTAGTGGTAAATGTGATGCAGATAAATGAAATAGAATGACACCATTGTGAGTGAGTGAGTGTAGGTAGTCATGCAAGACTTTTTTGAGGAGGTGAGATTTAGGGTGAGATGTGTAATACTAACTGCAAAGATAATAAGTGGTAATCCACGTGGACCCAAGGCCTCCTTGTGCTAAGTAGATCTAGAAAGATCTGTTTCTGCAATGGTCCAAACTCAGTGAGTAATTCATCTAAGTTAGTACAATGGTTCTCTAGAAGACCTTTGTTTATGTAAGTATTTGGTATTTATAAGCCATCACCTTAGTATGAATTCTGATTGGTTATCCAGTCATCTGGTGTACTAAAGGAACAGAAGAGGTGTCAGAAGGCTGTCTGGAGAGATAGGATAGGGTGGGCCATAACTAACAGTGGCAGGGAGGGGGTTAGGGAGACATGCCTATGGGCCCTGGGCTCTTGGTGCCAGGTGAAATCTTTTTTTCCATATTGCTTACCATCAGATGTCCTCTCTAACTTCCTCTGTTTCAGCAGCTGTCCATGAATGCATTCTCAGCCCTTCCCCAAGCAAGCTTTTCTGGCTCACACAAAGTGCGTTATAAATGGGTTAAAATCAAAAGGTGCCAGATGCCAGCTTCCAAGCTTCAGTGTTACGGGAACAGGATGTTATGAAGTAGTAATGAAAGAAGAGAATATGATAGCACCCTATCCATGGGGTTTTCGGTCTCTATACTTGGTGGCTGATCTTCCAGGGGACAGCATACCAGGAATCCACCTTTTAGAACAGTAAATCTGAGGGAGATAAAGAGCCGCTGGCACCATGAAGACATTCAGATAGAAATACTCCCAAGAACTACAGAGCTGCAGATGCAACTTTTAGTGTGAATGTTGGCAGCCTAGAAGGGGTCTACTCCATGAAAGGCTGCAGCAGTGGCCTGGGGGAGAGCTATTTGCAGGCGGAAATCAGCTACCAGCAGGTCCAGCAGCAGCATAAGAAAGAAAATGCAGTGGAGGGCAGTAACTACAGAAATGTAGAGAAGAAAGCATCCAGGAGGGAAACCTGCAGGTAGCAGAGAGAGCAAGGTTACAAAGATTTGCAGCAAGGACAGAAAGGCTCTTAGAATAACTTCACTTAGGTTTCTGCAACATCCTAAACAGAGAAAGAAAGACTCAGAGTCCAGGGTCCACAAGCCTAGAACTCTTCTTGGCTGCCAGTTGGTGCCTCTTAAGAAAGAACTGCTGGTCATCACCCGGTTTTCATGAAGGCAACATGTTGATAACTCGGCATTTTATGTTTAACTATTAATAAAGTGGTTAACAAATTATGTTACACTTACACATTAGGTGGAGACATGACTCAAGTGATCACTTGTTTATGTAATAAAGAAATGTGAGGAGGCATTTCCTGGAGCAGAACCATCTGAATCCAGGTGTCCCTGCAGGCTGTGTGGGGTGCTGCTTTCCCACCGTCACTAACTTGTAGAGAGAAAAGCAGATGCTCTTGTTCTCTAAAAGAGGATACTAGCAATGACCTTCAAAAGAATACAAAGATGGGCTGGGCGTGGTGGCTCACTCCTGTAATCCTAGCACTTTGGGAGGCCGAGGCAAGTGGATCACTTGATGTCAGGAGTTCAAGACCAGTCTGGCCAACATTGAAACCCCATCTCTACTGAAAATACAAAAGTTAGCCGGGCATGGTGGCACAAGCTTGTAATTCCAGCTATGTGGGAGGCTGAGGCAAGAGAATTGCTTGAACCCAGGAGGCAAAGCAAAGATTATAGTGAGCCGAGATTGCGCCACTACACTCAGCCTGGGCAACAGAGGGAGACTCTGTCTCAAAAAAAAAAAAAAAGAGTACAAAAATGCATTGCGTGTTCTTCCCACGTTTTTACCAATAATTTACACGTACATATATTCTGACAGATGCAAGTAGTTAAGGATAGTGGTTCAACAATTAATCTCCTTAGAACTACAGCTTTTTTGTAAAATGCATTCTTAGAAATATGACCACATATATTCTGTTTGTAATGTGTAGATTAAAATTCATTGACTATAAGGACAAGTTTTGCAAGTCAAATTCCACTTATAAAAATGAAGCTTTATTGTGCTGTAATTCTTTACTTCTTTGAAGCCTTCCTCTTTGCATATCAGGATGCCACACTTCCCTGGTGTACTGCCAACTTCATGGGCCACTCCTCCTTGGTCTCTCCCATCTCAATTAACTTTTAACGTTTAAGCAAGGACCTCTTGTCATCTGTGCCTAGACTCATTGTTTGTTATCTTACCCATTGCATAGCTTTAAATGCCATCTATATGCTTTCAACTTAGAATTTTATGTCTCCAGTGCAAACGACCAACCTAAACTCCAGATTCATAAATTCACCTGCTTGCTTGGCCTCCATTTTGATGTCTACTACCCTAATGTCTTCACCCCAATTTCCTCTGTCCCAGTTATGGCAACCTCATGCTTCCAGTAGTTTAGACCATAAACATGGGAGTCATTTTTAACTCCTGCCTTTCTCACCAAATTTACATCAAGTTGTCAGCAAATGTTGTTGGGTTTGTCTTCAAAATGTTTCTACAATCTGACTACTTCTCACTACCTGCGCTGCTATCACTTTGTCCATCAACTCTCACTAGACTACTGCGTTCGCCTTCTCGTTCTTCTCCCTGCTTCTGCCCTTGACCCCATTCGGGTCTTCCCAGCTGAGCCGCCACTGTGATTCTGTTAACACACAGGTCAGATCCAGCCACCTCTCTATTCAGAGCTCTCCAGTGGCTTCTCATTTCACCCAGAGTGAAAGTCATTGTTCTCACAGTGTCCTACACAATCTGTACATCTTCCCTCTCTCCTCCCATTCTCCACCACTGCCTCTCCCCTCCTGATCTCTTCCCTGTTCCTCCAATTCTCCTTGAATGCTCCTGTCTGTGGCCTTGGATTTGCATTGAACAGAATGCTCTTCCCCCAGATATCCAAGTGGCACATTCTTCTCCCATCCTTCCCTGACCATGCTCTTTAAAATTATGATTGATGGACTATTTTAGGAATATTTTGTTTGTATCTTGTCTCAATAAATTCAATTGTAATAGAAACTACTAGCCACCACCAGGATGAAGGAAACTGAACTTGCTGTCAAGCCCTGAACATGTCACCAATTAGCTGTTGAACCCTGAGGTTTAGTTTCCTTATTTGCATAATAAGAATAATGTCCTGGCCACTCACAAGATATTATGAGATAATGTATATTATATACAATTATAAGTCATGCCTTCAGCCCAAGGTAATATATAGCTGGACCTCTTTTTCTTCTCCTAAGGTGTAAAAGTAGCTTCATGAAAGAGGAGAATTTGACCCTAAGCATTCACGAAAAGCTTACCTTTTAGACCACAGAGTCCACACATAGCTGCAAACACTGTAGATTCCATTTCAATATTCCTGACACCAGCTTTAAATGCTCTCTTCAAGTAGTCTAACTTTTTTTCTCTGGAAAAGGAGCACAGTGCTCCATCTAGTCGGCCTTGGCCTGAAAGGGAGGGGAGAACGTTTAGTGACTTGATGTCCCACCCCACTGACAGTGGCCTCATAGGAGGCTTGCTGTTGGCTGGAGCACGCTGCCGCTGTCTAACTCTACAGCGTGCTCCCCGTGTAGGATAAACTGAGCTGTGTGACTCTTCCTACCAGAGGACTGTGGAGCGATGCTGTCCCTAGCTGAGGAGTCTCATACGTAGGAAGGAGCCTTCATGGCCGAGGACCTCAGTTCTGGGGTCAGTAACTGTTGAGTGGCTGCAGCAGCCAGCACTGTGCCCAGGGAAATCAGGAAGCGGGGGGTTGCTGTGAGAGCTGCCCTTTGAGGAAAATCTCAGGTTGCTCCAATGACTGGGGAATGGCCCAGGGATGGGTGCTGGGAGAAAAAAAAAGAGGTTTCGATGATGCTAAGCTACTTGAGGATCAGGACAGTGTTTGGACATTGCGCCTCTCCATATGCCTTTGCGACATTGTCCACCTTCCCCCTTTCCGCACACTTCTCAGGCTGCACGCCACCCCTTGTGATCACATTTTCCTTTCCAGGCTGCTCCCAGTGTTCATTCATCACTGAATTTCAGCTGTATCTACCAGTGCGGACAGAAGCAAGGAAAGGAAACCTTGATGTCATTACTCCTTCCGTACCCTGTGCACACCCAGAAATAGACCTCCTAATGCCTCCTCACTCCTGAGAAGACCTGGATTCAAGCAAGTGGGCTAATAGCACTCTGTTGCCATCCATTATTTTCACAATCCCCTTTTTGGTGCTCTTTCCTCTCTTTTTCTCCCTTTCCTCTATCTCTTTCACGCTACTTTCACCCCTGGCAGTCTGCTTCCCCTTGTTCCTTCTCTTCTCATTAGAGCTGCGTGCCACCACCTCTATTTAAGCTGATTCAAACACAGACATCGCAGAAGCCAAGCAGGTAATGTCGATGCGAGTGTCTGGTCTGAGGGGAGCAGCTTCACCTCACCTTCAGCAAATGTAGCCCCAGATGTGGGTCAGGGCTTGTCAAGGCTGTCATGCATATACTGGTGTACATTTTTAAATGCTAGTTATTTCAAAAAGCCAGAAATGTGGGTGTTAATATAAAATCTCCAGATATTGTAAATGTTGGCAAAATAATTCACATTTTTAAAAATACTGTGCAGGCCAAAGGAAACATTGACTTTAACAAGCTTCCATTTGCAAATTCTGCTTTAACATATCAGTGAGTGACCCTCGAGATGGACTATGAGTCAGTGGCCTTGAACAGAGGGTCCCAACCCTATTGGACCCCAACAGCCCTTCTATTTTACAACAAATATGTGGTGAAACCACCTTTACTAACCGGAAGTAAAATGTATAGATAATATGACCTATCTCCAAACATAATTTTTTAAAATTCAATATATCTTAAGTTTGAGCTAAAGGGAAAATAAAAGTAATTTATAATGAAATAGTATGGATTTTGAAAAGAATAAAACTACTGCCAGATTTTCAGAATGCCCTTCAAGGCATGGTACCAATACTGTGTAGATTCTTTCTTCTGGGACGAGAAAGAATCGGGGGTCTGTCTTTGAAGGTTTCTTCCCCTTGGCCCTTCATCCCTAGTAGCAAGTGCTGCTACATAGCAGTCATCTTCAATTTGTCTCTAAACTTGGTTTGGGGACCCCTTACTCATGGCTGAGAGATAAAAACCCCGCTCTGAGATCATGCCATCCCGTGGGATTTGTACCCCCTCCCCAAGCATTTCTCCCCATTTTCTGGACCACTGTTTCCGGGGGACAGGATCATTTTTGAGGTACAGATGAATGGCAGAAACATAGAATCAGCATACTTCCCTTCTCTTAGAGCTGCTAATTTAAGTTAAAGGCATAAACAGAGATAAGATTCTGTGAACATCACTAATTGCATTTTAGTGTTCAATGTGTTCTTGGAGGATTAAATCCACCCTCAATATAAATTCATTCTGCTGCTCATTATGTCCTTGTGTTTCTATGCTTTAGTAAGTAAAAAAGGCTGTTTCATTTCCTTTTTAACCCACAAATATTAATTTTCTTAAGTAGAGTTGTTAATATAAATTATGGGTTTGAATAACAAAGAGTTGCTGGCATTTTTCTGTTTCCTTCACAGTTTATAAATTGTTCTCACCTTCATAAAAATCATAGGTACACATTGTATGTCCAACGAGGGTTGGGAAGTTGGGGATTTCTTTGCTACAGTTGAACAGTTCTTCAGACAGTTCTTTGTCCAGTTCAGTACTTCGGGTGACAATGTTGTCCAAAATGACCTGTTCAAACCGGGGCTTAAAGAAGGAGTCTACAGCTATATCCGTTATTACAACAGTCCCTGGTGCAATCCCTGCAATGTGGGAATAAATGATTACAGAAGAATATCGTTTAGAGTTTACTTTTGACACATAGTATGTAACTTATTCTAGTATTAATGCTAGCTGCTAATGAGTCTCCCTGTTTTCAACTTTAAAATTATTTTCTTTTCCAAATGCAATTAAATAACATTCAGAAGAGGCATTTACATTTGTTGTCTTTTCAAATGCACATTTACAATGTGATGGGGTTTAGATTTCAAGACAAACATGACTCTTGGACATGCAAATTAGTGCCAGACTTTGGGCTCAAATTTGAATAAATTAGGTCAGGAAAAAACTAAATAAGCCTGCCAGCAAGTAGCTTTCATAAAGTGATGTGACTTCTTAATATTTAATCTTCTCTGCGACTTCTTGATTACTGTAATTTCTTTGCATCTCTATCCTCTTTTTCTTCTGATTCTTTTCACATTTGTTCTCTCGCCGACTTCATGTAAATCAGGGCTCTTGGCTGACCTTCCATGGCTACAAAGTCTGAGTTGCTCAAGGGACTTGGGCTTACTTAAGAAACTATTTTCTGCCAACTGTTAGTCTCCCTGCCTGCCATGCCATCTCCTCCTCCCCCCACCTTTTCACCACACACCAAGTCACTCTTCAGGTGTCAGCTTAATTTACTTCCTGAAAAAGGTCTGAATCCACAGAAGGGAAGCAAACAAATGAAAAAATTAAAAGGCAACACAGATAGGTTACACTAAATTTCCCCAGGCCCATTTTTGACCCAGCTTTTGACCCAGTCTGGTTTCTATTTAAAGCCTGAATAAGAAGATATATCTTCATAAATGCCCTAGACTCTCTCTGTCCTAACACTTTTTATAATTACCCATTTGTTTATCTTTTTCTCTGATAGAACATAAACTCTATAAAGTCAAGAACTATGTCTGTTCACTGCTCTCTCCTGGTCTAGCTCTGTGCCTGCCACATTATAGGTACTCAATAAAAATTTGTCAAATGAGTGAATGTTTTCACAAAGATGCCATAGATTATAGCTCCGCAAGCCTATGGTTCATAAACCAAATCCTGTCTTTGTAAATAAAGTTTTATTAGTCACACAGCCACACCCATTTATTTACATATTGTCTATAGCTGCTTTCAAGCTCTAGAGGCAGAGTTGAGAAGTTGCAATAGAAATCACACAGTCAGCAAATCCTAAAATATGTACTGTCTTGTCCTTTACAGAAAAAGCTTGACAATCCTTTCTATAGAGTATAGACTTATCCTTCAGGGTGGCATAAATTTTGATATTGATCAAAGTAGACTTAATTACAAAATGCTTTAGAAGATCCAACTAGAGACCCAAGGTGGCCACTGATAATAGAGCCTTGTTGGGTGAAATATTTTTTTTTAATTTATTTTTATTTTTATTTTTTTTTTTTGAGATGAGGTCTTGCTCTGTCACCCAGGCTGTAATGTAGTGGGGTGATCTCAGCTCACTGCAGTCTCTGCCTCCAGGGTTCAAGCAATTCTCCTGCCTCAGCCTCCAGAATAGCTAGGACTACAGGCACATACACCCACACCTAACTAATTTTTTGTATTTTTAGTAGAGATGGGGTTTCACCACATTGGCCAGGCTGGTCTCAAACTCCTGGCCTCAAGTGATCCACTGCCTCGGCCTCCCAAAGTACTGGGATTATAAATGTGAGCCACCATGCCTGGCCAGATAGTTTTTAAACAATCCAAGTAAGTGGCTCCTTGAATTGTTCACAATGTCCTAAGAAAGTGATTGAGAGGGAAGTTGAAAATATATACATAAAAATGATGTTATTTATATGCCATCTTAATATTTAAATGTGTTAGTGTATTATGTCATGGTTAAGGTTTCTCAAAGGTCAACATACTATTTAACTGAGTAGTTTATGCTTGTTAAGGTGTGTTGGCTCATGTAGGAAGGGATCATGTGAGCGACAATACTGTGTACATCTTTCATCTCCAAACGCAATACTGCTTAAAAGAAAATAAGCAAATACATCTTTTTGGTAAGCTAAGAGTTCTTAATGAGGATAAAACTTCAAAATGAAGGTGTCCACACCAGTACAGTGGGTTAATTTGCCACCATCCATGGGCCTTCATTGTGTGCTATATGTATCGTGTTGCCATGAAATAAAATACCCTAATCAAGAGCTGGATGATCATTGGAGCACCTTGCCCATGCTGGTGTTTGTTAATATCAAGTGGTAACTGTAGCAGTCAGGACTTTACAATGCATGAATGTTGGCTATGAAGGCAGATCCTTGTAACCCACAACCCAAGAATTATGAGCAACTTTAATAGCTATGTTATCTGAAATTCATGCCCAAATGAGCAGTTCCCTACTACTGATTATTTGGGGTATTGTTGGATAAACTACAATCTAGAAGGATGCCTGATCTGACACTTATTGCTAGCACTCTACTTCTCTCTATGGATGAACATCCACAAAGGTCCTACTTTCTCCCAGATGTAAGGGCCTTGGCTGGACTTTATTCCTGGACCACGGCTGTGGAAAGCCATCATCTTTTCCAACATGTCTGATTTCTAGTGAAGCATGGCTCAGCCATGGTGGCTTTGTGATGTTGAACACACCACTTCTCCACCTACTTGTGTGAGGATTTCTGACATCCCTTTTTGCTCCATAAATGTCTAATTCTACCACCATTTCTCTTCCCAAATCTCAGCCCTTTTTATAATGCCCATTCAGTTCTATCGCCCTGTCAACCAAACTTCTCCATTTGCCATGTGCAGTCTGTATTTGCACTTTGGTGACATGGTAAAATCATACCCTGACAAGATGTGCTCCTTAAGAAAAAGCTGAAAGTTTTGAGGAAACCTCAAAACTTCATCATAACACATTCTGGAAGCAAAACCAAGGCCTCTATACAGCTGACTGACAGGCCTAAGAAGAAGGGAGGTTGGGAGGCTCTGTGAAAACTATAGGAAGCATCACTTAAGCCTTCCCTGAAAGCCTGGCCTGGTTTCTTTCTAGTGTACTGATGAGGAAAAGATACAGCCAGTAGAGGTGACGTAGTAACTGATGTGAGCAAAAAGCAATGTTTTTCTAAGAGCTTTGCAGTTTGCTCACTTAGCTGATAAAACTGGGACATTTTTATGATTTTTTTTTTTACTTGAACACACTTATTTCTGTCACTTTAAAAAAACTCCTAAGACTTGAAATTTACCCCTACCCTCAAAACATATCTTCTAACAATTTTTCTACTCTTCCCTTTATAAACACCTAAGACTATCCCGCAATAGGCAGTGAGATCTCTCCCTGTGGGTTTCCATAAAGAAAAAAGGAATAAAAGAAAAAGGCAATGTGGGCAGATTTCCTTAAGTTTCCTCAAGTCCAGCCTTCTGACACTTTTTAGCCCATCTGGGCTTTTGCTGGGCTCTGAATAGGATGTTATATTTTGGCAGCTACCATGTATGTAAGGATCACTCAGTTCTAATAGTAGACATCAATCCGTCTCACCTATTCCCCCTGATGTACCGATTCTAATAATGGTGACATCGCAGCACCGTGCATGGTGGAGTAATTTGATGAGTTCATGAAGCATAATAGAAATGGAGGGGATGCCCATGCCGTGCTATTGAGAGAAAGAGAAAGTCATCATACATCTTGCAAAGTGATACATGAACAGGACATAATTTCTTCCATCATTACAAGTTAACAGGCCTCAGATACATTTACATAATCATTAAGACTTTGCCAATGCTGAGGAAAATGTAAGTCCTCCCTAATTGGCACCTACATGACATGCTGACAGATGTGTCCATCTGTGAAGATCAGAGGGAGGCATCTCACTGCCAGTTCTGTTGACTTCAGCCCTCATCAGCAAGAGCAGAAGGTGGGGATGGTGTGGTATACAGGTGTGTCAGGGCGGTGCCATTTCCCATCTTCCCACTGGGCTCTTCATGATGAGCCTTTGAAAAAGAGCTTTTTGCACGATTGACTTGATTTTGAGGAAATATAATTTTGGTTGCCAAATCATCAGTCTTTTTCAACCATACTAAATGAAATAGTGAATCCATTTCATTTGCTGTTAATTTTGTGTGCTCTGAAAGGTACTAGAGTAGAAACGTGGGTTAGATTCCCCACTTAACAATTTTAAACTTAAACTGAACATGGAAGTGAGTTTAAATTACTATAGATGATGACCATAGCCCTGTTTTTTTCAGTATTCAGGACAGTGGAATCAATGTCACCAGAAAAGGGATCAACACAGGCTACAGGATTTAGCAACTCCTGGTGGCTACACAATGTCCTAATAACTCTCCAGAAACATCCTCCATTCTGTAATTTGCAGAAACTGGAACTGATTTCAAAACTGGTAGTAACTTAATTCCTGACATAACAGCAGAGAGTCAAATGTGCTCTTCAATGTGTCCTACTTTTGGACACAAAGACTTTGGAAAACCATTGGCCGTGACCATGATGTTTTCACCTGAGCTTCCTCCGTCTATCAAGAATGTTGAGCTATGGAAACTTCGAACCTCTGCGTTACCCCTTTCTGGTTCCCATTGCATATGCCCTGACTTTCAAATGTTTAGTAAGCATCCTGGAGCCAGGCATCGAACTTGTATTGATTTGTATATCCAAGATTAACAAGTTTAGGACTTTGGAACTGGCTCTGTGACTAATGAATAAATGCTCTAAGTATTATTTTTTCTTACCTGCAAAATAAGAAGATGAACTATTATTTGATCTATTAGATTCCTTCTAGTTCAGACATTTAGTAAGTTAATGATTGCCACTTATTATGTTACGCATTGATAAAATGACAAATGGACTTGTGCTCTCTTTCACACACACGCACCCCATTCAACCACTACTGGAGAGGAAGAATTTTCAAAGAAGGAATCACATTTGTCAATCCCCTGCCTGCCTAGTAAGGCCCATTTCTAATTGGTAACCTTGGCATCACACATATTTCAGGTCTTTTTCCCAGACAGGACAGGATCAGTCTATTGCTGTTTTCATTTCTTACTGTGAAGTTTTACTGCTTATTTATGGTAGTGTCACATTTTTAAGAAACTTACTTTTTTGTCCTTCTCCATTTACTATACAAAAAACAGTTATAGTCTAAAGGTCCACTAAATGTTGGTAAGAAAAAATTTACCAAGATCAGTGGATATTCAGCTTCCTTCTAATGTAGATATTCTGTAATGGTTTATTGAATGCACAAGTGAATAACTGAATGGACTCTCCCATTTGAGCAGGTTTCAGGCGCTCTTGGCCCAGAGAGGAGAGCAATTTAGCTGCCTTATTGGTGTTGCATAATTTTCCCTTCTTTACCGCAGGTTTTCATCAATGATTGTCCACACTGTAGGGCAATCAATGGATGATGCCTATTCCCTATGGTAGGAGCCACTTACAGCTTAGTTCCTTAGAATTGCCACCCTGTGCAGGAGACTCTTCCCCTGTCCCCTGGCATGCCTGCCTGTGCCTCTTTTGAGGGTTGCAGTGCCCAGAAATGTGATGGCTTCAGAGTTATTGCTTCAGAATACAGCCCTGTGCAGAGAGACAAACATGGGAAGGCAAATGGGATGCCTATGCACATACGCCCTCATCAGTGTGTGCCCAGCTGAGTCCAAGGGGGAAATGGTCTGCATCTTCCCTAAAACTGCAAATCATTCCCCTTTCATTTTGTCTTAGGGCACTGTGTGCTTCCATAACTGTTCACATGTTCTAAATGCAGGAGAGTAATTTACAAGAGCTCAGTAGAAATGCATTAGCAGCTTTTCAGCGAGCTTATTATGGTGTTAAACAGCAGCACTTTAGCAGTCCTGAAAATTAGCCTCTGTGTACTAAAAGCTCAACATTCCCAAAGCTGGGTAAGGGATAGAAGAAGGAAAATTGCCGTGGCGGGGGTGAGGGGTGTTAACCAGTTACAAAGTAAAGAGAAAGGAGGGGTGCTTTGAGTATTTTCCCCCTAATTTGAATACCTAAGTGGTAACTAATAAACAAAAATGATGCTGCATGCTGTGTTCTGCCCTGGGGGCTTTTTCCAATAATGAACTCATACCTGGACACCTTGTTTGATTGTGTAAGAATGCGAAGCTGGAGGGAAAAAGAACTCCTACATGTAAAAGTTCCCACTTTTTTCTCTAGCCTGCAATGACTAGCTGAAATGCAACCATGGATACTTACACTGATGGCGAGCACAGGCCCGGTTTTGTACATACAGTATCTGTCTGTCCCAGCACAGATGTCTTTTATGTCTTCTTCAGCTTCCTCAAACCCGAGCTCCTTGTGCATAAACAGTGCAAATGCTTTCATTCTGTTGGGGCTCCCACCGACACAGACAAACTGTTAATAAAAATAAACAAGGGCCTGCCATAGTAACTGGGATAAGAACCACGGGTCAGTTTCAACTCTAATGTTTTTATTTTACTTTTTAGTTAATTTACTTAAGAACACGTGTAGATGTCATGGTTTATGTTCCATGAATTAGCTAATTTGCATCATCAACCTGTAAATAAAGCAACAGATGCAAAGTTTTTTGCACTAAATTTGTAAAGAAAATCACAAAATCAAAATAAATGTTGATATTATTCAAGGAGGTGTTTCCTGGTGTTTTTGTTTATAGTGAACACCAACCAGCATCTTAAATTGACATAGACAGCCTATTGTTGAGCATTACCATGACATATGCTTAGGATGTAAGTTCTGAGGCCACGGCACGTGAGTGATGTAAGAGCAAAAGGAGAACCACCAGTTTTAGGTATGTTTTCTGATTCCCCATCCCCCATCATAAATTTGTATTGTGAAATGGAGTATGTGAACTTAAAATTTTAAAGGAATCATGTCAAGACTTTTAAATTTCTTATTCAGAAGAAATTCTCATGGAACAAGCCTTATTATTGTAAATGTGGGATCTCCCTGTGGCATTTCATCAATTCCAGTGATTTATTTTTGTTTTTGTTTTATTCACATTTTACCTTCTCTGAAATTAGGATAGGTGTTGCAGTCAACGGTGTCTAATAGAAGATGGTAATACAATTGTCTGGCAGTTACTCATACAACAGTCTGTTTAGGGGTACCCTAGCCCCAGGTACCAGGAGTGGGAGAGGTGGACGCCAGGGAGAGGAGCAGAGAAGCACTACGGGTCAGCAACAAGAGGGTGAGCAGTAGCAGACTCTCACACCCAGGAGGAAGCACAGGCCACAGCAAGGTGGCAAGAGTCAAGTCCTCCCGGATTCTGAAGTAAGTGGTGAGGAAAATGCAGAGAGAGAGAAGACAACATAGTGGAGGGTCTGCCCTTTGAGGTTAGGTAAACCTGGCTTTGAACTCCAACCCCATCAGTGAGTAAGAAACTTGCTCAGTGTCACACAAATAATCGATGTGCCTCAGAACATCTCCAAAATAGGAAAAACACAGTACCTCTCAGAGAGTTTTGAAAGAAGAACGTGAGATTGCATATGGCAAAGGACATTGCACAAGTCCAGACACGTTCTCAGTGATGTGCAAATGGTAACCATTATTTTTTATATCATGTAGCAATTTTCTATTCCTGCTTCTGAGCTTGTTACTTTTCCTGTATTGCAGAATTTAGTACACAGGAAGCTGGTTTGAGTCCTCTAGTGAGGAAAAGGCAGTTGGTGGTATCTGGCTGATGTAGGCAGCATTGGACAGAGGACTGGGAGGGCTGACAAGGTCCATCACAGGGATAAAGAATATCTGTCTAACGAAATACCTAACTGAGGTTATAGAATAGGCGGCCCCATTCACAAATGATTTACTCTAACTATTGGGTGGTCTGAGTACATGATGCATCTTGTTTCCATTTAGCAATAATTCCTGAGCTATTCTCTTTCTCAATTAGGGGTGTAATTAACCCTGTATCCACGCCCTCTGCTTCTCTTCTACCCTTAATATTGTCTTTTCTCTGCCTTCTTATGAGTTTCTCTGATGAAGCCTTAAGCTAGTAATGAACTGCAATAGAAGTCTGCCATAAAGACTGGTAGCAAAGAGGTTAAGACCATGGTTTCAGGTGAGTTTTAAACTAGTTATTGATAATTCTTAGAATTTTCTTCTTTGTTGGTATGGATAGTTAAGACTTGGCTCACGATCTAAGTCCAAGGAAATTTTTTAACACAGTACGGTAGTTTGAAAATAACCTCATTGTGTGGTGCCAGTGAATGTAAATTACAACTATTCAGATTGACCATAAAACCAAAACAGATGTTAGAATAGCTTGTGGTTTGAATTCTCCTTTGAACTGTAGATATTGCTATAATCGACAGGAATTTCTGAATATTTCTGGAGACATAAAGATCATATGCACAGACAGAAGCAGCTTGGTTCTTAAAGCCTTCCTTACTCCTAAACCAGACTCACTAAACACCACCTCTGGACACAATTTTCGGTCTGGCTGCTTTAATGAGAAGTAAAATATGGCTGAAGACCACCAACCAACATTGACCTTAAGTGACACTTACTGTGTTTATGTCTCAAACAAAATGATCAATTGTCCTGGTTTTATCAAAGAAGTTAGAAACACACTGGGAAGGAGTCAGAGGCATTACAAAAATATGTTAAGGATTTTGCCTAATGATTGCCAGAAAAAAACTCAGCTTTAGATATCCCTAGCATCTTAAAAGGCTTAACTATGCCATGTTGTATTAATCTGGTCTATTGCATTTTATGCATTTTCTGTGTTAACAAGGGAATATAAATACATTCAAAATGCATTGCATATTACTAAAATTTCTAGTGAGAGATTAGAGGATACCAGTTAGTGATTTTATAAAAGACATATTTAGATGTTGATTTTGAATAGATAACTTCCTTTTTTTTTTAGAGTTCAATTTATTTATTTTTATTTTATTGCTTGTGTTTTGGTATCTTACATAAGAAATCATTTCCTAATCCAAGGTCACAAAGATTTATGTCTATGTTTTCTTCTAACATTTTATAGAATTAAGCCTTACATTTAGGTCTTTCATCCATTTTGAGTTAATTTTTGAATATGGTGTGAGATAGGGATCTAACTTTATTCTTTAGCATGTGGATATCTAGTTGTCCCAGCACCATTTGAAGAGATGATTCTTTTCACAATAAATTGTCTTAGCATGCTTGTTGAAAATCAGTTGTACATAAAGGTGAGAGTTTATTTCTGGTCTCTTGGTTCTGTTCTAGTGATCTTTATGTCTATCCATATGTTAGTACCACACTGTCTTTATCATTATAACTTTGTAATAAGTTTTGAAGTTGGGAAGTGCGAGTCCTCCAACTTTTTTCTCCTTTGTAAAAACTATTTTGGCTATCCTGCATTCCAGGCATTTTGACGTGGATTTTATTAGAAGCTTGTCAAGTTCTGCAAAATAGGCAACTGGAATTTTAATGGGGACTGCATTGAATCTGTAGAATATTTTTGGTAGTATAGTTATCTTAACAATATTAAATCTTGCAATCCATAAGCATAGGATGTCTTCCCATTTACTTAGAGCTTTCAAAATTTCTTTCAATAATGCTTGTTGTTTTCAGAGTATAAGTTTGCACTTCTTTTGTTTATTTGATTCCTGTATATTCCTGTAAGGTCTATATGTCCCACTTCAAGTCGTACAACATTGATTAAAAGTAGATTTTTAAACATTAAATATGTTTACTGTAATCCTTAGAGCAACCACTAAAACAAATAAGCAGAGAAACAAAACTGAAACAAAACAAAGAGATATAGTCAAAATATAACAGATAAATAAAAATGGAATATTTAAAAAATGTTCAACTATCCCAAAAGAAAGCTGGAAAGAGGAATAAAGAAATGGAAAGCAGAGCTTAATACACAGAAATCAAATATAAAATGGTAAACCTAAATCCAAACATATCAATAATTACATTAAATGCAAAGTGTCTAAGCACCCATTTAAGACACAGAGATTTTCAGAATGAATAAACAAACATATGATCCAATTATATGCTGTCTATAATGATAATGATACAGGCAGATTAAAAGTAAAAGAATGGAAAAATATAGACCATGCAAGCTTTAATCTAATGCTGGAATGACTATATTAATATCAAAATAGGCTTCAGAGCAAAGAAAATTACCAGAGACAGAGGGATATTCCATAACCATAAGAGTCAGTTTACCAAGAAGACATAACATTCAAAGTGTATAAAAACTAAAAACAGAGCTTAAAAAATAAAGCAAAAACTGTCAGAAATAAAGTATTAATAAACTCACAAGCATAGTTTGAGACTTCACCTCTCTCAGTAATGCATAGAACTTATGGAAAGGGAATCGGCAAGACTTAAATGTTAGACCTAAAACCATAAAAACCCTAGAAGAAAACCTAGGCAATACCATTTAGGACATAGGCATGGGCAAGGACTTCATGTCTAAAACACTAAAAGCAATGGCAACAAAAGCCAAAATTGACAAATGCGATCTAATTAAACTAAAGAGCTTCTGCACAGCAAAAGAAACTACCATCAGAGTGAACAGGCAACCTCAGAATGGGAGAAAATTTTTGCAATCTACTTATCTGACAAAGGGCTAATATCCAGAATCTGCAAAGAACTCCAGCAAATTTACAAGAAAAAAACAACCCCATCAAGTGGGCGAAGGATATGAACAGACACTTCTCAAAAGAAGACATTTATGCAGCCAAAAAACACATGAAAAAATGCTCATCATCACTGGCCATCAGAGAAATGCAAATCAAAACCACAATGAGATACCATCTCACACCAGTTAGAATGGCAATCATTAAAAAGTCAGGAAACAACAGATGCTGGAGAGGATGTGGAGAAATAGGAACACTTTTACACTGTTGGTGGGACTGTAAACTAGTTCAACCATTGTGGAAGACAGTGTGGCGAGTCCTCAAGGATCTAGAACTAGTCCTCAAGGATCTAGAACTAGAAATATCATTTGACCCAGCCATCCCATTACTGGCTATATACTCAAAGGATTATAAATCATGCTGTTATAAAGACACATGTACATGTATGTTCACTGCGGCACTACTCACAATAGCAAAGACCTGGAACCAACCCAAATGTTCATCAATGACAGACTGGATTAAGCAAATACACCATGGAATACTATGCAGCCATAAAAAGGATGAGTTCATGTCCTTTGTAAGGGACAGGGATGAAGCTGGAAACCATCATTCTCAGCAAACTATCACAAGGACAAAAAACTAAACACCGCATGTTCTCACTCATAGGTGGAAATTGAACAATGAGAACACTTGGACACAGGAAGGGGAACATCACACACTCGGGCCTGTCATGGGGTGGGGGCAGTGGGGAGGGATTGCATTAGGAGATATACATAATGTAAATGACGAGTTAATGGGTGCAGCACACCAACATGGCACATGTATACATATGTAACAAACCTGCAGGTTGTGCACATGTACCCTAGAACTTAAAGTATAATAAAAAATATTTCTTCTTTTCCAACATTAGCCTTTAATTCTATAAATTTCCTCTCAGCACTCTACCCACATTCTGTAGATATAATATGTTGTATTTTCATTTTTCCTCAGTTCAAACTATTTCCTGCCTTCCCCGGAAATGTATATCCTGCTTTGTTTGAGTGGAGAATTTTATAAATGTCCATTAAATTTGAATAGATAACTTCTAAGGATCTTCCACCGTATGTATTAATTGTCTGAATCTTTCTAGTGAGTATGGCAGAGATTGATTAGCTGTTCACCTAAACAGTTTGCTCTTCTTTCTGGGCACCCAGCTAAACTTAACATCTCAGCCTCCTTTCCAGTTAGACAAGGTCATTTGTCTGGGTTCCAGTGACTAGAATTTGAGCAGAAGTAATGGGTACCATTTCCAGTCCTAGCCCATAGAAATCTCCCATCCTACAAGGAGGATGTATTGGTGACCCTACATATTGTCGCTGTCATCTGCTGGACAGGTGTTGACACACTGGGAAACAGCAATTTATGCCTTGAAGGAAACAGTAACAATTATGGAAGGAGCCTGGGTCCTCGAATCACCAGATGTAGGGAAACCATCCATCAACTAAGAACTCCCACCTTGTACCTAATGTGAGTGAGAAGTAAACTTAAATTGTATTAAGCTACTGAGATTTTGCAGTAGCAAGTAGCAAAAATTTTTAAATATGGTAAGAATATGAAGGAAATAGGAGTGATTGCTGGAGTCTGAAGTTTCAGCTTTATACACCCAGAGTTCTCCTTTCTTGGAAGATAATGGTATTAATAATGATTATCATCTCTGTGAAGACAAGCCTGAGTTTTCAGGTACTGATGGATTATGTCCTCTTTTCTTAGCCAGGACTGCTGCCCTGGGATTTAAGGAACTCAAGAAATTGAATGTAGAATGTTCTCATTCAAAGAGGAGAACATGGCTGGAGGAAGGCAAGTTTCTGAGGAAACCATCTATGAGAATAAATCAGACTTTACACGCTGCCTTGAAAAAATTCTACTTCAGATTAAATGGCCAGTTCTGAACATTTGGAGCTAGGTTACCTGCTCCTCAATTTACAAACACACACACACACACACACACACACACACACACACACACACACACGCTTTTGCCTCCTATTCATCAAAATGGCTCAATCAGTAGAGTTGCTGTTTGATGGGATAAAACATGTTTGAAACAGAGCATGTCTTTTTATCCAAAAGATAATTTACTGAAGGTTCACAACCAGGTGGGTGGTGAATGTATAAGGTTGGATAGTGGTTATGACAGACAGTGTGTGAGAATAAGTGCTGAACAAAATCTGGACAGGCAGACGTGAAGGTCTGTTTCCTGGGATTATAACCGAGATGAGACAACTATGTGTGTGTGCGTATGTGTGTGTGTGTCTGTGTGTGTGCGTGTGTGAGAGAGATACATACATGTGAGTCCCCTTATTTTTATCTCTAAAACAAAGCTTTCCATCCCAATAATTTCCCAGAAACTAATACTTGGAGTACTAAAAAGTACTAAAACATAGTGCTTTTGTTTTTTTGTTTTTGTTTTTGTGTTATTTTGTTTTGTTTGAACAGAGAAAGAGCCATTATTTTTTTATCGGAGAAACCTAAGGTTTAATCTCAGCTATTTGACTTACCAGCTGTGTTGTGCCTATTACAGACAAACATATATGTGTTATAACACTATGTATATATTTGAGCCTGTGTTTTCTCATCTGTAAAGTGGAGATAATAACTATAGTTGCTGTGGGGACTGAATGTACCATTTGCATGTGCCACACAGAGTCTGATATATAGAAAGCGCACCATAAATGGTAGAGGAGACACAGACACCCAAGATATGTAGATAGCAAATCACTTTCTGTCTCAAATATATATCTCAAGTCTTTTAAATGTATTAACCAGCTGTGTGCCTTAGTTCATTAATTGTGAAAAGTCTTTCAATTAATCAGAGTCATCCCTAGACAAGGGTCCTGGGATATTATTGAGAGGCATGAACCTCAAATCTAACATTTGAATTCTGGTACAATCTGGTTATTGAGTATTAAAGACCGCCTTGATCAATGACTCTTGGAGCATAAGTAAACCAAAACAGCAGCAGGGGAAGAGGTTACATTGAGAAGACAAAGCGCAAAATAGAGGCAGGCCACACAAAGGCAAGGAGCACAGCCTGGAGAGGAGTGAAGAAAGGGTGGGTCACCTCACTGCCAGGACACCCACCCATGCCCTCACACCTTCCTTCCTAGGAGAGAGGGAGCAGGAGAAGGCCACTCAGCACCTACTAATCATAGGCATAATAGATCTATTTCTTCTCATTTTCCCATCTTTTTTTCTTTCCTTCCCTCCTTCCTTACTTTCTTGTTCCCTTCCTTTTCCTCTGCCTCCAACCTCTTCCTCCTCCCCTTTTCTCACCTGCCTCTTGACCCACTGGGTAAGTGAAAGAGCTAGGATTAAATAATTATGGACTATCCTGAGTTACTGTGACTCAAAGGGTCCTCCTAGTGCAATGAGCAAGAACCCTAGAGATTGGACTTGGAAGAACTTAATCCAGGTCTCAGCACTACCACTCTATGGTGTAACTGTAACCTTCCTCCACCTCTCTGAACTTAATTTCCTTGTTTTATGGAGAGAGTTAATATCTGCTAAACCCATCCAAAAGAGCTAAATCTGCAGATGTTAGTGAGATAGTAGATGTGACGCTTTTATTTTTGTTCTCGTAATTGCTAAAGAAACGAAAAAGTCAGATGAAAACAGCGCGATTCTCCATTAGTGCAACTGTAAATAGATACAGTCTTTTGGAAAACAAAAGTTCTTTAAAAATTCAGTCTCTTTGACCATTTCTGTGAATCACCCTAAGCAAATTGGCCTAAAT
Source organism: Homo sapiens (assembly GCF_000001405.40). Taxonomy (NCBI): domain Eukaryota; kingdom Metazoa; phylum Chordata; class Mammalia; order Primates; family Hominidae; genus Homo; species Homo sapiens. Next base: position 158,107,126 of record NC_000002.12, on the reverse strand, counting down.
GTAGAAAATCTTTAGTTACAAAATATTCATTTGATTCCTGTTTATAATGGAAAATATTTTAACATAAAACTCAGTAATAGTCTCTGTAATGTGTGGTACACCACTTGACACCCATAAATGATATGTTTCAAAAGAATGTAATAATATGGAGAAATGTTAATGATGTAAACCTAAATGATGAAGTGCAGAATGCAGTTATATAATTACAACTATTTTAAAGTCTATTCATTAAAAATGATTGAAAGAAAAAAATGAGTTGATCATGTCTATGTTTAGGTGGCAGGACTATTGGGTGTTTTTTAACAATCATATTCTTTTTTGTATTCCCTATTTTAAATAATGTACACAAATTGCTTATATAATTAAAATATGTCAGATAAAATAAATAATGCAGAAGTACAATTTTATGGTAGTATTTAATAAATAATTTGTATGAAATATTTCTTATGAAACAAAATTCTTAATATGAAATATTAGATAATGGTTATTTCCCAGAAGTGAAATAATATTATATTGTTAGTTTTGTTGGGTTATTTTTATGAGTTAATAAAACGAGAACTAGTGAGATTAAGCTATAAATGTAGATGCTAAATAGTGAGCTGAATCTGTTAAAACATAATGAATTCTCAACACCCAGCAGTATTGTCAATAAAATTATATTTATCTCCAGGGGCCAGAGTAGCCAAATAACATGTTTGCATTAGATTTAGTTTGGGAACCTTTATGTCTTGTTGAGGTGGAAATGATTGTTCATGATATACACATTCCAAATTGTTTCAGAGAATGAGTGTGACTTCAGTTCCTATTGGGACTGTGCTAGCCAAAGGTGTATAGATTATTTTGGCAAGGTAAGAAGAAAAATTAGTAGAGAAAACTCAATCATTTTTCCTGAAATTAGAAATGTTTTTACCTTTACATCTCCAAACATTGCTGGTAGGTTGTGTGTTTTTGTTCCCAAATCCAAGTGATAGAGAATGTCTTCATCCATCAAATCCAAGTAAGGATTTTTAACGTGAACAAACCTTTTTCTGGAAAAAAAAATTATACAAAGAAGATATAAAAGAATTTTGAGAGAAAGCTCACAAGAAAGAAAGTCTGAACATAAACCTTCCTTTAGGGTTAAATTATTTGTTGAGAAGCAATGTAGTATAACAGTAATTATGGCTAATATTTGCCCACACTATGTGCCAAGCATAGCACTGAGCATGAAAATGGCAAGAAAACTGCATATAACAAATGCATTAACTCATTTGTCCCATAACTGCCCTCTTAGCTGGGTAAGATTAATAATTTAGTTTACAAAGAAGCCAAGGCTTACAGAAGTTGAGAAACTTGTGCAAGATTAACAACCAGTAAATTACAAAACAGCCATTTCTATTCAGTTCTGACTGTAACGGTCATCTAATTTCTTTGCATGGGAGGCTGTGGAATATAAACTACTGGGCTCTGGATTCAGATTGCCTGGGTTCCAGTACAAGTTCAACCATATATATCCTAATTGTGCAACCTTGAGTAAGTTATTTGTATTTTATTTTATCTTCTCAAAGTGTAGCATGCATAACAATCAGCCGGACACTTCATGGACTCTTCTTCTGGAAATTCTGATTCAGTGAGTTGCTGATGTGTGTCCGAATTTGCATTTCTAGCAAGCTCCTCATTGGTCCTGATGTTGATGGTCTATGGACAACACTTTGAATAGCGCTGCCATTGAGGACTCCACCAACCATGCTGAACACACCACTTTCTTTCTACCCCACTGGCCATGGCCCTGGCTCAAACCCCCATCACGGCAGTGCTAGCTAGAACACCAATCCTTCCTCCCTTTTCTTTGTGAAATACCACGAAATTCAAGACAGTGAGCTGATGACGGCTATAAGAATGACCTTAATTCAATCTAGTTCATATTTATGAAGCATATCATTTGTAGCTTTCGGTTATTTGGATAGTAATCATATGCCACTAGAGTTGTTAGTGATAAAAGTTATCTACCCCCACACCACAGTGGGTCAAGACGTCTTTGCCAAGAACTGTCTGAGACTTCTTTGTTCTTTGTTCCTCCATTTCTCTCCACATGCCTGCCCCCTCCCCTCCCCTCCCCTCCCCTCCCCTCCCCTCCCCTCCCCTCCCCTCCCTTCCCTTCCCTTCTCTTCCCTTCCCTTCCCTTCCCTTCCCTTCCCTTCCCTTCCCTTCCCTTCCCTTCCCTTCCCTTTCAGAGTTTCGCTCTGTCACCCAGGCTGGAGTGCAGTGGCCCAATCTCAGCTCACTGCAACCTCCGCCTCCTGGTTCAAGCGATTCTCCTGCCTCAGCCTGCTGAGTATCCAGGATTACAGGTGCCTGCCACCATACCCAGCTAATGTTTGTATTTTTAGTAGAGATGGGGTTTCACCATGTTGGCCAGGATGGTCTCAAACCTCTGACCTCAAGCGATCCACCCACCTTAGCCTCCCAAAGTGCTGGGATTACAGGTGTGAGCCATCATGCCTAGCCTTTCCACATGGCTTTCATTCCATACACCTCAAAACATTTTACCAGGCCTTGTGTCTTTCTATATCTTTATCGATTCTCACTTGGGTTTGCATTAAAATTACCAGGGAGCTTTAAAAACAAAAACAAAAACAAAAAAACACTGGTGACCAGGCACTAATTAATTTAGACACTCTGTATTTTAAATCTAAAGATTTTAAGTATTTTTAAAATCTCAAATGATCTTTGGTGAAGCCAAAGTTGAGAACCCCTGCTTCAGGCCTTTGTCCTTCAAACATCCTTCCCCCTTTCTTCCACTTTTCACCTATCAAATTCCAATTTTCCTTTATGGTCCAATTCAAATATTACCTCTTCCGTGAAGGCTTTTCCAAGCATCTTCTCTCCTTGATCAGTATTAATTTTTTTCTCACTGTGTTCCCAAAGCATTTGTTTCATGCTAATGCTGGTAGATAGCATTTCACATTGCAATATAGTTAAGTTTCCATCCCTCTAGAAAGACTGCGAATCCCCTGATGCAAGCTATCTCAAATATCCTTCTTGAATCCCTAAGTTTTAACAAATTCTATTGTTGAATTAAATTTAACTGTTCAGAAATTGGAACAAAATACTATTAATTTCCTTCTCAAAAACATCTAGAGTTATAGATTTTTAATTAGTTACTGGGTCATACGTACCTAGTTTCAAAAATAAAGTATTCCGTGGTGTTAGTACACATTACTACTACAGAACAAGCTTCAAAATCTCAAAGCAAAGGGACATTTCCTTTCTTCTCTTGTGAGGCAAGAATTTATCCCTAGTCCCTTGTTATACAGTGTGTGGTCAGTGAACCAGCAGCATCAGGAACATCTGGGGAGCTCATTAGGAATGCAAAGTCTTAGATTCTACCCCATACCTGCTGAATCAAAATCTGCATTTTAACAAACTCTGTGTGATTCACATGCACATTAAAGTTTGACAAACACTGCCATAAACTTTTTCTTCCAAATTCTATTACACTTTCTGTTTCACTCTGCCAAGACTACTTTCACGACCTGGAAATATTCCTTTGGATTCCTAACTGAATCTATGAATCATTACTCTATAAAAGAGTCTCATTGCTCTACCCTAGTGATTCCAAACTCCAGCTACATATCAGAACCACCAGGGGCACTTTAAAGAGTACTTATCCCTAGACCCTATCTCTAGAAATTTGGATTGACTTGGTCAAGGAGACCTGGGCTTTGGTGTTTTTAAAATCACTCATCTATACACACACTTCCTATCTTCAAGGAGAAATTCTCCAACCAGCAGAGCCATTAATTATTTTCACTTATATTAATTATAATACTATTAATTCATTAGGATTAGTTTTCCTTGATGCCCTGTCCCAACGTCTAATGATTTCTCCGTCAGAAAATTTGGGGGACTGTCTATAGAAGTTTCTTGTTTCATTGGGCTCATCCAGAAGCACTTCTAAGATGATCACTTTATCAGTACCAAAGAAAAAACTTGTTTGGGATTTCATGCCAAATTTCTACCCAATATGAATGTAGTTTTTGGAATATTTGATTTTTCCAAAATATATAATTTTTACTAAATAGGTTTATATGTGTTGTTGAATCTTCAAACTCTTCTTCCTTTTCCTAACACATAGAATAGTCTTTTTAGTAAATCGTGACAAATTACACTACATGATGAGTATTAAATATTGGTAACCAAAAGAAAGTGCTGGCTGAGCAGAAGTCTTTCCATTTGCCATTACCTTCATCTTCATAATTTTTCCTTTTCTTTTTCTCCTGGGCTTCCCTGAAGAAGGGAACATGCAGGAGGCTACCTCTGTTTGGGATGGGCAAATGGAGTGTTTTCTGAAATGCTGACATAATGGAGGCTCTAAGCAAGACATTTCACACAACTCTCAGGAAATCAGAGGGAACCAGCAAAATCTCCTTATGCCTCATGATGATTAATGCTCTGTTGTGTTCTGTTAACCTGGGGCAGGAACTGGAGCTAAATTTGTAGACAGCTTCAGCAATTTTATATCTACCCATGAGATGAATCACATAGACGGTATTTCAGAAGTAAATTCTATGTAAGGTCCATCATGAAGCATATGAAATCACTCCACAATATCCTGCAATACAATTAAACCTCCCTCAGGCACTGGGAGGCCCTTTTAATTATTTCTCATTTGCAGCCCATGGTCTTAGAATTAAGGGCTGAACTCTATAGTGAGTCCCAGGCTGAACCTTGAATTTGTTTACTACTGAAGGTTGGCTAAACTTTTGCATGTTTTTTATAATTTATTTTGCCCCATTTTCTTAGATGAGCCAAACCCTAACCCCCAAAACCAAGGAGTAAAAATGTCATTGAAAATACATTTTCCACTGTTTTTATTGCTTTATGAGCTGCATCCAGTGATATAATCTCTACATTTAAGAAATTTGCTTAACTGTAGAGGCCCATTATCTAATCATTTAATACAAAATCCAAGGAGCAACCATCTGATCAAAACAAATTTACAAAATCAAAATTACTCACCCAACATATGTATTCCTGTCAGATCTCATGGACCTATTGGAGGCAGGTATAACTGAAGCCATTCTCTCTACTATGTGAAAAGTCACCTTAAATTGATGTCAAGAAAGAGAGATATTGTGACTTGTTATTAAATTATAGACCTAGTCATAATAGTTCAGTTCCCAGTCAGAATGATAACCTCTCTTAAAACTTAGGTTTTCCTGTGAAATTGCTAAGAAAATTTTTCCTTTAGCATTTTAAATTTTCCTATCAAATAAAAGATGTCCTCCCTGACATGACTTTTATACCACAGCCCAGCTCTCAGAGCAGCACTTCCTCAAGAAGATAGGCCCCCTTTGAAGGTGTGGCATCCTAGCTCTTTGACCAGGTTGGTTAGCTTGTTAACTATTGGTGAGAACTTTCCCTTACATCTGTCCTTGATCCCAACACAGGTTTGATGTTGCAAACAGGCTTATTTGCTTTGAGACAACTGTATATGGATACGAGTCCTCTTTTGGTTTCTATAACACACCTACCAGGTCTTCTCAAAACTGTGTCCAGTACATACGAGAACTTTCAGTTCTCAAACATTTCAGTTCCCCATCTCCATCCAGCCCCTCGCCAACTTGTTTTCATTCTTTGTCATCACAAGTTAGGGAAGCATCCAAAGTCTGGACCTCAGAATGTCCCTTTATCTGAACTTTGCTCATTCCAGTTCACACAGAAGAACTGATAATTAAACAAAACTTATTTCCCAGGGCCTCTTTCTTTAGTTAAACTGTAGGCCATTGGTAAAATTTATTGAACCAGGGGTTAATCCACATGGAATAATAATACAGCATAGTATTTTCAGAAAACGGAGTCTCTGCCAAGAAAGGCATGAATTCACTACTTTCACTAATGCTTCTCACTTTTCACTTTTGGGACAGAAAAATCTAGAAAACTAGACAACTTCATCCTGATCTTTTTTCTCTTCACTCCCATAGCAATCAGCTGAAGTTCTATGCTGGTGAGAGCTTCAAGAACGTAGTCTCATGGCTTTCAGGCAAATCAGAACCTAAAATGTCTATAAATGCCAAACAGCAGCAAATACAAGACACCTCCTAATATGCTTGGATTTCTTTCCAAGAATGTGCATCACAGTCAAGAATCAAGTGCTCATATCCTAACTGAGTTCTCCATGTTAGAAGATGCTCCTCTTCCTGGTGACAGTCATTCTTGGCAAATTCTTTGAATGCCCCACTGGCCTCCTTTGGTCCATCTTGGTCAGACAGCAAAGTTTACAGAATAGGAAGGAAAAAGAATAGGGGACTCTATATTGGGGAATCCATGTAGCCTAAATCTTGCCACTGTTACCACCAACTAGACGTTTGCAACTGTGCCCAGATAGCAAAAAATTCCTGAGGACACTTATCCTGGAAAAGGTAATGATGACTATGAGGCAAAATAGTCTTTAACATGTGTGTTGCCTTTGTAACTTAGAACAGTAGTTCTTGTTGATAGCTTGTATACATCTGTCTCTTACCTCCTGACTCATCTCAGGCTGGTCTACCTGCTGCTCCTTCCCAGGAACCACTGGCAATTTTGAGACTCAACATACTCACTCACTACTGCTGGCACCAGCACACCTTTATTTGATATTCCATGCCATATCTCTCAATTTTATTTTTAAGGTATAATGAGGAGAACCACCAATTTCAATCTGGCATTTACCTCTGGCTTTGAGAGGTAAAAATGTTAGCTAATTAGATAAGTGTTCAGTAATTAATTACCACAGTGAATTAACTAGGTTGATTAACATGTCTGTTTCCGGTGCAGATTCAGTCAACCAGTGATCTTGATCACTAACAGTGCCAGGTAATGCCATCTAAGATTTATGGACCCCATGTAACAACTCGGTCAGACATTTAGGCAAGTAATTGTCATTTGGATGAAGTTCAGAATAATCTTGTGGAATCTATAAAAGTTGATGAAAGTAGAATACTAGTTAATGCCTTCTGGGCAGTCTTAAATTATTCTCCCCACCTTTCAATCTTCTCAAGACTCGATCCTGCTCTTATGGTAGGTTGTTTCTCAGCAATGCTTTTTGATTGACTGTATTGCAAAAGGCCAGTCACCTGAAGAGCAGGGGAAAAGGTTTCGTTTTTAAAAATTATGCACACAGGAGTGCACAAGGCAAACTCAGACCTGGCCACTGGGTAATTTGCAAACAAAGGCTGTGTGCCAGGCACAGCCCATGACTCAGTCCAGCCTTGTGATCAGGAGGGTCTTGCATCAGATCTGCCAAATCCATGCTCCATGGTGTCTTGCCTGAGACAAAACACTTCACTTCCTACCGTCTTCCTTTATGATGCTGGCACTATTACATTCTCAATTCCATTACAGTTTTCTATCTGGCTTAATTTTGTCCCTGAACCTCTAATATTAGAAAAAGAAAGCACAGTCTTGATGTACAACTGGATAGCATTTAGGCCTCCCTGAGACCATGCTTTTGTGCTCTTTCCCTGCCTGCTAGACTAGCCCTGGGACCAGAGTCTCAATTCTTAGATGTCTCTCCATGGGGTATCAGCAAAGGTTGTATTGGTTCACCTGAGGCTGCAGCAGGCACCCCTTCCCAGAAGACACTGCCCCTTACACATGCACACACACACTAGCCTCACAGCCTATGGGAGTAGGGGTGTCAACGCACAGCAAAGTCCTCACATCTCCTCCTTCTTTGGCGGGTCTCAGAGTGGGGATGGGGTAACCAAGAGCCCTTTCCTCCTGCCACATCAGATTCCCTGGCTCTTCCATTCAGCCCATAGCACCAGCAATGGCTTGAGAGAGCTCCAAAAATGTCCTAAGCTATCCATTCTGAGGCTAAGCAGTTTATATTTTCATTTATTCATTCAATAAATATTAACTGAGCATACACCATGCTCCAGGAAGTCTAGGAAGTGCTGAAGATAAAGGCATGAAAAAGACAGTTCTTGCTTCTTTTCTTCCACAAAAATATTGACATTCCATGAATAAAGAAAACGCAAGTTACCACACTCCTCATACTAACCTTCTGTATGTTAAAACACATATACTAAGTGTAAATTCAGCATTCTCTCCTTCGTGACAAATAACTAAAACTAATTAAAGATCTTTTGATCTTTCCTTGAGTGTTTATTTTCCAATACATAGGTTATAGGTGCCTCAAAACCTTTGTATAAAAGGGGAGCTATTAAGAGTGTACAATTTTTTATGGTATAGATGTGTTATAGTTTAACATTATTACATATACGTGCAAAGAAAATGTACAGTATTTTCTATTAGCTATCCAGTCTTTCTCAGTATACGCACCCTCCTGGAAGATAGAGCAGAGGACAGTGTTTTTAAACTTGCCAATTAACAGCATCTCTGTCTTTGGTTTAAATAGTCTCATTTAGATGATTTATTTTCTTTTAGATACGCGTTCATCCAATTTCTTCCTTGTGCCCACTGCTCCCATCTGAGGTGACACGTACAAAATGGAATGGTGGGGATGAGCAAGGAGCAAGAGAAGGGCTCCTGGATCCATGTGCTCATTTCCTTGTATTATCCCTTGGCTCTATGTGATGATGCAGCTCAGGCATTGTCCGCTGTTTTCTCATAAGGGACCTGTGGCTACTTAGGTGTAGTCTATGGGTCCTTGAATGCGCTCACTGAGATGCAGCTGGCCCCATCTGGCCCTAAGGGAGCATTATGCTGGCCCTCCCCCTCACCATCTTGGATGCAGGCCTAAGCTGAATATGGAAATTCTCCTAGAGAATCACAACCTTTCTTAGGCTGCCTCGAAGGATGCAGGCCTCTGGCTGCAGTGTTCTCAGGCTGGCCTATGCCTAGTTGGATAGGGATAGCACCCTCCTCCTTTATTTTCACCCCCAAGGGTGGGTGGTCACCGCAGACCTTGGCCTGCCTCTTGCACCATTTCTCCTGCCCTCTTACTCTCATAATTAAAAGAGGAGACCCTCTTTGTACTTTTTCTCTCTGTCTTATGTGAATTTCCCTTATATCCTATCCTGAGTTCTCTCTGGTTTCTAGCAATCTCCGTGTTCAAGTCCAGACCTAGGTTTTTTTGTGTTAATGACAGTATAAACATATCTAAAATCTTTATTTTTCCTCACATTGCCTTATTAGGGACTCATAATTGCTATTGAAAGAATTCTAATTTCCTACTCTAACTCCCATTCCCCAGCAGATAGACGGGAGTGTGCACTATGAAAAAGGCCATGTATACAGAAAAGAAAAAAAGAGATTAGTATTAGGTTTCAAAGTACTATATTATAATTATAAGCAAGAATGATATCCCTAGGACAAATGCTACAACCCTACGGTGTTTGTTTTGCTCTTTTTTGGAGGGTGTTTCCCTCCACAATTCTGTCAAAATGCACTGCTGTTCTAGGCAGGGCCAGGCAGAGGGGTGGCAGCTGAATGTTTGCACAGATACCTTCCCCCGAGGGTTGGTGTAGTGGAGGCTGACCCATGCTGAGGCCCTGGGGAGGATTGCAGCATCCCCTAATCCTTGCAAAGGACTGCAAGCTCCTGTTTCCAGTCTCAGGAGATGTGGTTATGTTGTAAAAGTTTTAATAATTGTGTATGAGATTTAGAAATACAAAACAATGACATATTTTCCAGGACCCACAAGGCATTGACATCTGGAATCTTTATAAAGTTGAAATTTGCCTGAGGAAAATTTCTTGATTGACGAAATTTATTTTTTACCAGAATTATATACACACTCTCTCTATATATATATATATAGAGAGAGAAACCAGGAATTTCTCTTTGGACAATGATTAAAGTTAAGAAAATAACAAGTTTCAAATTGCGTGAACATTTATTTATAGGCTTTTGTAGGGGTTTGAGTAAGGAGGACTTGACTATTGTCAGCCATTCCAGAAAGGGTCTGTCTCCAGGTAAATGGAAACGCCACATAAGAAGTGTCATACTTATCATGCAGTAAGTGATTATTAAGCACCTACTATGTGCTAAGTTTGTTAATGCTCGAAGATGAGTAATGACTTACTTTATTTTATTTTTTTCTGGTTCATATTTTTTATCATGTTTTTAAAACTATAAAATATTTAATATATATTACAAAGTATTCAGAAAAATTTAACATGTTCTTTTCTACCAGACTTAATATTAATTTGAAAACATTAAAATTAATCCATGTACAGTTGAAGATTTATCCAATCTCATTTCCTTCCCTTTCTCCCCAGATAAGTAAACATAACCCTAAATTTGGGAAGTATACTTCTGGTTCAAGTGTTTTATAAGTTGAAGTATAGATGATAAAAAAATAGTTTTGGTTCTTCTGCTTAAAAATTTTACCTTAATACTATCCCACTCTACCTTCCTTTACAACTTTGTTTTCAAAAATTTAATATTATATATGCAATGATATCAAATTATTGTTAGGCATAGGTCTAATTCATCAGATTACCATATAGTGATCTGTTATATGACATTACAGCAATTTATCCATTCTCCTATTGATGGCCACTTATTGTTTATTATATTTATTTATTTATTTATTTTTGAGACAGAGTCTTGCTCTGTCAGCTAGGCTGGAGTGCAGTGGTGCAATCTCAGTTCACCGCAACCTCCGCTTCCCAGGCTCAAGCAATTCTCCTGCCTCAGCCTCCTGAGTAGCTGGGATTACAGGCCTGTGCCACCATGCCCAGCTAATTTTTGTATTTTTAGTAGAGACGGGGTTTCACCATGTTGGCCAGGCTGGTCTCGAACTCCTGACCTCAGGTAATCCGCCTGCCTTGGCCTCCCAAAGTGCTGGGATTACAGGCGTGAGCCACCACACCTGGCCCACTATTTTATTATTTTTTAATAATGGTCTTTGTTCTCAGCCTGTTTTTTCTGGCAACATCCAAATGAAAAGAACTTTACTTACAACTTCCCTGGCTTTTCTGGTGGCCTTTCTTATCACGAGCCTGACTCCCACAGTGTGACCAAAGCGTAAATTCACTGTTTTCTAATGGCTGACCTTAAGCCAACACCAGAGCCTCAGAGTCAACAGAAAACTCTGAACAGCCAGCAAAGGTCATCAGTGCCTCTAGTGGCCTGGTCAACAGAGGGCCTTAAGACTGAAAAACCCTTGACTTCTGCATGTACTTGACTTCAATTTTTAGGATGTTTCTGTTCTTAATGATGTTTGAGAAAATATGAGGCACCGCGTGTCTAACAAAAATTCAAGAAAAGCTATTTCATTGGAAATAAAGCATATTTTAAATCAATACCAGTAGGGAATAAAATGTAAAAGCTTTTGTCTAAGCTCGAAATAACCACATTCAACTCAGAATAGAAATCTGAAGGATAAGGAAAAATAATGAAAAAAAAAACAGGAAGAATGTCAGTAACAACAGTGGCTAATAGCATTACTCCAGGCCAGGCTTTGGACTAAACAGTTCGACTCCGTATCTCATTTCATCCTCACAACACGTCTGTGAGATAGGTATTATTATTTCCCCAATTTTCAGATGAGGAAATGGAAGCCTAGAGAGGTTAAATCAAATGCCTGAGATCCTATAGTGAGTAAATGGAGATTGGAGTTCAGATCTAGATCTGTGCAGCCACAAAACCATGAAAACTCTTTCTACTCTGCTTCTGGTACATGGTGGAGTCCATTAAAGAAGACAAAGTCCAAGGAGAATGGCCTCAACAAGAGAAGGGAATTTGATCTGGGTGTTGAAGGTGAAGTAGGACTGGGATGTAAGGAACATCTCTCTGCCACATTTTACCCTGCTAGTCATCAGGTTGTTGATTTAACTCATTTATAGGAAAAGAGGGCACAGTTAAACCATAGCAGCTGTGTGTTCTTTGAATGCTGATGAACAAGATGGCCCCATCAAAATGATGGCCCAGTCCTAAAGCTGATTTTAAAGTCATCTCATTGCCAAATTTTAAATTGACCCTTAAAATGTCTCTCACACACACTTTACGATTAACTCATCTCAGGCTCATCACTTCCCTATGATTTTACCCAAATAGCAGGGCCCAACTCACCACCCTGTCTGGAGCAATTTCTGTCTGCCCCTGAGCTGTCCCTGAAATATTAGTTAAAGGGTATGAGGGCTGAGAGGCTCTGTTTCTGCTGGTCTCCTAGCCTGGCTTCCTCACTGCCTGTGACTGGCCATTCTGGTGACTTCAAGCCTTGGAGATTAAAGCCCGTGTTAGTCTTTCAGCACCTGATGAAAGCGCTTAACCAGATCATGAAGTACATTGGGAAATCAGCCTCCACAGCTGGAGGAAGCTCTGTGAGTTTGACAAACCCCACACTGAAGGGAGAGGGGGTGATTTTCCTGGGAACTCAAGGAAGGTTCAGTCCTAACCTCTAACACACACCACAGATTATTACTGCTGCTGCCCAAGAGGGCTCAGATGGGAAAATAATGCTAATACATTGTGGAGGTGGTGAATTCTAGGCCCCCAAAGTCATGAAATTTCAAAGCTGACTGATTCTAATTTAGGTTTAGCTGAGTGAAAGAGAACAGTATGTTTTATGGAACTCTCTTAACATTACTAAGTGCAATATATTGAGTTAACCATTAATTTTTTTTCTAAGGAAGTAGAAAACCTTGGTTGTATAATCATGGTCACATTGACATTTCTGTAAATGCTTCACCTTAGGCATGTCATGACTTTTCAAAAATGTTATTCTTTTGAACACTTTACTTGGTTTTTTATTTAAAGTAACTAAACAGAAAATACTGTTGCTGTGGTGATTGTTAGGTCTTTGTGACTACTTCATGTTAGTTACTATAGTTAAAATTTTTAATTTTAAAACATTTAAACATAAAGGTACAGATATATTAGATGCCTGTGTAGTTACTACCCAAATTTAACAATTGTTACATTTTGCCATATTTAACACATTTTTTTTTAAAGGAAAGATTTCATTAAAGCCCTGTCACCTTCCTTACTTTAGATTACCTTCACTTTCTTCCTGAAGGTAATCACTGTCCTAAAGGTGAAGAGTTGGTAGGTATGCTTTTGGGGTATATGTTAAAACTCGTACTTATAAGTATGTACTTAATAACTACATGAGCAGGTTTAAGGTGTGTGCGTGTGTGTATGTATATGGTATATGTATATATATGGTAGATATGTATATATAAGAATCATATGTATATATAATATATGGCATATATATATAAATGTAACATATACTATATATATATTTTTAAAACTGGCTTTTTTATGTTGCTTCCAATTTTTTCCTGTAAACATCCTTATGGGTATCTTCTTGTGTATGCACATAAGAGTTTCTCTAATGTGTGGTAATAATATGTTTGCATGTATTCAGTTTTACTAGATAGTATTACATTGCCCTACCTAATAGTTTTACCAAGTTACACTTTTGTCAACAGTGTATAATAAACCCCATTTCCCCATATTGTTGCCAATAAATCTGATGTTGTTAGCCTTATAATTCTTTTGTTAATGTGATGACTGTAAAATGGTATCTCTTTGCTTTATTTCATTTCCCTGATTACTAGTGAGATTAAACGCCTTTATATATGTTTGGCAGTCTTTCAGCTTTCTTCTCCATTCTTTGCCCGTATTTTCTTTTGGGTATTTTATTTTTGTCTTACTAATTTGTAGGAGATTTTTATATATGATGAATACTGATCCTTTGTTGGTTATATATATTGTCCTTTACTTCCAAACTTTCCATGTCATTATGTTTTAGGAGTGTATCAGGTAAACAATACATCAATGGATTTTCAAAAAGTTGTCTTTTATCTATGTTTAATACATTTACAAATACTGTGATTCCTGATATATTTTTACTCCTTTCTTCTTATTTTTTTTCTAATTGTGTGTGTGTGTGTGTGTGTGTGTGTGTGTGTGTATGTTTCTTTTTACCGCCTTCCTACATTCTATAGAATGATTAAGTTCTCTGTGCTGGGCGCAATGGCTCACGCCTGTAATCCCAGCACTTTGGGAGGCTGAGGTGGACAGATTACTTGACGTCAGGAGTTTGAGACCAGCCTAGCCAATGTGGTGAAACCCCATTTCTACTAAAAATACAAGAATTAGCCAGTCATGATGGCGTGCACCTGTAGTCCCTACTTCTGGGGAGGCTGAGGCACGAGAATCACTTGAACCCGGGAGGCGGAGGTTGCAGTGAGCCGAGATCATGCCACTGCACTCCAGCCTGGGTGGCAAAGTGAGAAAAAAAAATGATTACATGATTCTTTGCAGACCCCATTTCCCTCTGTTATTTTGGAAGTTATATATTTTATTTCTATTCTTTCAATAGTTACCCTTACATTTCAACAAGCATACTTAATACAATTCAAAGCTAATTAATACCTATACTCTTCTGCATAACACAAGCAACTTGGAACAATTTAACTCTAATTACTACTTCACATTTTGGTATAAAGTAACTTAATCTATCTTGTTTTCATCCCTTCCTCCCTTTTAGTCTTATGGTTACCACTTTGTTGATAGTTAATAATAATTTACATTATCCATGTCTGCCAATGTCTTTGATCACAATTGCTTCTCAGATCTCCTTCCTTCTGGGTTTCTTTCTTTCTAAAGTACATTATATAATAGTTCTTCAGCATGGGCTTTGAGCTGAAAACTATCTTTGTTTTATCCTCATTTTTGAGTGACTATTTAGCATGGTCTAGAATTCCAGATTGCCAGTGATTTTCCCTCAGCACTCATGGGATGTTTATTCATTATCTTCTGGTACCCATTGTTGCTGATGAAAAGTTTGTTTTCATCTGCTTGTGTTTGAGTAAGTAATCTGTCTCTTCTTTCTGGTTGCATCTAGATTTTCTCTTTATATCCTGAAGCTTTATTAAAATGTGTTTAGGTGTGACTTTTTTAGAAAATAACTTATTCTCATGGCTCACTGTGCTTCCAAATTATGAAAAAACCTGTCTGTTATCAATTTTAGGAAATTCTCACTATTTCTTCCTGAATAGGTTATCTTCTTCTGGCACCCCTCTTAGATGTATGTTAGGCCACCTCAGTTTGTCCTCCTAATGTATTAACTTCCCTTTTATACATTCAATTTGTCTCTCGGCAATAAAATGAGAAATTTTCTCAGATCTTTCTTCTTCACACACTCTCTGGGTGTGCTTGACCACTCTTAACCTATCTGTGGTTAGTTGCAGTAATGTCCTCAATTATTTACTCCACCCTGTATCTACACCCTATTCCATATAACTATGCAATGCCTTCTCACCATAAACTGGGTAACATTGACTGCTCCTTGACCATGGACTCGATCATGCCATTATTTTGATCAAGAAAATGAGTCAGAACTGACAATGTGCCAGTTGTTCATGCCTTTGCACTTCCCCATTGTCATACTAACATGCCCAGGGTAGTCTGCTGGAGGAAGAGAAGCATGTAAAACGGAGCCCAGGCACCTCGTCACCCCAGTGAGGGCCAGCCTAGATCATCCAACAGCCAGCTGAGCCCCAGAAGTGAGCAAGCCCACGAAGATCAGCAAAGTCACTTTGCCAGCCCAGCTGACCCCAGGCACATGAGTAGGAAATGCTTGCTGTGTGTCTTTCAGGACCTATGGCAATAGCATTATTGTGGCAACAGGGTAACAAATATACCATGCATTGAGATTTTTCGTTTACTAAACTTTTTCATTTGTAGGTAAGCTAATTATTACTTTTTCAAATTAACCTATATTTAAAAACCGTATCCTATTTTTTCTACATATTTCTGTTTCATCTTTTGTCTATGTAATCATTTTAAACATAGATATTTTATAATTTCTTTCAGGTTGTTGATCTATCTGAAGTTCTTGAAGTGCTAATCTTCCCATTACAGCTGATTTCTCTCATTAGTGTTTCCTCATTTTACCTATAATTTCAATTTTGTAGTCCATATCTATTTTACCATGGGAATCCAGTACACAGAAATATTTGAAAGCATCCCCAGGCAGCAGTTTTGTATTTGCTTCTGCTAGAGGCTACAAGTGTGTCCACAGTCTAGGACCAGTTTGACATTAATGTCTTATTTTAAGGATTTTGGTACCATGTAGGTAGCATAAACTGTCATTCTACAAACACAAGTGACGCGTTACTTCCGTTTCTCACTGGAGACTGTTTTTGTACCCACGTGCCACAGAGACAAACTTTCTTTGCATTCAAGACAGTCATTGGGATGTTAGCCCTCTTTCACTGAAGGTACAGAGTTTCCCAGTTTTGGCTTAATGTAGAAGTTTCAGGTTCAACGGTCACCTACAAACCAGGACCCTGTGTATACATCCTGCAGAATCCCAGCACCTTGGCACGGGGGCCTATTCCAAGTTTGATCCTCTCTGGGCCTCAGTGGCATCAGCTCATGAGCTTACATTCTTCATTTCTAAAACTTGGGGGTTATCTCTTTTATTCCTTAAAGCTAACCCATGCTAGCCTTTAGACAATACTCCTTTTATGTCTGTTAGGAAAGTTGTCCATGTGGGTCCGTGGCCGTGCTGCTGGCAGATGCTTTGTTTAACAAGCAAAAATAATATTGCAAAAAATTAGAAATGAAAATTTTTTTAAATTTATTTTTAATTGCTATGGGTAAATAATAGATGTATATACTTAGATACATTTGGTTTGTTTGTTTGTTTGTTTTTTGGGTTTTTTGGGTTTTTTTGAGACGGAGTCTCACTCTGCCGCCCAGGCTGGAGTGCAGTGGCACCATCTCGGCTCACTGCAAGCTCCGCCTCCCGGGTTCACGCCATTCTCCTGCCTCAGCCTCCGGAGTAGCTGCGACTACAGGTGCCCACCACCACGCCTGGCTAATTTTTTGTATTTTTAGTAGAGACAGGGTTTCACCGTGTTAGCCAGGATGGTCTAGATCCCCGACCTCGTGATCCGCCCGCCTCGGCCTCCCAAAGTGCTGGGATTACAGGAGTGAGCCACTGTGCCCGGCCTACATTTGATGTTTTAATACAGGCACACAATGTGTAATAATCACACCAGAGTAATTAAGGTATCCATCACCTCAAGAATTTATTTATTTGTGTTAGGAACATTCCAATTCCACCCTTTTAGTTATTTTTAAATATATAATAAATGATTGTTGACTGTAGTCACTCAGTTACGCTATCAAATACTAGATCTTGGGGAAAATGGAGGATAGGAGGCAGGACTAATTTGCAGCTCCCACTCGGATGGACAGAGCAGCATGTAGAGACTAACATCATGAACTTTTGCTTCAAGAACTACTGCAGAAACAGCCAAGAGAGTCCACAGACCCTTTGAAGGAAGTGAACTGCTGCTGCAGGCCCCAGGATATACCCAAAAAACTGTGAGTGCCCAAAATGTGAAAGGGGGATATTCTGCCCCCAAACATATACCCTTACTGGGAAACCTGAAGGTCCAGATCCCAGATCACAGGAGAAGGATTTGACCTTACCTGGAGCTGAGATGAATTTAGAGAGTCAAGTGAAATACAGGGGTAGAAGCAGCAGCGAGAAGAGCCCTGTGGGCACTTTCATTCTCCAGGGATGCCATTTCTGACTTTGTCTCACAGGGATCCTTTGGGAGGGCTGCCAGAGGAACTGGGAAATGACCAGAGAGAAGGAAACTTCCAGCTGAACTTTGTAACAATTTCAACCGAGTGCAAAGTTTCCTGGACAGAAGTTGGGGTCGGGGGTGGTTGAATCGGGAGTGCAGACACAGCACAGAAACTGCAGCAGGCAGGGAGGTGCAAAATCTGAAAGCCCTGCTTGCTTTCTAAACCAGGAGGCTGGTAGCCTGGGGCAAGTTCTCAGCCCTGCTTACCCACTGCCTGGAAACAAACTCAGTGCTGTCAAAGGGGCACGGTGGGAGTGAGCCCAGTCATTCAGGCTGCAGAGAAGCCAGGTGAGGCCTGTAACTAACAACTTTCCCCCACTCTCCTGGCAACCTACATGATGCACAAAGGCAACCATAATCCCCCTGGGAACGTAACTCCATTGGCCTGAGAACCACACCCCTATCCCCCCAGCAGCCACTGCAAGACCCCACAAGGAGACTCAGAGCTCAGACACACCTAACCCTGCCCCCACCTGATGGTCTTTCTCTACCCGCTCTGGTAGCCAAAGACAAAGGACATAATCTCTTCAGAGCTCTATGGCCCTGCCCACTCCCTGATCCTCCCTACACTATCACAGCTAATGCTCTCTTGAAAGCACCACCCCCTGGCTGGAGGCCAACCAACATGAAACTAGCACAATAAGCAAAACTACAACCAGGGACCCTCACAGAGTCCACTTCACTCCCCTGCCACCTCCACCAGAGCAGATACTGTTATCTACAGCAGGGAGACCTGAAGACGGTCCACATCACAGGACTCTGTGCGGACACTCGCCAGTACCAGCCCAGAGTCCAGTAGTTGCAATGGGTGGCTAGATCCCGAAGAGAAATTACAATCACTGCAGTTCAGCTCTAGGAAGCCACATCCCTAGAGGAAGGGGGAGAGCAACACATCAAGGGAGCACCCCATGGGACAAAAGAATCTGAACAGCAGCCCTTGAGCCCAAGATCTTCCCTCTGACATAGTCTACCCATATGAGAAGGAACCAGAAAAAAAATTCTAGTAATATGACAAACAAGGTTCTTTAACACCCCTAAAAGATCACACTGGCTCACCAGCAATGGATCCAAACCAAGAGGAAATCTCTGAATTGCCAGAAAAAGAATTCAGAAAGTCAACTATTAAGCTAATCAAGGAGGTGCCAGAGAAAGGTGAAGTCAAACTTAATAAAATTTAAAAAATGATATATGAAGGGAAAAAGCTTCAGTGAAATAAATAGCATAAATAAAAAACAATCACTACTTCTGGAAATAAAGGACACACTTAGAGAAATGCAAAATACACTGGAAAGTCTCAGCAATAGAATCAAGTAAGTAGAATAAAGAACTTCAGAGCTCGAAGACAAGGCTTTCAAATTAACTCAATCCAACAAAGAAGAGGAAGAAAGAATTTTAAAAAATGAATAATGCCTCCAAGAAGTACGGGATTGTGTTAAATGGCAGAACCTAGGAATAATTGGTGTTCCCGAGGAAGAAGAGAAATCTAAAAGTTTGGAAAACATATTTGAGAGAATAATTACAGAACACTTCCCAGGCCTTGTAAGCGATCTAGACTCCAAAAACAAGAACCTCAAAGAACATTTGGGAAATTTATTGCAAAAAGACTATCACCTCAGCATAGTCATCAGGTTTTCTAAAGTCAAGATGAAGGAAAGAATCTTAAGAGCTGTCAGGCAAAAACATCAGGTAGCCTAAAAAGGAAACTCTATCAGATTAACAGCAGGTTTCTTAGCAGAAATCCTACAAGCTAGAAGGGACTGGAGACCTATCTCCTTAAACAAAACAATTATCAGCCAAGAATTTTGGATCCAGAGAAACTAAACTTCATAAATGAAGGAAAGATGGTCTTTTTCAGGCAAACAAAGGCTGAGAGAATTTGCCACTCCCAAGCCAGCTCTATAAGAGCTGCTAAAAGGAGCTCTAAATCTTGAAACAAATACTCAAAAAGCACCAAAATAGAACCTCATTAAAGCATAAATCTCACAGGATCTATATAACAAAAGCACAATGAAAAACAAACAAAAAAAGGTATTCAGGCAACAAATAGCGTGATGAATAGAATAGTACCTCACATCTCAATACTAAAATTGAATGTAAATGGTCAAAATGCTCCACTTAAAAGACAAAGAATGGGAGAATGGAGAATTCACCAACCAAGGATCTGCTGTCTTCAAGAGACTCACCTAACACATAAGGACTCACATAAACTTAAGGTAAAGGGGTGGAAGAAGATATTCCATGCAAATGAGCATCAAAAATGAGCAGGAGTAGCTATTCTTATATCAGACCAAACAAACTTTAAAGCAACAGTAGTTAAAAATGCCAAAGAGGGACATTATATAATGATAAAAGGACTTGTTAAACAGAAAAATATCACAATCCTAAACATATATGCACCTAACATTGGAGTGCCCAAATTTATAAAACAATTACTATTAGACCTAAGAAATAATATAGATGGCAACATATTAATAGTGGGGGACTTTAATACTCCACTAACAGCAATAGACACGTCATCATGACAGAAAGTCAACAAAGAATGGATTTAAACTATAATTTAGAACAAAGGGACTTAACAGATATTTACAGAACATTATACCCAACAACTGCAGAATATACATTCTATTCCTCAGCACATGGCGCATTCTTTAAGATAGATCATATGATAGGCCACAAAACAAGTCTCAATAAATTTAAGAAAACCAAAATTATATCAAGTACTCTTTCAGACCACAGTGTAATAAAATTGGATATCAACTCAAAAAGGAACCTTCAAAACCATGCAAATACCTGCAAATTAAATAACCTGTTCCTGAATGATCATTGGGTCAACAATGAAATCAAGATGGAAATTAAAAAATTCTTTGAACTGAAAGATAATAGTGACACAACCTATCAAAACCTCTGGGATACAGCAAAGGTGGTGATAAGAAGAAAGTTCATAGCCTTAAATATCTACATCAAAACATCTGAAAGACCACAAATAGACAATCTAAGGTCACACCTCAAGGAACTATAGAAACAAGAACAAACCAAACCCAAACCCAGCAGAAGAAAAGAAATAACAATGATCAGAGCAGAACTAAATGAAATTGAAACAAAAAAAATACAAAAGATAAATTAAACAAAAAGCTGGTTCTTTGAAAAGATAAATAAAATTGATAGATCACTAGTGAGATGAAACAAGAAAAGAAGAGAGAATATCCAAATAAGTTCAATTAGAAACAAAATGGGAGATACTACAACCAATACCACAGAAATACAAAAGATTATTCAAGGCTACTATGAACACTTTTATGTGTATAAATTAGAAAACATACAGGAGAAACTAGAAATATATAACCCTCCCAGATTAAACCAGGAATAAATAGAAACTCTGAACAGAACAATAATAAGCAGTGAGAGATAAATGGTAATTAAAAATGCCAAGAAAAGTAAGTCCAGGATCAGATGGAGTCACACCTGAATTCTATCAGACATTCAAAGAAGAATTCGTGCCAATCCTGTTGACACTATTCCACAAGATAGAGAAAAAGGGAATCCTCCCCAAATCATTCAATGAAGCCAGTATCACCCTAATACCAAAACCAGGAAAGGACATAACAAAGAAAACTGCAGACCAATATCCCTGATGAACGTACAAAGATACAAAAATCCTCAATAAAATACTAGATTAACTGAATCTAACAGCATATCAAAAAGATAATCCAGCATGACAAGTGGGTTTCATACCAGGGATGCAGGGATGGTTTAACATATGTAAGTCAATAAATGTGATACACCACATAAACAGAATTAAAAACAAAAATCACATGATCATCTCAATAGATGCAGAAAAAGCATTTGACAAAATCCAGCATCCCTTTATGATTAAAACCCTCAGCAAAATCAGCATACAAGGGATATACCTCAATGTAATAAAAGCCATCTATGACAAACCCACAGCCAACATTATACCGATAGGGGAAAAGCTGAAAGCATTCTCTCTGAGAACTGGCAAAACACAAGAATGCCCTCTCTCACCACTTCTATTCAACGTAGTACTAGAAGTCCTAGCCAGAGAAATTAGACAAGACAAATAAATAAAGGGCATCCAAATCAGTAAACAGGAAGTCAAACTGTCACTGTTTGCTGATGATATGATTGTATACCTAGAAAACCCTAAAGACTCCTCCAAAAAGCTTCCTAGAACTGATAAATGAATTCAGCAAAGTTTCAGGATACAAAATTAATGTATGAAAATCAGTAGCTTTGCTATACACCAACAGCAACCAAGCTGAGAATGAAATTGAAAACTCAATCCCTGTTACAATAGTTGCAATAAAATAAAATATAATGTAATACTTAGGAATATACATAACCAAGAAGGTGAAAGACCTCTACAAGGAAAACTGCAAAACACTGCTGAAAAAAATCATAGACAAAACAAACAAATGGAAACATATCCCATGCTCATGAATGGGTAGAATCAATAATGTAAAAATAACCAACTGCCAAAAGCAATCTTCAAACTCATTGCAATTCCCATCAAAATACCACCATCATTCTTCACAGAACTAGAAAAAAATTCTAAAATTCATATGTAACAAAAAAAGAGTCTGCATAGCCAAAGCAAGACTAAGCAAAAAGAACAAATCTGGAGGCATCACATTACCCAACTTCAAACTATATTATAAGGCCATAGTCACCAAAACAGCATGGTACTAGTATAAAAATAGGCATACAGACCAATGGAATAGAATAGAGAACCCAGAAATAAACCCAAATACTTACACCAAACTGATCTTCAACAAAGCAAACAAAAACATAAAGTGGGGAAAGTATATCCTATTCAAAAAATTGTGCAGGGATAATTGGCAAGCCACATGTAGGAGAATGAAACTGGATCCTCATCTCTCACCTTATTCAAAAGTCAACTCGAGGTGTATCAAATACTTAAATCTGAAACCTGAAACTGTAAAAATTCTAGAAGATAACATCAGAAAAACCTTTGTCGATATTGGCTTAGGCAAAGACTTCTTGACCAAGAACCCGAAAGCAAATGCAACATAAACAAAGATAAATAGATGGGACTTAATTAAATGAAAAAGCTTCTGCACAGCAAAAGAAACAATCAGCAAACAGACAACCTACAGAATGGGAGAAAATCTTTGCAATTTATATATCCAACAAAGGACTAATTTCCTGAATCTATAAAGAACTCAAATCAGCAAGAAAAAAAAATCCCATCAAAAAGTGGTCTAAGGACATGAATAGACAATTCTATTCAAGAAGGTATACAAATGGCAAACATATGAAAAAATGTTCAATGTCACTAATTATCAGGGAAATAGAAATCAAAACCACAACACAATATGAGCTTACTCCTGCAAGAATGGCCATAATTAAAAAATAAAAAAATAATAAATGTTGGCATGGATGTGGTGAAAAGGGAGCACTTTTATACTGCTAGTCAGAATGTAAACTAGTACAGCCACCATGGAAAACAGTGTGGAGATTCCTTAAAGAACTAAAATAGAGCTACTATTTGATCCAGCAATCCCACTACTGGATATCTACTCAGAGGAAAAGAAGTCATTATATGAAAAAGATACCTACACATGCACGTTTATAGCAGCAAAATTCTCAATTGCAAAAATATGGAACCAGCCCAAATGCCACTCAATCACCATAGATAAAGAACTTGTGAGATATATATATATATATAAAAAACATATATATATAAACAGACATAAACATATGTCTATATATACGTGTATATATATATATGTATATATATATACACCATGGAATACTAAGCCATAAAAAGGATGAAATAATGGTATTCAGAGCAACCTAGATGGAATTGGAGACAATTATATTTTTTTTTAATTATACTTTAAGTTCTGGGATACATGCACAGAACCTACAGGTTTGTTTCATAGGTATGCACATGCCATGGTGGTTTGCTGCACCCATCAACTCATCATCTACATTAGGTATTTCTCCTAATGCTACCCCTCCCCTAACCCCCCATCCCCCAACGGGCCCTGGTGTGTGATGTTCCCCTCCCTGTGTCCATGTGTTCTCACTGTTCAACTCCCACTTAAGAGTGAAAACATGCGGTGTTTGGTTTTCTGTTCTTGTGTTAGTTTGCTGAGAATGATGGTTTCCAGCTTCATCCATGTCCCTGCAAAGGACATGAAATCATCTTTTTTAATGACTGCATAGTGTTCCATGGTGTATATATGCCAATTTTCTTTATCCAGTCTATCATTGATGGACATTTAGGTTGGTTCCAAGTCTTTGCTATTGTGAACAGTGCCGCAATAAACATACGTGTGCATGTGTCTTTATAGTAGAATGATTTATAATCCTTTGGGTGTATACCCAGTAATGGGATTGCTGGGTCAAATGGTATTTCTGATTCTAGATCCTTGAGGAATCGCCACACTGTCTTCCACAATGGTTGAACTAATTTACACTCCCACCAACAGTGTAAAAGCATTCCTGTTTCTCCGCATCCTCTCCAGCATCTGTTGTTTCCTGACTTTTTAATAATCGCCATTCTAACTGATGTAAGATGGCATCTCATTGTAGTTTTGATTTGAATTTCTCTAATGACCAGTGATGATGAGCTTTCTTTCATATGTTTGTTGGCTGCATGAATGTCTTCTTTTGAGAAATGTCTGTTCATATCCTTCACCCACTTTTTGATGGGGTTGTTTTTTCCCTGTAAATTTGTTTAAGTTCCTTGTAGATTCTGGATATTAGCCCTTTGTCAGATGAGTAGATTGCAAAAATTTTCTCCCACTCTGTAGGTTGCCTGTTCACTCTGGTGATAGTTTCTTTTGCTGTATAGAAGCTCTTTAGTTTAATTAAATCCCCTTTGTCAATTTTGGCTTTTGTTGCCATTGCTTTTGGTGTTTTAGTCATGAAATCTTCGCCTACGCTCATGTCATGAATGGTATTGCTTAGGTTTTCTTCTAGGGTTTTTATGGTTTTAGGTCTTACGTTTAAGTCTTTAATCCATCTTAAGTTAATTTTTGTATAAGGTGTAAGGAAGGGGTCCAGTTTCAGTTTTCTGCATATGGTGGAGACCATTATTCTAAGTGAAGGCACTCAGGAATGGAAAACCACACATTGTATATTCTCATTCATAAGTGGAAGCTAAGCTATAAGGATGCAAAGGCCTAAGAATCATACAATGGACTTTAGGGACTTAGGGAAAGAGTGGGAGGTGGTAAGCGATAAAAGGCTACACGTTGGGTACAATGTATACTGCTCTGGAGATAGGTGCACCCAAATCTCACAAATCACCATTAAATAACTTATTCATGTAACCAGACCAGGTATAATGGCTCATGCCTGTAATCCCAGCACTTTGGGAGGCCAAGGCAGGCAGATTACTTGAGGTCAGGAGTTCGAGACCAGCCTGGCCAACATGGTGAAACCCATCTGTACTACAAATACAAAAATTACCCGGGCATGGTAATGGGCACCTGTAGTCCCAGCTACTCAAGAAGAGGCTGAAGCAGGAGAATTGCTTGAACCCAGGAGGTGGAGGTTGCAGTGAGCCGAGATAGAGCCACTGCACTCCAGCTTGGATGACAGAGTGAGACTGTCTCAAAAAAAAAAAAAATTATTCATGTAACCAAACACCACCTGTTCCCCAAAAACCTATTGAAATAAAAATAAATATAAAAAATACTAGATCTTATTAATTTTATCTACCTATATTTTTATATCCATTAATCATCTTTACTTTTCCCCCTCCCCACTACCCCTTTTAGCCTCTGGTAACATCATTCTACTCTCCATCTCCATGAGTTCAATTTTTTTAATTTTTAGCTCCCCAAAATAAGTGAGAACATGTGAAGTTTATCTTTCTGTGTCTGGCTTATTAATGTGCTCCAGTTCCATCCACGTTGTTGCAAATGACAGGATTTCATTCTTTTTATGGCTGAATATTATTTTATGGTGTATATGACCACATTTCCTTTATCTATTCAACCACTGATCGACACTTAGATTGCTTCCAAATCTTGGCTATTATGAACAGTGCTGCAATAAACATGGGAGTGCAGCTATCTCTTTGGTAGACTGATTTTCTTTCTTTTGGATATATACTTCACAGTGAGATTGCTGCATCATTTGGTAGATCTATTTTTAGTTTTTTGAGGAACTATCATGCTATTCTCCATAATGACTACTAATTTACATTCCCTTCAATAGAAAAAAATGTTTTAACTGACCTAGTCCTCAAGCAAAATAAGAACATAGTGCAATACAAAAAATATGGTCCAGGGCACAAGCTTTTCTTTAAAGTGACCTTAATTTTTGTTAAGCATTAGAAATATCCTCTATCTTTGTTAAGCAGTAAAACTTGACATAAGCAGTGTTTGGACTAATGGTCCTGTTTTTCCAAAATCATCATTTCATACAATTCCTCTATATTCTGTGATTTAATTTATGAGACTGTATCCATTCTTTATTTTCCTGGTAACACTTGATTCTTATGTCTGTAAGTCATTTGAGATGTAACAACACTAAATCAACATTTAGAAGAGTACACAGGCATGACACACTTCATTTTTTAACATTAGATTTTATTTGAAAATATTTTAAAATAAATGCCTTTAAATGAATACTTTTAAAATACTGCAACGTGGTTTTCTAACAAATAACTGAGGTTTCTGGAGATCTTTCCTCTCCTCTCTCCAGAGCCTGTTCAGGTGAGAGAAGGTCAGGGGATCAGAGAGCAGAGATGTTCCACACTAATTCTAATCCTCCCCTACTTTGTCTTAATCCCTTCTTCATTCCCACACTAATGAGGGCACAGTCTGGTGGACAAAATACAGAGGCTGGCTTTTTGGTAAAAGTCATAATTTTGTTTCAAGGTAGAAAAAATATTTCCAACGTTTGGCCAGTTTTGATTTGAACTGGACTAGCTGGGAAAGATAACTATGGCTTCAATAAGTTGGAAGGGAGTAGTGCATCAAGATTTATAAAAACAGACTAACAATATACCAAATGATGCATTGTTCCGGGTATAATCAGTGTGTGGATAAATGGAAAGTAATTGTATTCAGAAGAAAGCCATTCTCTTGGCTGTGGAAGCAAGAAAAACAGTACAGCACAATTCTGTCACAGGATATAGATGCTGTTTTGTTTCAAAATGGTAGACTAACAAATTGCACCTACAGAGGCAGTGTGATATACTGAAAGGATAATTGTTTTAAAGCCAAATGGACCCATGTATCATTGGGCCAGCAAGCTCATAATCTTAGTGTTTTCTTCTTGTAAAATGGAAATAATAATAATTACTATGCAGGAGTATTGGGAAGATAAAATAAGAAAATATATATTAAATATCTGGTTTGTAAGCACATAATAAAAGATAAAATTATTGTTATTTTAATACCATTTATCTTAACATATACTTTTTAAATAAAAATTTATGAATATGTAATTAAAGAAGCATGAAATGGTGTGTGGCTCATGGAACACAAATCTCTTAATCAAATGAGAAAGCTCTGAAAGGGAAATTCCGGAGAGTCAAGGGGCTAAGACCAGGGATATTTATGTGGCTGTGTGGATCTAAGCAAGACTCTTCCCCCAGACAGTGAGACTTCAAACACAGATGATGATTACGCTGAATGGCTTGGTTGTCTCTGTGCAAATAGTGCCTGACAGACAGGAAACTGACTCCCATGATACACTTCACAGAATACAGTTAGCTTTACATTTGTTAACACTGATTATATAAAAGAACAATGAATGAGGCAGCATAGAACTTACCTCTCTCTCAATTCTGACTCACTCGAACTCATTCAACATTACTCTGCCAGAAACACACTCATTGTTGGAGAGCAGAAACAGTGACAAGTCAGGGAGAACATATTGGAAAAGGCTTTTTTTCAGCCATTTGAAAAAAATGTATGTAAGAGAAATGTATGAGTGGGGAAAATAATTGAATGAAGTGGAATGGGTTTAGTATGATTTAATCGCCTTTTAATTTTTCTAAATTTGGCTAATGATGACAGGTGCTACCTGTCTGTGATCTTGTTTTGTCATCACAAGCCCCCTGTAACGTAGATATTTCCATTTTATAACAATGTTAGTTCATTTGCCCCAGATCTTCCAGGAGGTGAATAGCTCAAGGCTCTCCAATCCTAAATTCCACAACTCTTTCATTAACCCCTGATCAGCCAATCCAAGAAGCATATCTAGGACCAAATTCTTATAATTTGGATATCCTACAGGGACATATACAAGTAGGCTTTTTCCTTTTTTTAAAAAAAATTATTTTTAATTTTTGTGAGTACATAGTATGTGTATATATTATGGGGTATGTGTTAGTCCGTTCTCATGCTGCTATGAAGAAATACATGAGACTGGGTAATTTATAAAGGAAAGATATTTAATTGACTCACAGTTCCACATGGCTGGGGAGGCCTCAGGAAACTTACAATCATGGCAGAAGGCACCTCTTCACATGGTGTCAGGAGAGAGAATGAATGCTGAGCGAAGGGGGAAGCCTCTTATAAAACCATCTGATCTCATGAGGACTCACTGTCATGAAAACAGTATATGGGAAACTGCCCCCATGATTCAATTATCACCACCTGGTCCCACTTTTGACATGTGGGGATTATTACAATTCGAGGTGAGATTTGGGTGGAGATGCAGAACCACACCATATCAGGGTACATGAGATACTTTGGTACAGACATGCAACATGCAATAACCACATCAGGGTAAACGGGGTATCCATCCCCTCAAACATTTCTCCTTTGTGTTACAATCCAATTCTACTCTTTTCATTATTTTAAAATGTGCAGTCATTATGATTATATTCACCCTGTTGTGCTGTCAAATACTAGGTCTTCTTTATTCTTTCTAACTACTTTTTGTACCCATTAATAATCCCCACATCCCCACTCCCATCCCCCTGCTACTCTTCCCAGCCTCTGGTAACCATCTTCTACTCTCTATCTTCACAAATACAATCGTTTTCATTTGTATCTCCCACAAATAAGTGAAGTGTGATGTTTGTCTTTCTGTGCCTGGCTTATTTCACTCAATGTAATGATTGCCAGTTCCATCCATGTTGTTGCAAATGACAAGCTCTTATTCTTTTTATGGCTAAATAGTACTCCATTGTGTCTGTGTATCACATTCATTCATCCATTCATCTGTTGATGGACACATAGGTTGCTTCCAAATCTTGGCTGTTGTGAACACAGCTGCAACAAACACAGGAGTACAAATCTTTCTTCAATATACTGATTTCTTTTCTTTTGAGAATATACCCAGCAGTGGGATTGCTGGATCATATGGTGACTCTATTTTACTGTTTTCTGAGGAAACACCAAACTTCTCCATAGTGGTCGTACTACTTTACATTCTCACCAACAGTGTACAAGGGTTTCCTTTTCTCCATATCCTTCCTAGCATTTGTTATTAGCTGTCATTTGAATAAAAGCCATTTTTATTGGGGTGGGATGATATCTCATTGTAGTTTTGATTTGCATTTCTCTGATGATCAATGATGTTGAGCATTTTTTCATATGCCTGTTTGCTATTTGTATCTCTTCTTTTGCGAAATGTCCATTTAGATCTTTTGCCCATGTTTTCATTGGAATACTAGATTTCTTCCTATAGAGCTGTTTTGAGCTCTTTATGCATTCTGGTTATTAATCCCTTGTCAGATAGGTAGTTTATAAGTATTTTCTCCCTCTTATTCTGTGGGTTGTCTCATGCACTTTGTTGATTGTTTCCTTTGTTGTGCAGAAGTTTTAACTTGATGTGATCCCATTTGTCCATTTTTGCTTTGGTTGCCTGTGCTTGTAGTTTATTACTCAAGAAATTTTTAGCCAATCCAATGTTTCCCAATGTTTTCTTGTAGCAGTTTTATAGTTTTAGGTCTTCGATTTAAGTCTTTAATCCATTTTGATTTGATTTTTATATATGGTGAGACATAAGGGTCTAGTTTTATTCTTCTGCCTATGGATATCCAGTTTTCCCAGCACCTTAAAGAGACTGTCTTGTCATCAATGTACGTTCTTGGCACCTTTGTCGAAAATGAGTTCACTGTAAGTGTATGGATTAGTTTCTGGGTTCTTTATTCTGTTCCATTGGTCTATGTGTCTGTTTTTATGGCAGTACCATGCTGTTTTGGTTATGATAGCTCTGTAGTATAATTTGAAGTCGGGTAATGTGATTCCTCCAGTTTTGTTCTTTTTGTTCAGGATAGCCTTGGCTGTTTTGAGTCTTTTGTGGTTTCATATAAGTTCTAGGATTGTTTTTTTCTATTTATGTGAAGAATGTCATTGGTATTTTGATAGGGATTGCTTTAGATAGTATGGACATTTAACAATATTGATTCTTCCGATCTATGAAACGGAATATTTTTCCATTTTTTAGTGTCCTCTTAAATTTCTTTCATCAATGTTTAGTTTTCATTATAGAGATCTTTTACTTCTTTGGTTAATTCCTAGGTATTTAATTTTATGTGTGGCTGTTGTAAATAAGATTACTTTTTTGTTTCTTTTTCACATTGTTCACTGTTGGCATATAGAAATGCTACTGATTTTCGTATGTTGATTATGTATCCTGCAACTTTACTGAATTTGTTAATCAGTTCTAATAGTTTCCTTGTGGAGTTTTTAGGTTTTTCCAAATATAAGATCATATCATCTGCAAACAAGAATAATTTTACTTCTTTCTTTTCAATTTGGATGCCCTTTATATCTTTCTCTTCTCTGATCACTATAGCTAGGACTTCTAGTACTATGTTGAATAACAGTGGTGAAAGCAGGCATCTTTGACGTGTTTCAGATCTTAGAGGAAAGGCTTTCAGCTTTTCCACATTCAGGATTATACTAGCTGTGAGTCTTTCACATATGGCTTTTATTGTGTTGAGGTATGTTTCTCTTATACCCAGTTTTTTGAGAATTTTTATCATAAAGCAATATTGAATTCTATTAAATCTGTTTTCAGCATCAATTGACATAATCATATGATTTTCATCCTTCATTCTGTTGATATGATGTACACATTGACTGATTTGCGTATGTTGAACCATCCTTGCATCCCTATGGTAAATCCCACTTGGTCATGATGAACAGTCTTTTAACTGTATTGTTGAATTTGGTTTGCTAGTATTTTGTTGAAGATTTTTGATCAATAGTCATCAGAAATATTGGTCTATAGTTTTCTTTTTTAGATGTGTCTTTGTCTGGTTCTGGTATGAGGGTAATAGTGGCCTCATGGAATAAGTTTGGAAGTATTCTCTACTCTTTTATTTTTTAGAATAGTTTGAATAAAGTTGGTATTAATTCTTCTTTAAATGTTTGATAAAACTCAGCAGTGAAGCCATCGGGTCCTGGGCTTTTCTTTATTGGGATAATTTGTATTACAACTTCGATCTTGTTGTTATTGGTCTGTTCAGGTTTTGGATTTCTTCATAGTTCAATCTTGTTAGGTGGTATATGTCTAGGAATTTATCTATTTCTTCCAGATTTTCCAATTTATTGACATATAGTTGCTCATAATAGCCACTAGTGATCCTTTGAATTCCAGTGGAATCAGTTGTAATGTCTCCTTTTTCATATCTGATTTTATTTATTTGTGTCTTTTTTTCTTAGATAGTCTTGCTAAAGGTTTCTCAATTTATCTTTTCAAAAAATCTTTTCATTTTGTTGATCTTTTTTATTATTTTCTTCATTTCATTTTTATTTATTTCTGCTCTGATCTTTATTATTTCTTTTCTTCTAATAATTTTGGGTTTAGTTTGCTCTTGATTTTCTAATTTTTTAAGATGCATCATTAGGTTGTTTATTTGAATATTTTCTTCTTTTCTGATGTAAGTGCTTATAGCTATAAATTCTCCTCTTCATACTGCTTTCACTGTATCCCATAGGTTTTGGTATGTTGTATTTCTATGATCATTTGTTTCAAGAAATTTTTCAATTTCCTTCCTAATTTCTTCATTGACCCAATGGTCATTCAGGAGCATATTGTTTAAATTCCATGTATTTGTGCAGTTGTCAAAATTCAACTTGATATTGATTTCTAGTTCTATTCCATGGTGGTCAGAGAAGATGCTTGGTATTATTTCAGTTTTTTTAATGTTTTAAGACTTATTTTGTGACCTAACATATGGTCTATCCTTATCGATATGCTGAGGAGAAAAATGTGTATTCTGCAGCCATTGGCTAAAATGTTCTCTTAAAACATTCACATTTTTATTACACTAAAAATGTTCTCTTAGAACATTTACATTTATACTATTCCCTAATATAAATATCTCTTAGGTCCATTTGTTCTACAGTACAGATTAAATCCAATGTTTCTTTGTTAATTTTCTTTCTGAAAGATCTGTCCAATGCTGAAAGTGGGGTGTTGAAATCTTCAGCTATTACTGTATTGGGGTCTATCTCTCTCCTTAGCTCAAATAATATTTGCTTTATATCTGGGTACTTCAATTTTGGGTGCATATATATTTATAATTGTTATTTTCTCTTGCTGAACTGACCATTTTTTCATTATGTAATGACTTTCCTTGTGTCTTCTTACAGTCTTTTTCTTAAAATCTATTTTGTCTCATATAAGTATTGCCACTCCTGCTCTTTTTTTGGTTTCCATTTGCATCGAATGTCTTTTTCCAGCCCTTTATTTGCAGTCTATGTATGTGTTTATAGGTGAAGTGCCTTTTTTGTAGGCAACAGGTCAATTGGTCTTTTAAAAAAAAAAAAAAAATTCTCTCAGTCACCCTGTCTTTTCATTAGAGAGTCTGGTCCATTTGCAATCAATGCTATTATTGATAAATAAGGACTTACTACTGCCTCTTTGTTATTTTTCTGTGTGTGTGTGTGTGTGTGTGTGTGTGTGTGTGTGTATGAAGGTCTTCTATTCCTTCTTTCCTTCCTTCCTGTCTTTCTTTGACTAAAGGTGATTTTCTCTGGTGTATGATTTAATTACTTGCTTTTTATTTTTTGTATATCTATACTATGTTTTTAAATTTGAAGTTATCATGAAGCCTGTAAATACTGTCATATAACCCGTTGTTTTAAAGTGATGTCAACTTAACACTGATTGCATAAGTAAACAAATAAACAAGCAACAAAAAAACTAATAAAAACTCTACACTTTAACTTTATCCCCCAGCTTTTTAACTTTTTATTTTCTTCTCTTTATGTCTTATTGAAATGTCTATGTCTTGAAAAGGTGTTATAGCTATTATTTTTCACTGGTTCACCATTTAGTCTTTCTACTTAAGAATAGTAAACACATCACAATTACAGTTTTATAATATTCTGTGCTTTTCTGTGTGCTTGCTATTACCAGTGAGTTTTCTATCTTCAGATGATGTATTTTCTTTCTTTTCTGTTTGGATTTTGTTTGTTTGTTTTGAGACAGGGTCTCACTCTGTCACCTTGGCTGGAATGCAGTGGCACAATCTTGGCTCACTGAAACCTCTGCATCCCAGCTCAAGTGATTTTCCCTCCTCAGCTTCCCAAGTAGCTGAGACTACAAGTGCATGCCACCACACCCAGCTAATTTTTAAATAAAAATTTGGAGAGACAAGGTCTCACTGCATTGCCCAAGCTGGTCTCAAGCTTCCAAGCTTAAGCTACCCTCCCGCACTGGTCTCCCAAAATGCTGGAATTACAGACGTCAGCCACTATACCTGGCCCTCAAAGGATTTCTTCTTGTTTGTTGGCATCTTTCTTTTCAGTTTGAAGAACTCCCTTTAGCATTTGCTGTAGGAAAGATCTGGTGTTGATAAAATCCCTCAGCTGTTGTTTGTCTAGGAAAGTCTTTATTTCTCTTTCATGCTTGAAGGATATTTTCATTGGATATGTTCTAGGGTAAAAGTTTGTTTCCTTCAGCACTTTAAATATGTCATGCCACTCTCTCCTGGCCTATAAAGTTTCTACTGAAAAGTCTGCTGCCAGATGTATTGGAGCTCCTTTGTATGTTGTTTCTTTTCTCTTGCTGTTTTTAGGATCCTTTCTTTATCCTTGATCTTTGGGAGTTTGATTATTAAATGCCTTGAGGTAGTCTTCCTTGAGTTAAATCTGCTTGGTGTTCTATCACCTTTTTGTATTTGAATGCTGATATCTTTCTCTACATTTTGGAAGTTCTTTGATATTATCCCTTTGAATAAACTTTCTACTCCTATCTTTTTCTCTGCCTTCTCTTTAAGATCAATACTCTTAGATTTGCCCTTTTGAGGCTGTTTTCTAGATCTTGTAGGGATGCTTCATTTTTGTTTATTCTTTTTTCTTTTGTCTCTTTTGACTATACATTTTCAAACAGCCTGTCTTCAAGCTCACTAATTCTTTCTTCTGCTTGATTAATTATACTCTTAAGGAACTCTGATGCATTGTTTTAGCATGTCAGTTGCATTTTTCAGCTCCAGAGTTTCAGCTCAATTCTTTTTAATTAGTTCAATCTCTTTGTTAAATTTATCTGATGGAATTCTGAATTCCTTCTCTTTGTTACCTTGAATTTCTTTGAGCTTCCTCAAAACAGCTATTTTGAATTCTCTGTCTGAAAGATCACATATCTCTGTTTTTCCAGGATTGGTCCATGGTACCTTATTTAGTTTGGTGAAGTCAAGTTTTCCTGGATGGTCTTGATACTTGGGGGTGTTCATCAGTGCCTGGGCATTGAAAATTTAGGTACTCATTGTAGTCTACACAGTCTGGGCTTGTTTGTGCCCATCTTTCTTGGAAAGGCTTTCCAGGTATTTGAAGGGACTTGTGTCCCATGATCAATAATGCTGTGGTTCTTATAGACTCATTGAGTTACCACCTTGGTGTTCTTGGATAAAATCTAGAAGAATTCTCTGAATTGCCAGGCAGAATTCTTGTTCTCTTCCCTGATTTTCTCCCAAATAAATGGAGTCTGTCTGTCTGTCTGTCTGTCTGTCTGTCTGTCTCTTTCTCTCTGTGTGCTGAGCTGCCCAGAGCTGAGGTTGGAGTGATGCCAGGAGCCCTGTGGCCACCACCACTGGGACGGTGCTGGGTTGGACCTGAAGCCAGCACACCACTGGGTATTGCCTAAGGCCCACTGTAACCACTATTTGGCTACTGCCTGTGTTCACTCAAGGCCCTAGGGTTCTACAGTCTGCAGATGGGAAGATAGTCAGGTTTGTGTCTTTTCTGTTAGGGCAGCAAGTTTCCCCAGACCCTTGGCAGGTACAGAGATGCTGTCTAGAAGCCAGAGATTGGAGTAAAAAAACCTAGAAATCTACCTGATGTTTTATTCTGCTGTGGTTAAGCTGGCCCTCAAACCACAAAACAAAGTCTTTCCTGTTCTTCCCTCCCTTTTCCACTGGCAGAGGAGGCTCTCCCAGTGGCCACCACCACCACTGGCTTGCAGGGAGTTCTGCCATGCCACCACCAATATTCACGTAAAGCCGAATGGCTCTTCAGTCAGCTTGTGGGGAATGCTGCTAGGCCTGTGACTCATACTTCAGGGCAGTGGGCTCTCCTCTGGCCCAGGGCAGGTCCAGAAAAGCTGTCCAAGAACCAAGGCCTAGACTCAGGGTCCCCAAGAGCCCACCTGATATTCTACTCTACTGTAGCCAAATACGTACCTAAGGTGTAAGACAAAGTTCCTTTTACTTTTCCCTCTGCTTTTCTCAAGCAGAAGGAGTCTTTCATAGTAGTCGCTGCAGCTGGGAACGTGCTGGGTCTCACCTGTAACCAGCATATCTCACACTCTCACCCAAGACCCACTGCATACTACCTTAGTGTCACTTTTAGTTATTTGGGGCTGAAGGGCTCTTTAGTCAGTAGATGATGAATCCTGCCAGGACTTGGTTCTTCTCAAGGCAGTGGGTTCCCTTCTAGTCCAGGGTGTATATAGAAATGTTGTCTGGGGGACTCATAACTCTGCCCAGTGTCCTATCTTATTGTGGCTGAACTGGTAGTCAAGATACAAGCCAAAGTCCACTTTCCTCTTAGCTTTCTTCTCCTTAAATAGAAGGAAGTAGTCACTTTTTTTTTTTTTTTTTTTTTTTTTTTTGAGACAGAATCTCGCTTCTTTGCCCAGGCTGGAATGCAATACCATGATCTAGGTTCACTGCAACCTCCACCTCCCGGGTTCAAGCAATTCTCCTGCCTCAGCCTCTCCAGTAGCTGGGATTACAGGCATGTGCCACCATGCCCAGCTAATATTTGTATTTTTAGTAGAGACAGGGTTTCACCATGTTGGCCAGGCTGGTCTTGTACTCCTGACCTTAAGTGATCCGCCTCAGCCTCCCAAAGTGCTAGGATTACAGGCATGAGCCACCGTGCTGGAAGGAGTCACTTTTGTTGCTGCGAGTTGCACTGCCTGGGGTTGTGGGAGGGATGATGCTTGCACTCCCTTAGCCACCCCAGCTGATGTCTCCCTAGGTCACGTGCCGCCCTAGTCCACTGGCTCTAATCCTAGCCCAGCATTAGGACTTGCCTAGGAAATGCAGTATTTGTGTCCCTGACTGCCTTTTAATTTTACCTAGTACTCCAGAGCACTTTAGCCCTTGGTGATGAGGCTTGCAGAGAAACTCAAGTCCCAACCACTGGGATGGATGATCCCCCTCCGGCTAAGGCTGATCCAAATGATCTCTCTGTGGGCAGGCAATGGCTGAGCCCAGCTCAGCTTTGCTCTCTGCCATGGCAGAACAGCACTGAGTTCAATATCAAGTCCTACAGTCACTGTGCTCTCCCTCCCTAAAGTGCTCAGATTCCCTCTCCATGCCATGTAGCAGCTCTGGGGAATAGGGAAGAGGTGGCATCAGTGATTCAAGACTGTGTCCTACCCTCTTCAGTGCCTCTTTCAATGATATAAAGTTAAATCCAGGTACTGTGACTCCTCACCTGACTTTTGGTTCTTATGACAGTGCATTTTTGTTTGTAGTTAGTTGTTAAAATTTTGTGTTCCTTTGGGGGCAGTCAGTGGAGGCTTCTGTTTAGCCACCTTGCTCCGCCCCCCATAAACAGTGGCTTAATTAATATTTTTAGTGAAAAATGCCAGCATGGCAGAGAGGAAAGAACATTGGGTTAGGAGTCAGAATACCAGGGTTCTGATCCCAGCTCCATAATTAACTGGCTATGTGATCATAAGGAAACCATACAGCTTTTCTTGTTCTCAGTTATCTATTAAATGAGGTTGGATAATTAACACTTTACTTGAATCAAGAGACCTGTACATAGATAGAAACACGTCTCTGATTTCTGGGTAGGGACAGGTAGAGATGGCTTGTCTAGAATGGGTAGAGATGTCCTATCTGAATGACACCAACATAAATGGAAAAGCTGCTGAATGCTTGGGGGTAGCTCAGTTTGGGTTCATTCATGAGACAGAGTCCACACGGTAATTTGGACAAGGGAAAGTTTAATATAAAGAGTTGTTAATTATAGGGAGAGACTACAGTAGCAAAAGATTGGCTAGTAAGAAGTGAAGAGAGTGCTAAATAATATAAAAATAGCAGATACAAGGAGCCACTATCCCTAGAGCTGAGCTAGAACACCCAAGAAAAAGCTCCCTGCACTCAAGGTTGAGATCCAGACCTTGTTTGGTGAGGCCTTTGGGGGGTGATTAGGTCAGAGTGGAGCCCTCATGATTGAGATTAAAGCCCTTATAAAAGGGACCCCAGAGAGTTCTCCATGTGAGGATACAAGAAGAAGTCAGCAGTCTTCTTGTTGGAAGAAGGCCTTTACTAGGAACTGACCATGCTGGCTCTCTGATCTCAAACTTCCAGCCTCCAGAACTTGATAAATTTCTGTTGTTTATAAGCCATCCACTCTATGGTATTTTGATGTAACAGCCTGAACAAGTCAAGACATTGTTGGAGGGCATGGCTGTGGCTCACAGAGTGACTGAGAGATCACTGAGGTGCCATGCCAGTGGAACTTGCTGAAAATCCTCGCTCTAGGGTGTCAGGGAGAGCTGTTCATAGGGACATGCCTCACCAGAGAGATTCTGCTACAAAAGAACACAAAGGGTTCTAGGGGAAGCTGACGACCACGGTGCACTGTAGAAGCCAGGCACTAAATAAGCTGTATTTACTGCAAGAACTAGATGCTTAAGGAGTCACCCCTACTGTAGGAGCTGGGCACTAGAGAAGCTTTGCACTCTGCATAAGCTCGACACTGGAGAAGCTGCCCACACTGCAGGAGCCTGCCAAGAGGGCTCACTGGAATCAGAGAGCAAACCCCTTTCTCCTGCAATATCTCTTCTGCACACTCTACTAGCATAGCTTAACCTTGTGTCAGCTGACAACTGAAAACTAAATGGCCCAGCTTCATTTCATGGAGCAAGCAAAAAGGATGACTTTGGATCTCATGGGCACTAAATCAAGAACTTGCACAGGTGGACATCAAAAGCAGTTTCCTAAAAGATAGGAGTTCATGAAATGTGTCTTATTGTACCTTGGCAATCATTTGTTCCAGAGGCGACTAGCCTCTGGACAGCAAAAAGCCTTAAAATTTTGAGTTTGATCGTGCCTGTAATCCTAGCACTTTGGGAGGCCGAGGTGGGCGGATCACGAGGTCAGGAGACCATCCTGGCTAACACAGTGAAACCTCGTCTCTACTAAAAATACAAAAAATTAGCCTGGCGTGGTGGCGGGCACCTGTAGTCCCAGCTACTGGGGAGGCTGAGGCAGGAGAATGGCATGAACCTGGGAGGTGGAGCTTGCAGTGAGCTGAGATTGCGCCACTGCACTCCAGCCTGGGTGACAGAGTGAGACTCCGTCTCAAAAAAAAAAAAAAAAAAAAAAAAAAAAAAAAATATATATATATATATATATATATATATATATATATATTTGAATTTGAATGCTTTAAGGAAGGCCATACCTATTCTATTTATCATAGTCCTCAGTAACTCCATAGGATCTTAAGCTCAGCAGCAAACTTCATACAAATATATGCTGGGCCCACACAAGCATCTGAGCGTGTGGTCCTTAACCATTTAACCACTTCATTTTACAGGTGAGGAAACAGCATGCTTAAATGGCTACTTCTGCCCCTGCCCCCGTCTCTGTCATAGTCAAACAGAACAGCGGGGGAGGTAATACATAAACTTTCCTTTAGTGGTGATTTTTCTCAAACATTTGCTTTGAATTTGGGCTGTTTGTATTGCACAGATTTTGCTCATTTACATAAAATCAAGATCGTTGGAATAAATATGTTCAGGTAATTCTCTGAGGCAAGAAAATAACCAAATGCTTACTCAGACTTGTTTCTCCTCGGGTTAACTAGCCTGATATTAAGTATGCCTTAATGTAAAATCCCATTCAAAATCTCCTAAAACAAAACCAGTGCTTCACAATTTGTAATTAGTACTATAAGAACAATTTAATTGATTCTCCTATTCTCCCTTCTTTTGCATTTTCAGAGCCATTACTTTCCAACAGATGAGGTTGTAGAGATTTCTATCACTTCACCAGAATGGGAAATCTATGCCATTTTCATTAAGTAACTAAATGTTAGGCCATGTCCAATTCTTAAATAATTTCACACTCTTGGCAAGGGGGGAAAAAAGATTATTCAAAGTTATTTCAAAGTTTTTACAGAATTGCTAATAATAATAACAGTAGCAATGCCTTATTAATGCAGAATACTTTATGGTTTATAAATATGTATAATATGTAATATAACATGTGACATAATGTAGATAAAATATATATAATTTCATTTGAAATAACTCTTTAGAAATTTTACTTGCTAGGCCTGTTTTATTGCAACTTAAAGATGCTAAGGTGAAAAATAAATTGAAAACATTTTAGTTCATTCCAAACAGAAACATAACCCTAATTATTTTATTTAAAAATAAAATGTACCTCCAATCATTGATAACTACTGAAATTATAGGTAAATAAGTGAGTTTCAGGAATTATTCTGGGGCACAGTATTTGTAATGAAATAAAAAAATGGGCATGGTAAAAACTTGGAATCTGGCAATCTGAACACATCGATTTGTAAATCTTCTCTGCCCATAATGGGACACCATTCATCTTCTGAAAGTTTTGGTTTTCCAATCCCTGATGCACGTAGGATTCCATATTCCTTTACAAATTTTGCTTCTCCCTCTCCCCACAAAGGCAGTGAAGAGGAATTCCCTATATCCTTCATCTCATTTGTCTTTCTTTGTCTTCACTCCTGATAGGGAAGAAGTTTGGTTTGTTTCTTTTTCTCTCTCTCTCTTTTTTTTTTTTTTTGATGATAAATGCATTTCACTATTTATTTAGATGTTTAAGCTCTCACACTAAGTTTTTACAAGCTGATGAACACTGACAAATTATTTCTCCCACAGAACTAAAACCACACATCCCCAGACAGTATAAATATATGGTTGAACTAACCTTAATACACATCACCATTTTATCAATTACATAATAAAACAAATTATCAAGTATCCAAATATTAAGTTGCACAGCTCAAAAGGCATATAAAAATTAGATGTCTGCTCAATTCATTAGCAGAAACCTGCTTCTTTTTTTTGCAAGAATGGTTAGGAAGAGAAGGAAATAAAAAATCACTTTCAAACAAAAATAAGTTGGTAAACAACTTCTGATAAATATGGAAAAAATTACAATAATTTTAGAAATTTTATGATTAAGAATTGTTTTGGCTACAATAACAAATCATCTCTACCTTTAAAAAATATTTTACTAAATTAAAGGGCATATCCCACATGCTCTGCACAAGACAAAGGCAAAATTTTGCTAAAAATAATGAATAGCCCCCTCCCATTCTTTTCTCAGTCCCTGCCTGTGAAGTTGCACCTCAGATTGCAAACATTAAATGAACTGTAAGGCCTTTCTGTCTGAAGACATTAAAGACACATGCTTCTATACAATGTAGATTTTTTTTAATGGAGGCTTTTCATAACAGCACAAAGTAAGATTTATTGAAACACATTAAATAATCACTGTAAGACATGGTAAAAAAAAAAAAAGAATCAATGGTTAAACAAATCTGATATTTGCTAGCATGAATGTGGGAGATGAAAACATGGAGTGAGCAGGCAAATCACTATGTAGGCCCTACTTTCAATGTTTGAAATGATTGAAGGAATAAACTACATAAGGTCTAGAGTGTTCATAGTTCCTGGGATTTTAGTTCTGTATGGTACTAAAAATACACAAGTATTGTGCCGGGTGGCACCTAATCTTCCTAATTTTCTTATATATTGATAAGATTCTGGCAAGCAAATAGATTTAAACAAGACATAACTCAATACTGCATGATTTCGGGAAAGGTCAGTTGGTACAAACGACAGGCACATTTTAAATGCTAACAGCAAGAATCTTTTGCCAAGTGTCCAAATAGGTTGACTGTAACCCAAACACAGAGGTTGCCAAATCTGTCTAGCTTGTGGCCTGGTAAAACTGCCTTTCAGTACTCCTATGGAAGTTTCATTAGACTTACTCAAAGCCAACATGTTGGCTAATAAGTATAACAAATCAGGTCCTATCTCAAGTTCCACTTCCAAGGCAATAGCATCAGGGACCCCAGTTTTATTAACTGCAACAGTTGTATCTATGACCACTGGAGTCTTTGAAGTGCAGCCACATCTTTAAGGATGATACTTCTCCAAATACAAAAGTTAACTTGCTGTTAAAAGCTCCATACTGCTTTTTTCTTGCGAATTGTACTGCATCATCATCTTTCATTTTGCCTTCAATTAATGCTAGGGCAACAAGTACTGGAGCTCTCCCAAGGCCTGCAATGCAATGAACAGCAGTACAACAATGAGGTTCTTTATGAAACTTAATTTTCACAAGACTTAACCAGTCATCAATCTGGTTGGATGGTGGTGCACCATCATCAAAAGGCCTATCGAGAACATGGGTACCTTCTTTCTCCAGAAGAGTAGTGTCATAAGTTGCTTTACATACTCTTATCTATTGTGAAAACTCCATACTTCTTAAGTTCCTCTACGAATTTGTTTAAGGTCACATTGGTTGGGTTGTGTGTAGTAAGAAATCCTCATGTTCTTGTATGTGACTTCCACAGGAGCTGGACAGTTCATTTGAGCCATGTTAATTTAGTTAAAAGACACTCAATAGGGTTATGAAAGAATTTTAAAAGTTGAATACAGAAATGATGCAAAGAAACTGAAGTCTACTTCAATATACTCCACTTGAAATTCTCAGTGCTTTGAGTATGAAGTTGTAAGTAACAATAAATGAAATGAACCTCCTAACAAGAAGCGACACTTCTTCAATCCAGTAATACTGAGGCAACAGAAAGGAAGCACACTGAGGTTTACCCTATCTAGGTCAGAACTCTTGTAAAATGCCCTATGGGTTTCAATTCAACACTTCTGTGTCCAGGACAATGGGTGCTTCTTGGTAGAGTAGTAATGAATTTCTACAGTTTCCTTGTTTGCATAGAGGTCATGCTATGCCTGGCAGTGATCTCCACTGCCCTTCAGAAACTCCATAAATATGTGACCAAGAACACCACAGAACTGAGGAATGTGTTTATGCATTGAAAATGGTGGCCTACTGCGTCGATCTCACTGGGAGCTGCAGACCGGAGCTGTTCCTATTCGGAAGCATCACGCTACCTGACTTCAAACTATACTACAAGGCTACAGTAACCAAAACAGCATGGTACTGGTACCAAAACAGATATATAGACCAATGGAATAGAACAGAGGTCTCAGAAATAGCATTGCACATCTACAACCATCTGATCTTTGACAAACCTGACACAAAAAAGCAATGGGGAAAAGATTCCTATTTAATAAATGGTGTTGGGAAAACTGGCTAGCCATATGCAGAAAACTGAAACTGGACCCCTTCCTTACACCTTATACAAAAATCAACTCAAGATGTATCAAAGACTTAAACGTAAGACTTAGGACCATAAAAATCCTAGAAGAAAACCTGGGCAATACCATTCAGGACATAGGCATGAGCAAAGACTTCATGACTAAAACACCAAAAGCAATGGCAACAAAAGCCAAAATTGACAAATGGGATCTAATTAAACTAAAGAGCTTCTGCACAGCAAAAGAAACTATCATCAGAGTAAACAGGCAACCCACAGAATGGGAGAAAATTTTGCAATCTATCCATCTGACAAAGGGTTAATATCCACAATCTACAAAGAACTTAAATTTACAAGAAAAAAAAAAACCATCAAAAAGTGGGTGAAGGATATGAACAGACACTTCTCAAAAGAAGATATTCATGTGGCCAACAAACATATGAAAAAAATGCTCATCATCACTGGTCATTAGAGAAATGCAAATCAAAACCACAATGAGATACCATCTCACACCAGTTAGAATGGCGATCATTAAAAAGTCAGGAAACAACAGATGCTGGAGAGGATGTGGAGAAATAGAAACACTTTTACACTGTTGGTGGGACTGTAAACTAGTTCAACCATTGTGGAACACAGTGTGGCAATTCTTCAAGGATCTAGAACTAGAAATACCATTTGACCCAGCAATCCCATTACTGGGTATATACTGAAAGGATTACAAATCATTCTACTATAAAGACACATGCACACGTATGTTTACTGCAGCACTATTCACAATAGCAAAGATTTGGAACCAACCCAAATGTCCATCAATAATAGACTGGATAAAGAAAATTGGCACATATACACCATGGAATACTATGCAGCCATACAAAAGAATGAGTTTATGTCCTTTGCAGGGACAAAGATGAAGCTGGAAACCATCATTCTCAGCAAACTATCACAAGAACAGAAAACCAAACACCATATGTTCTCACTCATAAGTGGGAGTTGAACAATGAGAACACACAGACATAGAGAGGGGAACATCACACGCCAAGACCTGTCGGGGGGTGGAGGCTAAGGGAGGGATAACATTAGGAGAAATACCCAATGTAGGTTATGGGCTGATGGGTGCAGCAAACCACCATAGCACATGTATACCTATGTAACAAAACTACACATTCTGCACATGTACCCCAGAACTTAAAGTATAAAAAAAAAAAAGAAAAGAAAATGGTGGCCTAATCCTACAGCTGGTCCCCAGGCAGCAGTGGCAGAGGCTGCAGGGCAGGAGGCAGAGATGGTTGTTGCTGGGTGGCGGTGGCCATGTTGCAAGCAGCCAGTGGGAACACCAGACTCTACCATGCAGTGAGCGGCTCCTGGTTTTTCAGACATCAAAGTTATACTACAAGGTATAATCCTGATTCTTTTACTTATTCAAAAATATTTGAGTACCTACTTTCTGTCAGGCACTGCTCTGTGTAATAAGAATACAGCAATGAATCAAATAGAATTCCTGCTGTTGTGTAGCCTATATTCTAAAGAGGCAGACAGAAAATGAGTTCATTAGGTAATTGCAGAGTTTGTCAGGTGATAAAGTGCTTTGGGGAAAAGTAAAGCAGGGAAAGAGGACAGGTGAGTGATGTGGGCCTAAATGAGGTGATGAAGAATGGCTCTCCAGAAAAGGTAATTGTTCAGAAAAAAAAGTTAAATCATTCAAGAAAAGGCTACACTTATATTGCAAGTATTCCCTCTACAACTGCTGAAATCAGGCT
Source organism: Homo sapiens (assembly GCF_000001405.40). NCBI lineage: Eukaryota > Metazoa > Chordata > Mammalia > Primates > Hominidae > Homo > Homo sapiens. The sequence goes on along the minus strand of NC_000002.12, from coordinate 158,063,050 downwards.
CAAAGGGATGATTGTGAAACTGTGTTTGTCAGCTTGGGGATGCAGGAGAATAACAGAAAAGAGGGGCAGGGGAGCAGATTGGGTACTTCCTAACAGTGGATTGAGTGCTTGAAACGTATCAGATACCCAACAAATGTGCATTGAATCTGAGCATAGTCAAGTTTCACACCTCTCATAAATTGAGGTAATATAGCAGTCCTATCAAGAACAGTATTTTGGAATGCCAGTATGCTGGATCTCCCTTATAGTTCAGCTGGTTTCTATCTCTGCACCTCATCCATTGGATAGTCCTCTGACGGGAAAATAACAAGTGTTATCTCAGAAGAAGATACAGCATCCTATAAGGGAAGTCCTAGCCACATGAAAAAGGAGGGAATTCCTGCCCTCCTGGACCCAAGGGATAGTGTAAAAAGGAGAGTGCTACAGAATTGCCTCTTTGTGTCCTATCCTTGGGTCAAACATTGGGGTAGGGTAGATAGTGCTGGACATTAAACCTTTGCTAGCTATGGAAGAATCTGGAAAGCAGGGTTTAATAGCATGTTTTCCCCACTGTGCCTGAGAAAAGATGCAAACCCCTGGTTAAAAACCTTGCACGTGGATACATGTCCCAGGAGCACTAATAGAGAAATGGCCAGGGAGAAGACCAGAAGGTAGAATTCCTGGCTCCCCAAGGCCCATTCAGCATCTAGAACTACACTGTCCAATATGGTAGCCACTAGCCACACAGGCTCCTTAAATTTAAAGTAACCAAGCTTAAATGTAATTTAAAATGTGTTTTCTTAGCTGCATTAGCCACATTTCAAGTGCTCAATAACTATGTATGGCTCAAGACTACTGCACTGTACAGCACAAATAAAAAATGTTTCCGTCATCATAGAAAGTTCTATTAGACAGCAGTAGTCAGCAAACTTTTCCGTAAAGGGCTTACAAGTAAATATGTTTGGCTTTGTGGACAAGAAAGTCTCTGTCACAATTATTCAATACTATTGCTTTAGCATAAAAGCAGCTGTAGTCTGTATGTAAATAAACAAGTATGGCCGTGTTCCAATAAAACTTTATTTTAAAAAACAGGCTTTGGTCTGAGGGATGCAACATGCCTGTCGCTGGGATAGAGGAGCCAAAAGTTCCCACATGCCTCAGTAAAGGGACAGAAGCCACTGAAAGAATCAGTGAGCTAGTGGATACCTGGGCTAGGGCCAGATTACCTGATCTGTGCACGCAAAGGCGATATGGGTCCAGGTGCAACTGAGACACATAGGCCAAGGGCCAGACCACAAACCTGCACACAGCTTCGAGTCCATCCTGGGAAGGAGCAGGAAGAGAGGAAAGAAATTCAAAAGACCAACCCCAAATAATCCAAATGATCTAGAAGAAACTGTTTAAATGGAAGAGACAGTGATACTGTCTGTTGGCAGATGTAGGTGGCCCCGCCCCCTGTGCCAGTCCCACCACTCCCCATATCCCTAACCCCCTGAAGGAGTAGGAGCTCAGGAGGAAGTTTAAATCTATTATTTAAAGAAAATAAGCTACAGTTTCCTTGACTTTCTAAGTTACAGCGAAAATAAAAAGTCAATGCTGCTACACAGTGTTTTCTCAAATGTATGTAAAGACCCTTTAGAAAAGAAATCTTTGCACTCTTTCTAGGAGCACTAATTTGGGCTAATTCATCTCTACAGCCCCTCCAGGGCCTCCTTGTGACTGAAGATATACACTAAGGCCTTGTGTGAGGGGAACACTGGCATGGAGGGAGAAAATCTGGGCTCCAGCTGTGTGACTTATGCTAAACCTCTAACTACCCTGGGCTTCAGTGACCTTATCTGCCACATGGGAAGATAGATCAAATGACTCCTAAGTTCTTATCCAGTTCAGAGATAATAATTTTATGATTCATCTGAAAGAAATCTGACTGGGGTTGTGGCCCGTTGCTATAATTAACATAGTTAGCCTGATCACATGTCAATGGATTAAGCCTTAGCTTTACTATTAAGATAAAACTGAATTAGCTAAGTTTCTACCAGTTCACTGAAAAGTTCTGATATTTAATACTTGGATAGTTGTAAGGACATGCTATCACTCAAACTATATTAGTCATCCAGGCTGCCATACTAAAATGCCATAGACCGGGTGACTTAAAGAACAAACATTTATTTCTCACATTTCCGAAGGCCGGAAGTCGAAGATCAGGGTGTCAGCATAATTGGTTTCTGGTGAGGGCTCTCTTCCTGACTTGTAGATGGCCACCTTCTCACTGTGTCCTCACATGGCAGGGAGAGAGTGAGCTCTCTGGTGGCTCTTCTTTTTAAGGGTACTAATCTCATTATGGGGCCCTACCCTCATGACTTCATCTAAATCTAATTACCTCCCAAAGGTTTCATCTCCAGATACTATCTCATTGGAAGTTAGGGCTTCAACATACGAATTTTGAGGGAACACAGTTTAGTCCATAGCACAAACCTTCAAATTAAGGTAAGATGCTGACTTCTTGGAATTTTGCAATCTGCTCATGGACAAAACAAAAGATGTGTCTCTCATCAGCAAGAAATTTTTGAGAAAGGAATATCAAGTTGTGTCCCACCTTTCTGACATTCAAAGCAGAGGCAGGATGGGAGGATGACTGTCTCAATTACCCACTATCATAATAACTAACATTTACTTGACAGCTTACCGTGCACCAGACACTCCTTGAAGTGCTTTACATGTATCATCTCATCTCACTCCACAATAACCTAAAATGACAGCCTTTATTACTAGACCTATTGTAGAGATGAAGACACACTAATACTTGGAAAGCCTTAGGAGCTTTCATACAGTGTCACAAGTAATATGAGACTGAGTCCAGATATAAAACTCAGTAGACTAACTCCAGAGCCTGCCCTCCTAATCACCATGATCTACAACCTTCAGGTTGAACACAAGTCATGGGAAGAGTGCCTGTGTGCATGCATGTGTGTACACACATGCATGCACGCACACACACAAATCAGATGTGGTTGAAAATAGCGTGCATTTAATGTATTCATAATATGTGTTAATTAATGTATTAATGCCTATAAGTTATTCACCATCTATGATGGACTTCTTTAACCAACTAAGCAAAATGCATTCTCCCAACATCTTGATGAGATTAGAATCTCAGAAAATGGGAATTTTGATGAGTGGTGAAGACCAAGAAGATCCTTTGAATTGGAGCCCTTGAAGGATGAAAGGTCCAGATAGAACATTGAACTTAGAAGCCATGAACAGCTAGGGTATGAGACAAAGGCTCAAGTGCTCGATGAGAGGAAAAGGATGGAAAAAAGGAGGAAGCCATATTGGGGCAAGAACTATGCCAAGTGAGGTGTTCACACTCCAGAGCTCTGTGTGCCAGACGTTGTACAAATTCTCCCTGCAATAATCTGTAGTCTGTACACAGCCTCCCAGAGACAAATCACTTTTACCCTTTTGCCCAATATGACCAAAGTCAAGTCATTAAGACCTCTTTTTGTGCCAGCAAGGTGCTTAAGTTTGGTCATTCCTGGCTGCCAAGATATGATGTATGACTTATGTTAAAATGTGACTGACTGCATGTGGAACAACACTCAGAGGAAGCTCAGAAAGTTCAATAGTTGAGTTTAAAGACAAGAGCCCAGTTCAATGACAGAATGGATGTGCAACCAGTCATCCTAGCCATCAATTTAAATGGCCATATAATTTGAAAGGCTGACAGGCATTAGTGTTCAGTATGAAGCTGTCTGAGGCACTAGCTTGGTTACCTGATGGTCAAGTTCATTATATGGCTAGAGCTGGGCAGCAAGGTCTGTAAGTTCGGAGATTCCATACCATATGTTTTCCCATCATGCTTGGACTTCTTGAAGATATCTATGATCTCAGACTCTGAAGTCACAATCGACTAGATAGTTGTTCTTTGGAAGTGGGTCAGGCAATGGAACATGGATATCTTTAATCACTTCTTGAAGACCTCCTCAATGGCTGAGAATCAGTAGCTTAGCTAATAACAAAGCCCTTCGCTTTGACCTCCTCAGCTGACTCTGGGACCTTCTGTGCTTGTCCTCTTCATATCCCTTCACTCATCTCTCTTCACCTTAACCACTTGAATCTTTAACCAGGAAATCTTTGCTTGACCTGGGCAATTCCCTGCCTGCCTTTTTCATAGGCATTGTGCCTGCAACTCTCTTCTCCCTCTCAGCTTCCCAAACCATTCACTTTCCTTATTTAAACCCTTTTCATTGCCCAGATCTTGGTGTCTAATATCTTTCTCTAATAAAAGGAACCAGGGTTCGTTCCCTCAAAACAAATGGCTGATTTTAGGACTGGGCAGGAAATATACAAGCCTGGAGCATCTTATAGTGCCAGAAAATATGGAAGTGCTTGAAAAAGAAATTGATGGGATGTATTAGTCTGCTAGGGCTGTCTTAAAAAAAATACCACAGACTGGATGGCTTAAATAATAGAATTTTATTTTCTTATGGTTCAGGAGGCTGGAAGTCCAAGATCAAGGTAATGTCAGGGGGTTGGTTTCTGGAGAGGCCTGTCTTCCTAGCTTGTAGGAGACCACCTTCTCGTTGTGTCCTCACACGTCCTTTCCTCTGTGCATGCGCGTACACACACACACACACACACACACACACACAGGTTGGGGGGAGAGAGAGAGAGAGAGAGAGAGAGAGAGAGAGAGAGCATACAAGCATGCTCCCTTGCTCCCTTGCGTCTCTTCTTCTTCTTCTTCTTTTTTTTTTTTTTTTTTTTTTTTTTTTTTTTGAGACGGAGTCTCGCTCTGTCGCCCAGGCTGGCATGCAGTGGCACAATCTCGGCTCACTGCAAGCTCCACCTCCTGGGTTCATGCCATTCTCCTGCCTCAGCCTACTGAGTAGCTGGGACTACAGGCGCACGCCACAATACCCAGCTAATTTTTTGTATTTTTAGTAGAGACGGAGTTTCATCGTGTTAGCTAGGATGGTCTCGATCTCCTGACCTCGTGATCCGCCCGCCTTGGCCTCCCAAAAGTGCTAGGATTACAGGAGTGAGCCACTGCGCCCAGGCCCTTCTTATTCTTATAAGAAGCACACTAGTCCTATTGGATTAAAGCCTACCCTTATCACCTCATTTAACCTTTATTATCTGCTTATAGGCCCTGTCTCCAAATACAGTCATATTGGAGTTTAGGGCTTCAACACTGTGGATTTCAGGAGGACACAATTCAGTTCATAACATGAGGTTATAAGCCACCCACTTCTACAAAAATTTTTAATGGCAGCCATAGAAAACTACTACAGCATCCTGGAACAACAAAAAAAGAAGTTAAAAAACAAAAAAGAATCTGAATCAACTGTAGACTATACTTAATAATAAAAATTAGGTTAAAAAACATAAAGAATCTGAATCAACTATAGACTGTAGTTAATAATAATGTATCACTATTGGATCATTAATTGAAACAAATGTACCATAGTGTAATATAGGATATTAATAAGGGAAAACTTGGTGTGGGGTAGATGAGAACTCTGCAGTAGTTTCTCAAAAGGACACACATGCCAACTCAAAGAGTTTTCACTGGCAATGCTAGAATAATCTGAGCAACAAAATAGAGTAGTAATGGATTATAATCCAATGTATAAAATATCCATGAGGTCATGCTGATATAAATACATGATTAAATAAATTAATAAATGGGGGGAAACAGACAAATCTTCCACACAGATGAATTGCAAATAATTTATGTAGATCTTTCACCCTGAAGAGCAGGAGCCTAACTCTCCCCACTCCTTAGGTGCGGGCTGTGCATAGCAACTTCCTTCCAAAATGCACAATGTGGAAAGGGAGAAAAAAGAGTAACTTTACAGTAGAGAAACCTGACAAAACACTACCTCGGCCAGGTGACCAAGGTCAACATCAACAGTGATAAATCTTGTTGACACTGTGTACCCTTGATAAGATGTGATGAAAATATCACTTTACCTCTGTGACCTTCCTGCCAGTAACACATAACCCTAGTGTTATCATAAGAAAAGCTTCAGACACATTCCAAAAAACGGGACATCTTACAAAACACCTATCCAGTAGTCCTCAATTTTGTTGAGTCATCAGAAGATAAGGGAAATCTGAAAAACTGCCACAGCCAAGCAAAGCCTAAAGAGACATGACATAATGTGGTGTCTTGGATGAGATCTGTTATGGGTTGAATTGCATCTCCTCTCAGAAAAAAAGATATGTTGACATTCTAGCTCCCAGTACTTCAGAATACCACCTTAATTGAAAATAAGGTCATTGCAGTGTAACTAGTTAAGTTGGGATGCAGTCTAGATAGGGTAGGTCCTGAATCCAGTACGACTGCCGTCCTTCTAAGAATCTCACGGCCATGTGAAGATACATGGAGAAGGCCATTTGACGGTGAAGGCAGGGATTGGAAATATGTTGCTGTAAGCCCTGGGACACCAAAGATTGCCAGCAGCCACCAGAAGCTAGGAAGTGAAAAGGAAGGGCTCTCCTACAGGTTTCAGAGGGAGCATAGCCTTCCTGGCACCTTGGTTTTAGGCTTCTAGCCTCTGTAAGACAATACATTTCTGTTATTTTTAAGCCACCAGTTTGTCAAAAATTTTTACAGCGGTCATAGGAAATGAATACTGGATCCTGGAACAGAAAAAAGTAAATAAACAAAACAAAGACATCTGAATCAACTATAGACTGTAGTCAATAATAATGTTTCCACTACTGGATCATTAATTGTAACAAATGTACCATGGTGTAATATAAGATATTAATAATGGGGAATCTCGGTGTGGGGTAGATGGGAGCTCTGCACTCAGTTCTCAATTGTTTAACAATGGAAAACTGTTTTTAAAATAAAGTATATTTTAAAAGAACCTTTTTCTTATTTCAGCAATTGTTGAAATAAGGTCTCAATTTCTCAAAGCTTTGATTTTGAAACCATCTGCCTTTGTGTAGTTTATATCAAATGCATTCTAATTTTAAAGAATCAGGAACTTCTCCACAGAAAGCGATCATCCTAAAGGCATCATGCCTCCCAGTTTAGTCTTGTCTCCTTCCTCTCCTTTCCTCACACGTGAATCTTTTAGGTCTTGTTAACCTTCCATTCATTCACTGTATGCCAGGAAATGTGCCAGGGATGTAGGGTAAAAAGTGACCTTGCCATCCAGGGAAGGAGGCAGACACTAGAAACATCATCACACATAGAAATGACAAATCACCCTGTGACCTTTTAAGCTTAAATGGCTGGCTGTGAGGACAACACAATCTCCGCCATGAGCAGAATGCTTAGCTTAGAAAGAAACCAACACAGGACACAGCAGAGAGGCCCTGGGACATTGCTGGAAATGCTGGAGTTGGTTATGCCTGAATTCCCTACCCTTCCTTGACATCATAGTTGCACAGCCTGTTAAATACCCATTTTTAACTTAAATATCACAACTTTCAAAAATTGTATAAAAGAGAAGTTCATCATGTTATGGGAATACTTTTAGAGGGCTATCACTTAGGAGTGTCAAGAAAGACAGCTCTGAGGATGTATATCCTTGAGGACATTATGCGAAGTGAACAAGCCAGTCACAAAAAAAAATACTGTATTATTTCACTTCTGTGAGGTACCTGCTATGATTTGAATGTCCCGTGCAAAATTCAGGTTGAAACTTAATCCCCAATGTAACAATATTGAGAGGCAGGGCCTTTAAGAGGTGATTGGGTGGTGAGGGCTCTGCCCTTATGAATGGAATAATCCATTCATGGACTAATGGATTAATGTGTTATCCTGAGAGGGAAACTGGTGGCTTTATAAAAGAGACCCGAACCAGCACATTAGCATGCTCAGCCCCTCACCATGTGATACCCTGCACCGCCTTGGGACTCAGCAGGGAGAGCCCCCACCAGCAATAAGGCTCTCACCAGATGCGACCCTTCAATGTTGGACTTTCCGGCCTCCAGAATTGTAAGAAATAAATTCCTATTCTTCATAAGTTACCCAGTTTGGGGTATTCTGTTATAAGCAACAGAAAATGAACTAAGACAGTATCTGAGTAGTCAAACTAGTAGAGACAGGAAGTAGAATAGTGGTTGTCAGGGGCTAGGGAGAGAGGGGAATGGGAAGTTTAGTCTAATGGGTACGGAGTTTCAGTTTTGCAAGATTAAAAGAAGTTGTGGAGATGGATGGTGGTGATAATTCACAACACTGTGAATTTATTTAATGCCACTGAATTGTATATACACTTAAAATGGTTAAAATAGCAAGTTTTATGTTTTGTGTATTTATTGTAGTTTAAAACATTTTTAATGGGAAAAAGATTTGTTAGCTCAACATCATGTAGAAGTCATTGACTATTTATGGGGATGAGAAGAACCAATTAAAATACTAGCAGCAGATGTTTCTGGAAAAGGCAGTGAAAAAGCTGCAAAACTAGTCTCCCAGCAAGCCCTTAGTACACACCAGATTCTCAAAAGTCACTGGCTTTGGGATGGTTTTCATGCTTTTTCTCAGCCTCACTCTTTCCCATGTCCCACTACAGAAATTTCAGCACAATCTCATATTATCAGAGGAAAATGACTTTCAATATGCAAAGCCCATGATTCTCCAAGGGAACATAGAGAAATACATTAATTAATTTCTCTCACTTCCTTCTTTCTCTACACATTGCAAGGATTTAAAAAAAAAAAAAAACCTCAAAATAACCAACAAAGCAAAAACATGAAAAAGTAAACCAGGCATTTATCAATTATTTATAAGCTATATTTTTCCCTCTTGCACTGTTTCTTTCTTTTTATTTATTCATTTATTTACTTTTCCTTGAGACAGGGTCTCACTCTGTCACCCAGGCTGGAGTGCAGTGGCACCATCTAAGCTCATTGCAACCTCCCCCAGGTTCAAACCATTCTCATGCCTCAGTAGCTGAAACTACAGACGTGTGCCACTGCGCCCAGCTAATTTTTGTATTTTTAGTAGAGACGGGGTTTCATCATGTTGGGCAGGCTGGTCTTGAACTCCTGACCTCAGGTAATCCACCCACCTCGGTCTCCTTTTGCACTTTTTCAAAAATGCAGACTTTTATTCAACACAGCTACTAATATTTTGCTGTAAGTCACCACAAAATTGTGAAAATGCTTGTGACAGATAGTTACATTGTCCCATCAAACCTGGTAAAGAAAACCCCTTCTTTGGAATAACACTGCATTAGCTTTTTCACTATTTACTTTTTCCAATTAAGAAGGCCTATAATCTGTCTATGCCCCATTCTCCACATTTGAATTGTAGAAGATAAATTCCTCACACTTCGAGTAAACTATGGTAATGTGTGAGACATCCTGTGGCTAAAATCCTTCAAATTCCCTGGAAAACCTAATCTATAGCTTCATAAGATTATTTATAAACATGTTAACAATTCTGCCAAAGGTCAAGTAGCTACTGTATGGATAATGATTTACCTAGAAATCAAAGCCCTATCCATCCTTCCATCCATCCATCCATTTGCTTGTTCTACGAATGGTTATAGAATGGTCCTGAATCCAGCCCTGTACATGGTACTGAGCTAGGCCTGTACAAGATACAAGCAATATGGTATGGGAGTTAGGCATTCAGACATTGGAGTCAGACTGCTTGAAATTGAACTCTGGATAACCATGATCACGAGTCTTTCCAAATTTCAGTTTCCTTATCTAATATACCTGTTCCTTGAGAATTTGGGGTGTACTAAATGAGAAAATGCATATAAAGTGCTTAGCACAGCAGCCAGCACATAACAGAGCACCCAGTGTATGTTAGGTATTATTATGAAAGTATGTAAAACCCAACCCTTGCCCTCCAGGTTTTGTTAGAAAGGCTACATCTTTCTTACTTATTCTTCTAAATCAGGACTTCCCAAAAGGCTATTGTTATTCACCACACACAGTTGACACCCAAGTCTTCTACCACCTTCTTTACACTTGGTGTGGGGGCTTCTACACACCTCCTGCTAGAAAGGTGCTCCAGCTTATCTACCGGTTCCAGGGGCACCTCCTTTCTTCTTTTCCCATCCTTTCCCTGTAATGAGGAGATTTGTGAGGTGATTGAGGAGCCCTGCTTTAAATCAGGGATTGGCATACTACAGCCCTCAGGCCAAATCTGACCCAATGCCTGTTTTTGTAAATAAAGTTTTATTGGAACACAGCCATGTTCATACTTGTATGTATTGTTTGTCGCTGTTTTCAGACTATAATGGCAGAGTTGAGTCTTGGGACTGAGACATTATGGCCCAACAAACCTCCAATGTTTACTATCTGGGACTTTACAGAAAACATTTACCAGTTCCTACTCTAGATAATGATGATGAAGATGATGATGACGACAGTGAAGAAGACAAGCCACTTCTGCCATTTATTGGGCAAAAGGCAATAATATTAATTCTATTCTACAAATAAAGACATTGACGCCCAAAGATGTTAAGTAACCTTATCAAAGTGACAGAGCTAATATATGGCAACCAATGTCACTCCTAAGTTTGTTCTCCCAATTCAGTCATTCAATACCCATATAATGAATGGCTACTGTTGGTGTCCAGGGCATTAGCCACTAGGGATAGAATGGTAGGCCTTACTCCAAGGAATAATAACTGACTCCTTCCTAGGTAAGAGTAACTCTCGATAGTGTCCCTGTTTATTGAAAGCTTACCCCAAGTATACTTCTTTCCAGTTTACCCACATCTTGATATCGCCACCATCATACTTTCTACTACAGCTTCATTTGATAGAATAAGTCAGGTACATCTTTTGTTCCTTAGGAACATTCCTCACTGTTTATTGGACCTTAGACTCATTGTTGGGTTCCAATTCCTTACCTACTTTTTCCTTCAGGTGACATGTTCCCATTATTCCCTTACCTAGAGTTACCAGATAAAATACAGGACACCAGTTGAATTTGACTGTCAGATAAACAACAAATTTTTTTAGTCTAAGTATGTCCCACATAATATTTGGGACATATGAAGGGTGTTCTCTATTTTTATTTGCTAATTCTGGCAACCCCTACCTAAATATTTTTGTAGCTGGAAGAATTATCCACTGTGGGTAGCAGGGTATTTACTGGGAAGGCCTCATGGGTTAGGACAGACAGCATTGGATTTCCCAGCAGAGGATATGTGTGCCAGGCCAGCTGGGCAGCATCCCTCCACAGAATGGGAATGAGAGCCCCTACTCTCAAGGTCTGGTGAAGACTCAGTGAAATGTTGTATATGAATAGCATTGTGTTTGGCAAAGTGTAGTTGTTTTGTTTTGTTGTTGTTGTTGTTGTTGTTGAGGTGGAGTCTTGCCCTGTTGCCCGGGCTGGAGTGCAGTGGCATGAACTCGGCTCACTGCAACCTCCGCCTCCTGGGTTCAAGCGATTCTCCTGTCTCAGCCTCCTGAGTAGCTGGGATTACAGGTGCCCGCCACCACACCCAGCTAATTTTTGTACTTTTAGTAGAGATGGGGTTTTGCTATGTTGGCCAGGCTGGTCTTGAACTCCTGACCTCGTGATCTGGCCGCCTAAGCCTCTCGAAGTGCTGGGATTACAGGCGTGAGCCACCGCCCCTGACCATGTAGTTGTTATTTATCTTCACTCCAAGTAATATTTGTTCATTCATTTTAGTCATTTCCTCTGGTAGTTCAGATTCTAAAAAACAGATATTCCTCAATATACCCTCAGCACAGCACTGTCAGATTGTGTCCCTCTAGCCTCTTCTTTTTCCAGGATCTCACTGAAAGATTTAAATGACTATCAAAGTTAATTTAATTATGAAGTATGCAAAATGCTCCTCCCAATTTATAAATTCCATGGGATAAAAAAAGGAAGTTTGACAGACTGCGTTGTTATGAAATGAAAGATATTATACACACATACACACACACACACACACACACACACACACACACACACACATATTCCTAGAGTGACCCTCAATGATTTTTTTTTAATTTTTATGGGTGCATAGTAGATATATTTATTTATATAATGTTTATGTGTGTGCATATATATATATTTATGGGGTACATGTATATATATTTCTGGGGTACCTGAGATGTTTTGATACAGGCATGCTCTGTGAATTAGTCACATCATGGAGAATGGTGTATCCATGCCCTCAAGCAATCCTTTGAGTTACAAACAGTCCAATTATACTCTTTTAGTTATTTTTAAATGTCCAATTATTATTGACTATAGTCACTCTGTTATGCTATCAAACAGTAGGTCTTTTTCATCCTTCCTAACTACCTCAGTGCATTTCAATAGTTCATATTCAGTTACATTATCTGCTTTCGAGTTCCACCCTGTTTCAAATTCCATAATCACATTTGACAGCAGCAAATAAAAACTCATTTTTAAAAAATTCCTGGAATAATAGAATTTTTATTTTCTTTGTGCATTCAGTAAATGCCAGATCCATCTTACTCTTTTTTCTTTTTTTGAGACAGGGTCTTGCTATGTTATCCACACTGGCCTGGAACTTCCAGGCTCAAGGGATCTTCCCGCCTCAGCCTCCTAAGTAGCTTGGACTACAGGTGTATATCATCACACCTAGCTAGATCCTTCTTATTCTAAGGTCTCTTTTAGAAACTGAAATTTGATGGTTATAATTAGTGCAATTTTTCATCTCTTACCTTATTAGAGAATAAGGATAAGATAGACTAGTACATTTAAAAAAAAAAAACTAAATAATCCATGTAAATACATTGGAGCCAAACTGTTTACTTCTCAGTCTTCACTTAGAGTCTTTGCTTCTGTGCTTTTAGCAAATAGTTGCTAATGCCTCTCACACTTTCTTAAAAATGCAGAAGAGAATGATATGTTACCTGTCTCCAGGAGATGGTCAATGTGGGAATGTGCTCATGGAAAACCTCAGTTCATAAAGGTGTCTGTTTATTTCTCATGAAACTCTTTAGCCAAACACTCTGCTAAATTTCTGTATCAGGAATTAAGCATAAAACGCTCCACTTTCTGTTGTTGCCTATGACTCTTAATATTTTGAGAACTAACAAAAGGTAAATAAAATGTCAGGAATCAAGATTAACCATTAGAAATAAAAAATGAATCACCACAGTGAAGAAAAAAAGCTTAAATTCAAGGGGATTTTTATTTCAAATGGTAATGGGGCCTATTGGTTCAAGTGAAATCACATAAGAGCTATTTTGCTCAAGTCTTTTCCAAGTGAAAAATTGTCAACAGGATTAAAGAAATATATTTTGAATTCTAATGTATGATCATAAGAAACTAGTGTAAAACATTTACAAAATTCTTCTCCCTAGGTAATATTCCCCAGTTCACTTTAAAATCCCAAATGAAAGCTGACAGACTGTTCTACTACAGACTGAGATCTTTTAAAATGGTCTCAGATCCCAAATGCATGAGTCAATTAAAGTGCCTGGCGCTCCTCCTCCCCGCAGAGTGTATTAGTCTGATTGCTGCTGCCTGTTCTCCCCGACTATGATTTCCATGCACCTGTTGTTCACAGTAGAGGAAAAAGCTCACTAATGTATTACCCCTAAAATGAAAAGAGGCTGAAAAACCATTCTCTCCTGCTAATAAATGCTGGGCTACAGTAAGCAGATGAAGAAGTTTAAAAAGGAAAACAGGGAAAGAACATTTAACAAAACCTGATGTCCTCTGGTTTGTACTGCAGCTGAAAATCACTTGGAACTTAACCAATGAGGTTAAAGGAAGAGGCCTGTGGCATGAATGGGAACTTCTTTTGCCACACAGGTGCTGTGGTTTTGAGCATGCCACTGACAGATGCACACACCCCTAAATCTCTCTCCATCTGTCACAGAGCCCACCATGATAGATGCATGCCTTTGAAATAAACTACCCATCTCTCATGCTTTGCTTTTGAACTCTATGTCTCTATCTGGAGAAGTTAGACATGGATCCAAAGTCAACCATTATTTTAGAACCCAGTGCTTTAGTAAGAATCACCTAGTAAGGCCCTAAGGGACCAAACAGGTAACAATTAAATTGTGATGAGGGGTGGGCAAGCGGAATGTCTGGAACCACCCTGGGGAACTCTAAATTGTCAGGGCTCACACCCACTGCACTGGGTGCCTGGAGCAAGGGAGATGCCATAGTGGAGAAAGGAGAGATGGTCAAGACACATTGACTCACATCACATTTTTCAAAAGCCTGCTCTGCTTTGCAGGCAGAAGGGCAGGGGTAGAAATTGGGCCAGAGTTCTCCTCTATGTCTAAACACCCCTCTAGCCCTCATGTGGCTTTCTGCCTTCCTCCTTTTCAAGCCACACAAATGGTAGATCCCAGGGAAGCAAGAAGATGGTTAAACATGGAATCAGGCACCTTGTATAGCTAATTTACAATTTTTTAATACTCTTTAAACACTTGTTTAACTTAGAAGAGAGACTGTGCACTACAAAGGGCAAAAGCTGAGAGGGAAGATATGTAGGGAGTCCTCAGTTTCTTTTGTTGTTGTTGTGGTAGTGTTGTTTGAGACATAGTCTCATTCTGTCATACAGGCTGGAGTGCAGTAGTGCAATCACAGCTCACTGCAGCCTCCATTTCTTGGGCTCGAACAATCCTCCCACCTTAGCCTCCCAAGTAGCTGGGACCACAGGTGCATGGCACCATGCCTGGGTAATTTTATTTTTTGGTAGAGATGGGGTGTCACTATTTTGCTCAGGCTCGTTTCAAACTCCTGGGCTCAAGTGATCCTCCCACCTTGACCTCCCAAAGTGCTGGGATCACAGGCGTGAGCCACCATGTCCACCCTCAGTTTCTTTTGTTTTCCTGAGCAACTCAGTTCTTCTAACTGAGCATGGGGGCCCCACTCAGGAAATCAAAACTTTCATCTGCCCCTGCCCCAATCCAACTCTCTTGTCCAAGTGTTCCTTCCAGCCACACAGAATGCAATCCATGAGGAGAGTTCTTGCAAAAACTTGTGTCCTTTCTTTTCTGTGTCTAGTACTGTTTAGTGCCCCTTATAGATTAGGTGCTTGGGGAAATGCCCAGAAGCCTCACCCCTTAATCCTTCTCTGGTTGAACATCTGGCTATGTAATCTCAGATGCCCCCAGCCTTCATTAACCCTCACTGAACTCTCTGCTCAGGACTGCTCACTGTACATACTTCTCTCCTCAGATTTTGAGCTGTGACGGGAGCAAAAATCCCACAAACAAACAAATATCCTAATAAATCTGAGGTAAGAGAGACTCCTTCTAGAATTTAGAAAAACCAATTGGGAAGACTTGTAATCCAGCAATTTACAAAGAGCCTGGCATATAGTATATGTTCACCAAGTACTTGTTGAAAGAAAATTAATGAATGAATGAGCCACTGTGGCAATAGGATAAAGGATGATATGCTGCCTTCTATCTGCAACTGTAACTGAAGCTACATTCCTTTATAATTTGGCTCTATCATGATCTGTTTTTTAACAATTACAGATACTGATAATGAAGTGCATTTTTTTGACATATGACACTAAGGAGTGGTGCTGGAAAAAAAGACTTCCTGTGCCTTCTCATTTCCACTGGTCTCTTGGTTTGGCCTTGGGTAAACCCATATGATATTTCTGAGTAGAGAACAATGCCCGGGTTTAAACCGGATGCCAGCTACAAAATCCTTATATCAGCATGCTCCTCTTGCCACTGACACATAAACTGGGAAAAAGGCAGGTTTAAACTCAGCTGATGGTAGACGTTCAAGTAAACCAGTAGCCACCTCTCGTTCCCAACACCCCTGGGGGCATCATGTGGCTTTGCCATCAGCTAATCAGCCTGTGCTCATGCTAAAGTTTTCATCACCTAAAATGGGCTTTCCAGTTGGTTCCCCTTAAATGAACCTCAATACCCCCGCTGTGTGAACATGTGGAGTTCCTGATAAAGATGTTTATGAGGTAGGAAATGCACCACAGGACACCCTGAATTTGCTTTTGGGTGGAATGAAACTTAGAACAAATGCAACATGAGATACACATTATAAGCTGACTTCGACTATTAACCAAAACTCCCTCAGATGCACATAGAAAGAACAATGATAGCTGATTTCTCTATTTATAACCCAGAGAGACTGCAAAATTCTGAACTATCTTCTGAATCTTCAAGCATGGTGTCGTTTTAGTTGATCTCTTTTAATATATTTAAATTCTTTGGAAAATCATTCTATTCTATAATGGCAACATCTTATTAACTATAATATCTGAGTAGTTATAAAAATAAAATTCTGCATGAGAAAGAATGGACTGATTCCCTGGTTCCCTATATAAGGAAAAGAGATGAAACTTACAGAACTCCCTAAGCTTATTTCTGGTAGTAGAAAAACTCAATCACAATTACATAAGTGGAGAGGTTTGTAGGAATTACATAAGTGAAGAGGTTTATAAGAATTACATAAGTGGAGAGGTTTAAAGGGAAGCAACGTGTTGTCAAGACAGAACATTTTCAATATCTTGACAAGGCATTTTTCCCAGTTCTCCTTTGGTCATAACGTTAACCATAGGCAAACTAGTGAAGAATTGACTATTAATTTATCTACCTTTAGATGCTTCCTTGGAAGTTCTTTTGTGTGTAGCTCCGTCTCCCTATTTCCTAACCCAAAATTCAAATCTCAATCCATACAACCTGGCACAGAAAAACAACTTGGGGCAAGCAGATTCTCTGGCTGGGGGAGTCCTTGAAATAATAAATAATGAGCAAGCCAGATGCTTAAGAGTAAAAAGTGAAGTTGTAGGTTATGATTTAAAGAGCAATTGAGAAGTTGGCTGGGATGTCATGATGGATCATATTCAAGTGAGGGGGAGTGGAAACTATGAGCAAACATACACTCTGGCGATGAGGTTATACATTTATTTAAACTACAATTCCACTATGCAGACAAAATATAGCTTCTTTATTTGATTTAGAACAGCCTTAATCTTGTTAATGAGCCCTACCCACTGGATAACAAAAGGAACAAACCAAAATAACATGCTTTAGTCTAGTTCTTAGTTTGAAGCAATAATTTTGACATTCTTAGGCATTACTCAATTTTTTAGAATCTTATTTCTTTTCCTTCTCTGTCAATGTGATGTCTGGGGCTATAGGGCAGATTGGAGCTTATATGATCTTGTGGGCTTTGAGGGGAAAGAGGCCCAAATGCCATTTAATATTCTTTGTCTCCTCTAGTCTCCACAGCCATGACCTTGAACAGCTGCTCATGGCTGGCCCCACTGGTACTTGCAGCTACAATTGGCGGCTGGTACCACTTGCGATCTAGCCTCTCGTAGCTTGGGTGGTGGCTGATGGCCTTCCCTGGCTCATGTGGCCTCACCGCACTTTACTGATGCTAATAACCCTTCCTAAAGGGTTGTGCCTCCCATTTGTCTGTCACAGCATCAAAACACGCTTACTGAGAAATAGAACTCCCCAAACTCTGTTTCCTCTACATTGAATCTACATCACTGGAGCACCAAAAGCCAACCCAAAAAGTAAAACATCAGGAAGTTTATCTCACCACATGGCACCTCCAGGTGGACAACTTGATGAAGTCGTCCCAGAGGTGCAGAGGGCAACATGGGAAGTGACTGCCTCCTAGAGTCCCAGGCATGGTATGGAGCGAAATGCTCATGCCACTTCAGTACCCCAAATTACCTGGATGTTCCTAAAGCTGCCCACTGCCCTTGAAGTTTGGCCTTGAGATGGTGTTGGGAGATAAGAGGAAGTTAGTCTTTCCATCTCTGCCTCTCTCCTTTTTCCCACCGTGCTTCAGGCTAGAAAGGGTGGGGTTTTCCTTGTCTTCGCCTGCATCTTACCATCCTTTCACCATCACTAGTTAAGCCTTGTGACTAAGCCATATTAGATAGAAAGGGTATCATCTCTATACCTCAGGAGGAATTCTATGGTCTGATTCATCCAAGTTAGTTCCTGAAATTCTAAAAGGGATTTTGAAAATTCCTCCTGTCATCTAAGCCTGGTTTTCAAGCCCATTATTTTCTCAAGGGACAAGGGGGTTTCATGGCTTAACCTACAAAGAATATGATTTGGAAGGGAAAAGAAAATACATTCAGGAAAAAGGTGGAAAGGTGGAAAATTGCAAAGAATAGGATTTGAGGGGGAAAGAAAATACATTCATTTAACATTCATTTAATATTTGCAAAGTATTCATTCATTACCTATCAAGAATGGAAAATATATTTATAAAGGGTAGGGAATTTGTCAGAAGTGAGAGGACTGCTGTTCAGACACATGGAGCGGAGTTAAGGCTGTGATTGGTAGGGACTAAAATGAAACAGCAAACATCTTACTAGAGCCGTTTAGGTTACAGAGGACTCTCTGGTTACCGTCTCTCTGGAGCCTCCTTTTGTTAGTTTATTTGGCTTTTCCTGTGTTCCCACGCTTGTGTACAAATCTCTAATTACTTGATTTAACTTAAGTGCATTTCTGTTCCTTAAAACCAAAATACCTGATCGAACATAAGCATTAATTTAAGACTTTTATATTCCACAATGTGTATACATTGTGCACACGAGTGTCACTAAATCTCATTTCCTGTTCCCTGTAAATGTCGTAATAGTCTCAGATTCCGGCTGCCACACTCCCAGGTCACCACCATGTCACCCTAGCTGGCTGACCTGACTCTCTTTGCGGTTATCCTGCCATCCTTGCCCCTTTAGGCTCCCTGAAACTCCACTGTCACTACATCCTCTCCTGCCCCGAGACTTACACATTGCTCTTCACCCTCCTCCCAGTCATTGTAAGTTGGATTTGCCTCAGTGCAGTTCTCGGGTTCTGCCCATTTAAAATAATCCAATTTCCCACTATGGTCAACTTGCCTGTACTCTAGGCAGGCCTACATCAAAACTGGCCTGTAAAGGGGAACACCCTGTCTGTGCTTGCTCTCTCATTTTCTGCAGTTCCTCAATGATTTTTGCCCCCATCTACCGCTAGTCTAAATCTAACCCATTTTTCCAAGCTTCCTCCAATCCAACTTATTTTCTTTACTCTGAGCTGTTAGTTACTCTAGGCCATGCTACTTTAGAGCTTAATTATATCTCATCTTTGGATAATAGGTATCTAAAGCTAATTTTTGTTGAGCACCTTTTATGGGCCAAGTGCCTTCCCAGGATAGCTCATTTGATCTGCACTCCACCCCTGTGAGGTGGGCACAATGATGTACATACTGGAAATGAGGAAATGGAGCCTCCTGGTGACTAAGTAACTTTCCTAAAGTCATACAGGTGATGATAAGTGGATGGAACTAAAATTCACACCATGATATCAGATTCCAGAGACTAAACTTGTCGTTAATGCTGGCAAACCGCCCCCAGAGAATCACTGCTTCCAATTTCAAGTGTCTTGATCTTATCTCCCCAACCAGATGGTCGTAACTATGCTGGCAGCAATATGGGCAAGATCATGAATTCTGTGTTGTCTGCATCCTCCTAAGCAAGCACATACAAGACCCTTGAATGATTATCTCCCCTGACTGGCCTCTCCCATTGAATCACCATTATCTCCCATATAGAGCAACATGGTCTTTACATTTGAGGCTTATTCAGATTCTGTTAAGTTTGAGTGCTGCACTTCCTCTCTTTCCTCCCATGCATACTCTGTGAGCCCCTGGATGGCTAAGGTGCTGACCGCCAAAGGTAGGAGGCATCTGGATGCTTTCCCAGAGACTCTACTTCTCTCTCTCTGCCCATCTGCCAGGCTTGACTTCTGATGTCATGGGACTCTGGTCAACCCCTGATGCCCTTTTGCAATGTCGGGATTGCACAATGTTCCTAAATCTACCTTCCAGACAAACCAATCCCAAAGGAGTTCATGAGCAGGATTATAGCCTGCAGAAGGTGTTCCCAGGCCAGCTCCCCTGAGGCTGGGCTTTTTGTACAGTGTTGAAAGGAGACCCCTAAGATTTCTCATTGAAATGCTCCCCAGCCCTGTGATTTATTTAGAGGGAAACCAGCTGCCCCAGTGAGAGCAGAGAAATGTCTAGTTTGTGAACAGATTTTAAACATTAGAGCTTATGCCTTCAAAGGGTGGTTTCCCAAGGGGATCTCTCTTCCTGCTCCTAAATGAAAAGCTACAAGCATTTAGGGCTACCTTAAGATGTGGTGAAATGAGGGTTTGAGACTGTCAACATTTGGCTTTGCTCTTTGCGGAGGGTGCTGGGGAGCTTCACAGGCCCAGGCCTGGCAGGAAAAGGCTCGGCAGGGGCCTCTTTGTTGTGAGAGGATTTGGGGTGGAAATCATTCGTTTCCTCCAAAGGCCTCCTCCCCACCAACAGTGTGGCGCCTCCCTTCCTCTCCAGCATCCTCGCCGGCCTCTCCAGTCTCTCTGCTTCCCCTCTGCCACCCAGTGTCCTCCTTGGGAGGAAGAAGAGAACAAAGTACATTCAAAAAGGCCTTCCTCTCTCTTCCTATAAGGTCACCCCAAAAAAGTCTCCCCAATATCTTAGAGTGCAAGTTTCTTGTTATACCAGGGTTTGGCTGCAGAAACTAGAAGTAATTCCATCAGTGATGACATGACAAGATCATTTAAGGATCCCCTTAAAAGCCCTGCTGTTTGTCTAAATTTCTGCCCACAGCTGTCTGTTTAAGAAACCTCACAGAAACACCATGAAATCCTGTTTGTTCTCAACCCTTAATCAGTGCTAATCCAACAGGATGGGAAGGTGGAGCTTGTTTTAAGATGGGGGAAGGGCGGCATCTGTGATCATGACACACATCAGACAACTTCCCCTTCTAGACATGTCAGGGGATGTTATGGCTTATGGGAGATGCTCAGGAAAAAAAGCGAGGGGGGTTGTTCTTCCCTGGCCTGCTTTTATCTTTAATTGTCAACACTCCTGGCCTGCAGAGGATTGAAAAGAAAAAACTGTACAGGCCTAAATCAGTCAGAGTAGCAGGGAAGGGGTGAGATGCTCCACACTCAGGATTTAAGTCTCTTCCTGCAAGTGGGGAACTTTTTTCTATGCCTGGCGCACCTGTGCCTGCTTCAAAATGGTCCTGGACCTGGCCCCTGGTCTGCAAAGAATGAAGTGAGGCAGCATTACTTGACCCCTAATTCACTGAAGAAATGTATGTATATCCAAGGAAGTGTGATTCCTGGAAATCCAGATTTATAAAGGTAAGATTAAGTCAGGGATTAGATAGGCTTTTTGATTTCCTTGGGAAACATGAAAGGATGCCTTAAAATGGTGTCTCCCAACCAAGGGCATTTGAAATATGATCTGATTTTAAGAATTTGGTCCCCAATCAAATTCTTGGCAATTGAATCATATTCAGTGTGGGGGAGGTGGGAGAGGGAACTCATTTACTCATCAACTACATCTATGCAATTCCAACATCGGATGGGAAAGCAAAAATTCTCAGGACAGAAAAAGATTCACTAATTAATTGACCACTTATGTAATTAGTTCTCATTTAATCATAAGTTTCCACTTATGCTGTTGTCTACCCTCACACTGGCATCAAGATCTTTGTTGGTCACTCCCATGAGGTCATTAATACAATGCAAATCAAATGCAAATTGATTGCAACAAAGTGAAATTGCATATCCTACAAAAGATGTAGGCTTTCATCCAACTTGGATGAGGACATAATTTGAGCTTCAAAAGAGAGTGATCTGAATATCAGAGAATTAAAAGAGACTCTCGGGGAAATGAGTGAAGTCCTTTAATATTTTTGCAGAAATGACCCTCTCATGACTGTAGCAAAAGTCAATGTAAAGTAAAGGAGATCTTAAAATTTTGCCAGCAAAGTTAAGCCAAAAAATCAACATTTAATTCATTTCCTGATTCTAAAATTAGCAATTGATTTTAACTGTAACATTCTGGTAAATATAAAATAAATACTAAATGATTTTATACCTTTCATTTTTAAAAATAAAATTCAATCAGTACTTTAAAAATACCATTTATTGTAAAAAAAATGCTTCTTGTTTCAAGTGATTTCTCTTTGAATTTTTAAAGTATCAGCTATCCTTGGATATTGAGGACCATCTGTGGTTCTTTATTATTTCACATATATTATTTCATTTACTGCTCACAGCCACCCTGTTAGGCTAAGCAGCTATTAGCACCATTTTTACAAGTAAGAAAATTGAGGCCTTGGGAGGTGATTTGAACAGTATTACAAAGTTAGTAAATATTAGCTTCAATTACATAGGCAATGCAATTATTCTTATTTTGTAAAGGAGAAAATTCTGTCTCTAGCAGGTTCAATGACTAACCCTTGGGCGCATGGCTAGTAATATTAGTTACATTCCAACCCAGATCTTCTGTCCCTAAATCAAATCTTATCCTACTATAGCCACCAAATTTATTTACAAATAAAAATAGCCAAGCATGATGTAACCAATGTTTTGAGAGCTAAAGATGTCAAAGGGAACCTCTAGTCTATTCAGAAAGCAGGGTTCTGTTGCAACCTCCATTGAGAGGAAGGGAGGGGTAATCACTATTAGATTAAAGTGTATGTTTAATTCATTTTAGATTGAGTTAAATGAGCACTTCAGTCATGAGTACAGCAGGCTATATTCTTCTTCAGTGACCCATTTGCCAAAAGTACCACAGCAATTAAACACTGAGCAAATACATGCATAGGTAAGATAAAAATAGCACTCAGATGTTGAAAACCTAAATTTATCCAGCACATTTAAGCCTAGCATAGCAAGGCATATGTGGTATCTGTTTTTATTAATGGATTTTTATTTCTGGCTTCTTTTTCCCTTTCAGCTTTGGTAATGCTAGATGTATGAACAAAAATCTAGATATCTATCCAGAAATTGTCACTTTAGTACTCATCAGTTGATACAAACAATATAACTGAGGCCATTATAATATTAAGTGAATTTTCAACAAATAGAGTTAGAAATCCAATTATCTTTCCATAGAAAGCTTTTGTGTGGAGTCATTGTTAAATAAAGGAGGGAAGCCAGTGGGAGAGTTAGAACAGCAATTTCTCCTCCCTGCAAAAGGACGTTGGAGAAGTTCATCCTGCACATACATTAATCCATTCATAATGGCCTGCCCACTGCAGTCAGCCCACAAAGATCATTTTTAACTTCCTTTTCACTTCTGGTTACTGGAGGCTTCCTTTTGGACACAGAGCAGCAAAGCAGGAGCCGACAACTTGGGCAAAAAACTAAAAGATGAAACACACAGCCCTGCACACAAGCAAATGGCTTAACACTAAGTTCCAGATGGAAGGCACAGCACCCCTCCCCTGGGGCCTCAGTCTAGGGCCTTCAGAGCTTACTGGAAATGAGAGAAAACAGAAATTCCTTACCTTGGTTCCAATTTGACTAGACTTTGGTCGGCCTTAGATTAGTGCCTCTCAAGCTTTAATAGGTGTGTGAACCAAGTTAGTATCTGGGTTAAAATGCAGATTCTGATTAACAGATTTGGAGTGGGGTCTAAGACTCTACATTTCCAGAAAGATGGCAGGTGATTCCCATGCTATTAGTCCATGAACTTTGAGTAGAAAGAATCAAAACTAACCTAAGCCTTAGTTGGGACACTGAGTCTTATGCTTGACTCTCGGCAATGGCCATTAAAATTATATTCAACAGGGAGCTTAAAGACCCTCTGGCCTTTGACAATTACTAACTATGTAACCTTGAGCAAGTTGCTTAACTTTTCTGTACCTTGATTTTCATAAAAGGTTGGTTATAAGGATTAAATGAAATAATGCTTACTACAGTGCCTGATACTTAGCATTTGCTTTGTAAATACAACTGATTTCACTGCTTCATTTTACAGATGTACAGAAAAGTCATTCTGAGGTGAAGAATCTTGCTCAATGTGACACAGCTTGCTAGTGCCAGTGGTTGCACAGGAACACAATCTCCTGACTTTTAGTTGAAAGCCCTTTCTACCACCTGTGGGTCTGCTGCTTAGTTAGAGCCCATTACTAATTAAGAAAGCTGACCTAGGGTACACCCAGGCCCCCTTCACTTCCCCAGCCTCAGAAACCCACAGAGCAACTATGGCTTACGTCACGCACCCAAATATTTTTGCTATAGCCGGTCCTGACAACACAAGCCTTCTGCCTGCCATTAATTATGAAGATTACCCAGATAATTGATTTAATTGGGAACAGGGAGTATCTCAGTGCAACCAGCCAAAGTGGATTAGATCTCCTCAGTGCGGTGTGTAGATCCCTGCAGCTCTCAAGGGGAAAGCATTTCCCTCATGGGGAAAATTATGGATGCCCCGATGGAACCTATTGTCTACTCTCTGCATAACACTAGCTTTGGTGACCTGGTCTCTGGGGATAAAATTAAAATTAGTGCCAGGCACATACAACCCTTTCTTCTTCCCTGCCATCTTTATAGAAACCCTCAATAGAGTTCTAATGCCCACATTTGACAATGATGTCTTTTGGGAGGTCAGGAAGCAGAGAGAGTAAAAAAAATTCTCTCCCAATGTGGTTTTACAAATGGGCATTAGCCACAGGCTGTTCCAGCTCAAGGGTGAAGAGTAGCACAAACTCTTTTCTTTCTCTGCAATAAAAAGAATGAAATTACTTCTTTCTATAGCAGTGCTAAGATATGAATAACTGAACTGGAAAAAAATATTAGCTGTCTGTCTACTGTTGCTGCATAATACAAAATATATATCATTCCAGCATCTGCCCAGTGAAAAATTACAAGAACACTAGCAAACATGTGCTACAAAGTATCTTTGATTTGCTTGTCCTCATTATTGATGCAATCAAAATGGGGTTATCAATCTGGTTCTTTGAAATCAACTATTTTAGTATCCATTTATTCTAAAGACACAACACTTTTAACAAATCAGCCTCACATCACTTTAACCTCTGTGGAATATTTTCTTTTCTGTTTCTCCATGTATGAAAGCCATTTAAAACATCTGGTAGACTGAAAGCCCAGGAAAGAGAAGCCACCTGAATAAAATACAAAAAGCAGTGTTATTGATACAAATACTAAATTATGTGTGCTGAGATTCTTAAACTTGGGAAACTGAAAATAAGATGGTTCTGGAGACTGATGATGGAATATAGAGCCTTTGTCTTTTAGGCGACTGTTGACATTCTAATCAGAGCAGAAATGGGAAAACAATGCAGCAGAAATGCTTCTACCCATTGAGGATACATTCTGCCTTAGTTTCTTTCTAAGGGCCCATGAACCTGCCACCATAAATCAAAACCATCTAAGATGTTGCTTTACATGCTTTGGCAACATTCACTATTTGATGGGATCAGATATTTCCTCATTCCCTGTTATGGATTGAATTGTATCTCCCCCCACCCCCCAAAAAATGCAAAAATATTAACCCCCAGTACCTCAGAATTGAACTTATTTGGAAATAGGGTCGTTGCAGATGTAATTAAATTAAGATGAGGTCATACTTGAGTAGGGTGGATCCTTTATGCTATGTGACTGGTGTCCTTATAAAAGAGATGGTCATGTGAAGACAGGCACACACACAGAACACCATGGAAGATGGACCAGAGATTGGAGTGATGCCTCTACAAGCCAAGGAGTCCCTGTGACTGCTGGCCATGACCAGAAGCTAAAGAGAGGCATGGAACAGACTCTCCCTCGGAGGCCTCAGAAGGAATTCACCCTGCTGACACTTGGATTTTGGACTTCTAGGCTTTAGAACAATCAGAGAATACATTTCTGTGATTTTAAGCTATCCAGTTTGTGCTACTTTATTACAATAGCCCTAGGAAACTAATATATCCCCCCAAAAGGATTTTTTTCTTTTTTCTTTTTTTTGAGACAGTCTCCAGCCTGTTGCCCAGGCTGGAGTGCAATGGCACAATCTCGGCTCACTGCAACCTCCGCCTCCCAGGTTCACGCGATTCTCCTGCCTCAGCCTCCCGAGCACCTGGGATTACAGATGCCCGCCACCACACCCAGCTAATTTTTTTGTATTTTTAGTAGAGATGGGGTTTCACTATGTTGGCCAGACTGGTCTCAAACTCCTGACCTCGTTATTCACCCACCTTAGCCTCCCAAAGTGCTGGGATTACAGGTGTGAGCCACCACACCCAGCCAAGGATTGTTACATTTCTATCCTTTATGTCAAGTCAGAGCCTGGTTAGCCCTCTGAGATAGGAATGAATCTGAGATTCCAAAAAATAAATGAACTTGAAGATAGGAAACTTTCCCAGCCCCATACAGACTTTCTACTGAGCCAGTGTTTTGTTGGAGATGTGTCACTTTCTTTTAAGGAACATACAGAAGACCTTGGGGTCTCCGTGTCTGTGTGTCTGGTACCCTTCAGTGTGAAGCAAAACACATTTGGAAATGTGAAATTTTGACTGTGCCCCCTTTCAACTGTTCACCATTCTTTGATTTATTTAATGAATATTTATCTTCTGCCCACAGGGACAGATAACTGACATGTTGAGAACTTAAAAGTAACTGGTCTTATCTTCACCTGCCTTTCCATAAACATTTATATTCATAGCATCAGTGTCACAATCTATCATTGATTGATTTTGAAGTTGTGTGTTTCTCAGAGCCTTACTTACACCAGCTTATGAACGAACAGATAAGAGCTAGCAAAATTTCTGCTCAGAGTCTGTACATAAAATGGCACCACTGGCTATAGTTTATACTGGAAAATAGCTTTCATCTTTCATGGCACACAATAGGCCCACACTAATGGCCTGGTGATGAATGCTGATGCTGAGAGCTCTGTATTGAGGTCAATTACAAGACCACACCTGGACTCCACAGGAACTGTGCTGGGAGGCATCAATGTCTCCACCAAGCGCTCGGGGGTACAGTCGTAGTGAAGGAGCTGAGTATTTGCCCACCCTGCTTTTCAGGTTCAAGTGAAAAGACTTTGAAATTATACCTTAAAAAAAAGAAACTTGTGAAACATAAAATATAACTTTAATAACAGAATGTGTGACACTATGAATCTTGGAGAATGGCTTAAGAAACTCAGCAAGCATTTTTTTCTAGCCCTTCTCTAATGATAATGTATCTAATTTTACAGATTAAAGAAGTAAAGTTGAGTATTTTGTTTTTTAAATCATCACTGCTACTTTCCAAGCTTGTGAGCTTGAGTTCTTTTAGGATCTACATTCACGACCCTTCTACTGCCCAAGAGACTTACATGTCAGAGGAGTGACAACATCTCCAGGAGCTTGGTAAATTTTGGCCAACTATTTGACACAATCCTTGTCCCTTGGAAAACACTAATGTATGTTTAACGTGAAAATCAACTTCCTAGAAATCCCCTATTCCAGTAGCTTGTAAGGATGACAGCTGTTTAACAGAGGAAAACTGGTTTCAACCCTTGTGTATTTGAACAACTGCTTACAATGTAAAATAAGAACATCTCTGGACCAGTCAATCCCGTCCCTGCAGAATTATGTGCTGGTTTTTATACAGTGCTAAACAGTTTGGCAGATCTAATGTCATCAATGTATGAATTAGTTTCACATCTCTGGCTGTAAGAAACTGATAACACCCATAAAGCAATTCCCAGGTAGACTCTGATTGGCCAGCTCAGGTTACAAGCCCATGCCGCAGTAGTAGGGTATGGTGCCCAATTAATAACCCATCAAGATTCTGTAAAATGGAGGAGGAGTTCCTTTGATTGTATCCAGCACAATAGGAATGGGATAATATGCTGATCAATGACAGACTATCAGAGCCCACTTCAATATTCTGATCCTTGGCCGGGCGCGGTGGCTCATGCCTGTAATTCCAGCACTTTGGGAGGCCAAGCAGGTGGATTATGAGGTCAGGAGTTCGAGACCAGCCTGACCAACATGGTGAAACCCCGTATCCACTAAAAATACAAAAATTAGCTGGGCGTGGTGGTGCATGCCTGTAATCCCAGCTACTCAGGAGCTGAGGCAGGAGAATCGCTTGAACCCAGGAGGCGGAGGTTGCAGTGAGCTGAAATCGCACCACTGCACTCCAGCCTGGGCGACAGAGCAAGACTCCATCTCAGAAAAAAAAAAAAAAAGATTCTGATCCTCTTAAACTGAGGTACCCCATCTTATATCTCTACGTATCCTCTGTAGTTTCTAGCACTGTACCTGAAAATGCAATCTTTTAATAAATTCTGATAAAAAGAAGAGGATGTAGCAAGGTAAAGAGCTCTTTTCCACACCTCTGCTTCACATCTTCAAGAACCCCATTTGATGCCAGGCCAGAAATGGGGCTCTAATGCAAGCTACAGTGGCTCTGGGGCTTCTGATGTGCACTTTATTTGGAGGAGGGCCAACTTAATTCAGAAAAGAGTTCTCCAGGCTGGACTGACAGTGACCTTTCCACAGTGACCTCAGTTTAAGGCCTCATTCAATTTGAAGGAGAATCTTAAGGCTAGTTCGAACAAGCTGCCCCTGAGATAAAGCCAGAAATGGTTCATGCTCTGCAGCAGAGGCATAGACATAATGAACTGCTGACTGGTGCCAAACAATCTCTTCCTTTTCATTCACTATGCGTAATTAGTCCAGATTTATAGGACAGACTTCCTAGAATCCTCAGGCACACACACACGACAAATCTCTGGAAGGAAATGGACTTCAATTTTCCCTTCCCAAGCTCCCCTCTTGGAAGCTCTGTCACTCAAGGCCCTCTGTCTGTCACATCTCCTCTGAGATCCTTGAAGGCTGAGCTGGTTTGGAAAAGAGCACACTCCATTATCAAGCCAGGCTCCTTACACATCTTAGAACTTACTGACACCTGCTGGACGGTTTCCTTCTCTCTGAAAAGCATCTGAGCAGAAGCCTTTGCCCTATGTGTGAGGTCGAAGGAGCCAGGACCTTGGCTTCTGCACTGGAAGAGGAACAGAGAGCTTTCCCTGCCCTGCGGAGTGCTGTGTCTGCTCAGTGAAAACGTACCTCCTCCCCACAGAGAGCAGACTTGAGAGTCCCCAGGCAGCTTCAAGAACAAGCACCCTGATGGTAAAAATGCATGCAGGAAGGAACACCATGAAGAGCAGTTCAGAGGTGGAAGGTTGGAATTCATGATCATGGTCAAACTCCTAGATTCTTATGGCTTTTCCTCCTGGAGAGACTGAACATACAGCTAGCTTGAAAAGTATCCACTTCCAAGTGTGGAGCCTTACACTGTTCTCTGGGTTGCCAGAGCCAGGAGATGCTGCTTGACCGGGTCTGTGTTGCCCCAGAGCAAATCCTGAAGGAAGTAAAGGTGACCCTTGGTACTGTCCACTCTCAAAACATCTGGTTGTCTTTGGCTGCCTTCTCCAACTCCTAATGTTTTCAGGGCAATGCACTCTTCTCAACAGGTTGGAATAAGCAAATAAACTAATTTCATTGCATCCTTGTGAAACTGCATGTTTTAAGAGAACCTTGGGGTGAGATTTGTGCTAAAGTCCAGTGAATCTCTCCTAATGGTAGCATTTTAAACCTGAGGATAGGCTAATAACAGAAACTACTTGGAAAAGTGGGCTTGTGGAACCCCTTTAATTATAACGTGTTGGACAGCTGCCTGCAGGTAGATCTTGCATAGAACTAGTTAGTTATTGCTGCTATCTTGCCAAGGAATTGCCCTACATGGAGACCAACTGCTGGACCGCCCATTCCCCAGCCTCTTCTCCTTCTTCCCAGGAAAGAGGAGGAGTACTCACTGGCTGGCTGGCTGGCTGGCTCCCCTCAAGCTCCCTGGAAGATCCCTTCTGGAGAAGCTATTCTTCAGCATTCCCTCCTGGAACCACCCATCCCATCTGCAGTCATAAGAGCACCCCTGAGTCTCATCTCAGTTTTCCTCCCTAAGAGCCCAGCTAAATGCAGAAAGCAGGAGAGTAGGTGAGTGTGAGAGCATCTGTAAGCCTTTTTGCCGCCAGGGCTCTAGTGTGGCAGAGAGACCTCCCTGGGAGTGGAGCTATACCCTTCCCTATACAGGAACACAGCCTGCCCAGGCCAACCTCAGAAACTAAACACCTTTATTTCAAGAAAGAAACACCATGCTCAAAGGTCCTCCACCTTTGGGGCCCCCCTCCCATCTTCAGTATGCTTCAGGCCAGAATTTAGGTAGAGCTCTGAAGTTTGAGTTCTAATAGCTGGGTGTTGCCTACATTTGGTGTTCTAAATGACCCCTGGCCTCCTAGGGGTAATTATACAGCGGGATTTGAGGGTTTAAGGATGGGTAGGCCAATACTGGTAAATACCAGAAGGAATGTACAATTTCCCCCTAAAAGCCTGTTAGGGCCAGAGCCTGCAGAGATGAAAGAGGTCAGGAAAATGCCATGATATTACTTGCTTCCTACCTTAACATTTGGCCTCTCTGTGTCCCTGCACAAAGAAACCTGTGCTGCCTGTCAGATATGAAAAGCATTGCTATTTAGCAACTCAAAAACCATTAGAGGATTTACTTCAATAACCTGGAACTCATGGATTTCCAGAATCCAGCCTTTGTAGTGCTCTCTAATTTTATGATCTGTATCCTCACAAATCCTCCTCTGTCCCAGACATACTGTGTTCCAGCACAGTCTTTTGTTCACAATGCTCCCCGTAGCCCCAAATGCAGCCCTGAGTCTTCCTCTCCAGTGATCTCAGTCCCAGCCATGTTTCAGCACCTCCCCCATGTCCCACCTCCTAATGAAGCCCTCCTCTGCCACTGCCCTCACCACCCACAGCTCTTAATATTTCCCCTGTCCTATGTCATACACTTCCTTAGGTTGTTGCTTATATTTTCATGTAGGCAGCCTTTGTTCTGGAAGACCACAGGCCCCTCAGAGGTAAGCTCTTTGTCATATACCTGTTTGACTCCCCAGTTCAAACCCAGAACTTTTCACCACAACTTAGCCCATGGAGGGGGTCCCCTACATGGCATCCCTGAAAGATGTTTCCCCAGTCTCGCCATGAACATTTCTGGTGACAGGATGTGCATGACTTCATCCTGACCCACTCCAATATTGAATAGCTATAAGTTTTATTAAGTTCTTATTTCTACTAAGCCAAAATCAGCAATATCTGCTCCCAATGCTGCATTACAAGCAGCTGCTAGCTCTCAATTTTTGTCAGGATTCTCTTCTCCAGAGCAGAGATTCCCCAATTCTTTTGATCTTCATCTATCATAGTTTACAGACCCTGTACCATTCCGGCAGCTCTCTCCTGGGAAATTTCTGGTTTCCAGAGTCTCTCATGAAAGTTGCCACCCAGAGGGGAACACAATATTCAGCTGTATGAAGATGTGTGCTCTGAATGATGAACATACTCGAGGGAGGTATCTTGGTGATAATGGTGATGATCATGATCACGATCAAATTCTAACCACCTTTTAAAACACGAGGAAATTGCTAAAGAAAGAACGCTAGTATTTTACCCATCCAAGGGATTCCAGTTTTGAAGAAAACCAAAAATGTAGGAAATGCAGTCACCTGGATTGTGGCAGACATTGAATCTACTTTCTCAATGTTATTTCATAGCCTTCTGATGGTAGAGTTGTGGTTTGAGTGAGTTATACAAAGAAGTTCATGTATCTGATTAAACAGCTTTATGTGTTACCAACTGGAAAGATAACTATGGCCTTCCAAACCGACACTGGCTGCCTCTGCAGATCCTTGTTAGAATAGAGCTGGCTCGGAACCTCAGCGGTCCTGGAGATGTTCCAACAGCTCAGGTTTCCCAGATCTCTGCACTCCTCACCCATCCCTAAGCCTCCTCCAGGGCCTCAAAATCTCGGAAGTCCCTTCAAAGAGCCAAATTAAGAGAATGAAATCATCAAATGTATGAAGAAAACCACCAGGAAGAAACAATTTCCTTTTCTCCAAGTCCCTCAACATACCAAGCAATGCCTTACGTAGGTTTAGGGCTTGGGAGGCCAGATTATGCTTTAGTTCTTGAGGGCCTTTTATGTAGCCACAGGACCTTACGTGAGTGAATTCTCCTTCCTGGCCCTCACTTTACTTCCTACTCCAAAATCTATGAACCTAAAGTCTACAACTAATGAAGGAGGAAAGCCTGATAAGAAATCAAATGATTCCCCTAATCACTCCAGCCCACACTGATCTTTTGTTTTCTTTTAATTCTGAGGCATTTATTTTCTGTACCATTTATTTAATTTTAATATTTTGCTGCCTTCTTATTTTTATTCTCATAAATAAAAGGATAGTAAGCTCTAGGAAAAAAAAAATAACACAACTCATCTAATGCCCTTGGAAAGTTGAGGGAACTGACTGGCCTAAAGTTGCAAAGCTGATTAGTACAAGAGTACAGATAACCATCCCAGCTAGATGCTAAGCTCCCAAGAGGTCAGAAGAGAACAGGTTGACACATCCTTCTTTTTAGATCCAACCAGCAGCTCACTTTTAATAGATGTGCCTCAGGTCACCTTAATAGCAAACTAGGTTAGGTCTTGGGTCTATGACTGAAGGCTTCTTAGAGAAGTGGGATGAAAAGGAACTGCCCCTGGGACATTTAGTTATCCTGGCTGTCATCTACTAAGCTGTAGGATCTTCTCATATTCATAATCTCTTACCTTAAATGTGGTGGTATTTTGAAAGACAGTAGCTGGGCTTAGACATCAGCCCAAGCAAGGCATAGCTCACAGTCTCAATGCCCTACCCTGTCACCTGGAGTCCTGATGAAGTTTCTGCCCAAACAGAAAGTTGGGGCACCCTTTATTCTCCAAGCCTTAACTTCAGGAGTCTGTTGCCACAAACTTACACAGAACAGAAATCTATATGGTGATTATAACATATGCTCAAATATAAGATGGCCACAAATACAAAGTGATTTCCCATAAGAACAGCCAAAGGAAAAGTTTTTGGCCAATTTGAATATATAAACTTTCAGGGATATGGATGAAATATTCAATTGTCTACTCATAATAATTTGTTAATTAAATTACTTGTTGATATTAAAAATCATGTACTACCTAAAATAATGCTTAATTTAGAATTTCTTGCCACCCTCATGTTTCAGAATAATTTTGTACATTCTCAAAATATATTTTCCATGTTCGTTGTCTCTTTCATCATAATCGCCAATTTTTTATCTTTTACCAACTTGTCCAGAGCACATTGTTTGACATACAGCACTTTTTGAAATCGTGTGAGATGATGTCTGTAAAATTTCTTTCAAACCATAAACTTTCCTAACAGTAGGGGTTCCCATTCATTCTATAAGTTGACAATACAACTACTTCCCTTTTTGCTATTTTGTGTTTTCAAAACCCAAATTTGAAAGTTTGAAGGACTACCCTAAGGAATAATTACGAAATCTGTGTCAAATTGCCATGCCTGCTTTCTAAAACGCATTTTTGTAAGATGTTCTCTATAAAACTGTAGAACTAGCAGTGATTGAATCATTTCAGGGAATGTATCTTTCCTAAATAGTGTTTTAAAAAAAAAAAAAAAAAGAAACGAGATGACCTAGAATATGAGAAACTTCAAGAAGTCTTGAATAATACCTCTATTTATATCTGTGTCTATTTTTATGTCTATGTCTCCCTCCCTTTGTGAAATAACTTTGAAGGAAAAACTTTGCCTTATAGGTAAGGAGTGCCCAGTTTATACCTGTTTTCTGGAGTAATTATTAATAGTGCATTCTTTTATGCTCAAAAGTGTCCCAGTTTGGACAATATATTCAGTTGCCACTCTACTGATGGCAAGGAATATGCTATATATTATAAATCTGTAGCCTTGTCAAGGCATTCACCATATTGGCCATTCAGTAAGCTTCCTATAAAGCTAATATCTGCATGGCAGCCAGATGGAACTTGAAGGCATGGTGCTTGGAAATTAAAGCAATGTAACTAATTATCTAAAGTGATATTACAATGTGTAAGATACTGAAAATTTGACTATCAGTCAACACAGCATCTGCTTCAAAGAAAACATTTTTTTAAAGCATCTTTATTTTTTAGAAATCTAATTATGAGGAACTCAGTTACGAAGTGCTGCTTTGATCTTAGAACAGTACATTTAGTTTATTATTAGTTTAAACTAGATATTTTGTTTAATATCTCTAAATATTTGGAGATAAATTGTCCTTATTAACTTACTTTACCATTGAACCATTCAGACTTACAATGATGTCTTGTTTAAGGCAAAATTTATTTCCAAAGGACTGTCTTGAAAGTGAGTGCATTATGTGGAATGAGGGGCGAGTGAACAGATAGACTGGCTGCAAAGAGCTCTGGGCTGACGAAGCTCTGATCAGAAATCCAAGCCTTGGGCAAGCCTGCCAGCCTTCCTCACTTTCTCATGTGTTGTGGGAGGGGCCTGGTGGGAGATAATTTGAATCATAGGAGTGGTTTCCCCTATACTGTTCTTATGGTAGTGAATAAGTCTCATGAAATCTGATGCTTTTATCAGGGGGTCTCTGCTTTTGCATCTTCCTCATTTTCTCTTGCTGCCGCCATGTAAGAAGTGCCTTTTGCCTCCTGTCATGATTCCGAGGCCTCTCCAGCCATGTGGAACTGTAAGTCCAATTAAACCTCTTTTTCTTCCCAGTTTTGGGTATGTCTTTATCAGCAGCATGAAAACAGACTAATTCAGTAAGTTGGTACCAGAAATGGGGTGTTGCTGAAAAGATACCTGAAAATGTGGAAGCAACTTTGGAACTGGGTAACATGCAGAGGTTGGAACAGATTGGGGGGCTCAGAAGAAGACAGGAAAATATGGGAAAGTTTGGAACTTCCTAGAGACTTGTTGAATGGCTTTGACCAAAAGCCTATTAGTGATATGGACAATAAGGTCCAGGCTGAGGTGGTCTCAGATGGTGATGAGGAGCTTGTTGGGAACTGGAGCAAAGGTGACTCTTGTTATGTTTTAGCAAAGAGATTGGCAGCATTTTGACCCTGCCCTAGAGATTTGTGGAACTTTGAACTTGAGAGAGATGATTTAGGGTATCTGGTGGAAGAAACTTCTAAGCAGCAAAGCATTCAAGAGATGACTTGAGTGTTAAAGGCATTCAGTTTTATAAGGGAAGCAGAGCATAAAAGTTTGGAAAATCTGCAGCCTGACAATGTGATAGAAAAAGAAAAACCCATTTTCTAAGAAGATATTCAAGCAAGCTGCAGAAATTTGCATAAGTAAGAGGAGCCAAATGTTAATCTCCAAGAAAATGGAGAAAATGTCTCCAGGGCATGTCAGAGATCTTCACAACAGCCCCTCCCAACACAGGCCCAGAGGCCTAGGAGAAAATGGTTTCGTGGGCCTGGCCCAGGATCCCAGTGCTGTGTGCAGCCCAGGGACTTGGTGCCCTGCATCCCAGTCACTCCAGCCGTGGCTGAAAGAAGCCAATGTAGAGCTCAGGCCATGACTTTAGAGGATACAAGCCCCAAACCTTGGGAGCTTCCACATGGTGTTGAGCCTGCAAGTGCACAGAAGTCAAGAATTGGGGTTTGGAAACCTCCGCCTAGATTTCAGATGTATAGAAATGCCTGGATACCCAGGCAGAAGTTTGCTGCAGGGGTGGGGCACTCATGGAGAATTACTGCTAGGTCAGTGCAGAAGGGAAATGTGGGGTCAGATCCCCCACACAGAGCCCCTACTGGGGTACCGTCTAGTGGAGCTATGAAAAGAGGGCCACCATCCTCCAGACTCCAGAATGGTAGATCCACCAACAGCTTGCACCATTTGCCTGGAAAAGCCACAGACACTCAATGCCAGCCCATGAAAGCAGTCAGGAGGGAGGCTGTACCCTACAAAGCCATAGGGGTGGAGCTGCCCAGGATCATAGAAACTTACCTCTTGCATCAGTGTGACCTGGATGTGAGACCTGGAGTCAAAAGAGATCATTTTGGCGCTTTAAAATTTGACTGCCCCGCTGGATTTCGGACTTGCATGGGTCCTGTAACCCCTTTGTTTTGTCCAATTGCTTCCATTTGGAATGGCTGTATTTACCCAATACCTGTACCCCCATTGTATCTAGGAAGTAACCAGCTTGCTTTTGATTTTACAGGCTCATAAGTGGAAGGGACTTGCCTTGTCTCAGATGAGACTTTGGACTGTGGACTTTTCAGTTAATGCTGAAATGAGTTAAGACTTTAGGGGACTGTTGGGAAGGCAATGATTGGTTTTGAAATGTGAGGACATGAGATTTGGAGGAGCCGGGGTGGAATGATAAAGGTTTGGCTGTGTCCCCACCCAAATCTCATCTTGAATTGTACTCCCATGATTCACAAGTGTTGTGAGAGGGACCCGGTGCGAGATAATTTGAATCATGGGGGCAGTTTCCCCCATACTGTTCTCGTAGTAGCGAATAAGTCTCAAGAGATCTGATAGTTTTATCAGGGGTTTCCGCTTTTGCATCTTCCTCACTTCTTCTTGCTGTCACTATGTAAGAAGTGCCTTTCCCCTCCCACCATGATTCTGAGGTCTCTCCGGCCATGTGGAAATGTAAGTCCAATTAAACCTCTTTTTCTTCCCAGTTTTGGGTATGTCTTTATCAGCGGCATGAAAATGGACTAATACAGACTGCTTGCCTGTTATATTTTATATTAAACATGACCTGGTCATCTCATGGCAGTCAGCAGGTTTGAACTCTTTCTGTGTGGCCAACTTTGGGAAGCCACTCTCCTGGAGCCACAGGTAATGTCATGGAAAAAGAGTCTTGCCAAGGCGGTGACTTATGAAGTATCCCCTCTCCTCAACCATATATGCATCTCCTCCATCTACCAAGCAGCACAGAGAGGGTTCCCATGAGATATAGTCCTAGAGAGACGCTCGTTCTTACATTGGGAACATGAGTCCTGCTCTCTGTATATGCTGTCATCCAATTTTGCCTGCAGTGAGCTGGCCTGATCAGAGAACAACCAAAGGACAGCTGTCCCTCAGAACAATCAGGACCTTGAGACCTTTACTTGGGCCCCACACTGTCCTACTTTCTGCTTGAGAGCTGAAGGCATATTTCTAGAAAGAAGGCAGCCTAAGCACCAAGGGTAATGCTCTGGGAATTTTCAGCCCCCGATGCTGCTCTGCGAGGATAAGAGAAGAGGCAGAAAGAGAAACCTCTTAGAATCCTCTCCCACACTCTCCAAATATCTAAGAAACCAGGCCGCCTCAGGTCTCTTGTCGACAAGAGCTTTCCCTTCCCACCATTTCCTAACCTCACAAAGAGCACGACGGGAGATACAATGAAGAAGGCTGGAGAGGAAGGCCTCAGCTATGGAGGCTGCTGTACTTCATCACCACCTCTTATGTCCTGGTGGCCTTTTGCCTCCCTCGATTATGTCCTCTTTCTTTCCGGGGCTGCTTCTTCCAGACGAAGCTGAAATGAGAGGGTAGGATGTGAGGCCAACTTTCCCATGTGCCCTTGGAACACGAGGATGTGATGTTTATCCCTCCAGACCCCCTTCTACTGACCTCTCTACGCACATTGTTCTGGAATTCAGATGCGTCAGAGGATGTCTTCCGTGTGAGGCTCTGGCCAGGAGTTGCTCTCTGAACTAATTTTACACAGATGTGTACACATATGGCCCAAAGCCCACTAAGTGACCAGCAGCCTTGTCCCCAGCATTCTCTGCTGGTCTGATGCCATTGCTATATTTTCCAACCTATCCCTGTGGAATGGTGACCGTGGCCTCACCATAAACCCCAACTACTGGCTGCTCTGTCCTTGAGGTCACAGGCTGGCAGTGACCTTGCCAGTGGCTCGGCCTCCCGGAGGCTTGAGGCAGGGCTTCTTGGCTTGCAGTTGCACTGTGGTGAGTCCTCAAGGCCTCCTGTACCCTGCTCTTAGCCTGTTTGGCTTCCCTCCCCTGTAGCTGCTCCTCCCTGCAGGCCTGCTGGCCTCCACACTCCAGGACAGTTAGGATAACATCTAAAGCACGTGGAGTTGCTGGGAAGAAAGGCTCAGGTCTGCATCAGCCAAGCCACAGCTCTGCTGTCATTTTTGGTCCACAATGGCCCTGGGGTTATTGCATTTATCCAGAGCATTTCCACACCCACACCCTTCCCTCCACCCTGACCTTTTTATATTTTCTGATCTTTTTTTTTTTTTTTTTTGAGAGGGAGTCTTGCTCTGTCACCCAGGCTGGAGTGCAAAGGCACGATCTCAGCTCACTGCAGCCTCCACCTCCCGGGTTCAAGCGATTCTCCTGCCTCAGCCTCCCAAGTAGCTGGGATTACAGGCACCCCGCCATCATGCCTGGCTAATTTTTATATTTTTGTAGAGACGGGGTTTCACCATGTTGTCCAGGCTGGTCTTGAACTCCTGACCTCAGGTGATTCACCCGCCTTGGCCTCCCAAAATGCTGGGATTACAGGTGTGAGCCACTGCACCTGGCCCTATTTTCTGATCTTGATTATGCACCAATAAAAAGAAAAATTTACCAGATGATAATTTTTTTTTATTTTTTATGACCAGATTGCACCTGCTACTTTTCCAAAAAGCCAACTTTTCAGAATGCTTTAAAAAACACTCCCTTTAAGTGACACATTTCATTTTGCAAAGACTATGGCTTTTTCTCAAACAGATTTTTATCTTTTTTCTGGGGTCTGATGTGGAAACCTCACTAAATTCCTCCATCTAGATCATGTCAGTATTTGATTAAAATGTGAGTTTGAAGGCTCTCCTGTGAAGCCATTTCTTCTTGCATCCTTTTAAAATTAACACTCACGTTAAAAACTGATGACATTTAACATTGAAAATAAGCTAAACCTGATGGTAACTCTCTGAGCTCTTCAAATTGACGCCGAAGGTGGCCACCTTGTGGCTGTTGTGGAAACTGCCACTTAGACCTGATTTTTCCCAGGCGTTGGGGCCCTACTGCTAATTAAATTAAATGACTCTTAAGATTATCTTTTCCCATGCAGTTTACATCCCAATCCTGCTCCTCTACAGGTCAACTTGTAGTGATATCCTGGCAGTTTGGGGGCAAGAAAGCTATTCTAAATGGCCTCAGTGGGTTAGTTGAAAGAAACCTTTTGGTCCTTAAACTAAGGAGAAGAGATAACCTCCCAGGAAGCCCAGGTCTTTGTCTTCCTCAAACCTTATATGCTCTAAGTCCCATATTTTAAAAAATATGCTCCAGGGGATCCCTATATCCGCATTCCTGGGTAAGATCTTTAAAATGCAGGTTGCTGGGGTCCCTCCTCAAGACCTAAGAATTGGAATGTCTAAGTCCTGGGATTTGCATTTTAAACAAATTTCTCAGGTGAATTTTTAATGCACATTCAAGTTCTAACAATGCTACATTTTAGTCTACTAAGGAAAGAAACTGGAGACCTAACATATGAAATGCTTTTGACGCAGGCAATCTCCCTTGGGCCCTGGGAGGGAGGGGATCCAGAGCTGAAGAGAGCTCAAGAGACCAATGCAGGAGTTCTCAAAAGCCCCTGACAACCCAAATGTTTGCTGCTTGAACATAGGAGGCTCCACCACAGTGACCTGGCAACTTCGGTCGAACCCTCTAAACAAGAAGCCATGGGCCACCAGAAGAGTGGCTGCTTGTGTATGGTGTCTCCCTCTGGCCTGCATAGGAAGCAGCAAAAGGCAGTTAGAAGGAGAGGCACCTCTGCTGGCTACTCCATCACCCCCACCCAACTCCCACCGTGTCCACCCCACCCCAAAGCTCCATGTCCCAACTCGATGTGAAAGGCAAGAGACCAGCTTCCAGGCCAGGCTCTCCTGCTGACCAGCTTTGTGAACTTGGACAGGTCGCTGGCTTCAGGTGTTATTGCTGTAAATGGAAGTAGCCAGATAACCATCACTTAGCTTCTTTCCAATTCTAACATTCTGTGATCTCATTTTGAGCTTTCAGAGGGAGAGGAGGCTCTTTATGAGAAGTGATCATGGGAGTCCAGATTCCAAGCTTAGCATTAAGCCTTTGCTGTTTGTAGCAATTAATTATTATGGAGTGTCACTGAGAATTGAGATCCTCTGCCAATACAAAAACAATAAACTTTTGCAATGTCAATTCTCTACATTGGGGGTAAAGCAGCACTGGACTGAAAGCCTTCCAAATGCCCCCCCCCAACTGACAGCAACCCCATGACCTCATCACACCCTCCCCTCCTCATGCACTATTCTCCAAAGACTTTAACACACCCCATCCTCACACACGCCCTTCCCACACCCACCCCCACCTCCCAATCAGGCCTCCTGTCTCTGAACCCACTTCCTGCTCTAGCATTCATCTTGTTGGGTGCTGAGATACCTGTAAGAATGTCTAGGTGGAGACTTCACCCAGATCATCCTTCTTATCCTTTCAAGATCATTGCCCCCAGGTGCCACTGCTCTGAGACTCCACCATTCCCTATGCATACTCAGCTCAGTTCTTAACCTGTGACATTATAATCATCTGCTTTTATGCCTGTATCCCTAAATGGAAGATCTGTGGCTGCCACATACTGAATATTCAATAAATGTTTCCTTGAATGAATGACAGTAGGAATGAAAGAATGAGTGGATAAATAAGGAATTAAGAAGATGCAAGCTGACTATCGTACAGAACCTCTATACCTATTCTTTGCACAAGTCTGGATGAGGAAAGAAGAACCTGGTCCAGACTGTCTTGACTCTGGAGCATTTTGGGGAGAAGATGGGAATGGAGGGCTGTGCCTGCAGTAGAAGTAGCATGGTAGGTTATCAAAGCACAGGTCAGTGAAATCAACTATTGTGTGGTGTCAATTTAGTGGGTTCAGACCAACATTTTTAAATGAAGTATAACATAATAGAATAAATTAGAAAACATGTCTCTTAGTAAGTTCCAGTACAGCTTTATGGAACTTTTTTTTTTTTTTTTTTTGAGACAAGTCTCACTCTGTTCCCTGGGCTGGAGTGCAGTGGTGTGATCTTGACTCACTGCAACGTCCGCCTCCCGGGTTCAAGCAATTCTCCTGCCTCAGCTTCCTGAGTAGCTGGGATTACAGGCGCCCGCCACTACGCCCAGCTAATTTTTTGTATTTTTAGTAGAGACAGGGTTTCACCATGTTGGCCAGGCTGGTCTCGAACTCCTGACGTCGTGATTCGCCCGCCTCGGCCTCCCAAAGTGCTGGGATTACAGGCATGAGCCACCGCACATGGCCAAGACTTTTATTATATAGACATGTGCAAAATATACTTCTTTACTACACACAGTGGTCAAAAAATGTAGAAGCCACTCATCTAGGAAATACTTCCTAATACTTTACTAAATACTTCATTGACTCAATTTGAAAAAAAAAAAAACTGCTGACTTTATGGTATGGCTTCCATTTATTGGAATGTGGGGATCCATTTGTCAGGAAATGTATATGGATTCCATGATGTTTTTGAGAGAGCTATATATTTTCTAATTACTTGAAATGATAATGATCTGATCTCATCTAATTTCAATTATGTTCAGAATAGGTATCTTTCATAGAGATAAATAATTTAAGAAAATTTTCCTAAAATAGGGACCTTCCCTCTGTTTTGTCTTTTATGTCTCCCCATGTAGAGCCTGTCTATGATGATAGTATAATACTAGCTCTCTCTCTTTCCTACCAAGGTGAAAAAGCCATTTTCTAAGAGTTAGTAGAAAAGAAGTGATAAAAGCAAATTAAAAATCTTAAATTCCAATATCAAACTTTGATAAATCTATCTAAATATCTCCATGGGAAATCATAGTGACAGGTGAGATAATAAAATTAAAATCTCAAAGGAAGGCAAATATCAACTAGCTTTGTTAAGAACATGAATCCAAGCACATAGGATACAATTTCTTCTCTGCTGTGTTTTGTTCTCCTCCGATGAACAGACAGCCATGTGTTAGGCTTTCCCTGGTTTGGCCATAACACTGTCCCCAGTCTCGTCTGTTGACACCATATGGGATTGTCACGCTTCTTTGTTTATGAAGAGTCTCCTGGAATCTTAAAATTAAGTTTCAGTATCAGACCAGCATCCAAAACCAATCCAGATACATACTTAGACTGGCTTGGTGTTTAAAAAGACTTCATGTTAACAGTTAAAAGTCAGAACATTTCTTTTAAAAATTAGGGTTCTTGACTTCTCTTGGAAAGGTTAAAATATTTAGAAGTGCAAGACCCATATTACTGCATGGAGACTATTGCTCTTAACCTAGGTCCAGGGGACCCCTGTGTTTTGATACAGTTTCCTCTGTAATCCTATGTATTTTATTTTCTTTATTTAAAAGCGTCATCTTGAGAAGGGATCCATGGGCTTCACTAGACTGCCAGAGGGGTTCATGGCCCAATAAAGGCTGAGACCATCCTAGAGTAGAGCCAAGCAGCAGCTGTCCCCTCGATCCCTGTTCTCATCATTCTTTACTTTCTCTGAAGCCATGCATCTGTTTTCATTTTCCATTGCACTAACAATTTTCCTGGAGTCAAGAAATATTTTCCTGTAATTATGTCTCTATCAAAAATTGGAAAAAGAAAAATGAATTGAGGGTTTTGGAATTCTTACACTAAGCTGCTCCACTTATTTATGCCAGCTCACTGGCCTCTGGTCCACAGGGATTGTGTTTAACATCCTTGATCACCAGTGAAGCACAGCCACCAACCAGTCAGAATGGTTGTCATCTGTGCACGAACAATGCTGGTGCATGCCCTGTGAACCTCAGCCCTGTGCCTGGAGGATTTCCATCCCTGCTTCAGCAGGCTTCTCTAGCTCTCTGGGTGTCATTCCATGTTGCATCTGTCCTTCTTCCTGGAATATCAGGGAGTGTGAGCAGTGGGCTATTTGGAGTGTGCTTGGGAGCATCCTGGGGAACTAGGAGAAGATCAATTTCTCCTTTTTGGCAAAGGAGCAGAGATGCCAGCTCCACCCTGCCGTCCAGTCTCTGGACTTGAGGGGAAATGGAGCTGATCATCATCATGTCCGCACTTGTCCTGCATAGTGCAGTTAACAGAGCTGTCTCCCTGGGCCCTCAGCTGAGAGATCCTCATACCAAACCTTCTGAAGAAAGAGCTGGAACTAACGCCACTTTGCAAAGGAGGACCATGGACAGTCGAAGAACAGGAGCAGTGAAGTCAGAAGGAGAACACAGACCTGCATTTTAGTCCACTCAAACACTTCGAAAACACTCGCTCCTCAAGGGAAGTGACTTTTGGGGATTTCCACAGCAAGTGCTTAATAAGGCTTTTTTTAAAAAAAACAAAAACCAAACAGGCCTTGTTTAATGCATTAATATTTTAACAGAGCAAGTCTGGGCCTTTCAAGCAAATCTAGTCGCTATTCAACAGTCACCTTAGCCTTTATGCTAGGTATAAAGAGACAGATTTTGGATTTTGTATGGAAGATGGGCTTTTTGTGACAGTAAAATGTTTTATTTTATTTTTACAAATTATAATACAATAAAATCGACTTTTTCTTTTGGTGTATAAAATTTTAACCCATGTGTAAATTTACGTAACCACCTTCAGGATACAGATCTATCACTCTAAAAAACTCCTGCATGCTAGTTCTTTGTCTTAAAAAATATATATACTGATGTACATGTAAAATGGAAGCTACAAGGATATTTGT
The DNA here is from genome assembly GCF_000001405.40 of Homo sapiens. Lineage (NCBI taxonomy): Eukaryota > Metazoa > Chordata > Mammalia > Primates > Hominidae > Homo > Homo sapiens. The sequence continues at coordinate 158,019,755 of NC_000002.12, read as the reverse complement.
AAAATAAAGTGTACATTTTATCCATATGAAATCAAGATAGAATTTCTCTCTCTCTCTCTGTCTTTCTTGTGTGTGTGTGTGTGTGTGTGTGTGTGTGTGTGTGTGTGTGTGTGTGTTTTAAAGGATTGTATTTCCTTCCACTTTGGAGGATATAAATTCTTGAGAAATAACCTATACAGGCTATCATTAAAGAGAATTTTCAATAATTCTTTAAAGCAATATGATGGTTTGACCATTTTCAGATTGTGACGGAAGGCATAAGAGGAAGCAAGATGAACCACTGGGGTGGTGCCTAAACATAGCGGCCCCAGGAGTGAGGCTTCTGAACATTTTCCCCACCCCAACCCACAAGGTCTTCTGCGCCTATACTACTCCCCGCTCCGTCCTCCAGCAATGGATCTGTATATCTCTCCAGGTTTGTCCTCTCTTCTCTCTCCTGCCTCCTTTCATATCCCACCAACTTGCCTCTTTTTTACCTTCTGTGGAGACAAAAGTGACTCCATCTTGGATGCTAATCCACCATCTTGACTTTCCATCAGCCCCAGTTCTAGGAAGGCCTCCTGATTCCTCCTTTATTTACTGACCCTAGTGCAAGAACATGTGCTCCTGATTTTAGATCAAAGCAATCTTGATGTTTTCACACAAATTATAGGCTATGACACATATAGCATTCTTGCTTGTTCTGGATGGTTTAATTGTCTTGCTAGAGTATGTATACCCTTTCCTTATGGTGGATAAGACTTGGGTTTGTGGAGTAACCATGTGGAGATCTACCTATCTTGGGGCCACGCAAGACCATGCTTCTGTCTATAAGTTCCCTCAATAAATTACCCAATACAAACAAAGTGGATTTGTCTACCACCTCCTTTAGTTTCTTGGCTCCTTCGACATCTGGGAGCTGTTAAGCATATATGGCCGTTTTCACAGAGCTCCTAGGAAAAGGAGATATAAAGATCCAAGAAGAGTGGGAAAGAGAAGGTGTTCTGAGAGACAGGAATGTAAGAGTGTATTGACAAAAGGGAAAAGATATCCTTTTTCTGTCCCACTAAAAGTTTACCTAGTTTGGACTCTTCCTGTTCACCTAACATGGCCTAAAGTAACAGGTAGCTGTCCTCTCTCCCTACCTGCTTTCCAAATAGAGAGATTATGCAGCCCCCTTCCCCCACTGCCACCTGGGAAACAGCCATGCACCTGCCTTCCAGCCTTGCAGCCTGCTCTTCTGCACCCACTTGGTCGACCCTGCCCTTGGGCCCCTCCCTTAGAAGAAGGATGGGAGCTGAGAGAAAAGGGAGGAGGAGAGAGAGAAGAGAAGGGAGGAACAATGGGTACAGGTAAAAAGGAAGCTAATGCTCACTTGCATTCAGTGAATTCCTAATAAGAAAAAAAGACACAGTGCCAGGTTCACTGCCCTCTATAAATATTGGAACAGAGAATATTAGCATAATCCAAACCGTCTTAATAAGACTTCTGAATTCTGTAAACAAGTGCACCCTTACTAGATATTTTTGCAAGTAGCTATTTCTTGGGATATCACAGGAAGCGGAGCTTTTATTTAGTCACTAAAACTAGTGTCCTTTGGATAATGCTTACTATGACACCACATACGAGAGGCTGTTTAGTAAATGATTTTCATTGGTTATGATATCATCTAGTTATTCTATGTGTCTTCAGTGGGAAAGAGAAGAAATGCCTAAGTCAGTGGTTTTCTCATTTTTAAAACATTAATTATCATTACATCCAAATGAGGCTTCACATACAGTGTTAAGGTAAAGACCAAACTGTATTCATTGTGTATGCATATATATATGACATATATTTAATAGACTACAACTATACAACTATTTTCAAAGTATATAAGCTTAAAAAGAAGAAACAAAGAATAATAGAAAATGAATTGTTTGTGCTTCATTGAAAAATGTACAAGAGTTTGATATAATCGAAGAATTGCAACCCAGTGAAATTTTGGCCATAAGTAAAAAGCACTTGAACATCTTAATTAGTTTTGGAGTCAAATTTGGTTCCCCCTATATGGGAATGAACTCATCCCACAGGCCCACATCAGCTTACAGAGTTGTATGCCCAAAAACGAATAACTACATAAACCAGATACTGAGAGTATGAACTTTTCCCAGTTTCAACACTCAGCTATGCAAAGATTTGACTTTATGTTTCTATAATACCTAGCTTTAACTTTTGAATCCTTGTTTCAACTTGGTAGCAGAAATGTTAAGTGTGCCCATTTGAGGTAAAACTTAGTTACTTCTAGAGTTAAAATCTGTAAGTTTTGGGTAAATAGCCATTTCAAGATGCATCCCTGCTCCTGCTTGCTGCTGCTTCCTTCCAGGAGAGATATAAGTACTAAGATGACTTCTGTATTGCCCAGAAAGGTAAATTTATGGCTTAAATATGTTGTTCTATTATTCACAAGGTACCTCTGGGTCACCTTTGCTATAAAAGTGGAGACTATTTTTAAAATAAAGTTAGGACACACTCCATAAAAGTTTTACAACTCACTTAAAATCATAGAAGAGCTGTATATTTCAAGATGAAGATTTAAGCTCTGGTTATTTAACAGGGTCTTAAGAGGCAGGAATTGCTGTGTCAACTAATGTTGTGCACTATATTTCATTACTGCCTTTATGTTTTTTTAAATACCTCAAGAATAAAGTTTATTTAAAATGTCACACTTTGCAAACTGCACATTATATCCATAGAATATGCTAGTACCACTCCCATTCCTTTTATTTATTACAGTAGATTAGTTATGGACCCTCTGCTATAGTATCTTGGCTTATTAAGATGCTGCATGCTAAAAAGCATAGATGGCCCTGTAATGAGCAGTTACAAAATCAAGTCACCAATTCTTCCTTGGCTTTCTTTTTTGTTCAGAGGGAAAAATTGAGGATTTGACCTGTGCCTGAAACATTAACCACCTGATTCTGCTTGTGGGGTGGGGACAGAAAAGGGCCCTCTCAACACTTAATTATTGAGAAATCCTCCGTATCTCTCCAGGATTATAGAAAAGGATTAACAATCATCAAGGTTGCTTGAACAAATCTCAAGTTCAAATTCCAGAGGAAGACGGGATGGTCTAGGGTGATCAAAACCTAGACCCAGGGCTGGGTGCAGTGGCTGACACCTGTAATACAGCACTTTAGATGCCGAGGCAGGCAGATCACTTGAGGTCAGGAGTTCAAAACCAGCCTGGTCAACATGGTGAAGCCCTGTCTCTACTAAAAATACAAAAATTAGCTGGGTTTGGTGGCGGGTGTCTATAATCCCAGCCACTTGGGAGGCTGAGGCAGGAGAATCGCTTGAACCCAGGAGGTGGAGGTTGCAGTGAGCTGAGATAGCACCATTGCACTCCAGCCTGGGCAACATGAGCGAAATTCTGTCTCAAAAAAAAAAATCATCTAATTCACAAGAATTTTTTTTGCTAATATAAGTCATCCATAAACCTCTATGAAAGGTGAGCCCTTTATGAGACAACTTGATCCCTATAAAGTATTCAATAAACACAATGGGCACTAAAAGACAGTCTTAATGAAATGGGACAATTTAGAAATATTTTCTTAATTGACATCAAGAAAAAGTAATTTAAAAAAAAAATCTGTTAGTTTTTTTTTTTTTAAACAAGTGTTAGTGAGGATGTGGAGAAACTGGAGCCCTTGTGCACTGTTGGTGGCATTACAAAATGGGGCTACTGCCATGGAAAATAGTGTGGTGGTTCTCCAAAAAATTAAAAATAGAATTACCATATGACCCAGCAATTTCACTTCTGGGTATATGCGTTAGTCCTTTTTCATACCACTATAAAGAACTACCTGAGACTGGGTAATTTATGAACAAAAGAGGTTTAATTGACTCACAGTTCCACAGGCTGTACAGGAAGCATGGCTGGGAGGCCTCAGGACACTTACAATCATGGTGGAAGTTGAAGGGGAAGCAGGCACATCTTACCATGGTGGAGCAGGAGAGAGAGACAGAGAGCAAAGGGGTAAGTGCCACACACTTTCAAACAACCAAATCTTGTGAGAGCTCACTATCACAAGAACAGCAAGGGGGAAGTCTGCCCCATGATTCAGTCACCTCCCGCCAGGCCCCTCCCCTGACACGTGGAGATTACAATTCAAGATGAGATTTGGTGGGAACACAGAGCAAAACCACATCCGTATATAACTAGAGTCTCAAAGAGATATTTGCACATCCATGTTCACAGCAGCACTATTCACAATAGCTAGGAAATAGAAGCAATCTAGATATCCAACAACAGATGAATAGATAAACAAAATGTGGCATATACATACAGTGGATTATTATTCAGCCTAAAAAAGGAAGGAAATTATGTCACATGCTGTAACATGGTTGAACCTTGAGGATATCATGTTAGGTGAAATAAGCCAGTCACAAAAAAAGATCAATACTGTATGATTCCACTTATATGAGGTATCTGAAGTAGTTAAATTCATAGAAACAGAAAGTAGAGTGGTGGCTGCCAAGAGCTGGGAAAGGGGGAGTGGGAAGTTGTTGTTTAATGGGTATAGAGTTTTAGTTGTGCAAGATAAAAAGTTCTGGAGATCTGTTTAACAAGAATGTGAATATACTTAACACTACTAAACTGTATACTTTAAAATGGTTAAGATGGTAAATTTGACATTGTGTGTTTTTGTTTAATTATAATTTTAAATCTGTTAGTTTCTCTAATGATCATAATGAAGATTAATTAAATTGTGCTCAAAAGATGTATTATGGGATAGGAATACAGGTAATTTTATTCTCTTTATTGTTGCTGGACCAAGTTTTCTGCTTCCTACATATCAGAATGGCTAGGCATTGCAAAATAATCTATCACCATAGAATCTAAGGATTCTTTTGGAATATAAGCATCATTTTCAAAAGTAATTTGTGATTCAAGAGTTGCTTAGAACCAAATTTCCCTAGGAAACTGAATGATTTGGGTGTTTTGTTATGGGGTGGAGGGAGAAGATGTGGTGGAAGTTGGCATGATCTCTATTTGGGTGGGGCTCTTTTTGTATTTTTGATAGAGAATAGCTGTATTAATCAGTAGTGTATTATAGAAGGCATATGTCTTATGTTTCATTGCTTGGTTTTATGTTGTGCAGCAGCAATTTGCTAACCACAGTCCTGAAGAAATATAGCCACGCAGCAAAAGAAGCATTTATTTTCAGAAACACATTTCTTTTCTGACATTACAGGGGAGTGGGAGGGAAGGTCCAGATTAACTGTACTTTTTAATAAGAGATGGAGTGCTATTGGAAAACTATTAAGGAAATTGTGGCTTTAGCTCAGATTCAAGGAAGCCCATAAGAAGAATTTACTACCTTCCAGCTTAATACTGCAGCAGGGCCAGTTCTACAGACCCACTGCTCCCTGAATGATTCTGGAGAGTATTTGCGAGCTGGGGTTGTTCTAGGAGAGGCAATCAGCCGCTGATGAGCTCCCCTGCTTAACTTTCCTAATTGATTCCACCAGACCTCCTAGTAGACTAGTTGCTAACCCTGCCCCATCCCAACTCTGGCCTGGCTCTTTCTGATGGCAGTCTTCAGAGACCATTTGCCAGTTTGGAGTTAGGCCTTGGAGCTGCAGAACAGGCTTGTAAAGCAGATGCGTAGTAAATGCTGCAGCCAAATGTACAGCACATTTTCCTAAGTGGAAATCCTGTGTTACAGACAGAACATTACTTAACAGTAGGTGGGCAGTTCAATCCTAAACAGCTCAGTTCTTCCCCATCAGAGACCCTGCAGAAGCAGGCTTCTGCCACAGCTGTGGGAGGAAGAACAGTTCTTGTAACTGTTAGGAGCAGACAGTGGCTAAGAGAAACAGTCTCTTGGGAAGTCCCTGTCTGTGATTTTCCTACGTAAACACAAGAAAACAAAACCCCTGGGCTTGTCGTTCACACAAGCAAGCCGCACAAAGCTTTCTTTCCTTCATCTGCATGTGCTAGTGTGCTGTTCTTCCTTTAGGTTTTACTGCTGCTTAAAGGTGTTTTTGTCCAGATATGTAAAGGTGCCTCGCCCTTCTCCTTCTCAGGAAAAATAACTATTTATTGAGTGCCTGTTGCCACGCAGGAACTCTGTATCCATCATCTCACCTCTTCCTCATCAAACACATCTCTTCCGAGTGAGTTGCCAAATTACACTGCTGGCTTCCCAACCTGAGGTTTTGCTTCTGTTTACATTTTACCAGAGCAAGAGAGAAAAAGTCACAAATGATGTGCTGTCTTCTCATCTTACTAATCCCCTCTTCCCCAAGCCTTTCCACATCTAGAATTAAATACCTGGGCCTTGGCAGCCAGGCCAACCCCTAACATTGGTAAAGCCCAGGCAAGAGCACAAATGGATGCCCATATGCCTAAAGCTGTAAGAGTTATAATGCCCCTTTAATGCATCCTCATGTCCACGTTGGATATGTGCATTAAAATTCATGAAAAAGAATTATTGGCCAGGTGTGATGGCTCATGCCTGTAATGCCAGCACTTTGGGAGGCCGAAGTCAGAGGATCACTTAAAGCCAGGAGTTTGAGACCAGCCTGTGCAACATAGTGAGACTCCATCTCCACAAAAAATAAAACTTTTTAAAAAAATTAGCCAGTTTTGGTGGCAATACCTGTGGTTTTAGCTACTCGGGAGACTGAGATGGGAGGATTGCTTGAGGCCAGGAGCTACGATTGCACCACTGCACTCCGGCCTGGGCAACAGCAAGAATCTATTTCAAAAAAAAAAATAATAATAACAATAGCTTAAATTCGAAACAATCTAAATATTCAACAATGGGGCATTGATGAATTTTATTATAATATTTCTCCATATAGTAGGGTATGAGATCATCACTTAAAATTTTTAGTAATAAGTTATTTTGAGTTTAAGTGAATAAAGATTATTAAAGTGTCTTTGTAATTATTGTTTTGTTTAAAGTATATGTACACATAAAAACATGATCCAACAAAATAGTTACCATCTCCTTGTAGTGACTTCATAAATTATATTTTCTTCTATGTATTAGTATTTTCTAAAAATTGGTATAATGAGGGAAATAAATAAATTTATAATAAAAATATTTGTATGCTTTAATAATTCTGTTTCCAGGAATCTCTTTTAAGGATCAAAGATGTGGTTAAATATCACAAGATAATTTATCACAATGTTATTCATAATTTTAAAATTATATCAGCTAGGCACGGTGGCTCACACCTGTAATCCCAGCACTTTGGCAGGCCGAGGTGGGTGGATCACTTGAGGTCAGGAGTTTGAGACCAGCCTGGCCAATGTGGTGAAAACCCGTCTCTACTAAAAATACAAACATCAGCCAGGTGTGGTGGCACGTGCCTGTAATCGCAGCTACTCGGGAAGCTGAGGCAGGAGAATCACTTGAATCCGGTAGGCAGAGGTTGCAGCGAGCCGAGATCGTTTCACTGTACTCCAGCCTGGGCAACTGGAGACCCCCTCTCAAAAAAAAAAAAAAAAAAAAAAAAAGGTAGAAACAATTCAGAAAGATTATTGAACCTTTGAAACTTCCTCATGCTTATTCTGTTCTTAAAATTTTCTCTTTTCCTCAGAGTGATTAGCAATCAAACTCTTTTTTAAAAGGCTTACATGTACTGGTCTATGCGGGCAGAGAGTACAGGGAGGCTCAGAGAGTGAGCATGCAAACACTAAAGGCAGGACCGCAGAGGAGAAGATACCCAAAGGATAAAAAAGATGCTCACTGAGTCAAGTAGATGAAAACCAGCATTCTTGGTGTAAGCTCTAAGCAAGAGGGGAGACCATATACGGCCATAGCCAGGGAGTGGAAAAACCCAGAATTTTAGAAGGAAAGGAACCTTGTGGTTTCTTCAGCTCCAGGAAATAGCAAACACACCCCTATCCCCACCCCACTACCATTTACACCTACCCTAGGATCTTCTATTCAATTAGAAAATCTTTCATTTATCGAGCAAATATTTGTTGAGTGATGTGCCAGGCATAGACAGGAGAGGAAAGGAGGAAGTCTGTTTGTTTCAATTAGCCAAGTTGGTTTATTCATCTCTTCCTTCTTTAAACAAATGGCTCCTTCCCTCCCTCCCTCCCTCCAGACAAGTGTTCTGTGTGAAAACTTGATCTTTTCACATGACCCTACATCCTCCTCCACAGTGATTGGTTCCCTTCAGTGGTGGACAACTTACCCAAGCTGAGCCTAGCTCCCTTGACCATTGCAATTGATCAAAGGGTGGTCATGTGGCCCAAAACAAGCCAATCAGACTTCTTCCCTAGCTTTTTTTCAAAACTTTATGGGAAAGGAGGGCTCCTTCTCTCCAGTTAGAGAGCCATGAGCCCAGATGTGAGCCTGGAAACTGTAAAGAGCCAGAAAAGAAGCAGAGGGGAAAAAGACAATGAGCAAAACACTCAGAGACGCAGGAGGGAGAAAGAGTCCTGCTGGCATTCAGAACCCTGTGTCAGGTCTTTCTGAATCACCCATTTCCTCTGTCCTTCTGGCTGTCTGGTTACCTGAGTCATTACCTTCGCATTCTTCTGAAGCTATTTCCTATTGTATTTCTGCCGTGTGAAACCAAAGGGTGTTCCCCAGCACAAGGGTTTGGAATTGCAGCGCTCTGTATGAGCTCTGGTAAGCCTCCTTGGCCTAGTGAAGCAGACAGGTGCCAGATCAGAAGCTTTATTAAGATAATGAGGGAGGAGGCCGGGCACTGTGGCTCACACCTGTAATCCCAACACTTTGGGAGGTCGAGGTGGGTGGATCATTTGAGTCAGGAGTTCGAGACCAGCCTGGCCAACATGGAGAAACCCCGTCTCTACTAAAAATACAAAAATCAGCTGGGCATGGAGGCGTGCACCTGTAGTCCCAGCTACTAGGGAGGCTAAGGCACCAGAATCACTTGAACCCAGGAGGCAGAGATTGCAGTGAGCCCAGATTGTGCCACTGCACTCCAGCCTGGGTGACAGAGCGAGACTCTGTCTCAAAAAAAAAAAAAAAAAAAAGAAAAAGAGGGAGCTAATGATGCTCTCATTGGAGGGAACTCATTGTATTACCTTTTACCTATTAATATAACTGTGCCTTCACTTAACATTAATGCAAACAATCCTTGTTGAATACCTGCCCTGTATTTCCCTCACCAGTTTTTGGCCTTTTAAATTGAATTCATGCATACCCGTTCTTCTTTCCTGCTTAATTTGATTCAGCCTACTAGGAAAGGTAAAAGGGAGGATTCCACTTATGCCCGTAACTGTGAAAATGCAACATATCTTTAGTGGAAAATTTACAAACAACCACAAGATGGGGCTGTTATGCAAGGAAGTAAAAGTTAATGGTTGGCGGGAAGAGGATGCAACAGTTTCCAGCATCCAGGATAGGATATTTAAATCTTTCCTCACTAGAAAATAAGGAAAGGAAAATATTTTAAGAACATATATTCATAAAATCAAAGCACTACTTATAACAAATTCAGGGATTACTCTTTTTAACAATCTAGTGTTCCTTTTTGGGAAAGTGATACATAATTATTATAGTAGATATTTTCCGCCTATATCAAGGTTGATTGCTTGTCTTTCTTCCGGGTTTTCTTCATCCTCATTCTTCTGTCGCTTTCGATGAAAAGCCATAACATAAAACCAAAATACATGCATTAATTTATTAATTTATTTACAGACTTCTATGTCCTCTGTATTCAATTTCAAAGACAAAGAAATAGCATTTGATATATTTGATTAACATACTCGTTTCCTGGTGTCTTCCACCTCAATCTAAATTAAATCACTTTGACCTCATTTTTCCCCCCTTGGGTTTGCAGTTTGAAGATCTGGAAAATTCTTGATTAATAGCAATAATGTAAGGTAGCCACGTTTTTAGAAAATCCAAAAGAAGCAAGAGGAAAGTAACCCTGCATAGCCCTTTGCCTTACGAGAGACTACAGCATTTGCTGGGGCAAGATGACCACAGAAGGCAGCCCGCAGGAGAATGCCCATTCACCCTGGAGCTGTGCAAAGCAAGAAGTCTGCAGGTAGATGCAGGGGAAGCCACAAAGAGGAAGCATTCCTGTTCCTTCTAGGGCACAGTCCAGTCTGCGTTGCGCTAACTCAAAACTGGGAGCCTTCTGTTGAGAAATGGGAAACCTAAAAATAGACCTGCAGAAAGTACTTTGACCTTGGCTTGAAAGTCAGCCCAGTGCTATGACAAGAAAAGCCTTTTCCATGAAGATTATGTTCTTAAAAGCCATATTTCATCTGCACACAGACTCCCAGTAAAACCACACTCAGAAAATGTGCGTCTTGGCTATCCTTCAACTGTAAAATCATTATGTTTGGCTCTGGTTATTCTGGACATTAGATGTCTATGTAAGGGTTTCTTTCTGAAATTCCTTGTACAAAATGTTAGGGGTTATAAACTGGATTAATAGCGACATTTAAGCAAATCTGCTATTACTGTGTGTATCCAATACCTTATGATTTTTGGAAAGAATTCAAGGACAAAGCAGAAAAACTGTTGTATTCAAGTAATTCAGAATGTACATGCTTTAGAATTAACTACAATAAACTAATAACTTTTCCTGAAAAAATCTAGCCAGAAAGCCAAGAGAATATATTTCATTAAAGCTTTAGTAATTAAATCCAAAATTAAAGGGTACTGTCCTATAATTTCTTGCATGTGTTAGAATTATAATATTTAAAATTTGCAATATCAAAGCATTTCAGGAGACCATCATATGTAGTCTGCATGTATTTCAAGGATAACCCTTAAAGGGTGATAAAAAGCTATTAAAGAGGGGAGAAAAAGCACTTTTATATACTTAGGTAACTTTCTAAGGAACAGCTGCCACCAATTAAACAACAAATACCTTTTAAAGACTCTTGGGGGTTCAATGTTCTTTCAGTGGACTGAAAAATCTGGGAAAATGGACTTCATTAGCAACTACAAAATTATTGAAAGGATATTTGAAATGGCATTTAATACCTGCAAAGACTGAAACAATCAGTAGTTTAAAATTTCGCCATAAAGATTGGTAAATAACACTGATTACAGGTCTTATTCAAACAGAAAATAATGAATATGTAATGAAAAGAGAATAATGATCCAAATTGCTTTTAATCTTGGAGTTATGCCTATTGATTGGCCTGGAAATAATAGTGCTAATCTTACAGTAGGAAAGTCAAGTGCTTTAGAAAGTCATTAGCTTTAGGGAAACGGGATACCCATTTCATTGTGCCAGTACAGTATTTTATTGAGTAAAGCCTCAAACAACTGTGTGTTTAAGAAAAATTCCAAGGTTAGCCTAAGTCAAATAACATTCCTCTCCACTCTGCTCTGTAACTGGTAAAAGCAATTTAGGTACTCTTTCTAATTCATCTACCTAAACACCTGCTATATTCCTGCAACACAAAATAATCAAATACAGTAAATAATTCAGCATTCCAAAAGGTAATTATTGATCTCACACTGGCTTATTTCTAATAAGCTGAAGAAGTAATAACCTTCTCAAAATAGTAAATTTACATTTTAGACTGGCATTCCTGAGACACTCTGGCAAAGTTTCATGAACGAATATATTTATAAGCAAATATACATTAAAAACACACAAAGTCTTTTTAAAAGTCATAATTTCTCATCTCTAGGAAAAGCCTCAAAGGATTCTGAATTTGAAATATCTTTACTTCCCATTAACTTTCCATGTATCCAATTACAAGTTAAATTTACATTCTTTTCAATCCATTTTTGAGACCTTAAATGTATTCTTAGATCCTGAGCTTGAAAATTGATTGCTTTTATTTTAATTTAAATGTTAACACAGAAGCATCTGGTTAATGAAAATAGAGATACATGAAAAGCCAGGCACGGTGACTCACTCCTGTAATCCCAGCACTTTGGGAGGCCTGTAATCCCAGCACTTTGGGAGTCCAAGGCAGGCGGATCACGAGGTCAGGAGTTCAAGACCAGCTGACCAACATGTTGAAACCCTGTCTCTAGCCAGATGTGGTGGTGCGTGCCTGTAATCCCAGCTACTCAGGAGGCTGAGGCAGGAGAATTGCTTGAACCTGGGAAGTGGAGGTTGCAGTGATCACTCCACTGCACTCCAGTCTGAGCGACAGAGCAAGACTCCGTCTTAAAAAAAAAAAAAAAAGAGAGAGAGAGAAATACGTGAAAAACCCACGCTCCTCTTAGCAAATGTGCATGGAACAAGGAACTGGCCGGTGTTAAAAGTTGCCAGGCAGGGCAGCAGAGAGCACTTCACAATGACATGGTTAGATGAGGCCCTCAAGACAAGCTGGTTGCCAGGGAACACTCAGGGCACCTGAGAAGTGGGCAAGATCAATTTGTTATGGGGAAGTCAGCTGAATGCAGAGCTGAAAAGAGAAAGTGCAAGCCAGAGGGAACAAGAAAAGACTGAAGTCAGAGTGGAAAGAGCTTGGGCTTGGAAGTCACGAAAACCTGACTTCTGACCCTTATCAAATGTGTCACCTCTGGGAAAGGAAACACCTTTGTCTCTCCGACTTGGTGTTTTTCACTTGTCAACTGAGTATAATGATAGCACCGCCTCGCAGAATTATTATAGGGTTATAAGATGATGCATATCAAGCACTTAGCACACTGCCTATGAGTACACAGAAAGGGCTGAGCAAAGGATATGAGTATTACTACTGAGTGCTGCTGCCAGAGAGGCTGGCAAAGGGAAGGTGAATGCCAGTCTCAGAGAAGGATACAAATGGGTACCTCACAGAGTCAAAGTCAGGGAGGCAAAGGAAACAAGGCAAAGGGAACTAGGATGGTGTGGAATCTCCTCACTAGGCTTTGCATTGAACCAAGGGCCTTCTGGTACACAAAATCTTGCACACTGAAATATGCCCCTTGGAATGTTCACCTTTCCTGACCCTGTCTTAAAGATACCTTGCTCTAAATCCAGTCATTTGTAACAGCTGCTCTGGAAAGCAAATCTGGTGTCATTTCAGATCTGACAAGTGCCTTTGAGTAAGAGCAGGAAGGAGAAGCTCATTCCATTGAAAGGCTTCCTCGAGTATGCCTAGGAAGACGCCCACTGGAGATGGTTTGTTAGCTTGTTTGCCAAAACAAGTGAGTCTTGGAAGTTGCTTTTATTTTTTTAATTCAAGTGAATGGTCCCTTTATTTTTTAAAATGTGAGGTAAGTATCTCTCCCTTGTTTCTGGAGAAGATGGTGAAGTTTCCATGCATCTGAGTGCAGACACTGCAGTCTGGAAGATGTTGAGTGTTCTGCTTCATATTGGGAATTATGGACTTTTTTTTTTTTTTTTTTTTTTTGAGACGGAGTCTCGCTCTTTCACCCAGGCTGGAGTGCAGCGGTACGATCTCGGCTCATTGCAAGAGCCGAGGCTCCGCCTCCCTTGTTCACGCCATTCTCCTGCCTCAGCCTCCAGAGTAGCTGGGACTACAGGCGCCCACCACCACGCCCGGCTAATTTTTTATATTCTTAGTAAAGACTAAATAACACGGGGTTTCACCGTGTTAGCCAGGATGGTCTTGATCTCCTGACCTCGTGATCTGCCCGCCTCGTCCTCCCAAAGTGCTGGGATTACAGGCGTGAGCCACCGTGCCCAGCCATTATGGACATTCTTAACCACATTGTGCTCTTGAAGAATTAAATAACTTTATTAGCCATAAAATGGTGTTTGTAGGCTGAACTCTCCTCTACTTACTGCCCTTTAGGACTAACAGCCCAGACTTGGGTAAAGGGGAATGCGCTTTGGGGTGTTTTGCTGATCACTGTAGCTGCGCAGTGTAATGAGACCATTCCCTAGGTGAGTGTGAGGAGGGGATGAACACGCCTCAGGATAGAGAAGGAGAGAAGCTTATTTGCTTCAAGGGGACTGATGGTTGGGCACAGGACTGAGGCTTGCGGATGCCTAGAAGTCCTGTGTGTGGAGTGTGAGCTGCTCCTGGCCATGGAGAGGCCTTCGGGGGCTGGGCCAGGACCCTGAAGTTTGTTTAGGGTCAGCTGTAAGCCGGAAGAGCCCCCACTGGTCCCTGCAGTGTCAAGCACTCAACTTGATTCCATTGGCACTTAGTAAAGTTTTTATTAAATATCATGTTACTTTTCATTTTTGGTAAATGGCAGAGCCATATAAATTCACCAAAATGTTCAAACTGAAAACTTCCCCGTTCCTTCCCATTCTTCCACTGAAACCATCAACAAGTACTATCAATTCTGCCTCCAAAGAGCCTTAAGCTCAAGCTCGTGCTTTGTTTGCCTCTCCTGTTTCCCACCCTGATTCTGATTCTGTTGTTTTCCACCTGGGTGACAACAGGATCCTCTTCCTCTCCTGGCTTTCTCTTTTCATCTTCCATCCCATTCTTTACCAGCAACCTGAGAATCCCCTTTACAATATAAATGAAGTCAAGTCGTTCTCCTGCTTAAACATTTCAGTTTCCCAGTATTCTCAGGATAAAGATCCAAATGCTTAGCATGGCTTGCAAGGTCAAGTCTGGGCTTGGTGAGCTTTGGAGAACTCAGTGAGAGCCCTGGCCTCTGGAAAAAGCTGCCTGGAAAACACAATTATAGTCAGTGCAAAGTGATCACTCAAAGTGTGGGCTGCAGGGTAGGTGACAAGAGACCATAACAGATTTCTTGAGATTCCTTCTAGAAGGGAACCCAGTAGAAGAACAGGCTCCTCATTCCTGTTGGTGAGAGGTTGTGACAGGGCAGTAAAGGAAACATGACTAGAGGTGTAGGCACTGGTTGATAAGATTTAGGGATATATCAGTGACACACCCAACCTAGGGTACTGTAACTGTAAATCAAAACAATCTTCTTTTAGTCTTAAAAACAAGAACCAAAAATTGTACAATTTAACATGTAATAATGGCTTCTATTTATCAAGCATCTGCAAAGGGGCTGGCTTTATGCCAGGCATTTTACATATTTGATTACAAAAACCTTATAAGATAATTATTATCTCCATTTTTGATATATGGGAACCAAGGCTCAAAAGGTTACTAAAAGTCAAATGAATAATAAGGCACAAACTTTAAAAAAAGTTACCAAATTGCATTTCTTTATGAAGGAAAGGGACAGATCTAATGTTAATTTGTTATTAACTGAGGAAGCACAGAAAGTTGGGCGTTTACTTGTTTCTTATCCATCTCCCCCGACTAGGAGGAGAGAGCTTCATGAGGGGAGAGCCTGTTTTGTTCACAGCTGTCTCCCGAGCACACTGAATAGTGACTGGTCGCAGCAGACCTGTAGGGGTTTGTTCACAGACTGAAGCAATGAAGTTTGACAGCTGCTTTCATTACTCAGTGATTTTGATTCAGAGCTTTACAAAAGTAGGAAAAATTAGTGTGAATATCCATTTTTCCATAGATTAGGTGTTGGATTTTTTTTTTTCTTATTCTCTCCACTACGTACTGCTATTAAAATACAACTAAGCCTTATTCACCGGGAGGTTTCCATTAGCAACAAGAATTAATTAAATTATGAGTCATCAGCAGATGACATACTAAGGCAGATCATCCCCCGACGATGATTGTTTTTTATTTTTCTAATTATAAAAGTAATATAGTAAAGAACACTAGCAAGATTTACTAATTTTAAAAAGTATGTACAGTTATGAAAATATTTCTAAGATATATTTTTAGTGAAAAGAATAAGATGTAGAATAGTGTTCATTGTAAGCTTTTCTCCCATGGGATAATAATAATAGTTATTGAGAGCTTACTGGGTGCCAGGCATTATATTATATCCACTGCATGAATTATCTCATTTAATCCTTCAATAACACCATGTTGTTGGCACTATAACATTATTAGTACTATACTCCATTTGAAATAGTACTATTGCTCTCATATTATTTTTCTTGTTTTTATTTTGAAACAATCCAGCACTTAGAGAAATGTTGCAACATGCAAAATACACATACACACACACAAGCATATACATGTGTACATTTTACATCTGTATTTACTTCTATATACCCATATATTAAAAGCCATGAGGTTGTACTAATATCTACAATTCCATTCCTAGGCCACAGAGTTGTAGTTTTCTCTCTTTTTTTTTTTTTTTTATTTTTTGAGAAACAGTCTCACTCTGTTGCCCAGGCTGGAGTGCAGTGGTGTGATCTCAGCTCATTACAACCTCTGCCTCCCAAGTTCAAGTGATTCTCCTGCCTCAGCCTCCCACATAGCTGGGATTACAAGCACACACCACCACACCTGGCTAATTTTTGTATTTTTAGTAAAGATGGGGTTTCACCATTTTGGCCAGGCTGGTCTCGAACTCCTGACCTCAGGTGATCCACCCACCTTGGCCTCCTAAAGTGTTTGGATTACAGGCATGAGCCACCCTGCCCAGCTGGCTCTCTTTCTATATGTATATTTATTCTCCCAAATAATGTGAAGGCTGGCTCCAATTGTCTTCAATTTATTTATTCATCGAATCACTCTCCTGTTGCCTCCACTGTCCCTATCCCTGGCAGGAATGTTCCTCCTCCCACTGGTCTCCAGCACTCTGCATCGGACCCTCTCACCCCCTACAACCTCCAAGACCTTGTGCCCCATCATGCTCTGACACCTCCACCAACACAAAAGTCCTTCTTTCTCTGTGTCAGGACCTCCCTGAGCCCCCTAAGTTGTGACACCCCACCTACCCATCCCTGACAAAGACAGCTCCCTTGCCCATCAGGGATAGCCATGAGGAGGTGGCTCCATGGGTTCTAGTATTTTGAGACTGCATCAAACTTAATATGTTAGCATCTTTGGTAGCCCATTCTTAACCTGGACCAGCAGTTAGACCTAAAGCATAGATGGCCATTTAGCTAGTCATTTGCATGAGAATTAAACATGAGAGATGAAAGAAAAGAAAAAGGAAAAAAAAAAATTGTACCAGGAAGGAAGATATTTCATGAGCTGAATCCCAAGCAGCAAAGTCACCACTAATGTCACAACGGTGTTGCCAGCTAATAATGGGGCTGCTTCTTAACTGTCAGGAAATGCAAACAGCACAACATTAAAATGGTTCTATTTTTTTCCATCCTTACAATAGCAACACAGCAATGGAGTGCTGATCTCTGAAAGACAAAGGCTGTGAAAATAAACATGCACTTAAGCCAGGGGGCACTTGGGTTGTGATTTTTCTTTCAAGATATTTGGTAACATATCCCAAATCCTCAAACCACCCCAGGGATCTTCCCTTCAATACGGTCTGAATCACCTACCTGTCTCAAATGGCCCAGCAAAGCTCTTGCTCTGTGCAGGCAGGCCTGCCAGATAGCTGCCTTTTTCTTTTCCTCTTACCTTGGCTAAGTGGCTTCCAAGGTGTTTCGGAAAGGAAAATGTAGGATTCAAAATAAAGAGCAGAGAGTTGGGCCAGGCCTGCATTGTCCTCTAACTGTGATAATGGGTAGCTGCTCGGCCCCTGGTTCATCTTCCACAGCAAAAACTGGACCAAGGCCTGCTTTTTCTCTCTAATGGTGGGATTGCCTCTGGCTTCGAGTTGCACGTTTATCTTTGGTACTCATCACTTTGATTTTGTTATTACTTCACCCTCCCCTTTGTCTTCACTTTTATCTGTCTGTATATTTCCTAACAACCTGTTTTTACCTCATCTCCCTCTTTTATTATTACCATTTTTATTCCCCTGCCCTGCATCCTTGGCTTCCCCTGTAAGCACTTTGAAAAATGAGGTGAATTTTATATTGGTAAAAGATGCTGAAAGGTGAATCTGTGAAGCCCCCGCCCCCGTAGCCTCCTTCCATATGAGTACCTTCTTTCCATGTAAGGTAACAGCTCTCTCTCTTCTTTTTTTTTTTTTTTTTTTTTTTTTGGTGCTCATTCTCCCCAGGCAACCAGAAAAGCTGTCCGCTTCAAGGAATGGCTTGATCTAAGATCCAATCATGGGATACAACTAAAGAACAAAACCTCCTGTTACCAGGTTGCAAATGTCCAGGTATTTGCAAGCAGTGTTTTGCTTTCTTAAATACCAGACTATGGCTAGCAATCTTCCCCAACTTCAGGTTATAGAAATTCAGAGCTCCCTATCTCAAGACCAGGAAAATCCAGAGCAGACACATGTTTTGTGAATATGACCAGGAATAAGTTATTTCATCTTGGGAAAAAAATAAGACCAAGATCTAGGGCGTGCTTGATGTTTCCCAGTTGTTCTTCCAGTCCACCCTATTCCCTTCATCACTCTTCTCTGTGCCCCAAGTAGGAGGCTGACCTATTGGGCTGTATAAACAGGCTCTTTTGCACTATAGCTTCTTATTGGATTCACCCCATGGGGAGCATTGGAGATCAGAAAGAGGGTAGAATAGTGAGAGCAGAAGGCCAGGGTATTTATTCACCAGCTCCCTCTCCTTGGGCCACTACAGGCTGGCTGAATATCCCTGCTCCTGTCAGGTGACCCTCTCTCTCCAGCACCAACATCATTCTGTCCTTTGTCCCATCAGGCCTTCTACTAGCCCAGGGTACTGCACTACTCCTTGTGATTTCCCTATAACCTGCTAATACCTTTATAAATAATCTCCTTAATAAACTCTACTCAAATTACCCAATTTGAGTGGACCATTTGTTTCCTGCTGCTGGTTTGATGCTTACAAAAGATCTCTGCTTAGGCAAGGCAGAAACAGGTGCATTTGAGAAATGGCAATGGCAAATGATCGGGAACCCAGTTACCTGGAAACTGAGGCCCATGGTAGGAATTCAAGCAACTCTTGGCACAGAGAAACAAAGGAGAAACTTCTTTACTGAGGATTAGCAATACAGAGAAGTGAATGCAGTTACTGACAACTGGAGGTACTATGCTCAGATTTAATAATAACACATTTACCATGCACTTATGATAAGCCAAGTACCTAATAAATACCCGGTCATATTTTAGAATTTTTTATCCACTTTACTGATGAGGAAACTGGGTGAATTGATCATTGCTGTTTTGTAGACCCAAATTCCCTCCTTCAGCATCTTCTAGTAATAAAACTACTCTCTCCTGCAAGGAGCTCATTTCACAGGTTTTAACTAGTGCTAACCCAGGCCTTGCCTGTCAGAACACACCTCCTCCCATGCACAATGCTTGGCTCAGTAATGGACATGTGACTCTAACAGGCCAATAAATTTCTCCGAGATTTGATACTTGGACCTAGGGAAAGACTAGAAGGATGATGATAGCAGCCACCATTGCTTCAGGCCACCTTTCCCTCTGTTTGGAGGAAGCCATCTCCAGCAAGAAATCATTTAGCATCAGCAAAGAGAACAGGAGAGAGAGAAAAGGGATAGATGGAGGAAGAGCAACAGTGAGCACAAAAGAGATGACCTCATTTGCTACTGCAGCCAGTCTCTTGAGTGAGTTTTATCCTTCAGTTTTCCAGTATTATGAGACAATGAATACTTTATTTTTACTTAATATAAGTTGGATCTCTCATTTATATTTCCAAAAAACCCTGTAAGTAGATTAAGGCTGCCTTGCAGAGATTCTTCAGCTGGGCAGTGATCAGCCCATGCGTGTGAGAAAACTACCAAAAGCAGGAAAAAGAGCCACTCAGAAGGAGCAGGTAGAGCAATCTCCAGAGCTTACAGAGATCCAGAGGCAGGAGAATCACTTGAACCCAGGAGAATCACTTGAACCCAGGAGACAGAGGTTGCAGTGAGCCGAGATCGCGCCATTGCACTCTAGCCTGGGGGACAAGACCAAGACTCTGTCTCAAAAAAAAAAAAATTTGAAAGGCACAAAATGAAGAGAAAAACATATTATCTTTTCTACCATTCTTACATTAATACTTATTTTGAAAAGTTTTAATAACTTTTGACATTTCTCCCTCTCTCTCTCCTTCCCTCCTTCCCTTTTTATCCTAATCCCTCTAGTGCAATCTCCATCTCTTTTGATGTTTTTAGTGTACTTCTCTTATTCTCTCTCACACTCACTGATTCTTTTTGGGTAAGTGTGTGTGTGATTTGAATAGCATCCCAAAATAAAAATAGATGTAAAATTTTTCTTAACTTTTATTCCATTTACTTTTTAGACTTTTTTGTTAAAAACTAAGACAAAAACATGCAGGCCTACATAGAGTCAGGATTATCAAGATGTCAGTAGGCAATAGAAATTTGTCAGCTTTATTAAAATTTTATGGAACTACTGTCATATATGTAACTCATCATTGGCCAAAACGTTATTATGTGGTGAATGACTATAGCAGTCATGGTTATTAAAACAGGTTTATAACTATAGTCTATATGTTTAAGAAAGTAGAGGAAACCATAAGTGTGTTAAGAAAAGACATAGATGATGACATAAAAGAGACCCAAATAGGCTGGGTGAGGTGTCTCACACTTGTAATCCCAGCACTTTGGGAAGCCAAGGCGAGTGGATCACTTGAGGTCAGGAGTTCAGGACCAGCCTGGTCAACATAGTGAAACCCTGTCTCTACTAAAATACAAAAATTAGCTGGGTGTGGTGGCAGGCACCTGTAATCCCAGCTACTTGGGAGGCTGAGGCAGAAGAATCGCTTGAGCCCAGGATGTGGAGGTTGCGGTGAGCTAAGATCACACCATTGCACTCCAGCCTGGGCAACAGAGTGAGACTCCATCTCAACAACAATAACAACAACAACAACAACAACAAAAAGACCCAAATCAAACTTCTAGAGTTGAAAAATACAATATGTGAGATGAAAAATAAACTAGATGGGATTGAAAGTAGATTAGACACTACAAATGAGGACATGTCAATAGAAACTACTCAAAATGAAACACACAGATAAAAAATGACTGAAAAAGATCAACAGAATTTCAGTGAGCAGTGGGACAACCTCGTGCAGCCTACTCTGAATGTAAATGTGGTCTCCAAGATGAGAGAGAAGAGAGGACAGGAACAAAGTTTGAAGAAATATGGCTGAAATTTCCCCAGATTTGTTGAAGAACATAAACATATAGATCCAAGAAACTCAATAAACTTTATTTATTTTTATTTTATTTTATTTTATTTTTGCGACAGAGTCTTGCTCTGTTACCCAGGCAGTGCAGCGGTGCAATCTCGGCTCACTGCAACCTCCACCTCCTGGGTTCAAGTGATTCTCCTGCCTAGGCTTCCCTGAGTAGCTGGGATTACAGGCATGCGCCACCACACCCAGCTAATTTTTGTATTTTTAGTAGAGATGGGATTTCACCATGTTGTCCAAGCTGATATCGAACTCCTAATCTCAAGTGATCCAGCCACCTGGGCCTCTCAAAATGCTGGGATTACAGGCATGAGCCGCTGTGCCTGGCCTCAATAAATGTTAATGAAAAGAAAGATGAAGACACACATCAAGGCACATCATAATCAAATCAGGGAGCCCATCTAAGTGGGCAACATCCCCCACAGTCATTTCTGACCTTCGAAGTAGAGTAATCACAGAGCATTTCAAGGATTCAGACGTGCCCTGCACTAAAGTATTTCTGAATATCTTAGTGAAGGGAAAGTCTTCGAGGTTTCTGGTGGAGCATTAGGTGGGAGGATGGGCACCAGGTTGCACATGATAAATCCAGTTCAACCTTATGTCCTAAGCCTGTGGATTCCCTTCTCCATAGCATGCCAAGGAAGCTCTGGCATGGCATCCCCATTAAATGTAGACTACCATTGAGTCCAAGTTTTAGTCAATCCACCAAGAAAGATGTTAAAACCACCTCCAGTTGCATGAGCTAATACATTAAATCCAGAATCTCTACTAAGTACACCCATATCCATGATTTAACCCAATCTAATATTGTATCTTCTTATGAAAAAGACCCTTAGAACATACTCTCACACATGTTCCCCAGGTTTCTGTTGCTATATATTTATTAGCAAAGTCTTGAAATGTTTGGGGCATGCAAGTTAATTTTTCCCAGGTCATTGTGTGTACTTATCCACCTACAACATACTGAGATTTGGACCTGTCCAAACGTTTAGTGGTAAGAGGGGGTGATTGTAGTGCATCTTAAGGAAAATGAACATCCCCTTTCAAAGCATCTTCCCCAGATGAAGGTTTTCCTAGCAATGATCTAAATGCCTCATCACACACCCAATCTCTCAGAAATGGCTGGGCTATTTCAAAGCTGGAATAGTTCACTGAAGACTCTGTTATGGTGCCAACTGGGAGACAACGGCTTAAAAGGATGATATTCTGTCTTAACAGGATGTGGTACATGCTTTGAATTAGAGACCATGGTGGCATCTTCCCCATAATCAAAATATATGTGTCTGGGAATTAAGGCATGGAAGTGAAGGAGCAATCTGTCCTCAAAAGTAAATTCAAAATTTTACCTCTATAAACAGAAGAATTTGCTAACAATTTAAAAATAGCTATTTCCAGTTTCTAGTCCCACTTTCTCCTTATTACTACCAGGCAACAAGTTTCCAAAAAAATATTAACATCCAATTTTAGCTACCTAAAAATGTGAAGACCTTTACAGATGTTCAATGGTATATTATAAAATGGTAAACTTATAATAAAGAAATGAGCAAAGGTTCCCAAAATGAGCAGTAGAATGACTGGCAGTAAAATAAAAATAAAAAAAAATAGGAGGTCCAAACACAAAATATTATGTAGTGTCCTAACTATATTTTACTGATTTTTTGATAAGCTCCCTAGTTCATCCTCTTATTTGATCTAATAATCAGACAAGCAGTTCCCTGATGTTACAGGCAAATGAATTACCCTCAGAGTTTCCAAAGAAACGTTTGAGAAAACAATAGGGAAGAACTGCAGCAATCTGCTACTGCAGTGATGTGAAGACACACTGTTGAGGTTAAAAGTCAAAGGTCAAGTTGGTGTTATTCTCTTGGTCCTTCTGCAGTTGATTAAACAATATTACTTGAGATGAAAGCAATCAGTGAAAAGAATTATGATTACTTTATTAGCATTACTGAATAAATGTCTTTTCAGAATCCAAGTTATCACTCAAAAACATGTCATGTTGCCCTAAAATTACTTATTCAATTTCTGGCCAGAGAGGATTTCTTTATAAGAAAGACTTTCCTATTAAACTTCTCATTGAAGTTTAATCAATATGCTTCATCGATATGTGTCCCCTAAAGCAATCCTAGGATTTAGAAAAGGATCTAAGTATGTGGGCTTCTATGAGTAATATCTGAGTCTGAGCTTACTCAAAAGGTTGGTTTTCAGGCTGTTTCTTCTCTAATTCTAGAAAGCTCTAGAAGGCCATAGTAAATCCTCACAGAATACAACTAAAGCATAAAAATAACTTTCAAAGATTTATAATTAGCCGGAATAATTTTCTTTGGGATCTAATTCTTATTTACAAGTCATTTTAGAGACCCCAAATTAGGCAACAACATTGCAACATGACTAACACTGACTTCAGATTGGAAAAAAGCCATACATTTATTCAATAGGGAGTAAACAAGTTCTAGGGAAATATGTGAGAGAATAAATTAATAATATCATTTAGCAAGAAAAAAGAGCTCAATAAATATTATAGCCTAGCTTAAAAAAGAAAAAAAAGTATGTTTAGGCAATAGTTGTATCTCCTCACTAAAGGTATGGTAAGCTAAGATATAGCCAAAGCTATAGTAAACCAAGAAAAGCTCTTCTCTCCAGTGGAGAGAGGCAATGTTGCCTCTACAATCATGTGGTCACAGTGTGTATGGTAGAGTGGCAAGGCATCTTCTGTTCCCCTTAGTCCAAAGTATGCACCTTGGTTGATAAGCAGCTAGAAGGAGAAAACCAAATAGATTTAGATCTGAACTTTTAAAAACAGGTTTATGCAAACAGGCATTCCCACATTGAGCTGGGACTATATACTGGTAAAACCAATCTTGAAGACAATTTAGCAATATATATCAAGGGTCTTATGAGTGTATATGTCCTTTGAATAGGATATTTCACTTTAGCTTAAGAAAATAATCAGATTTTTTTACAACAATGGACTTCATAGAAAAAAAAACACAGGAAATCATTTAAATGACCAAAAAAACTATTATAGCTTTTTTTCAAAACCATTAATGCTCAGTATAAGTAGGAAAAAATCCAGATTACAAAAAATTATGCCCACCATTTTCTATTTTGTAAGTCTGTGTATGTGTGTGTATGTGCCTGTGAAAAAAATGCAGAAAGACTTAGAATAATTTTTCTGGGGTCTTTCTTTTTGTATTTTCAATTTTTTTCTATTTTTTTTTAAAAATTATGTATTAAAGGGATCGTTAGAGTGGTCAACTACCTTAAAGAGTATTATGAATTCATGGTTTAAAAAGGTGATTGAAAATAAGGCACCAGTGTAGGGCTGTTCACATAGCATGTTTTTCTAAAATAACCTCTTCCATCGTCTGTAGTAGCTACCTGAATTTCAGTGGGCCTAGCTCTAAAAAAGTTGAGAAATTGTACCAATATGTGTTGCATCATCCCTTAATTATTTGTGCCAGTTGATGGAAGCTGAAATGTGGAAAACATCAACCACATAATTCAAAATTAATTTGTACTGAGACTTGGAATATGACCAGACACATGTGCTTAGACATGAATGTATTTCTCCTCTTCCCTCACTAACCTTCAGGCCTTGTCCTCACCACTTCTTGGTCTGGGTCCAACTCACAGCCTGGGGCCAGCATGGCAGCACTGGTGAAGTCCCTAGGAATAAAAAAAATGTTTGAGAAAAGAGTGGTGACAATGACTGGGCTCTGAATTGTGAACATTTACACGTGTAAATGCAGAAACACCCATATACGATCATCCACATATTAATTTTCCACCTAGACTCATTACTTTTCCATAACTCTGATGAAAAGGGGAGTTTTATTTGTGTAGAATCTTTCCGATTTGGTGATAGTGGTGACTGGAATAATAGTAAGAAAAGATATCTTGGCAGGACTGGCTACATCATTTAAGGGACCCAATGCAAAATGAAAATGCAGGCTCCTTGTTCTAAAATGATTAAGAATTTTAATACTGAGACAGCAGAGCATGAAACCAAGCTCAGAGCCCTTCTAAATTCAGGTCTCTGTGTGACTGTACTGGTCACGGGCCCATGAAGCCAGTCCTGAGTTTTAGAGTCAGGTAGATATGGGATCAAATTCTCGATTTTTTCATTTATAAGCTGAGTATCTTGGCTAAATTATTTAAACTTTCAAAGTTTCAGTTATGCAATCTTAAAATGGGAGTGATGTGAGTGTGGCATTATTCTCAAGATTGCTGTGAGGATTAAAAGAGAGAGCATTCTATTAGGTGCATACCATAGTGCCTGGCTCAGGGAGACTGTTCATCTTCTCTATGTTGTATACTGCAGTTAGAGTTTGATATAGTTTGAATATTTGTCCCCTCCAAATCTCATACTGAAATTTGATCCCCAATGTTGGAGGTGGGGCCTAGAGAGAGGTGTTGGGGTCATGAGGATGAATCCCTCACAAATGGCTTGGTGCCATTCTTGCGGGATTGAGTGAGTTCTCACTCTTAGTTCCTGTTAGATCTGTTAAAGAGTCTGACACCTCCCTCCCCACCCCTCTTCCTCTCTCTCTCATTCTCTCTCTCTGTTCTTTCCCTTTACCATGTGATGCCTGCTCTCCTCTGCCTTCCACCATGAGTGGAAGCTCCATGAAGCCCTCACCAGAAGCAGACGCTGGTGTCATGGTCATACAGCCTGCAGAGCCATGAGCCAGATAAACCTCTTACTTTTACAAATTACCCAGACTCAGGTATTCTTTTATAGCAACATGAAACAGTCTAAGAAAGAGTTCATATTCTAAAGTGCAAACTTGAAAGTTTGATATGGTTTGGCTCTGTGTCCCCATCCAAATCTCATGTTGAATTGTGACCCTATGTGTTGGAGGTAGGGCCTGGTGGGAGGTGATTGGATCATAGGGGTGGTTTCTGATGGTTTGGCACCATCCCCCTAGTACTGTCTCATGATAGAGTTCTCAAAAGATCTGGTTGTTTGAAAGTGTGTAGCACTTCCCCCTTTGCTCTCTCTCCATCTCCTGCTCCGCCATGATGAATATATGCTTGGTTCTGCTTCATCTTCCGCCATAATTTTAAGTTTCCTGAGGCCCCGCAGCCATGCTGCCTATACAGCCTGCAGAACTATGAGTATATTAAATCTCTTTTCTTCATAAATTAGCCAGTCTCAGGTAGTTCTTTATAACAGTGTAAGAACAGACTTAATAGAGGGTTTCTCCCTGATTTAAGATTATTTTTGGTTATCCATTATCTACGAAACAAAATGAAAATGCACATTATGACATATAAGGACCTTAACTATTCAGGTTTTATCAATCTCTCTAAAACTTGCCACCTACCACTCTCACATATGTTCAAAGTATAATTTGTATTTATTTTCACTTTTCCTTAAGAACCAGTAAATATAATAGGCATAGATGACAAATAATAAATTAGCATGTGCCAGGCACTGTGCTAATCATTCTGTGGGAGGGAATACTCATTCTCCACTCCTGCTGTTTCCTCCCATGAGAGAGAGCTGCATGAGCTGTAACATTCCTGGATACTTCCACCTCCTCATTTATCCTCCCCTGGCAAGGATAAGTTGAGAGAATCTGGGTATTTGTATTCCAGCCTCTTTCTCTTTTGGTAGCAACTCTCACAGGGAGCATGATTTTAGGCAAGCTGTAAGCATAGTGGCAAAGACCTTTTCCCGGTGGAACGACCCATTGTCCAGGACTACCTGATACCAGTTGGTGAGCCTGTCTATTTCTGGTATTCAGCGTCAGGAAGCCTAAGTTCTCCAGTGTCAGCTTTATCAATGATAATGGTCTCCTGCCTGCGTTACTCTTGTCTGTTTCTAAATTGGTTCAGAACTTGGGTGGGGAAAATGGGTATTATTTACTGAGGATACGTAAGTATCCCAACAAAGTCTACATTCATTGTCTCCTTTATACCTCAGAGCTACCATATGAGGTAAGCATATCTATCATCCAATTTTTATAGATAAGGAAAGTAAGGATTAGCAATCAAGTAAGTGGCATAATCAAGATCTAAACAGTTCTATCTGATGCCACAGATTATGCCCTTACATTTTCCCATTTTGTTTTTGCATGAAGGTTTAATAATAAACTGATAAGAACATTCAAAATTTGAGTTCATGTTGAAAAAAAAAAAGCTAACACAGTATTATATGCAGTGTACTTATATTCTATCTGGCAGAAAAGTTAGCCAAGCTAAACTTAAATTCAGCACATGCTGAATTTTATTTTAGGGAGAACAAGCTGCAATCATAATAAAGAACTGTATTTACAGCTAACAGCAATACCCACGTTTCTCTATAGGTCTTACACTACAATCTGAAATTGCATTTCATGATTTACAAGGTCTGAGACATAAACAGTAAAAGGTATGTTTCTGGGAATTTTCTCATTAACAGCCACAAAACAAGCAATTTTATGTGGAATTGCTTTGTTCACCTTTTCTGAAATATGTGCAAGATCTCTCTTTGATGTTGAATCCATTCTGATTTGAACATCTCAATATTTTTGATGTTCCATGAACTCCTCCACACCCCACCTATCTCCGGGAAGCTCAGACCTCCCTACCTACTTGGTGAAAAGAAGGAAATTTAGAACATTTGAGCTCGCAGGCTGCCTACTTAAGACTACCCGAAGAATGAGCTCTGCTTACCCCTGTTCCTTCGTAGGTACATGAATGAGTCGTCAAAAATTCACTAATAGTTGATTAATGCAGTTGTGACAGTATGAAAAACAACAAAAGGAGTGCAGTGCTGAAGAAATTCTAGATCTTGCAGATTTAATGCATCCACTTATATCCATAACTCAATCCCTTTTCATATGACACTAGTTATTGTTGTTACTGTCTTCCATAACCATTCCTACCACGACTCCAGTCCAGGCCATACCCCCTTCTTCTTGTCACAAGAACATCAACACTCTGCAGTCTTTTCTTCTTTATCATGTCTTCATCCCTCCATACTTTGCTCACCAAGATGTGTTTTTCCATCTGTCATATTTGTCTAATCCTGTTGATTTAATGCACTATATTTCTACTAAGAAAACAGTACATACAAAATACTCCCAAGCATCTAACTACTTTTAAAAATATAGATCTTTCTAAATTACCCATATGTATTGCCTGACCTGGCATCTCTCTCTATTTTCATACAGTGCTCAGCACTCCTGATTAATTGTCTCTTTAATATTTTATCCAAAATTGCACTGGGAAACCAAGAAAACAGGACAAAGGAATGTCATTTGTACTTTTTGTAATCTTCATTATTTACCAAATGTATTTTTCTTATAACCACCTTTGTAGTACTTCAAGATATGCCTAACAGGCACTGTTAGCTCTTTTACAGGCCTGTGGATAATGGAAAGTATGGAGAATCCTGGCTTGGAAAGGCAATAAATAAGGTTATTTTGACACTACTCTCTATTGGAGGAATTGTGATTGTTTTTGATTTTGTTTCTGTTTTGAGAGAAGAAGCTTGCCTAATGGCAATCCATAAGACATTCTGGAGAACAGTTATAGATTCAAAATGTGAGTTTTAGTCTACTTGAATGTAGCACCTTGTTAACAAAAAGGCTTCACTTTTATTGCCTCACTGATAATTCACATAACCTGCTGACATAGTGCTATGGTCTGAATGTGTGTATACCCCCAAAATTTGTATACTGAAACTTAGTTCTCAAGGTGATGGTGTTAAGAGGTGGGGCCTTTGGGAGGTGATTAAATCATGAGGGCTCTGCCCTCAAGAATGATGTTAGGTACCCTCTTAAAAGGCCTTGAGTAAGTGAAGTTTGGCTCTCTTGTTCTTCCACCTCCCACCCCGTGATATTGCAGATTTCACAACAACAAGGCACCATCTTGGGAGCAGAGAGCAGCTCTCCAAACATTAATGCTAGCACCTTGATCTTGGGCTTCTCAGCTTCCATAATTGTAAGAAACCAATTTCTTTTCTTTATAAGTTACCCAGCCTAAGGCATTTTGTTATGGCAGCACAAACAGACTAAGACATATAGAGTTCATGGTGGCCACTTTTTAAAAAAATGTACAAAGAACTTGAGGCACTGAGAGGCAAATGACTGGCTCAAGAACATGCAAAGCATGATCAAGTAATTTTGAGGTATACATTTTTAATTCAAACTCCCTTGGTAATCTGATGGTGAAAAGAATTTTCAATTTTCAAATTTCCTAGACTACATGCAGGAGAGAACTCAGGAGCATGGCACCAACTTATTTTGTCTTATGTAGAAGGATATCTGACTTGAGGTTGAGAATTCCACATCAGAATCTATAGGCCTTTTCCCCTGCCCAGTAGAGTTTAGTTGCCTACCTTCAATCTCTGCCAACAGCAATCCTCTACCCCTCTGGTTTAAGCAGGCTGTTCTAAATAGTTGCCGGTGGTTACCGTGGTAACAGACGCTTAGGTTTCAGCTTCGAATGCCCCTTTTAATGAGGCAATTTCAAGAATATCTGTGATAAATTACCAGACCACAGACTTCACTGCAGGGAGTTTTGCTTTGGAAAATCTAATAAAAAGACAGCAGAAAGAATGAGCAGTAAATGCAACAGAGAAAATGGGGCCAGATTTGGAGGGGCAAATGGAAGAGATGCCAGATCTGACTACCAAAAGCCAAATCAGAATCAGTTCAAACCAGAGCTTTAAATTATAAACGGTCCCTGAAGGGCTTCCTGACATGCTGAGCCAAGATTCCTTGGGAGGAGGAATGGTAAAGTGAGAGGTGGTGAGGGCAAGAGTTGAGTATGTCCTGCAGAGGGCTGTGTATTTTAAAGCTTCCATTTTCTATTTTATCATTAATTGTAGTGGCTAAATCAGAAACGGTCTCCTTTTGTTTCTCCATTTCTCCATGTATGAGACCAAGAGACATTGCCACCTGGAGAGGACATAATGAACTAAAATGTGGACTTTCGCCTAAGTGAATTTCACAGCAACCTAGGTTATCCACATTTCCCAAAGACATACCTGACTTGATAATGGTCCAGGATTCTGTTATTAATCTCTTATCCATTGTACCCATTAAAAATTTCACAGAAGGGTAAACGTACTTAAACACATTGCTACACTATTGTGTGGAAAGAAACATCTCCTAATTACCCAAAGGAAGACATGTCATTCATCCTTGTTATGATTGAATATAAAAACTATGCCTCCACTATATAAAATAGCTTCAGTTTATACTTGGTTGAAGGCAAGAGGGTAGCCTAAAAGAGCCTTCACTTACACTGTAAGTGCCTTGCCAGGCTCCCTAGGTCCCTTCAGGAACATCTTACTCTCGCTGCTCACGGAAAGCACCAGGGAACAGATGCATTACAGTTTGTGACAGGAGAACAGCCTGTGGATTCCGCCTACTCCCTCCAGTCCATCTGGGAGGTGGGTGAGACAGGGAGCCCACAGAGAGGGGGGCTCTCCTGGGAATCCCTCAGGGTACCATGGCTATTGGTGCTTTATTTTCAGTAGATGGCACTGTGTCTATTGAGATAAGCAAAGGGAGATTCTAGATGGGAAATTTAATTGTTTCTAGAGAAAGCACAAGGCATGTGAGAATGCACGGTATTTTATTTTTGCCTTAGTTACATGATAACGCAAATACTATTCAGTATTCAGGTTACATTCTCTTTGGAGCCCATGGAATTTTATGATTTATTATTCTGGCTCCATCTTAGGCCTGTGGTGAAGCCCAGGGCCATCCTATACAGTATATACTTGGAATAAGAATAAATCATGCTGAATGTTCACCTCTGTTACCCAACACATACAGCAGCACCTATACTCCATCTGTGCCCTGGATCCCCACCTGTGCACTGGCTCTCTCCCTTTTTCCCAGACAGGAAACTCTGCCTGGAACCCAGGCAGTTCCTGCCTGGAACCCAGGAGTTTTTACACCCCAAGAATGAGACAACCAGAACAGTTTCTTGCACACTGGTGGTCCCATGGAGCAGACATTCTCCTTTGTCCGTCCATCCTTTTTCTTTTCTAATAGACATCCAGTTATTTTTTTCCTCTCTTCTGAGTATTTCCAGGAGAGTAAACTCTAGCACCAGAAGATGAATCAATTTTTTTTTAATTATGCTTTAAGTCTGGGATACATGTGCAGAACGTGCAGGTTTGTTACATAGGTATACACGTGCCATGGTGGTTTGCTGCACTCATCAACCCATCATCTACATTAGGTATTTCTCCTAATGCTATCCCTCCCCTAGCCCCCCACCCCCAACAGGCCCTGGTATGTGATGTTCCCCTCCCTGTGTCCCTGTGTTCTCATGAATCAATTTTATTTTAAGCCATATGTAGTCTTTTAAATGGGAGGAGAGAACCTCAAGTATGTTTCATAGAAAATGAACTGTAGACACAGGATGGAAGATGGAGGACATATGGGCCAAACACTAGGTGATGCACTTAATATAAAACTCTTTTATTCCTTATGATAATCTTGAGATAGATATTTTGCTACCTGTCTTACAGATGAGCAAATGGAAGTTCAGTAAGTTTAAATAATCTACCTAAAATCATCCTCAATATTGACTGGGCATATAATGAGATTCTAAACTTTTGAGTAGTTTGCTAGAATACTTCTGGAAAGGGACTTGCATGGAGAAACTTACTTCTGTCCATTGACATTATCTTCTGAATATGACCCCTGGAACTGCAGCAGTCATCTTGAGACAATTATGGAAGGACACCTAAGAGAACAAGATAAAAGTCCAAAGACAACAGAGCAGAATGATAGAAAGAACCTGGAACCTTGATGATACCTTTTGAGCTGCTGATTTAATCAACCTTCAAACTTCAGATGTATGTTTTAGCCACTTTGAGATATGTCTTCTATTACTCATAGCCTGAAATACCCTAAACAATACTACCTAAATACTCTAGCCATAGATGACTAGAAAATGTATTAGTGCCTGAGCCATAGGCAGCCATCCATAGGATGACTGCTGAGGAGGTAGGATATGAAAGTTCACTCATCCAGGCATCCAAATTGGATAATATCTAATGAAACCAATCAGATCCTTTCTAGGGGCATCTGAATAAGACAGCATTTTCCCTGTCTCCTCAGGAACCTTGCTCCATCAATTAACCCATCTCTCCTGTGTCTTCAATGTTTTTTCCTTAAACTAACACTTTTTTTTTCTTTTCTTGAGACAGAGTCTCACTTTGTCACCCAGGCTGGAGTGCAATGGTGCAGTCATGGCTCACTGCAGCCTCGACCTCCTCTTGGGCTCACATGATCCTCCCACCTTAATCTCCTAAATAGCTGGAACTACAGGCATGTACCACCATGCCTGGCTAAGTTTTTGACTTTTTTTTGTACAGATGAGTTCTCACTGTGTTTCCTAGGCTGGTCTTGAACTCCTGGCCTCAAGCTTTCCTCCTGCCTCAGCCTCTCAAAGTGCTGGGATTATAAGCATGAGGCACCACCTAACTAACCCCTTCTTAAATACCGTTTAAGTTTTTCCTATTAAAAACAAACAAAACATCCTTTGTCAAATACAGAACTTCTTCCAATACCACTCAAAATAGCTCCTCTCTTTCACAGTCCACTTCTTAAAATAGATGTCTCCAGTTTCTATCCTTCAAGTCACTCTTCAACCCATTGCAATTTACACCTGCAGTTCCCCAACAGGACAGCTGCTCTTATGGACTTTACAAAATAGTAAGAAAATAGGTTGTCAATTGCTGAGTAACACACTACCTCAAAACTTAGTCATTTAAAACAACAGACACCACTGATTATCTGCCATGATTCTGTGGGTTGACAAGGCTCAGTTAGACAATTCCTCTGTTCTGCACAGAACTGCAGTCACCTGGAGGCTTGACTGAGCTGGAACATCCACTATGGCTCATTGACATGGCTGGCAGATGGTGTTTGCTTTTGGTTGGGAACTCAGCTAGAAGTTAGTCCTTCTCCTCCTGGCCTCTCTACATGTGGGCTTCTCTCAACATGATGGCTGAATTTCAAGAGGAACAATTTCAACCTTGTGAAAATAGAAGCTGCTCAGCCTCAGAAATTAAAGAACCTCACTTCTGCCACATTGGTCAATACAAGTCCAATCCAGCCCAGATTCAACAGAAAGCAAATAGACTTCACTTCTTGATAGAGAGAACAGCAAATAATTTACAGCTATCTTTAATGTACCACAGTTATTAATGAATTTCTTTATTGTTAAATCCAATGAAAACATTGTAGTCCTTATTTTCTGTGGCACCTTGATTCTGGAAATACTTTCTTCCTTCAACTTTCATGACAACACACTCTCCTGCTTGTCCAGGCACTTCTAGGGCTTCTCCTTCTCTTTTTTGGGAAGAATCTTTTCCTCAAAGTCAAATATTACTGTTCCTTGGAATTCCATCCTTCTTCTTCTTCTATTATCACTATATTCACTCTTACTGGGCATTCTAATAAACTTACTAGGCTTCCATTACTATCTACATACTAATCACTCAAATCTATACTATACTCACAGTTCATATTGCTCACTTTAGTTTCAAATCTAGATATCGCACTCTTTATTGATCATCTCTAGTCTCCATTTGAATATCCAACAAGTATCACAAATTCAAAAGGTCTAAAACTGAGCTTGTTGCATTTTCTCCCAAAGCTCCTATTTCAATGTTATCTGTTTCTATGAATAGCACCATATCCCTTCAGTTACATGATGCAGAAAGCTAAACATTTTTCCTCTTCTATTTTCTTCAACCCTACATTCAGTCACCATAGCTAGTTAATATTATATCTTTAACATTTTTCAAATTTGTCGTCAGCCTCTGTTCTCTAACACTTCAGTATTGAACTCCAGTTTAGACTACTATCATCTTTTATCTGTTTACTCCAGCATCTTGTATCAGTCTTCTTACCTCCACACTGGCCTCCTCTTTAATCCATTTTTCATGCTGTCAGAGTGAAGTTTTTAATGGTAAAATCGGATTACATTGTGCTCAATTCAGCAACACATATACCAAAATTAGAACAATTCAGAGAAGACTAGTATGGCCCTTGTGCAAGGATGACTTAAGATTTGCAAAGCATTTCATATTTTTTCTGTATCCAAGGGCACACAATGTACTGGAGATGATCAGTAAAGAGTAGGATATCTAAATTTGGAATTATGTATTATAATTTGCATGACAATAACAACAAAAAATGAGGGGAAAGGGGATGGGCTATATGGGAACAAAGTTGTGTATATTATTGTAATTAAGTTGGCATTAACTTGAAATAGATTGTTATAAATTATGATGTTGTAATTCTAACAGCAACCTGTGATGATTAATTTTATATGTCACCTTGACTGGCCTAAGGAATGGGAATGCCCAGATAGCTGGTAAAGAATTATTTATGGGTGTGTCTGTGAAGGTGTTTCTTGACAAGGTTAGTATTTGAATCAACAGACTGAGCAAAGAAGACCCACCCTCATCCATGTGGGTGGACATAATCTAATCTGTTGAAGGCATGAATCAAATAAAAAGGCAGAGGAAGGGTTAATTTTCTCTCTCTTCTTGAATTGGGACATTCGGCTTCTCCTGCCCTCAGATATTGAAACTACTGGTTCTTGGGCCTTTGGACTTCAGGACTTCCAATGCCTCCACAACTCAAGTTCTCAGGAAATAGAGTTCCACCAGTGTACACCCTACACCAGGATTAAAGTTTTCAGGACTGGGACTTATGTCATCAGGTAGTCTTGTTCTCAGGCCTTTGAACTTAAATTATACCACTGACTTTCCTGGTTTCCCAGGAAATATGCAGACAGTATATCATTGGACTTCTTGGCCTCCATAGTTCCATGAGTCAATCCCTATAATAAATCTCCTCCTACATATCTCTATATAGCCCATTGTTTCTGTTTCTCTGGAGAACCCTGGCTAACATACACCCACTAAGAAAACAATTCAAAAATAGCACAACAGAACACTAGGTAGAGTTCTAAGGTTTTTTACTCTAGTTCTTGGTGCCTGGATGGCCCCCCGACCCACACAAGACCTGGGGGAATTTGCTGCCCTGAAGAGAAGGACATAGGCCTGGCTGGTTTTGCCAGCTAATGATTGTAGAGCCCTAGAGCATTGAGTGAACATAAGTGGTAGCCAGGGAGTGGTTACAGCAGGCCTTGGGCCAGACCCAGTGCTGTTCTCGCTTTAGGTCTGACCCAGCACAGTCCTAAGGGTGGTAGCCACAGGGGTGCTTGTGTCACTCCATCCCCAGCTCCAGGTGGCTCAGAACAGAGAAAGAGAGACTCTCTTTGTTTGGGAGAACGTAAAGGAAGAGAAGATGAGTCTCTGCCTAGTAATACAGAGAATTCTTCCAGATCTTGTCCAAGAACATCAAGGTAGTACCTCTATGAGTCTGCAAGACCCAGAGCATTGCTGCCTCCTAAAGCAGATACAGCTTAGATCACAAAACCCTAGTCCTTTCAAATAGCTGGAAAGCCTCCCCAAGAAAGATGGGTATGAACAAGCCCAGACTGTGAAGACTACAGTAAATACCTAACTCTTCAATACCCAGACTCAGAAGATCTACAAGTATTAAGATGATCCAGGAAAACATGATCTCACCAAAAGAAGCGAATAAGGCACGTGGGACCAATCCTGGAGAAACAGAGATATGTGACTGTTCAGACAGAATTCCAAATAGCTATAATGAAGAAACTCAGAGAAATTCAAGATAACACAGAGAAGGAATTCAGAATTCTATCAGATAAATCTAACAAAGAGATTGAAATAATTAAAAAGAATAAATAGAAATAATGGAATGAAAAATGCAATTGACATACTGAAGAATGCATCAGAGTCTTTTAATACAGAATTGATCAAGCAGAATAAAGAATTAGTGAGGCTGAAGGTAGGCTATTTGAAAATACATAGTCAGAAGAGACAAAAGAAAAAAGAATAAAAAACAATGAAGCATACCTACGGAATCTAGAAAATAGCTTCAAAAGGGAAAAGCTGAGAGTTATTGGTCTGAAAGAGGAGGTAAAGAAAGAGATAGGGATAGAAAATTTAGTCAAAGGGATAATAACAGAACTTTCCAAACCTAGAAAGATATCAATATCCAAGTATAAGAAAGTTATAGAACACCAAGCAGATTTAATCCAAAGAAGACTACCTCAAGGCATTTAATAATCAAACTCCCAAAGGTCAAAGATGAAGAAAGGATCCTAAAAGCAGCAAGAGAAAAGAAACAAATAACGTACAATGAAGCTCTAGTACATCTGACAGGAGACTTTTCAGTGTAAAACCTTACAGGCTAGAAGAGAGTGGCATGACATATTTAAAGTGCTGAAGAGAACAAATTCTTACCCTAGAATAGTATATCCCACAAAATTGCCCTTCAAACATGAAGGAGAAATAAAGACTTTCCCAGACAAAGAAAAGCCAAGTGATTTCATCAACACCAGACCTGTCCTACAAGAAATGCTAAAGGGAGTACTTCATTCAGAAAGAAAAGGATGTTAATGAGCAAGAAGAAATCATCTAAAGTACAAAACTCACTGGTGATAGTCAGTACACAGAAAAACACAGATTATTATAACACTGTAACTGTGGTGTGTAAACTACTTTTATCTTAAGTAGAAAGATAAACAGTGAACCAATCAAAAATAATAACTACAACGTTTTAAGACATAGTACAGTAAGATATAAATAGCAACAATAAAAAGTTAAAAAGCAGGGGGACGAAGTTAAGACATAGTGTATTAGTTTTCTTTTGGCTTGTTTGTTTATGCAAACAGTGTCAAGTTGTTATCAGTTTAAAATAATGGGTTATAAGATAGTATTTGCAAGCCTCATGGTAACCTCAAATTGAAAAACATACAGTAAGTACACAAAAAATAAAAAGCAAGAAATGAAATCATATCACCAGAGAAAATAATCTTCACTAAAAGGAAGACAAGAAAGAAAGGAGGAAGAGAAGACCACAAAACAACCTGAAAACAGATAACAAAATGGCAGGAATAAGTCCTTACTTATCAATAATAACACTGAATGTAAATGAATTAAACTCTCCAATTAAAAGAAATAGAGTAAATGAATGGATTAAAAATAAATAAATAAAACTAGGCCCATTAATCTGTTGCCTACAAGAAATGCACTTCACCTACAAACACAAACATTGAATGCAAATAAAGGGCTGGAAAAAATATATTTCACGCCAATGGAAACCAAATAAGAGCAAAAGTAGCTATACTTATATCAGACAAAATAGATTTCAAGACAAAAACTATAAGAGACAAAGAAGGTCAAGATATAATGATAAAGGCATGAAATCAGCAAGAGAATATAATAATTTGAAACATATGTGCACCCAACACTGGAGCACACAGAAATATAAAGCAAATATTATCAGAGCTAGAGAGAGAGAGAGAATCCAATACAATAGTAACTGGAGATTTCACCACCCCACTTTCAGCACTGAACAGATCTTCCAGAGAGAAAATCAACAAAGAAACATTGGGCCATGGCCCAAAGAAACATTGTACTATATACCAAATGGATCTAGTAGACATTTACAGAACATTTCATCCAATGGCTGCAGAATACACATTCTTTTCCTCAGTACATGGATTATTCTCAGAGATAAACTATGTGTTAGGTCACTATATGTTAGGTCACAAAACAAGTCTTAAAATATTCAAAATAATTGAAATAATATCAAGCATCCTCTCTGACCACAACAGAATCATACTAGAAATCAATAAAAAGGGCGGGGCGCGGTGGCTCACGCCTGTAATCCCAGCACTTTGGGAGGCCAACGCAGGTGGATCACGAGGTCAGGAGATCAAGACCATCCTGGCTAACACAGTGAAACCCCGTCTCTACTAAAAATAAAAAAAATTAGCCAGGCGTCGTGGCGGGCGCCTGTAGTCCCAGCTACTCTGGAGGCTGAGGCAGTAGAATGGCAAGAACCCGGGAGGCGGAGCTTGCAGTGAGCGGAGATCACGCCACTGCACTCCAGCCTGGGCAACAGAGCAAGACTCCATCTCAAAAGTAATAATAATAATAATAATAAGAAGAAGAATTTTGGAAACTATACAAATACTTGTTTAGTATTTGTATGTGCATTAGTCCATTTTCATGCTGCTGATAAAGACAGACCCAAGACTGGTCGATTTACAAAAGAAAGAAATTTAATGGGCCAGGCACAGTGGCTCATGCCTGTAATCCCAGCACTTTGGGAGGCCAAGGTGGGCGGTTCACAAGTTCAGGAGATCAAGACCATCCTGGTCAACATGGTGAAACTCTGTCTCTACTAAAAATACAAAAATTAGTTGGGTGTGGCAGCGCGTGCCTGTAATCCCAGCTACTCGGGAGGCTGAGAAAGGAGAATCTCTTGAACCCAGGAGGCGGAAGTTGCAGTGAGCTGAGATCATGCCACTGCACTCCAGCCTGGTGACAGAGCTAGACTCCATCTCAAAAAAAAAAACAAAGAAAAGGGTTTAATGGACTTACAGTTCCACATGGCTAGGGAGGCCTTGCAATCATAGTGGAGGGCAAGGAGGAGCAAGTCATGTCTTACATGGATGGCAGCAGGCAAAAAGAGAGAAGTTGTGTACAGAAACTCCCCCTTATAAAACCATCGGATCTCATGAGACTTATTCACTATCATGAGAACAGCATGGGAAATAACTGCCCCATGATTCAATTACCTCCCATGGGGTCCCTCTCACAACACATGGGAATTCAAGGTAAGATTTGGGTGGCAGCACAGCCAAACCATATCATTCCACCCCAGCCCCTCCCAAATCTCATGTCCTCACATTTCAAAACCAATCATGCCTTCCCTATAGTCCCCCAAAGTCTTAACTCATTTCAGCATTAACTCAAAAGTCCATAGTCTAAAGCCTCATCTGAGACAAGGCAAGGTCTTCCACCTATGAGCCTGTAAAATCAAAACAAGCTAGTTACTTCCTAGATACAGTAGGGTACAGGCATTGGGTAAATACACCTATTCCAAATGGAAGAAATTGGCCAACACTAAGGGGCTACAGGCCCCATGCAAGTCTGAAATCCAGCAGGGCAGTCAAATCTTAAAGTTTCAAAATGATCTCCTTTGAATCCATGTCTCTCATCCAGGTCATGCTGATGCAAGAGGTGGGTTTCCATGGTCTTGGGCAGCTCTGCTCCTGTGGCTTTGCAGGGTACAGCATCTCTCCCAGCTGCTTTCATGGGCTGGTGTTGATTGTCTGTGGGTTTTCCAGGTATATGGTGCAAGCTGTCAGTGGATCTACCATTCTGGAGTCTGGAGGATGGTGGCCCTTTTCTCACAGTTCCACTAGGTGGTGCCCAGGTAGGGACTCTGTGTGGGAGCTCTGAGCCCACATTTCCCTTCTGCACTGCCCTAGCAGAGGTTCTCCATGAGGGCCTCACCCCTTCAGCAAACTTCTTCACCCCTTCAGCAAACTTCTTCTAGGTTTCCTCTGAAACCTAGATGGAGGTTCCCAAAACCCAATTCTTGACTTCTGTGCACTCATAGACTCAATACCATGTGGAAGCTGCCAAGGCTTGAGGCTTGCACCCTCTGAAACCACGGCCCAATCTCTATTTCAGCCATGGCTGGAGTGGCTCGGATGCAGGGCACCAAGTCCCTAGACCGCACACAGCATGGGACCCTGGGCTTGGCCCACAAAACCATTTCTTCCTCCTAGGCCTCCAGGCCTGTAATGGAAGGGGCTGCTGCAAAAGTCTCTGAGATGCCCTGGAGACATTTTCCCCATTGTCTTGGGGATTAACATTGGGATCCTTGTTACTTACGCAAATTTCTGCAGGCATCTTGAATTTCTCCTTAGAAAATGAGTTTTTCTTTTCTATTGCATTGTCAGGCTGCAAATTTTCTGAACTTTTATGCTCTGTTTCCCATTTAAAACTGAATGCCTTTGACAGCACCCAAGTCACCTCTTGAATGCTTTGCTGCTTAGAAATTTCTTCTGCCAGATACCTTAAATCATCTCTCTCAAGTTCAAAGATCCACAAATCTCTAGGGCAGGGGCAAAATGCCACCAGTCTCTTTGCTAAAACATAACAAGAGTCACCTTTGCTCCAGTTCCAAACAAGTTTCTCATCTCCATCTAAGACCACCTCAGCCTAGATTTCATTGTTCATATCATTATCTGAATTTTGGACAAAGCCATTCAACAAGTCTCTAGGGAGTTCCAAACTTTTCCACATTTTCCTGTTTTCTTCTGAGCCCTCCAAATTTTTCCAACCTCTGTCTGTTACCCAGTTCCAAAGTTGCTTCCCCATTTTTGGGTATCATTTCAGCAGCACCTTACTCTACTGGTACCAATTTAATGTGTTAGTTCGTTTTCATGCTGCTGATAAAGACATACCCAAGACTGGCCAATTTACAAAAGAAAGAGATTTATTGGACTTACAGTTCCACGTGGATTGGGAGGCTTCACAATCATCATGGAAGGCAAGGAGGAGCAAGTCCCATCTTACACGGATGGCAGCAGGCAAACAGAGAAAGCTTGTGCAGGGAAACTCCCCCTTATAAAACCATCAGATCTCATGATACTTATTCACTATCATGAGAACAGCACAAGAAAGACCTGCCCCCATGATTCAATTACTTCCCATGGGGTCCCTCCCACAACATGTGGGAATTCAAGATGAGATTTGGGTGGGGACACAGCCAAACAAGATCAACGTGGAAATTAAACAATATGCTTCTGAATGACCAGTAGGTCAATGAAATAATTACAAAGGAAATTTAAAAATTTCTTGCAACACATGCTAATGGAAACACAACATACCAAAACCTATGGGATACAGCAAAAGCAGCACTAAAAAGGAAAGTTTATAGCTATAAATGCCCACATTAAAAAAAGAAAAACATCAAATAAACAACCTAACAAAGCATCTTAAAGAACTAGAAAATCAAGAGCAAACCAAATCCAAAATTAACAGAAGAAATAAAAAAGATCAGAGCAGAAATAAATAAAATTACAATGAAGAAAACAATACAAAAGATCAACGAAACAAAAAGCTGGTTTTTTTTAAGTTAAACGAAATGGACAAGCCTTTAGCCAGATTAGCTCAGAAAAAAAAAGACACAAATAAATAAAATCAGAGATGAAAAAGGAGACACAACAACTGATTCTGCAGCTATTCAAAGGATCATAAGTCACTACTGTGAACAACAATAAGCCAATAAATTGGAAAATCTAGAAGAAATGGGCAAATTTCTAGACACATACAACCTACAAAGATTAAACCATGAAGAAATCCAAAACATGAACAGATCAATAACAATGAGATGGAAGCCATAATCAAAAGTCTTTCAGTAAAGTAAAGCTCGGAACCTGATGGCTTCACCACTGAATTCTACCAAACATTTAAGGAAGAACTAATACCAATCTTACTCAAACTATCTGAAAAATCAAGGAGAAGTGACTACTTCCAAACTCATTCTACAAGGCTATTATTGCCCCAATACCAACACCAAAGATACCTCAAGAAAAGAAAACTACAGGTCCATATCTCTGATGAATACTGATGCACAAATCTTCAACTAAATACATATTTAACAATACATTAAAAAGATGATTCATCATGACCAAGTGGGATTTATCCCAGGGATGCAATCATGGTTCCAACATATGCAAAATAATCAATGTGATACATTATATCAACAGTATGAAGGACAAAAACCATACAATCATTTCCATCAATGCTGAAAACCCATTTGACAAAATTCAGCATCTCTTCATGAAAGAAAACCCTCAAAAAACTGGGTACAGAAGGAACATACGTCAACCTAATAAAAGCCATATACAAAAGATCCATAGCAGATGTCATACTAACTGGGGGGTGAGGGGGTACTGAAAGCTTTTCCTCTAATATCTGGAACATGACAAGGATGCCCACTATCACCACTGTTATTCAACGTAATACTGGAAGTCCTAGATAGAGCAGCTAGACAAGAGAAAAAGAAAAGGGCATCCAAATTGGAAAGGAAGAAATCAAATTATCCTTGTTGGCAGATTATGTGATCTTATATTTGGAAAAACCTAAAGGCTCCACCAAAAAACTGTTAGAACGTATAATCAAATTCAGTAAAGTTGCAGGGTGCAATATCAACATACAAATATCAATAGCATTTTTATATGCCAACAGTGAACAAATCGAAAAAGAAATTTTAAAAAGTAATCTCATTTACTTTAGCTGCAAATAAAATTAAATGCCTAGAAATTAATCAAAGAAGTGAAAGATCTTTATAATAAAAACTATAAAACACTGATGAAAAAAATTGAAGAGGACACCACAAATTGGAAAGATATTTCATGTTCATGGATTGGAAGAATCAATATTGTTAAAATGTCCATACTACCCAAAGCAATCTATAGATTCAATGCAATCCCTATCAAAATGCCAATGACATTATTCACAGAAATAGAAAAAAAAATCCTAAAATTTATATGGAACCACAAAAGACCCAGAATAGCCAAAGCTATCCTAAACAAAAAGAACAAAACTGGAGGAAGCACATTATCTGGCATCAAATTATACTTCACGACTATAGTAACCAAAACATCATGGTACTAGAATAAAAACAGACACACAGACCAATGGGATAGAATAGAGAACCCAGAAACAAATCCACACACCTACAGTGAGCTCATGTTCGACAAAGGTACCAAGAAGATACACTAGGGAAAAGACAGTCTCTTCCATAAATGATGCTGGGAAAACTGGACATTCATATGCAGAAGAAAGAGACTAGACCCCTATCTCTCATCATATACAAAAATCAAATCCAAATGGATTAAAGACTTAAAGACCTCAAACTATGAAACTACTACAAGAAAACATTGGGGAAACTTCCAGGACATTGGACTGCACTAAGATTTCTTGAGTAATACCCCACAAGCACAGGCAACCAAAGCAAAAAAGCATAAATGGGATCACATCAAGTTAAAAAGCTTTTGTATAGCAAAGGAAACAACCCAAAAAGGAAAGAGGCAACCCACAGAATGGGAAAAATTATTCACAAACTACCTATCTAACAAGGGATTAATAACAAGTATATATAAGTAGCTCAACCAACTCTGTCAAAAAAAAAAAAAATCTGGCCAGGCATGGTGGGACACACCTGCAATCCCAGCACTTTGGGAGGCCAAGGCGGGTGGATCACCAGAGGTCAGGAGTTAGAGACCAGCCTGGCCAACATGGTGAAACCCC
Organism: Homo sapiens; assembly: GCF_000001405.40. NCBI lineage: Eukaryota > Metazoa > Chordata > Mammalia > Primates > Hominidae > Homo > Homo sapiens. The sequence goes on along the minus strand of NC_000002.12, from coordinate 157,976,656 downwards.
ATCTCTACTAAAAATACAAAAATTAGCCGGGCGTGATAGCACATGTCTGTAATCCCAGCTACTCGGGAGGCTGAGGCAGGAGAATCGCTTGAACCCAGGAGGTGGAGGTCGCAGTGAGCCGAGATCGCACCATTGCACTCCAGCCTGGGTGACAAAAAAAAAAAAAAAAAGTAAAAAAAACTAATAATCCAATTTTAAATGGGCAAAAGATTTGAAAAGACATTTCTCAAAAGAAGAGATACAAATGGCAAACGGACCTATGAAAGATGCTCAATGTAGTGATCATCAGAGGAAGGGACAAATCAAAACTACAATGAGATGTCATCTCACCCCACTTAAAATGGCCTCAAAAACAGGCAATAACAAATGCTGGCTAGGATGTGGAGAAAAGGGAACCTTTGTACACTGTTGATGGAATGTAAATTAGTACAGCCACTGTGGAGAACAGTTTGGAGGTTTCTCAAAAAATGAAAAATAGAGTTACCATATGATTCAGCAATCCCACCACTGAGTATATACCCAAAAGAAAGGAAATGAGTGTGTCGAAGGGATATCTACACTCCCATGTTTGTTGCAGCTCTGTTAACAATAGTCAAGATTTGAAAGCATTTAAGTGTCTATCAACAGATAATGGATAAAGAAAATGTGATTCTCATACACAGTGTAGTACTATTCAACCATAAAAAAGAATAAGATCCCTGTGCAACAACATGGATGGAACCAGAATTCATTATGTTAAGTGAAATAAGCCAGGCACAGAAATATAAACATCACGTGGTCTCATTTATTTGTGGGACCTAAAAATAAAGACAATTGAACCCATTGAGATAGAGAGTAGAAGGATGGTTACCAGAGGTTGGGAAGGTTAGTGGGGGATAGGAGGAGGTGAGATCCTTAATAGGTATCAAAAAGTTAAAATGAATAAATAAGGCCTAGTATTTGACTGCACAACAGGGTGGCTACCATTAATATAATTTAATTGTGCATTTTCTATTAAGAATAGCAAAGACATGAACACAACCTAAATGCCCATCAACGATAGACTGGATAAAGAAAATATGGTACATATACACCATGTAATACTATGCAGCCACAAAGAAAAGGATGAGATCATGTCCTTTGCAGGGACATGGATGGAGTTGAAAGCCATTATCCTCAGCAAACTGATGCAGGAACAGAAAACCAAACACCACATGTTCTCACTTATAAGTAGGAGCTAAATGATGAGAACACAGGGACATATTGGGGGGAAAACACACATTGGGGCCTGTTGGAGCAGGGGTGAAGGCAGGCAGAGCCTCAGGAAAAACAGCTAATGCATGTTGGGCTTAATACCTAGGTGATGGGATGATCCATGCAGCAAACCACCACAGCACACATTTACCTATGTGAAAAAACCCTGAACATCTGGCACATGTACCTCTGAACTTAAAATGAAAGTTGAAGAAAAAAATTAAATAATTTAATTGTGCATTTTAAAATAACTAAAAGAATACAACTGGATTGTTTGTAACACAAAGGATAAATGCTTGAGAGTGTGAATACTCCATTTTCCATGATGTGATTATTACACATAGCATGACTCTATCAAAACATCTCATGTAACCCATGAATATATACAGCTGCTGTGTACCCACAGAAATTGAAAATTAAAAATTATTTTAAAAAAGAAAATAAAAATAAATACAGTAAAAGAAACAATGAAGGATTAAAACAATACATTAGAAAATATATTTATAACACAAAAGTAGGTATTAATAAAGGAAGGATTGAAAAAGACATGAAACATCTAAAAAACAGGTAGAAAAATGGCAAATGAGAACATTACATTATTAGCAATTTCATTAAATGTAAACTGGTTGAACATTCAAATTAAAAATAAGAGATTCAGCCAGGTGCAGTGGCTCACACCTGTAATCCCAGCACTTTGGGAGGTTGAGATGAGTGGATCACCTGAGGTCAGGAGTTCAAGACCAGTCTGGCCAACATGGTGAAATTCCGTCTCTATTAAAAATACAAAAAAAAAAAAAAAAATTAGCCAGGTGTGGTGGCAGGTGCCTGTAGTCCCAACTACTTGGGAGGCTGAGGCAGGAGAATTGCTTGAACCCAGGAGGCAGAGGTTGCAGTGAGCCGAGATTGTGCCATTGCACTCCAGACTGGGTGACAAGAGTGAAACTATGTCTCAAAAAAAGAAAAAAAAGGGGTTAGCAGATTTAAAAGCAAGATTCAACTATATGCTGTCTATGAGAGACTTTAGATTTAAAGACACAAAGAGGTTGAAAATAAAAGTATGAAAAAAGATGTACCAGTCAAACTGTAACTAAGAGAGACCTAGAATGACTATATTATTAAAGTAGACTTTAAGACAAAAAATTGTTACTAAAGACTAAGAAGGACATCTTACAATGATAAAAGAGTTAATCAGCCAGGCATGGTGTCTCATGCCTGTAATCCCAGCACTTTGGGAGGCCAAGCCAGGTGGATCACTTGAGGTCAGGAGTTCGAGACCAGCCTGGCCAACATGGAGAAACCCTGTCTCTACTAAAAATACCAAAATTAGCCAGGCATGGTGGCATGCACCTGTAATCCCAGCTACTAAAGAGGCTGAGGCAAGAGAATCACTTGAACCCGGGAGGTGGAGGTTGCAGTGAGCTGAGATCGTACCACTGTACTATATAGCCTGAACAACAAAGTGAGACTCTGTCTCAAAAAAAAAAAGAGTTAATTGATCAAAAACATGTAAGAATTATAAACATATATGCACCAAACAACCCCAAATTCTAACAGAATTGAAACTGACAGAATTGAAGGAGAAAATAGTCAATTCAACAGTAGTTGGAGATTAATTAACCCACTTTCAATGGTGGTTAGAATAGCTAGACAGAATGTCTTCCAGAAAATGGAAGACTTGAACAAGGTATAGTCCAGTTTCCAGAGATCTAAAGAACCTCCATTTATTAATAAAATAATACACATTCTTCTCAAGCACACAAGTAACATTTGCCAGGATAAAACATATGTTACACCATAAAGCAAGTCTTAATAAAGTATAAAAGACTGTAATGGTACAAATTATACTATGTGACCACAGTGAAATGAAATTAGAAATTAATAACATGAAAATTTGGAAATTTCACAAGAAAATTGAGCACAGTTGTAAATAATTAAAGGTCAAAAAGTAAATTACAAAAGAAATTTGAAAATGCCTTGAGATAAATGAAAATAAAAACACAGTACACCAGATCTTAGGAGATGCAGTAAAAATAGTGCCTAGAGGGAAATGTATAATTAGAAATGCCTATTTTTTTTTAAAAAAAGATAGATCTCAAATCAAAACCAAAACTTTATCTTAAAGAGCTAAAAAAAAAAAGCAAATCCGAAGCAAACAGAAGAAAAGAAATAATAAATATTACAGAGAAAATAAAGGAAATAGAAAATAGAAAAATCATAGAGAAAATCTGTAAAACCAAAAGTTGGTTCTTTGAAAAGACCAACAAAATTGACAAAACTTTAGCTAATCTCACCAGGCAAGGAAAAAAAAAAACAAACCTCAGCCGGGCGTGGTGGCTCATGTCTGAAATCCCAGTACTTTGGAAGGCTGAGGCAGGTGGACTACCTGAGGTCAGGAGTTCGAGACCAGCCTGGCCAACATGGTGAAACCTCATCTCTACTAAAAATACAAAAATTAGCCAGGTGTGGTGGCACGCACCTGTAATCCTAGCTACTTGGGAGGCTGAGGCAGGAGAATCACTTGAACCCAGGAAGCAAGGTTGCAGTGAGCTGAGATTGCAGCACTGCACTCCAGCCTGGGTGACAGAGCTGACAGAGCAAGACTCTGTATCCAAAAAAAAAAAAAAGAAAGAAAGAAAAGAAAAAACAGACTAAAATTACTAACATCAGAAATGAAAAATGGGACACTATTAATAACTTTACAAAACAAAAAATATTATAAGGTGTTTTTGACTGAATGTTCCCCCTCACTGTCTCTAAATCCACATGCTGAAGCCCTAGCTCTCAATATGATGATATTTAAAGATGGGGTTAGGGTAAGGTAAATAGGGTTAGGTTAGGTCATGAGCTTGGGCCCTCATCATGGGATTAGTGGACTTAGAAAAAGAAGGAGAGATGAGATCATGGCAGACAGGCAGGACTAGATTGAAGCTCCCACTTGGACAGACACAACAGCCTGTGGAGGCTTGTACTGTGAACTTTTGCTCCAGTATGACTGTAGAAATATATTAGGAAAGCCAAGAGAACCCATATATCTTCCGAAAGAAGTGGATTGTTCCTGCAAGACTCTGGAGACACCCCAAATACTGTGAGTGCCCAAACTCTGCAAGTGGGAAAGGAAGATTGTTCATCCATGAACATACATCCCCACTGGGGAACCTGAAGGTCTAGATTATGGGAGAAGATTCTGACCTTACCTGGAGCTGAGTCAATTTAGAGAGCTGAGTGAAATACAGAGGTAGAGGAAGCAGAAGGAAAATCTCTGTGGGCTTGCTGGGTCCCTTAGCAAGACATTTCTGCCTCACCTCACAGGCATCCTTGAGGAGAGCTACCAGAGTCACTGGGAAAAGGCCACAGGGAGAAGAAAAGCACCAGCTGAACTTTGTAACAATTTGAACCAATTTAGAAGCCTCCTGGCCAGAAACTGGGGGAGGGTGTGAATCTGGTGTGCATACTCCACAGGTGGGAGAGGAAGGAAAGCCCTAGTTATTTTCACAGCTGGGAGGTGGGTAGCCTGGGGCAAGTTCTCAGTCCTGCTGGCCCACTGCCTGGAAACAGACTTGTTGCTGTTGGGGGTGGGAGCATGGTGGAAGTGAGATCAGCCCTTTGGGTTGGGTGGGAGCTGGGTGAGGCCTGTGACTGACAGCTTTCCCCCACTTCCCTGACAACCTGCATGACACAGCAGAGGCAGCCATAATCCTCCTGGAAACAAAACTCCATTGACCTAGGAACCTGAACCTCACCCCCACCCCCAACAGGAGCCGCAGCAAGACTTACCCAAGTAGAGTCTGAGCTCAGACACACCTAGTCTTGCCCCCACCTAATGGTTCTTCCCTACCCACCCTGGTAACTGAAGACAAAGGACATAAACTCATGGGAGTTCTAAGGCCTCTCCCACCACCTGTTCCTCCACATACTACCACAGCTGATGCTCTCTTGAAAGCACCACCTCCCAGCAGGAGGCCAACCAACACAAAAATAGTGCAATAATCAACCAAAGCTAAGGACCCTCACAGGGTCCATTTGATACCCCTGCCACCTCCACCAGAGCAGGTGCCAGTATCCATGGCTGAGAAACCCACAGATTGTTCACATCATAGGACTCTGTGCAGACAACCCCCAGAACCTGTCTACTAGAGCAAGTCTACTAGCCCAGAGCCTGGTAGGCTTGCTGGATGGCTAGAAGAGAGATAACAATTACTATAGCTCAGCTCTCAGGAAGCCACATCCCTAGGAAAAGGGGGACAGTACTACAACAAGAAAACACCCCGTGGGACAAAAGGACCTGAACAACAGCCTTGAGCCTGAGATGTTCCTGCTGACAAAGCCCAAATGAGAAGGAACCCAAAAACCAACTCTTGTAATATGACAAAAAAAGGTTTTTTAACACCCCCCAAAAATCATACTAGCTCTCCAGCAATTGATCCAAACCAAGAAAAAATCCCTGATCTACCTGAAAAAGAATTCAGAAGGAGGTTAGTTATTAAGCTAATCAGGGAGGCACCAGAGAAAGGTGAAGCCCAATGTAAGGAAATCCAAAAAATGATACAAGTGAAGGGAGAAATATTCAATGAAAAAGATAGCATAAATAAAAATCAATCAAAACTTCAGGAAACAATGGACACACTTATGCAAATGCAAAATGCTCTGAAAAGTCTCAGCAATAGAATTGAACAAGCAGAATAAAGAACTTCAGAGCTTAAAGACAAGGTTTTCAAATTAACCCAATCTAGCAAAGACAAAGAAAAAAGAATAAGAAAATATGAACAAAGCTTCCAAGAAGTCTGGGATTATATTAAATAACCAAATCTAAGCATCTTCAGCGTTCCTGAGGAAGAAGATAAATCTAAAGGCTTGGAAAGTGTATTTGGGGGAAAAATCAAGGAAAACTTTTCTGGCCTTGCTAGAGAACTAGACATTATACAAGAAGCTCAAAGAACATCTGGGAAACTCATCACAAAAAGATCATTGCCCAGGCACATTGTCATCAACTTATCTGAAGTTAAGATGAAGGAAAAAATATTAAAAGCTGTGAGGCAAAAACACCAGGTAACCTATAAAGGAAAACCTATCAGATTAATAGCAGATTTCTCAGAGAAAGTCTACAAGCTAGAAGGGATTGGGGCCCTATCTTCAGCCTTCACAAACAAACAATTATCAGCCAAGAATTCTGTACCCAGTGAAACTAAACTTTGTAGATTAAGGAAAAATACAGTCTTTTTCAGACAAACAAATGGTAGAAATCACTACTACCAAGCCAGCACTACAAGAACTGCTAAAAGGAGCTCTAAATTTTGAAACAAATCCTGGCAACACATCAAAACAGAACCTCTTTAAAGCATAAATCTCACAAGACCTACAAGACAAAAATACAATTTAAAAAAAAAAAAACAACCCAAGATATACAGGAAACAAATAGCATAATGAATGGAATGATAGCTCACATCTCAGTCAAACGTTCAATGTAAATGGCCTAAATGCTCCACTGAAAAGATACAGAATTGCAGAATGGATAAGAATTCACCAACCATCTGCTGCCTTCAAGAGACACACCTAACACAAAAGGACTCACGTAAACTTAAGGAAAGGAATGGAAAAAGACATTGCATGCAAATGGACACCAAAAGTAAGCAGGGGTAGCTGTTATTATATCAGACAAAACAAACATTAACGCAACAGCAGTTGAAAAAACAAAGAGGGTCATTATATAATGATAAAAGGTCTTGTCCAACAGGAAAATATCACAATCCTAAATATATATGCACCTAACACTGGAGTTCCCAAATTTGTAAAAGAATTATTAATAGAAGTAAGAAATAAGATAGACAGAAACACAATAATAGTGGGGGCCTTTAATACTCCACTGACAGCACTAGACAGGTCATCAAGACAGAAAGTCAACAAAAAACAATAAATTTAAACAATACCCTGGAACAAAGGGACTTAACTGATATACACAGAACATTCTACCCAACAACCACAGAATATACATTCTATTCAACAGTGCATGGAACTTTCTCCAAAAGACCATATGATAGGCTGCAAAACGAGCCTCAATAAAGGTAAGACAATTGAAATTGAATTCAAGTATTCTCTCAGGCCACAGTGGAATACAACTGGAAATCAACTCCAAAAGGAACCTTCAAAACCATGCAAATACATGGAAATTAACCTTCTCCTGAATGATCACTGAGTCAAAAATGAAATCAAGATGAAAATTTAAAAATTCTTCTAACTGAATGACAATAGTGACACAACCAATCAAAACCTCTGGAATACAGCAAAGGCAGTGCTAACAGGAAAGTTCATAGCCCTAAATGCCTACATCAAAAAGGTTGGAAGAGCACAGACAATCTAAAGTCATACCTCAAGGAACTAGAGAAGCAAGAACAAACTAAACCCAAACCCAGCAGAAGAAAGGAAATCACCAAGATCAGAGCAGAACTAAATGAAATTGAAACAAACAAAAAAATACAAAAGATAAACAAAACAAAAAGCTGCTTCTTTGAAAAGATAAATAAACTTGATAAACCATTAGAAAGATTAACCAAGAGGAGAGAAAATCCAAATAAGCACAATTAGAAACGAAATGGGAGCTATTACAACTGACACCACAGAAATACAAAAGATCATCAAGGCTACTATGAACACCTTTATGTGCATAAATTAGAAAACCTAGAAGAGATGGATAAAGTCCTGGAATGATACAACCTTCCTAGCTTTAATCAGATAGAATTAGGCACTCTGAACAGACCAGTAACAAGTAGAGAGACTGAAATGGTAATAGCAACAATTACCAACAACAAAAAAAGTCAAGGACCAAACGAATTCACAGCAGAATTCTAAGAGACGTTCAAAGAAGAATTGGTACCAATCCTATTCATGCTATTCCACAAGACAGAGAAAGAGGGGACCCTCCCCTCAAATCATTCTATGAAGCCAGCATAACCCTAATACCAAAACCAGGAAAAGACATAACAGAAAAAGAAAATGAGAGGTGACAGTGTGCTGGCAGTGCTCACAGCCCTCACTTGCTCTGGGCGCCTCCTCTGCCTGGGCTCCCACTTTGGCGGCACTTGAGGAGCCCTTCAGCCTCCCGCTGCACTGTGGGAGCCCCTTTCTGGGCTGGCCAAGGCTGGAGCTGGCTCCCTCAACTTGCGGGGAGGTGTGGAGGGAGAGGCGCGTGTGGGAACTGGGGCTGCGCCCGGTGCTTGTGGGCCAGCGCGAGTTCCAGGTGGGCATGGACTCAGCGGACCCCGCACTCGGAGCCGCCGGCCGGCCCCACCGGCCCCCAGCAGTGAGGGGCTTAGCACCTGGCCAGCAGCTGCTGTGCTCAATTTCTGGCCAGGCCTTAGCTGCCTTCCCACGGGACAGGGCTCAGGACCTGCAGCCCGACATGCCTGAGCCTCCCCTCCCACTCCGTGGGCTCCTGTGCCGCCTGAGCCTCCCCGAGGAGTGCTGCCCCCTGCTCCAAGAGCCCAGTCCCATCCACCACCCAAGGGCTGAGGAGTGTGGGCGCATGGCTCGGGACTGGCAGGTAGCTCCACCTGCAGGCTCCGTGGGGGATCCACTGGGTGAAGCCATCTGGGCTCCTGAGTCTGGTGGGGACGTGGAGAACCTTTATGTCTAGCTAAGGGATTGTAAATACACCAGTCGGCACTCTGTATCTAGCTACTCTGGTGGGGTCTTGCAGAACCTTTGTGTCCACACTCTGTATCTGGTGGGGACATGAAGAACCTTTGTGTCTAACTCAGGGATTGTAAATGCACCAATCAGTGCCCTGTCAAAACAGACCACTCGGCTCTACCAATCAGCAGGATGTGGGTGGGGCCAGATAAGAGAATAAAAGCAGGCTGCCCGAGCCAGCAGTGGCAACCCGCTCGGGTCCCCTTCCACAGAGTGGCAACTTGCTTGGGTCCTCTTCCACACAGTGGAAGCTTTGTTCTTTCGCTCTTTGCAATAAATCTTGCTACTGCTAACTCTTTGGGTCCACACTGCCTTTATGAGCTGTAACACTCACGGCGAAGGTCTGCGGCTTAACTCCTAAAGCCAGCGAGCCCGCGAGCCCACAGGGAGGAAGGAACAACTCCAGACGCCCGCCTTAAGAGCTGTAACACTCACCGGGAGGGTCTGCAGCTTCACTCCTGAGCTAGCGAGACCACGAACCCACCAGAAGGAAGAAACTCGGAACACATCCGAACATCAGAAGGAACAAACTCCAGACATGCCGCCTTAAAGAACTGTAACACTCACTGCAAGGGTACTTGGCTTCATTCTTGAAGTCAGTGAGACCAAGATCCCACCAATTCCGGACACAAAAACTACAGACCAATATCTCTGATGAACATAGATGTTAAAATACTTAACAAAGTACTACCTAACCAAGTCAAACAACATATCAAAAAGATAATCCACCATGATCAAGTGGGTTTCATACCAGGGATGCGGCAGTGGTTTAACATATGCAAGTCAATAAATGTGATACACCACTTAAACAGAATCAAAAACAAAAATCACACGATCATCTCAATAGATGCAGAAAAAGCATTCAACGCAATCCAGCATCCCTTTATGATTAAAACTCTCAGCAAAATCAGCATACAAGGGACATACCTCAATGTAATAAAAGCTGTCTATGACAAGCCCACAGCCAAAATAATACTGAATAAAAAAAAGTGGAAAGCATTCCCTCTGAGAACTGGAATAAGACAAGGATGCCCACTCTCACCACTCCCCTTCAACATAGGACTGGAAATCCTAGCCAGAGCAATCAGACAAAAGAGAGAAATAAAGGACATACAAATTGGTAAAAAGGAAGTCAAACTGTTGCTGTTTGCTGATGATATGATCCTTTACCTAGAAAACCATAAAGACTCCTCAAGAAAGCTCTAGAAGTGATAAAAGAATTCAGCAAAGTTTCTGGATACAAAATCAATGTATGCAAATCAATAGCTCTTCTATACACCAACAGCAACCAAGCTGAAAATTAAATTAAGAACTCGACCACGGCCAGGCGTGGTGGCTCACACCTGTAATCCCAGCACTTTGGGAGGCCGAGGTGGGCAGATCACGAAATCAGGAGTTCAAGACCAGCCTGGCCAACATAGTGAAACCTCGTCTCTACTAAAAATACAAAAAAATTAGCTGGGCATGGTGGCATGTGCATGTAGTCCCAGCTACTCAGGAGGCTGAGGCAGGAGAATCACTTGAACCTGGGAGGGGGGGGTTGCAGTGAGCCGAGATTGTGCCACTGTACTCCAGCTTGGGCAATAGAGTGAGATTTCGTCTCAAAACAACAACAACAACAACAACAAAACTCAACCCCTTTTACAATAGCTGCAAAAAAATAAAATAAAATGCTTAGGAATATACCTAACCAAGGAGGTGAAAGACCTCTACAAGCAAAATGGCAAAACACTGCTGAAATATATCATAGATGACACAAACAAATGGAAACACATTTCATGCTCATGGATAGGTAGAATCAATATTGTGAAATGGCCAGGTGCAGTGGCTCAGGCCTGTAATCCCCGAACTTTGAGAGGCTGAGATGGGTGGCTAACTTGAGGCCAGGAGTTCAAGACCAGCCTGGCCAACATGGCAAACCCCCTCTTTACTAAAAATATAAAAATTAGTCAGGAGTGGTAGTGCACACCTGTAATTCCAGCTACTGAGGAGGCTGAGGCATGAGAATCACTTGAACCCAGGGTTCAAGTGTTGCAGTGAGCCAAGATCATGTGACTGCACTCCAGCCCAGATGACAGAGTGAGACTGTGTCTCAAAAAAAAAAAAAATTGTGAAAATGACCATGCTGCCAAAATCAATCTACAAATTCAATGCAATTCCCATAAAAATACCATCGTTCTTCACAGAATTAGAAAAAACAATTATAAAATTCGTATGCAACCAAATAAGAGCCTCCATAGCCAAAGCAAGACTAAGCAAAAAGAACATATCTAGAGGCATCACATTACCTGATTTCAAACTATAGTATAAGACCATAGTCACCAAAACAGCGTGGTACTGGCATAAAAATAGGAACATAGACCAATGGAACAGAATAGAGAACCCAGAAATGAAGCCAACTGATCTTTGACAAAGCAAACAAAAATATAAAGTGGGGAAAGGACACACCCTATTCAACAAATGGTGCTGGGAAGATTGGCAAGCCACACGTAGGAGAATGAAACTGGCTCCTTATCTCTCACCTTATACAAAAATCAACTCAAGATGGATCAAGGACTTAAATCTAAGACATAAAACTATAAAAATTCTAGAAGATAACTTTGGAAAAACCCTTTTAGACATTGGCTTAGGCAAGGATTTCATGACCAAAAACCCAAAAGCAAATGTAACAAAACAAAGACATATAGCTGGGACTTAATAAACTAAAGAGTTTTTGCATGGCAAAAGGAACAGTCAGCAGAGTAAACAGACAACCCACAGAGTGGGAGAAAATCTCTGCAATCTGTACATATGACAAAAGACTAATACCCAGGATCTACAACAAATTAGCAAGGAAAAAAACAAACAATCCCATCAAAAATTGGGCTATTCTCAAAAGAAAATATACAAAAGGTCAACAAACATATGAAAAAATGCTCAACGTCACTAATGATCAGGGAAATGGAAATCAAAACCACAATGTGATACCATAATGGTATTACATTAATGGCCATAATCAAAAAATCAAAAAATAATAGATGTTGGCATGGATGCAGTGAACAGGGAACACTTCTACACTGCTGGTGGGAATGTAAACTAGTACAACCACTATGGAAAACAGTGTGGAGATCCCTTAAAGAACTAAAAGTAGAACTACCATTTGATCCAGCAATCTCACTATTGGGTATCTACCCAGAGAAAAAGAAGTCATCATATGAAAAATATACTTGCACCCCCGTGTTTTTAGTTGCATAATTTGCAAGTAAAATCATGGAACCAACCCAAATGCCCATCAATTAACATGTGGATAAATAAACTGGTATAAGGCTGGGCATAGTGGCTCACGCCTGAAATCCCAGCACTTTGGGGGTGCCGAGGCAGATGGATCATTTGAGGTCAGGAGTTCAAGACCAGCTTGCCGAACATGGTGAAACCCTGTTTCTACTAAAAATAAATACAAAAAAATGAGCCAGGCATGGTGGTGCACATATGTAATCGCAGCTACTCAGGAGGCTGAGGCATGAGAATCACTTGAACCCAGGAGGTGGAGGTTACAGTGAGATGTGATTGTGCCACTTCACTCCAGCCTGGGTGACAGAATGAGACCCTGTCTAAAAAAAAAAAAAAAAAAGATGTGAAACTGGTGTGTGTGTGTGAATATATATATATATGATGGAATACTACTCAGCCATAAAAAGGAATGAATTAATGGCACTCACAGTGACCTGGATGAGATTGGAGACTATTATTCTAAGTGAGGTAACTCAGGAGTGGGAAACTAAACATCGTATGTTCTCACTCATATGTGGGAGTTAAGCTGTGAGGATGCCAAGACATAAGAAGGACAAAATGGATTTTGGATACTCAGGGGGAAAAGGTGGGAAGGGGATGAGGGATAAAAGACCACAAATTGTGTACAGTGTATACTGCTCAGGTGATGAGTGCACCAAAATCTCAAAAATTACCACCAAAGAACTTACTCATGTAACGAAACATCAGCTGTTCCCCAATAACCTACGGAAATAAAAAATAAAATAAAAAAGAGGGAGAGATCTCATCTCTCTCTTCTTTCTAGTGCTCTCTCTTTACATGCATGCACCAAAGAAAAGCTTTGTGAGGACATATCAAGATAGTGGCTGTCTGTAAGTCAGGAAGCAAGCCCTCAAGAGGAAGTAAATCAGCTAGGACCTTGATCTTGGACTTCCCAAAGTCCAGAACTGTAAGAAATGAATTTCTGTTGTTTAAGTCACACAGTCTGTGATATTTTGTTACGGCAACCCAAGCCAACTAAGACATTAGGCATACTATGAACAATTATAAGCCAACAAAGTAGATAACTTAGATGAAATAGACAAATTCCTAGAAACATACAAACAACCAAATCTAATTGAAAAAGGAATAGAACATCTGAAAAGATCAATAACAAGAGTCTGAATTAGTAATAAAAAAACTTTTGAAAAGGCCCAGGACTATACAGATTTACTGGTGAATTCTACCAAACGTTTGAAGAAGAATTACTACTGATTCTTCATAAGCTTTTGCAAATAATAAAAGAGGAGGGAACAGTTTCTAACTCAATATTTGATGTCAGTACTTCCCTGATATAAAAGCAAGACAAACACATGACAAGAAAAGAAAACTACAGAGCGATATCTTTATAAATATGGAAGCAACATTGCTCAACCAAATACTGGCAAACTGAATTCAAAAAAACATATAAAAACATTTTAGACCACTCAGCATCCCCTTCCCTTCACTGTCTCTTTCCCTTGTTCCCTCTCTTCCCCCTCCCAGAGCACCTTCCCCGTGAGGCTGCAGTAGTGGCAATGGGGTTCAACTGGGTCCCGGTGAACAGGAGCGGGGGCTGGCAGACATGGCGGCCAACATGTACCAGGTAGGAGATTTTGTCTACTTTGAGAATTCCTCCAGCAATCCATAAATAATCAGGATAGAAAATCTCGACAAGACTGCAAGTGGCAACATGGAAGCAAAAGTAGTATGCTTTTACAGATTACATGATATTTTTAACACACTGATAATGCTTGTGGAGAAGCATGCTAAAGAAATTGAGGAAGAATCTGAAACAATAGTTGACCCTTACTTGACCAATACTCAGAAACATCAATCAAAACATAAGTTACTTTCTTTGTTACCCCAATATGAATCTTTGCCTTCAACACATATTAGGGGAAAATGCAGTGTTGGCTTATGAATGAGACAGAATCAGTATTGTCATATCTTCATAAAAAGGATACTTTCTTCTACTTATTGATCATGACCCCTCATCGAAAACACTATTAGCTGATGAAGGTGAATTCAGAATGGGACCTAGATATCAAGTAGATGTCCCAGAAATGCTCATAGAAGGAGAATCAGATGAGAGGGAGCAGTGAAAATGGAAAGTTAAAGTTTGGGGATCCAAATAGCCCACTTAAAGATTGATCAATTAACCAGTTTTTAATTGTAGCAAGTGCTATTGGGACACTCCCTAGACCTCTCGATTGCAGCAGTTCTTTGAGGCAGCCTAGTTTGCATATGAGTGCTGCTGCAGCTTCCCAAGACATCACCTTCTTTCATGCTATCAATACATTGCGTAGACATAGCTATGATTTGAGCAGTGCAATTAGTGTCTCAGTACCACTTGCAGAAGCTGTTTTATGCAGAGATAAATTGGAAGAATGGTCAGCCTCTTAAGCTAGCTTATTCGAAGAGGTACTGGAAAAAATATGGCAAAGACTTCAACGACATATGCCAAAACTTTTTCCCTTGGAAATCATTGACTAGCATCACTGAATGTTATTTCTTGTGGAGAACTACTGACAGATATGTGCAACAGAAATGGTTAAAAGCAGCAGAAACTGAGAGTAAGCTGAAACAAGTATATATCCCAATTTACAGGAAACCAAATCCCAACCAAATATCTACCAGCAATGGCAAGCCTGGTGCTATGAGTGAAACCATGAGGTTGACATTCCTGCCTCAGAATCCCCTTGTAGTGCAAGCCTGGGAGGGCTGCTGTGCTACACAGTCTAACCAGTAGTATTCTTGGGGCCCACCTAATATGCAGTGCAATTTGTTGGCTTTATTGAGAAAAATATGGAGACCTGAAAATGCCCACCCAGTCAGAAGAAAAGTTATCTCCTAGCCCAATTACAGAGGACTCTCATGTTAGAAATGCTGCCAGGCCATTCAAGGGATGCCACTCCAAAACACTGTCAGTACAAAGTCTGCAGTGAAAACTCACCAAGCTTTCTTCCTTCATACTGTGTTTTTCACAAAATTTGCTCTCCATTTATTCAAAAGTATCCTCTGGCTGAAGCAGGCAGCAAGATGGCCACTTGTAGCTATTAATTTATGCTGCCATTAGGGCAGAATGTAAGCTTTTTTTTTTTTTTTTTTTTAGACAGGGCTTCACTGTATCACCCAGGCTGGAGTGCAGTGGCATGATCATGGATCACTACAAACTTCCTCTCCCAGGTTCAAGTGATTTTTCTGCCTCAGCCTCCTGAGTAGCTGGAATTACAGGTGGCTGCTGCCACGCCTGGCTAATTTTTGTATTTTTAGTAGAGACAGGGTTTCACCATGTTGGCCAGGCTGGTCTTGAACTCCTGACCTCAGGTCATCCTCCCACCTCGGCCTCCCAAAGTGCTGAGATTACAAGTGTGAGCCATTATGCCCAGCCACTGCTTTAAAATTCTTAATCTTATATGTTGTGCTTCTGACCATTTCCTCTCGCTCCTTTTTTTGTTTGTTTGTAATAAATGTAAGTTATTGTGTACAACCTTTTATTTGGTTTATTTTTTAACATTATTTTTGTCTGTTGCTATTTGTATCATGCCAATCTGAAAAAAATCAAAGCATTAAAAACTTCTGTTATCTTATCAGGGAATACTGCTCAGCAAAAGATTGGTGGGAGGTGATCCTATCCCATGGGGTTTTATGATGGAATTGCCTACAAAGCCCATAAGCACTTTTACCTACTAGGTAGTGCAACAAGATAACCCCTAAGGATGGTTGATATAGTATGGCTGTGTCCCACCCAAATCTCATCTTGAATTGTAATTCTGATAATCCCTATGTGTCATGGGAGGGACCAGGTGGGAGGTAATTGAATCATGGGGGTGGTTACCTCCATCCTGTTCTCATGATAGTGAGTGAGTTCTCATGAGATCTGATAGTTTTATAAGGGTTTTTTCTCCCTTTCACTCTGCACTTCTCCTTGCTGCCACCATGTGAAGAAGGGTGGATTTGCTTCCCCTTCCACCATGATTGTAAGTTTCGTGAGGCCTCCCTAGTCCTGCTGAACTGTGACTCAACTAAACCTCTTTCCAGCCAGGTGCAGTGGCTCACGCCTGTAATCCAAGCACTTTGTGGGGCTGAGGCGCGTGGATCACCTCAGGTCGGAAGTTTGAGACCAGCCTGACCAACATGGAGAAACCTCATCTCTACTAAAAATACAAAATAATTAGCCGAACGTGGTGGGGCACGCCTGTAATCCCAGCAACTCAGGAGGCTGAGGCAGGAGTATTGTTTGAACCCAGGAGGCAGAGGTTGTGGTGAGCCGAGATTGCACCATTGCACTCCAGTCTGGGCAACAAGAGCGAAACTGACATTAAAAAAACAAAACAAAACAAAACAAAACCCTCTTTACTTCATAAATTACCCAGTCTCAGGTGTGTCTTTATCAGCAGTGTGAGAACAGACTAATACAGTAAATTGATACCAGGAATGGAGCTGTTCGGGTAAACATACCCCAAAATGTGGAAGTGACTTTGGAACTGGATAACAGGCAGAGGTTGGAAGAGTTTGGAAGAGTTAGAAGACAACAGAAAGATATGGGAAAGTTTGGAACTTCCTAGAAACTTGTTGAATGGCTTTGAACAAAATGCTGATAGTGATATGGACAATAAAGTCCAGGCTGAGGTGGTCTCAGATGACGATGAGGAACTTGTTGGGAACTGAAGTAAAGGTCACTTGCTATGCAAAGAGACTGATGACATTTTGCCCCTGCCCTAGAGATCTGTGAAACTTTGAACTTGAGAGAAATGATTTAGTATATCTGGCAGAAGAAATTTTTAAGTGCCAAAGCATTCAAGAGAGAGTAGAACATAAAAGTTTGGAAAATTTGCAGCCTGATGATGCGATAGTAAAGAAAAACCCATTTTCTAGGGAGAAATTCAAGCCCACTGCAGAAATTTGCATAAGTAACAAGGAGCCAAATGTTAATCACCAAGACGATGGAGAAAATGCCTACAGGGCATGTCAGAGACCTTCAGAACATCCCCTTTCATCACAGGCCCAGAGGCCTAGGAGGGAAAAATGACTTCATGGGCTGGGCCCATGGCCACCCTGCTCTATGCAGCCTCTGGACATGGTGCCCAGCATCCCGGCTGCTTCAGCTCCAGCCATGGCTAAAAGGGACCAATGTACAACTCAGGCTGTTGCTTCAGAAGGTGCAAGCCCTTGGTGGCTCCCACAAGGTGTTGGGCCTGTAGGTGCACAGAAGTCAAGAACTGAAATTTGGGAACCTTCACCTAGATTTCAGAGGATATATGGAAACATCTGGATGTCCAGAGAGAAGTTTGCTGCAGGGGTGGAACCCTCATGGAGAACCTCTGTTAGGGCAGTGTGGAAGGGAAATGTGGGTTCAGAGCCCCAACACAGAGCTCCCACTGGGGCACTGCCTCGTAGAGCTGTGAGAAGAGGGCCACTGTCTTACCCCAGAATGGTAGATCCACCAACAGCTTACCCCATGTACCTGGAAAAGTCACAGACACCCAATGCCAGCCCATGAAAGCAGCTAGGAGGGAGGCTGTACCCTGCAAAGCCACAAAGGTGGCACTGCTCAAGGCCATAGGAGCCCACCTCTTGTATCAGCATGACCTGGATGTAAGACATGAAGTCAAAGGAGATCATTTTGTAACTTTAAGGTTTAATGATTGCCCTGCTGGGTTTCAGACTTGGATGGGGCCTATAACCCCTGTGTTTTGGCCAATTTTTTCCCCATTGGAATGAGTGTATTTGCTCAATGCCTGTACCCCCAGTGTAACTAGAAAGTAACTAACTTGCTTTTGATTTTACAGGCTCATAGGCAGAAGGGTCTTGCCTTGTCTCAGATAAAACTTTGAACCTGGACTTTTGAGTTAATGCTGGAATGAATTAAGATTTTGGGGGACTGTTGGGAAGGCAGGATTATGTTTTGAAATGTGAGAACATGGGATTTGGAAGGGGCCAGGGCATAATGCTGTGGTTTGGCTGTGTCCCCACCCAAATCTCATTTTGAATTGTAGTTACCATAATCCCCATGTGTCATAGGAGGGACCCAGTTGGAGGTAATTGAATGTTGTTCACATGACAGTGAGTGAGTTCTCATGGATCTGATGGTTTTAAATGGGGCTTTCCCCCACTTTGCTCTGCACCTCTCCTTGCTGCTGCCACGTGAAGAAGGACATGTTTGTTTCCCTTTCCATCATGACTGTAAGTTTCCTTAGGCCTCCCTAGCCCTGAAGAACTGTGAGTCAATTAAACCTCTTTCCTTTATAAATTACCCAGTCTCAAGTATGTCTTTATTAGCAGTGTGAGAATGGAATAATACGATGATGTTATAATGAAACTCCATAATTGAGACAGTGAGGTCCATTCATATGTAGATTAATTAGGTCTAAATAAAATTTGCCCAGCCTGGCAAACACAGTGGAACCCCACCTCTACCAAAAAATACAAAAATTAGCCAAGTGTGGTGGCACATGCCTATAGTCTCAGCTCCTTGGGAGGCTGAGACATGAGAATTGCTTGAGCCCAAGAGGTGGAGGTTGCGGTGGGCCAAGATTACACTACTGCACTCCTGGGCAACAGAGCGAGACCCTCTCATAAATAAATAAATAAATAAAATTTGCCAATTTACACTTAAAAAAGGATTTTATACCATAACCAAACGAGATTTATCACAGGAATGCAAGGTTGGCTCAACATAAAGAAATCAATCAATAGGCTATACCATATTAATAAAGAAAAATCCCATATGATCATCTCAATTAATGCAAAAAATGCATTTGACAAAATGCAACACCATGTCATGATTTAAAAAAAAAAAAAACACTTGGCAAATGGGGAGTAAAAGGGAACTTAACCTGATAAAGAGAATCTATGAAAACCCCAGAACTCATATAATATTTAATGATGAAAGACTGACAGTTTTACTCCTAAAATCAGAAAAAAGACAATGGTCTTCCAGTCTGATATTACTTTATGATTATAAAGTCATGTGTGTTGTAATTTAAAATACTTTCTATAAAGTCTAGATGTGGTGGCACATGCCTGTAATCCCAGCACTTTGGGAGATTGAAGTGGGAGGATTGCTTGAGGCCAAGAGTTTGAGACCAGCCTGGGTAACATAGTGAGACCCTGTCTCTACAAAAAATTAAAATATTAGCTGGGTGTTGTGGCATGTACCTGTAGTCCTACCTACTTAAGAGGCTGAGGCAGGAGGATTGAGAGGATCAATTGAGCTCAGGAGTTTGAGGTTGCAGTGAGCTATGATTGCACCACTACATCCAGCCTAGGTAATAAAGTGAAATATTGTATCTAAACAACAACAACAACACTTCTTAAAGGATATGCATGGTGTAATCCAATTTTCATTCTTTAACAAGTATATGTGATGCACAGAAATGAGTTTAGAAGGCTGTATACCAAGATATTGGCAATGGTAATTGGGATGGTGGCAGTGTTGATGATGTATATAGCTTATATATATTTTTTAACAACAACTTTATTGAGATGTAACTCAGATGCCATACAATCCACCCATATTTAAAGTATACAATCCAGTGGTTTTTGGCACAGTTATGCAAGCATAACCACTATCTAATTCCATAATATTTTATCACCCTAAAAAGAAACCTTCTACTCATTAGAAGTCACTCCCCACTTCCTTCTCTTCCAGCCCCCAACAACCACTAACCATCTTTCTGTTTGTATGAGTTTACCCATTCTGGATACATGCTATGTAAATGGTATCATATAATATGTATTTTTTTGCATGTCTGGCTTCTTTCATGTGTCATCATGTTTTCAAGGTCCATCCATATCGTAGCATGTATCAGTACTTTATTCCTTTTTACAGCTAAACAATATTCCATTGTATGGATATACTATATTTTGTGTATGCTTTTATCAGTTGATGGACATTTGGGTTGTTTCTACTTCTTGACTATTATTATTAACGGTGCTATGATCATTCATGTACAAGCTTTTGTGTAGACATATATTTTCACTTATCTTGGATATATAGTAGGTATGTGTTTAACATCTTAAGATATATAGTAGGTATGTGTTTAACATGTTAAGAAATTGCAAAGCAGTTTCCAAAATGATTGCGTATTTTATATTTCTATCAGCAATATATGAAATGTATGAAAGTCCTAGTTGCTCTATATCCTCTCCAATATTTGGTTTGATTAGTCTTTTAAATTTTAACCCTTCTAATGGATGTGTCATAGTATCTCATTGTGCTTTTAATTTGCATTTGCCTGATGATTAATGATGTTGAGTGTCTTTTCATGGCCTTATTGGCTATTAGCGTATCTTCTTTTTTAAAGTGTCTTGCCAAGACTTTTGTTCCTGGTTAAAATTGGGTTTTCTTTTTGATACCTATTTGTAGAAGTTTTTACATATTCTGAACACACATCTTCATGAATATTTTCTATAGTTTGTGGCTTGCCATTTCATATTCCAACTTTGAGTCAAGGTCTACTATTAGACTCCAAACACTGGGCAGACCTCAAGCTTTGTCTTCTGTTCTCCACCCCACTTCCTGTGAAACCATTATAAATGCAATGTCAAGATCACTACAGTTTAGCATATGTTCTTAAGGCAAAAGCCTTAGCACTTTTCTCACCTCTTAGGAGGTTCCATGTTCACTCTATTTTTAGTTTCTGGGAGCCTTTACTTTCTTGGCATTTCAGTAATATGTTTGAAAGTTTATTTGTTTATATATATTTTTTTTTTCTTTTTTTTTTTTTTTTTTTGAGATGGAGTCTCACTCTGTCACCTAGGCTGGAATGCAGTGGCGCAATCTCAGCTCACTGCAACCTCCACTTCCCAGGTTCAAGCGATTCTCCTGCCTCAGCCTCCTGAGTAGCTGGGGTTACAGCCACACACCACCACGCCTGACTAATTTTTGTATTTTTAGTAGAGACGGGGTTTCACTATGTTGGTCAGGCTCGTCTCGAACTCCCGACCTCGTGATTCACCTGCCTCAGACTCCCAAAGTGCTGGGATTACAGGCATGAGCCACGGTGCCTGGCTTGTTTATATTTTATATGGCAGCAGTATTACTTTGAGGGAGAGGATGATAGCTTCCCTTGCAGCTAGCACTGATCATGTGACATAGTTCTGGCCAATAAGAGAAGAGGAAGTCTGTGGGCAATGATCCTTTCCTCTTCCTTCCACTTTTCTGCTTCGAATATAGATGTGAGAACCAGAGATGAAGCACCCATCTTTAATTCATTAGGAAGTAACACATTTGCTAAGAATGGCTAAATAGAAATAAAACAGAAACCATAAACAATGATGACATCATGAGCTGTGGGACCAATCCTGGGTTGCCTAACTCCAAACTTCTTAGTGAAAAGTTATATACTCTAATTTGTCTAAACTACTGTTGGTTGGGTTTTCTGATACTTACAGTCAGAAATTAAAGTTATTTTTGAGATTTAATATTTATATAATCATTCATCCATCTAATCAATAAGCATGTATTAAATACATATCAAGTGCCAGACATTGTTTATAATAGAGTTTCTCATTAGGGGTGGTATTACTATTAGTTAGCATTTTAAACATTTGTGAGAAAGTTTTTGTAGTGTTACAACTGGAAGCAACTAACATTTAGTGGATTGGTACTGGGAATACAATATTTCTTTTTTTACATCTTATTTTTTTTTTTTTTTTGAGACAGAGTTTTGCTCTTGTTGCCCAGGCTGAAGTGCGATGGTGCAATCCTGGCTCACTGTAGCCACTGCCTCCCGGGTTCAAGCGATTCTCCTGCCCCAGCCTCTCGGATAGCTGAGATTACAGGCATGCACCACCACACCCGGCTAATTTTGTATTTTTAGTAGAGACAGGGTTTCTCCATGTTGGTCAGGCTGGTCTTGAACTCCCGACCTCAGGTGATCTGCCCACCTCAGCCTCCCAAAGTGCTAGGATTACAGGCATAAGCCACTGCGCCCAGCCAATACAGAATTTCTTAAAATGCATAAGACTGTCCCATGCAGTAAGAATTGCCCTACATCTCGCATACTTTTCAAAGTCCACCAAAGACATATCTCTAGCTGAAAAAGGTGTTTTTAATGATCTAAAATTAGAACTTAATTCATTTTGCAAATAAATACCAAGTAGTTTCTTCATGTGTTTAATAGATTTAAATTTTCCAGAAATTTTTTTTAAAGAGACAGGGCCTTGCTCTATTGCCCAGGCTGGAGTGCAGTGGCATGATCATAGCTCACTGCATCCTCAAACTCCTAGATTCAAGCAGTCCTCCAACCTCAACCTCAGTCTCCTGAGTAGCTAGGACTACAGGGGTAGTCCTACCATGTAGCATGGTAGTAGTAACTACCATGCCCAGCTTTTGCTTTTTTTTTTTTTTTTTTTTTAGAGATGGGGGTCTCCCAATGTTGCCCAGGCTGGTCTTGAACTTTGGCATCAAGTGATCCTCCTTCCTTGGCCTCCTAAAGTGCTGGTATTACAGACATGAGCCACCAAGCCCAGCTTCCAGGAATATTTTGTTAGAAATATACCATAAGGTATTCAACATTTAGGAAAATCACATAATCACTCGCAATGCTGCATATGATTTTAAAGTTTCCAATATAACACACCTATATCAGACTACATGTATAGCTGTCTCATTTACATTTATTCTATATATTAGTGTAAGTAAGCATCTAAGTTATTTTGTCTAGAAGTCAAAACTAGATATTTACCTTTTGAAATACATACTATATTATAAACAACTTTGCTTTTATTACTCCTTTACATAATCAGGTGTTATGTTGCTTTTTTAAATTATGTTCACTTGTAAGTTATATAGTCTATTTAGTTAATGACAGAATTGTAAGCAGGTCTTATAAAATATCTATAATAGGAAGGGAGTTGCGCCTGGATGGAGTTAAGAATCATTGGTTTTAATGGTAATTCCTTATCTTTAAAAAATTGTTGGCCAGGCGCAGTAGCTCATGCCTATAATCCCAGCACTTTGGGGGGCCAAGGTGGGAGGATCACTTGAGCCCGAGTTCAAGACAAGCCTGGACAACATGGCAAAACTCCATCTCTACTAAAGATACAAAAAATTAGCCAGGCATGTTGGCGTACCCCTGTAGTCCCAGCTACCTGGGAGGATGAGGAGAGAGGATCACCTGAGCCTGGGAGGTTGAGGCCGCAGTGAGCTGTGATTATAACACTGTACTCCAGTCTGGGTGACAGAGTGAGACCTTGTCTCAAAGAAAAAAAAATTGTTACATAGTATTTAATACTTTTCATTCAAGATGACAAGAAAATGCCTAAAAGCAAAGAAAATCCCTGGTTGCTTGGAAAACCTGACCCCCAGCTAGAATTCCCTGCCTATAGATTTTTAATTTCTGAGTACACTTTATGGCTCTTTGACTCAGATTGCATTTTACTCCGGTGGGCAGCAGAAGTTACTGCCACTCTGCCAGCTCCTGGCGACTACTGGGGAGGGTTGTGAAGTCACCTCATTCCAGCAGCAAATCCATATGGCTCTGCAGCAATTTGATTCTTGCCTCCTCAGAGGAAAAAATTTGGCTAAGGGGCATAAGGCAGAGTGAGAGACAGGGGCAAGTTTTAGAGCAAGAGTGAAAGTTTATTTAAAGTTTTAGTACAGGAATGAAAGGAAGAAAAGTACACTTGGAAGAGGGCCCAGCAGACCACTTGAGAGATCCAAGTGCCCCGTTTGTCCCTTGACTTGGGGTTTTCTACATTGGCACGGTTCTGGGGTTGGCATTTCTTCTTCCTTGATTTTTCCCTTGGAGTGGGCAGTCCATATGTGTGATGGCCCGCCAGCACTTGGGAGGGGCTGCATGTGCAGTGTGTTTACTGAAGTTGTGTGCATGCTCACCTGGGGCATTTTTTCCTTACCAGTTGAGCGTTCCTAGAGGAAGGTCATATACCAGTTAAACTCTGCCATTTTGCCTCTTAGTGTGCATGTTTGAGCCCATTTGCCCAACTCCTGAAATTCTATCGGAAAGCTACTGATCACCAGCTTCGGGTATTTTCTGTCTATTGGGAGGCTGTCTTTTCGTGGCGCCAGCTGCAACCAATTATTTTGGAGAGACAGTTTAACAACAACCTGACCATAACCTGATGGTCACCTGACATTCCTGGTGGGGGCCCTCTCCTGCCCTGCTCGTGTCTGCCTAACTACCACTCTAAAAACCTAAGAACTTGGCTGTATTTCTCTTGAAGTTTGACACCATTCCTCTGAAGAGGAAAACACAATTAAGGAGGACTTACTGACTTACAGATGGAGAATGAATGAAAGGAGAAATGCAACTTGTTTAAGATCATGCAAAAAGCAGTGAGTGTTCAGAGGTAGGAACCAAATCTAATTTTCCAATTCCTGAAGCTAAATTAGGCTTAACCCATTAGTGTATGTTTTATATTTATGTATTTATTTACTTATTTTTGAGACAGAGTCTCACTCTATCACCCAGGCTGGAGTGCAGTGTCACAATCTCGGCTCACTGCAACCTCTGACTCCTGGGTTCAAGCAATTTTCCTGCTTCAGCCTTTCTGTGTATTTTTTATATTTTTGTATTATTAGTAGAGACGGGGTTTCATATGTTGGCCAGGCTGGTTGGAACTCCTGACCTCAGGTGATCCACATGCCTTGGCCTCCCAAAGTGCTGAGATTACAAGTATGAGCCACCATGCCCAGCCTGTTTTCTATTAAAAAAAAAAAAAAAAAGACATGAGAATATCTGTGTATGGTCAGAAAGACCTCTCTCCTCTTGAAGTTTAATAACTTAAAAAAAGTGGCTTACTACAGGCAACAATAGGAAAAATAGATAAATGGATAAATGGGATTACATCAAACCAAAAAGCTTCTGTATAACAAAGAAACAATCAAAAGGGTGAAGAAACAACCTACAGAATGGGAGAAAATATTTGCAAATCATACAAAGAGGTTAATGTCCAAAATATATAAAGAACTTGTACACCTCAATAGTAAGAAAACAAATAACCCAATTTTATTTTATTTTATTTTTATTTTTTGCTGTTCCTTGCAGAGCTAATTCTTAGGCAGTGGGCCCAGGGTCAGCCCCAATTTTAAAATGGACCAAAAACCTGAATAAACATTTTTGCAAAAAAGACATACAAATGGCCAACAGGTATATGAAAAAATGCTTAATATCACTAATCATTAGAAAAATGCAAATTAAAATCACAATGATCTATCACCTCATGCCTGTTAGAATGGCTATAATAGAAAACACAAGTGTTGGTGAGGATGTGGAGAAAAGAGAACGCTTGTACACTGTTGGTGGAAATGTAAATTAGTGCAGCCATTATAGAAAAGAATATGGAGGTTCCTCAAAACAATTAAAAATAGAACTACCATATGATCCCGCAATCCCACTTCTGGGTATATATCCAAAGGATATGAAATTAATATGTCAAAAAGATATCTGCTTGCCCATGTTTATTGCAGCATTGTTCACAATAACCAAGATATAGAATCAACCTAAGTGTCCATCAATGGATGAATAAAGAAAATGTGTATCTATACAATGGAATGCTATTCAGTCTTAAAAAAGAAGGGAATCTTGTCATGTGACAACATGGATAAACGTGGAGGACATTATGTCAAGTGAAATATGCCAGGCACGGAAAGACAATCTGAAAAAGTCAAACTCATAGAAGCAGACAGTAGAATTAGAATGGTGGTTATTAGGGGCTCATGGTTCCCCGTTGGTCGGGAAGGTCATGACATAAAATAGCAGGATTGGAGATATAGATGCTAGTCAAGAAAAGTCAAGAAATATAAATTTTGAGTTAACTATCAGAAATACCTTCAGGAGATGTATGTTGCGGTGACTATTGTTAATAACATATTGAATATTTGAAAGTAGCTAAGAGAGTTGGTTTTAAGTGTTCTCAGCACAAAAAAATAAGTGAAGTAATGCATATGCTAATTAGCTTGATTTAGCCATTCCACAATGTATGCATATATCAAAACATCATGTTGTACACCATACATATATACAATTTTTAGTCATCAGTTAAAAAAGGGAAAGAAAAGGTGGCTCACATTTCTCCCATTGAATCTTCTTTTTTTCTAAGTGCAGTCATCCCTTCGTATCCTCAGGGGATTTGTTCCAGGACCCCCGAGGATACCAAAATCCATGGAAGCTCAAGTCCCTGATATAAAGTGGTGTAGTATTTGCTTATTATCTGAGCACATCCTCCTATACACTTTAAATCATCTCTAGATTACTTATAATGCCAACACAATGTGAATGCTATGTGAAGCATTGTTGTATTGCATTCTTTTGAATTGGCATTCTTTTTTATCATTGTCTTGTTATGTTTAATTATTTTTTTCCAAATATTTTCTAACTGAGACTGGTTAAATCCATGGATGGGGAACCACAGACACAACAAAGGACCAACTATAATTTCACTTGTATAAGTTCCTTATATGTGAGGAGAGTAAAGGAAAGAAAATTTCAAAGGTCACAGAATTATTAATTGACAAGGTAGAAGCTCAGCTTCCTTAAGTTCTAGCCAAGCTTCTTTGATATAGTAAAGTATTTACAAAGGAGTCAATGTTCAACTCTTATTAATATTATGGGTTTAAAATGTTTTCATTATCTAATTATACTTGGTCTCCTCTGATTTTGTTACCACTCCCCACTCATGCAACGTCATGCTCTCTTACTGGATACCTGATGGTTTCTTCCCTTTTATACTGGGATCTTTCCATTTGGCTCTACCAGACAAATTTCATTTAAGCAAATTATTAGAATCAGACGAGAAATTTTAAAGGCAATGTGACACGTTTTGCCTAAGACTTGGGCAAATGTCTGAAACTCTCTATACTCCAGTTCATTTTAGCTTCATATCTGTGATTGTTTGCTCTTTATAAATACTCACAACAGGGTTATAATATCCCAGGTATTAACTGAGCCTGTAAAACTGCCTGTGATTTTAGGTGGAGGATAAAGGGAAAGAGACAGAGCTGATTCTACCGGGGATCCAACAGAGCTTTGATGATATGGACTGTTTCCTGTTTTGCCTGTGAAGATTGTCCAGAGCTAAAGTAAGAAAACATGTGGAGAATATGGAGATAAAATATGAGACAAAAGGTAGAAAATGGACAAAAGGAAAATAATATATGTATTATACATTTTATAATTAAGAGTGTAAAGGATTAGCTGGAGGTAGTGGTGTGGGCCGGTAGCCTCAGCTACTTGGCAGGCTGAGGTGGGAGAATGATTTATAAGCCCAAGAGATGGAGACTGCAGTGAGCTGTGATTATGCCACTGCACTTTAGCCTGGGCAGCAGAGTAGGACCTTGTCTCTAAATTAAATTAAAGAATGTAAAGGGGAGCCAGGCACAGTAACACACATCTGTAATCTCAACTACTTGGGAGGCTGAGGTGGGAGGATTACTTGAGACCAGCAGTTTGAGGTCAGCCTGGACAACATAGTGAGACCCCATCTCTACATAAAAGAAAAAGAAAGAATGTGAAGGGGAATGCTCAGGTGGTATTGCTATGAACTACACTGTCACTATATCAAACAGATCAATTTTAGCTGTAAATGACAGAGACCTTAAAAAATGGTGACTTAACCATTAGGAAAGTTCTTCCTCAACAGACAGCAATCTGGAGGTAGGTGATCCCCAGTTGGGTGGGGAGCTCATGACATAGCAAGGGCCCACACTTTTCCCACCTGCTTAGAGGACCATCCTCTGCATGTCGACCAAGTTTCCCATTTTGATCATAAGGTGGCTGCTGGAGCTCCCAGCACAAAATTCTCACACATCAGCTCCTATCAATACCTAAGCAGGAAGGAAGTGGATATGGGTAAAGAGAGACTTTTCTTTTTCTATGCCTTTCTCTTAACTGAGAGGACAGTCTTTTTCTAAACTACTCAACAGAACTTAGTAGCATGCCCCTAGACCAACACAAAGAGAAATGGGATGGCAGTGTTGTAAACCAATCCTAATTCATGTCTTAGGATTAGACATACTACTATAAGAGAGAAGGTAGACTGGCCAATGGGTAGGCAAGCATCAGAATCAGTCACACAAATACACACACACACACAAACACAGAATCAATCAACTATCAGAATTAATAAGGGATTTGGGCGAGGTTGACAGACGCAAGACTATACTAAAAAACGGATTGCCTTTAGCCTCAATAACAAAATAAGAGTATTTTGTAAATTATGCCATTCATTTTTGCAACAAAAATAAAGTATCTTAAATTAACCCAGATATTTTGTTAACATTAGCCAATTGACCAAGAATACACAAGACATCTATGGAGGAAATTTTAAGACTTTTATAAAGGGCACAGATATGAATTTAGTACATGAAAAGACTTTATAGTCTCAAACATAATATTTTAAATATCTAATTACACTAACGTAAAAATCAATTAATATATGTAAAGCAGTTGATTAAAATTCCAGTTAGATTTCGTGAGGAAATTTATACTCTAGAATTTATATGCCAACTAATTTCCTAGACTAAGTTGCCATTTTAAATGTAGACTCCTACTTTGTAATATTAAAACATAAACAGTAGTAATAAGGAGCAGGATGGTGTTTATTTGAATAAGGAATTGAAAAGGGAAGCAGAATTTCTATTCATAGAATAATGGATTTACTATAGTGTTAAGCTTTAGGCAATTATGGGAGCTGGCAGAAGAGTCTATATAAGCTTTTGCATCTGCATCTAGTGTTGACCTCAAGCGTTTATAGGTCAGACAGACTAGCAGATGGAAAGGAAAGCTAGCTGTGGCTGAGAAGATGGGCAAACTGGAACCAGTGAAGACAAACTGGAGCTGGAACTGGAACCCACAAGACAGAGCAGAACCAGTGTGTGTCTCTTGCCATTTCCAACATCAGTGCTATGAGTGATCAGTAGAAGGTGGGACCTTTCACCATGGAACTGTCCACATACTTGGGGCAGAAATTGGAGAATCTGGTGGAGATTTGACAGGAGCTGGAGGAGCTGGATGTCTCAGTTGATTCAATAAGATAAGCCAGCAGATCAGTAACAATGCATGCAAGATGTTGCTATACATGGCACTTTCTGAGGACCTTCAGAGCAGATAGATGATAGATAGATAGATAGATAGATAGATAGATAGATAGATAGATAGATAGATAGACAGATAGACAGATAGATAGACAGATAGCTGCCCCTTCACTTACCACTTTTCAAGTATCACACAAAATGCCTCCTGTGGCCAAAACAAACTGAGGACCATAAGGAAAAAATAATTACAGGAAATGTAATTCCAGTAAAACTAATCTGACACAGTTCAAAGCTATCACAATATTGTATTGTTGGTTTGGTTCAAGAACAAACAGACAAAAAACAGAAGTGAGTGCCAGGGACATGTTTATACAGAAACTTAATAGACACTAAAGGAAAACTAGCTATATGCACACAAAGACTGGATCTTTATACAACATAATAAAAAATGGACTCCAGATAGATTTAAGAATAAATATGCTGTAATCCCAGCACTTTGGGAGGCCGAGGTGGGTAGATCACAAGGTCAGGAGTTCAAGATCAGCCTGGCCAAGATGGTGAGACCCCATCTCTACTAAAAATACAAAAAATTAGCTGGGCATGGTGGCGGGCGCCTGTAGTCCCAGCTACTCGGGAGGCTGAGGGAGAGAATTGCTTGAATCCGGGAAGCGGAGGTTGCAGTGAGCCAAGATCGCACCACTGCACTCCAGCCTGGGTGACAGAGCGAAACTCCGTCTCAAATAAATAAATAAATGAATGAATAAATAAATAAAAGAATAAATATGAATGTTATAACTATAAATTTATAAAATAAAATATAGAACATTTTTGTGACTTAGGAGTAGGGAAGGGTTACTTATACAAAACTTCAGAAGCACAAGCTATAACAAAAAGAAAAAAAGTAAAGTAATTTGATTACACCTAAATTGAGGCTTTCTGTTGAACAGAGAATACTTTGGACAAGATTGTGTAGTTAGGCCTGGGTGTGGTGGTTGACACCTATAATCCCAGCACTTTGGAATGCTGAGGCAGGAGGATCACTTGAGGCCAGGAATTTGAGACCAGTTTGGGCAACATAGTGAGACTCCATCTCTATTAAATTGAAAAATAAATATTTTTTAAAATAAAAATTTTTGAATGTACAAATAAAATCACAGTTGAGCAAAGGAATACAAAAAAACACTCAAGTGTATTAGCTGGATGCACACATATTTATTCCCGCCCCCATTGTGTAAAAGCAGCCCTACTGCCTCCTAAAGAACAGGGTCCGTGATCCCTGCCAAGATGATAACTTCTCTTCGTGTCTGCCAGTCCCTGGACACAAGAAGCATGAAATGCCTGGTGGTGGTTGTTGTCTACATTTGCTGGATCTCCTAGCAAAACCGTGCCTCCTTTGGTAACCAGGACCCTAACCCTTCAGAGCCTAGGGTTGTGGGGAGAGAAAGTTCAAGTCTCCACTGAGTCTTTAGGAGTGATGGTAAGTGGGGTCACTCCTGCTTCTATTCCTTAGTTCTTGGACCCCTGATTTTTCTTACTGGAGATACAGTGTCATGTAAAAATGTTTTGATTCAATCTTCTGGGAGATGGAAGCCAATCTATCCTGATGCCCAGTAGCTGGAGCTCTTTCTGGAGAATGAAACCCCTTTTTGGTAAAGTATTGTCTCTAAGCTAGCATTTCAACTGTGTCTTCGGCATGACATTTCAATCTCCCAGACTGCCAGCTTCTGAGTGGTGTGGTATGTGATATGACCAGTGGATCCAATTGTCATAGGCTCACTCCTATACCTCCTTTGCAGTAAAGTGAACTCCCTGCTCTAACAGTGTCAGGAAAGGATCCTTTCCTAAGGAGAAAACATTTCACAAATTCTTGGATGGTGATGGTAGCTAAGGCTGTGCATGCAGGAAAAGTAAACCCACTTCCAAAACGTGTGTTTATTCTTATTAGAACAAACCTCTGGCTTTTCCAAGTTCTAAGGGGCTTGTAGTAGTTAACTTACCACTAAATTGTCTCCTTGAGAAACTATATATCAGATGCTCAGCATCAGTGTCTGCCCCTGGCAAGTTGAACATTTGATGCCAGCAACAGCTAAATTCACCTTGGTAAGTGGGAACTCATACTATCTGGCCCATACATAACATCTGTCTCTCCTACCATGCCCATTTCATCATCAACCCATTGTGCCAGCACTGGGGTAGCTGATGACAGAAACTGGTGTAGTAATGCTGTCTACTTGGCTGTTTAGATCAATCTCCATGGTTAACGCTCTTTGGTGGATATGTGATACAAAGACTTTCTCACTTCATTCCTACTCCCATTTGTTCAACCACCTCCTTATCTCATTCCTTCAATCTTACTCTTTCATGGGCTCCTGCCCATGAGTCTGGATTTATTGTTACATCAAGCCGCTACTCCTTTTACACAAAGTGGATCAACAGGTGAATCATTCCAAGCTACCTATTAGAAAGATTGTCCTTGTCCCTCACTATAGTCTTTTAAAACCTCTTCGGAATGAGACTGCAGTTCAATTGTTTCCATTTTTAAGAAACACATACTAAGCTCTTCCATTTCTAAATCAAGCTTTGGATTTTGGTTCTTCCATTAGCTGGTCATGAGAGATTCCCAATATGATCATAGTGAGGTGAAGGAGAGGTCTTAGTATGCAGTGGTGAAATTCATGGGGGTCTGGGCTACATGCTTATGCTGCTTGTTTTTTGCTAGTCCTTCTTATGCTTGGAGCTCATGCTTATCTTTAGATAACTGCTGTGGCGCTTAAGCAACCTTATGATTTGGAGATTCTGTGTGAATCAAGCTCATGTTGGGCATTTCTTGGAGGCATGACCATTGGTGTCTCCTGGTCAGGCATTTTTATGAATTCTATGAATGCCGGGCAGTATCCCAGGAGTTTTGTTTTGGTTTTTTCAAGTATATAATTCTCTTTGCTCCAGAATCTCAGAAGCTGGCACTGTTATTCTCCTGCTGGGGCTTACTGTAGCCCCATTGCCACTTTGTATCTTTTCTTGCTACTGGTATTTCTAATACCACAGTATCTGCAGAGTCTTGTCGTCCAAGTAGTGGAGCTGCTAGTCCTCCACCTTGGATTTGGTACAGAAATCTTTTCTGCACTAGGACCTTCTTAAAGATGCCAATATTTCTTTCTTTTTCTTTTTTTTTTTTTTTTTTTTGACAGGGTCTTGCTCTGTTGCCTAGGCTAGAGTGCAATGGTGGGATCACAGCTCAGTGCAGCCTCAACTGCCCAGGCTCAAGTGATTCTTCTACCTCAGCCTCCTGAGTAGCTGGGACTACAGGCTCATGCCACCACACCAGCTGATTTTTTTTATTTTTTGTACAGATGAGGTTTTGCAAGGTTGCTCAGGCTAAAGATGGCAATATTTCTTATCAGTTGGTGCATGGGCTGAAGTATTCCCTAGTGCGGAATAAGCTATCTCCAGAATTGAGGGCAACGTATTATGCATAGAGGTTTCTTCCTTGTAGTGAAAGGTGCAAGATGTAATGGTTTGTCTTTTACTTTGAAATATGTGCCCTGATATATTAATACTTTTGACTACAGGACTCCTAAAATTTTGCTTACATGTCAGCCCCTGGTTCTCTATAGGCTTTATCTCATATCCTATGGAGCACATGTATCTTACTAAGTCCTCTAATGCGCTAGCCATTTTTTATTCATTAGCTCCAATTAACATAATATCATTGATGTAGTAGGTCATTGTGAAGTTTTATAGGATGCCCAGATGGTCCATATCTCTCTGGACTGTATTATTACAGAAAGCAGAAGAATTAGCATAGCTTTGGGACAAAACCATAAATATGTCTTTTTACCCATACCATGAGAATGCAAACTCTTTCTGATCAGAATATAAAAGAATGTTTTTGCCAAGTCAGTGGCTATGTACCATGTACCTGAAACCCTTTTCATCTCCTCTAGCAAAGGTATTAATTATATCTAGTCCTGTGGCTGAAATTAGGGAAACAACTTATTTAAGTTTGCAGTAAACTGACACTTTCCAGGAGCAATCTGGTTTCTTGTGGAGCCAAATTGGCAAATTAAATGGAAATATGAGAGCATCTATTATCTCTGCATCCTCAAAAGTAGTACTAATTTCTGCCATCTACCAACCTGGGGTGGTTATATTGTTTTTGGTCCTTTGATGATATCTTAGTTCATTTGTGCTGCTACAACAAAATGCCACATATTGGGTAATATTTAAACAACAGAAATTTATTTTCTTGCAGCTCCAGAGGCTAGGAAGTCTAGGATTAAGGTGACGGAAAGTTTGATATCTGTCAAGGGCCTGTTCCCTGTTTCCAGGCTAGCACTTTGTTGCTGCGTCCTCATATGGTGGAAGAGATGGAAGGGAATAAACCTGCTCCCTCAAAGCCTTTTATAAGTCCTAATCCTATCCAGGATGGCTCTGCCCTCATAATTTAATCACCTCCAAAAGGCCCTCCATCTGGCAGATCACTTGAGGTTAGGAGTTCAAGACCAGCCTGGACAACATGTCGAAAACTCATCTCTACTAAAACTACAAAAATTAGCCAGGCATGGTGGCACATGCCTGTAATCCCAACTACTTGGGAGGCTGAGGCAGGAGAATTGCTTGAACCCAGGAGGTGGAGGTTGTAGTGAGCTGAGATCACACCACAGCACTCCAGCCTGGGCAACAGAGCAATTTGCTGTCTCAAGAAACAAAACAAAACAAAACACCTCCCTCTTAATACTATCACATTAACCATTAAGTTTCAACACATGAATTTTGGGGGACACATTTAGACCGTATCAGATGGGATTGAGTAGAAGATGGGGTATTTTTAGAGGCTTCCACTTGGCATTTCCCACTATGAGATCCCTTACTCTACAGGCCAAAGACCCAAAGTTAGGGTTGTGCCAAGTACTACATAGGGCAATCCCAATTATACTTTTGTGAACCAGAGGAATGACAGCTAGTTGGGAAAACAAACCCAATAGGCCTGCTATAAGCAAGACTTTGGTCATAACACTGTAAGGCCTCATTCTAACAGGGAGACCATGATGTTACTTTGGGTCTCTGGATTTTGATGTCACCTCAGACCTTTGCCTCCCACAATGTCCAAAATATTTGGGATACCTGAGTAAGTGGGCATTTGTCCCTTTGGAGAAAGACTAGCAGGTATTATTAACACGTATATTTGGCTGGGCACAGTAGCTCACACCTGTAATCCCAGCACTTTGGGAGGCCGAGGTGGGTGGATCACCTGAGGTCAGAAGTTCGAGACCAGCCTGACCAACATGAATAAACCCCATCTCTACTAAAAATACAAAATTAGCTGGCCGTGGTGGCTCATGCCTCTAATCCCAGCTACTCAGGAGGCTGAGGCAGGAGAATCGCTTGAACCTGGGAGGCGGAGGTGAGCCGAGAGATGTCGCCACTGCACTCCAGCCTGGGCAACAAGAGCAAAGCTCCATCTCAAAAACCAAAGAAACAAACACACAAAAAAATGTATATTTGGCATGAGGTTAGGGTCTATCCTTCTGGAAGCCTGGCCCTTTTTTCAGTCAATGGGTTCTGTAGCTGAAAACGAATTTAGATCCAGGAGCTAAATTGCTCTCAATTTAGTTGTCACCCATATTCAATTTCTTCTGATAGTACAGGCCGAGTTATACTCTTACTGTCAATATATTTTGCCCCTATGGATACTGTATTCCAACCATCTCCTTTACTCTCTGACGGTCAGGCCCTTTTGGTTATAACCCTATGAGTCTGCTACTCATTTAGATAATTATGTCAATGTGGCTTCTGGCAGTTCCTACCATAACACACCCTCTATTGTTTTGGAATCCTAACATCCCCACTGCTTTTATTGAGTCTACTCTGTAATGGCCTCTCCTAATATTAACCCTGTCTAATAAAGAAATCCCAGCACTAAACATTTTAGTGATGCTGGTACCCCTCTCACCTGTGCATTACTATGGCCTTGCTAATGGTGTGCACAATAGTCCCTCTCATGGTACATAATCATCTGGTGAGTCTTTCAGCATTACATAGATATTTAATGCCTATTTCAGCATGCCCATTTCCTTAAGCTTTTAATCCTTTCCTCCACTGCCTACCATAGCAATTCTGGCATTTCAACTTTAGTATGGTTTGTTATTTTCTGCATGCTTCTGGGATCTATACTAGTAGTGAGTTGCTACCGTCTCCTCAGATCCTTGACAGAGTATTGAATCTTGTATTTTTGGAGAGTGCCCCAAATAAATAAAGTCTCTCCTATCCAATATATTGTTCCAGATTGCTTAATGGTGCACCCTCAGAATCCAGTGCCAATAATGCCAACCAATACATTCTGTTTAGGTCTTGCAATTCCTTTGGGTAGAGCTTCTTTTCATCCTTATCAAGCCCAGCAAATCTGAAGCTGTATTACGTTGGAACTTAACCCTGGTTATAGATCTAGTGGCCAGGAAGGGAAATGGGAGCAAATCAGGAGGCAAATCATGTGCCTACAGGAAAAGCCCTCTCCATTGTCTTCAAGCAAGAAGGATGTGCTAACTCTTGGAGAGGGATGGTCACTTCTGCAGACCAGGAGAATTCAAAGAAGCCTAGGGGTTCAAAATCTTAAATGACATTCACCCAAATCTCCCCAGCTCAAGGGACAGTGTCCTGTTTTTCCTAATCTTGGCCCTAACCTTAGCATAACAGAATTGCTTTAATTCTGCATTTCCTTTCTTGCCATTATTATTACTAATTAAGAAAAAAGCCCTCTCTGTCTGTATGTGTACAAGTGTACACACATGCATGTACATCCAATGAAGTGAATATGAATTTAAAGAAATCTCTAGAAGAAAATATCAAACTTTTAATACTGGTTAAATACATGAAGGAGAGTACAATGAAAAGCTTTGGAGAAAGAAATTTGCACAATTTTCTATACATTCTTCCATGTCTAAATATTTTTTGCAAATATTTGTATAACATTTTAAAGTATTAGGAAAAGTAAAAGGATCAATCAACGTAGGGGAAGAGAACTGGAAGAGGGAAGAAAACTTTAGCCATGTCCTTTATTCTCTCCTAAGAAGTTTGACCTCACTTCACCCAACCCAAGAGGAGAGAATGAATGGGTGATGGGCATTGAGAGCTTGTGCGATGAGTCATTTCCTTGCCCCTGGAGAAGGTGGGAATGAGGAGAAGGGGGCTTACTGTCCGTAGTCAGCCATACTCTTTCATTCCTCCTTCAGAAAGGGCCCAAGGGCTTGGGGATTGCAGCTCTGATCCAGGGACCATGGGAACCACATGAGAGGCATATGAACCTGGGTACATTGCAGAAGGATGATTCAACTAGGGACAGTCATGAGTGACACCACAGGAGGAGGTGTATCTGTGCAGAAACAGCTCTTCACAGCTTTTTGGAACATCGGCATGGTAGGAAAGGGCAAAATAATCTATATAAATAAAGTTAAGTTTCTGTCTGTTAAAACAATTGATTAGACAGATTTTCAATACATTTGACAAAGGTATTTAGAATCACATATTGGTTTTCTGTAGCTACTATAGTAACAAATTACCACAGACCTGGTGGTTTCAAACAACAGGAATTTATTCTCTCACAGTTCTGGAGGTCAGAATTCCAAAATTGGATTCATAAGGCAGAAATCAGGGTGTTGGCAGGAACATGCTCCCCCTAAAGGCTCTAGGGGCCTTGACTCTTCCAGTTTCTGGTGGCTGGCAGTATTCCTTGACTTGTGGCCATGTCACCCCAATTCTCCTATGACTTCACATCATCTCTCTGTGTAGATAAAACTTCCCTCTCCCTCCCTCCTATAAAGGCCCTTGAGATTCCATTTAAGGTCCACCGTAAATGTAATTTGGATAATCTCCCCATCCCAAGATCCTTAACTTAATCAAATCTATAGAAACTCTTTATCCTTATCAATTAACACTTACAGGTCCCAGAGGTTGCAACTTGACATGCTTGGGAGCCATTCAGCCTACTGCAGATGGACTGAATTAAAACATGCAACACACATGAAGTTAATGTTGGGAATTCTGGTTTTTCAAAGAGCAGTCTGCTTCTAGAGAACCCAAAATTGAGAAACAATAGCAGTTTCGTGTATCTGTCAATCAGAAGAGAGCTATGGTATGTATTAAGACACCAATTAGAGAAAATAATTGGTGGCTTCAAAGTCGAGCTCTGCCTCCCCAACTCAACCTATTGAGTAGAATTTCTGCATTTGATTCTTACCCTGACTAAAGGCATAAGAGTCGACACTGATGTGTAGGCTTCAGTTCACAGGAAGTCTGCTTCTCACATGAGCAACTCCCTATAGCTGACTTCTCAGTAATAAGTAGGGATTTATTTGTGTAACCATGTAGAATCCAAGTAGGAAGTCAAATTGTAGTAATAATACTAGCTAACGTTTCTTGAGCATTTATTATATCCCTTGTAATGTGCTAATTGCCTCTCATGTATTGTCCTATTTAATTTCAAAGCAAACTTTTGAGGTAGCTTGACTCACTAAGGCTCTTTGATTATATCCACCACAAGCAAACAAGATTAATTGGAAGGCCTCTGGGCTGGCTCACAAATCAGGAGAGCTGCAAAAACAGGGTTGGTAAGGACAGAAATAACAGCAGTTCAAGTGTGAAGAACTCAGTTCTTGGTGCTTTTCTCAGTTATCATTGGATAACTATCTAGATGACCTTTCACCTCTGTGGGTTTCCACTCAGAGTTTGAATTCCAAGCAGACTTAATCTCACCCTGGTGGGACAGAGCCACAATCATTGGCTTTGCCTGGGACAAATGCCCACCCTGGGCCAGGGGAGCAGGTTCAGACATGAAAAAAGAGTGAGGAGTCGGGTGCAGTGGCTCAAACCTGTAGTCCTAACACTTTGGGAGGCCGAGGCGGGTGGATCACCTGAGGTCAGGGGTTTGAGACCAGCCTGGCCAACATGCCGAAACCCCGTCTTTACTAAAAATACAAAAATTAGCTGGGTGTGGTGGCACATGCCTGTAATCCCAGCTACTTGGCAGGCTGAGACAGGAGAATCGCTGGAACCTGGAAGGCAGAGGTTGCAGTCAGCCTAGATCATGCCACTGCACTCCAGTCTGGGTGACAGAGCGAGACTCTGACTCAAAAAAAAAAAAAAAAGTATGTGTCTCAAACACTATTTTGCAAGCGTGAAAGAAGGAAGAGATAGAATTGTGACGTTAAGTTCCCCAAGTCACTAAGCAAGCTGATAGTGAAACTATAATATATCTTTCAGTCTGTGACCTTTGGAACTCTCTGATAAGATGCAGACTACTTTAGCCATGTAGTAGACAGCTGATGTTTTTGCTAGGCCAGTACTGTGGATTAAATTGTGTCCTCCCAAAATTCACATGTTGAAACCCTAACCCCCCAATGTGATGGTATATGGAGATAAGGCCCTTGGGAGATAATTCGGTTTAGATAAGGTCATCAGAGAAGAGTCCTCTTGATGGGATTAATGCCTTTATAAAAAGAAGAAAAAGTTACCAGAGCGCTCTCTCTGCCACATGAGGACACAGCAAGATGACAGCTTTCTGCAAGCCAAGAGTGTGTCCTCACCAGAACTCATCCATGCCAGCACCCTGATCTTGGTCTTCCAACCTCCAGAACTGTGAAAAGGGTCTCTGTTATTTAAATCACCAGTCTATGGTATTTGTTATAGTTGGTGCCCAAGCCAACTAAGACAACCATGCCATCCATGCCAGCACCCTGATCTTGGTCTTCCAACCTCCAGAACTGTGAAAAGGGTCTCTGTTATTTAAATCACCAGTCTATGGTGTTTGTTATAGTTGGTGCCCAAGCCAACTAAGACAACCATGCCATCCATGCCAGCACCCTGATCTTGGTCTTCCAACCTCCAGAACTGTGAAAAGGGTCTCTGTTATTTAAATCACCAGTCTATGGTGTTTGTTATAGTTGGTGCCCAAGCCAACTAAGACAACCAGCATCCGTACCCCTTATTTTGGAAGCAGCTTTCCAATTCTAGGAAGTATTTTTTTTTTTTTAGACAGAGTCTCACTTTGTCACCCAGGCTGGAGTGCACAGTGGCATGATCTTGGCTCATTGGAACCTTCGCCTCCCAGGTTCAAGTGATTCTCCTGCCTCAGCCTCTCCAGTAGCTGAGATTACAGGTGCCTGCCACCGTGCCCAGCTAATTTTTGTATTCTTAGTAAAGACGGGGTTTCACCATTTTGGCCAGGCTGGTGTGAAACTCCTGATCTCAGGTGATCCACCCATCTAGGCAGTCTTAATAGGAAAGTCAAGGCCCGGTGCGGTGGCTCACACCTGTAATCCCAGCACTTTGGGAGGCCGAGGCAGGCAGATCACGAGGTCAGGAATTAGAGACCAACTTGGCCAATATAGTGAAACCCTATCTCTACTAAAAATACAAAAATTAGCCGGGCATGATGGTGCGCGCCTGTAATCCCAGCTACTCAGGTGGCCGAGGCAGGAGAATGGCGTGAACCCGGGAGGCGGAGCTTGCAGCGAGCCAAGGTCGCGCCACTGCACTCCAGCCTGGGTGACAGAGTGAGACTCCGTCTCAAAAAAAAAAAAAAAGTCAAGCACAGGGCCCTCTACCAAACCAAGCCAATCAGACTCTCCAGGGAGAATGACAGAGAGACTCTAGGTGGGTGAAATGGGGTTATTCTCATGGCATGACCTAAGGAAAGAAGGTATGTATATTTCTGACTAAGATTCGGTAGCTTCCTGCTCCTCTTTCTTCCCAAGACCTGGCTCATCAGTGTTTCCTTTAATTCTGTAAGCTATAAAGTGTCCTTCCAATAAATTCCTTTTTCCATCTAGGTGAGTCAGAGCTTCTTTCAGTTTTTTGCAGAACTGATTCAGCAATGGTAGCTGGGAGTGAGCACTGCAAGCAACAGAACTGCTGTGGAAATAGCAGAATTAGGTGCAAGGCAATGAGAATTCCCCAGTGTAGTTTAGAAAGCTGAAGCCAGTTATTTTTCTTGAACTTCCCAATTCATATATTCACCAATAAATTTCCATTTTTGCCCAATCTAGTCCTGATTAATATAAGCTACTTATGCAAAATGCAAGGACTTATGCTAGTAAGGTGTTTCTCTTCTTGTGGTTATTTGGTGAATTGATGTGGGCTGCCGTTGTGTATGTGCCTGGAAGCACTTTTTTTAACCCATTAGAGTAGCCTCAATGCACATCAATACCTGGCCCCAAACCAAGCCTTTGGCTTTTATAACCCTCAAGCTAATAAATGAGAACTGGAAATTTAGGTGCACAGAGAAGTACCCAACCACACTCCCCTTCTAAGATTATTGTATTAGAAAGAGCCTATGGAAAGCAAAAAGGCAGAGCACAGCAGGCGAGCATAATAATAATGATGACCACTATTTGTTAAACCCTTACTATGTGCCAGACATTGGGCTATTATGTCACTTAATCCTGGAAGAGCAATACTATTATGTTTTGTTTTGTTTTATTTTGTATCTAAGGTTGAGCTGCAGAGTCTCAGAGCTGAATTGATTCAATCAGTCATTCTTTTCTGTTACGGGCATGATATAATCATCTGTCTAGACATGACCCCTATTTTTTATCTTCTTTATCCTTCATCCCCAAGTGTATCTAATGTGTGTCCTTCCAATCTACTTTCCATAGACTTACAGATCCGTAAAAATATGTAGTATAGTGTCTGCTTTTAAACTGTATATAAATGAATCATACTGTATGTCTCACTCTGCAATTTGCTTTTTTTACTCAGCATTATGTTTCTGAGATTCATCCACGTTGATATATATAGAGAGAGCTAGTTCATCTGTTTAAACTGCTCCATTGTATGTGATCATATCAATATACTGTACCTTACTTAGGTATTTTCTCTTGACAGATATCTAGACTGTTTCTAATTCTTTCCTAATACAAAAAAAAAACTTCAATGAATAATCTTGTACACATCTCTCCATGCATTGTGCAACAGTCTCTCTAAGATTTACCTAGAAGTAGAATTGCCTTAGGCTATATATATTTTCAGTTTTAGGAAATCTTGCCAAATTACTTTTCAAAGTAGCTTTACTAATTTACACTCCCACCAACAGTATATGAGAGTTCTTGAGAGAGATAATATTTAGTATCTACATTTTGCAGGTGAGGAAACTGAGGAAACACAAAAAATGTCCAAAGTAAAATACTGTATCTATCTGAACCATGTCTATCTAGCTCCAGAACTACATTACTCAATGTCATGATAAGATATACACTAATTAACATAAGAAATATATTCAGCTGCAAGTGACAGAACCATCTACCAGTAGCTAAAGCAGTATAGGCATTTACCATCTCACTTAACACCATGGACTGAAGAGAGGTAGTTCCAGAGCAAGTCAGTAGCTCAGCTCTGGCAACACAGGTACTCTTCAGTTTTTTTATTCTGTCACCCTTAGCTGTTTTCACCCTTATCTTATCTCTTCTCAGTCCTATGATGTCTGACATCGTTCTGACATTGCGTTTGAGTTCCAAGCAGGAAGAAAAGGGTTGAGGTGGTGGTGTATGCAGGCAGTGGTACCATGAAGCTCTTTGCTTGTTCTCCTTTTTATTGGAAAGAAAAATGCCTTCCTTGAATCTTCACTCATCCAAGCCTACTTCCTTTATCTCACTGGTCAGAATTTGGCCAGAGCCCACTGCTGAAAGAATTTCAGGTAAAGTGGAACGAGATGATCATGTATGGTTTAGATAATCATGACTCAGCTACTGGGGCTAAGGAAGGATCTGCTTTCCTGGATCTAAAGCCATCTTCAAGTCTAAAACCTGTTCTGTTAGTAAGAAAGAAAGGAAACAACTCTTGGATATTGACATGGTTTTTCTTCCAACTTGGTATCTTCTTAGATTTCTTTGCTGACATCCTCATCCCACTGAGTTGTTAAATTCTTGCTTGGTCCTGGTCCTCTTCTCTTTCCAAGATATTTAAAAGAAGGCCAACAGATGGCCAACAGGCCAAATTTGAGTTTTTAACCCCTGCTGTATGCTCCCTAGGCTGATAGTATCCATTTTTATAGTTTTAATTACCATTTACATATTGATGACTCCTAAATTTGTATCTCCAGCTTCCTCCTCTGCCTTGAGTTTCAGATCCATATGTACCATTGCCTACTTGGATATTCCTAAGACACATCAAAGTCAACGTATCCAAAACTGAGTTTTTCACCTCCCACCCAAACTTGCTCTTTCTTCTTTGGTGAATCCTATCTCAGTAAATACCACCCCCTTCCACTCAGTTACCCAAGTTAGAGACCTGCAAGATATCTTGGTATTTTCACTCACTTCCCACATAATAACTCTCAATTTATCTGCTTTTCTTCATCTCCATTGCAACCCTGACCTAAAATTTTGTGATTCAAGTGTTTGTAGTGTGGACCAGCAGCACGGCACCTGGAAGCTTGTTAAAAATGCAGAATCCCAGGCTCTACCTGAGACCCACTAAATCAGAAATCTGCATTTTAACAAGGTCTCCAGGCAAAATTCTTTAAAATTTGAGAACTTCTCTTCTCGTCTTCTGACATAGTTTACTATGTCAAAGTAAATCTCTGGCCCCCTAAAACTCTTCCTTTACACTGCAAACCTCATAAGTCACCTCCCTCATTAAAGCCCATAACTAGCTCCCCATTGCTTTAGAGACAGAATGCAAAAGCCTACAGAGTACAAAGCCCTGCGGAAGTTCCCCCGCTGCCTAGTCTCCAGCCCCATTCTGCCTTCCCTTGTGGACGCCAGCCACATTAGTCTCTTTCCAATTCCTGTGCCAGGCTATATTTTTTCCAACTCGGGGCCTTTTTTGCCTGCTGTCCACCCCTATACCCAGCATGATCTCAACTGCCCTGGCATATAGCTAACTCCTACTCTTTTGCTTCCTCAAAAAAGCCCCTTCTCTCACAGCCCAAATGAGATTAGCAGCTCTCCTGTTAAGCTCTCGTTGCACATCATGCTCCTTTAAACATTTATCACAGTTGTATTTAAATAATGAAGGGTGTGTTTCATCATTCAATGTCAGTCTTCCCAATTGAATTGAAGTTATACAAACAACTGTATCGGCTCTGTGCATTGTTACATGCTTTCAGGGCCTAGCACAGTGCTGGATGCACATTAGGCATTCAATCAGTATCTGTTGACTTAATGAATATGAATGAATAATCATTCCCTGGGAGTTGTCTTGGCTCAGGGTGGCCCCACTTTCTTAGTTCAACTGGAATCAAGAATCAGAAAAAGACCTCAGAGGGCCAAGGAAGTATAATTTGACCACCAGCAGCTAATCAGGGATGAAAATGTCCAATTCTGACTGATGGACCTCATGCACGTGCTGAAAGAAAAACAGAAGCAGCCCGCCTGAGGGTGATGGTAAACATTTTGTTCCCCAGCCAGTGCCCTCCTCCTCAATACACTCCCAAACTGACCTTTAGAAACACTTTTGTATAGTGGGAGGTCTCTTTTAACCTCCAGTGAATAGGGGTATGAAGTGGTGTTTGCTTTTTGCCCTTTGTTCTCTGACTGAGAAAAGTCTGGAGGCGGTGGAGTGAGGCTTAGTAATACAATTGCCTTCCCTTTCATATGCTAAAGAGGGTTTTTCCTCCTGGTTTAGTATAATCTAAGAGTTGTGGAGGTCTGGAAGGGATCCACTCCTCTTCCTTTTGGCATCTCATTTCCTGCAGACTAGGGGTAACTTTGCAATTAATAGAAAAACCAGAGCTGTAAAAATATCGTCAACATTGCCCACCAAGCAACTCTGTGAGTTGAGCCAGTGTAGGATCGTTAAATACTAAGTTTACAGGAAGGACATCCAGGTGAAATGCGGGAAAGTCCCGCCATCGTTGAAGCTGGCCAGAGATCCTTGCGTTCCTGCCATTCTCCACACCCGAAGGAAAAGTTGAGGTTGACTTGCTCAAAATAGCATGTTGTCACAGCCTTTGACTTCCATACAGGTGTAGATCTGGGTTTTGGGGTATTACATTTATACAGTTCGGAGGGTTCCCCAAATTAAGAAACAGAATCTTATGAATAAAATCAGGTTCAGGGCTTCGGAAAGATCTAGTGCGACTGAGGACAAGCTTTGTGATATATCCACATCTACCCCCAGCTGAATATACGGGAAAAGCTGAGGCTTCAAAGCCCTTGGGCAAGTGTCTCACTACCTAAAGGCTTTATCCAGTAATCTGTAAAATGGAACTCTCAATCCCTTCTCCACAGAGACAAGGCAAAGATGCGTAAGACAATGGCAGAGAAAGTACCCATTATTTGATAGGAAATACT
Source organism: Homo sapiens (assembly GCF_000001405.40). Lineage (NCBI taxonomy): Eukaryota > Metazoa > Chordata > Mammalia > Primates > Hominidae > Homo > Homo sapiens. The sequence continues at coordinate 157,932,184 of NC_000002.12, read as the reverse complement.
CAGTCTTGTGGAGACCTCTTTGGGAATTTACAAATCCCTTCTGGGCTGCCTTCTCCTTCCCTTTAGTATCTCTTTTGCCTTTAAATTTTTCCAGGTACTTCTGTGATCAATCTAGGATATGTATTCTTACTGCAGACTTAAGGAAAGTTCCCAAACAGGCAGCTGAAGTCAATACATTTGTTTGGACATCACAAGATTTTTAAATAAATTTAATTTGCTTTACTTTTATTGTTTTATCCTTAGCTTGCTTTTTTCATATTTTTCTTTGTTTTACTTCATAAAGAGCCAGTGCAAGTTTATTTGGGTTTTTTTGTTTTTGTTTTTTTCTTGTTTGGTTTGTTTAATTTGATTTGTTGTTTAATTTTTTGCCACTGTGCAAAAGGCAATCCAAAGGTCAGTCTGGTGTGTGTGTGTGTGTGTGTGTACTGAATTAGGTCCATATTGTTTACCATCCCTAATGTTTACCATCCCTTACCAGCTCCATGTTTATAATCCCGAGGGCATCTGAGTTTATAATAAATCAAAATCTGCTAGCAAACACACAGAGGAGTAGGAAAGGAATCAGGAAAATGCTGTAAACTAACACATAGCAAGTAGGGAAACAGCACTGGAGTTTGAGGGAGCCTCTGGCCTGGTACTACCTGGTTCAATTCCCATTTTAGCCACTTACCAGCTTTTAACCTATAGCTATATTCATTTGAACTTTCTAAATCTCACTTTGCTCATCTAGAACACTGGGATATTTATAGAGCTTTCCTTAGAGTTTTGCTGTGAGGATTAAATGAGAAAATCCTCTCGAAGTGCTAAGAATAGTCAGTGGAACAGGGTAAACCCTCAATAAATGTTAGTTATTATTAACAGCACCTCCTGTGTAGCCCGTAGTGAGCTTTATATATGTCACCTCATGTCACAGCACTGAGAGGTTAAATGGCCTGCCCAAGATGGGGAAATGTAAGAGTTTAGACAAAGAAGCTATTTTTAATGAGTTTCCATTTACTGCTTTTTACCAAATCAAAGACTCATGGATTTGTAAGATTTGTAATGCCTATTTCCAAGCATTAAAACGTAAGAAAATTATATGTCTCAGAAACAAAAGATAATAGCGCTCTTTCCACTACACTACATCATGTATCTCCCCCCAAATTTCTTTTCATTAGCACATTGTCCAATGATAGATGTGCCCATTGCCAGCATTATTTATTAGCTAGATCATGTACAGATACCTCACTCTGGAGTCCTGTAGCACTTATTGTACCTTCCATTGTCATCACTTCAAGATGTGATCCAGATATTTGGCAGATCAAGCTGGGAAGGTCACCCTTCTCCCAACTAAAGAAAACCACTAGGCAACTGTATGGTAATGTTCAGTTTCTAACCTAATCCAAGTTTTATGCTGACCTACTCTGCAGAACACCTTAGTAGAGGCTGGGGAGACCTGACTGTGGAAACCACCCTGTGGAAAATGGGGTGATGTAGAAAATAAATTCAGAATTTGGTGTGAAGAACCTGAGTCCAGTGGCAACCTTTTCAACAGAAGTAACTATGAGACTTGGGGGAAGTGACATCCTCTATAAAATGACACTAATAATCCTACCCCGCTTACTTCTGATCAACAGAGTGAAGATCTATGATATGCAGGTTGAGCATCCCTAATCTGAAAATCTGAAATCTGAAATGCTCTAAAATAAGAAACTGTTTGAGCACTGGCATGACACCACGAATAGAAACTCCACACCTGACCTCATGTGATTGGTCGCGGTCAAAACACAGGCACATAACACAGAGTTTTTCAGCATTCCCAAAGGAAAAAAGACCCTCTCAGCCCCTCGTTAACTTTGACATCTTTTCCATACATACCCAGACTTCCCCACACAAGCACACCCACCAAGGTTAATAAAATGGCACATGTGCAGGCCAGACACACCAATGGCAGATTCCCCATGATGCCCTACACAAGGCCAAAACCTACATGCATTACTCACTGTGGGTTTTTGCTTATTCTCTGCTTTGTGGTGTGAAAATTTGTTGAACATGTCAAAAGTGCCTGCAGATAACTCCTCTGGGTAACAGTGATAAGAAAAAGAGGAAGCATTTATGTTTATCCAAAGTACACAGAAAGTCAAGCTGTTGGAGAAACTGGACAGCAGTGTAAGTGTGGAATGTCTTAAACAAGAGTATGGTGTTGGAATGACCTCCATATGTGACCTGAAGGAACAGAAGGATAAACTGTTTAAGTTCTATGCTGAAGTGATGAACAGAAGTCAATGAAAAATAGAAAAACACTGCATAAAGCTAAAAATGAAGATCTTGATTATGTACTGAAAGAGTAGGTCTGTCAGTGTCGTGGTGAACTTATGCCACTTAACAATATGCTGATCATAAAACAAGTGAAGATTTATCATGATAAACTAAAAATTGAAGGGAACTGGTGAATATTCAACAGGCTGGTACAAAATGTTTATGAAACCAATCAAAAATGATGTCCCTGGGGATCCATGTCTTTTTGTTAGCATAATAACGGACTGGTAAGAAATTCATTCCAGAAATTTAAGAAAAAACATAGCATTAAGTTTTCGAAAATTTGTGGTGACATACCAGGTACGGTGGCTCACGCCTGTAATCCCAGAACTTTGGGAGGCAGAGGCAGGCAGATTGCCTGAGGTCAGGAGTTTGAGACCAGCCTGAGTAACATGATGAAACCCCATCTCTACTGAAAATACGAAAATTAGCCAGGCATGGTGGCACATGCCTGTAATCCCAGCTACTCAGAATCACTTCAACCTGGGAGGCGGAGGTTGCAGTGAGCCGAGATCATGCCACTGCACTCCAGCCTGCACAATAAAGTGAGACTGTCTCAAAAAGAGAAAAAAAAATTGTGGTGGTAAAGCATCTGCTAATCACAAAGCAGTGGAGAAACTCTTTGATGAGTTTGCCAAGGTCATTGGTTATGAAAATTGGATGCCAGAACAAGTCTATAATGCTGATGAGACATTGCTGCTCTGGCATTATTGTCCCAGAAAGACATTGACTACAGCTGATGAGACAGCATCTACAGGAATTAAGGCTGCCAAGGACAGAATAACTGTGCTGGGATGTGCTAATGCAGCAGGCGTGCATAAGTGTAAACTTACTGTGATAGGCAAAAGCTTACATCCTCCCTGTTTTCAAGGAGTGAATTTCTTACTGGTTCTTTATTATATTAACAAAAAGAGATGGATCACCATGGAATCTTTTTCTGATTGGGTTCACATTTTGTACCAGTGGCTTGTGCTTACTGTAGATGGCTTACTGTAGATGGCTTGTGCTAAACTAGATGATCACTGCAAGATTTTGCTATTCCTTGACAACAGTTCTGCTCATCCTTAGTTGAAATTCTCACCAGAAATAATGTTTATACCATGTACTTTCTCCCAAATGTGACTTCAGTAATTTAGCCATGTGACTCAGGTATCTTTAGGTCAATGAAGAGTAAATATAAAAACATTTTCTTGAACAATATGCTAGCAGCAGTGAACAGAGGTGTGGGTGTGGAAGATTTTCAAGAGGAGTTTAGCATGAAAGATGACATATATGCTGTTGCCAACACTTACAACACAATGACTAAAGGCACAGTGTACATGCCTGACACAACCTCTGGCCTGCCACTATGTTCAGAGTTGATGATGAACAAAGTGGTGACTTTGAAGAATTCCCTAAGTCAAGTGAGAAAAAAATGTCTCTGACCTTCTTACATATGCAAAAAATATATTTTCAGAGGCTGTTGTAAGTAAGCTGGAAAAAGTGGATATTGAAGAAATTTTTAACATGAATAATAAGTCTCCAGTTGTTCATTTATCAACCAATGGTGAAATAGCTGAAATGACTCTGAATCAGTATGATGGTGATAGTCCAGGCATGGTGGCTTACACCTATAACCCCAGTGCTTTGGGAGGCCAACGTGGAAGGTCACTTGAGCCCATGAGTTCAAGACTGGCCTGGGCAACATAGGAGACTCCCATCTCTACAAAAAATTAAAAGTTTGCTGGGCATGGAGGCACACACCTGTAGTCCTAGTTACTTGGGAGGCTGAGATGGGAGAATCACATAAGCCCATGAGTTCAAGGCTGCGGTGAGCTATGATCTATAATTTGTGATCAAGCCATTGCACTCCAGCCTGGATGAAAGAGTGAGACCCTGTCTCTACAAAGAAAATTAAAGAAACAACAACAACAAAAAGATGATGGTGACAATGAAGTTGATCTTAACATTGCAGAAAAAGTACCTATAGGCAGCATGCTGAAAATGTGTGATGGGCTTATTGAAGGATGAAAGCAGCATGTATTCATAACAGAACAAGAAGTCATGTCAGTTAATAAAATCAGAGGCTTCTAAGACAAAAACCATTGTTAATGAGGCAGATGACTTTGGAGGAAACATTTTAAAAAGCTATCCAGCAGAATGTCTCCTCATTGCTAGAGGACCCACTTCCTGGTCCCTCAACTGCTTCTGATGTTTCTTCTCACCTGAAGAAAAAAAAAAAAAAAAAAAAAAGTACAGTGTACAGTAACCTTTTAATCCAAACCTTTTAATTGTAGGTGGAGACAGAAAGCCCACAGTTGTTTGTTTTGCTGTTGACAGTTGGTACAAATATCCTGATGATGTCGCTGTGCCGCTCAGTTACCCCAAACACATCATTTTTTCCCTGTATTAATTGTGTGTCATACTTTTTCCTGTATGTATGTGTGAATAAGTGTAAGAAAACAATTGCTTATCAGTAGCATATAAAGTCAAAGTCAAGAATGATGGTGATGCCAAAAAACCACACATTGTCCACATGGGTGGGTAAGATAGTGACACCTTTGCTTTCTGATGTTTCAATGTAACTGTTTCATACACAAAAATGACCAAACATGTTGTATAAAATTACCTTCAGGTATGTGTATAAGGTGTATATAAAACATAAATGAATTTTGTGTTTAGACTTGGGTATCATCCCCATGATATCTTATCATGTACATGCAAATAGTCCAAAATTGGAAAAAAATCTCAAACCCAAAAAATTTCTGGTTGCAAGCTTTTCAGATAAGGGGTACTCAACCTGTAACACTTGTGAAACATAATATGTGTGGATATGCTGTACAAATGTAACCTTTATTAATGTCGTTGTTAATTGCTGTAGCTTGTTACTTTTAGCAGGAAATAGGAAATAAGATGGTGGAAGTTGGGCAAATCACATACAGAAAAGGTATATGTATATGTGATTGTGTATGTATTCTGAAAAGTCTAAAAGGGTGTATTCCAAATTGTATATGGTAGTGGGGCTTACTTCCATATTTGTGGATTAAGTTGTTGTTACAACAAACATATTTTTTATTTTTTTAACATTTCTTTGTAATATTCAATAAAAATATGTAGTTTTAATAATATTTTTGTTTCAATAAATCTATAAAAACAACAAAGAATCTCATGCTAAGAAGAGGTTCTTTTCAGGCCAGACGCGGTGGCTCGTGCCTGTAATCCCAGCACTTTGGGAGGCTGAGGTGGGTAGATCACCTAAGGTCAGGAGTTCGAGACCAGCCTGGCCAGCCCTGTCTCTACTAAAAATTCAAAAATTAACCAGGCATGGTAGCACATGCCTGTAATCCCAGCTACTTGGGAGGCTGAGGAAGGAGAATCTCTTGAACCTGGGAGGTGGAGTTTGCAGTGAACCAAGATTGTACCATTGCACTCTAGCCTGGGTGACAGAGCAAGACTCCGTCTCAAAAAAAAAAAAAAAAAAAAAAGAACAGTAGCGTTTCCAGAAACTATGGTTTGACCAAATTGAATCAATTCTTAACACATCTTATTCTAGCCCACCACCTCACCCCAGTATGTTACAGATCATGTGAAAAAACAGCCCCTACTAACCAACTCTGTTTTAAATTCTATGGCCAGGTTTTTCTTTTTTTTGAGATGGAGTCTCGCTCTTACCGCCTAGGCTGGAGTGCAGTGGGGCGATCTCAGCTCACTGCAGCCTCCACTTTCTGGGTTCAAGCTATTCTCCTGCCTCAGCCTCCTGAGTAGCTGGGATTACAGGTGTCCACCACCACGCCCAGCTAATTTTTGTACTTTTAGTAGAGACAGGGTTTCACCATATTGGCCAGGCTGGTCTCGAACTCCTGACCTCAGGTGATCCGCCCACCTCGGCCTCCCAAACTGCTGGGACCACAGTCGTGAGCCACCGCACCCAGCTATGGCCTAATTTTTGATGGTTGTTAGTTTTGGTTTGTTTTTTTCTTACAAAACTTTAGTTAGATGTCTTCACTTAAGAAGGGAATCCCTCTTTTGAAGGAAAAACAATGAATTTTCATACCACTAATTATTAAGATTTACAATCAAAAGAATCTCAATTTGAGCAAAGAATCAGCAGTTTCTTCAAATGAAAAGCACAACATCTCAGAAATTGGAAATTTCTCATAAAATTTTAAAAACCAAAACAATTACCTTTTAAGAAAACTAAAAAATTCATCGTTTCACCTCCATGGCCAGTCTATGACAGGCTCTTTTGCTGATAGGACTTCCTCCTCTCACCTTTGAGATTGATAACATGCTTATAGCTCTCTCCTCAGACCTGGTCTTCTAACGGCCTCTTCTTTGGAGATCACACATCTGGTACCACCTCTTTGCATATAATTTCCAAATATTTTTTTCTGGCTTGAAACACCCTTCTCATTTCTGTAAAACTTTTCACTTATCAGTTAGCCCAATTTACACTCATTGCTAGTATCTCATCCCATACCTGCTCAGAACGAAATTAATCTTTCCTTCTTTTTGTTTTGTTTTGTTTTGTTTTGTTTGTTTGTTTTTGGTACACCGTAATTCTTCCCAGTCAACCAAGAGCAGCCAAGACTGATATGTTTTTCTTTGACTTCTTCCTTCTCTATGCCCCACAATTCTTTGCTTAGATTTTTATTATGCCCTTTGCTTCTTCCCACGTCTACTCCCACCTCCCTGGTTCAGGCTCTTGCTTTCAAAGCAAGCAACACAAGTGAAGAGAAACAAGCAATAGGAGGTGAGAGAAGCACTCACAATGGGTCTAGCATGTGACTGAGAACTTGAAAGATATTCTCCTTAAGTGAAAAAGGTATTCCAAAATAATAAAATAGCATCAATAGAGGCACCCCAGGCACAGATATGCCTGGCATCATGAAAGAAAAGGAAGAAGCTGGTGGGGCTTTTGTGTTGGGGCTGTATAAAGATTCTCAGGGATTAGGTTGGACAGGTAGGTTCATTCCAGAAAGACTTTGAATTCCATTCTCTAAGCAGTGGAAAAATAAACTTATGTGGCAAGAAAACCTGTTATAAAACTGGTGTGGGCCAGGTGCAGTGGCTCACACCTTTAATCCCAGCACTTCGGGACGCTGAGGCAGGAGGATCACTTGAACCCCGGAGTTTGAGACCAGCCTGGGCAACAAAGTAAGACCCTGTCTCTGCAGAAAATGTAAATATTACAACACAAAAACTGTCGTGATAGCCAAGGGAACAAATCATGGAAGTACTAATTATGGCAATAAGAATTGACACACAACATATTTGACTCTTAGAATCCACTGTTTTGGTGACTAGTTGCTTGTGGGAGAGGGGCAAGTGGGAGATGAAGACACTAGAGGTAACTGAGTTTGGTAGCCTGGGTACTTAAAAGCATGATTCACCTTGAAGAGCAATGCAAATTGAGATTTGCATTTCCGAATGACAGTAAAGTTCAGTTTTAGGCATGTAGATTGTGATGTGTCAGTGGGATATGCAGGTGGAGAGGTCCAAAACACACTATTACCTCTGTGAGTATGATCTCCTAGGAAATCTATTCCTAGATCCCCGTTGGATATATGGCTTTTATTTATATATCCCATCAAAACAAAGACAACCCGTCTAGCCCTGAACCTATCATGGTTTCTTTGCCACAAACCACCTTCACATTCCCACTGGTCTGTTTTGGATAATGATATTTTCATTTTCCAAAGTCCTTGTCTAGTACCTATAGGTTGTTTCCAATTCCTTTCTCCTTTAATGCTTATCTTTACTTAGGCACCAAATCTTATTAATTTTTTCTTTTACACTTTTCTCACATCCACAAATCTTCTGCCTTATCTAACTGCTGCTGCCTAACTCTGGCCCTTATTTTTTTTATACCTTAGTAATCACTTCCTAACAGGACCGTTGCTGCCAGGCCTGCCCCCTAACAACCCATTCTATCTCCCACAATAAGGTTACTCTTCCTAAAACCCTAAATTGATCTTGTCACTCCCCTTCTCACAAACCTTCATTTCAAAGCAAGCAACACAAATGAAGAGAAACAAGCAATAGGAGGTCAGAGAAGCACTCACAATGGGTCGAGAATGTGACTCAGAACTTGAAAGATATTCTCCTTAAATGGAAAAGCCTGGACAACATAGCGAGGCGCTGTCTCTACAGAAAATGTAAACAAAACAACACAAACGCTTTCTCACAAAACTTCATTGACTTTCTGTTATGAACAAGATAAAGTTCAAATTCCTTAATATGATTCAATTCATAATATATATAGTCTAGCATTCTCTCCAGCCAAACTGATCTACTTAGCATCCTAGGAAACTACTCTACTCTCCCCAGGTTTTACTTCATTGTCTGCATTTTAATCAGAGTATATGGAGGGCAAAAAATAATTTTTTTAGAAACACTTAATAAATACGTGGGTAAATCTCTGTTCGGGGCTCTCAGCTCTGAAGGCTGTGAGACCCCTGATTTCCCACTTCACACCTCTAAAAAAAAAAAAGAAACACCTTGAAATGTCAAAAGAGAGGTGCTTGGTGTCTTGGCATAGTCTCAGAAGGGACTCCATTGAACACATCTGGCTAACTTGCCATGCCAGGGGCTCCAATCACAGATCTAAAGACTACATAAAAGAAGGGAAAGAAAAAAGAAGAGAAAGTGCGGAATAAGTGAATAAAGAGGAGATCAAAGAAAGAGATGTGTAGGAGTTGGCCATAAAGGACACACATTACAGTTCTCAGCCCTTTCTAAATAACCAGTCTTTATAAACTTAAAAGTGATTAACCTCTTGCCTTGGAGTGCCTCAAGGGCAGAAATCAAGTCTTGTTTTGTTTTTGTTTTTTTTTTTGTCCTCAGCACCCAGCACAAAGGCTGGCACATAGATGGTGCTCAATAAATGATTCTCAAATGAATTGCCAGCAACTGACTCATTTTCAATTAAAGGATGTTGGTGACTTCACCATCCTCCCAGATTACATTCTGCACTTGTAAAGACTGCTTTTGCTTTCTGTGTGCCTTTTCAAAGATGTCCAGAACAACACTGAGGAAAAAAACAGCACTCGAAAAGGGATTTTTAAAAATACAGTATATATTGGGAAAATTGATTTACTTCGACATACTGCTATTTATTGGTCCTTTTTCTAGAATCATATTTGACTTTCTGTCTCATTTCCAGTTATGAGTAACTCCCACCATTAACTCTTTCAGGCAATAATCACTCATTGCTAGTCACTGTTCTTGCTATGTTGGTATAATCTGTTTTTCCCTCTTAATAAACGTATTACTCTGTGATAGTTGCTAATGAAGTTCATTCTTTCTGCCTCCACCTCTTCCCCATCTTGCCAGACCATTTGGAATTCTAATCCTGTCCTGGATGCTCGCCTTCCTAACTGACGATGGGTGTCATCTGCTAACAGCATGCTATCATCTGTCAGCTCTAGGAGCTTATTTTCTGTTCTATCCATGTAAATCATTGATGAAATATTAAAGAATCAGCCCCAGAATGGAGGCCTGTGGGACATGATTTCTAATATCGCTGAGTTTGACATGAGTATCATTGATAATAAATTTGTCGTAAAACTACCTACCACAGAGCCACACTTACCCCAGTGTATTGGCGGAATACACACAGTCTTGGGGAAGGTAATCAAAAGTCTTCCTGGGGCCAAATAGCCATGGAAAAGTTTAGGGAGAAAACTAACGTACTGACTGCCCATATTTCTGTTAAGCAGGCACTTCATGTATGTTAATTTAATGAATCCCTCCACCACTCTATAAGGCAGTATAGTATAGTGGTTAATGCCAGGGATCCTAAGGTTAACGTGTCTGAGGTTGAATTTTTACTCCATCACTCTCTAGCTGCATGAAATGGGCAATATATTGAAATTCTCTGTGCTTAATTTTTATCATCTGAAAAATAACAATAGAATTCACCTCAAAGAATTGTTTTGAGGATCCCATTGCATGTAAAGCACTTAAACAGTGCCTGGCACACTCTGAATTTTCTACAAATCTTAGCTGTTATTATTATCACATATTAAAGTTGAGGAAACTAAGGCTGGTATGTAGCAGAGCCAAAATTTGAGACCTGAGTGTGTCTGACTCCAAGTCTCAGCTCTTTCTACTCTATTGTACAGACTTTTAGGTTTATATTCAACATATTTCCAAAAGAGATTTCAGATAAAAATGGCTCTAGCAGTCAGAAATGCATTAGATTGTACCTAAGCCTCATAATTTAAGCCACTATTTATTTGTTGGGGAGGTATTTATATTTGGTTGAGTTCTGCTTGAAAAACAAGTTATTTTATAAGAGAAAATAAATGACCTGAGTATAAAATGAAAATCATATAATACTAGGTTTGAAAAACTTCAGGGATCAACTAGTTAAAACTATAGACTAATGACTAATGAAGGGTTCTTCTGGGATTTTTGTTAAATTTTTTTCTAATTACATAAGTGGTAAGTGCTCAAAGTAGAAAACTTGGAAAACTCTGACAAGCCCTAAGGAGAAAAATCACCCATAATTCAAGTAATACTGATAATCACTATTAATGTTTTCATGTGTGTACTTTCCTTAATATTATCTTTCTTTATAAAATGAAAAAAATAACAAAATGAAAAAATGTAGCTTTGTTTACAAAAATTTTCTTTACAAAGTTGTGTCACAGTATGTACGCTATTTCAGTAGGCTGCTTTTTCACTTAGCAATAGATCATCAGCTTTTTTTCTATGTCCTTGTCTTACTGATTTTTAATATTTGAAAAATCTATAAAAAACAAATCATAGGAAAGTACCATAAATAACTAATCCCCTTTTGTTGGACATTTAGGTTGATTCTATTTTTTCCCTTACTATTATAAATAAAACTGTCACGAAGAGCCTTGTATTATGTTGTTGCATAATTCTCTCATTATGCACAAATCCTTCTTATCCTTAACAGATGGTTAGCCAGCCTCTGTTTGATCACTTCCAGTAACAGGGAGCTCACTTCTTTGCCAGACAGCTCATTCCATTTATGGACAACTCTAATTGTTAGAAAGTTCTTTATTTTTAACCCAAATCTGTTCCCCTTAACTTACACTCATTGATTCTAGTTTTGTGGTCTGGAATTACCCAAAGCAATCTTTTTTTTTTGTACTTGGAAGCCCATCAAATACTTGAGGAAGGCCATAATGAAACTCCCTAAGTATTCTCTTCTTGAAGATAAATATCCACGTTTATAAGTCTTATGATAAAAAAGGATGAGAAATTGGTTGTGGTGAAGGGGTTCCTCAAGAAAGATATAAATTTGGTGACAGATCATATTCCCTTTTTGCTTTGGCCTCCTGGAAGCTCAGAGCCTACTTGGCTGCCCTGTTTTTGTAACAGTAGAACCTTGTCACCTGTTTATATGTGCAGTTTCTTTTCTCTTGGACCTAATCATCCTATTTTGCCTATATTTTTTCTGTCTATAAGTTTTCCTTAAAAAAAAAAACTTACTGGTAGATCTCTTGAAGATGGAAAGTAGATTAGTGGTTACCAGAGGCCAGGAAAGGTAGAGGGGTGGGGTGATAAAGAAAGGGGAATTAATGGATACAAATACTCAGTACAATAAAAGAAATAAGACTTGGTGTTTTGTAGATCAGTAGGGTGACTGTAGTTAACATTAGTCTATTGTATATTTCAAAACAGCTAGAAGAGAATAATTAGGATGTTCCTAGCATAAAGAAAAATAGTTAAGGTGATGAATATTTTAATTATACTGATGTGATTATAGGAATGCATCAAATGATCACACATACCGCTAAAATATGTATATCTATTATGTATCAATTAAAAACATAAAAATAAATAATAAAAATGTTAAAATTTACTGCAGGCGCTCATAAATCCTCTGTAGTACAAGATATAGTATAATCACGTAGGTTTCTCTATTATATTTAGCCACTCTGTACAAAATTAGTTGATCCTTTTGGTTCCCTCTTAGTATTTTAGTACACATGCATGTCTTTAACTTCCAAAAGCTATCAGAGCAAAGGAATAGTTTTAATTCCCTGCCCCTTTTCTCTGGTGGGGGAACTGAATGGAATGGGAGGATAGATAACAGATTCTCATTCCTCCTAATCATTAGTAGTTTCTCATATTTTCAATATCTCCTCTGTCATCCAATGGCATCATTTTCTGTTCTTAAAAGACACTGTAACACGTATCTCACTGACCCTCAGAGCAATGATCACCACGCATGACACTGCAGGGTTCACAGACTATCCATATACATGTGAGGATGGGTCATCCTCCCTGCAGCACCTCTGATAGCAAAGTACTATTATCCTCATTGCAGCCTTGGAGAACAGAGGCTCAGAGAGGTGAGACTTGAATCCAGGTCCTCTAACTCTGAATCTGAGAGCCCATCCATGCCCCTACAGTGCATGGACTTCAGAAGAGCTCCAGACAGACCCAAGCCAAGAGGATTTCACTCCCGTTGGCCAGGAGGCAGGCAACTCTGCATGTTCCTCCTTTCAGTCAGGAATCCAGCTCTGATGATCCTCTTCCCACAGAGAGAAGCGTGCCGGCTGCCAGTTGCATATGGCTTGACGAAGATAGGAGAGGACATAAAGACACCCCCCACCTCCCTGTGCCCCCGGAGGAAAATCAAGCAGATTGTTTCCTACGTGGAGGAAGTGGATGTGAGAAACCTAAGGCAGCAGGCAGACCTCAAATAGGTGAGAATCACAGTGACTCCCCTGACCCCCTTGCAAGCTCTGTCTTGAGGAGCCAGGTTCGAAGGCACCAGGGCTGCCTGTGGGCCAAAGAGCTAGACCATTTCAGCCCCAGGAGCTTCCTCCCCGAGATGCCCACCTGAAGAGAAGCCGCTCTTGCCTTCAGCCTCCCTGGAAGACCTCTGCTGCCGGCAGGCTGGTCGATGTAACAGCTCAGAGTTGAAACCCTCTTAAAAATAGCTCTGTTCCCTTCTGGGTTTAGCAACTCACACTTGAAAAGCTCTTTATTCTTTATAATGAATAGAGAGCAGGAACTTTTCATTGACAAAGAGGAGCTAAAATACAAAATAAAGGCAGAGCGATGGTAGTTATTCTTTTGAAGCGGTGGACAGAGAGGGCTTCAGTACTCAGCTTTCACAGCTATCAACCCTTTCCTTGGGTTATTCCTGGAATAGAGGCATGAAGAGGCTTTTGAGCGGCTCTTGCTGTCAAAAGCTCTTGTGTGGTGGGCAGTATTTCAGGTGACAGCATTAGCTAGAGACCAGCAGAGCAGCTTGAAGTTGAAATTTCAATCTAATTAATCGACTGAAGGAGAAAAAGACCTGAAAGAAGGGCTTAACTCTTTGCTATGCAGACCTCCAAGACTCCTGACCATACTGAGGAAGGGAGCAGGTCTGACAGTAACAGGATGGGAGTGAAAGGTCAAGAAGCCAATACTTATCTTGGTGGGAGGGACCACCATTAGGTATGTGTTGGGGAACCTTGTCTGTCAGAGAGGCCAGAATTACTCAATTTATGTCTTACCCATGAATCAAGAGTAATACAGATGGAGGAATAATGTCAAGTCTAGTTTCAAAGTAATTTATTTTCTTTAAATCAAATGAAATGCATCTCTCAGAGTCCCAGTGAGTTGGTGAGAAATTTGATCTCAGTTATTATTTGGGTCTTCTTCCCTCTTTCCAAATATAAACATCTGGGAGGCATATGAGTTACCTGGGAAAGAGGGAAAAGACATGTAAATTATGCAGCGTAATTGAAGCTGGTCATATGCCAAAAACTCCAAATCACATTGTCTTAAGATAGGATGTTTATTCCTTGCTCAGGCAAAGTCCAACGTGGATGTTCATGATCAGGAAGCCATCTCAGGCAGCTCTCCTCCAAGCAGTGACTCAGGGATCCAAGCCCCTTCCAAGATGGGTCTCTGTCATCATCTGGGCTTTGAAATCATTTGCTTCCTACCACTATGACTGGAAAGGAATTAGAGGTAGAGATAGAGAGATCATAAGGATATATTTACGAGTCAGGCCCTAAAGTGGTATATATTACTTTAGCCCACATTCAATCAGTCAGACTCAACCACTTAGCTGTAAGTTGATACAAGGAGGCTGGCAGAGAAATAGAATTTAACTGTGTGCCCAGTAAACAGAAATATCTATTGATAAAATTTAGCAATCTGTACCAATGTATCTAATCTTCAGGTCATATGGCTTTTTCTGTTAGTCTTCTCGTTCATTCCACATGGTCCATAGAAGCTTGGTGCTCTCTGTTTGTCAGAAGGATTCAGTGAGGCTGGAAACCACACCTGCTACAGTCTTGCTGCTTCTTCTGGAGAGGGGCATCATGGACCCGTCAAATTCTAACTCTTCTTTTTCTCTTTCCTCTGAAGCATCCTTTTCTCTTCTCCTAGGATTTCTAGTATAACTTTTTTTTGTTTTGTTTTTTGACACAAAGTCTTGCTCTGCCGCCCAGGCTGGAGTGCAGAGGCGCATCTCCGCTCACTGCAACCTCCACCTCCCGGGTTCAAGCCATTCTCATGCCTCAGCCTCCCAAGTAGCTGGGATTACAGGCGTGTGCCACCACGTCTGGCTAATTTTTGTATTTTTAGTAGAGACCTTTTTTTTTTTTTTTTGAGAAGGAGTCTTGCTCTGTCGCCCAGGCTGGAGTGCAGTGGCACGATCTCAGCTCACTGCAAGCTCCACCTCCCGGGTTCACGCCATTCTCCTGCCTCAGCCTCCTGAGTAGCTGGGACTACAGGTGCCCGCCACCACGCCCAGCTAATTTTTTGTATTTTTGGTGGAGATGGGGTTTCATCGTGTTAGCCGGGATGGTCTCGATCTCCTGACCTTGTGATCCGCCCACCTCGGCCTCCCAAAGTGCTAGGATTACAGGCATGAGCCACTGTGCCCGGCCACGAGACGGGGTTTTGCCATGTTGGCCAGGCTGGTCTCGAACTTGTTACCTCAGGTGATCTACCCACTTCAACCTCCCAAAACGCTGGAATTCCAGGCGTGAGCCACCATGCCCAGCCCCATGAGGCAATTTCTACTAACTCATAGAAAAAATATTTAAGTATTTTATTGGCAGAAATTATTTTAGCTGGAAATGACAGGGACATTGACATAACCAGCTTAAACAATAAAAAAAAATTAGTATTATTTTAAATAACAACAACAAAAGCCAAAGGTAGAGCAAGTATTATAATTGGAGCTGGGGATTTATTGCTTTGCTGTTCTTTGTGCTCCCTCATCCTCCAGATAGAGGCGTTTTCTTCAGGTTGATTCCTTCTGGTGACTGCCATCAGCTCTTGGAACAACATGCTTCCTCATTAGAAAATTCTTTATAGGCCAGGTGTGGTGGTTCACGCCTGTAATCCTAGCACTTTGGGAGACTGAGGTGGGCGGACCACCTAAAGTCAGGAGTTTAAGACCAGCCTGGCCAACATGGTGAAACCGTGTCTCTACTTTAAAAAAAAAAAAAAACAAAAATATTAGCCAGATGTGGTGGTGCATGTCTGTAATCCCAGCTACTTGGGAGGCTGAGGCAGGAGAATCGCTTGAACCTGGGAGGCAGAGTTTGGGGTGAGCCGAGATCGCGCCATTGCACACCAGCGTGGACAACAGAGTGAGACTCCGTCTCAAAAAAAAAAAAAAAAAAAAAAAAAGAAAAAAAAAAAAGAAAAATCTTTCCTCCTACCTTTGAACAAAAGTAGTCTGATTAGGCTCGTCTGTATCACTTGCCCATCTCTGATCCAACAGCAGTCTCTAGGAGTCATGCCATGCACTGATTCACTGAAGCCTAAATTCTGAAACCAATCACTTGCAAGGAGATTAGAGTTACTAGGATTGGCTTCAGTTGAGGATAGGGCTGGCTTCCTGAGACACTTGGGCACCATGAATGGGGTTGCAGTGGGGCTTTTGTAAATAACATTAGGGTTCTGTTTGAAAAAAGGAAAATGGTGGGAAGGATGCTAAGGAGGCAACCCTGGGAGAAGGAAGGTCTCTTGGGATGGGTGGACTTAGACATCTTTCCTTTCTCTCTTCCAGGAAAACCTAATCTCTCCTAGTGCTGTTACATTTCTTAATGTGGCAATAGCTGTAACTCATACCCTTAAAACCTTGCACAGTGCTGTGGATTCAATTGTCCTGCTTCTTTGTATGTGATCATATCACATAAATTCAATCAAGTGGGGGTTTGTAGGAAGGCTGATTGTGGTCAAGGTCCAAATTCTACCCTCCATTCTATGCTTACTGGAAATATAGTTGATCTTTTGATCTTCATCTGTTGGATTCCTATATCTATTTCTAATTAACTCATAACCGGGGGTAGGCGGACATGATTATCATCCCTAAAAACCTCAACATGTGTGCTCTTCAGAGCAAACCAGAATCTAAAGGATTTGGAGAACTGTCACAAAGAGGAAATGTAAAATTCAATGTTGAGACCTTGTGCAGCCATCAGAAAAAAATATCAAGACTTTCTGCTGCCATACATCAGCTAGATATATCAGATATTCGGTAAGTTCAAAGTGCACAAATTTCAGGAGCATAGCCATCAAGAAAGCTGCACTGCTAGTAATGGGAACTCTGTCTTTGGAAGTATTCATGCACTGACTGGATGACCATCTCCCAAGTATGCCTAAACATGGAATTCTGCACGTTTGGGAAGTGGAACACAGTTACTTTCATGATACGATCCAACTTTTTTTCCAAGTAATTCTGTTTTGCTAATTGTTTGACCTGTGGTTTTCAAAGTGTAGTTCCAGTAGCAGCATTAGCACCATCTGGGGAACTTGTTGGAAATGCAGATTAACAGGTCACACCCTAGCTCTCCTGTTATGGGTGGAATTGTGTCCCCCAAAAGGATATGTTGAAGTCCTAACACCCAGTACCTCAGAATGTAGCCTTATTTGGAAATAAGGTCATTGTAGATGTAATTAGATAAGCCAAGATGAGGCTGTACTAGCGTAGGGTGGGCCCTTAATCCAATGACTGATGTCCTTATAAGAAAAGGAGAGAGAGACACGGATACACAAGGGGAGACCTCCATAAGATGATAGAGGCAGATACTGAAGTTATATACCTGTAAATCAAGGAACACCACAGATTGCCAGCAAACTACCAGAAGCTAAGAAGAGGCAAGGAAGGATCTTCCCTATCGATTTCAGGGGAAGTGTGGCCCTGCTGACACTTTGATTTCAGACTTTGAGCATCCAGAAATAGGAGCTTGTTTTAAACCACCTATTTCGTGGTAATTCATTATGGCAGCCCTACGAAACTAACACACCTACTGAGTTAGGAACTCATATATTAGGGCCCAGCAATCTGTGTTTATAAGTACCCCAGATGATTCTGATATATACTAAAATTAGAAAATCACTGATTGATTCCTTCCTTCCTTCCTTCCTTCCTTTTATTTTTTTATAATTTCAACTTTTATTTCAGATTCAGGGGGTACATGTGCTGGTGTGTTTCATGGGTATATTGCATGATGCTGAGGTTTGGGGTACAAATGATCCCATCACCCAGGTAGCGAGCAAAGGGTTTTCCAATCCTTTCCCCTCTCTCTCCCTCCCTGCTCTAGTAGTCCCCAGTGTCTGTTGTTGCCATCTTTATGTCCATGTGAGTGCCTAATGTTTAGCTCCCACTCATAAGTGAGAACATGTGGTATTTGGTTTTCTGTTCCTGGGTTAATTTGCTTAGGATAATGGCCTCCAGCTGTGTCCATGTTGCTGCAAAGGACATGATTTTGTTGTTTATGACTGTGTAGTATTCCATGGTGTATATATACCTTTTCTTTATCCAATCCACTATTGATGTGTACCTAGGTTGATTTCATGTCTTTGCTATGGTGAACAGCGCTGTGATGAGTGCATGTGTCTTTTTGGTAGAATGATTTGTTTTCTGGTTTTTTTTTTTTTTAGACAAGGTCTCACTCTGTTTTCTAGGCTGGAATGCAGAGGTGTGATCGTGGCTCACTGCAGCCTCAATCTCCCAGGCTCAAGCAATCCTCCACCTCTGCCCCCCAAGTAGATGGGACTACAGGCATGCCCACCATGCCTGGCTATATTTTTTTTTTAAGAGATGGGGTCTCACTACATTGCCCAAGCTGGTCTCAAACTCCTGGAATCAACCGATCCTCCCATCTCAGCCTCTCAAAGTTTGGGGATTATGGATGTGAGCCATGACGCCCTGCCCTTCTTTTGGATATATACCCAGTGATGGGATTGCTGGGTAAAATGGTAGTTTTGCTCTTAGATCTTTGAGAACTCTCCAAACTGCTTTCCACAGTGGCTAACTAATTTATACTCCCACCAACAATGTATAAACATTCCCTTTTCTCTGCCGCCTCACCAGCATCTGTTCTTTTTTTACTTTTTAGTAATAGCCATTCTGATAGGTGTGAGATGGTATCTCATTGTGGTTTTGATTTGCATTCATCTGATAATTAATGATATCAAGCATTTTTTATATGCTTGTTGGCTGCTTGTATGTCTTTTTTTTGAGAAGTGTCAGTTCATGACTTTTGTCCACTTTTAATGGGGTTGTTTGTTTTTTGGTTGTTCAATGGTTTAAGTTTCTTATAGATTCTGGATATTAGAGCTTTGTTGGGTGCATAGTTTGTGAATATTTTCTCCCATTCTGTAGGTCTGTTTACTCTGTTGACAGTTTCTTTTGCTGTACAAAACCTCTTTAGTTAATTAGTCCCACTTGTCAATTTTTGTTTTTGTTGCAACTGCTTTTGAGGACTTAATCATAAATTCTTTCCCAAAGCCAATGTCCGGAATGGTGTTGACTAAGTTTTCTTCTAGGATTGTTATAGGTTGAGGTCTTACATTTAAATCTTTAATCCACCCTGAGTTAATTTTCGTGTATGGTAAAATGTAGGGCTCCAGTTTCATTCTTCTGCATATAGCTAGTCAGCTATTCCAGCATCATGTATTGAATACAGAGTCTTTTCCCCATTACTTATTTTTGTTGACTTTGTCAAAGATCAGATGGCTGTAGATGCATGGCTTTATTTCTGAGGAGAACCACTGTTTCCTTTTTTCTTTTTTAAAAGTTTTTTAATGAAACCCTTCATGAATTTGCATGTCATCTTTGCACAGGGGCCATGCTAATCTTCTTAGTATATATACTGCTGAAGTGAGTACAGAACCACTGTTTTCTATTCTAGATCTAGACCAATGCCTCTCTCACATTTACATGCATGTGAATGAATTGAGGATTTTGTTAAAAGGCAGATTCTGATTCAGTGGATCTGGAGTAGGACCTGAGCTTCTACATTTTCCAATATGCTCTCAATACACGGCCCAATATGCTCTCCAAGGACCGGACTTTGAGTACCAAGTGTTGAAATCAGTGCCGTCCAGTAGAACTTTTCATGATAATGGAAATGTTCTATACCTCTACTGCCCAATATGAAAGTCACTAGCCACATCTAGCTACTAAACACTTGAAATGTGGCTTGACTGAGAATTAAATTTAAAATTTTTATTTCCTTTTTTTTCTTTTTAATTTAATAGAGACAGGGTTTCCCTATGTTGCCCAGGCTGGTCTCAAACTCCTGGGCTCAAGGGATCCTCCTGCCTCGGTCTCCCAAAGGGCTAGGATTACAGGCATGAGCCGCCACACCCAGCCAAGAACAAAATTTTTAAATGTTATTTAATTTAAATAAATTAATAGCTACATGCATTATATAGTACAGGTCATCAGTTTCCTGTTTCTAGTCTTAAATGGCATGTTTTGCAAAGCTTTCGGGGCTCTCAACTTGTTCATCTTGAAATATCCATAATTTGATAGTCAGGACTGGTGGTGTTCCCTATGCAAGACTGTGTGTGCTCAGCAGTATATTAGGAGCCACTGGAGAGCATAAAATAAATAGATTGCAGGGTCTTTGCCCCTGAGGAACTTCCTGTTTATTAACCAGCTCTCATTGTGTTTTCTTCCAGTTTCTGCCAAGCCTGAAAGTGTTCAATGTTAAAGGGTGGGGGGAGGAGGAAATTAAGCAATAATTAGGAGAGATGATGCTTGGCAGGGGCTTTTTTATCTCAAGGCTACCAGATTTTGTTCATGGAATTTGAGAACATGAGTGATTTGCATATGTTGCATAAATTTGCATCTTGTATTCAAGAGACCTGACTCCAAGTCTATGAAGTACAATTTAATTAATTAGTGGAACCTGCTATAGCTGTATTCAGAATAGAATTCATGGCATAACACACATGAAATTGCTAGCTGTTGACAGCAATTCAGGAGATCCCAGACCAGGTCAGGAGACCAAAAAAAAAAAAAAAAAAAAACAGAGCAGAAGAGGTTGACAGTTAAGGGGGAAGAAAAGGTGCCAGGACCTTTGTTATCATCCCTGACCTCTGCCTTCTGTGCACCTCCAGCCTTTGTATATAGAGTCATTCATTTCCCACAAATGGCATTATGTAAAATGAAGTTGCACCAAAGAATGGAATTAGACCTCCTGTGCCCACTAGTGTCAGTTTCCTTATCTTTGGCATACCCCATACTTCCTGCCTTGCTTCTCTGCCTACAACTGAACTCTGCATGAGTGTTAGCACATAGTTTAAAAAAGGAAAGATAGAGTGAATGAGAGAATGTCTAAAGAAAGGAAGTGAAGAGTCAGGTAGTTTTTCCTGCTCTCTCTTCCCTTCTCTTTCTTCTCTCCTCTACTGAGCACCTACTCAATATCTGCGCCAGGTCTGTGGTGGGCCTGGGGGATACAAAGTTAAAGTAACACAGGCTTCTTGTCTCAAAGGAGCTCAGCACTGCAGCAGGGGAGATGGACTGGACATATGAGCAGCAACTTCCATACTGTGCATAGCAAGAAACGATAAAGGCGTGTCCTAGGAAGGGGACCCAGAGGAGAGAGAGA
Organism: Homo sapiens; assembly: GCF_000001405.40. Lineage (NCBI taxonomy): Eukaryota > Metazoa > Chordata > Mammalia > Primates > Hominidae > Homo > Homo sapiens. Next base: position 157,911,059 of record NC_000002.12, on the reverse strand, counting down.
TGCCTCTGTTGATGTGGAGAGGTAGTGGGGAAGTTTTCACACAGGAAGAAAGGTAAAGGATTTGAAGATAGAGAAAAGACTTAAAGAAAGAGAAGGACTGTGGTGGAACAGAGAACAGCATGTGCAGAAACAGCACGACGTGCTTAGCGTACAGTTAAGTATCAGAAATGTGAAGGGGAGGAGGGAGGTCAGGGAGAGGTACAGAATCCAGAGCAGCCTATAAATGCCTTATTAACTTGCTTTCAGGCACCAAGGGAATGGAACTAAAGTAGAGTACTTTAGACCATCTTACCTAGGAATGAAAACATGGCACCAACCCCAGCAGCAGGGCTAAAGGATCTTTCCCTCAGGAGCTAAGTCCTCCCCTCCTAGCATCTCTTGACCGATGTTAGCTGTAGATCTGCCCTTAACATTTCCTACTTGCGCCCCTTTCTAGGAGAACTTGAATTCTATTATGACCCAAGTTGACTAGAAATAGTCATCTGTATAATACATCCTCTATTTTTTGTCTGTAACCAAATATACCCACTGCCTGCCAGGCAGCCCACAGAGGTCAGGTGGAGCTGAAGGGTCATCCTGAAATGGTCATGTTCACCACCTGAATGATTCCCCTGATTCTCTCACCTCCCCATCGTGTTGGTATTTATTCCTTCTTTCTTTTCGGAAACTCAGAACCAAATGTGGCAACTGCGTATAGCCCCAGAGATACTAAAAACGCACCTGCTCCCCCACCACCTCCACGGCCAAATCTAGGAGCCATGGAGCTACCCCTCACTGCAGAGCTAGTGGGATGGCATAAGGATAGAGACTGTGTCTAGTGCCTCCTCCCACCTCGCCCATGTAACTCTACACTCTGTGGGAGAACTGGCTGCCATATTTCATTGATCTACTACTAAATGTTTTAGAAAAACAGAAAGCACAGAGTATACAATCACCAATTCATACCTGCTCCTCAGCTTAAGAAATACATTTCAATCTTGGCTGGGTGCGGTGGCTCACGCCTGTAATCCCAGCACTTTGGGAGGCCAAGGCAGGCGGATCACCTGAGGTCAGGAGTTCGAGACCAGCCTGACCAACATGGAGAAACCCCGTCTCTACTAAAAATACAAAATTAGCCAGTCGTGCTGGCACATGCCTGTAATCCCAGCTACTAGGGAGGCTGAGGCAGAAGAATCACTTGAACCTGGGAAGCAGAGGTTGCGGTGAGCCGAGATTGCGCCATTGCACTCCGGCCTGGGCAACAAGAGTGAAACTCCATCTCAAAAAAAAAAAAAAGAAATACATTTCAAATTCAACTGAAGCTCTTCTGTTTTCCTAATTAATTACCTTCCTTTCCTTCCTCTTAAGAAGTAATCATTATCCTGAATGTGGTATTTATTATACCAAATACTTGTATTTATATGATACTATGGTATATTGTGTTGTTTTAAGTATTTTAATATTTATAAAAATGTTATGCCTCAAAATGCCATCAACAACCAACTCTGTTAGTTTCTTGTGTGGGAAAGCTTCTGAATTGTGCGGTCTTGCCCCTCTGGACCCTATGGCTCTATCATAATAAAAAGATAGCTTTTGGCAAGACTTTATCTTATGCTATTGATCTACATTGTCTCATATTTTTCCTTTATTCTTGTATATTCTATGAATATGGTGCTATCCTGTCATTTAGTTATTGTAATATGTGTGAACTGCTGGGGACAGACTGATGTGAGTGCAGTTCTTAAACTTAAAAAGCCCTAGACATCACATTTGTGGTGTTTAAAGTATTAGGAACAGCCCTACAAACAGGGGTTGATTGTATTGAATATTCTTCCTGCTGAGCCCACCTTGTGATGGTGGTTGCTTAGGGATCTTGGAGCTAAAGAAATGGCTAATCATTCAATAATGGTCCTGTAATATTCATCACCCATGAGCAGTTAGTAAAGAATGGCTGCAAAGGCAGAGTTAGGCTACTAACAAGGAATTTATGTAGATGTGCCATGTCTAGCCTGTGTTCTGGAACCATAGACATGAATAAGGTATGGTCTATTCTCTCTGGAGGCTCATAATTGAATAAGGAGTATTAATAAGTGAATGATTGCAATTCAGCATGGCAAATGCTAAAATATACGTATGTAGCAGCTATAATAGGAACAGAGTAATAGGGAGAGTCAAAACCCCCAAAAAGTCAGGTATATAATATGTGCGTATTTTGTATATACATGTAAACTCTAACTATGAGGTAATAATCTCTGGTCTGTCCTTATTACCTGTGTGGATTGGGCAAGTTACTTACAACACTCAGCCTGTTTCTTCATCTGTGAAATGGTGATAATATCTAGTAATATCTAGTAGTGTTGATGTATGGATTAAATGAGATAATCTAAAAAAATGTTATCCAGTGATATCCTGGTAAATTGTTTAACAACAGGTTCTCTAGGAGAAAAAAGACAACTTAATTTAAAGCATCTGCCAATTTCCATGCTTACATACTCCCAGCATGGCCAAATTCAAATGACCACATTGTGTCAGTGAACAAGAAGTTAGGAAGAGATGACCCCAATACATGTAAGCCAGCTCTGGCACCCCACTGATTTATTATGTTCTTCATTAACTTGATTTTTTTCCTCAACATTATTATATTTGAGATTTGTTCATGTCGATACATGCAGGTCTAGGTTTTTTTTTTTTCTTTCACTTCTACTGCTATGTAGGGTTGATTGTATGAACGCACCAAAATTTATTTTTCCTGCCAGGCACAGAGGCTTATGCCTGTAATCCCAGTGCTTTGGGAAGCTGCAGTAGGAGGAACACTTGTACTCTGGAGTGCAAGGCTGGCTTGGGCAATGTAGCAAGACCCCTTCTCTACAAAAAAAAGTTTAACAATTAGCGGGGTATGGTGGTGCACACCTGTAGTCCTAGCTACTCTGGTGGCTGAGGCGGGAGGATCACTGGAGCCTAGAAGTTTGAGGCTGCAGTGAGCTATAATCACACCACTGCACTCCAGCCTGGGCAACACGGCGAGACCCTGTCTCAGAAAAAAATTAATTAAATAGTTTGTTTTTCCTTTTTTTTTTTTTTTTGATGGATATTTAGGTTGCTTTTGATCTGGGGACACTTGAAAATAATGCTGTAAAAATCATTTTTGAATGTACTTCATGGTGCACAGGTGTAAAAGATTTCCCAAAATCAGAGTAGAATTCATGGGTTTTGGACATACATGTTCCAACATGAGTAGATTTTGCCAGATTTTCCTCCTAGGTAGCTGTGATGATTTACTTTCCCACTAGTGTATCAGTGTTTCCATTACCTTCATTTTCTCCTGTTCTTAGTTTTGACAGATGTTATTGTTATAAAGTGAATTGTGTCCCTCCAAAATTTACATATTAAGTCCCAACCCCCAATGTGACTGCATGTGGAGATAGAGCCTTTATGGGGGTAATTAAAATAAATGAGGCCATAAGGGTGGGGCTTTAATCCTGTACAATTGGTATCCTTACAAAAAGAGGAAGAGGCCGGGCGCGGTGGCTCACGCCTGTAATCCCAGCACTTTGGGAGGCCGAGGCAGGTGGATCACGAGGTCAGGAGATCGAGACCATCGTGACTAACACGGTGAAACCCTGTCTGTACTAAAAATACAAAAAATTAGCTGGGTGTGGTGGCGGGCGCCTGTAGTCCCAGCTACTCAGGAGGCTGAGGCAGAAGAATGGCGTGAAGCCGGGAGGTGGAGCTTGCAGTGAGCCGAGATTGCACTACTGCACTCCAGCCTGGGCGACAGAGCAAGACTCCGTCAAAAAAAAAAAAAAAAAAAAAAAAGAGGAAGAGACACTAAAGCTCCCCCAACAACTCCACCCAACTCCCACCCTCTCCCCACTATGTGTACATAAAGGAAAGGACATATGAGGACACCGTGAGAAGCTAGCCATCTATAAGCCAGGAAGGGAGCCCTTACTAGAACCCGAATTTGCCAGAACCTTGATCTTGGACTTCTAGCCTCCAGAAGTGTGAGAAAATAAATGTCTCTTGTTTAAGCCACCCAGTCTGTGAGATTTTTGTCATGGCAGCCTGAGCAGATTAATGCAACAGACTTTTAAAATTTTGCCTTTAAACAGATGTAGTTTTTCTTTATTTTAATTTTAGAAACTCTTTGTTTCCTTTTAATCAAGCCTCGACTCTTATCTAGTTTAAACAAACTCCCAAACTGACCTCTTCCTTTATAACCCACCTAATTTACTTATTCCCAATTTACTTCATTCAGGCTGATTTTCTCAGATTCCCCAAATATACCATGCTCATTCTTATCTCTGGACCTTCATTAAAGCAGCTCTGCTTGCCCAGAATACCCTATCATTTCCCTGGGCATATCAATATCTTGCCCATTTTTAAAATACACAAGTCAAATCCCATTCTCCAAGAGTTAGGACTCCTTCTGGGTCAAATGAAAGAAAATCCAAACCAAACTTCTATGGCACAAAAAGGAAATTTGGTTTTACGAAAAACAGAACAGCTTGCTTCAGAGATGCCAGGGACCTAGACAGTGCTATTAGGTCCCTCTTCTCATATCCAGTCTCACTTTACCCTGCACTGGATGAATTCTCTCCTTCTGTAGACATCGTGCCTCCATACTGAAGGACCAGCACAGGGCCACAGAAAGCTCCACACTTACAACATCTTATGCGTAACCCACAAAAGACTTCCTCTCTCCCATCCTCCATTTGTAATATCCTGGCTGCGGGGCGAGAGCGGGGGAGTTTTCATTGGCCTGATTTGGACCAAATGGCATTTTCTTGTTCAATCATTCCATCTAGAATGGTGGGGTACTATGATAGCTAAGCCCAGGGTATACGCCCACATCTGTAGCCAGGGAGGTAGAGTATTATGACTGTCAAACCCATTAAAACCACATGGAGTGTGGAAGATCAAATCTCCTTGCTGTGGTCTGAATGTTTGTGTCTTCCTAAAATTCTTACGTTGAAACCTAATCCAGGGCCGGGTGCGGTGGCTCACGCCTATGATCCCAACACTTTGGGAGGCCGAGGCAGGCAGATCACTTGAGGTCAGGGGTTCAAGACCAGCCTGGCCAACATGGCGAAACCCCCGTTTCTACTAAAAATACAAAAATTAGCCAGGCATGGTGGTGGGCGCCTGTAATCCCAGCTACTCGGGAGGCTGAGGTGGTAGAATTGCTTGAACCCAGGAGGCAGAGGTTGCAGTGAGCCGAGATCCTGCCACTGCACTCCAGCCTGGGTAGCAGAGCAAGACTCTGTCTCTAAAGAAAAAAAAAAAAAGAAAGAAAAAGAACAGAAACCTCATGCCCAACATAGTATTAAGATGTGGGGCCCTTAAGAAAAGGTGCGGGTGAATCATCTTGAGCCTTGGAGTTTGAGACCAGCCCAACACGGCAAAACCCCGTTTCTTTTTTTTTTCTTTCTTTTTTTTTTGAGACAGAGTCTCACTCTGTCGCTCAGGCTGGAGTACAGTGGCACCATCTGTGCTCACTGCAACCTCCACCTCCGGGTTCAAGTGATTTTCGTGCCTCAGCCTCCCGAGTAGGGATTACAAGCGTGTGCTACCATGCCTGGCTAATTTTTGTATTTTTAGTAGAGATAGGGTTTCGCTATGTTGGCCAACCTTGAACTCCTGGCCTCAAGTGATCCACCTGCCTTGGCCTCCCAAAGTGCTGGGATTACAGGAGTGAGCCACAGCGCCTGGCCACAAAATCCCGTTTCCACAAAAAATACAGAAGTTAGCTGGGCATGGTGGCTTGTGCCTATAGCCCCAGCTACTGGTGAGGCTGAGGTAGGAAGATGGTTTGAGCCCAGGAGGTCAAGGCTGCCGTGATCTGTGATTGTGCCACTGCACTCAAGCAGAGAGCAAGCCCTCACCAGATATCAAATCTACTGGTGCCTCAATCTTAGACTTCCCAGCCTCTAAAACTGTAAGAAATAAATTTCTGTTAATTATTAATTGCCCTGTCTAAAGTGTTTTGTTATAGCGGAATGGACTAAGATATCCCTAAAGAAGGGTCCTTGACAGACACAAATGACAGAATCTATCACATGCATTATCCATGAAGCTACCCCATTTCTCCAGCCCTCACAGCTCCTCTTTACTTTTGAATTGTTATTGTATCTATAGCATCTCTCACTTAATTATCAAAGTATCTTTTGTTTTATGCTAAATCATAATCGTGTTAATATTAGGAATCATGTCTTCACTTACCATGTATCTTTCACAGTCATTTTTTTTTTTTTTTGAGATAGAGTCTTACTTTGTCGCCCAGGCTGGAGCACAGTGGCGCAATCTCAGCTCACTGCAACCTCTGCCTTCCAGGTTCAAGAGATTCTCGTGCCTCAGCCCCCTGAGTAGCTGGGACTACAGGCACCTGCCACCATGCCCAGCTAATTTTTGTTATTTTTTAGTAGGGACAGAGTTTCGCCATGTTCGCCAGGCTGGTTTTGAACTCTTGACCTCAAGTGATCCACCTGCCTTGGCCTCCTAAAGTGCTGGGATTACAGGTGCGAGCCACCATGCGCAGCCACCTTCACAGTCCTTAACAGAGAACTGAGTATGTATCAGACATCTGACAAATACTAATTCTGAGAACCTGTGGCCTGCTATTTCTAATGGAAGCAGATCTTTAAAATCCACTCCTATTGACTTCAATTGTAATTTAGCTGAAATTTGAATTTTGAAGCTACAATGCAATTTTGGAGATATCATGGCCAAAAATGTATATGGTGCATAGCAGTTTAGAAAATACTCTCACATTCTATGATTTTCACAAGCAGACAGAAGGCAGGTTCTGTCCCGTAGGAAACTGAGATTTACCCATCAATGCATGTAATTTTTTTGCCCAAAGTAGACTGGCTGGTGAGTAGCAGAAACAGATAAGCCACAGTTTGACTGGGCCTTGGGAGAAATTTGCCTTTTGTCACCACCCTATAGAGGGCTGAGTGTTCTGGCAGGTATGGTGAGAGACTCTTCTAGAAATAGTGCTCTAGGGGGTTGCCTCCAAGAAGCTCTGATTGCCCTCCATCCTGTGAGGGTTCCATGAATGAATCAGCCCATGGAAACTCTACCTACATTTGGACACTCACTGTCTGGAACATGTGTTTGGAGACTGGAACCAAAGCATCTCTGTGGCCCCGAATGTTACTGAGGAGAGATTCAGCCCACATCTAAATGCCAGATGATAGAAGCAAGTGGCCAAGCAGTGCAGGCATTTTTGCCAAGTTGGAATGGGAGCAAGTGTGACTAAGCCAATGGGACTAGAGGTGGCAAACAATTCGTGTCTGGTTGGAATCAAGCACTGTGTTGGTGATAACACTTCCAGAACAGGCAAGGGTGACCATAAACTTGCGTTCCAAGGCACCCTGCAAAGGAATGAGCTGTATACGCTCATGCTATTTAACAGAAATTCACCAATGAGGCCCATCTTTTAACGTCAGCTAGAACAGCAATGTCGACAATGGCATCACCAGGCTTCCCCTGCCTGCTGCTAGCCCAGCAGAAGCTTGTAAAGGCAGAACTTTCGGGCCCAGACGTCTTGTTTCTGTTGCTTTTGCCAGAGAGCTGCTCCAGAGGGGGGTTGCATTGTGTTATAATCACATGGTTTGCAAAATGATAGTTAAGAGTCTGTTAGCATTTCCACCCCAAACCTCATATTTTCAGCTGCTCGGAGTGACTCAAATATAAGAATTCTCTTTAGGCTGAAATTTGGCACACAGGGTCTCAGGCCCAGCTGGGGAGCAATTTCAACCTTTCTTGGGACCGGATTTCAATAACATCCATTTGGCTGTTTTTGAATAACAGCAGAAGTACAACAGAAGAGAAGTTAGCATTTTTATAGCAAAATGTTGCCATTGTGTGACTCAAGAATTGGTGTTGAGGGGTGGGTGGGACCCACCCTAGCAACTCCCAATAAACCCTGGCAGGTGATTAGCCTTCAAGTGGACTAAGCATGTATACTTTTCTTAAGTATATATTAAAAAGCCCAACTGCTAGTCTGTTGTTCAGAACAGAGGAGAGATTTTGTTTAATAACATATTGTGTTTTTGAAAAGCAAAGTTGACTCAGGAACAATGACACATACCAGTGGATACTGAATTTCTACTACACCCACTCCTTGGTGCAACTGGGGCAGTGGCAAATTGTAGGATGCAACTGAGTTCCCAAATGTACAGGAAAAAACTGCGAGGGGGCAGGAGAAAGGGAGGGGAGGGTAGTGCCATGACCACAAACATGATATGAGGAATATTCTTGATGATCTAAGATCTCAGATCTGGTCCTTCCTTCTGGAAGGAAGAAGACATCAGAACTCAGTTCCTCTTCTGCACCTCCCCACTCACTAATGACAATGCATCAAATTACAAATGACAGATTCCAAAAAGGCAAAATGATACCAAGCTTGTTTTTTTTTTAATGAAATATTCCAGGAAAAAAAAAAGCATAGAGAATAATAAAAAAACACACTCATGTGCCCACCACTCAGTTTATGAAATAAAACATTGCAAACATAGGCCAGGCGCAGTGGTTCATGCCTGTAATCCCAGCACTTTGGGAGGCCAAGGCAGGCGGATCCCTCGAAACTAGACATTTGAGACCAGCCTGGGCAACATGGTGAAACTCTGTCTCTACTAAAAAATAAAAAATTTGCCAGCGTGGCAGTGTGAGCCTGTAATCCCAGCTACTTGGGAGGTGGAGGTGGGAGGATCACTTGCTCTCATCTTAAAAAAAAAAAAAAAAAGCAAATACAATCAAAGTCCTATCTGTGTATTTATCAGCATTCTTGATGATTTCCTTGTTTTTTGTTTCTTTTTTGTTTTTTGCTTTTGAGATGGAGTCTTGCTGTGTCACCCAGGCTGGAGTGCAATGGTGCGATCTTGGCTCATTGCAACCTTTGCCTCCCAGGTTCAAGCGATTCTCCTGCCTCAGCCTCCCGAGTAGCTGGGATTACAGGCGCCTGCCACCATGCCTGGCTAATTTTTGTATTTTTAGTAGAGGCAGGGTTTCACCACGTGGGCCAGGCTGGTCTCGACCTCCTGACCTCAGGTGATCTGCCCGCCTTAGCCTCCCAAAATGCTGGGATTACAGGAGTGAGCTACTGCACCCAGCAATTTCCTTGTTTCTTAATACAAAGATTTATTATTGTTCTCTTTATATAGGATGTTATATCTCCAGCTTGTATTTCATAGGAGTAATTATCTATGATTCCTCCTCCTCTTCTTTCTACATTATTCAGATTTACAGAAATTCTGTTTAAATTTATGCCTTTTCTTTCCAGAAGTTCCTAGTTTCCATCACTGAGTGGTAATCAGCTATAGCAGGTTTGCCAATGTGGGATCCAAAAGCACCTTTCCTGGTTAAAGTCAAATGAAGACGATTTTCCTCAACCTCTGCTAAAATGATACCCCAACATACCTTAAGAATCTTCTGACTGTTACATTATAGGAATTGATACCCAGTCTCTAAATTCTAGACTTTATATACTTTCTGCTACATCAAAGTGCCTTTTCTGCAGTTTAGGAGACTGCCCCCTGCTGTAACCATCAGCTCTATCCCTTCTGTGCTGATCAACATCTTTGCAAATAGAAACCTTGATTTACAAGCCCCTTGTATTCTGCGTAAGCCACCTCCAGTTCTATCCTGATCTCCTAACCACGACCTCAGGGAGAGCTTCTAACTATAAATAAAGTGGTTTTTACCAACTCAGTCAATTCTCAGATTTAAAGATACATTGGTCCCAGTGCAGCAGGCTATAGAAGTCATGGTAGTTTCCCCTCTAGAAGCCATCCCCACCTATTCTTGGGTCATAGACCCCTGATTTTGTTCAGGCATCAGGTAGCCACATGCTTCAGGAAAGCTGGGTCCTTCTCCAGCCCCAGAGCCAAAAAACCAGCACTGTATTTCAGTTAAGAGTCTGGTCTCATGATTCCTTCATAGGCTCTTGTGTGACCTTAGGTAAGTTACTAAAACTTTGTGTGTCTTGGTTCAATTTCTTTTGTCAGGGATTGTTATAGCTGACTTGCTGGGGTTGGCAGAGTTAAAACAAACAAACAAAAAATCTGAGAACTTGTTAATGCTCCTGAGTCACTGAATTAACCAACCATAGAATATACGCTCCCTGAAGGCAGAGATTATTGCCTGCTTTATTCACTCATACATCACCAGCACCAAAAACAGTGCCTGGCACTTAGTAGGTGCTCAATAAGTACTGGTTAAATTGCATTGACTTGAATCTCAGACTCATTAAATTGCAGGCAAGACTTTTTGTTATGTGACATAATAAATACCCAGCCCAAAGCATCTTGATACATAAATACCCTTTGTCTAGTCAGTACCATTCTTTCCTAGGAACTGTCCCCTCCACATGTTTACAAATATGGCAGCGATGGGAGCTGAGTTAATACATTGTGACCCAGTGGCTACCATTAATTCATTCAGGGGTGGCTACCTGACCCAAATGGGATCAATCTTAACCCTTTCCCAGGAGTTTGGAATTAGACTAAGACTCAGGTCAATCTTGCTGCTGTTTGAAAAGGAAGAAACATAAGATGTGGCCTATTGGCAGTTGTGTTTCCCATGTGCACGCATGAACACTACAGCAGGTTAGCTGGCAGCAAGCAAAGAAGGAAGCCAACTGGCAAAACAAAGACAAAAGATGGACAGAGAGTGCTTGTGGTATTTAAGTGTGGTTAAGTGCGACCCACCTACATTCCAGTTCTTGGAGTCTGGGAAACACATGGATTTTCTTATGATAGTCTCTTTTCTCCTTAGGCTATTTTGAGTTGGGCTACTGTTAATTGCAGAGAAAAGATCCTAAGAGGTTTTTTGTTGTTGTTGTTTTAATTATAGTTATGAATTCTGAGTAAACCACACCTTACTTCCTGTAACTATTATATGCACCCATGAAAGGTAAACACTTTAAAAAAAAAATAGGGCCGGGTGCAGTGGCTCATGCCTGTAATTTCAGCACTTTGGGAGGCCGAGGTGGGCAGATCACGAGGTCAAGAGATCGAGACCATCCTGGCCAAAATGGTGAAACCCTGTCTCTACTAAAAATACAAAAATTAGCTGGGCATTGTGGCATGTGCCTGTAGTCCCAGCTACTTGGGAGGCTGAGGTAGGAGAATTGCTTGAACCTGGGAGGTGGAGGTTGCAGTGAGCCGGGATTGCGCATCTGTACTCCAGCCTGGTAACACAGAGAGGTTCTGTCTCAAAAAAAAGAAAGAAAGAAAAAAAAAAGAAATGCTGAGGGACAAATATAACCCGAAACATAACCATAAAACCTTTGGAAACTTAAACGAGAAACAAACTCTGAGTACACTTGTCTCAAGTCTACCTTTAAGCCATCCTCTACAGCCCTTGCACTCCAGTCCTCTTCTTTTGTCCATGCAAACATGGTGACCAATGAGATTCTTCACTGTTTACAATGGTGTGCTCCACTATCATCCCCTGGTTTTTCCATGTGGCAAACTCCGTAACTGGAAACCCTTTCTATTCTAGCTGTTTAGTACATAACTCCTAAAGTTCTCTCTTCTCGTCAGCTTTAAATGACTTCATGGTTGGTTTTGCTTTTATTTTTCTCTGAGGTTTCAATGTACAATTCCAGGAACTAGCTATCTCTATCAACCTGAAACTGTGCCTGGGTTCTACGTTGATAATTTTTTACTAAGCCACAGGGACCATCTGGTCTAAGGTCATGACTCTGTTTGCCATTTGTGCAGCTGCCTGCACATCTGTAGGTTCCGATGCATTCTTTTATTATTGTCTGCTTTCTATTGCATGTTGTCAAAGGCCTGGGGACTGCATCTGTTTGAATTTTGTCTGTAGGGCTCCGAACATAGAGCAGTGTGTGGTTGGGAACACAGAAAACATTACTTTCAGCAAACTGGATTCATAAAGAGTCATGATGAATGGAAATGATGAGGGAGATTTGAGCCCAGGAATAGGGACTGGGTTTCCTATTTACCTCCTCACTAACAATGATGCTTTTAAATGTTCTCGCTCTGAACAACTTTATCAATGCTTTGAGCTGAGACCCACTCACATAATGATTATTTCCTTGTAAGTACTTATTATTTAGTTGAGTTAGCTCTTTCAATATGAAGTTTTTATACTGGTTTTTAGAATTGTTCACCATACATTCTCTTTAACATGTATTCTCTTAGTCTCTCTTTCTGTCTCTGTCTCTCTCTACACACACACACACACACACACACAAACACACACACACGTTCATTTGAACTCAGGTTTTAATGCTGGGTCTATACTTGGCCAACATCTTCAAGGTCACTAATGTTACTTCTTGCCTCTGCTGTGTGGGAGCCAGAGTGTGAGTCATCAGGGTGAATAATGCCTCTGTGATACTACCAGATTGTGTTTGTCTCCACTTCAAAGCTCTTAGTTTTAACAGAATAGTATTTCTCCATCCCGCCCACCCAAACAGCAGTCTAGATGGCTGAGAGGCAACAGTTATATGAACAGTAGTATCATTTCCATAGGATGGGCTACTCCCCACCCGACCCATATTCCTCAAAAAACCTGCAGGACCCTTTATAGAAGTTCTCAGGCAACATTCTAGTCAGGTTTTGTTGACTAGAGATTACAGCTCATCACCTCTTTTTTTTTTCTTCTTTCCTTCCTCCTTCCTTCCTTCCTTCCTCTCTCTCCCCCTTCCCTTCCTCTCTCCTTTCCCTTCCCTTTCCCTTTCCATTTTTGAGAGGGAGTCTCACTCTGTCACCCAGGCTGGAGTGCAGTGGCGCAATCTTGGCTCACCGTAACCTCCGCCTCCCGGGTTCAAGCGATTCTCCTGCCTCAGCCTCCCGAGTAGCTGGGATTACTGGCGCTACCACCACACCCGACTAATTTTTTTGTATTTTGAGTACAGATGGGGTTTCACCATGTTACCCAGGATGGTCTCAATCTCCTGACCTCATGATCCACCAGCCTCGGCCTCCTAAAGTGCTGGGATTACAGACATGAGCCACTGTGCCTGGCCTCCTTCCTTCCTTTTCTTTCCATTCTTTTTTTGCCTCACATAGGTCTATAAATCTGCCATTTCTGATCCATCTTCAGTGATCTTTTTTTTTTCATAGTTCACTGCAACCTCGAACTCCTGGGTCCAAGCAATCCTCCCATCTCAGCCTCCCAAGTAGCTTGAACTACAAGTGTGCACCACGGCACCTGTTTTTCAGTTACTGCTCTTCCCTTTAATCTTTCACTTTCTTTTTCATTCACCAAAGACTTTATGACTGAGTTTGTCAAAAAAAAAAAAAAAAAAAAAGAGAAGCAGTGAAAGGAAGAACAGAAGAAAGGAAGCAAGCAAGCAAGCAAGCAAGCAAGCAAGCAAGCAAGCAAGCAAGCAAGCCAGACAGACAGAAAGAGAAAGACCAGACATGGTGGCTCATGCCTGCAAGCCCAGCACTTTGAGAGGCTGAGGCAGGCAGATTGGTTGAGTCCAGGAGCTCAAGACCAGCCTGGGCAATGTGGTGAAACCCCGTCTCTACAAAAAATACAAAAATCAGTTGGGCATGGTGCACATGTAGTCCCAGCTACTCAGAAGGCTGAGGTGGGAGGATTGCTTGAGCCCGGGAGGTTGAGGCTGCAGTGGGCTATGATCATACCACTGCACTCTAGCCTAGGCAACAGAGCAAGACCTTCTCTCAAAAACAAAAACAAACCAAAAAAAGTCTTTAAACCCAAGAATCAACTCCCACTTCCACAGCCTCCTTGTGGCTCCTCTCACAGGAACACTTTATTTTAAAAGTCATGTGACTCTGGTGAGACTACAGTGCAGAGTGGCCATGATGGAAAGAATAATGGTGGAACTGCTACCATTGAGCACCTAATCACAGTGCCAGCTGGTTTACACACCTATTTCAGTAACTCCCCAAAACTGAAGTAAGCCTTATTATCTTTTTTACCCATGAGTAGAGTGAGGTTCAGAGATACTCAATAACTTGCCCAAGATCATAGCCATTAAGCAGAAAGGAGGAAAATAACCAACTCTGTACGGTGACGAGATTCATGCTTTTTTTGGTCAGGGGAGGGGGGCTCAGTTGCTTGGTGAGAGAGGAGATATTAACCTGTCTAGACTTCCTAGTTTTTCTATGTCCTGCCTTTCTTGCTGCGAATTTATGGGATAACTTGAGAATATAATTTTCTCTGATCATTCCTATGTCACTTCCCAAAGCATTTCTCATTGTCGTCAATGGTATCTGGGTATATTTCCCCATACTCATGAATAACATACCTTAGAAATTTTGCCAGTCCTCATTCGTGTCCTACACGTGTTAATCAAATGTCTTCTAGGCCTAGGGTAATGGTGTATAATCTATCATCCAAACTGGGACACTTTTGAGATGAAAAAGAGTGCTATTAATAATTATGCTGGGCACACTGGGATGTATGGCCACCCATTTAGAACAAACTATAGTCAAGCTAATGTCTCCTATGGACAAGGAGGGTATGAGTAGAATAGTCCAGCCTTAACTAGACAGAGAACAGAGGTTGTGGGGGAGAGAAGCTAAATCTACCAAATTCCAACCGTTTTGTCTCACTAGCAGTTGTTGTATTTCTGGGCCTGAGTGTGTGTGGTGAAAGAAGGAAGGTAGCTGAAAACCTCTCAGAATTAGAATTATCACTATCTCCATTCCTTAAGAAAGTGGTGCTCAAACTTCAGTGTGCTTAAGAATTACCAGTTGTTTTTAAATAAAATGCAGATCCCTGAACTATATGCCTTAGAGATGCTGAAAATACAGTCTGAGATGGGCCCTGGAAACTGCATTTTAACATCCTCCTGTAAAGATTTTGATCTAGGTAATTTATAAATTACCCTGGGAAGAAAAACAGTATTTCCTTGATAGAAAAATTCCTGCATAATCACTCTACAAAGACAGGCACAATTTCAGAGGAAGTCCTTGCGGGACTCAATAACACAACTGTTTACAACACTGATATTTGTTCAAAGATACTGTCTATATGACCTGAATCACTACTTGAATCAAATAATTTAAACCACATTAACCTTACAATTACTTTCAGCATAGATTCTTAGGGATTCCTAGCCAAATATATATAATTTATCTTTACATATATGGTATTATATATATTCTTAGTATCTTTATATTATAGTCAAAGAAAAGAGAATAACATTTTCTGTGCTTTCTGATAATCACAGTAATAATAGTTTTTATATATTAAACATTGTTCTTCTGTCAGACATTTATATACATTACCTTGAATACAAAAAGCCTTGAAGGTAAGTCAGTCAAGCGAGCTCTGTTTCAGACAGGATGTACTACAGGCTCAGAGAAGCTAGGTGACTCGCCTGAAGCCTCACAGCTAGTAACTGGCAGAGTTGCCATTTAAAACCAGGTCACCTGCCTCACACTTGAAATATTTAGTGAACTCATAAGCACCCTGTGAATACTGAAAAATACTGGTTGGAAGGCCACATCATGCATGAAAGCTAGTATGACCTTTCTAGAATAATAATTCCTAGACAGAGAGAAGAACTGAATGGTGACTTTGAGACATGAAAAGGCATTTCTCTGAAATAAAAAGGCTGAAGAAAGCCGATGATCGGTTAACATTTGGGAAACTCTGAGGTACAGCTAACCATTTGCCAGGCTAGCCTTTGGATTTATTTCTTTTTTGTTGGCTGTGCTGCTGCTACGCTCTTTATTCATATTTTCAAGGAAACACAAGTAAAGCGAATGTTCTCTAATTGCGCTCCCTTCCTGCAGTAAGCCCGCTCCTCCTGAGCACCCGGGCTGGTTCCATACGCAGCTCGTTGTGTGGAAGGGCTGGTGGCAGCTGCAAGTTGGTGTGTGACACATTGAGTAGTCATATTTCTCTTCTCTGTGGCCCTCCAAAGCCCTTTCCAACATAACTTTTCCCCATCTGTTCTCGTTTGCACTGCATAATAGGGGACAGGTTTTGGAACTTGGGATTCAAAAAAACATTAAGAGAAAATAAAAATGAGATGGAATTTGAGTAGAAAGAAACTCGCTGGCTTTCCCCCCCACAGCCCCCTTCCTTAGTTGCTGGGATCATGACCAGAGTATTAAATTGATCAAGTTTTTACTCTCGTCTAGTTGGTTCTCTTTATGGGGTAGCGGGGAAACGTGAGAACAGTAAAACATCTCTTTAAACTGTCTGCAATAAAATAAGCACAGGGCTGAGTCATTAGTAGGAACAATGTTGCCCAATACCTGACAAAGTTTTTCCACATTTGCTTAGAATCTCTAATAAGTTACATTAATTGTCTCCTGCCTCAGGTTCCTTCTCTGTGAAAGGGATGCCTGAAGTGAATTTTAGGAATATTTAGAGACAGTGTTTTCCTGAGTGCCATAAGCCCATCTCTGTTGTATGCACTAAATAATTTTGGAAATGATACAAACATTTTTAAATTTTAATAGTAATAAATTTCTTCTAATATACATTAGGAAGAAAACTGGCAATAGCAAAATATAACCCTGATTTCACAATTATTTTTGCTTAAGAAGAGGCTAAACTGGGCATGTAAGTTTAAAAAGTGAACAAATTTAAAGAGGAATATTCAGTAAATAATAAAAGTGAATATGGCAAAACAGAGAGTACAAGAATGGGTGCTTAAAAAGCAACTATATCAAGGCAGTGGTTCTTTTATTCTTTATGTTTTGTGGAAAGCTTTATTTTATGGTGTGGGCCTCTCGTTCTAGGGTTGGATTAATCATAATCCTTGGGTCATGGCATATGCTATCATTGGTCTAGCAGGGGCTCAGAATCCTTAATGGATAGCACCCCTCTTTGAGAATCTGATGAAAGTTATGGGTTTCCCTGGAAAAATGTATATTCCCATATACAGACAAACTTACATAGAATTTCTAGGTTTTCAGGAACATTTGGAGTGCATCTGTGGGCTTCTGGAAGTTTCAGGTGCATTCAAGGTTGTGTCCACTTGCTTCTCTGCTTTCTTAAGCTCACAGGCCAGCCAGCAGCTGAGGCTTTAAGCCACACCTACTACATTTCTGCAAGGAACAGCATCTTCCCTCACTGCAGGCACCACCCAGCCTGCTGCCTGGGATCATGTAGATATTACGGAAAATATCCACCCCCCACCCACCTCCCCACTTTCGCCTTTTCAAAAACAGAGATGCTACAAAAATGTCAGTAGCCGGGACCAGTTGCTGTTTGCCCAGTTCACCTCATTATCCACTGAGATCTGCTCCTCCTCCCTTCAACGGCTTGCACCTGTGAGCACTGCTATTTCTTTCTCACTTGTCCAGAGACAGGCACCTGCCCCAAGCCAGACCAATCAGCATCTTTCCACTTCCCACATCAGAACTTGGAAAGAGAGGTACATGACATGAAACTCAGTGGGGGTGCTTGTTTGTTAATTCTGCAGAGAAGAGCACTAGGTGCAGACATGGGGTTCTATACATGCTTCTGATGATACTGATTCCTTCAGCATATGTCTTTGGAGCTGAAAAATTTTAAGTAATCACTTCCATAACTCCCACCACGATACTGCACACTGTTCTTCAAGTACTCAGTTATTTATGAGAAGGTTGGTGATAATATTAATCAGAAAGATCATGGTAATGCCTGGCATCTACTGGACCCAGGCACTGTGCCACCTCCACTGCATGCTATATGCATGCCTTCTCGCTCATGAGGCAGGTAATATTATCTACTCCACTTTACAGAAAAGGACTCTGAGGTTATGGTGTCAGAAAGTGCTAGAACCGGATGGGCATGGTGGCACGTGCCTGTAGTCCCAGCTACTCACAAGGCTGAGGTGGGTGGACTGGTTGAGCCTAGGAATTCAAGCTTTGCCTGGGAAACACAGTGAGACTCCATCTCTAAATAATAATAATAATATATACATAAATATATAAAGAAAGGTGCTAGAACTAGTATACAGACCAGGACTGCCTCGCTCCAGACCCTACAACCTTTTCTTCTTCTCAACTTTTGAATAGGTAATTTGTTCACATAGTCTTTTTTTTCTGTTCAAAATAGTGAAACATCTTGCCCTGTCCTTTCCTTCCTTCTCGTTGTTCAAAGCCCCATCCATTTCTGAGGATTTGTGTCCAATTATACTACCCAACATAGACGTATATCTCTTTTTTTATTTAAATGATAGCATATGGTAGCATACGATCTATTTTGCTGAACCTTGCAGGATTCTTTTTCCTACTTACTGCTAATTGAGGAGCTCAGTTCATATCGATACATTGAAAACAACTTTATTATTATTATTATTTTTAAAAAGCAGCTTCATAGTGTTCCATTGTAAGAATGTTTCATAATTTACTGACTCAATATCCTATTGATAGGCAGGTTGTTTTCAATCTTTTGCTTTTATATATAGTGCTGCAAAGAAAACCTCCCACATCTGTCATTTCAGAATTGGGTGAGTATATGTGTAGGAAATATTCCTAGAATGAAATTCCAAGGTCAAAGTGTATGTGAATTTATAATTTTGCAAGAGAATATAAAATTGCCTTCCACGGACCTTGTATCAACTTCCACTTTGACCACAATGTACGAGAGTAACTTGCAGTATTCTTGATGATTTCAAAGTCTTCTTCTACTCTCACATTTAGAAGTTTCATCCTCTCTAGAATGTCTTAAATTGCTTTACCAAAAAGAAAAACAAAGGGCTGGGCATGGTGGCTTGTGCCTGTAATCCCAGCTACTTGGGAGGCTGAGATGAGAGGATCACTTGAGGCCAGGAGTTAAGACCAGCTTGAGCAACACAGCAATACCCTTCTCCAACTCTCTCTATAAAAAACTCTAAAAAATAACAACAGATAACCAAAAGTCTTACAATCAGTTTCTCCCCTGGCCCCATCCGGCACGCACACACATACAGAATTTTTTTCTGTTGTACATTTTTACCTACTTTTCTTAGAGCTCCCCCAACTTTGAAAGGAAGCTACGAGGATAAATGGTTTAAGGGCTTGGGATTCTATCAGCAAGCCAGTCCTGCTTAACCACTCAAAGAGCTGATGTTTCATCTCCAAGCCATTTACCATGAAGTCTTTCCGAGGGGTCTCTGATACCATTTCCCTGTTCCCCATTGCCAACCCTCCCTCCATCAGCTCACTGTCAGGCATCTCCACTGCAAAGCCCTGGCCTCCAGCATTCCTGATAGTTTGCACCAACTACATCTTTGGGGCCCTGCCACTCCACTTATTATTCTCATTCTTTGGGAGGTTAATGACTTTGTGGAAATCTGAAACAGCCCCTCCTCAGGAAGTGGTAAAAGTCTCTTAGAATAACACAAACAAGTCTTGAAAGAGCTCTTGAGTTCATCTGCATTTTAGGCCAATTAAAATCCCTAAAGAAACAATGATATGCATAAAAATTCAAGATTATATAATTGGCAGTGGCCAAAATCTCATAAATTTATATAGATACTGTCCTTTACAAACAATGAAAACATATCTAAAGGGGGAACAGATGCCTTCCCCACTCTCTCTCTCTTCCTCACAAATTAATGACCCTTTCCCTCCTTTAAGTCATTTTAGATATCAATTATTTAGCCAAGAAGAACCAGAAGAGTATCTTCTTTGTAGTAATGAGGCTTTGTCTTCTCAGGAACTCAAGTTCAGTTCAGAAACTTTCAAACATGGTTTTAAAGGCTTTTGTGAGTCAACTGTTAGTGAATCACACAAAGGGGGCCTTTATTAATAAACATATTCTGTTCATTATAGAGAAATGAAAGCCTCAGAATAATTCGCCAAGTGTTTAAAGAGAAAACAAAAACAATGTGGTAAACATATCAGGCCTTGATGAGCTGTCTAGGTAATTGGTTGTTTCTGTGCACCTGGTTCCAAAGACAATATTTAATGTGTAATCTGTTTCATTTGCTTGGGGAAGTAAGTGTAACTCTACCCCCTGGATCACATCTGCATTAAAATGAGGGGAGGCAGAGTCTTGTTTCAGCGAGTGGAAATTTATGCACATGAGTTGTCTTTTACATGGAGACAGCAATTATACCCCTAGAAATGCAGTCTGTGGGAGAAAATGACATATTCAATACTGGGGAACAAAAGCCTAATGCTAAGAGGACATTAACAAGGTTGGGAACCCCCTCCCAACAATTAACTGATCATTTACAAAATCTGCAATCTATAAAATTATTTTTAAAACATGTTTTTCAAAACAATGTGGTTTTTCTCCTTCTTTCTCAAAGAAATAAAAAGATTCAGCAGCAACCATACAGAATCTATTAGCTACTCCACAATAACAAATAATGTTTTAAAATCTCTTAAAATATATCTGGGGATTGAAACAAACACACACCAGGGAGTGATAGGTGATCCCTGGTTTAACAGCCTTATAACGACTGAGGGGAAAAGTGTGGCCAAGAATTTTTCATTTTTACGTGAGAAAGTTGTGGTGTTTGAAAGCAACAAACAGAATTCCAGAACACAGACTCAAAAAAAAAAAAAAAAAAAAAAATAGAGCATATGCAAATAAAAGTTGTTAGTTAAAACTGTTTTTTTAAAAAATAATTTGTTGGTTGATTTTCTTAAAGTCCAAAAGGGCAAAGCTAGAACCATTTAAATGAATTTAAGTTTGTGCTTCTCCCTGTCTTCTCTGGAGACTTTAAGAAATGGATGAGGAAGGATTTGCTGTCTCTCCTCAATGCCTCTGTGTCCTTTCCACTTTTGTGCTTCCTGGGCACACGGAAAGGCTTTATTTCACACACCATACTTTATTTCATGTACTGATTGTATCACCAACAGAAAACTATGTGCCCTGCTTAACTAAGATAGAATACAGTAAGTCAATGAAAACTCCCATTTGTTTTTGAATTTTTCTAAGTTGATAATGCTTAATCTTAATTTTTGGTGCATGGGTATGTGCATACTCTTTAATTAGTCTTGCTACAAAATCTGAGTGACAGCACTAATACTTTTTATTGATTTACTCTGAGATTTTTTATTTGGGTTCTTGGAAAACTTAAGTTTTTCTATCAATTTTGGTATATTTTCAGAAAGTAGCATTGAAAGAGTAACTTCAATGGGTCAGGCTCTGGGGAAAAGCCAGCTGCAAATTCTAAATCCCGACTACCTTTTGGAAAAAACTAGGAATTGTAAATGTAAACAAATATGGAAGAAGGAGAGTTTAAAATGTGTTTAATATATTCTGAACCACCATAGCACTAAAATCATAGATATTGTAAAATTATGGCATGGCAATATGATATATTATAGAAAAGAGCATGATAGAATGGAATTAGAAAACCTGAATTCTACTCTGCATTGGGTAACTACTCTTTTGGAGGAATTCATTCAAACTTTAAGCCTCTATTTCTTCAGTAATTGAAAAAAAAAAAGTAAAATGGAGGTGGAGTCCCCTGACCTGGTTTCATCAAGTCAGTGGCATTGCCATCATGATCATCATCATCAACAACAACAACAAAAATGGGTAGGGTTAGGGGAATAGGGAGGACTAACTGATCTCAAAGTTAAAAGAGACCTAAAAGGCCAAACAGATAAATGCGATAAGTGGTCATTGTCTGGAGTCTGATTTGACAGAAGACTTTTCTGAGAATATTCAGGCAATTAGAATCTGAACTGGAGATTAGAGGATACCAAAGAATCATTAATTTTATTAGATGTGATAATAGCATTATGGTTGTGTAAGAAAATGTCTACATGCTTGTTTATTTATTTATTTATTTATTTATTTATTTATTACTTATTTATTAAGATAATGTCTTGCTCTGTCACCCAGGCTGGAGTGCACAGTGGCCCTATCTTGGCTCACTGCAACCTTCACCTCCCCAGTATAAGTGATTCTCATGCCTCAGCCTCCCAAGTAGCTGGGACTACAGGTGTGCACCACCACACTCAGCTAATTTTTTGTATTTTTAGCAGAGATGGGGTTTCGCTATGTTGGCCAGGCTCGTCTTGAACTCCTGGTCTCAAGGGATCTGCCCATCTTGGTCTCCCAAAGTTCTGGGATTACAGGTGGGAGCCATGGCACCCAGGTGTCCATATGTTTTAGAGATGCTTAGTGAAAGATGTTGGGATGGAATCACATGATGGCTGAACTTTATATTAAAATACTTTAAAAAAAAAAAGAAAGTGGGAAACAGACAAATCAAGTAAATCAATTCTGGCTTGATATTGATTGTTGTTCAACCTGGTGATAGATACCTGGCATTCATTATGCTATTTTTTCTCTTTTTGCTTATGTTTGAAACTTCATTAAACAGAAACCCTAATATCATCAAATTCACACAAAAAAATTGAGGGCTGTATTAAATTAGTTCAAAATTTGCTTCAAAATAGAAAATTCAATCATTCTATTTCAAAGGCTGAGTAGTGATAATTGTAAACATCTAAAGCAATTTTTGTTTTATTTTCAAGATCAAATAGTATCTAAGTAAACTGTGTTACGATTATTCAATTTCATTGGTGCCTAATATCTATCTAAATGAGAATCAAGTGGAAGCAGACAATTCACTGCAGAAAAACTTCCGATGAACACTTGATTTGCCAACAAATCCGCACTTGATTCGCCAACAGGGAACTTCTGACCTTTAGCAGCAACAGAGCAAGCTTTTCCAATTAAAAGCTCATCTCATCTCTACGAGAGGTTGTATGGAACATGTTCATCCAGATCAATAAATTGCCTTTTTCTTCTCCTTTTTCACCAAATAGATTATGTGGCCATTTTCTATCTAGGAATAATCACTGGCACCAACAATTTTTTTCCTTCAAGTATGCGTATTTCTTTTCCATTTCCAAGTCCTTTCCATTATGAAGAGATTCAAATGTTTTCACAATTCACATTTTGAAACTCCAAATTCTTAGATGTCATCAGTAACATCTTTAGCTGTTAAAGAGTGGGACGTTTATTTCCTTCATTCCAAATTGGATTTCTGTGTCAGAAACTGGAGGATTTGGTAACCTTTTGTACTCTGTTGTAGAGCACTAGGAGGAACTGAGTCATAGTCAAACTTCAGACCGTTCATTGGTTTAAAAACTCATGTTTGTCAAAGAGAAAAGTAAAGCAAGATTTGGTGCATTTTATAGTCTAGTACTATTTGGCTTGGTGTTGATGTTAACCTTGATAGGGATAGATGAATTTGGTTGAACACAATTTTTATGGTTACTTAGGAAAATCAAACATTACTTAATGCAGTTTTTATATTATTGATAGTATATACAATATTATTTTGGGAGCTTTAGAATATAATTGGCAAACAACCATTTTATCAAAATAAAACAAACTTTTCAGACTGTTCCCTCCCTCATCACTGGTGACTCCTTCAGTACAATAGAAATGAAAAGAGTTCCCAAGAGAAAGGCAGCCAGCCCCACTGCAAAGATGGGAAAAATAACAAGTGGAAACTAAGATAATCTTTAAAAGTTGTTTGCAGATTAGAATTTCTACCTGGTCATTCCTCAGCAGGAAAAAAACCCAAACCTCTTTATACTATTTTCAATAAAAATAATACTAAAGTGCTAATG
The DNA here is from genome assembly GCF_000001405.40 of Homo sapiens. NCBI lineage: Eukaryota > Metazoa > Chordata > Mammalia > Primates > Hominidae > Homo > Homo sapiens. The sequence continues at coordinate 157,887,591 of NC_000002.12, read as the reverse complement.
GAACAGTAGGCAAAGGGCTTTAATGAAAAAGAAAATTAGAAAAATAAACAGCTAACATATATTTATGAACAAGTTACAATCTCATCAGCAATCATATATTCAGATTGAAGTAGCTAACTTTTAAAATTTCCAAACTGGCAACGATAATAGAAGGTGTGGTGACAAAGATGATGTGGTAAGATGGACAAGCCACTGGAGAGAGTTCCTGTTACTGGACAATTGGAAATATCATCTGGATTCCTACTTTTAAGAATCTATCCTGCTGGGTGTGGTGGCTCACGCCTGTAATCCCAGCACTTTGGGAGGCTAAGGTGGGTGGATCACTTGAGGTCAGGATTTCAAGACCAGCCGGGCCAACATGGTGAAACCCCGTCTCTACTAAAAATACAAAATTAGCCAGGTGTGATGGTGCGCACCTGTAATCCCAGTTACTTGGAGGGCTGAGGCAGGAGAATCACTTGAACCTGGGAAGCAAAGGTTGCAGTGAGCCAAGATCGTGCCACTGCACTCCAGCCTGGGCGACAGAGCAAGATTCTGTCTCAAAAAAAAAAAAAAAAAAAAAAAAAGAATCTATCCTAAGGAGATGATGACATTCCCCATCATCGTACTCTCATAGACTATCTAATGATCTGGGACAATGCTCACAATAAAACTAGAAGAGTCACAGAAAACCATGTGTATTTATATTTATATTTATATATAACATATGAATAATGAAAAAAGCAAGATAAATTTATCTAAAATATTATATCTATTTACATTGGACAGTAAAATCAGTTTTACCTTTATTGAAATACTTTTCTCTTTTTTTTTTTTTTTTTTTGAGACAGGGTCCCACCCTGTTGCTCAGACTGGTGTCTAGTGGCACGATTTTGGCTCACTGCAGCCTTGAACTCTTGGGCTCAAGCAATCCTCCTGCCTCAGCCTCTCAGCCTCCTGCGTAGCTGAGACTACAGGTATGTGCCACCACACCCGGCTAATTTTCTTTTTCTTTTTTCAAAGATATAGGGGTCTCACTATATTGCCCAGGCTGGTCTTGAACTCCTGATCTGAAATAGTCCTCCCTCTTCAGCCTCCCAAAGTGTTGGGATTACAGGATAGTCCTCCCTCTTTAGCCTCCCAAAGTGTTGGGATTACAGGAATGAACCTCTGTGCACAGCCTATGTTTATTTTTATAGTATATGTTGCATTAACTTTATTTGTAACAGATGTTTATTTTTATTATAAAAGTAACAATTATTGCAAGAATTTTAGGAAATACAAGATATGAATAAAAAACATATGACTACTCAATATATCCATGTAACAAAATTGCACTTGTACCCATTAAATTTATACAAATAAAAAAATTAAACTGCGGAAAAAATGTATAAATATGTTGAGAAACTGCTAATGGCTGCACGGATTCTTTTTGGGGTAATGAAAATATTTTAAAATTGACTGCAATGATGGTTGTACAGCTATTTGATATGTGAAAAACCATTGAATTGTACACTTTTAAATGGGTGAATTGTATGGTATGTATATGTATATTATATCCCAATAAAGTTGCTACCAAAACCCAAAAAAGAGGCTGAGAGTGGTGGCTCACATCTGTAATACCAGCACTTTGGGAGGTTGAGGCGGGCTGATCACTTGAGGTCAGGAGTTTGAGACCAGCCTGGCCAACATGGTGAAACCCTGTCTCTACCAAAAAAAAAAATATATTAGCCGGGCATTGTGGTGCATGCCTGTAATCCCAGCTACTCAGGAGGCTAAGGCAGGAGAATTGCTTGAACCCAGGAAGTGAAGGTTGCAGTGAGCTAAGATCGTGCCACTGCATTCCAGCCTGGGCACAAGGGTGAGACTCCGTCAAAAAAAGAAAAACATCCAAAAAAGTATAAGATCACCAGCACTGCCATCATCCCAAGATTACCACTGTCAGCATCTTGGCAAATAGCCCTCCAAGCTCATTTGTGTGCATCATATATGGTTGTTTAAAGAATAAAAATTAAATCTTACCAGGCATACCATTTAAAAAGTATTTTTAGCCCAGGCACAGTGGCTCTTGCCTGTGATCCCAGGGTTTTGGGAGGCTGAATTGGGAGGATAACTTGAGGTTAGGGGTTCACAGCTACAGTGAGCTATGATAGCACCACTGCACTCCAGTCTGGGCTACAGAGTGAGATTCTGTCTCTAAAACAACAAAAAAGTATTTTTTATTACAACATGTATAACTTTATAATCACAGAAGAACCAAGTTCTAGTTCCAGCCTTGCCTTAACTAGCTATGGAATCTGAAGAGTCACATGGATTTTCAGGAACAAACTTTTTCTGTGTAAAAGGCAGACTGGGACTAAATAAGATCTTCTGTCGCTTCCAAGTCTAGAGTTCTGTGCTTCCTTGAGGGAGGTGGCACTATAACAACAGTACACACTTGGATGTAACAACTGTGTTGAAATGATGAAGACTGTTTATCAATGGAGAACTACTAATCTTCAAGATAAACTTTTAGGTTTAATTTTAAAAAGAAAGCAAAGGATAGAAGAGTGTGGATAGCATGTTACCATCTGTGTTAAGACAAAAGAGAATACATGTGTACTTTCATATGTCTAGAACATCTCTTTAAGGATACATGGAAGCTGGCATTATTGAGAGGGAAATCAGTAGTTGGGAAACAATGGTGGTTCAGGAATTTATTTTTCACTATACAATATATCCTTTTGTGGGTTCCATGGTGTAAGTTAGCACTCTGGACTCCGAATCCAATATATCCTTTTGTACTTGTGTATTTTCTTTTCTTTTTTTCTTTTGGAGAAAGGGTCTCACTCTGTTGCCCAGGCTGGAGTGCAGTGACATGATCTTGGCTCACTGCAGCCTTGACCTCCAGGGCTCAAGCGATCCTCCCACCTCAGCCTCCCGAGTAGCTGGGACTACAGGCCTGTACCACCGCACCTGTCTTTGTATTTTTTGTAGATATGGGATTTTGCCATGTTGCCCAAGCCCTGGGCTCAAGCAATCCTCCTGCCTCAGCCTCCCAAAGTGCTGGAATTAGAGGCATCTGCCACTGCACCGGCATACTTGCATTTCTTTCTTTTCTTTTCTTTTTTTCTTTTCCTCCCTCCCTCCCTCCCTCTCTCTCTCTCTCTTTCTTTCTTCTTTCTTTTTTTTTTTTTTGAGACAGAGTCTTGCTCTATCGCCCAGGCTGGAGTGCAATGGTGCGATCTTAGCTCACTGCAACCTCCACCTCCTAGGTTCAAACAATTCTCTTGCCTCAGCCTCCCAAGTAGCTGGGACTACAGGAGCCCACCACCATGCCCGGCTAATTTTTTGTGTTTTTAGTAGAGGTGGGGTTTTCCCATGTTGGCCAGGCTATTCTTGAACTCCTGACCTCAGGTGATCTGCCCAAACTGGCCTCCCTAACTGCTGGGATTACAAGTGTGAGCCACCACGCCCAACCTTTCTTTTTTTAAACAGTAAAATAATTATTAGGAAAAAACGATTAACAGAGACATATGGACGTATTGGGTACAGTGATAAGTGATGTAAAGCAAATTTGTCACTCACTTCCTTGCTTAAACCCTTCTTTTCTTTTTTTTTTTTGTGACAGAGTTTTGCTTTTGCTGCCCAGGCTGGAGTGCAATGGCGTGATCTCGGCTCACCACAACCTCCGCCTCCTGGATTCAGGTAATCCTCCTGCCTCAGCCTCCCAAGTAGCTGGGATTACAGGCATGCACCACCACGCCCGGCTGATTTTGTATTTTTAGTCGAAACGGGGTTTCTCCATGTTGGTCAGGCTGGTCTTGAACTACCAACCTCAGGTGATCCGCCTGCCTCAGCCTCCCAAAGTGCTGGAATTACAGGCGTGAGCCACCGCACCTGGCTCACTTAAACCCTTTTAATCACTTCCCTTGATGGTGACTTGTGCGACCTGCATAATTTGGCTAGGCTACTTCATCCTCCTCCATGGCCATTTCACCACATGCTCACTTCACTCTAGTAACACTGGTCTTCACTAAGTTCCTAGAAATCTTAAGCTCTTCTTCCTCAGAAACGTCAAATGCAGTATCAGCAATGTCAAACAATTAACTTCCTACGATTTCCAACTTAACTTGAGGAATTTCAAAATGCAGAGACCTCCAAGGTGCAACCCACCCCTCACTCTACACCTGAGGAAAAACTAGGCTCTGAAATCTGAAGTTACTTGCCTAGGGTCACACAGCTAGTTCTCCACTACATATATGTAATTAACCTTAGCAGTTGCTCTCTGGAGTTTCACTGAACAAAAGTAGGTTAATAAAAAGGAAGCCTTTGGATTTTAGATATTGGTAGAATGGGGCTACATTAGGACTTAGAAAATTAATCTGATTTCTTATCCATGAAAATGTCTTCATGATGCCATTGCTCAGAGGACCCATCAGGAAAAAGAATGCTTCCTAAAACTGAAAAGCCACTGTAGTGCTGGGTTCTACCAAGAGCCACACAGTTATATTTGAAATGCATTTGTTTAATTTGAGGAAGAAATTAATTTGATCTTCCCGCCATGGGACTAGCTTTTAAAATCCACATCTCAACAATGTAGCTAAATTAACAGTAGTTAAGTAAATTAGAAACTCAAGGAGCTTCAGAATGTGAGCAAGACCATGGACAGTCCCGATGGGCATCTATCCCTCGAGGCTACAAGGAGGTTGTCACAAAGAGCCTGAGATGCAGGCAAAGAAGCAAGTCAAAGCTCTATGAGTTCTTTGAAAAAATTTCTTCTGAAAGAGATGGACTTACTACCGGAGAACAAAAATGTCAAATTTGAATTCCATTCACAACACCGCACCTCCCACTTCACAGATAAAAATCCATATGCATTCCTCACCGGTTAGGTCTTGTCCCATGATTGTCAGACCCTTTAAAAATATGTGCATTTCTATTTTTATAATGTTTATTATTTCTGCTTATAAAAGTGGTACGTTATAGAAAAATTGGAACACATAGATGTGTAAAGAAGAAAATAAAAGTCAGTCGTAGTTCATGTAAGTATTGCACGTCCTGGAATATTTCCTTCTAGTCTTTTTTCTTTGTGTATACATTTGATGGATGAATGTGCTTATAAGGGTTATGGAATTGGAATATTACCTTTGTCTTCTATTTTTTTTTCAACTTAGGCTTTATTGTTGGAATTTCAGAGTTATTAGATAGTAATTATTCTTTTACACAAATTTTTGTGCGATTAATAATAATTATTTTCATGGCATAAATTTCTGAAATGGGATTAAAATGTCCAAGGGTATAAATCTTTTAAAATATTTGATACATATCACCTAATTATCTTCCAGAAATTGTTTTCCAGTTTACACTCTCCATAGCAACTATGTCCTTTATAAAGTCAAATTTACCAATAGAGAATATGTTTAATTGCTGACAAATTGTGTGAAATAATTATATTAAATATTTTATCTCAGTTTTGTTTGTATGTATTATCTTTTCTTAGAACTTTGGAGATGGTAAACTTTTTTCCTAAATCTTATATGTAATAATTTAAATTTTCCTTGTCTAGTCATACTATTTGCTTAATGCTCTATTAGACGGTACATTTTGTTTATTTGAAGTTTTTTTATAATTAAAGATTTTAATCCTTTGAGCATTTGTTGAAAATACAAAGAAAAGGCCAGACACAGTGGCTCACGCCTGTAATCCCAGCACTTTGGGAGGCCGAGGTGGGTGGATCACGAGGTCAGGAGATCGAGACCATCCTGGCTAACACGGTGAAACCCCGTCTCTACTAAAAATACAAAAAATTAGAGGGGTGTGGGGGCAGGCGCCTGTAGTCTCAGCTACTCGGGAGGCTGAGGCAGGAGAGTGGCGTGAACCCTGGAGGTGGAGCTTGCAGTGAGCCGAGATCACGCCACTGCACTCCAGCCTGGGTGACAGAGTGAGACTCCGCCTCAAAAAAAAACAAAACAAAACAAAGTAGAAAATACCTTCTTTTGTTTGATTGTTCCTTAAAAATTTTTAGGGAACATTTTGGACAAAAATCAAAATGTTAGGGAAATTTTTTCCCATAGTAAAGCAAATCAACTTTTATTCTTCCATGGCTTTTATTTAGAAAGTTCTTTTCCCATCTAAAGATAAATATTTACCTACATTTGCTTCGAGTTAATTTTATGATTAAATATATGTATATATATTTAACTTTTTATTCCTTTTGGAAATATTTTCAGGAATGGTTTGAGGGGAGGCACTAACAGAATTTTTTTCCAAGTGCCTCAATACCATTTAATAAATAATCAGCATAATTTTGTAATGCCTCTTATATCACACTGTTGGCCCATAGTCACACAGTGGTTTGTACGTAGCCTCCTATGCCAGGAGTGACTGCATTGACACCCATTTCAACTATAGGCAGCTTGAGGACTCTGTGTATAACTCTCACAGTTCCCAGAATATGGTAGGTGGCCAGTGAACTCTTATATGAAATGCACAATTAATGAGTCATTGATACACCTGGGAAAGTTTAACTTGGAAGATAAACAAATGTCTGTCCTGACTGGTTTAAATGTTTACCTTTTGAGAAAAAGGGTGCCAAGTCAGACACGACTTTTAGTGATCCTTTCTGCTTATGATTTTCTCTTCCACCCCCTACTATTTTGATCGAGTTGCTTAGATCTTTAGAATATAATATTGGTTTCTTAGGGCCTCAGGATTAGGACTAAATTTAAGATCTCAAGGCCTTATAATTCATTTTTCTCCAAGAACAGTTATGATGCATCTGGGCTAGTATTTCTCACATTTGACTGATATACACAGCTTTAAAATGTATGTACCTTTTAAAAAAAAGGACCATGAACCTTCAGTAATGCCTTATTTTTATTAAAACATCATTTAAATAAGGTGCATGTCCTTTTAGGCACATAGCAAAAAAGACAATGGGGTCATGGTTGCACGGTAGACACTCATATGATCCACAATATACCCAATATTAAATTCTTTAATATATTGTTGTAAAAACATTGTGATTGACGCAAAAGCACAAATTTCAAGAATTCATAGAGAACCTGGAGATCTCCCTAGGAGTATATATAAGTCATTATTCTAGTCTAACAAAACAGAAATTGGAAAATTATTTTACCATATACCACATTCAACCCTCAACCTTTGCTGTTTTTCTAGGCTGTATGGATGCCTACTGTATAAACTCATCTGCATGTATTGTAACCATTATACAACTATGAAACTAAAGCTAAATAAAAACAAAACTATAAAACCTATGCTTCAAATAACCTTATTTAATGAGACGGACGATATTGTTTGCTCAACAAAAGTGTCTGTTCACATCACAAACATGGTACTATTGTCTTCTATAAGCAGCGATTTTTTTTTTTTTTGGTTCTACATGCCCATTACTTAGTGAACAGACTTATCTGGATTTGTTTGTTCCTTCCTTCCACTATTAATCTTTATTTTTCTTCAAGAAACCTTTATTAGTTGAACAGCACATCAATCCATCAGGATTTTCATGAATTATCACCAGCTGTCAAATATCCCACCAATATTCTGAAGAATTTGCTTCTGGAAGTTGATAATTAAGCTGATTTTTGCTTTACAGATTTTAAGAAAACATGCTTTTTTTTTTTTTTGGAGACAGAGTCTCGCTCTGTGGCCCAGGTTGGAGTGCAGTGGCCCCATCTTGGCTTACTGCAACCTCCGCCTCCTGGGTTCAAGCGATTCTCCTGTCTCAGCCTCCCGAGTAGCTGGGATTACAGGCACGTGCCACCACGCCTGGCTAATTTTTGTATTTTTAGTAGAGACAGGGTTTCACCATGTTGGCCAGGCTGGTCTTGAACTCTTGACCTCAAGTGACCCACCTGCCTCGGCCTCCCAAAGTGCTGGGATTACAGGCCTGAGCCACTATAGCCAGCTAAGAAAACATGTTCTTTTATCCCATTATGAAATAAAACCTCTCTCTGAAACCAAAAAGAAATGGTTCCAAGATGAAAGAAAAGTACTCAGTGTGGTTAAATATGTTAAATAATTTTTAAAAATTATGACTTACTTATCGTATCACTTACAATCTCAGTACAAAGAGGATGTGGTTATTGTTTGTAAGTCTAAAAGCTTAACACACTGTAACAGAGAAGCTGTTTTTATTTATTTATAAAATTTATAATTTATTTATTTATAAAATAAATTCCCCCAATTTTATAGAAAAATATCATACAGGACTCTTAGGTTGCTCAAGACCCTGTTTCCTAATAGTTTTTGAAAGCTGTTGACTTTTAGAAATGAACATGTTGATCTGGGCGTAAAGGAGGAGGATATGCAGAAAACAGAAGAGATGCCAATTCACAATGCAGCAGGCAATTAATTAGCAAGAGTCGTGCTCCTTGAAACATATGATTGAGGAGATCTGAAAATCTTAGAATAACAGAAGATATATTTCCTCCAAGTAACTTTACTGGTGTGATTTTCCACCAGAGTTCAATCAATGAATTAGAGTAAGGTTGTGGTTCTCAACAGGAGGTAGTTTGGCACCCCCTCCCAGAAAATATTTGGCACTGTCTGGAGACATTTTTGGTTGTCACAACTGTGGCGGGAGGGTGTTCTGGCAGTTAGTAAGTAGAGGTCAAGGATGCTGCTAAACATCTTACAATGCACAGGACAGCATTCACAACAATTACCCAGCCAAAAATGTCAATAGTGCTAAGGTTGAGAAACCCCGGATTAAGGTGTCCAAGCCAAAGGGCTGTATCCTTGTGTGCACAGGGCTTGTGTGGAAGGCTGTATCCTGCTGGAGGAGTGGAGGAGCCTTTTGCCTCTTGCTTTACACACACACACACACACACACACACACACACACACACTTTATGTCGAAAGGCCACAAGTACTGTTACAGGACCCCAACACTTACCCAAAGGTAGCCGTTGGGTCAGGGTTTCTGCACTAAAGTCCCTTCTGTGGTTGCCAGGAATATGTTTTAGGGCAGGGGTCCCAATCCAGACCCCAAGAGAGGGTTCTTGGATCTCACGCAAGAAAGAATTCAGGGCGAGTCCGCAGTGTAAAGTAAAAGCCAGTTTATTAAGAAAGCAAAGTGGTGAAAGGACACCTACTCCATAGACAAAGTAGGATGTTGCCGAAAGTAAGAGGAGGAACGATTCCATGCTAGGTACATCGCTCGTATATATAGGGAGATGTGCTCTGCTACAAGAGTTTGTGATAAATAAATAAATTACTATATTTTGCAAGAATCAATATTATCTTTAAAGCAAAATTAGGAATGCCTTTGTTCTCCAGATATCGGGATATCTGGACACTCCCAAGTCTGGGTTTGTTTAGTAAACACTATTAATTTGTTCCCTTAGCTGTAAACATCTAGAGGCTAAGAAAGCCTAACTTCCCGAGAATGCAGCCCAGCCAGTCTCAGTCTCATTTTCCTAGCCCTCATTCAAAATGGAGTTTCTCTGGTTTGAATGCCTCTGACAGTACCATCCAGAATTCTCCCAGTCTCCTGGCACACTAGTAAGTCACAGGAGGTTGAGTTAGAGTGTTTTTCACTGAGCCAGCCATACAATAAGACCACTATTGAAGGAACTGCTTAAGGAACAAATAATAGGAACTGTTCAGAGCATAACAGGATTCATTAATTCATTTATTTACCTACTCAGCAAAACTTTATTGAACACCCACATGAACCCTTCTGCTAAACATTGTGATACATGATGAATACAATCAGACCTGGTCCCTGCCCTCTTGCAGCTTACAGCCTGGGAGGGAACTCTAAAGGTTACCAAGAAGGGCCAGTTTGTACAATGAGGACTCCATGAATGTACATCATTGAGCTTCACAAGCTTTCACGTTTGTAATCTCATTTGAACTGCACAACCACCTCACGAGACAACCTGTATTCCCTTCTTAGGTTAAAAATGTGCCCCAGTTCAAAACAGTTTGTAAGTGGCAGAGCTGACACTTCAGCCAAGTGACAATGAGGGCCCTGTTACATCATTCTATAGAGCAGGGATACATATAGGTGCTCTTGCCTTGATTGGTACTGAACTTGCCTCTCCTGCTCCTCACCAATCATACAGGTACAAAGCTCTCTTTATGAAAAAAATGCTCCCACCTACTCCATCCTTTTGCTTACAGCTGGGGATTCTAGTTTTTTCACGTATATATGCCTTGTATTTCTAATTAGATTGTAAACTCCCAACCTGCAGGGACCAGATCTTCCATTTCCTTTGCAACCTTTTGCAGTACTGCAGTCACCCAATAAATGCCCTCTGCATGAATGAACCTGTAGAGATAAAAATACTTTATGGCATTCCCATTTATAGGTTTCATGTTTTTATTCTGCTTTGTGATAGGACTGTACATTATAAGCTTCTAGAGGGCAGAGAAAATGGCTTAGTGCTTTCCTTTACACTCAGCAGGAACCATGCAAAATTTGATCCTTGCATGCCTTTTTGATGCTCTGGGTAATATTAGCACACTGGGGTGTTTTTGTGTATCTAAGGACCGAGGTTATCAGACTCTCTGCAGCGGAGAATGTTCCTGCATTTCCACTGTAAGCTCCCATGGCGCCTAGGACAGGGCTAGATCACTGCAGAAGCCCCTCCATGCTTATTTCTGTTACTAAGGAAGCCAAAGGCGAACATGGCAAGCTCTGTCATAACCCTAGACCTTGCAAGGAAATGAGCAAAGTGGAAGGGGATCTGAAGGCAGGTCAGAGATGGCCTGGATGAGAATGCTAAGGCTTCTCTCTGAGAATCCAGCCCAAGTCTGACATGCAGGGCTCGAGTAGGTGGCCGCCCGCAGTCGCCGGGCCCGGGATGCCCGCCCGTCCGCCCGCCTGCCCCGCGCGCCCTCGGGAGCTGTCCAGACGGCCCCGCCCGCGCCTACCTGGGCACTCACCCGTGCCGCGCGGCCTCTTCTCCTCCCACCCCGGCCACAGGAGCCCAGCTCGGGCCTGCCCCGCCGCCTCCGAGGAGCCCCGCTGGCGGCGCGCTCATAGCTTCCACCCGGGCCAAGCGACCGGCCAGACAGCGCCAGGCGCGCCGGGGGCGGCGCGGTCAGGCTCGGCGGGGCTCGGCGGGCTCGCCCTCGGCCGGGCGCCTGCAGGGGGCGCGGGGACGGCCCCGCCCCGCCGCCTCCTCTCTCCCCTCCCGGCTCCCTGGATCCGCGCCGGGAGGAAATGATGTGTTGCTGCCTGGTTAATCACAGCTCCAGACACTCATTGGCCGAGCGCTCCGCAGCCACTTCCTCCTCCTCCTCCTCCCGCTCCTCCCGCTCCGGCTCCTGCTCTTTGCAGCCGCCGCCGCCGCCGCAGCCTCCCCCTCGGCGCAGGGGGAACTTTTCTACTCTCTGTGACGGTCTCCCCCGCCGCCCCCGGGGGCAAGCCCAGCTGGTCCGCCCGCCCCGCCCGCGGTCGTGCTCCCAGCCCGAGCCTCTGCGCCTCGGGAAGTTTATTCTGCCCGCCCTCCTCCCCTTCCTCCTCCTCTTCACCCCGCCTCCCCGCCCTCCCCCGGCTCTTTCCCCCGGGTGGCTGCCGCTGCCGCCGCTGCCGCTGCCAGCCTGCTCCTCGGCCAGCCGCGCCGGCCCCAGGGCCGGGAAGCTCCCGGCCCCACGCACCGCTCCGCTGCAGCCACCGCAGCCGCCGCCGCTCTGGGCCGGCCCTCGGCCCCCGGCTCCCGGCCCCGCAGAGTTCCGGGCTCCCTCGCCGGCTGCACCGCCCCGCCCCGCCCCGCGCCGCCCCGCGCCGCGCCGACCTGCAGCGCCCGGCTGCCTCGCACTCCGCCTCCCCCGGCTCAGCCCCCGGCCGCGGCGGGACCCGAGGTGAGCGCAGGTCGCCGGCCGCGCCTGCTGGAGCCGGGAGGACTGAGGGAGGAGGTAGCCTAGCGGGAGAAGAGGCAGGGATCGGGGGTGGCAGGGTGGGCGTCTGCGGTGCCTCCCCCTCGCTTTCATTCCTTTCTCCCCCAAGCTTGATCCCCTCTCCGTGGGGGAAGCAGCCGCGGAACAAAACTGTCTTGCTTTGGGCCTGAACTGCTGGTGGGATATGGGGGGTGGGGGGGCAGAGGCGTGGAGCGGGGGTCTCAGGTTTGTATTGGGGTGTGTGTGAGTGCGTGTGTGTGTGTGTGTGTGTTGTGAACTCCTTCAGGGTGTGCGACTCTGACTTGTAAATCGATCTGGCCGCGGGGCCACGGGGCTTACCTTCCTAGCTGAGCTTGTAGAGAGTAAGGAGATAGATAGGCGAATTTCCCCCACCCTCAAAATATCCATCTCTTCCAAGAGGAATTTTCTGCTGGAGAGACAGCCAATAAACTCTGCTCAACTCCCTCCCTCCCTCGGTTCTTCCTAGCTGCAGTTTCAAAAAGCTTCAAAGCCAGGAATGTGGGATTCATCTTCCGATCCCCAGAAGGCAAATGTGGTTACAGATGTTGCACGGTACTTTGCCAAGTTTAAAACCCTTCCTTCAACACTGTAACCAAAACAGTGAGGCTAGAACCTCGGGCGCACTAAGAAGAGATGTGGGCCTCTGGGGCCGCTGGATTCAGTAACTTCCGTCGGGTTCTAGACTGGCTCGGCTCTGTCCAGTTTGTGCCAGATAGTCTCCCACCCCCTCCCCACCCCTCCTTTCCCCTGGAGATTTGAACGCTGCTTGCATGGGAGAAAAGCTACTTAGAGAAGAAAACGTTCCACTTAGTAACAGAAGAAAAGTCTTGGTTAAAAAGTTGTCATGAATTTGGCTTTTGGAGAGAGGCAGCAAGGTAATACAATGGACTTGTCAATTTTATTGGGCTTTTCTTTCTTTTTTGAGGGATGTATGATAAGAGTTAGATGATGGGCAAAGGGGCCCGTTCCATACATGTTTTTACATATTTTTGAGAAGAGGCCCATGAATTGAGACATAACCCAGTGGTTTTAAAGAATCCTGTCCCAGAGATGCAGATTGCTCTGACAGCCCAAGGGAAGGCGGTGGCAAAAAATAGACACCACCTCCCTTTTCCCCAAAAAAATTCTTCCTGGAAAGGTGGTGTTAAGAAATTTCAGAGATGGGCTGATCCAAGTGGCGGGCCTTAAATGGAAACACTATAGTATGTCCTGGCACTTGTCTCTGGAGGTGGGTTGCTGGCCAGGGGCCCAGGCTTGGGCAGCCAGCAGACACTAGACTTGTGCTGACCTCAGACATCGGCCTCGCCATGCAGCTTCATAGTGTGCAGACTGCTTAAGTTTGAAATATGGGCCTCATCCATTTCACTGATGGGGACATAGGGGTCAGGAGGTTATCTTATGCCTGGATGGGACCTCGATCACTTATTTTATGATTCACTTGTTTTTATTTTCTGTCTTGGAATTTTAAAAAATGGAATTCTTTTGAAGCTGAAATCTAGGCCTTAAGTTGATGTAACTGGGTGTTGGATAATAGCATTTCTGCTATTACCCCTTATGCAGGTACTCACAGGTGGTGAATGATGGATAGATAAATTCTGGATAGGTGACAAAGACTAAGGATTGGGATGATTATAGATTGGGTTCATGCCCTCCTTTTCCAGCTGTGTTGTTGAGTTTTACTTGAAATGGAGAGGGTGGTTTTAAATAAAACTTGATTTAGATAGTAGTCTTACAACTTTTGTACCTTGGAAGAGAGTGATCATTTGAATTCTAGCAAGTTTGTTGTTATCTGTGAGGAATTTAAAGGAATATTAAGGATTCAGAGTAAAGATGCCATATTCAGGAATGTAATGTATTAATTTCAGAAGTGAGGAACTTAATTTGATTAATAGATTTGTAACGAATTTTTTTCAAAGTAGTGATTTGCCAGTTTTCTTCATGTGTCCAAGGAAGGTATAACAGAGATTGAGTCAGGAGATAGAGGTTATGCCTCTATCTTGCCCTAGATTGGACTGAACTAGTCCCATGATTGTCATGATAGGCTTCTAGGTAATTCTCAGGCTTGGATTGAGTAGTCCAGTCTTCTGAGGGAGGGGGGACAGGACAGAAATGGATTTGAAAAATGATTCTGCTCTTCAAGGTCATGAGGTGAAGATGGAATCAATGCTGGGGCTGGGAGCTGTAGTCTGTGGCTTGTTCTGCTCTTGGATCTCTGCATCTTGATTTATTTTTATGTGAAGCGATCTCATGCCCAACTCAGTAGGAATTCTGGAGAAGCAAACCACTGATGGTGGCAAAACTCTTTGATATGTTTGGGTGGCTTTAATGACAGGATAGTTTAGGGGTGCTGGATATGTGCTAGGCACTGGGCTCAGCTCTTCACAGGTACTTTTTCATGACATTTCCACAAACACCATATGTCTTATTATTATTTTACCGTCCTACAATAAGAAATTGAGGCTTGGCAAATTTCAGTGGTAGAATGGGGATTTGAACCAGAGGTCTGCAGGACTTCAGAACTCATGTTCTTGGCCACTTTTGCCAGTGATTGTCAAAGTTCATTCACTCACATACTGTCTTCCTGAGTTTACCATGGCTGAGTCCCACTTACTCTATTAATATTTTTCTTTAAAGCAATGATTCACTTAAAGAAAAGAACCTAAAGACATCATTTTTTTGAGAGGAAATTATGTATTACTACCATATTTGGAAAGCCAACTCACTTGTTAGGAATAGGAGGTAGTCATAAATATGCGTTTGTACTTGCACCGAAACCCCAACTTCAGAATAATGATTATGTGGAGTGTGTGTATGTTGCAGGGACCTGGAATAAAAATGGAGGAAGTAGGTAGATGATACAGTGTTGGTGATGTTCTGGTTTTTGGATTGGGTGATGGGTTCATAGGTGCTGATTTTATTTTTAGACTTTATAACCTACATACACAATACATTTTTTCTAAAATGATAAAGAAAATTAAACACATAACCATTAACATAATGATTACTTAGGGAATATTTTACTGCACTATGCTGACTATAGATTTAGCTTGGTGCCTTGTTTGCAGTGGGCACACAGTAACTACTGGCTGATCGATAAGACCCCAGGAAATAATTGTAAAGCAAGCTCATTGTTTGTTATATTTGAATAAGGTTGAGGTATGTCCCCCTCCTCCCCTATTTTCTCCTGCTTCTACTCTCCTTTCCAATATTGCAACTAAATAGTGTGGGCTGCAGTGAGGTTTCACCTGGCTGTAGTTATGGGAGACACAGGCTGGGCTGAAGCTAGCACTTTTCAGCATCACCTTGTCTTATATATCTAGCACTTGGGATGGGGCAAAGAATACTGTCATGAAGTGTTAAGACACCTTCCTTTTTACCCAGTAGTAAGGTGTGACCATTCAGAGCTGGAAGCAGTATTTAAGTTAAAGCAGGGCCTGGATGAAATGTTAACAACATTAAACTGGTGAGGCTGGGAAATAAAGCCATCAGAAATTTTAATTGGAATCCGCAGAATCTCCTGTTTTATTTTCCCAAGCAAGCACCGGGCACTGTGGCTTTATTCCTGGAAATGAGGATTTGGAATTGGGTTTCCTGGTACAAAATACCTTCTTTGATCTTTTGGAGTGAAAACTTTGTGTTTCTTTCTGTGGCCAATTCCAGCTCTCAGAAGAACCAAATGGAAGATTTACCTCCTCATTTTTAGCAGTTGGCCATAGAATGCTCTTGCTTGCCATGTTAAGTTTAAGAATCAGAAGTTCTAAACTAGGGTTTGTCTGTTGGAAGGACATTCAAATGAAAGACTCCTTTTGAAAGAGCCTCATCAGTTTGGTGTGGTTGGCACATCACAGCCTTTGGTTCAGATGGGAGGTAGTTTTGCTTGAACTCACACTCTCAAAATTAACTAATAAGATATTCGGCAGCTTCCTTTTCTGAGTTAACACAAATACACCCTCTGCCCCTAATATTCAAACTAACCACACATTCGAATACTATTCCTGTGCGCTTCTAGGCAGTTCTGGAAATGTGAGATTGTTTATATGTATAAAGGCTCTTATGTGATCCATCAGAGCTTTGTTTTCCAGAGCCACGGCTATTCAGTTGTTTGATTTTTGGGTTTCACTCTCTGACCAACATTCCACTTTGCCCATTAGAGTTACTTCATTGTTGACTCTGGGTATTTGGCCTTTATTTCTGTGACTGGGAAAGTAACTTTAAATTTCAGTCTTCCTAAATTTTGTGGAGGTTTGTGCAGTAGGTGAAAGTTGTTTTGAAGAGGGGGATGGGGTGAGACCACTTTTAGCATAAGTGTCCTGAGGGATCACCCAAGGTCAGTTCTCATTCATCTTGAGGCCAAACCCTGGCTGTTCTGGTCTCTGCATTGCCCCTCACTCCCCTCCTTTTTGGGGGACCCAGATTCTTCAAGGCTCAGAGTAATCTTACTGCAAGCAAGAATGCTTTCTGGATTTTGCCATTTTGCCTTTCGACAGTCTCCTAGGTTTTATCATCCCCATTTCTTATTCTGGGATGTGATTGATCTCTTTGAGGGCAAGGACTTCAAGTTGTTCATTCCTCCATTGATTCTTTCTACACAAGTCATTGCTCTTCACCAACTTAAAACCTTTCAAATTCTCTCCCTGGGCTCCTTGAGGCAAGGGACTGTCTTATTCATCTTTTGTGTAACTTTTGCACCTAACACAATGCCTGGCCTAGACCACACAGTCAATAAATTGTTTTTGAATTGCCGAGAGAATGAATGGATGATTGCATATTAAGGGAGCAAAGGGACCTAGTCTTCTAGGGAACCAGGGAGATTGCTGACAAGATGATACCAGTCACTGTGGTCCGTAAGGATGAGTTTGGAAAGTGGGGACGAAAGACATTCTATGTAGAAGGAACTGCTTTTGATACCTCTTCTCAGTGCTTAATGTTGTAACCTGTGCTTAGTCAATTCCACAAACATTTATTGTGTTCTTTTCAGCATATGTTTCTTTCTTTCTTTTTATATTTAAGAGTGATGCTTCCATTTTTGAGAAGAATATCTCACTAATTTTTTATATCCCACAGAGCAGGGAATCCTTCATTATTTATAGTTAGGACCCAGACACTCAGTGAATCAATTACTTTACTCTTGACTTTTTCCTGTTGCATATGTTTCCAAACAGTTGACAGTGAAAACGTAGTGGTGGGCCATGCTTATGTGAGAGGTGGAAAAATGTAGGTGACCTCTTTGGAAAATGGGTGGAATCCAAAGTAAACTCCTCTTTTGAGAGATTTTTAAGGGCTGAAATCAGTGGACATACCACATATAACTTTTCATCTTGAATACTTGATGGGTGTGTGCTTTTGCTCATCTATGAAAGCCAAGATTGGCTATTAATATCACCATGCCATCGAAAAGCAAGATTACTTTGATTTGGGGGATTCCGTTTTAGCCAGTTCTGGAAGAATATTGATAGGCCCTCCAAAATATAACCTTGAACTTTAGAAATGTACAGAGGGGAGAACGAAGGTGGGGTGATCTTGGGCAAAGTTGGATATTAGAAATGGGACGATACTTGAGAGTTTGGAACGTGGGTACTGAGGAAAATGTGCAATAAGAAGAACTTGAGAAAAAGCATTCTGGAATAGAAGGGATGGGTTGAGTGATGTTTTAAACCAAGTTCCGAAACTTCCACTATTGCAGCTATTGATGAGTGTTGGCTACGCTTGGGGTGAAAGTAAGATGTGCTTGATTTACTCTCTGTAAGTAGTGAGTTAATGCATATAAGCAAACATGACCATAAAGGCAGGAGCTTAGGGATGAATATCCCTTGTCTTGATGTCAGGGACTTACACAAGATAGAAATATGCATAGGAGTGAAAGTGTAGGTGGTTATCTAGAGTGACACCTTCCTTTTCAGGAGTAAGGGACACATGTGCCCAGTGCTATTTTTCATACAGTTTTCATATGCTTATCTTGAACTTGAAGAACCCAAGTTGTTGTGAACAATAGGTGGCAAGAACAAATATATTATGAGGATGGCCTAGTAAAAAACAGAAAAGCTCAGTCAGCAGAGATTACTTTATATAAACATAAATGTTCTATTTCAGTATTTTTAAAACATTTTAACACTCAGCAGTACATTTTATATCATGACCTGGTACACACACAAACACATATGCATGTGCACAGGTGTTAAAAATAAAGCTGAATTACAAGTTCTACAAAAATATTATAATGCTTTTTAATTAATATTCAATTTTTATTTTAAAAATTCTAGTCTTTATATACTAAACTGATTTTACAACTTGCTAATGGGTCCTAATAAGCAGTTAGAGAAAAAACTGTTCTAGGTATTGTGGAAATTAGCCTTAGTTTGTTTATTGAATAGTTGCTAGTCTGGATGAGACTTTCGTTTTCTTTTTGTGTGGATTTCTGTCATTCTATAGAAAGTTCTTACCCCTATGCCCCTCTCCCTTGCCAGATTATTTTTTCTGTGTATTGTTTCCAAATCAGATTAAAGTGAGTAATACGTGATTTGGACCAGCTCCAGTGTGCATCATCATCATCATCTTGATCCCCATCAGCATCAAAGGTGGGGCTGATTCATTTAGAATGGTGGCAGGAGCCACTTAACTCCCTGTTTATTTAGATTATACTTGAAGAGGTTGTTGACTTTCAGGAATAAGGGGAAGCTGAGGTTACACACACCCAAAGGATGAGAGGGAGGTGGGGAAGATGACCCCCATATATTGTTCAGAAATAAAAAATGAAAGCATGTGGTTAGTAGGGACAGCTCTTTGCATTCAAAGACACAAGAGCTTAATTGTTGTCATTGTCCTTATCATTAAAATCTTGCTTTCCTCTTCCTTCATCTTTTCCCGTCTTCTTTGTCCCTTATTTATTGAGCATTTATCAAGTCTTCCTCTAGGTAAGGTTGGGCATAGAAAGCTCAGTTATTGTCAAGTTAATATTAAGGTGCACTTGAGTAAGGGAGTGAATAATTATACATGTAACTATTAGTGGCAGAACTCTGAATATCTTGGTCACAAGTTACAGAGGATCAACCAACACCTTTAAGGAGGTGGCTGTTTGGCTGGCCTCTGAAAGAGGTACCAATTGGATGTTATTTTGAGAGGTATCTGTATGTGTATAGGTTGTAGCATAGGCAACATTCCAAAAAGAGAGAATGGGGCAAGTAAATATAAGGGGCTTGTTTTTTATTTAGAGGCCAAGTTATAGAAAAGATAGTTGCAGATTTTTTTTTTTTTTTTGAGATGGAGTCTCGCACTGTCACCTGGGCTGGAGTGCCGTGGCGCGATCTCGGCTCACTGCAACTTCCACCTTGGGTTGAAGCGATTCTCCTGCCTCAGCCTCCCGAGTAGCTGGGATTACAGGCACTCACCACCATGCCCAGCTATTTTTTTTTTTCATTTTTAGTAGAGATGGGGTTTCACCATGTTGGCCAGGCTGGTCTTGAAGTCCTGACCTCGTGATTCACCCACCTCGGCCTCCCAGAGTGCTGGGATTACAGGCGCTAGCCACCGTGCCTGGCAGTTGCACATATTTTTAATCACTAGTCTCAGACTATGTGTCCTGGGATGCAGCTTCTCAGGGTGGCATGCGAGACCTTAGACAACCGAAAGGAACAGCACATTCACAGTTAAAAGTGCTTTGTGATGTGACTTGACTCTGTAGAGCACATCAAGATGAGCACCATAGGAGCAAGCTTAGAAAGGGAGATTTAGAGGCACATTATGGCTTACTTTGAATGACAGGCTGGAAGTTAAGGCATGAAAGCAGGCCTTGGTCTGGCCCCTTTCATTATCTCATTTAATGCTCACTCACACTCCATGAAGTACCTGCTCTAATGCCCATTTTATAGAAGGAGAAACTGAGGCATAGAGAGGTGATATGAATGTCTAAGGTTACACATCTGAACTTTAACTCAGGCTGTAAATTCCCACATCACCATCAGTGCACCAGAGCAGAGGTTGAAAACTGGTGGTCTCTGAGCTCAGTATACCTCAGAGTTCTGTCCTGTTTGATACTGTATTTAAAACATTAAAAAAAAAAAAACATGGTTGCTAACATGTAAAAATGGGGGACATTTTCATAAAAAAAAAATCGAAATGTCCAGCTGCTCCTGCAACACTGAAAACTCTGGCAGCCCCAGGGCCATATTCCTTCCTGCAAGAAACTGCCAGATCTTTTGACCATGTCTGTCTGAGGGAGATGTGTGTGCTGTGGCTGCTACTGTCTCAGTTCATCCTGTTTTCTCCCAGACACTGAGGCTCGGTGTTAGTTGCTGTTTATTGTTCTTGCACTGACAGGTTTGTTTGTTTGTTCCTGTAGGCTAACTGGATTGACCCTATAGGTGTATGAGTTTGAGGCCTTGGCACATAGCCTTCTGTTAGCCAAGGATGATTGGTCTAGTGGAGTGGGATGCCCAGAAGCCAGGAGGAAATGAGAATAGATGGAACTAGGGTTTTAGCCTTGGGCTGGAGAAGCCATAGGGCTTGGTGAATAAATTACTTTTGCAATGAGAGGGAGGGTAGGGGTTGGGCAAACATATGTGACTTTTGGAACCTGGATGACTGGGAGAATGGTGTTGCTCTTAAAAGAAAATGGAAGGTTGCCAAGAGCACCTGGGTTGGAATGGATTGTGGCGTTGGGTTTGAGGTTCTGGGAGAGCAAGAACCCAGAAGAATGCTTACTTGAGCCCTGTGAGAAGCTGGGAAAATGGAACTGAAACTCTGGAGATAGGGTTTGGGGCTTTGGCTTTGTATTGGCTATTGGATTTGTACTGGTGATTGGTGAGAGGATGAGAATGTCCTGGGGGAGAGCTTCCTTTTGGAAATGGGAAGAAGTGGGTTGAGGTCTGAATGATAAAATGAACCAGCTACAAACAGTTCAAAGTCTGTTATTGACTTTTTGGGGTCAAGTGCCATATCTTGCAAATAAATCAAATGTTTATCCGAATAGAGGAGTAAAATAACAGTCTCCAACTTTTGAACATGGGAAACTGATAAAACATCTGCTCATAGAATCAAAGGCAGACATGCTGTTTGATGGGTGACACCTGTATCTTATGTCTGTGCCTATTTCACTGAGCCTTATTAAGGTAAAACTGATTCTAATAGTGACCTTTTCTTGGTATCATAGATGATATAAAATGTGAAAAAGAAGTTGCCGGAGCTCCAAGATGGGGAAAAAAATGCCAGAGGAAAATGCTCTCTGCTTGAGATTTATCCTTGCTTTTAACCAGTTTAGAATGGAATGTCCTTTTCAAATTCAGAGAAGCTTTCCCCCCCGCCTCCCTTGGCTTGTTTGCTTAGGATTCCCTCCAACTTATTGTTTCTTAATCAGCTGTGTCCACCTCAGCTCCTCTCTCTTCTCCTACTTGGTTCCCTTTTGATCCCTAAAAGTCTTATTGTTTTAGGACATTCTAAGCCCAAGTGCGGTGAATCTGTCTCAGATGTGAGTGTTGTACATGGAAATCTTCCAGGAGGGCATTTCTTTTGTTCTCATAGAGGCTTGTCTCCTTCTGGGGCCATACAACTCTGACATTTTTGGTTTAATTCAAATTGGTGTTTTTGTTTTTCGTTCCTAGATAGCTTTATTTCATTACATGTGCACAGTAATATGAGTTCCTATACATTTTTTCCTAGAAATAAAATAACTTTATTATTTTGTTTTATGTTTTTGATACTAGTCATATTATGACAGGAATATGTGTGCACAATACAAGATTTGAAGTACAGGAAGGGTGTACAGTGAAACCGTTTTAATTCAGGGACTGTCCATAGATAGAGTTCAGTACTACCTGAGGTTTCGGGCATTCACTGGGGGTCTTGAAATATATCCCCACGCCTGCAGAAATCAATCAGTCAATCTATCTATCTATCTATCTATCTATCTATCTATCTATCTATCTTTTTTCTTTTTCTTTTTTTTTTTTTTGAGATGGAGTTTCCCTCTTTTTGCCCGGGCTGGAGTGCAGTGGCGCGATATCGGCTCACTGCAACAACCTCTGCCTCCCGGGTTCAAGTGATTCTCCTGCCTCAGCCTCCCGAGTAGCTGGGATTACAAGCATGCGCCACCACGCCCGGCTAATTTTTTATTTTTAAGTAGAGACAGGGTTTCTCCATGTTGGCCAGGCTGGTCTCCAACTCCCGACCTCAGGTGATCTGCCCGCCTCGGCCTCCCAAAGTGCTGGGATTACAGGCGTGAACCACCGCGCCCTGCCTATCTGTCTGTCTATCTATCTATCAATCATCTATCTCCTGTGTATCTGGAGATAAATACCAAGGATTGGAATTGCTGAATCAAGGGATATTTGCATTTTAAATTTCAGTATAGGTTGTGCCGTGAATTGGATTTTTGCTTTTTATTTGTGAAGCAATGTGGTGTGGTGATAACGAGAGGATGACCCTTAAGACTCAAATGCTAGCCTGTTGTCTGGTGTAAACCAATTGTGTGGCCTAAGAAAGTCATTTTCTTAACCTTTGTCTTTGTGGTGCTTTCCTTTCCTCATTTGTTAAGAAGGGCACAGGCTTAGTTATTTCTAAAGTTTAGTAATTTGTTGATTCTCTCAGTCTCACTCTTTTTTGGTCCTTCCAGTAAATGGAGCTTTATGATTTTTTTTTTTTTTTTTTTCCTGTGTAAGTTTGAGTCTATAAAGAACTCTGGGCTTTGGAAGCCTTGCTAAGCACAGCTTTACTTTGATTGTTTTAAAGCACTATGTCTGGTGTGTGCTTTACATTAAAAGCAGAGCTTATATGGCTGATCACCTTTTTAAAAAAAAAAAAATATGGTGAGTGGTAAGTAGGCATTTAGTGACCAGGAAACTCATATAGTCAGCTTTTTATTATTGATCAAGAGTGGAGGCAATGGATTTTTAGACTTAAGGAAAAAGTTTTATTTTTATAATAGCTGTAAAAAAAGCAGTAGGGCTATGATAGACAGTTTTTAAGAAACAGCAAAATTTTATTTATGACTTCGGAACAGACCATAAGAGGTAGCTTTTGATCTTTTGAACTGATCTTTTGAATTTGATCTTTTGAGCTTTTGATATTTTGTAATGTGAAGGTAAAATAGGAATTTTTGGAAATTTTGAGATATTTAGCCAGTATTGCTTAAAAAGATGATTGGATTTCCTGCTGATTGTCAAACTAGATCTATTTAAAAACTGAAACCCAAGTAAACAAAATTTAATGGGAATTTGGCCAAGTGTGGTGTCCAAGTGTGATTATAGTGGATCACACCTGTAATCACAGCACTTTGGGAGGCCAAGGCAAGAGGATTCCTTGAGTGCAGGAGTTTGAGGTTAACCTGGGCAACATAGTAAAACTGTGTCTCTACAAAAATTTTTTTAAAAATTAGTAAGGTGTGGTGGCATGTGGCTGTAGACCCAGCTACTCAGGAGGCTGAGGTGGGAGGATTACTTGAACAGGGAGGTCATGGCTGCAGTGAGCCATGATTATGCCACTGTACCCCATACAGGCTGGGTGACAGACTCCTGTCTCAAAAAAAAAAATAATATAAATTTCTTTATTTCCCATACTGCATTTTTTCTTTAGAATTTGCTCCTGCAAGGCAGGGCACGGTGGCTCACGCCTGTAATCCCAGCACTTTGGGAGGCTGAGGCAGGCAGATCACGAGGTCAGGAGATCGAGACCATCCTGACTAACATGGTGTGAAACCCCGTCTCTATTTAAAAAAATACAAAAATTTAGTCGGGCATGGTGGCATGCATCTAGTCCCAGCTACTCGGGAGGCTGAGGCAGGAGAATCTCTTGAACTCAGGAGGCGGAGGTTGCAGTGAGCCGAGATGGCACTCCAACCTGGGTGACAGAGCGAGACTCCATCTCAAAAAAAAAAAAAAAAAAGAATTTGCTCCTGCAACATTAAGCAATGTATTTGGATTCCAAGTTAAAAGACTTGGAATTTGGGTTGTTAATATAAATGCATTTCTTCTGGAAAATTTTTGAGCCCTTAGTTACTCATTTTAGGAAAATCACTTACTAAATCTTTCTCTCTCTCTTTTTATTTTTTTTCTTGAGATGGAGTCTTGCTCTGTTGCCAGGCTGGAAGTGCAGTGGCGTGATCTCGGCTTACTGCAACCTCTGCCTCCTGGGTTCAAGCGATTCTCATGCCTCAGCCTCCTAAGTAGGTGGGATTACAGGCATGCACCACTGCACCCAGCTAATTTTTGTATTTTTAGTAGAGATGGGGTTTTGCCCTGTTGGCCAGGCTGGTCTCGAACTCCTGACCACAGGTGATCCGCTGGCCTCGGCCTCCCAAAGTGCTGGGATTACAGGCGTGAGCCACTGAGCCCTGCCTGAATCTCTGTAAGTATACAAATGTATTCAACTAGGTGTAGAGTAGCAAAAAAAAAAAAAAAAAAAAAAAAAAAAAAAGAGAAACAATTTAACTGTTCTATAGGCTGGGCATGGTGGCTCACGCCTGTAATCCCAACCCTTTGGGAGGCAGAGGAGGCCAGATCACCTGAGGTCAGGAATTCGAGACCAACCTGGCCATCATGGTGAAACCTCATCACTACTAAAAATATAAAAATTAGCCAAGTATGGTGGTGCACACCTGTAATCCCAGCTACTTGGGAGGCTGAGGCAGGAGTACCTGGGAGATGGAGGTTGCAGTGAGCCGAGATCGCACCACCGCATTCCAGCCTGGGTGACAGAGTGAGACTGTCTCAAAAAAAAAAAAAAAAAAAAAAAAAAAAAAGTAAATGTTCTACAGCAGCGGTTAGGTTTATATATATTCATAGAATGGAATTTTATGTAATCACTAAAAATACTATTTTTGATGAATTTTCAGAGACAGATCTCATTTTAAAAGTAGTTACCTTTTCTTTTTTTTTTTTTTTGAGACGGAGTCTCGCTCTGTCGCCCAGGCTGGAGTGCAGTGGCGGGATCTCGGCTCACTGCAAGCTCCGCCTCCCGGGTTCACGCCATTCTCCTGCCTCAGCCTCCCAAGTAGCTGGGACTACAGGCGCCCGCCACTACGCCCGGCTAATTTTTTGTATTTTTAGTAGAGACGGGGTTTCACCGTTTTAGCTGGGATGGTCTCGATCTCCTGACCTCGTGATCCGCCCGCCTCGGCCTCCCAAAGTGCTGGGATTACAGGCGTGAGCCACCGCGCCCGGCCAGTAGTTACCTTTTCAAAGAGGCTTTTGTTGGCTATTCCATCTAGTTTGAGCCTTAATTATTTTCCGTATCTTACAGATACTACCTTATATATATATTAGTAAATACAAGGTATGTCTGTTTTGTACTCTGTGTGTGTGTGTGTGTGTGTGTGTGTGTGTGTGTGTATGTGTATATGTTTATCCTGTGCCTAGTATGCTGTCTTATGCATAGGAGGCACACAGAAATTGTTGCAATGAATGAATGACTATAGAGAGTACACAAAATATTACATGAAAAAAGCAGGACACTCAAAACATAGTATAATTCCTTTCATATAAATTATGTACAGTTCTGTAGTACAGTTCCATAAACATAAACATGAAACATAGTACACTTTCATATTTGTAGTTAACGTATATATATGGATGTAGAGAAAAAAAAGATTGGTAGGAAATAATCCTAAAGTTTAGCAGTTATCTCTGTGCTGTGGGTCATGCATAATTTTGAAGAGACAATCTTTAAATACAAATGGATAAAGTAAATATTCAAAATTATGTCAGCTAGATAATGTATTTTACCCTTTCCACATTAAAGGTGGTCACCTTACCTAAAATGATGTATTATAATGCCGTGGCCTTTTATCCTCTTGAGTAAAATGTACTGTACCTCTCTAGTGTGACAGGTTTTATATCTACTTTAGGATTAAATTATGATCTAAGAGTTGCATTTTTAAGTAACTAGCTTTAATTTCACATCAGTTGAAGTTAAAGGGTGGTGAAAGTATATTAGATCTGCTACAAGTGTGTAATTATAATTATTGACACATTTTCAAATGCTCTCTTAAGTATGATGCATTGCCCGTGATTTTGACAGCTGTGACTACATTAAACCTGCTGGAATACTCTTTTCACAAAGATTTGTTTAAACTTAGAATTGTCAGAAGGATTCTCCATAAAGTGGATGAACACAGATTTAGAGGTGAAATGGTGGTTCATTTCCTACTGTGCCTGTTGATTTTTAGTCTGTTAAATGTTAAACAGAAGATTACCTGGATTTAGTTTTCATGTCAAGAAACCTGGGAATTTTATTTTATTTTTATATAGTATAAAAATGCGTGGTGCTATTCCTTTGTGATAGGACTGTATGCAATGATGGCATAGAATCTCATTCTGTCTCCTGCTGAAGGTCCCCAACCACACAACTCCGAACTGACAGACTTGATGTTGCATAACAGCCTTATTTTCTGAACGTCTCCTTCAACAAAGTTCACATATTATCTCCTTTTCATGGCCATTCTATCCTTCTATATAGATTTATTAAGTAGCTACTGTGTGCCAGGCACTGAGGATATAGACAGAAAGGCTGTCAGAGAGCTCAGCTTGGCAGAGGCAGAAAAAGAAATAGCCAATGTACAGTAAAGTGAAGTGCCACATTAGAGCTCTAAACATAAAATTGGGATGTACAGTTCTGTTTGAGGGCACTGGAGGTCATCTCAGGGAACTGATGTTCTTGAGTGTCTTCAAGGTTAAGTAGGATGTTGTCAGGTGGGGAAAGGGCCTTCTAGGCACAGAGGCTTTCAGTAGAGACAGCAACCTTTAAAACTGAATATGGCTAGAACCTTGCTACTCAGCGTGTGGTCCTTGGGTCAGCAGTGATGGCATCAATAGAAACACAGAGTCTCAGGCTTACCTCAAATCCTGCTGGATCAGAATCAGCTTTGCAGCAGTATCCCCCAGTGATCTGAATGCTTCTAAAAGTTTGAGAAACATTGGACTTGAGCGTAGGAAGGGGTAAAGGATGGGAGAGCTTGGAAAGTCGACCACCTGCAAAGGAGATTGGATTTTTTTTTTTCTAGCAAAAAGTTGATAATGAAGAAGTGACATTATTAGATTTATATTTTCTAAAAATTGTCTGGAAGTATATGTAGAGCAGCATCTGCCAAGAAGCTTTCTTGAAACCTTAATAGTGTATAAGGTGCTTCACCAAAAAAGGTCCTCAAATAAGTTTGAAAAATGCAGGATATTATATTCTTCTCTTGGACAATGTAAAGTATCATAGTAAATTGAAAGTTTTGAGAAATTGGCTTTGAAGAAAACCATTAGCTTAACCACTTATCCTGGAATATCCCTAGGGTGTTCCACATTTGTTCCACAGTGGAAGTCTTTGTAGCCTCACAGCTGTTAATACCCTAGGGGTGGTGGGTAGCATTCTGCTGAACACATTTTGGAGAATGCCAGCGCTGCTTCCTAAACCTTAGACACTTTGCCTTACCTGAGTAGGGTGACTGACTGTCCGGGTTTAGCGGAGACTGAGGGATATCCTGGGATGCCAGACTTTCACTGCCGAAGTGGGCAAATTGGGGTGGAGTTGGTGGGTACCCTTCCTGGCAGTTTACCACATATATTACTATTTGCTTTATTTTCTTTAGGTGGGCTCAGCCTTCTTTCCTTCAATTCCTGTTTCAGTCTCATTTTCATGGACTGGTCCCCAAACTTGTCTGCATTGGAAGCACCTGGGGAGTTTCTAGACCTGAGCCTGTGCCCACCTCATGAGGTTGTGATTTAATTGGTCTGGGGTATGTATTGGCCCTTGGGGTATGGGGTAGACTTTTCAAAAGGTCCTCAGGTTATTCAAACGTCATGAAAGTTTGTTCAAAGCAATTATACCTGTGGAAATGTAGTCTTGAGATGCTACTTAAGAATTTATTTCTTAAGTATAATCTATAATACAAAAAACGACCATTAAAAAGAAAAAAAAGTTGAAGAATCACCTAGCAGCATGTGAGGCGACCACCAGTTGTACATGTTCCACACTTTGGGAAACACTTAGGGGGATAATCGAAGTGTGGGCACAAATTAGGGGGCTGGAACTTATTTGGTGAGTGGTGTGGCTGGAAAGGATATTGCAGATTTCAGGGCTGTTTGGGAGTCTGAGCCCATGAGATGTGGTGATTGATCTGATCTGTAGGGTGGAATAGAGTAGGAAAAGGAGAATCTGATAACTGCAGGCAATCTGGGGGTAGATGATGATCATGTTACTGGAAAGGGGTCCCAATCCAGACCCCAAGAGAGGATTCTTGGACTCGCGCAAGAAAAAATTGGAGGCGAGTCCATAGAGTAAAGTGAAGCAAGTTTATTAAGAAAGTAAAGGAAGAATGGCTCCTCCATAGGCATAGCCCCCCAAGGGCTGCTGGTTGCCCATTTTTGTGGTTATTTCCGAATTATTTTTTAAACAAGGGGTGGATTATTGATGTCTCCCCTTTTTAGACCATATAGGATAACTTCCTGACATTGCCGTGGCATTTGTAAACTGTCATGGCGCTGGTGGGAGCATAGCAGTGAGGACGACCAGAGGTCACTCTCGTCACCATCTTGGTTTTGGTGAGTTTTGGCTGGCTTCTTTACCGCAACCTGTTTTATCAGTGAGGTCTTTATGACCCGCATCTTGTGCCGACCTCCTATTTCATCCTGTGACTTAGAATGCCTAACTGTCTCGGAATGCAGCCCAGTAGGTCTCAGCCTTATTTTACTCAGCCCCTATTCAAGATGGAGTTGCTCTGATTCAAATGCCTCTGACAATCACATAACAGAACAGGAAGGTGTGGGGAATGCAGTAAGGTGACAGGCTGTATTTGAGAGGACTTGGGATGTCCAAGTAGAGCTGTCTGGTGAGTTGTCGGAAGAAAAACAGATGGGGCATGCTGGCTCATGCTTGTAATTCTAGCACTTAGGGAGGCCGAAGCAGGAGGATTGCTTTAGGCCAGGAGTAGGAAATCAGCCTGGGCAACATAGTAAGACCCTGTCTCTATTAAAAAAATTAAAAATAGGCCAGGTGCAGTGGCTCAGGCCTGTAATCCCAGCACTTTGGGAGGCTGAGGCTGGCGGATCACCTGGGGTCAGGAGTTCAAGACCAGCCTGGCCAACATGGTGAAACCCCGTCTCGACAAAAATAGAAAAATTAGCAGGGCGTAATGGTTATGTAATCCATAACCAGTAGTAATCCCAGCTAGTTGGGAGGCCGAGGCAGGAGAATCTCTTGAACCCTCAAGATGGAGGTTGCAGTGAGCCAAGGTTGCGCCACTGCACTCCAGCTTGGGTGACAGAGCAAGACTGTGTCTCAAAAAATAAAAATAAAAAGAAGAAAAACAATTAATATATTTAATAGCTTAGAGAGGAAAGGGCTAGATACAGATGAGAGCCTCTGCTTCCTGGTACAGGAGGCGGTAAAGTTCAAGTGGGGATCAGAATTTCCTGAGAGAAAGGGGAGAGGGTGGATCTGTCACCTTGGTCCAAGGGATGAGTTCTTGGAGAAGGACCTTGAGAGAAGAGTCTGGGAACAGCCTGAGAGGTAGGAGGAACACTGAAGAGAGGCTCCTATCGCCATAGAGAGGAAGGGAAGGCTCCTCCCAGGTAGCCCTGAGAACCCAGTAAGAGAAGAGCTCAAGAGGGCATTTTGTTGGTAAGTTAGTCATCATTAGTAGTGTTCGTAAGTTTAGCATAAAGGAGGAAACCAACTTTTAGTGGGTTGAGAGGGAGGAGACCACTAGATCGAGTGACTTTTTTTTTTTTAAGTTTTTACTGACGAAAAAGCCTGGCATAGTGTGGGACCTTAGGGAATAAATATGGGTTTGTTTGGGGAGTAGTCATCTTCTGGTTACTCATGGAAGTTATGTCAACAAGGAAGAAAAAATTACAAGGAGCATTCACACATTCACAGAAAAAGTGCCAGAGTTACCTGGGGCTCCATAAAATCCCTTTATTTTGAAATCATAACTACTCACCTTTTCTCTCCATCTTCCCTAAAGTTTGCTCTGTTATTCTCTAGACACAACAATCTCAATTTCTGAATTGATATTCTTATAAATGTCATTAGGATTTCTTACGGTGCTGACAAGGCTGCTTGTGATTAAGTATTCAGCCTTTGTCTATATGTGGTACACATTTCTGGAGGGCTTTGTAGTTTACCAAAGCAACACTGCATTTTACATGATCCTCTTAATAACCTTGTACGGAGGCAGGGCAGAAAATGATATTATTTTATTTTACAGGGAGAAAAAAGCCTTTGAGGTTTAAATATATTAAGGAGGACCTGCTGATGATGAATGATTTAGTGATGGATCCAGGGTGCAATTCTGGTCTCTCTGGTACAGTATTTCTTCCTTATGGTGGAGGAAGACGGGGGAAGGGTATCTTCTTCTTTTTTTTTTTTTCCAATTAGTTTATAATTTCCTTGAGGACGGGGACCATGTGTTCATTGTTGAGACCGTGGGTGTCGGAGATGGGTAGGAGAGCCCTTTGGTCCAAGCTTTACCACACACAAGGACTTCACATTGTCTTGACATTACCTTTGTATCACAGAGTCCCAGAAATATCCAGAATTGTGTATTTTCTTTTTCTTTCTTTTTTTCTTTGAGTCAGGGTCTTACCCTGTCACCCAGGCTGGATTGCAGTGGCACAATCATGGCTCACTGCAGCCTCAACCTCCTGGGCTCAGGTGATCCTCCCACTTCAGCCTCCTGAATAGCTGAGACTACAGTGCGTACCACCACACCTGGCTAATTTTTGTATTTTTTATAGAAGCGGGATTTCACCATGTTGCCCAGGGTGGTCTTGAACTCCTGGGCTCAAGCAATCCACCTGCCTCAGCCTCCCAAAATGCTGGGATTACAGGCGTAAACCACTGTACCTGGCCCAGGATTGTATATTTTCAACAGGATTGAAAGAAGGTAGCATGGATCATGTAACCTTGAACTTGCGTCTCAGTATCGGACCATGTAATTATCTTGAGACCAGCCCAATAGTATTGCTTGGCATGTTTTGTAAATATTTAAAACATACACAATTTTTGTCATCCTATTTTTACATTTAAAAAATATTTTTTGATACCAGAAATCATCTATAGTGGAAGCGGCCCAAACCTCTCTGGACTTCAAAGGGACCCTTCTCTGTATGTGCATGGAAGGACCTGAAAATGAACTAGCCCCTGTAACAAAGCTCAAGTCCAGTAAAGATGATGTTTTGTAACCACCACGGGGCACACCACAGGCACTCAATAAATACTTGTTAGTTTGAATTGAGGGAGGTGTTGTTTTGTGTTAAACATTCTCCACATTTATCACAATGGGCCACTGACAAGTTTTAATTTTTTGTAATGATCTTTCCCATGAGTCATTATAGATATGGCACTAGGATTTGGGGAAGGAGAATGATGAAAGAGAATACAGAACTGGGATCAGCAAGTTTTAGGACAAGAGATGAGAAGTTTTGAGTGAGTGAATAGTTGAAAGCAGGCAGGAGTTGCTCAGGGGAAACTGGAAATAGGTGGAGGCACTTTTAAGACAGCAGACCGCACGGATATGAGGATGAGATTGGAGTAATGCAGAGCTGATGATATCTTAGTGGGGGAACTGAAGGCTTTT
This sequence comes from Homo sapiens, assembly GCF_000001405.40. Classification (NCBI taxonomy): domain Eukaryota; kingdom Metazoa; phylum Chordata; class Mammalia; order Primates; family Hominidae; genus Homo; species Homo sapiens. Next base: position 157,856,189 of record NC_000002.12, on the reverse strand, counting down.
TTCAACTTTAATTATAGCCACAGGAAAAAAGCACATTATAGCACTTTTTTTCTACCTCTACTAAGGGCTGGGAGGATATAATCTGTCTCGTAGAGTCTTGTCAAAGAATCTGTACTTCAGACTACACTGAAATGTATTTTTTTTTTTAAGTTTTTGGGGTGTCGTAGGTTGAGGAAGAGGAATAAGCATTTGATTCCTTGTGTTTACATTAAAATTTCAAGCTACTATTTCATGATGATGCGAGGAACTTTTTAGTCATTGAAGAGATTTAGGCGGATGAGTTAATGTTTGGTCATCAGAAAATGTAGCATGAGGAGCATGTTCCTCTTGGGAGGAAAAAAAAGTATGAGTCAGACAAAACATCAAGTCATTTCCCACCACTCGATGCAGCCACCCTTTTGCTGAAGGACCATTGACCCTGCAAGTATAATTCAGACAGTAATGACCACTGGCATTTGAGGCAGACTTTACAGTTTATAAAGCTCTTCCCCCAGACTTTACAGTTTATAAAGCTCTTCCCCCTCAAGACCACTCACGGTGTTGCTGACTCTTTGTATAACATTGGCACTTCTGATGAGGGGGGCACAAGTGAGTTATTCTTCTAGGGAAGGTGCTTTGATTTAAAACCTAAAAATGCCATCTGTAATTCAAATGGGACAGAGTTTTCCTTTGTGAGGACTCATCAGTTGTTCATTGACATTGGCATGGACTGTTGCCCAGTCTGGAGTACAGTGGCGCGATCTTGGCTCACAACCTCCACTTTTTGGGCTAAAGTGATCCTCCCATGTCAGCCTCCTGAATAGCTGGGACCACAGATGAAAGCCACCACGTCCGGCTAATTTTTGTGTGTGTGTGTGTGTGTGTGTATATATATATATATACACACACACACACACACACACACACACACACACACACACTTTTTTTTTTTTTTTTTAAGAGACGAGGTTTCACCATGTTGCCCAGGCTGGTCCCAAACTCCTAAGCTCAAAGCAGTCTGCCCTCCTTGGCCTCCCAAAGAGCTGAGATTACAGGCGTCAGCCACTGTGCCTGGCCAGTTCGTTGGCATTTTTGAAAAATGCTAAAAGTCAGTGTACTAGCCTGTAACATTGGGAGAGTGTAAGGTTTGTCTTATATACTTATTTTATTTTTGAGATGGTGTCTTGCTCTGTTGCCAGGCTGGAGTGCAGTGGCACGATCTTGGCTCACTGCAACCTCTGCCTCCCGGGTTCAAGCGATTCTTCTGCCTCAGCCTCCTGAGTAGCTGGGACTACAGGCATGCACCACCATGCCCAGCTAATTTTTGTATTTTTAGTGGAGTTGGGGTTTTACCATGTTGACCAGAATTGTCTCTTATCTCCTGACCTTGTGATCCACACACCTCAGCCTCCCAAAGTGCTGAGATTACAGGTGTGAGCCATCGGTCGCACCCGGCCTGAAAAAGATTCACTCTTTTTTTTTTTTTTTGAGACGGAGTCTCACTCTGTCCCCCAGGCTGGAGTGCAGTGGCACAATCTCGGCTCACTGCAAGCTCTGCCTCCCGGGTTCATGCCATTCTCCTGCCTCAGCCTCCCAAAGAGCTGGGTCTACAAGTGCCCGCCACCATGCCTGGCTAATTTTTTTGTATTTTTAGTAGAGATGGGGTTTCACCGTGTTAGCCAGGATGATCTTGATCTCCTGACCTCGTGATCCTCCCGCCTCGGCCTCCCAAAGGGCTGGGATTACAGGCGTGAGCCACTGCACCCGGCCGATACACTCTTTTTTCATTTTGGATTTGCCAGTGTGATGGCAGAACACTGTCATTGTCTTCCTCTATCTCTGTTCTTGATCTTTCAGTGATGTTTTTATGTTGTGTTCCATTTTGCTGGGTATCAAATAATCACCAAGTCTTTGTGCAAATCAAGAGAGATAACTAGCTAGAAATATGTGTGTGGAAGATAGGTATGAAATGTTAGGAAGAAAAAAATGCTTCTTTTTTTTTTTTTTTTTTACTCCTTTAGGGTCTGATTGATTCATGCTTTTTTATTTGTTGAAATTTTTTGAATACTAACTATGTGCTAGGCTCTGTGTTGATTATGTGTTGGTGACACTGAGACCAAAGGTGCTATTCCTGGCTTCAAGAGAATTCATGGCTTAGTAAAAGGAACACGTAAATCAGTGATTACAGTACAGCTTGGCAAATGCGGGTGTGCACAATGTACAGCAGTGACCCAGAGGGGGAAACTTAACCTGCGTTAGGGAGAAGGATGTAGGGAAGCTTCTGACCCTGGAAGATATTAAGTGAGGACTTGAAGAATAAGTAGAAGTTAGCCTGGTAATGTAGAGGAAGGGCATTTTAGCATAGGGAAACTTCATTGTAAAGATAGAAGGCATAAGAAGAGCATAGTACCAGCTGGGAATGCAGGTAGTTTAGTTGAACTGTAGCTTAGGGTGCCTGTGGGAATTGATGTGACATAAGGCTGGAGAGGTGGGTAATGGCTATGTCATGAAGACTACTTATTGCTTCCTAAACAATTCAGGTCTTATCCTGAAATATGCTAGCTATTGGATTTTAGGGAGGAAAAGGATCAGATTAGATTTGGATTTTGGAACGGTTATGAGCAGCAGCTTTAAGAAGGTTCTTTTTCAATGGTGTCTATTCATCTGAGCTTTAGACTGAATTTTGTCCTTCCCAATTGATGTGCTGAAACCCTGACCCTCAGTGTGATGCTATTTGGAGATGAGGTCTTTGGGAGGTAATTAGCTTTAGGTGAGGTCATGAAGGCGGGACCTTCCTGATGGGATTAGTCAGCTTGTAAGAAGAGATATCAGAGAACTTGCTATCTCTTTCCACATGAGGACACAGCAAGAAGGCTGCCCCTGTTAGCCAGGAAGAGGACCCTCACTAGAACCTGACACTAGGCATCCTGATCTTGGACTTCTAGCCTCTAGAACTGTGGGAAAGTAAATTTCTGTTTAAGCCACCCAATCTATGATGTTTTATTATGGCAGCCTGAGTAGACTAATACAATCTATTTATTTTTTGGGTAATTGTGAAACTAGGAACAGGAAGGATATTATAGTAATTCAAGTAAGTAGCAATAATTTGGCTACTCTATTTTGATTTAAAAATATTTGGGCATGGAACAAGTCGTTATTTAACTGAACTTCTAGTTTTGAGATCTTATTGTTAGGATATTACTAGCTACAATAAGTTTTATGAGAGAATTTTCTCCCTTGAACATCTCCACATCCTACCTTTTATTAAAGTAATCCACTGATGCCCTTTACTATAGAGGCTTTGGGTCTTTTCATTGTTTTCCGGTCAGCAGGTTGGTACAGCTGAACTCTCAGTACCTAGTGCCTGAGTGTTAAATCTGTTCGACAGCCCTCTGCTTTATCTAATTTTGATACTATGACATTTATATTGTTTTAAAGGAATCTTCTGTGGATGGTTTTAGGAGTTCTGTGGGAATTAATACCATTTAGAGGATCATATAACTATGGCAGATGATGTTTGTGATAAAATTGGTACCTATCTTGTGTATGTTTGAATAACTATTTAAAATAATATTTTTCATAGTTTTGTTTTTATGTCTGAAGATCTGTCTTCAACATTTTATGCAGCACTTAACTTGTGCCTGATATTTGAGTCTAGTTTCCCTTTCTTTTTCCAAGGTCTTGCTCTTTTTTTTTTCTTTTTTTTTTTTTTGAGACAGGCTCTCGCTCTGTCATCCAGGCTGTATAGTACAGTGGCATGACCTCTGTTCACTGCAGTCTCCACCTCCCTAGTTCAAGCAGTTCTCCCACATCAGCCTCCCTATAGCTGGGACCACAGCCATGCACCACCATGCCCAGCTAATTTTTGTATTTTTTATAGAGATGGGGTTTTGCCATGTTGCCCAGGCTGGTCTGGAATTTCTGAGCTCAAGCGATCCACCCGCCTCGGCCTCCCAAAGTGCTGGGATTACAGGTGTGAGCCACTGCACCTGGCCTATTCTTTATTTTTTTCAACTCTGTTCTTTCTCCCCAATTCTCTCTAATTTGTCCTCTTTATTGGCCTTTTCTCTTGAGTTTGGAAATAGGCTTAAGTATTCTGTCCTTTAAAGTGTTTTGATGCCTATACCTCTCATAAGCCCCTTCCTGAGGAAGCATTTTAAAAAATGAATCCACATTCAATGCTCTTGCCTCTTCAGCCTGTAGTCTTCTTCAGAACATAATAATCTTACATTGCTCCCATGTATTACATGTTTCGGAAGTGCCTACCAAATGCCAGGACTGGGCGGGTGGGGTGGGGGTGGTGTGTGTGTGTGTGTGTGTGTGTGTGTGTGTGTGTGTGTGTGTGTGTGTGTGTTTCTCTGTCTCCCTCTCAGGAGTCCTCTTTTTAGTGGTAGGGTCACAAGATTGGGAAGAGTTATTTAGCCCATCTCTCCATTACCTGCAGTTGCTCTGCATTTTACCCTCTGAGTGAATCCTCAGCCTTCACTGAAATTCTACAAAGTTAGGGGATGCGATATCTACTAGGAGCCCACTCTGCCTTTGGAGTAATCTGACTGACAGAGGGTTTTTTGGCCTATAATAAATGTAGCTTCTATTTATCCTTTGATCACAGTTCTTTTCAGCTATACAGAATATAGAGTATAATAGTATTTTTATGTGATTAGAGCTGTCATATTCACCCCTAATATCTTTTTTCTAAGAATGTCTCCATAGCTTCCACTGGTCGTCACCATCCTGCCTGCCTTGTTGCTCATACTTCTGTTTGATTGAGTCTTTAAAAATTGGTTTCTAGAGCTGATTGCAATATTCCTGACTGGGTTTTCTCTCCTGATTTTTTGACTTCCATGCTTGTATTATGCAGCTCAAACTGCTATATTTCAGGTGGCCACTTGGTTTTACTTGAAGAGTTGATCACCCACAGAAATCTCAGTTTTTTTCCATAGATGGTACTGCTAGGTCCTGTCTTCCTCAACCTCTCCTTGTCTGCTTATACCCTTGTCTTTTATTCTCTTTACTGCATATGGGATCTTAAATTTACCTTAAGTTAACTTTCCGTTTGCTAGGTCCTGCCCATAGCAGTTTGCATTGGATTCCATTTCTATCATTTTAGGGAAGATATGGGTTTTTTGAAATAGCACCCTTTGAATGTAGTAACTTAACAGATCTGTCTAATCTGTTAAGATAGATCTGTTAAGTTAAGATGGATCTGTTAAGTTAACAGATCTGCTAAGCTAACTTTTCTTTGTTTTTTTTGGAGACACAGTCTTACTCTGTTGCCCAGACTGGAGTGCAGTGGCGCGATCTCGACTCATTACAACCTCCGCCTCCCAGGTTCAAGCAATTCTCCTGTTTCAGCCTCCTGCGTAGCTGGGATTACAGATGTGCACCACCACACCCAGCTAACTTTTGTATTTTTAGTAGAGACGGGGTTTCACCGTGTTGGCCAGGCTGGTCTCAAACCCTTGACCTCAAGTGATCCGCCTGCCTTGGCCTCCCAAAGTGCTGAGATTACAGGTGTGAGGCACTGCCCCTGTCCAAGTAAACTTCTTTTTCTTTTTATCTTTTGACTTTTTATTTATCTTGATCACAAATATTTCATAAGAGATGTTGTCAAGTCTAGATGTATATGTTCCCTTGAACTGCCAGCTTAGGAATCTTAACGAGAAAAGGAAACTGGGTTAATCTTGTATGATTTGTTCTTACTATTAGGGTTTGCAGGGATTACTACTTTCTAAGTGTTTAAAATACATTCTCAAGTCTTGCCTGGGACTTGGTCTGAGTCTATGTAGTCTGTTGGCATTTTTCCCTCTTTTTTTTTTTTTGAGACTGAGTCTTTTCTGTCGCCCAGGCTGGAGTACATTGGCACGATCTCAGCTCACTGCAACCTCTGCCTACCGGGTTCAAATGATTCTCCTGCCTCAGCCTCCCGAGTAGTTTGGACTACAGGTGTGCACCACCACACCTAGCTAAGTTTTGTATTTTTAATAGAGACAGGGTTTTGCCATGTTGACCAGGCTAGTCTCAAACTCCAGACTTCAAGTGATCTGCCCACCTCAGCCTCCTAAAGTGCTGGGATTACAGGCATGAGCCACCGCACCCGGCCTTCTCATTTTAATTTTTCTGAAGCATCTAGTGATTACTTGTTCCTTTCTGACTTCATTCTTTGCTGACCTCTTTTCTCCAAGTTTTGGAATTTTCTGAGGTTGCTTTTCTTCTCTTTTTCAATCGCATCTTTTAAGATTCTCTATGCTTGCATTGTCCAGTAAGGTAGCTACTAGCCACAGTCAACATAGAAATGTTACTGGTTTAAAGAATCTGCTGATTTCAAGTTGAAAGCCAGAACAGGAAACACTGACACCTGGGTAGGAGGTTAAGGTTGACTATTCCAGGAATGGAGAGAGGAGCAGGAAAGTGGCCACAATTTAACTAGTTACACTTGCTTGTTGGCTGTTGCCAGGTTATCCGTGTATGTTCCTGGCCCCTGTCTCCTGCTAACAATGAGTCATTATTGCAAATAAAGTAAATATTAATAAATCTATGTGTAGAATATTTTTAATAAAAGCCTATGTGTAGTGTGCCAAAAGATAATGAGGTTTGGAAGCAAAGTAAGTTCTTAAATTGACAGTTTCGATGCGTGATTCTGTGTAGTACTGCTAAACTTGCTAGCTTATTCAAATACTATACAATAATGTTTGTAGGCATTTCCTAGTGTTTGGATATTTTCTGTAAGCTACAGTTTTGATATATACTACTATACTTCACATTTTTTATTAAACAGTTTAAAAAGTTTATAATAGTGAATGAACACTATTGGAAGTATTTAAAAAATAATTTATAATTTCAGAAATTCCAATTTTTTCCCTGCAAATTTTGAAGATTGATATTGATAGAGAGTTTGAAACAATAGTACATAGTGCTTGTCCAACGAACTGTTTGTTTCTTTTGATAATGTGATAGGTACAGAAATTAAGATAGTGTTTAGAGACTGTTATGGTAATTTGACATTGCCATCAGTACCTGTGATCAGTGGATTCAACCCATTGAACAAGGAGTTTTACAAAAGTATTGGTCCATTACAGATAGTAATTTAGTTGTATAAGTACTGGTCTAGGTGAGAGGTAGTGATTTCTTGGACCAGACTTGAAAGTATGAGAAGAGATTGGTTGGAATCAGGATATACTTTGAAGACAGAGCCAATGGGATTTGCTACTAGATTAGATGACAGATTATTCTAGATTATCTTTCCCTCTAAACTGCTTCATTTGTAAAATGTGTGTAGTTATGACAGCAACACTCATTTTTGTTGTAGCTTCGTCAGCTGTTTCTTTGAGCTTGCTGGAAATCCCTCATGTTCATTGCTGCTAATAATCATCTTTCTAATCCAATCATGTAATTCCCTTGACTTTCAACCATCAACTGCTCACCATTATATAGATACAAGAAATATTAAACTGCTTAGGTTGACTTTTAAGATATGAGGTGCGACTTCTTTCAGACTCTTTTCCATGTCCTCTTTTGCTCCTGACAATAGCCCAACTAGACTGCCTGCTGGTCCAGTCAATCTCTTTCTGCATAATAAATTATCCCAAACTTGATGGCATAAAACGACAACCATTTTATTGTGCTCACAGTTTAGTGAGTCAGGGATTTGGAACATGCACAGCAAGGACAGCTTGTCTCTGTTCCACAATGTCTGGGGCCTCAGCTGGGAATTCTTGAAGGTTGGGGGCTGGAATCATCCAAAGGCTCATTCACTCGCATGTCTGGCGGTTGATGCTGGCTGTTGGCTGGGAGCTCAGCTGGGGCTGTCAGCTGAAACACCTACATGTGGTCTCTCTGCATGGGCTATTTTGAGCTTCCTCATAGCATGGCGGCTGGGTTCCAAGAGCAAGTGTCTCAAAAGACAGGAAGTGGAAGCTTCCAGTTTCTTAAGATCTGGTTCTGGAAGCTGTTACAGTGTCACTTCCACCATATTCTGTTGGTCAAGCTGTCACAGAGCCCCGTTAAAGAGAAGGAGATATAGATCCCACCTCTTGATGAGAAGAGAGCCAAAGAATTTGGGGGCCATTTTTAAACAATCAAAGCTATACTTCATTCAGATTTCCTTAGTTTTCCCCAGTGTCCTTTTTCAGTTACAGGATCTCACCCAGGTTACATTACATTGAGTTGTTATGTCCCCTAGGGTTCCTCTTGGCTGTGATAGTTTCTCAAACTCTCCTTGTTGTTGAACACCATGACAGTTTTAAGAATGCAGCTCTGGTATTTTATAGAATGGGGTGGTGGGGGGATATTTTTAAATGGCCACATCCTACTATTCACCAGACTTCTCTGTCTTTCTGAGTCTCTCTGTCAGCTGCTCTCTGTCTCCACTCCTCGCCCCCTCCCCAGTTCAAACTCCATCTCTTTCTCCATGCAGTCTTTGTCATGTCTCATCCTCTGGCTAAAATCAGTTTTTCTCTCTTCTGTGTTCCCATAGTATTACTGTTTGTAATTCTTGTGTGGTTATTTTTCAGTGTTTTTCTTTCTTGGTAGATTATAAACTCTTTGAAGGTAAGAACCATGTCTTGCTTACCTTTGCATATCTCATAGCAGGTAGGTTTTTTGAACGGAACATTCAATATCAAACTGAGTCTCACATCTGACACCCAGATGGGTTGGGACTTAACAGTGGTTAAATAGAAAATATAATGAGAAAATTTAAAACATTCCTTAAAAACATCGTTTCTGATGTTGTATTTTAAGGCTTTTAAAATGGACTCTCTGTTGTAGAGTAAAACTTCTAATTTTTTTCTCCCTTAGCCATAAAATTAAAAGAGAGTAGCTTTTTTTGATATTATCAACATCTTCCTGCTCAGGTCAATCTCTGATAGGCATGTCCTAGTGTTTTTTTGTGAACTTTAGATCTCAGTCCATTACTGGATCAGTTTAGGGAGTCACACCCAAGACTAGAAATAAAAGGAAATTGAAGTTTTGAATAAAGCTTGTGAATTGCAAGGGTAATAATTGTTTCGTTAAATTTGTGTTTCAGTTTTATATGCATGTGTATAATAAGTTCAAATGTAAAATAGGTATTAAAATTTTTTGAAAGATACTCTCCTGTGCAACATCATTCTAAACTGTTGATGTTCTGGTTCATTTCTTTGGCTTTTTCTGTTTTAGCTTATTTCTTCTGGTTTCCTTTCTGAGGGCTTATATACATACATATCGATTCTGGGGACCATGCACACATGTTCCTTTAATCTTTACCTATCCAGCCTCTTTTTATAATAGAGGAATATAACTGCTATTCTCAGTTTCCTAGAATAGCACATGTTATGTTTTCTCTTCTCCTTTGGAGACTTTATACCTACTCTCCTGCCCTCGAGGCCAGGAGGTGGAATTAGCTTATTCTTTTCTTTTTTCTTTTATGTGTTTATTGAAGTATAGAATCTATACAGTGAAGTGTACAAATCTAAAGTATACAGCTCAATAATTTTTTGCATTTGTATTTATCCCTATAAGTATCATTGCAGATGAAGATGTAGAAACAATTTCATCCATCCAGAGGAGGTCAGTTTATTCTTAAATTGTTTCTGGAACAAGGTGGTGGTGTGAGTAAATTAGTAGATTCTCTCTGATTCCTTCATATGGCATATGTAGGTTATAATGTTTAGTTCTGAAGGTCGCAAAGGTCTGAAGCATCTGAGTTAGGAAGTGTTAAAACAGGGAGATGGGATGTTGAATGTGAGCTTTGGCAGAATTAAATGGGATGAGCTTGAGTGAGCCAAGGGGAAAAGCAAAGAGGAGTCATTTCATGAAGAATTCAGGAGAAGCAAGGTTTATTTGAATTTCAGAAGGGAAAACATTAAACTCAGTTTGCCACTGCTGCTGTAACAAATCATGACAAATTTAGTATCTTGAAACAGCACAAATTTACTTTCTTCCAGTTTTGGAGGCTCTTGGGAGAATCCACTTCCTTTGGCTTGTGGCTCTTCCTCCATCTTCAAAGCACATTCTTTCCATCTCTGTTTCCATCGTCTCACTGCCTTCTCCTCTGTGAAGTTAAATCTCCTTGTCTCTTTCTTAAAAGGACATTTGTGATTATATTTAGGGCCTACCCGGATAATCCAGGATAATCGCCTCATCTCAAAACTCTTAATTTAATCACATCTGCAAAGTCCCTTTGTCACATAAGATAACATTCACAGGTTCTGGGGATTAGGGCATGGATACTTGGTTTTGTTTTTCAAGGATCTTTCTTCATAAAGGGAAGGTCTGCTATATATTTCCTGCTAGTTTATTCTCCTTTTTAATGCTAGATTAATTTTTCTAAAACAGCACATTGTACATTTTATTTCTTTGCTGAAACATCTTTGGTGACTCCCCATTGGCTAATACAGTTAATAGGGCCTAGACTGACATTCAGATGGCTATTGAACCCCAAGTCACATTTCAAGTTTTTCTCCTCCTCTTTCATCATGGATGCAGCAGCATGCATTTTCTCATTGTTGCCTCCATGACCGGCTTGTCTTTGCTTGCTCTGACTTTTCCTCCTGCCTGTGGGGCCCTTTCAGGCCTTCCCAGCAGCATTCCCCTCACCATCTGTATTAGCTTCCTAGGGCTGCCATAAGAAATTACCACAAACAACAGCAATGTAACTGCCAAAGTTGTGGAGGCCTGAGGTCTGAAATCAGGGTGCCAGTAGAGTTATGCTCTAACTGATGGCTTTAGGGGAGACTCTTTCCTAGCTCCTTTCAGCTTCTGGTGTCTCCAGGTGTTTCCTGGTTTGTGGCAGCATGACTCCAATGTGTACCTTCATCTTCACATGACCTTCTCTCTGTGCCTCTCCATGCGTCTCTCATAAAGATGCTTGTCATTGGAGTTAAGTACCACCTACAGAATCCAGGATGATCTCATCTCAAGATTCTTAAGTTATTTACATTTGCAAAGACCCTTTTCCCAAATAAGGTCACACTCACAGGTTCCAAGGTTAGAACGCAGACAAATTGATTGGCAGGCTACTGTTCAACCCACTACACTACCTCAGTCAGCAGTCATAACTTATTTCTGTGACCTCTTGACATGACTGGCATGCCTACACAACTTATTGGGACCCCATCATCTCTATCTTACTATTTTTGGATAATTCTCACCTCTTTCACTAAATCATAAGTCCTTGTCTTAGTCCATTTGTACTGCTGTAACTAAATCCCTTAGTCTGGGTAATTTATAAACAATAGACACTTATTGCTTACAGTTCTGGAGGTTCAAAGATAAAGGTGTGGGCAGGATTTGGTGTCTGGTGAGGGCTCACTCTGCTTCAAAGATGGCACCTTCTTGCTGTGTTCTCACATGGTGGAAGGGGGGGCCCAGGGAGCTCTTTTTTTATAAGAGCATGAATCTCCCTAATGACTTAATCACGCACCAAAGGCTCCCCCCCTCTTAATACTATCTCATTGGGTATTAGGTTCCAATGTATGAATTCTTGTGGGGACACCAACATTCAGACCACAGCAGCTCTTGAGGTCAAAAGGGTTTCTTTTGCTCTGAAACCCTCAATTCCTAGCAGGGTCCTAGCTCTGTGGTGCTTCAGAAACAGCATCTATCAGATGATCAATTTTTTTATTTTTAAATAAAATGAAAAGTGTCAAGTAAAAATCCTGGTGTGATTATCAGAATTTTAACTTGAAATATCACAGGAGATTTTTCTCATCCCAAGTTTTTTTTGTTTGTTTGTTAATTTCTGGTACTGTACTTTTGGTGTGGAGTAACTAACCACTTTTGATTCCCTGGAACCTTAAGTGAGTAGGCAGCAGAGCTGATGGTGGAGTAGCCAAGCTGAGAAAGGCCTCTGGAGGGAAGAGCAAACCCAGTGGGGACAGGGTGGGTTTGGAGATCTGCCAGATACAGCTTGGAAGTCTTGGGGGCAGAGCTGTCACTGTTACTTGGGAATTTGTCTTACCTGGGCTCTTGGCAGTCTTCATCTTCACTGGAATCCTTTCCAGTGGGTTTTACAAACCTGGAAGACACTCTTGTGAGCACTTGAACTTGATCTCCCACAGCACAGTTGGAGGGCCATGCCGAGGGCGGCCCCCAGCCTTGCTTTCCATAAGGAGATGATGGTTTCACAATGTCTTCTGCATGACAGGGCCTCCTTTGCCTGCCCTGTAAGCACAGCTGCTCTTTGAAGCTTACCAGTGAGCATGGGTCTTAGGCTGTTTTCCCAATTATTCTCTTTTCTTTATTTGGCTTAATTTCAAGATTATCTGCGAATAGCTCCTTTTTTCTTTTTCGTCTTTGAATGGATGCTGGCAGTCTAACCCCATTAAAGTTTAAGTACTGCTCTCATGTTTTTTGTATTAAGCATTTGAAGGTGACTGATTTTCAGCCTTTGGTATGTTCAGGCTCATATTCAATGGTTATCTTCATTTAGAGTTTTACTATATCCATGAATCCTAATATAACTGCTCAGGTCTGTGCAACATAACCATTATTTACAGTGCCAGTATTCTATTGCAGGGTTGGCCTAGAAGGTACATGTTAATCCTTTCCCATGATATCATGGGAGAAAAGAAAGGCTGGAAAAGAATCCAGAGACTGTGACATAATGGGTAAGAATGGCCTATGGTGTCAGGCAAGTGTGGGTTTGAATCTCATTCTGTCACATCCCAGCTTTGTGACATTAAGGAAGTTACTTTTCCTCTCTGAGCTTCAGTTTTATCACCTGTGTAATGGAGATGATAATTGCTATTATGTCATTATGTGTGTTGGGAGGATTAAGTGTGGTAATATGGATGCAAATCTCCGTCACAGTGGTGTCTGGTACCTTGGAAGTGTTCAAAAAACTGTGGCTGCTATTATTACTCATTTTTTAGGGAAAACCAAGGCACTAGTGATAATTATGGAATGTTTCCAAGTCACCCACAGTAAAAGTCTAACTTGTGGGATTTAGAAAACAGACTATTAGTGTGTTGAGTAATGCAGTATTGAATATGTCAGTTACTGCAGTCTGGCTCTATGGTATTTATTTGGTTAGTTTGCAGAAAGATAGACAAATGACATGAATAAAAGCACACTTACTGACTTTCTTACTGATCTGAAGCATTTATCATGCTAGCTGTGTAAAGCTATACTTCCTCTAAGTTCAAGGCCTCTACCTCCAAATTCAATGGGAGGATAGAATTTAGAGTATGGTTTAATTATTAGTGTTAAATTTGTATTCTTAAGAATAATTTTGTGACTGTTAAAGTCTGAGAGGTTTATTCTGTATCACATGGCTTTTATAATAGAGATGTGATTAAATACACTGTTCTTTGTACTAGGAAACCTGGAATCTGTACACTGCCTCGCTGGTTTTCAGATCAAAGAAAAAAAATCATAGTAGATGAACCTTAGAACAGTCCCCTGCCCAGAGTTAATATTTTAGATTAAAATTACATTCCTTAAATTCCTCTGTGTAGCAGATTATTTCTGAAATTTTCAGGGGGTGGGGGAAGCAGGAACATAAAATGCTAGAAATTGAGTAAATTGCATCATCTTTGAACCTTAAATATTGATGTTGTAACTGGATGTTGAAGACTTTGCCAGAGTTCATTGATTCATGAGTTGAAGAGTTCCTTATGCAGGGTCGTGTGTTCATACTTGGAGGAAATCTTCTAAGATTTGGAGTCTGACAGCGGGAGATACAGGGCTGGATGCATGAAAGAACTTCCATGTGGAGTTTTCTGCCTGAATGTAAACTCTGAGGGCAGGAACTTGATTGCATTTGATGTCATACCTCCAGTGCCTAAATCAGTGCCTGGCTCATTGTAGGTGCTCAGTACCTCCTGGCCAAAGGCATGAATGAATATGGGAAGGAAAGGCAGTGAACTTGCTGCAGTTCAGAACGCTTTCTGTACTCTGTACTTTATGCAGTTTATTTCTGGCTTGGCCTTTGTTAAGGGTCAGGAAGTTGGTTGGAAGAGAGATCCATCCACATGTTAGAACATCAGCTGTGTGCCAGCACTGTGCCAGTCCTGGAGATGATATGGTATAAAGACCTTTTCCAAGGTCTTCTTCAGTATTGGACTGTTGGGGGTTCTACTTTTTCTTTTGACAGTGATTGTAACAAGGGATGTTTCCCTAGAATGACTCCCCCTAAAGTAGCAGAGTGATCCCTGAGTTCAGGGGATTGGATTAATTGTTAATTTTTTTTTTTTTTTTTTTGAGATGGAGTCTCTCTGTGTCGCCCAGGCTGGAGTGCAGTGGCACGATCTGGGCTCACTGCAAGCTCTGCCTCCCGGGTTCATGCCATTCTCCTGCCTCACCCTCCCAAGTAGCTGACCCTACAGGCGCCTGCCACAACGCCCAGCTAATTTTTTAAAAATATTTTTCATACAGATGGGGTTTCACTGTGTTAGCCAGGATGATCTCGATCTCCTGACCTCATGATCTGCCTGCCTTGGCCTCCCAAAGTGCTGGGATTACAGGTGTTAGCCACCGTGCCCTGCCAATTTTCTTTTTTTATAAAGAGATGGGGTCTTGCCATGTTGTCCAGGCTGGAATGCAGTGGCTATTCACAGGCAAGATCATGGTACACTATAGCCTCCAACCTTGAACTTTTGGGCTCAAGCAATCCTTTTGCCTTAGCCTTCCTAATAGCTGGCTCTACAAGTGTGTGCTGCTGCACCCAGCTCTGGGTGGATCTTTAACTGTAAGTTTAAGTAAGTCCTGACAATTTTGTTTCATTTTATTGTCCCTGAGAAGCAGCTAGGTAAATGCGGTCGTTAAAATACATGTCTAAGCAGTCTTAGTGGCCTTCTTGGTCTTCCTTTGCTCCTCCCAAGTTAGAAGTCAGGGCAAGTCTTCCCCCCTGCTTCATCCTATCCCCTTATAACTTCAGATAAAATAATGACTATAAGGATTTGAAATCCCTGTGATTGTCGAAGGAGAAGGGTTGAGAGTGAGTGGGTCTTATTTTCCTCCCTACCTTCCTATGTCAATTTTGAGCCTGTGTATTCTATAGTTTTTTTTTCTCAGCATCAAACTGAAATCTTATTTATATCTTTTTCAACTTTAATATCCCCACTTTTTGATCTTTGGGGATTAGAAGCCAAGTATGGACAAGAGGAGAGTGGCCAGGGCATTGAGTAAGCATGTATGTACATTTCATAATTTTTGCCATACCTGGTAGGTTGTGCTGAATTTCTTGGGCAAAAGGCCTGAAGTTCTGTTACCACCAGGGGAACAGGAATTGTGGTTGCCGTCGGGATCACAGCCAGGAGGCTATTTATAGTCTGTAGTGAGTGGCTGTGAGCCCACCATGGTTCTGAATATGCCTCCTGCCTTAAAGTTCCCAGTGTTCTTGAAGCGGACCCTGCCCTTGCTGGCCAGACAGTAGTTAATGATAAAGTGGACGGCTGCAGGATGTGGCGCGTGATCGCCTTGGCGGCTCACAGCCTGCAGGTGCTTGTGCTTTGGCTGACCTGAACCCAGCCGGAGAGCAGGTGCTCCCTGCCCCCATGCTGGCTTCCTGGCCTTTTTCTCAGCTGGCTTCACTGACATGGAGCTGATGGACCACTCGCTAACCAGAGTCCACTTTCTTTATTCCACATGTGCCATGTCAGGTTAAGATTTATAACAGGTCATGAATTTAGCTTCCTCATCTCTCTGAGTTCAGGTCAAATATCTAGATTTGCCTTGCAAAAATGGCCAAGATCAGGTGACACTTTGCACTTTTAGCTCACATTAAGGTATATGGACTAGAAGGAAAAGGTGAAAAAGTAAGTTCTCACAAGAAATAACCAAGAAAGGAAAACTTTTTTCTTGCTTTCATAGCAATGTATGATATGCGTATTTATGTTGATTCCTGGATGCTCTAATGGTGGAGTGATAATTTATGCGTTCGTTTGCGTTTGCAGGTGATGGAAAACTCCAACCCAGGCGAGCCTTAATAAGATGAACATGGAATGGCTGCCATTCTGTGGAGTCCAGGGTAAAACAGGTTTTAGATCTGGGTTGACTCAGGGCTCAAGCAGTGTCCCTAGAGCCCTGTTATTTCCCCTCCACTTCTTCTTTTGTCAGTTCCATCCTCAGCAGGTTCTCTTTTCAAGGTAGCAAAATGGCTATGGCATATCCTACATTCAAGTATAATGAGAAAATCACACTTTCTTTTCTAGTAGTTCCTGTAAAATCCCAAGAGTCACTCTGATTGGGTGGGCTCAGGTCACGTCACACCCTGGAATCCAGTGCAGTGTGATGATTGGTTTTCAACCACACCTCAGCATGCAGAATAGGAGGGGGTGTATCCCAGACCCAGTTCAGGAGTTGTTGCCGAGAAGGAGAGAGGGAGGAACTGAGGAAGCATAGAGTTTCTGCAGAATGATTCCATGAAGCACATATTGGGGACTTTCATTCTCATAAAAAGAGCACTGTTCTTGGGACCTCATACAGTGTTGCTTGGTTCTCAAAAAGTACTAAGTTCTTGTGTGGTTTCTGGGTAAGTCTGGCATCCCCCAGAAGCAGGGAGCCAGTGATTTTCCTGATGCCCTTGGGATGTTCACTGCATGGTATCAGATTACAGTAGGTCATAATGGATGCCATGCCTGGTAGTTGTGTGGTGTGACATTAGATCAATTAGCTTTCCCTGTACGCCATTACATCAAAGAGTGTCGCTGGACAGCTATTCTCAACATATGTTTTGTTTGTCTCTGAAAACACGTGTTCCATTTCTCCCTGGGCCATTCAGATTCATTTTGGGTGACTGTCTTGTCAGCCTGGGGCTGGGGAGAGGGGAGGACAGGCTTCATTTTGGCAGTGCTTCAAGCTTGGAGCAGCATCCTGCAGCCAGCACCATAAGCTGTATAATTTGTCCATGGAGGCCTATGCATTATAGAAATGAAAATTCCTTATCTGACAGCATTCATTGCTTAGCATGCAGCAATTTGGCTGTCAGAAACAGCTGGCCCTGCAGGGTGGGACAATAGAAAGGCGAGACCCGAGAGAGGCCAGTGCTTACTCAAGACTCCCACTGTGAGAGGATCAGGTTACTGAGACTGTCATTAACAACAGACTGCAAGGGGCTCTGGGCACAGCTTCCAGTGAGCAGGAGCCTGTGGCTCAGACAGTGAGTGATTTTCCCCTGTTTTGCTGAATGGAACAAAAATAAATAAATTAAAAATAAACCATTAACCTTTGCTGACACTCAGATGTTCAGTTCTGATTTTGTCTTCTACTGGGTGATGAGCATTTCTGGGGAAGTAAGTCCCTTCTAACCTAAGTATAGTTATTGGTGCATTGCAGAAAACTCAAAAAGGAGTGGGGCTGAGGGGCAGGATGGATTGCTTGACACCTGCATGTTGGAGGGCTGTAATTTTTAGGTTCTACTTACCTAGAAACAATGCTGAAAGGACCAGGATTGGAGACCTTATGAGGCAGGTTTAAACATGAAGTAGAAATGGGGTTGTGCGTTCTCCCCAGATGTACATACTTGGAAGAGCCATGCAGCAAGCAGAGGAGAGGAACAGAGGAGCTGTGTGGCTTGACCCTCCTCGGAATCTGCAGTGTGGCTGGCTCTGTGTGCTTCCTGTATTGATTCCATGACTCACGGAGCATGAGCTAAGCAGAAAGCACACTTAAACTACAGAGGAGACAGCTGTCTGTTACAGAAGGACATATTTTCTGGGTTTAATGGCGCCACATTTTTCCTAATAGTTTGTACACTGGGGATGTACTTACTAGTAATGTCTGCTAAAGGGTCTTTATTGTTTTTTCCTTTTTGAATAAAAAAGACATTCTTTAAAAAAATCACCTAAATATTATTCTTGACTTTTATTTCACAACAGGACTTCCCTTCTAGGAAAACAGTACCAATAAGCAACTTGTCACTATGGGTTGTTTTTTTTTCCCCCACCTCTTGATAGCAAGGGTCTATCGGAAGTTTAAAGCAATGCAGCGGGAAGTACCTTGCCTTTTTGAAGCGAATAGCGTTTCAGAGATATTGGGCGGCTCAAGGTTAGTTCTCCTGTTGGAATTCGTTTGTTGTTCAGTGCGACTGGAACTGTACTTTCTCCTGCTCTCCCTCTAAATCTGTTTCGCTTTTACATGATAGAGGCTGAAGTTCCCAGATGTTGTTTGGATTAAAGAGTGTGTGTGGGGAGGGGGGGAAAAGCTTTCTTGATGATAATAACAGAGTCAGACTGGCTGGTTCTGTACTGACAGGAAAATGGAGAGATAAAAACTCCATTAATGGTGTGTGCATTGCCTAAGTAGCCAATAAAACAATGCTGTCCTCACTGGAAGCCGGTCCCAGACTGGCAACGCTTCGTGCCAACTGCAGGAGACAACAGCTGCAAAGAGGGGCAGAGAATTCGAGTCAAGAGTCCACGTTCAATGACTGGCTTGCGGGGCAGTTCTTTTGTTCTCTACCTCCTCCTCTCCTCCTCCTCCTCCTTCTCCTCCTACTTTTGCCCATTTTCCTTGATGAGCCCCTCTTAATGCTCACTGTTCCAGAAATTGAACCACATCTGATTAAAACTTAATGGTTACTCACAGAATGAAGTTGGCTGGTAGTTTCCAAGCCTGTTTGTCTGGGTTGCTTTGAGTGTGTGACAATAGAAATTGTTATTTTGAATAAAATGTATCTGAGGGTTACAGTCCTTAAACTTTGACAGAACAGTCACTTATCACAGATGTACCGCTCTATTTTCCCTCAAATATCTTTAAATTTCCGTGCTCGAAATTAAATTAAAAAATTTAAAAGTTTTTTTTAAAAAAGCATCTCATTTTAGAAGATAATGGAAAATGGTAAAGGCTTGCCTTAGTCAGCTTTCATTCTATATGTACTTCCTGAACCCGTTCTCTGAGTGAAGCTCTCTTCTGTGACTGTGGGCCAGGTAAGGCTGTGCTCAGACGAGACCTGACTTTGGGAACTTACTGCCTCATGGTCAGGTAAATCCTTCGATCTCCAAAGGGAAAGAAAGACATGCTGTTTGAGTGATTTAGAAAAGCATCCCTGTAAATTCAAAAGAGAGATGAGCTGATTACCTAGCTCTGCCTCTGTTACATGTGAGTGTAAAATTTAAATTACTTTGACTTTTATTCATTACTATACATGGGGAAGGGAAAAGATATTTGAGTGTTTATCTTTGTGCCACATCCTGTGCTATGAACTTTATGTATATTAGGAAGTAGGTATCTGTAGCCTCATTTTACAGGCGAGAGAAACGTAAATCTTAAGGAGCTCATTTACTCAAGGCTGCAAAGTCTGTTCTTCCTGTTCATGGGTGCAGATGTAATGAAGCACATGATATGAACCAATTCATCTGGTATTTATTCCACCTAATTACAGTAGATATCCAGAAGAGGAGATGGAGTGTTCTTTATCTAGGCCCTTCAGAATGCTGGTGTTGTGGGGTAAGGGCACACATTACTTTTAAATTCTGGAAGCCTTATAAATCCTGGAAGGCTTCACAGAGGAGGAGAGACATTCCTTTATCTTGCAGCACACCCCCTTGAGTGTGCTCACTGTGTCAGGCACCCCGGTAGGGACTGGGGACTCAGTGCTAAAGAGGACAAAGTCCTTCTGCTGTCAGAAGGTGGTGATGATTTCCTGGTTGGGAAAGCCATGGGAAGGGAGAACAAGGGTGGGTATCCAAGCACCCTGGAGGAGATGAATCTTGAGTAAAGTACCTGGCGAAGAGCTCAGCTGGGAGTGACGCTTGTCCTGGTTTCCTTCCTGAAATGGAGGACTTTGTGTGCAGATATAAGGTGGTGGATAAAATGTGTAGGGAGGAGCAATAAGGAATGCTTTTAGGTACAACCTGTGTTTCCTTTTTGGAAACCCCATGTAGATTGTGAGCTGTCTCAAGGTTCCTGGCTGCGGACTTCTCACTCTCAGGCCACACCAAGTGGCCAGTGGCCACAGTATCTCAAGCCTGGTTTCTTCTCTCATCACTAAAGATGGCAAAGTAAGGTCACGGGCAAACCTTGTTCTTACAGATAAAGCCTTTATGTTAGGCATTTCCAAAAAAGTATTTGCCTCTTCTGACACAGTTTTAATTTACACAGCAAAGTAGAGAGCCTGCTCTGAGGAAATACGACTCCCCATGATGAATATTAGATATTGAATGGCCTTTAACATGTCATGCATGCATTACTGTGCCAGCTTGTCTTTTTCTAAATGTCAGGTCGTCACTGTTAATTTTATATGTTTAAAAGATTTGGGTGAATTCCAGGTATAACACTTTGGTTTTCATTTTTACATTTCATAGTAGTTGAAAGGCTCCATGGTATTCTTGATAGATGCTTGTCTGCGTCCATATTGATGAAGAACAGTAGAGTATATTAAATTAAAGGGTTGTTGGCTGGTTGTTTGGCAGTGACTTGCTTTCTGTTTTCTGTTCACTAGAGGATGCTTGGAGGATGTAATCTGCATACTGGTTATCAATGTGAAGGTTTCCCTTTGTTCTGTCAGTAAACCCTACTGGTTAACAGATCCTTGTTTTCAACCACTGGTTTTCAGCCCTACTGTGGGGCAGAGCTACACTGCAGTGCATTGTGAGTATTGCTAAGTAATTTATTATTCATTATTGAGGTAAAGAAATTTTGACATACGTTGGAGCTGATTCAGCACAATACTCTCCCATGTGTTCCATTATGTCTTTCAGAGTGAGAAAAAAATGGAACTCAAAGACAAGTCAAAGAACTGTATGTTTTAGTTAGTAAAATATACTATTAAGAAAAAGAAAAAGTGTTAAGGAAAGAAATGAGTATCACAAAAGTCAGCATTATGGTTATAAGAGCATCAATAATATTAATAACTTACCCTTTAATGGTGCTTATATCATGTTCTGTTGTGAGTGCTTTACATATATTAACTCATTTAATTCTTAGGATAATTCTGTGAGGCAGGTATAATTTTTAATTGAAATTTTTCAGATGAAGGGAATGAGGCACATTAAGTTAGCTCCTGAGGCCTTAAAGATAGCGCATGGCAGGACCGCAGTTCTAACTGGCTCAGTTCTGGGTTTTAACCACAGTGTAGGGGAGGAAGGGGGCATAGTGGTTGAGGACACATGGGATGTGGTGGGATGTGGAGTGCTGGCAGTTTCCTAAAAAGGAAACATCAGGACCCTTACTAAAGGTTTTAGTTGCATTTTTAGTCTATATGGATTGTTTTAGTCCATTTGGGCTACTGTGACAAAATTCCAGAGGCTGTGTAGCTTATAAAGACCCGACGTTTATTTTACACAGTTCTGGAGGCTGGGCAGCTCAAGATCAAAGCACTGGCAGATTCAGTGTCTGGCGAGGGCTTCTTAGGTCATAGTTGGCATCTTCTTGCTCTGTCTTCACATGGTGGAAGGGATAAGGTAGCTATCTGGGGTCTCTCTTATAAGGGGACTAAATCCACAGGGGCACTCATCCCACGAGGCCCTGCTTTCATGATTTAATCACCTCCGAAAGCCTCACTTCCTAATGTCATCCCATTGGTGATTAGGTTACAACATATGAATTTGAGAGGATACAAACATTTAGACCATAGCATGGATTGAATAGATATAGTCATATACTATATGTTTTTATATATGTATATATGAATATATTTATTTATTTGATATACATCTGCATGAATTCATACTGTATTTGAGAAATGGCAGTATAAATGGCACATATGTGTGTGATATATATAGCTCTCTATTCTTGCTGTCTGATGTATTCATACAATAAACCCCACAGTTGGGACCTACGCATCTACCTCTAGAGAAAGAGCATATTCACATATGGAAGCTTTTTTCAACCCTGGAATGCCCCTACTTCTGTGTAGCATTCACATTTATTTGCCTCTTAAAAAAAAATTACCAGGCTGGGCATGGTGGGTCACGCCTATAATCCTAGCACTTTGGGAGGCCGAGGCAGGCAGATCACCTGAGGTCAGGAGATCGAGACCATCCTGGCTAACACGGTGAAACCCCGTCTCTGCTAAAAACACAAAAAATTAGCTGGGCATGGTGGCACGCACCTGTAATCCCAGCTACTCAGGAGGCTGAGGCAGGAGAATCGCTTGAATTCGGGAGGCAGAGGTTGCAGTGAGCCGAGGTCACGCCACTGCACTCCAGCCTGGGCGACAGGTGATTTTAAATTTAATCCAAAATTATATTTAAAAGAAAATAGCTTCTAGACATGTATGTGACCTGCCCTTTGTATGAACAAAGTATTATTAAAAAACTGGAAGGATACCTCATGGTTGTGTTAAACCAGTCTAAATTTGGTTAGAAGTTCTAAGAGACTCAGTTGAATTCATGCTAGTATGTGTTGTCTTAAGCCTGAGTGCACAGCAGTGCTGGCAGAACCAACAAAAGTGCTGCACATGAAACAACTAAAATGGATTTTTAAAAAAGCTGTTATCTAAGAGTTACCTCCACCAATACTTAACGCATTCAAAATTAAAACTAACAGGAGCTAGCCTTTTCCTTCCTGACAGTGTTAGAAAATAAGCCATTCTAAAACTTACAGAAGATTATCATTTCCCTCTTGGATTTAGAAAGTAAAAAAAAAAAACAAAATCAGGTAGACAAATGTTTATGAAATGGACTAAGGTTTAGTGACCTGAAACTCGTTGAATTTTTCTTGTAATTGTTGACAGTGTGAATGGTAAACAGAGACAATTGCTAACGTTTTATTTCCTTTTTATATGTGTGTTGTACTTTCATGTCCCATCATATTGAAGCAATCCTGAAAGTATTAACTGTTTCTTACCATGTCTCTCTCAGTGATACTCAACTCCCAGCTGCTCATTTGAGTCACCTGGAGAGTTGGGACAATGGCCATCCTCCATTTCCACCAGAGAGCACTCTTAGGCACTTTTAATGTACAGCCAAGGGTGAGAACAACTGAGCTCATTTAGTCCTTTAACCCTGGGGTTTTGGGTAATGCTTGTCTGCCCTTCCTCTTCAGTCCACAGAGCTCAAGTATATGCTGGACATCAGGATATACAAAGATACAGGAAGCCAACCTGTGCAGTATGGAGACAGTTTGTTAACTTACTGGTCTCTGGAGGAACTTCTGAGAGAATTCAGCTGGCTGTAGTATCACCTCTACCTGAGGAAGGATAGGGCTGACAATTTGCTAGTCTCTAGCTCTTCTTGAATTGCTTTTGAAGGGTAGAAATGTGTGACAAAAGGCTTATATATGTGTGGGTTTATACACACATATTCCTTTCATTGTTGCTTGGATAAATAGAGCACATTTTAAATGAGAATGGTGTTAAAATGGCTATGAAGAATTAATTTCACATTAGAAATTCTGGCCCAAATTCTGGGAATTTGGGTTATTGATAAATATAGATTGTATTAATTGTCGGGTAAGTTGCTTCTTAAGAGTTGCAATATCACAAATGATCAAAAAGCTGATGTTTCAACCTGTGCTTATGTAAATTAATCACAGGTGTGGAATCTTGAGGCTTGTGAAGAAAAGACTCCTAACAGTCAAATTCAGGCATGTTTTATGTTATAGAATTAATCTATAAAAAATGAATTCTGATGCAAAGCTATGTGTTCTAATTAATAGTAACCCAAATCAAGAGGCTAAAATTCCATTAGTGGACTGAATGCTGAGTGACACTTGAGGAGAGTAAAGTATAGAAAATGTCTCTGTTTTGTGGTTACTCATATAAAAGGTCTTGCATTAAAGAGTCCAGAGATTTATGTATCATAGACAAGGTCATCTTGATAATAGCACATAATTCTGGGAGCAGACACATCCCCATCTTCCCACCCCATATCACCCCTACTGCAAAGCATCACTGGAATCCCAAAGAGGATTCCAGGTAGGCTGGCCTCAGTCCTGACTCTTGACTTGCCATCATCCTTTCTCGTTTTTGTCTTTCCTGTTAGTTTCTTCTGATACCTCACGTGTCCTTTGGTAGAGGCTGTTTCATTTTAATTATTTAATTTCATTTTAATTATCTGCCATTTACTAATGTTAGTCTGAAGTTGGCGGTGATTTGCAGATTCTCAGTAGTAGTTCTCATCTGATTGGGGGGTGGTGTCTGCCTGTTTTATAGATGGGACACAGGCAGAGAGTAATGTGCTTAAGATACCAATGCCTGGGAAGTAACATGCCTAGGTTCATTCCTCAAGCTGTGCGATTCCAGAGCTTTTGCTCTTTTCACAAAAATTAACTGGGAGACAAGCTGTGTCCAGGTGGTGAAGCTAGGTCCAGGAGTACAGCCCAGCATGTACTCGAGGTCTAAGTTGTACAAAAAAGGCTGTAAGACCTTTCAAACTGATTTTTAAAATAACAGTTTTATTGAGTTAGTTCATATACCAAAAACATTCACCCTTTTATAATGTACTATTCAGTGGTTTTTAGTGTAGCCACAGAACTGTTCAACTGACACCACTATCTAATGTTAGAACATTTTCACCACCCTGACAGAGAAACTATTAGCATGTAAGACTAATTTTAAAGCTAACATTATTGGAGTAGAAGCCAAGGATTGGGCTCTCCTGATCATCCTGTGAACTGAGTGAGGGTAGAAACCAGTTCCTGGCCCAACCCTGCAGTGGGCACAGAGTAGACACCAGTGTTGACTCTCACAGAATCCTCCAGAACAGTGAATTCTCAACTTTTGAAATTTTAACCCAGTCCCAATTTTGGTAAACTAAAAAATCTCACTTTACTCTGCCCACTTGTTTTATGAAAACAATAGGATTTAAAATTGTTTTCTAAGCACCTATTTGTTTTTTGATTTTTCTCGGGTAGATCTGCCACCCTCATTATTTTGATTGGAGAGTCATTGGCATCTCAAGACTTCTGGGTTATTTTCATTGCAGGTTTGCTTGAACACATGAAATGATTCAGTGCAGTCATGAGTTCAGATGACTCACGCATTAAGCAATTTCATGTGTAAAAGTGATCCCAGCCAGCAAATGCTAATAACAGCCATTTATTATTCCTTGGATCTTCCTACTCTTTTCTTTAACATTTGTCTTTGGCCATTGCCTCCTTTCTGTTACCTTTTTCATGCTTATTAAAGTAAATTGAATAACATTATATAGCAATGTGTGTTATTTGTCTTTTCTTCCCAGTGTGATATAAACAGTCTGGGGCTGAGAAAATGGGTAGTGGGGTGGGGAAAAACCTTTAAGAAGGTAAAGGCCAGGTGTGGTGTCTCATTCCTGTAATCCTAGTGCTTTGGGAGGCTAAGGTGGGAGAATTGTTTGAGACCAGGAATTCAAGGCTACAGTGAGTTATGTTTCTGCCACTCCACTCCAACTTGAGCAACAGAGTGAGACCCTGTTTCTAAGACAAAAAATGTAGCAAATGTAACATTGTCATGGTGAGAGGAAGAACACTTCTTTTTCCTACTTGAGCTCCCTCAGTCACCTTGACTGACAACATCTGGAAGCAGGCCAGCCAGTGAGAGCTTAGCCAAGGGAATTGTATGGGGGCATGAGTCCAAGTGACCATCTTGGGAATAATTCTCTGGGAAAAAATTACATTTTTTTTTTTTTTTTTTGGTGAAACAAAGCATCTCCCTTCTTACATTTTATTGATAACAATTTAGTTTCCAGTAATATTACATTGTTAGCATGGTATATAAGTATTTCAAGTTTTGTTTTCTCTCTCTGTGTGTATATAAAATTTAGAAAAAAGATTATGTCCTAAAATGTTAGAGTAGGGAATACTTTGTTTTCAAATGTAAGTCACAAGGAAGCTGTGGTTGAGTATATACACTTAGTTTACACATTGTCTTTTTGTATGAAATCAGAAACGTTGGTAGTTCTCTTTGTCTATAACTTAGGGTTTGGGGAAGTTTGTTTTGTTTTTTAGTTTGAGTTAAAAGCCATGACAACACTGAAAATGGGTTCCAGTAGGTCTACCTCCTTTTTTCCATTAGCATTATTATTTCTTTTTCATTTTTTAAATTGTTCATATTTCTCTTGGATGGTATCTTTTCTGCTTTGAATCCATTATCAGGGTACATCATTTATTATCAACATTTATGAAGGGCCTTTTATTTAATTTTATTTTGAGACGGAGTTTGCTCTTGTCACCTAGGCTGGAGTGCAATGGCATGATCTCGGCTCACTGAAACCTCCGCCTCCTGGGTTCAAGCAATTCTCCTGCCTCAGCCTCCCAAGTAGCTGGGATTACAGGAGCCTGCTACCACACCTGGCTAATTTTTGTATTTTTAGTACAGATGGCATTTCACCATGTTGGCCAGGCTGGTCTCGAACTCCTGACTTCAGGTGATCCACCTGCCTTGGCTTCCCAGACAGAGTGTTGGGATTACAGGCGTGAGCCACTGCGCCCAGCCTCTTGGCCTATTGTTTATGACTATCCTTGATGTTTCATAGGTGAAAAATACTCTTACTTTGAAGAGTCCACAGACTCACCAGGGAAATAGTAAAATTTAAAAATTAAAATGCACTTTTAAGGGCCACAATAGTTAAGTTTGGGAAAAACAGATGAGGGGGCATGTGTTAATATTTCAGACAGGATGTAGACATGGGGGCTTTGGGAGGTGATGCTGGGGCTGATCCTGAAGCATAGGAGTTTGCCAGATGAAAAAAGACATTTCAGGCAGACAAGTGCAAAGGCAGAAGGTGAACATGGTCATGGTGTCCCCAGGGAGCTGTAAGATACAATTAGGGTGAGGGTACCTATGAGATGATAACTCGATGATGTTGGAGATGTCTGGGGCCAGATCATGAAAATCAAGAAATCTACACCAGCTAGGAGAACCATTGATGGCTTTAAGCAGAGGAGAGGCACTAGTGAGCGTTACTCAATGAACAATTTACTACACTCATGGCAGGGATGTAGAGGAGACCTTGAAGGAGTCAGTTGGGCCACTGCTGGTGGGAGAGGTCCTGGGCTGGGTTGTAGGCAGCGATGGGGTTTGTAAGGCAAACTTGGTTTCTGGCTTTGTCTACAAGATTCTTCAGTGGTTCCATTGCAGAAGATAGGACATAAAGAAAGATTAGTAGATTTGGGATGGTGGGTGACATGGACAGGATGCTTTCAGTCTTGGGAACCTGGATGTATTCTTTTGCTCCCTTGAGAGACTGTTCTTGGTAGACCCACTGTTACTGTACTTCTGTTTGTACATTTTCGTACTCAGTTATCCTTCAATTGGAGAGCAAATGATTGGTGAGCAAATTAAATTAAAAGCAAACCTCAGTCAGACACAGTGGCTCACGCCTGTAATCCCAGCACTTTGGGAGGCTGAGGCAGGTGGATCACTTGAGGTCAGGAGTTCGAGACCAGCCTGGCCAACATGGGGAAACCCCCATCTCTACTAAAAATACAAAAATTATCTGGGCATGGTGGTGGGTGCCTGTAATCCCAGCTACTCAGGAGGCTGAGGCACAAAAATCGCTTGAGCCCGGGAGGCAGAGGTTGGAGTGAGCCAAGATTGTGCCACTGCACTCTAGCCTGGGCGACAGAGTGAGACTCTGTCTCAAAAAACAAACAAACAAACAAAAAAACAAAAAACTAATCTCTGAGTTAAGAATGAAACTGCTAAATTAAATAAAAAGTATTATGTTATTTTTACATTTTTTTCTTTAATTAGTGGGTTGGGTGCCATCGCAGTACAGAGGTAGATTGGAAAGCTATCTTTTTTTGGAAACAGAGTTTTGCTATCCCTCTGTTGCCCAGGCTGGAGCGCAGTGACATGATCTCAGCAGCCTCTGCCTTCCAGGCTCAAGCAAGCCTCCTGCCTCAGCTTCCTGAGTAGCTGGGACTACAGGGACCCACTGCTATGCCCACCTAATTTTTTTTTTTTTTTTTTTTTTGAGACGGAGTCTTGCTCTGTTGCCTAGGCTGGAGTGCAGTGGCGTGATCTCGGCTCACTGCAAGCTCCGCCTCCCAAGTTCAATCGATTCTCCCGCCTCAGTCTCCCGAGTAGCTGGGATTACAGGCATCCGCCATCATGCTTGGCTAATTTTTTTTGTATTTTTGTAGAGACGGGGTTTCACCATGTTGGCCAGGCTGGTCTTGAACTCCTGACCTCAGGTGATCTGCCTGCCTGGACCTCCCAAAATGCTGGGAATACAGGCGTGAGCCCCAGCGCCCGGCCTTTTGTATTTTTTTGTAGAGACGAGGTTTTGCCATGTTGCCCAGAAAATTCCTGGGCTCAAGCAATCCGCCTACCTCGGCTTCTCAAAGTGCTGGGATTACAAGCGTGAGCCACTACACCTGGCCCAAAAACAGCACCTTTAATTAAAGAATACCCCTTGCTGTTAGCATAATTCTTGAGGAATCCTAGTAACAATCATGAAAGAAATACCTAAGAAGAATCTTTGAGCTAGAAGGAAACGTAGTGACTTGGGCCACTGCTCTTTCTTTATAGTTAGGATAAAAGGATAACAGAGAAGGGTGAGTGAGAAGGGTTAGTGACTTCTGAGTGTCACACAGCAGTGGTGCGGGGGCATGTCTAGCTCATCGGTTCAGTGTTACCTCCATCGACCTGGATGACTCCCTGCTCAGTCCCATAGAGACGATAGAGCTGAGTTGAAAGACACTAGTGCTCAAGACCACCAAGTCAGCGGTAGACCCAGAGTTGCCTAAATTCTTGACTTTAATCTTATTTTAAATTAACTCACTGTTCATAGGCCAACAAGTATTTGTTGACTGGTTAGTATGGAAGGGATACTACCCCAATTATTACACAATCAGAGATAAGTAAGAGACTATTTTTCTTTTCAAGAAGTGTGCAGGTTAATTTTTCAGATTAACTCATTACAGGACTGGCAAACACTTATACAATTCATGGCTTGTCTGACATAATTATGGGTATGTAGTATATACACACACAAAACCAATGAGAAAACGAGGCCACATAAAACATTGTTCATTTTTCTTTTCTTTTTTACCTAACTTTATTGGATTTTGTTTTCTTTTGTTTTTTTGCTTGTTACCTTGTTCTCTCTGCACAGTGGGCAATCAGTTTCTAGACTAGCTTTAGAAATGCCTACATGCTGGTGGGCAAACAATAAATAGAACCAAATAATAAAAAATAATATTGATTGTCTTTTTTTCAGTTTATTCTTGTTCAATCATAATTAGGAAGCATGATCTGGTGAAAATTTTTCTTAGGTTGGTAATGACATAAATACTTGCAGGAAGGTATTTGGTACTTTCTGCTACTGCTTTGAATTTAAGCCTAGGGTAGAAATTTAGCCATTTCTACCCTAGAAATGGTAAGAGTGATAGAGAAGTTTCTTTTTCTTTACCAAGTTTATGAGCTTGAAATTATTAATGCTTTTTGTTTTTTTTTCTTTCTTTCTCTTTCTCTCTGTTTCTCTCTTTCTTTCTTTCCCTTCCTTCCTTCCTTTCTTTTCCTACCTTCCTCCTTTCCTTTCCTTTCCTTTCCTTTCCCTTCCTTCTTCTTTTCCTTTTCCCCTCTCCCCTCTCCCCTCTCCCCTTTCCTTTCCTTTTCCTTTTCCCTTTCCCTTTCCTTTCCTTTCCTTTCCTTTCCTTTCCTTTCCTTTCCTTTCCTTTCCTTTCCTTTCCTTTCCTTTCCTTTCCTTTCCTTTCCTTTCCTTCTCTCTCTTTTTCTTTCTTTTCTTTTGTTTCTTTTTTTTTTTTTTTGACAGGGTCTTACTCTGTCGCCCAGTCTGTAATGCAGTGCTGTGACCATAGCCCACTGCAGCCTCCACCTCCCAGGCTCAAGCAGTCCTTCCCCCCTCGCCCTCATGAATAGCTGGGACTACAGGTATGTGCCACCCATGCTTGGCTAATTTTTTGGAGATGAAGTCTCACAGTATTGCCCAGGCTGGTCTCGAACTCTTGGGCTTAAATAATCCTCCTGCCTTGGCCTCCCAAAGTGCTGGGATTATAGGTATGAGCCACTGTGCTCAGCCTGTTTTTTCTATAATTTTAAACTTCATTCATGCCACAAATATTTAAGTAGTTTGGCATGATGCTAGACCAGGCACTGGAGATATAGCAGCACATTGAATACACAGAGTTCCTACTTTCAAGAGGCTCCTCGTTGAAGTTTTGCTAAATATCTGTCTAGTGAAGGTAAATAGTACAGCCTAGGAGAAACAAAATGCCAGACACTCCATTAGAAAACCAGAAAATCTGGTCCTGGCCTGGTGGGTGGCAGTCTTGCGAACTCTTGTAAAAGTGCCTGAGATCATGAGCTGATGAAAGCCTGTATAGTCTTATGTGTGAGTATAATCACCAAGGATTACCACATTCCTGCCAGGCAACAGTTACAACACGGATGTCTCATGGTAATGAGGAGAGCTGGAGTGCTGCTGCAATGGGGTGTACACACGTGAAAGCTGAGCCAAACAGACAGAAAGGCGATCTAATTACCAGAGAAGTCTGATTCTGTTTAGGGAGTCGTGTGTTGGGGGAATGGAAGAAGTGGCCATTTCCTTCTTTCTTCTCTTCCACTTGTTCTCAATCCCTCTTCACTCAAGATGCTCTGATTCTTCGCTGAGAACCATTTGGAGATGTACATATAGCTGGATTAAAGCTACTTGGGGTTAGCCCAGGACAGCAGACTGATTTCATGGAAGACATTTTTTCTACGGATGGAGTAGTGGGGAGGAAGAGGTATGGTTTCAGGATGAAACTGTTTACATCAGATCACCAGGCATTAGTTAGATTCTCATAAGGAGTGTACAACCTAGATTCCCCACATGTGCAGTTCACAATAGGGTTCGCTCCACTGAGAATCTAATGCTGCCACTGATCTGATCTGATAGGAGGCAGAGCTCAGGCCTAATGCTCACTTGCCAGCCCCTTACCTCTGCTGTGCGGCCGGGTTCCTAACAGGCCATGGACCAGTACCCGTCCACAGCCTGGGGGTTGGGGACCCCTGGCCTGATGAGTTGTCATGAAACTCATTTCTCACTCAGGAATTGATTTGACTCCATGGAACCACCACAGACCTGTTAACTGGGTAAAGGCTGATGGAACTTGAAAAAAATGAAGGAGAATTAGAAAAATAGGGGGAAAGTGTGATGGATCCATTGGATGTCTATATTGAGCTACTAGCTGCTCTAAAAGGCTTATAGAAAGGCCTCCTGTGTAATTGGTAACATCAGTTAACCAGAAAGGCTGTGTTTATTTCCTTCCTAAACTAGTTAATCAAAGATTTCAGTGGGCCTTGCATAGGGAAAGAAATAAGGATAGAAAAGGGAGAGAGCAGGAATAAAGAAGAGAGAGAGAAAGGAGTGGCTGGGCGTGGTAATCTCTCACTCCTGTAATCTCAGCACTTTGAGAGACTGAGGTGGGCAGATCACTTGAGGTCAGGAGTTCGAGACCAGCCTGGCCAACATGGCAAAACCCCATCTCCACCAAAAATTAGCCAGGCGTGGTGGCATACGCCTGTAATCCCAGATACTCAGGAGGCTGAGGCAGGAGAGTCACTTGAACCTGGGAGGTGGAGATTGCAGTGAGTGGAGATTGTGCCACTGCACTCCAGCCTGGTTGAGAGAGTGAGACTCTGTCTCAAAAAAAAAAAAGAGAAAGGAGTGAGTGACATGGGTTACTTATGAGTGAGGAGTGCATGTGTGTCTGTCTTTTGTGGAATCTGATCTTCTCTGAAGTCACACCTCATATCTGGTGAGAAGTTGACTTAAGGGGGTATTCTATTTTAGTCTGTAGCCTTCCTGTTTGGTGTCTGGATTTTTTCTAAGTCACCACCAGTGGAAGAATGAGTATTGGGCTATTAGTCTTTCATGTTCTCTTTTCAGGCTTCCTATGGAGCCCTTTGTAATATTTATTTCAAAGTTGCTTATTATTATTATTACTTTTTTGACAGGATCTTGCTCTGTTGCCCAGGCTGGAGTGCAGTGGCATGAACATGGCTCACTGTAGCCTCGAGCTCCTGGGCTGAAGCAGTCCCCCCATCTCAGCCTCCTGAGTAGCTGGGACTACAGGTGTGCACCACCATGCCAGGCTAATTTTTAAATTTTTTGTAGAGATGGGGTCTCGCCATATTCCCCAGGCTGGTCTCCAACTCCTGGGCTCAAGCAATCCTCCTATCTTGGCCTTCCAGTGTGCAGGGATTACAGGCATAAGCCACTGTGCCTGGCCCTAAATTGCTATTTTGATGAGTCAAAATGGTCAAATCTCAGCAATTTTGCATAGGATTCAACCTAATAATTCAACCCTGGTAATCGTCACTTCTCTTCTTATAGCTGCTCCTTAAATATTGAGTTTACAACATTAGCTACCATTTATTAGCATCCACTGAGTGCCATGTACTTCATACGTGGCAGCTCTGCAAGGGAGTCATGACGCCTGTTTTGCAGGAAAAGATTACATGGGCCAGGGCTGGGACCCATCTCAGAACCTGTTGGTTCAAGCATGGAACCTTCTTTATGCTACTGTAGCCCACTCACTGCCTTTGTTGCCTCAAGTTTTCTCCTTGATTCCCTTACTTTATATTTCTGGCAGGAGTAAATGAATCTTTGGCTGGACAGATGAAAGGGATTTTGATGGACCACCAAACCACTTCACTTGAGGGTTTCGAGGTTACGGAGTGTAGGCAGATTATCTTCAAACGTGTAGTCTGGTACTTAATTACACTCTGTAATTAAGTAAACCATAGCGGGCCCCTTTTGTCTTAGCCAAATTGTACTTTAAATTCTGGAGGAGAAAGGTGCTCTAATATTTCGGCCAAAACATTAGGAAAGCCCATCTTCACTGTATTTCCACTTTGGCCTGGTTGTCTTTCTAGGCTGTAAGGCAGACCTGAATCTTTTCCTTAAAACATCTTGGAGATTTTGTTTTTCCTCATGCTCTGCCCTCGTTCCCCGGCTTTTTTTTCTTCATTATCTAGAAGTCTGACATATTTGATTCCTACTCTGTCTCTAGATATACACCTGGAGAGAACAGTGTTTCTGTCACAGAATTCCTTCTCAGGATTTCTTGGGAAATATATATGTTTTTCCAAATCCCTAGAAAAATCACTTATGAGGTAAATGGGAAAAAGTGTTATAATCCTCCTGTGAGAATTGTATGAGTCAACACAATGACAGTAGAAAGAATTCACTGATGTCAAGTTGAAAGCAAGAACAGGAAAAGCTGACTTGCAGAGTTGAAGGATAAGATCCACCTTTTTTGGAGCCAGTGCAGGATAGGAGCATGTGGGAGAGAATGGGTCATGATTTCTTCTCGCCGTTGCCATGTTAGAAATGTGTCTTTGTGGCCCAATCTGCTACTACCATTGATGTGTCATCCTTGCAAATAAAATAAGTTTATATGCATAGCATACTGTATACATATCCTACGCTTGGTATTGCAAGAAATAAGTTTTAGAAGTAAACTGAGTCTTTAAATTGGTGACTTCAACATACGAATCTGTGTAGTACTGTTAATTTGCTTGTAGATCTGAATGTAGGTTATTGCAGTGGTCAACAAAGTCTCTTTCTAAAGGGCCAGGTAGTAAATATTTTCGGTTTTGCAAGCCATACGGACTCTGTTACAACTATCAGTTCTACCATTTCAGTGTGAAAGCAGTCATAGACTATACTTAAAATGAACAAGTGTGCCTGTTGCAATAAAACTTTTATTTACAAATCCAGACTGTGGGCTGGATTTTGCCCGCTACTGGCATAACATCCAATAATGTTCACTAGCATTTTCCAGGATCTTAGTATTTGCTATGCTACAATTCTTTGTAAATCCTACTAAGTGTGATAGTTCCCATTTAACAATGTTTTTGGATATCCAAATAATGAGTAAAGAATGCAAGTATTTTAAGAAGAATATATTCTGGAGAAATTCCTGGAAATTCCCATTTCTCATGGTCATTCACATTTTCTTATGTATAATTTGGGAATAGTATAAGCTCTCAATTTCATTGTTAGGATTAGGTCAGACAATGCAAGTAATGTGGTTAACACAGTTATAGAACTAAGAGCTCACTAAATGATAGCTGCTATAATTAGTAACTAGATGGGGAGTATTTACCCCATTTCATGGAAAAGGAAACTGAAACTCAGGGGTTAAATGATTTGCGGAGGTCACATTTAATAGGTTGGAAAACTGAGTTTGGCTGCTTCCTAAGTCCATGTTCTTGCTACCATATCCTGCTTTCTGAAGTAGTTCTGGTTAATGGCAATTCCACGGCAAGATACACCTTGATTTATTTGGTTTATGGGCTGGGTGAACAGACAGGGAGAGTATGGAATGGTTCTTGAAAGGGTAAGGATTTTCAATGTTTAGAAGCCACAGTTTCTAGAAGCCAAGGATATGATTGTAACTAAAGAGCTGAGAAAACTTGTCTTGATTTTTTTTTTCCCCTGTTGCTTAGCTGTTGTGTGGACTGCCAAGAGCTTGTTTGATTTTAAGTGCTTTTTATGCTTGCCTGTTACTCAGGTCCCATCATATTGCAACAACTTTTAAGAAACTATGCATGTTCTTTTAAACTGGATTGAAGAAAACTGTACTGTAATGTTAAATGCCCAAAATTAGAGTTAGAAAATTTGATTGGATTTTCCTTCTCCTTCTTCATGGCCATCCTCCAACCACCTGCACAGGAATGTGTCTTTGACCCTTTAGGGTCAGACTTTTACACAGCTTGATTAGCTGCCAAGAATTGAAACTCCATCGCCAAATAAGTTGGCTAAATTTTTGGAAAAAAACTCAGCTCAATGAATGGTTTTTGAAAATTTGCTAGAGTTTACTATATAGATATTCATTTCATGGCACTGATTTTTTTATTTTATTTTTTTATTTTTTATTTTTTTTAGACAAATTCTCCCTCTGTTCCCCAGGCTGGAGTGCAGTGGCGCTGATCTTGGCTCACTGCAGCCTCCACCTTCCGGGTTCAAGCGAGTCTCGTGCCTCAGACTCCCGAGTAGCTAGGATTACAGGTGCCTGCCACCACGCCAGGCTAATTTTGTATTTTTGGTAGAGACAGGGTTTCACCATGTCAGCCAGGCTGGTCTTGAACTCTGGACCTCAGGTGGTCCACCCACCTCGGCCTCTCAAAGTGCTGGGATTACAGGCATGAGCCACAGCCCCTGAACAATAGCACTGATTTTAATTAGTGTGTATATCTTTTTGGGGAGTTGGTTTTTATATTTTCAGTCCCTCTTGGGATTTTGAACACAACAGTTTTTAGCTACCTTTCAGGTGTGCCGAGCTTGCCTATTGATAGAAGGGTATTTGTGGGGAGATGGGTGCCAAGTAGAACATTTGAAGAGTTAAGTATCCAGTTCACGTTATTTCCCATTTTACCAACCTTGTCTTTCTTATAGTACACCACAGTTTTGATTTCAGTCCATGGTTTATTTGAGAGTCCAATGAATTTTAAAACAAATGTTAAATTATATTTAACTTGGAGATTTAATTTTTATCTAGTTAACTCTTGAGTACCAAGTATATGCTAAGTATCGTGAAAGAGGGCCAAACAGTGAAGAATAATATGTGATCTTTACCTAGTTTTGAATTGGTTTCGAGAAACCCAGTGCATGGCAGAGAATTAAGTGCTAGGTTGTTCGTCATATAGAATATAAATACCAGGGGAATTAGAAAGATCTGGGAAATATAAGAATCTTTAGAGAAGACTGGACAGAGGCAGGAGAACCCAAACACTGTCTTGAAGGATGAGAAGGAGTTCCATGCAGTGAAGATGATGGGGCTGGGATGTTGGATGGCAAATTAGTAGCACCTTTATAATGAGAAAAAAAAAAAAAGAGAGAGAGTCTCTGATTTTTAAAAAGAGAATCAGAAAAATATATACCAGTGTTTATTTTCTGGCTTATCTAAACCTCTTCCTACCAGTACAGTAACTCTCACTTAAAGACATGGTTGACCCTAGGCAGGACAGCTGAACACTGGCCTCCTCTTAAAATGCGGTTAGACTTTGGCAGAGGGGAAAGCAGCTTTAGTGTGAATCTGCCAGATTTCCCTGGCCCCAGCATCTTGGAAAATACCAGTATTTCAGCAGTTTGTTCTGAAACTCAAGGGTTTGCGGGTGCGAGTTTGTTTTTAAGGATGCCCACTTTAGAAATGCATTTTTGCTCTTTCACTTTGCTAAGTGATTGCTGAAAAAGACAAATTTCTGGTTGACCTCCCTATGGAAGATAGTTTTACATGTCTTATTCTTACTGTGCCTTACGTGTCTAGATTTTCTTTTCAAATAGATTGTGAGCCTCAATTTAAGCTGAAGTGAGGAACGGTTTGATAGTATCTGTAAAACATTTCCCTCGAATTCCAAGGTGGATGGGAAGATTTTTCCCCATAATTATTGCAGAATGCTGCATTTGGGGCTTGTTTTCTGGTTAGATTTATTTACGTGAAGGTTTTCTTGGCAAAATGTTCCTTGAGGTTAAAAAAAAAGGCGCTGTTTTCTGAAGGCAGTAAGTTCTTCAGTGTTTTGTGTTACTTAACTATTTGAATGGGAAAGTTTGGTTCTAATAAAAATTTCCTCTTCCTTTGGCAAATGTTGATGTTTTTCAAGTCTTCCTAAAGGAAAATGGGGCCTGGGTGGGTTTTTGTTTTTTATTAGTTATCTAGAGCCTCCCCTCCTCTTCCCTTCCGCTTTGTACTCCTTCCCCACCATTGTTTTATGAGCCTTTGAACCAGATCTGTCTATGCCAGAGAATTGTTGCTTGAAAATAGACCAAAATCAGATATATTTGAGTGGATATACAAGAAATTGGTTACTCTGGTATACTGGATGCCTCTAGGAGGGGCCAGGGATCTTGGAACGGGAGAAAGACTTTTCATTCTGTAGTTTGTACTGCTCAAACTTTTTTTTTTTTTTTTTTTGAGACAGAGTTTCGCTCTTGTTGTCCAGGCTGGAGTGGAATGGCGTGATCTCGGCTCACCGTGATCTCGGCTCACCGTAACCTCCGCCTCTCAGGTTCAAGCGATTCTCCTGCTTCAGCCTCCCGACTAGCTGGGATTACAGGAATACGCCACCATACCCAGCTAATTTTGTATTTTTAGTACAGACGGGGTTTCACTATATTGGCCAGACTGGTCTTGAACTCCTGACCTCATGATCCGCCTCCCTCAAATGCACACAATAGTACATGCAGGGTCAAAATTTTTGTTTGATTTTGTGTGTGGCAAGGGAAAGAGAGGAAAGGGCTAGAGTACATAGTGTATAGGCTTTAAAAGAACTTGATTTTGAAATGTGCTGACTGCAGATCTTACTGGTTTTTTTTTTTTTTTTTTTTTTTTTTGAGACGGAGTCTCGCTCTGTCACCCAGGCTGGAGTGCAGTGGCGGGATCTCGGCTCACTGCAAGCTCCACCTCCCGGGTTCACGCCATTCTCCTGCCTCAGCCTCCCAAGTAGCTGGGACTACAGGCGCCCGCCACTACGCCCGGCTAATTTTTTGTATTTTTAGTAGAGACGGGGTTTCACCGTTTTAGCCGGGATGGTCTCGATCTCCTGACCTCGTGATCCGCCCGCCTCGGCCTCCCAAAGTGCTGGGATTACAGGCGTGAGCCACCGCGCCCGGCCGATCTTACTGGTTTTTGTGTTTAGAAAAATATTTAAAGACCAGTACAGATCCATAACCTCCACACTCTTCCTATCAGTGTTTTCAAACTTTTCTGTACTTGCTGCACTTGTAGATCAGCTTTGTTTTGTGGTCCTAATTGAAAGGCGTGCCAAATGTGCACTTCCTTTAGCCACCACATTCACAACTGCAGGATTTTCTTCTGCTTAGCTGGTTTTCTTTCTTCTTTCCCTCTGCAGCCTGGAGCATTGGTAAGCGTCACACTGCCAAAGTGAGAGCTGCTGGAGAACTCATAATCCCAGGAACGCCTCTTCTACTCTCCGAGTACCCCAGTGACCAGAGTGAGAGAAGCTCTGAACGAGGGCACGCGGCTTGAAGGACTGTGGGCAGATGTGACCAAGAGCCTGCATTAAGGTAGCTGAGTAAGCTTTACCCAGGAGCTCTCAGAACGGCATTGCCAGAACCAGCAGTGCAGCCACTTCAACAAATCACTTCTTTTAATACTCTTTGGCAGAGATCAAATCTACAGGGTAAATTCTTTGCCACAAATGATTATTTTGTTTTTTTATATGAATCCAATATAAGAAAGTTAGGACCAGCCTAATAGTTCTTAGTTCTGGCGTTGCCTTCATAGTAGGCTTTGTTGGGTGGATCTGCACAGCTATTCTTTAAATTTGGCCAAGTTTTTCAAATAAATACTACCAGTGTTTCCCTGCCTATAAAATGCCCCTGCCATCCTTTTCACCTTACAGGGCCACTACATTAAGTTTTTCTTTTCTTTTGTTTTTTTTTTTTTTGAGACGGAGTCTCGTTCTGTCACCTAGGCTGGAGTGCAGTGGTGTGATCTCGGTTCACTGCAACCTCCACCTCCCAGGGTCACGCAATTCTCCTGCCTCAGCCTCTTGAGTAGCTGGGACTACAGGTGTGTGCCGCCACAGCCAGCTAATTTTTTTTGTATTATTAGTAGAGACGGGGTTTCACCATATTGGCCAGGCTGGTCTCGAACTCCTGACCTTGTGATCCACCTGCCTTGGCCTCCCAACGTGATGGGATTACAGGTGTGAGCCACTGTGCCCGGCCCTAATTTTTTCTTTTAAAATAGACCTTATTTCTTTTAGAGCAGTTTTAGGTTCACAGCAAAATTGAGCAGAAAATAGAAAGAGTTCTCATCTATCTCCCCAACACCTCCCCTACTGTCAATATCCCACACCAGAGTAGTACATGTACTACAATCAATGAACCTACTTCGACATATCATTATCACCCAAAGGCAATAGTTTACATTAGGCTCAGTCTTGGTGTTGTACATTCTGTGGGTTTGGACAAATGAGTAATGACATGCATCTACCATTATAATATTATAGAGAGTAGTTTCAGTGCCCTAAAGATCTCCGTGTTCTACCTATTCATTTCCCATCCCCACTAGCCCTTGGCAATCACTGGGCTTTTTGCTGTGTCCTTGCATTTACCTTTTCCAGAACTACATTTTAATAATACATTTCCCGTGGAGTGCTTTGAAAGCATAAAGAAGCCTTGAGCCAGGCATGGTGGCTCATGCCTCTAATCCCAGTGCTTTGGGAGGCCAAAGTAGGAAGATTGGTTATGCCCAGGAGTTTGAGACCAGCCTGGAAAACATAGTGAGACTCCGTCTCTACAAAAAAGAAAAAAAAAATTAGCCAGGTGTGTTGGCAGGTTCGTGTATTCCCAGCTACTTGAGAGGCTGAGGCACATGGATTACTTGAATCTGGGAAGTTGAGGCTTCAATGAGCCGTGATTGCACCACTGCAGCCCAGACTGGGCAACAGAACAAGACCTTGTATCAAAAAAAAAAAAAATGTCTCGCTATCCAGGATGAAATGCTTTTAAGAGTATGATAAGTTATGGGGGTAATATGAATACCTACTTGGAATAGAGTCAGTAAGATGTTTTGTGAGGGGAAGCCTGAAGTGCAAAATGTTGATGTGTGTGTCTTTCTGAATTTAACATTTGAGTTGCTCAGATATGGTTTGAACCATGTATGTGGAGACAGAAGCAAGGGATTGGGGATTAAATTCTGCCAGGGTTGGTCTGTGCAGCCTCCTTAGATTTAACGCTTTTGAGGAAAGTCTCTGATGTGGCTGTTAGGTGCATTCTTTTTAAAGGAAAGTCCAATGTATTATTATAAAACAGCCTTATTATTATTATTATTATTATTACTATTTTGAGGCAGGGTCTCACTCTGTTGCCTAGGCTGGAGAGCAGTGATGCAATCATGGCACGCTGCAGCCTCAAACTCCTGGGCTCAAGGGATCCTCCTGCCTCAGCCTCCCAAGTAACTAGGACTATAGATGTACACAACCACGCCTGGCTATTTTTTTTTTTGTCGTTTGTTTTTTTTTTTGGAGACAGAGTCTCACTATGTTGCCCAGGCTGGTGTTGAACTGCTGGCCTCAAGTATTCCTTCTGCCTTAGCCCCCCATAGCTTTATATTTTATGTAAAAGTTAATTTTGATTATTTCATTTCAGATAATACGAAACAGTATAAAGTATAGCCATATATAGAGATAAAAGTTCTTCCCTTCTCTCTTTCACCTTTGGCTAAAATCTTGGAATACAAACTTTCCCATTTACAAACCTTTTCTTATACAGATATTTTTATATACAAACAAATATGCATATTAATTATGTTAAAAATTGGTGGAACATGACCATACATTCTATTTTACAACTTGCTTTTTGGCTTGACTTGGTATATTGTGGATATTTTTCCTTTTAAGCAGAATTTAATCTCAGGGTGAGTAATGCCTGCCTAGTGTCCCTTAAATGGCTATACTGTAATAATCACCAGTCCTCAAGTGAGAGGTTAGTTCATAATTTAAAGGGGGTAGGCGGGAGACCTTTCACATTAGGGACAAAACCAAGGCCATGACTGTTGACATTGGACTTTTGGTCACTAAGGATGTATGTTTTTATTTTCCAAGGCAGACGATGCACGGCTTGGGGCTGCTGCCAAGGTGTCAGTTTTGTGAAATTTTTATTTTTTGGAGGCTGTTAATATATTAGCATAGTTGTTAGTTCTGGCTACCATCCTTTGAGCATTTTGAGACACTTCTATGCCCATTTAAGGTGGTGTGAGGTTGAATTAGTTTTAAGAGGAAGTAATGAATAACAGAAATGGAATTAGGAGACAGACTTTATTTTGTGTATATGTTTATTTGAGGGAGAAGGAGATGATGGCTGTAGTTAATTGCTACCCCTGTGATTCTTAATTATGAAACAGGGTTAAAATTGTTCAGCTCAGTAGTTTCCTAATGTGGTTAACAGTGAGAGTCACCAGAGAAGTTTTCCGGTATCTGGTGTTGGCAATGAATATTTGTATTTTTCTTATTTTATAAAGTATTTATTTTTAGAAAGGTAATGTAATTAATGTATACAAGATTAAAAAGGCACAAAAGAGTGTAGAGTGAAAACTAAGTCTCCCTTTTCTGTCTCCCAAGTACCCAGTGGCCCTTCTAGAAACAGCCACTGTATTACCATTTTCTTGTGTATTCTTTCAGTGATTTCAGAGTATATATAATATACATGCATATAATATACATGCATATATTACAATTTTTCTTTTACACACATGGTAACAGTATCCACGGTTTTATACGTTTTCTTATTGAAATAATATTTCTTGGAAGTTCTTCCATAGTAGCGCTGCATTCTTTTTATTTATTTATTTTTTTGAGACGGAGTCTTGCTCTGTTGCCCAGGCTGGAGTGCAGTGGCGCCATCTTGGCTCACTGCAAGCTCTGCCTCCTGGGTTCACGACATTCTCCTGCCTCAGCCTCCCAATTAGCTGGGACTACCTACAGGTGCCCGCCACCACGCCCTGCTAATTTTTTGTATTTTCAGTAGAGACAGGGTTTCACCGTGTTAGCCAGGATGGTCACGATCTCCTGACCTCAGGTGGTCCACCCACCTCGGCCTCCCAAAGTGCTGGGATTACAGGTGTGACCCACCGTGTCGGGCGCATTCATTTTTAGTAAATACCTGGTATTCCATTGTAGAGATGTGCTGTCATTTACTTAACAATATTGATGGGTATATAGATCATTTCCAGTTTTTATTATCGTGAACAAAGCTATAGGGAATAACTTTGAATATACATCATTTCAAACGTGTGAGTGTATCTATGGGATCCATTTCTAGTAGAATTGCTGGGTCAAAGGTTATACACATTATAATTTTGGTAGAAATTTATTGCCAAGTTGCTCTGTTTATAGACCTTGACAGATTTTAGATTTAACAACGATGGGTGAGAACAGTTTTCTCATGCCCTTGCCTGTCAAGTATGACTCCCAAGTGATTATTTTATTTATTTGCCAAAGCAATAGGTAAAAAATGGCAGTTTAATGTGCTTTAATTTGCATTTTTCTTAGTTTGATTGAGATTGAGCATCTTTTCATAAGTTTAAAAGCCACTTTTATTTCTAGTTATCTTTCTATGCTTGTGTTCGTTGTCTATTTTGCTGTTTGGTTATGATTTTTATTATCAAAATATGACATCAAAATTATTGGTCCCCCCTTTTTATCCTTGTGATATGTGCTATTTATATTTTTCTCCGTTGGCCATTTGTATAGAAATAATTATTACTTTGTTGTGCAGGTTATTACAAATTTTATATAGTTAAAATCACCAATTTATTCAAGCAACAATTATTTATTGAATGCCTCTTGTGTATGAGAACTTGTTCTAAGCACCAGGCTATACAGTAATGTAAAAAACAGACCCTAATTCTTGCTCCACAGCGGAAGTTACATTCTTACTTACATTGGAGGAAATGATCAACATCCTAGTATCGTAGTTAAAAGACCTTTCATTTTTAGATTTAAAAACTTACTATCTCCTGGTTCATTCTAATGTCATGTGGGGTTTTTTTAGATTGAAGTCTTTGATCCATCTGAAATATTAGGTATGAATTCAAATGAATTTTTCTCTAGATGCTGTATTAATTAGGGTTAGGTTGAATTGCTGTAACCAAGGGACTGAAATATGCTATGGTTCAAAGAACACAAAAGTTTATTTTTTCTTCACTTAACAGTCCCTGTGTAAGCAAAACAGGTCAGCAGAACCTCCCACATCCACTGATCATTCAGAGGCTTGAGTTCCTTCTGTCCTGTGGTTCTAGTAATTGTTGCTGTGATTATCTGCATGGTCATATCTGAGTTGCTGCTGTATCTGGGTCCTCTCCATGGGAAGGGCAAAGAAGAAAGTCCAGGGCTAGTGATCAGAAACGGCAGACATCACTACAGATGAAAACTATAGTGATGAGAACTTCATTATATGGGTACATCTAGCCGCAATGCAGACTGAAAAGTGAAGTCTGTGTTGGCCGCCTTGTACCCAAGAAGAAGGAAAGAAGGGATTTTAGTGGAAAATTAGCAGTCTCTGCCATATTGGCTAGTCATTCCAATTTTACTGAACAGTCCCAACTTTTCTCCTTTGGTTTCTTTTATAGTATAAATTCCCATATAGATTTTGGTCTATTTCTGGGATAACCGTTTAGTTTCATTAATCTGTCTGCCTATTCATGCAGCAGAATCGCATTGTTTTAACTTTTGAGGCTTAGTTTTTTTTTTTCTTTTTCATGGGGTAAGTCTCCCCATTTTAAGTCCATTTCACAGAATTTTATTACTTGTGTGTGTGTGTTTGTGTTTTAAAAATAGGAACTTTAAAAGAATCATACCCAGTTACCACCCTCTCCCCCCATGAAGAAAACCTATTATTTTTGGGATTTTGTTAAATGTATAGACTTCATTAGTGAAGGTTCACTCTTTATGATGTTCATTTTTCTTATTTGACAATAGTGTTGCACAATTCCTTTGAAAAACACTGATCTGAACCCTAGACTTTCTATATCCTTTGACCCATGACACTTATTGAAGTACGTGGGAGGAAGGACCACTTTATATGATGTGTTAATTTTATTTTAATACATGATTTCTGATTATGACCAGGAAACATACTTATTTTGCTATTCTATTAAAAATAAACTTGGAACTTGTAAAAACAATTTCTTCAGTTTGAAGATAAGGAAGAGTTGATATTTCAGAAGTGTATTGCACAAACTTATTTGTAATGTACCAACCTGGGCTAATTGTTTGCGTATATATGATGCACAGTGCTTGTTACTTGCTTAGTGTATGTGTATGTGTGTATATATTTGTAACAACATGTATTCAGCTTTTGTCCTTTCCTTTTTACCTTTTTTAATGTAAAATAAAACACGAAAAGAAGCATACATAGTTTAGTTAATTACAAGGTGAATTTTTTTTGTGATCACCATGCAGGCCAAGAAATAGTATATTATGTAGTATATACACTATAGTAATTGCCTCCTTGCCTTTTTTTTAATGGGTCCATCAACCAGGTGTTCAGACCTACAGATTGGTCTCGTATTATCTCTTTATGTTTTGTAAGTCTCTTAAACCTGGGGTTTCCCCCTCCAGCCCTTTCTTTCCCTTACAGTTTCTCTGTTGAAGAACCTGGCCATTTGACCTCCAGCTTCTTTCTTGCTAGATTTTGGTGATTGCATCCACATGGTTCAAT
Source organism: Homo sapiens (assembly GCF_000001405.40). Taxonomy (NCBI): domain Eukaryota; kingdom Metazoa; phylum Chordata; class Mammalia; order Primates; family Hominidae; genus Homo; species Homo sapiens. Next base: position 157,812,222 of record NC_000002.12, on the reverse strand, counting down.
TCAATTTGTTTTTCTTTTAGTGGCATATGTTATATTAACACCACAATCTGGGCACCAGGGATGCTCACTGCTACTGAGTGGGTCCTTATTTCTAGGCCCGTTTAGTGGACCGAACCAGGAATTAAATATTTATAAAATACTTCATGAGTTCATTCTGATACTTTGTGATTCAAATTCAGTTTATAAGGTTTTAACTTAACCTTTTCTATATAACATCTTTATCTCCTTTATTTGACACAAAATTCTAGTCCTCAAACACAACGGGGTGATAGAATACTTCATAGGTACTTATTTGCTTTCTTCCACATTATACACACAGTATTCTCAGAAGTGCCACAATGCTAACACTATACTGCTAGTTATGAAAACTGAAAACAATTTCTTTTTTGTATTCTATTTCCATTCTCCTTCTTTTTGTTGTTGTTGTTGTTGTTGGAGGGTGTTTTAGTTGTTGAAAATTGGGCAGATTTAACACTGATTAGCTCTTAGATGATATTTGAAGGAGGAATAATTTTAACTTTGTTGGGTGAGATGTTGGGTTTTAGTTATGTTTAGAAAAAGTCCTTATCTGTCAGAGAATTTGTGGGTGAAATGATATGACATCTGTGATTCTCATTAAAATACCTCAGGAAGAAAATGGGAATGGAGGAAATAAGGCTGCTTATTTTTGAAACTGGGGGTAGAATGTTGCTTATTTTTGAAACTAGAAGATTTTAAAAGAAGGCATATTACGCTTTCTGTTTCTATGTAACTTGAACTATCTGTAATAAAAAATTTAAATATTAATTTTATAAACAGTGAAAAGAAAAGAACATATGGGGAGGAGGGTAATAAGGAAAGAATAGACAGGGAGTGGGGAAATGACTAAAGAATGGGTGATTTCATTCTCAACCTGGTGGTCCAGCCTGGTGGCCTACAGTGGTTCCCGAGTCTAAGAAAACGAGTAACATCTTGAGTGAAAAGAAAAGGCTGAGCTGTGGGGCCTAAACCAAGATTTAAGGCATGAGTGACAGAAGAGGAAGCTTCTATGCAAGGAAACTGAGAAGGATCAAAGCATTAAAAGTAAAGATACCTGAGAGTGCAGCCCACAAATCCCAGCTAGGGAGGAAGCCAAGGGAAGAAGGTGGTCACAACACCACATCCTACATAATCAGTGAGTGAGACCTCCTTGTCATTCTCAGCATCACCCGATTTGCTGGAGGGTGGGGGATTCCTAGGCCTCGTCACAGATCAAAATCTCTAGGGGGTGAGGCTTGGGAATCCATATTTTGAGGAAGCTCCCTTGTGAACCTGAAGGATAAGGTAAGACTAAAACGACGTAGAACCTTAACAAGGGGTATTTCACTGGATTGACTAAGGCAGAACACTGTGGACTGAAGACTGGATGGGGGACATGGAGGAAGCCTGTGTAGTTGCTGTTCTAGAAAGTGTTCGGTGAAAGGATGAAGAGGGTGGATATTGGAGACCTTGGGGCTGAGGAGGTGGTGGTAGTTGAAATTGTTGCTTATGATGATGTAAGAGAGATTGCCTATAAATGGGAAGGATGTGGGTGGTTTTCAGTGCAGGATAACTGAGTAGTTTGGCTACACATGTGCTTAGGCCCCCCACTGCCAGAGAGATTATTTTTTGGAAAGAGAGATTTTTGATGGTTCAGGGAAAGCTTGGAAATGTTCATCATGGATTAGATGTTTCTTTCACTTGTTAGCATTTTGAATTACATATTAAGGGAGGAGAGGCCTCAAAGCCTTCTCAGTGCCTTTCCTTCTCAAGTTCTTATTGGGCCTTTCTGGCCCATCCTTGAGAAAGAAGGAAGGAATGGGGCCTGGCACACTGGATACAGGGACCCCTCCCTGCCACCTGTCCCCCATCATGTTCTTACAGTTTTCTCTTTCTCCATTTCCTTGCCTCATGTTAAATGGCAGTCTTGTATATGTAGAACCTCCTTAAGGGATTGCCTGGTACAGAGTGGTGTTTTTCAGTCATTATACTTTTGGACTATTGGAAGGATTCCCACGTTTCCACAATGATTTCATAATCACAGTGTTTGAAGGTTGTGGACAAGGACTGAGGTGAGAATACTATTCTCCTCTTTTCCACTGCCTTGGGGTCTTTGTTTTATTTTTAGTTTTAATTTTACATATTTTTTAGAGATAGGGTCTCACTGTGTCACCTAGTCTGGAGTACAGTGGCATGATCATAGCTCAGTGTAACCTTGAACTCCTGGGCTCAAGTAATCTTGTCGTCCCAGCCTCCAGAGCAGCTGGGACTACAGGCCCACACCAACACGCTTGGCCAATTTTCTTTATTTTTTGTAGAGATGGGGTCTCACTGTGTTGCCCATGCTGGTCTTGAGATCCTGGGCTCAAGTGATCCTCCTGCCTCAGCCTCCCAAAGTGCTGGGATTACAAGCATGAACCACTGTGCCTGACTGCATTTTATTTTTAATAACAGATCAAATTCATAATTTTCTACTCTATCGGCTTTCTACCTTTGTGTTCTTGGGCGCATCACCTATTTTTAAGATTTCATTCTTTCTCCCTACTTCATAGAGTGCATTTATTTTTACTTTTAACATTGTTTTCTTATTTAGGTCAGTGAGTGTTTCTGGTCGAGTGGGTGGTTTTTTGGTTATATCCGTTCTCCAGTCTCTCTCCACCCGGTATCCATCCAGAACCTCTCCCTGCCTCCTCTCCCTGTCTCCTCCTTGTTTTCTGTTGTGGTTACTTGGATGCTAACCCATTCAACTTGTGCACTGACCCTGGTACATGGCTCGTTTTCTTTCTCATGATCATATTTATACTTTTGATGGATATATTTAAATGAACAGCTGTGTGTTTGTTGAGTCATACCACAATTATCTGATTCTGCTTTAGCTGCTTGACTGGCAAAAGCATATTTCAAGCTAAATTGTGAGAGAATTCCATTAATCACATTCTATTCGGGGGAGGGGAGAGGAGACAGACCACTAAGAGAATTCTTTTCCAAGGTTAATGTTAATTAGTGATTCCATTATTTAGAGTAGGTTGATCTGGTTGCTATTTAATGTGTGACTTGGAGAAACTTTACAAAGTTTAAATAACTGTAAAAATAACTATGAAAGGTTTAATGATAACAGCCGTGTAGGCAAAATTCCTTGGAATAAATTGATGTGCAGATAAAGTTAGTTGCTGCTGCTGGTCTATTTAAATAGATAAGGGGTCTTTCAAGAGTTCCTTTTTGTAAAGACCAGGGTTCTTGCCTCACATTGCTGTAATTCATTGGCTAAGTATTTTGTTTGAAGCCTCCTGAAAAGATAACATCTAATTCAGAAATGTTACTACTTTCTGTTTTTTTTTTTTTTTTTAAATGTATTACTGACTGTTACCTCTGGTCAAGTCTTTGGCTTCCATCAGCCGGATCTATTTTTCTCCTGACACTTCCTTGGGGTTCTCTCTGAAGGTTATTAATAGGCATGGAAGCATGGCTTTCCAAATAGCGTCAATAAATGTTAGAAGCCTTCAGGGGAGATAATATGTCAATTTCTGACTTGTAGGAGATGTATATTCAAGAGACAGACGCTGTCTCAGAGGTCATTAGGGATGGCTCTGGGCCTATCAGCTGGTGTCTGCAACTAGAGATCCAAGCAATCCCTTCCAACTGGGATATTGTCCACCAGGGAGTTGTCTGGTACACCCAAGGTCTGCCAGCCGTCTTTTTGTTTGGCTGCCTCTCTTGGATGACACCCTTGAAAACTGGAATCCAAGTTACAAATGATATCTTTTAATTTATCTCAAATATCTGCTTGCTACTATATTAAACTGGGGACATACAAACCCACCCCTGCCCCCCATTTCCTTGCTAGGCTATATAAAACTTAAACTTCACCTTCCTCTCTCCACACCAAAGTGTAGCCAAGGCTAAGATGTTAAAATGAATATGTTTTAATTTATATTGTGCACCTGGTAGGTGCCAAGCATGAGTATGTAGCCATGAGCCAGGCAGAGTTCTTACTCTCATGTTGCTTACATTTTGGTGTGTGGAAGAGGGAGAAACACAATAAAAAATTTATTTATTTTATTTTAAACTAGTAAGTAAGTGACAAATCTCACCTAGTTGTTAAGTGCTAAGAAGAAGATATGGTGGGATAATATAGTTTATGGGGGTGGGTGAGAAGGTCTGAGACAGGAATGGGCTTGGAGTGTGGGAGTGAGACGGAAGGCTTTGGTTAGGCCAGTGTATAAAGGGTGGTGTTTCTCACTACCACAGAAAAGTGCTCCAGTGTCTCTCAGTAAAGACAGAGAGAGAGAGGGAGAGAGAGAGAGAGAGAAAGAGAGAAATGTACCTCTCTGGCCTTGACATTCCTTTCATCTTATACCCACCCCCCCCCCCAAATTATTATAGATTAATCACATTAGCCTGAGAATTGGGACAGCTGTGTCAGATGAGCAGTGCTTCTAACACTGTAAGTCATGGGAGGGAAAGAAAGGTCTGCACTGTTAGGTTAGAGGGGAAACGTCAGGTCAGGCACAGCTAGAAATGAGACAGAGGACTGAGACAGTGTCTACCTGAGGACTTTGGGAAGAAGCGGGATTTGAAATGAACTTCAGAATTACATATCTAGAAGAGCTTTATGGGAAGGGATAATGGGGCTTTTCCTACCAATAGGTAAAAAAAAAAAAATGGTCCAGTCACAGTTTGCAAACAAGGGATAGGGAGTGAGCTGTGAGCTGCGTTGGAGAATGTAGCAAAATAGCAGGGAGATGATGGAGTCCTAGCAGTTGAAACAAAGCAGGTGGACCGTGGCTATTTGAAACAAAGGAATGAAGTGGAAAACGAGGGACAGTCTCCATATAGTCAAGCCTGGTGAAATAACACCTAGTTTTGAGGTACGAGTAAGGCACGCAGCAAGTGATCAAAACACTGGATTCTCAGAAATTTAGTGTAGGTATTCTGTGTATATCTGGAAGGGGTGTAACAAAGTCAATTTCATTCTGTGTACAGTTAAAATAAATTTACTGGGGAGCCTTTGATTCTTACATAGTAGCCTAAGCTAGACCTTTCACTTCCTTTCACATTAAGCCTTATCTTTTTTTCATCTTTTTTCATTTTACAGATCATATTGTTTGCTTCCCTTCCTTCCCAAACCATATCTAGGGTCCATCTGTTACAGCTGGAATGTTTATAGTGTAACTCAGTCAAAACCCATTCTTTCCTGAAATAATCCATAATTATTTCCTCTAACTACAGGATAAACGGATCCAGGGCCTGGTTTTCAGTTCTATAGGACTTGTCCAAGAAGCTATTTGTATTCATCTATCATGAAAGATCAAATTACATGCTAATATTCTGAAAGTAACACCCCGCCAGAAACCCTCCAGCAGCAGTGAAGTCTATATAAAACCAAGCCTTGGCAATTTGCACATTGCCAGTTCCGACAGAGTGTGGTGTTAAAAATATTTAACAGGTCATTTTTGAACCGTAGAAAAGACCCTGACTTAACTTACATGGTATGATAGCTTCGGTTTAACCTTTCTTTGCAGCTATTACTGACAGCCCATGTCTCATTTCACTCCTCCCAAAGGCCCAGGTAGTTTGGCACAAGCTGCCTTTGGGTTAGCTCATTGCCTTTTGAGCATAGAAGAGATATGACTGTTCTTGTATTATCTAATCAGTTACAGTGGCTGATTTTGGCCCCTCTTCGTGGTGGTTGATGTAAGTCTATTTTCCTTCAAAGTTTCATGTCTACAATTTCCCTTGCTGGGCCTAACTTTGCCCCTAAATATGCCTTACACTAATTTCCGTTTTTATTTTGAGGGGTGAGTTTACAAGAGAACTGAAGAGTAGGGATGGAGGATGGGGGCTAGAAACCACTGATGCACTATCAAAGAGGCTTGTTTTTTTCTATGATATCAACATCTTTTCTGGGGGCAGTGGGAGGGAGGAGATGATTGGGGGTCACAGAGTAATATGAAATTGTTTAAGGTTAGGGAAATGGAAAGAAGGCATGATTGAATGGTGTATTAAATAACCATGAGTAAAGGTTGTTCTTTAAGAGGAAAATAAAGATTTTCAGTTGAAGTTCAGAAGAATTGAGGCTTGAATAAAATGTTAAGGATGGCGGAGCATGGTAGCTCCCACCTGTAATCCCAGCACTTTGGGAGGCCGAGGCAGGGGGATTGATTAAGCCCAGGAGTTCGAGACCAGACTGAGAAACATGGTGAAACCCCACCTCTACCAAAAAATACAAAAATAATTAGTCAGACATGGTGGCATGTGCCTGTAGTCCCCACTACTTGAGGGGCTGAGGCAGCAGGATCATTTGAGCCGAGGAGGTTGAGGCTGCAGTAAGCTGAGGTTATCCCACTGCACTCCAGCCTGGGCCACAGAGCAAGACCTCGTCTCAAAAAAAAAAAAAAAAAAAAAGAAAAAAGAAAAAAAAAACCCAAACAAACAAACAAACAAAAAACTGTTAAGGATGACAGAACAAGATTGCTAAACTGTGGCTAGCTAGTTAAGTGAAAGTTGTGTAGAGTGGTGGTGGGTTAAGACCTGAATGTTCTGATCTGGTGGTTTGCGGTTTGACCTGTGTCCTTAGGCAAGTTTCTTCTACCTTCCCAGAAGACTAAGAAAAAGCAGGATTCCATAAATTATTTTTCCACATTGCCTCTGCCTTTTATATTAAAGAGAATTATTATTTTTTCCTTATGGAAGGCATAGTACAGAATGCCTAAAGATATATAAAGAAAAAAACTGTGATGGAATCATAGTGAGAGCCCTTACCAATGGTGAGCAAGCGTAGGTTAGAAAGTGTCTTCACGTGGATGATGTAAAAGTCATTCAAAATAGGGGTGGGTGATTGTATGACCTGTCTTCCAAGATTCTTTCTAATTCACAGATTGTTAGAAATTGAATTGAGAAGAGTATCAGGAATGTCCTTATTGAATGAAGGTACTCACTAAAGTATGTGTTGAAGAATGAGTTTAGGCCATCAGGCAAGATAAATGAACATTTTGTCAAATTTTCCAATGGGAAAGAATTTTAGAGTTCATCTTACAACTTTCCCCTCATCCTCAATATTATAGTTAACTGTATGCTACCCATAAGTCTAGTTTTCAGAAACATGCTGTATTATAGATTAGCACTTAGATTGCCTGATATGGGTTCTGAAAGTTGCATATAGAAGTGTATTATATTCTCAGTTATTCTGTGACCAATACCACAGTAAAATTTTGGGTAGTACATTGTGGGGTATCTGTGGCTTTATCTAGCTGTAAAATTGTGATGAGCAAAAAAAGTGCCAAACTTGGTTTCAAGCCCACATACATTAGAAATTGAGCTAAGCGCTAGCTTCTTAACTACATACAGTCTGATCTTTAAGTGGAATTTGAAAAGTAACATGGGATTTGGAAAGTCGTTTTGTACTACCCTGGTGATGTGTCTGTTTTTAGTAGAATATCATGGGAATGTTCTGTCTTCTAAGAAAGTAGGCCTGAGACATTGTAAGAAACAGTATTGATTTAAAGAGGGTACCTTAGTTAAGGCAGGAGGTCTCTAACCATTTTCTGAATAGCGATTTTTCTTGTGTCTGACATACTAAAATCAGTTACCAGGGATAGACGGTCTTATCCAAGAACAGAAGGGAGATGTGCGTACACGAGAGGCACGGATTCATACTCTGAACCCTTCAGATAATATTTTGCAGTCCCCAGTAGCCTGTGATTTTTCAGTTAGAGATTTTGGCATTACAGCCTTGCACAAGGATTTAGTTGAACCCAAGCAAGATATGCAGCTATGACTACCTTCATACAAGTTTATATCCCATTTCAAAAATATTTAGCTGTATTCATAAAATATTATTCCAACATTAAAAAAAATTAAAGCTTTCTTCCTTGACTGTTGGACTTGTTGACGTCTGTGATGTTAGAGAGGTTAATGAAATTTCTAAAACTGTAGAACAGTGTCATTTTTGTCAGGTATCCGCTAAGTGCTCAGTCTAAAATATCTGGTACCATCTGGTTATCTGATATAGTACAAAGACTGAGCATTTAAGGACTAAGGCAGTTACTTGAAGTGTTGTCCAAGAACTCCAAAGGCGCCTGAGACTTTCTCAGGGGTTTCACAAGGTCCTCCTTCTTCCAATGATATGTGTGATACTGGATTTTCTATATATAGTTCAGCCAGTACATGTTGTAACAGAATGAATGTAGATCATATATGAGAATCCAGCTGTGTTTTATTGAACAGAGATTTTCTAAAAAGCAGGAAAACAATGCCACTTTTCTCATAACATGTTTTTTAAAAATACATCATAGCTCTTTTAAAATAAAAAAAAAATAAGGTAGTATGTTATTGTTATTTTATTATGAATATAATATTTTAAAAATTCTGTTTAAATTTTTAACACTGTAAATATCAAGAGATGTAGCCTACATACACACGCTTCTCAGTAATTTTCAAGAGTTTAAAGAGATTCTGAGACCAAAAACATTTAAAAAATACTGGAGTAAGGCAATCCCAGAACTATTGAATTATTGCCACTCCCATTTTCCACTACTAGTTTCTCTTTCTTGCCAACTTACATATGAACGCTCCTTAGCCAAAAATATTTGAGAGCAGGAGAGTTGAAATTTTACTTTTAAAAATGCAATTTTCTTTTTAGTATATTTTAAAATTAAAAATAGATCCTTGGGACTTCGGGTTGAGATTTTAGCGTATTGATGTTTCTTATAATTGAAATATGGTCAGGAAATACCAGAACATTCCCCTTTCCACATTCTTTTTTTCTTTCCTTTTGGGGGTGCTGTTTTTAATAGCTGAGTTTACTGGTCAGGATAAGCACTGCAGACCCTGAACAAAATGGCAACCAGTAAGTTGACTTTTTTCCCAAAGATTTTTGGCAGATTTTGAGCTGTCTTTAAACACTAGAGACGGAATTAGTCCCTACTGTTTGAGGGTCTGAATTTATAATTCTTTTTCTGTCTTCTATTTATGAGCCTAAATTATTGTTTTAATTTTGTTCGCACAATGATAATCTGTTAATAGGTATTTGGGACGTGGGCTTTTGCTGGCTTTGTGACGTGGAAAATATGCCAGTGGTGATTGTTTCTTAGATTTTTTTTTTTAATAGTAAAAGGAGTCTTGATTTGAAGCTTGTTAACTGTTGACTTTTACTATTACTTGAGCTAAATTCTACAGATTAAAGTTATAGAGATGATAAATCTCTTAATCTTGCCATTCCTTTGCAGGTCTCTCTGTGTGTGTCTGTGTGCATGGTGGGGAAGGGATGCTACTAATTCTTTAGAATTTAAACTTAAATTGAGTTGATTAATTCAGGAAAAATTCTAATTAAACTGTTATTAAATGTGCACCTACTTGGCTCTGGCAGTGATGAACAAGATAGACTATAGATTTTCCTCCCGTGGAATTCACAGTCTAGTGACAGAGACAGATGTTCAAAAGCACACACAGTTATGAATACATAATTATTAATTAGGATGATTTGTATGAGTGAAACTTAAAGTGATCTATGAGAATGAGCAGAGAGTACTTAAGGGTTTAGACAGGCTTCTAGAAGGTGGTAGCCTTTAGAGAAGCCATTGAGACTTACGGGATGAGTAGGAATTCAGTAGGTTGGGCCCTGAAAGAAGGGCCCAATCATAGGGAGCATCACGTACAGATGTCCAGAGATAGACAGAAAGTGGCTGGTGGGGGTGATAATAATGGGTAGTGGGGACTGAGGAACTATGGAATGATGGTGAGAGCCAAGGGGGCAATGAAGATAGGTGAGTAGAGTGCCTAGAGTGCCTTACCTCCGTTCTGACCTTTGCCTTCCTCTCTAGCCTTCTTGGGTATTCGCCGACTCTTTGTGACTCTTCCAGACCCTTTGTGTCCTGGCCATTCTTGCGTTTTTTCAATCCTGAGGTTTGCCCTAAGTCCTCAGGACACACCATGCTTGCTCTGGCCACAGGCACCTCAATAGAAGTGCCTTTTCCCTTAAATATTACCCTATCTGTGTCCTGTATTCACCCTCTCCCACCACACCTCCCAACACACTTACCCTTTTCCTAGTACCTCTACTCATCCTTCTGATTCCTGATTCTTTTCAGATGTTACCTCCCCAGGGAACCTCTGCACCCTCCAGAAAGTCTCAAGTTGTTTTGTTAACACAGTTATTTTAACTATGTTTCTTCCCAACTCTTATTCAGTTTTTAATTATGGAATCTTGGATGATTATTTGATTACCACCATAGACATATCTTGTAAGTGCCACGATAGCAAGGACCCTGTTTATATTTACTATTTTAGGTTCCTAATATGTAGCACATAGTAGGTTTTGAGTAGTTCTTGAATGCATGAATGCATTAATGAAGGACTGGGAATTCAGATAAGACTGAGATAAGAAATAGTTTAGTTCAGCAATTTTCAATGGTTTGTGATGACATATCCCATAAAAAGTTTTCTGATGCACCCTCAATGTGTAAATTGGCCATACATTTTATATAAAATAAATAAGTACATATTATAAAACATACATAAAATAGCAATTAAATAAGGATAAAATATTTAAGGTGTTGCTAATGGCAGTGGAATCATACTATCATCAATGAAAGTCTCAAGCCACTCAGGATAATGTTTACTATCTATGACAGTAGTTGCAAATCCGTTTTTCAAATATTTTCAAATTTTGAATTTGGGGAGATTGTTTCATGTCAGATTGAACTGAATATTACTACTTTTCTCTAGTAAAGTGGTTAAGGAAGAACCAGTAGAAATAAGCGATGTTAAGTCTACTGTTTTCTTACTCTTCTTTGGTGCTTGCATTAATAATATGTGCAATCTCTAGTTTCTGTAATGGTTTTAGAACACTTGTCATTTGGGAAGGCTCATTTCACTGTAAGTAGCCAATATAACCTGTAATTCCACTTGAACGGACCTTCAGAACTACAAGTACATGGTTGTACTCTGTAAATAAATCATGTCCACGCTAACATTATGTAACTCCTAGTCTTTCTGAAAGATACCTCCTGTACTAGACTGTCATAGAGAACTGAGATAGAGACCAGATTAAGTCTCAAGTTATTTTCTACTTTATTAGATTAAAACATTCTTATGAAAAAACAGTTTAATAATTTCATTCCATAGCTCAATGAATGACCCTTGCTTGGTCCTTGGATGTGCATACCTGTTTTGGAGATGAGTGGACCAGTGCTGGAGACTGCCCTAGACAGATGATTATGATTCCATGCCGGGGGCTGATATCACTGCTGAGGGAGAGGTTTTTCACCAAGGGCTTACCTTTGAGCCGGAATCATGTATGACAGGAGGAGGCAATGGGGTTGGAGAGGGGTGGAGGAGGGGGCTCAGGGCAGTTCAAGCAGAGGGGAACAAAAAGCATATTCATGTCCAAAGGTACAGAGATGTGTTGGAGGAGTCACATTCTGGTTGTGAGGGGCCAAGATGAAGGATTTGTATATCCCCAAAAGGATCCACTATAGGAAAGATCTATGTGAACATGGAAATAATAAAAACAACAACAGTAGTAGGATCTTCCTCAAGTTTCATATGCTTTTAAAAATAGAAAAGGAAGGTAAATAAAAATCCCCTTTACCTCCTCCCTTACCTTGCTTTTAGGAAAGGGATTGACTGAACTATAATTATGGAACCAAAGAGAAATAAATTTAAGTGAAGGGTGGTAAGATATGATGGAGGTATGGTTTGTAAACAGACCGCCAGCCAAAAAAATTGATTTTTTTTTAATTTTAAAAATAATTAAAAACAAATAGAGATGGGGTCTCACTGTGTTGCCCAGGCTGGTCTCAAACTCCTGGGCTCAAGTGATCATCCCACCTCGGCCTCCGAAAGTACTGGGATTACAGCTGTGAGCCACCGCACCCAGCCTAAATAATTTGATTTTAAAGGTCAACACTCCAGACATGCTAGATAGCAATGGGCTTCCACTCTTTGCTTTAAAGCTGAAAGAGTACAAGCACACTAACCTATCATTAAAGAACTTTACCAGCTTTTTGTTTATTTTACCATCCAGAAAATTGCAACTAACCAAACTCCCATCACATTCCTGATGTTTCACATTATTCAAATGGAAAAGTTTGTTTTTATTTTTACATGATTTTAGTTGTTGTCTATCCTTGTTAAATTTGTTTAATGCAGAAATGCATTGCTTTGCCTTAGATGGGGTAAAAGTTTGTATTTTTTTGTTCTTTGTTTTTGCTGTAGGTCTGTATGTTGATGTAGGTTGCTCTGCCTCCAGTCCTTTTAAAGGAGAAGTAAGACTCTAACATAGTAATTTGGCTTGAATTATTCAGTCGTTTAATCCTTAACATCATGTTAAAATAGTCTATTCATGCTTCTCAGGTTTTTTAATTTAGTACCAATTTTGCATTCAATGGGGTAAGATAAAATTCAAACCTAAAATCTTTTGGGACTGCCTCACTTTGTAGCTGAAAATTTTTTGTTTCCTTATTGATTTCTTTGTAAGAGAGTAGACTTAGAAACTATCCTTGGAGTGACTACCAGTTAGAAGTGAATATGACTAACTCTTTAAAGTGATATGTTTAGGTCCACATAAAAGGTATGTGTTTAAATGTAGTAAGAAGTAAGGCAATATATCTGAGGGTGATTAGTAAGAAGGGCCTTGAATGGCAGTTTGAAGGTGGTATGCTTAATTTGTCTTCCTGCAGTTAGATATTTATGCTTTACTTACATCTCTTCTTTTCCCTTTACAGTTGTACAATGGTAGATGGAGTGATGATTCTTCCTGTGCTTATCATGATTGCTCTCCCCTCCCCTAGTATGGAAGGTAAGTGACTCACATCTTTTTGGGTTAAGATAAGTATACTGTGATTTTTTTTTTTGGCTTACTATAAACTACTTCTTAAGCCTATCAAACTTAAAACACTCTTTTTATAATAAATATTTGGTGATTATTGACTATTTTGAAGGAAATTCTTATATACATTATATCTGAATATTTACATACACCTATTTTTTTAAAAAATTCAACCTAATTTTCTACTTAAAATAAATATAGGGCCAAGCATGGTGCCTCACGCCTGTAATCCCAGCACTTTGGGAGGTCGAGGCAGGTGGATCACCTGAGGTCAGGAGTTCGAGATCAGCCAGACAACATGGTGAAACCCTGTCTCTACTAAAAATGCAAAAATTAGCCAGGCATGGTGGCGGGCACCTGTAATCCCAGCTACTTGGGAGGCTGAGGCAGGAGAATTGCTTGAATCTGGGAGGCGGAGGTTGTAGTGAGCCAAGATCACGACATTGAACTCCAGCCCGGGCAACAGAGCGAGACTCTGTCTCAAAAATAAATAAATAAATAAAAATATAAAGGAGAAATAAGAGAAAATTCTGTAATTAACAATAAAACATGTGTTTAAACAAATGCGAGGCTGGGTGCCGTGGCTCATGCCTGTAATCCCAGCACTTTTGGAGGCCAATGCAGGTGGATCACTTGAGGTCAAGAGTTCGAGACCAACCTGGCCAACATGGTGAAACCCCATCTCTACTAAAAATACAAAAATTAGTTGGGTGTGGTGGTGTGTACCTGTAATCCCAGATACTTGGGAGGCTGAGGTGGGAGGATCGCTTGAACCTGGGAGGCGGAGGTTGCAGTGAGCTGAAATCACACCACTGCACTCCAGCCTGGGCAACAGAGCAAGATTCCATCTCAAACCCCCACCCCCCACCCCCTCCAAAAAAGCCCAAATGTGATATATTATGGTGTAGTTGGGCATGAGTCTACAAGAAGACATGATGAAGTAATACATGCTTGCACCTATATAGGTAATAATCTTCAACATCTTCGAAAATAGATTGGTACTGGTGTGTTATATTGGTGGCTTAGTTGTCATAAGTGGTCTCTTACCTTCAGTGATTGAATTTTCTGAATTGGTGAACAGATTTTGGTAGAATTAAAAAAAACCAGAACCGTTGGCCCTTGATTTATATACTAGTTATATGTTTGGAATATTTAGTATACATGAAGGCAGTGTAAGACATACATACTTTGTGTTTTTATGTATGACAGGGTTAGGTGCTGGTTTCAATTCTACAAAGATTATTCATGAAAATGAATGCTCGGTGGGATAGTTGATACTTGTAGTGCAACGGCCATGTCTTGGCCTATTTGGGATGTTACAACAAAAATACCAGAAACTGGGTGGATCAAAAACTAAACATTTATTTCTCACAGTCCTGGAGGCTGGGAAGTCTAAGTTCAAGGTGCTGGCAGATTCAGTGTCTGGTAAGGGCTCGTTCCTCATAGACGGCACCTTCTCTGTGTTGTCTCATGGTAGAAGGGGCTAGCTAGCCCTCTGGGATCTCTTTTATATCAGCACAAATCCCAATCCTGAGGGGTCTGCCCTAATACCCTCACCTTGGCAGTTAAGATACTCGCATGAATTTTGGGGAGACACAAACATTCAGGCCCTAGGAGTCTAATTCTTAGTTGTGTGGCACCACCCAGGCATTTCAGTGCCTTTGGCATCTCTGACCCTTGCTTACTTACTTTCATTACTCACTTTCCCATCCCCTCATTTCCAAAAAGTTGCTCAGGGATGGTCCTGCCCTTGTTGAAAAGGACAAAATAGATAATCAAGAGAGAAAGATAGTAAAAGTTACTCATCATTCCCTTCACTTACATGTAATTGCTTTTAACATGTTGTTATATATCTTTCTAGATAGAGAAAGCCTAAACTCTACTCTATTGCACATTGAGCAGTGCCCACTTTATTTTACAAGTGTTCCTCCATGAAGAGTGGTGCTTATTGTAGGAATCTCAACCTCTTTATGATCAGATGGGACAGTAAGACTAATGCCCTTGTTACAGGTTCTTTGGGGTATGGTCTTCTTTATATAAATGATGAGTTTCCAAGGAGGCATATAATTTGACAAGTTAGTATAGCCAACAATGTGAAAAAATCAGTACTTAGAATATTATACATCTATTTCATTATATATTAGGTTCATAATATTTGATCTGTTCCTATCTCCTTCTCATACTTAATGACATATATTATACTTCTCCATTGTCCTATATGGTAGCTGATAGTCACATATAGCATTTGAAATGTGGCTAATATGAGTGGAAATATGCTGTAAATGTAAGATACAAGCTGGATTTTGAAGACAATAAAAATGTAAATTTCACCTGTTTTTTCCTACTGCTGTGATAAAACTTAAATTACATTAGGTGGCTCACATTTTGTTTCTGTTGGCCAGTGCTGTTATAGACCATTTTAGATATCTAGTTTATATTCCACTCTAAGCAGTGTTGTTAAAGATATTCCCATAATATGGCAGTTGTGTCAGTTAGTGCCAAGAAGGTATGGGGAAGGGATCCTGAGTGGCAATGTTGAAGGAATTAATACGAGGAAATGGGCTTATATTAAAGCTGGGAGGATTTGGTGAGTTAACAGTGATTTTTCAATTGGGGTAGTTTTATCCCCCAGGGGATACTTGATAATTGCTGGAGACATTTCTAACAGTCAAGTTTCTAGGACTTTTTTTTTTTTTACCTCTTTTAAATTGGTAAATAATGATTATTATTTAAAAATCTAAGGAATATTGAGAACTAAAGTCCCTCCAAATTTCACTGCCTTCCTTAGTTACCATATCAATTCTATATGATATTTTTGTTGTTACGGTTTTGTTGTTGTTGTTGTTTGAAACGGGGTCTCTTTCACCCAGGTTGGGGTGCAATGGTGTGATATCAGCTCACTGCAACCTTCTCCTCCCAGGCTCAAGTGATCCTCCTACGTCAGCCTCCTGAGTAGCTGGGACCACAGGCTTGTGCCACCACAACTAGCTAATTGTTTTGCATTTTTAGTAGAGACAGAGTTTTGCCGTGTTGCCCAGGCTGGTCTCCGACTCCTGAGCTCAAGTGATCCACCCACCTCGGCCTCCCAAAGTGCTGAGATTATAGGCTTGAGCCACCTTGGCCGGCTATCGATTCTGTATGATATTTTGCCTTTTAATTTTTTTTTTTTTTTTTTGAGGCAGAGTCTCACTCTGTCACCAGGGCTGGAGTGCAGTGGCACGATCCTGGCTTACTGTGGTCTCAACCTCCTGGGCTCAAGCATTCCTCCTGTCTCAGCCTCCCAAGTAGCTGGGACCACAGGCAGGGAACCATGCCTGGCTAACTTTTGTATTTTTTGTAGAGCTGGGGTCTCACTGTGTTGCCTAGGCTGGTGTCCAACTCCTGGGCTCAAGCAGTCCGCCCACCTCTATCTCCCAGTGTGCTGGGATTACAGGCGTGAGCCACCACACTCTGCCTCTGTGGTATGGGGCAGTTCAGATGATATCATGGGTGGACCTGTGATGTAGGCAAGGTATGAAAAAAGAGAGAAGAGACAAAGAAGTGGAAATGTAGTATGAGGAGAGAAGGAGAGGTAGAGAGAGAATGGGGAAAAGAGTGGGGCGGAAAAAGGGCAGTTATGGAGCAATGCTAATAACCATGCCGTTGGTTGTTTTTTTTTAATCCTGCTTTCAGCTCTTAAGCTGAAATAACCTCTTAATGCCACAGTGAAGACATGTAAAACATGTAAAAGTTAGTTTAGGCTGAAATGGAAATGGAAATAGATCGACCCTTAAGGTTTTGCTATTTAATATACCACCACCATTAGGATGTTTACAAGTATGGAAAAGAGCATATCATACTTTAATTGCAATTGCTGTTTTTTTAAAAAAATGGAATATCCAGTGAGTGCTATAGCCTAGCATACTCTAATCATAATAGCAGTTGCCTTAGTGCCGTCTTTCCTCTGTGACTCAACTCCCTATTGTGTTTGTGTGTGTGTGTGTGTGTGTGTGTGTGTGTGTGTGTGTGTGTGTGTGTGTTCTATGGAAGGCATTTTGTTTTTATATATTTAGTAGGAAAATTTTAAAAACCAAAGAGAAACCCTATTTATAATACACTCTAGTATCCTCAACCTTGGTTAAAAAGCAAATGTTAAGTACTAATACTTAATCCAAAAGAGATAAATAATGGGGCCGATAACAGAAATCTGTAATAGCAGTGTAGCTTGTCTACTGCTGAGCAAGCTTTAGACGACTGCGTTTAAAAGGAAATAGACCCATATTTGATGTTTGTAGAACAGATAGGCATCCTATTAATTGTGCTGTAATGAAGCTAGATCACATTCTTGGGACATAAATAAGAGAGTCATAGAGATTTTGTTCTAATACATTTTGTTGGGTAGTGTACTCTTCTTAGTCTATTTAAAAAAAAAAAACTTTTACCCCTTTGTCTCCGAAATGTCTAATAAATATTGATTAGAAATAGTGGTAACATTTCAAATATTAGTTCTAAACAGTGATTTTTTTTTTTTTGGTAGAGTTTGAGTGTACTTCAGAACATTTCTCAAGTTCTATGGAATCCTAAATGCTCTGGGCAATAAAAGATTTTTTCACCACTTATATTTGGAAAATGCTTTCCAATATAATGGCCTGTTTGATGATTATAGGTAATATTTAATGAGTGCTTAAAATGCACCAGATATTGGGCTAGCTTTCATGCATAATTTCCTATAATCCTCACAAGTGCCCTCATAAGATACATTGTTTTTGGATGTGCTTTTGGATTAGTTAAAGCTCTTGCTTAAGGTTACACAGCCAACAAAAGGCATCATATACTTTGAGGAATGGTGTTCAAGAGCTCCAGTCATTATCAGTCCTCTTCAAAATTTTTCATTTTTTTTTGCCCTAAATTAGCTACATCCACATTCATATTATGTCTGGTGCATGCTAGAATCCAGCTCGATCCAGTCTGTTTGAGAGCGTGAGAAGAGAGTTTGTAATAGCAAATGATGAGGCCCCTTCACCTGGGGTTGTGTTTCTTACTTTTCTTGTCTCTCCTACCAGTAATCATTTTTCATGTTCATTATATATACAACTCTAGCTGCAGGAAGAGTTTTATTTGCTCTCATAGAGAAGAGCACTTGAGTCCTAATTACCTGTATATCCTTCCCTTTCCTTCCCATTAATAAGACTAATCATGCTCTAATACTACTATTATACCACCAGGGTGAAGGCAGAACCTCCATGTTTGGCTTTTCTTTTGTCCCTGTACACATTTGCAGGTGAAGACTATGACACAATTACTTTAAAGGGAATATTGCTCCTTTGGAAATATTTCAAAGCTGAGACGACCCACATTTTATTAAATTTGTAAGCCACAGTTAGATTTTATTATAGCCAGGAAGGCCAGACTTATGCAGAATTTTTTCGCAAGAGATTTCGGCCTGTTCTAGAGAAGACTGCTAGGTACTAAATTATTTTCTGAGTTATCTTGATTTTAGTATTTACAAAGCCATCACTACTCAGACTTTCCAGCCCCACTACCCAATGATGGAAGGAAGGAGATAACTTCAATGGACTTTTTGTTAGGGTTACAAAGGTGCCCCTCTTTGCTGCTGGGGGGAAGAATAGAATAAGCCTTTCTTTGATTTTCTCATTATTAGGGATTCAGGAAGTTCTTGAAGGGGTGAATGAATGGAAGAGAAATGTCTTAGTATTACATTTGTTTCTTCTTCTTCTTAGTATTACATTTGTATCTCTTGTTCAGAATAAAATCTTTTTCTTTGGCATATCATCAAACGGAAGATGTTTTTAGGGAAAGGGATGACATACTAAGGCATTTGCTACTACTGGGACCTAGAATGTAAATATCTGATGAAGCATCATACTTTTAAGACACTGCTTCTTTATTATCAAGTTTTCTTATTTTACAAAATGATCCTATACTAGTTGATGCAAGGTGAGCTGTGACAAAGCATCCTTTTAGCCTTTCCTTCCTGGGAAGTGTTTGTTTCAGCCATGAGTAGTTAAACTAGTGCCACATTCTTTTCTTTCTTGTTTTTTTTTTAGTGGACAGTATAAGAGGGGTATGGATAGCAGTAGGGTGTGGGAGGATGCTAAAAATTCATTCAAAGAAAGTCAAATATTGAACAGATGAGAAAACAAATTCAACACCTAAGCTCATGAAATGATTTCCTTGTGGTCAACAGTGTGCAGTGCAGTCACTTCTAAGTGTTCTCTTTTATAAAGACAGGTCTCCAGAGTGAGAGGATGAATGCCATCTCCTCTTTATGGAAAAACTTGTAAAGCAGAAGGTTTGTAGGCATGTCATATATGCCACTTTCACTCTTGAAAACACCAAGGAAAATAAAACACACTTAAAAATTAATTTGTAACTCTTAAAACACTGCAAACTGTCCTGCGGAACTTTCCTCTGCAGCCCGGGATGAACTCAGGCAAGATTCCATACAGAATGTTTATTCCTAATAGCCATAGTGACTCAGAACTCATGTCATTCCAAGATAGTGTAAGACACAGGCGAGGTGGCTTTCAAACTTTTGACTGTGACTCACAGCAAGAAACATTTTGGAGTAAGACCCACTGCATAGATAGTGCCCACACACATCTGAAATGAAAATTTCATGAAACAGTAATTACTCTTACTATGTTTAATGTGCACCTATTTCTTGTCTTTTTAAATTTTATTCAGTTTTATTTCACTTGAAAAGACAGAAAGAAACCTTGTCTTAAACTACTGAGTTGATTTTGCTACCCAATAGTGGGTCATACCCCATATTGAAATTAAAAAAGACAACACCAGTCTGCTTCAAGGGTTCACTGTGCAGGTGTTCCTACTGCCCTCATGTGACAGCTCTGACACCTGACCATAGGTCATCTGGTGTATTCCTCAACAAAGCTGGTCTAGAACCTTTTATTTTTTCACAACTCCATGTAGCCTGACCATCCTTTCTCTTTAAGTCAGTGATTTGGGAGGAAGAGGGAAGTTTACATTTGCACCTTCTCAGCCTGGGTCATAACACTGGAGCAGCTGTGGCCTGATTCTCATCAGCTGAATCTGAGCCCTGCAAGCAGGGTGTTTCCTAGAGCCATGGTTAATGCTACATCTAATTCTTTGTTACGGGCTAGAACAGAACATGGACTTTGCTGAGAATATGTATATGGGATGTGGGGAGGAGAGTTGTGGGAAGGAGAGAAACAATAAAAGGAAGAATGAGAAATTCCTCTTGGGCACATGATGGTGACATTCACCTTAAAAAAAAAAACCTGCCAGTATTTTTTAAATTGGTGATTTGGGGGATTGGGGTGGGGATGACTCCTTCGTTTTATTTCTTGCTGCATTTGTTTTGTCTTCTGAATTATGGTACCTACACCAAATTAGTTTTAGTTGAAAAACAACAGCAAAACAGATTCATTCAGAAAAGTTACAAAGAATGGGTAGAAAAAAAATTACCAACAGTCCAGTTTAGAATTTGACTTCTCTGATATATATAATACTGTAGCATGCCATGTAGAGTTACAGTAATGACTTCTTTTTATCCTTAACTTCACGTCCCAGTTCATATGCTTCAAATTTCAGTTTTGCAGAGGGTTAGGATCATGTTTGACATAGTATTGATGGTCAGAGTCAAAGAATGTGTTCTGAAAGGAAGGCTTTGGCCATGCATAGGAATCAAGCCTTTCTCAGGAAAGAGACAAGGCCAAAACACCACCGTTAGTCATCCTCTGTTTCACTATGTCTTTGCGTATATTCTCCTTCGCCTCTCTGTGCTTGTTGCCACCTGGTACGATGGAAACAATAACGGTACCCACCTTGTTGGGAGGAGTCATGAGACTACATGCCGAGTGCCCGGCACACAGTGAGCCCTAGAGCGTGAGAGGCCAGAATGTGGAGGTATTCATTGTTTTATCCCTAGTGTCTAAGACATTACCTGGTGTGCAGTTGGTGCTCAATAAATATTTGACAAATGAATAAATAATGTTGGCTAGAATAATAATTATGGTATTAGAGAAAAGATAATAAGAGACAGTGGGACTGATCTGGGCTGATCACATGCACTCTTTCAAATAATTTATTATGAGTTTGGGAAAAGTGAATCAGTTATAAGACAAACTTATGTTCTTTTAGTCAATTTAAACAGGAGTACCAGTTGACAACACTGGTAGGCATTGGTGACGTAAACATAAGCAAGAAGTGGTTCCTGCTTCAAGAAGTCATAGTCCAGTTGGATACAGCAAAGGTCACAGCATAGCATGAGGCGTATGGACAGGAAAGGCCTGCATTCCACATGGAGCTGGGTTTGGGGCTGGTGATGCAGGGAAGCTAAGTTTTGAAGGATAAGTAGCCATTAGACCAGCCGAGGAGGGACTAAGAAGGACATTGCAGGCAGGGGAAGGGTGAAGTCCAGAGACGTGAGATCATGAGATCATGAGCGGTCACCATGTCATGAGACGGAATTAAGGTTGAGAGTTGAGCCCTGCAGGCATGGCAGAGCCTTATGCTAAGGTGTTTGTCTTCTATCCTGAAGGCAATGGAGAACTGTGGAGAGATTAAGTAGGTGCAGTTTGTGTTTTGAAAGAGTGGTGTGTGGTGAAAGTGGATCATAGAGTGTGGCAAGATGAGAAGTAAAGGGATGGGAAAAACTAATCCTCCTGCAGTTTAGGGACAGGCAGGCACACATACTCCATTTTCAAAGGCATCCCAACTGTAGCAACTAAATGGTGGCAAACAAAACAAAAACAAAGCCTTAGTGCGAACGTAGAACTGTTACAGGTGGCTCACAAATGATATTAACAGTGACAAAACAACAATAATCTAATAATAATGCTATTGCTAGTTTTATTATGAAAGCAGAAGCCAGAGCTGCTGACTTTTCTAACAACTTTTGCAGGACATTTAAATCCCTCTAGCTGGCCCTTTGTTCCTGTGTTGCCATGGAGTGTCAATAAGCCCAGCTCAGAATAACCCAGGCAGTGAAATGAGAGGTACAGCTTGCTCACTGGCATGTTGGCTGGCCAGGTTACACTGTTTTCATTGCTCCCATCTTGGGAGGAGCACTGGGCAGCTGGTTGCCCTGGCAGCTGTGAAGGTGTATGTCTCTTGGCTGCCCAGAGTTCGAAACGGAACCAAAACTTGCCTGCCTACTGAGCATGTGCAGCTCCTGACTGAGCTGACAGCAACTGAAAAAAGCCCACTGAGCACCTGTCCCTTGTACACCAGCCCCTGGCCGACTGCCATTTAGGACAATGTGGACTTACTTAGTAGACAGGTGAGGTGCTGAGCAGATTTTAATGGTCTGAGGAAGATCTTGGGAACTTTGGCCCTACTTAAAAGGAAGAAAAAAAAAGCAGCAGGCTTCTGAGCAGTTCCATTTGGTGCTTCTGTGGTTAGTGGGTGGCCACACTGGCTACGTATGTACAGTATGTGCCTGAAGACTTCATATTGTTCTCCTTACAGCAGTTCAGTAAACTAAGTAAGTTTTCTCTTTGAGAGAAAGGCTTTCCTAAAAGTCTCCTAGTGGTAGCCATCCATGGTTTATACAGCCTCAGCTTTAGAAAGTTTTGGAGTTAAACTATTTTGTTTCATTTTATACCTGCTCTTTAATCCCTAGTGATTGTTAGTCATTTCTACAAGGTGTCTCTTTGCTAGATTATTATTTCTCAGTAGTCCAAATATTGGCACAAGTACAATCACAGAATAGAATCCCAGCATGTCAGGAGCTGTCTGTTCCCTTTTGGGATTTCTTCCATTTCCTTCTGGACTTTAATCTCCTCAGTAAGCTTGCCATTGTTGGACAGACTTGGTGGCCAGTGTGGATGGAAGCAGGCTCTGGAAGGAAATGCTTCTGAAATGACTGGTGGCATTAAAGCTACTATTTAAAAGTGACCCTTTGTAGATACTTGGGTTATCTTTAGGCTGTCAGTGATCTGCAGCTACAGGAGCCAGAGGGAATCTGCGGAAACTCTTGTTTGTTGCTCTCGCCTGGATTTGTGTTTAGATATTCTTGCTCCCCAGCCAGTGGCCTCGTGACACATCTCAGATTTAGCTGGCTTTCTTCTGCCAAAGTCCAAGATTATTGTGGAAACTGGGAATGGTTTGCCATGGCACAGATTGAAGGGGAGGGATTGTGTGTTTGAAAAGCCAGTTCAGCTTCACAGCACTCAAATGAGATGCTTTCTGTTTCTACCTGGAGTGTAGGCACCTGGAGCCTTTCTGTGGGCCCAGGGGTAAAAAAGGACAAGCTCAAAATGACTCAAATTTAACTGTCTCATTGTGACTGTAAGATCTTTATTCTGTGACTGATAAGCCAATCTTGTTCAATATGTTAAACCTGAGAATTAATGAATTGTTTTGGACTATATTAATTAGACTGATAGGGGAAAGAAGATATGTAAAGCAAAGATCAAGTTATAAAGGCTGGGATACAGAGGCACAGGCACATCTTCCTGGGGTTGAAGACATGGGATTCCTTTCTTCATTAACCTTTCATGGAGTTCTGGACTTGGTAGGGCCTT
Source organism: Homo sapiens (assembly GCF_000001405.40). NCBI lineage: Eukaryota > Metazoa > Chordata > Mammalia > Primates > Hominidae > Homo > Homo sapiens. The sequence continues at coordinate 157,788,885 of NC_000002.12, read as the reverse complement.
GGGAAATGAATGGGGAAATTGGAGGATAGGGAAGTAGCATTATCAGAGGCTTGGACTCTGCCCCAAGTTTTTACCCTTTTGACTGTTATTTTAAAATCGCTTTGGCTTCATCTAGGATGGAAAGTAAATACAGTAACCCCCTATTTATCCATGGGGAATACATTCCAAGACCCCCGGTGGATGCCTGAAACCACAGATAGTATTGAACCTTATCTATACTACATCTTTTCCTATGTCTAGGATAAAGTTTAATTTATAAATTAGGCACAGGAAGAGATTAACAACAATAGCAAAGTAAAATAGAACAATTATAACAATAGGCTGGCATCACCACTCTTGTGCTTTGGGGCAGTTATTAAGTAAAGGAAGGGTTCCTTGAACGCACCTGCAATACCATGGCAGTGGATCTGGTAACCAAGACATCTGCTCAGTGACTAGCAGGATGGTAGCATCTACAGTGTGGGTACGCTGGACAAATGGATGATTCATGTCCTGGGCAGGATGGAGCTGGACAACGTGAGATTCCATCATGCTACTCAAACAGCATATAACTTAGAACTTAGGAAATGTTCATTTCTGGAATTTTTTGCTTAATATTTTTGGACTGTGGTTGATGGTAGGTAACCGAAATAGTGGAAAGTGAAACGGTGCATAAGGGGGGATAAGTGGGGACTACTGTAGTCTGGAAGTTACTTTGTTCACTCTGTGCTTTTCTGTGGGGCAGGATAGGTTGTGGAGCTAGGGAAGGGGAGTTTAACTAAGTCAGGACATTTTCACCTTTAGCTGTGGGTGTCACAGTGCCTAAAGGCTGCATTTCAAGACTTGTTAAACAAATTGGAGCCCTGCTTAACTTTTGAAGGGTTTGTCTCTGTAGTTTGAAAGCTTCCAGAAAGGCTGTAGGGGTGTGGTGGAGGCTCGCTGATGGTAACCACAGCTAAGATTGGCAACCTTGGAGGAGGCCCAGTCCATGAATCCCAGAGAGAGAGGTAGAGTAGGAGGCAAGAAGAGAAATTGAAGTGGAGAGCTAAGCACAAAAGCCACCTGCTGGCTTTTTCTCCACTGTTCTATCTCATCTAGAGCCCATTGTTAAATGTTTCCTGTAAAACCAAAATTCTCAGTGTAGAGCCCAGGTAGGAAACCCTTACTGAAATGCCATACACTCTCTGGTTAGCCCGAGGAGGTGGGGGAAACAACGAAAAGTGATTCCTCAGAATCAACCATTCTTCCTGTGGCGCGAACAGAGCTTCCAGCCTGAGACATTCAATCGATGGAACCACATTCCTGGCTCTCTCCTAAGACTAAACAAGGAATGACTTCTGAAGTGTTTACAATTCACTGGGACTTTCTTCCCTGTTCCTCCAGATTATTCTACTCTCTGTTACTCTCCCTATAACTAGAGCTCCACTTAGACATGGCCATTGGCACATACGCTGAGGAGACAGTATTTTTTGGTTTTTAAAGTATTCCTCAGTAGGCAGTTCCCGGTAGGCCTTGTAATCCTTTGTTTCTCCAAAGCAGAGATTCAAGAAGTTTGAAGACAGAATGAAGAAAGGGGTCATTATTTTCTCCCGTATTAAGGAGTTAAAACAACTCCTTAATATGCTGTATTTGTTAAAGCCAAGTCTTTGCAACATTCAGAGAATCATAAAAGGCATGGAAAAGACAGACGAATATCGTCTTAGGTCATTACCTCACAGTGTTCTTTAATTTGTTAGTCACTTGAAAACAGGCTGAGTTTTTTGGCTTCTAAATAGAAGGTGTGGCTGCTGCAATAGGCTTAATTTACAGGGATTATTTCAGAGACAAGGAGTCAGCCCAGACACAAAATAAACAGATGGCACTTTTTTTTTTTTCTCAGCTTCAGCAGTTCAAGTGCAGGATGACTTAGGAATCCTTATCACCTTCAGCAGAGCAAGAAGGGGAAGATGATGTAATTCTCTCTTCCCCACTCCCTATTGAAGGTGCCATTATTTCACCGATAGGGATAAAATATGGCAGCAAAGACCAGGGAAAAAATGACAGCAAGGAGCAGGGGCAGCTTTTTCTCTACTAGGCAGCCAAGTCCTGCACTGACCCCTCCAAGCTGACGAGTTGCAGGTATGTGTTGTGTTTTGATGATTCTAATCACCATAGCCCAGAGTCCTCAAATCAACCATCCAGAGAAGGACCACCCACAGAGCCCAGCTGTTCTATTAATGTATTAAATAGTTCCTCATTTTTTTAAGGAACACTTGTATTTTACCTGTTCTTTTAACAAATTAACAAGCAAACAATAAACCTACCACACCACAAAATATTAATCTTCTATATTCGTGAGCCCAAGTAGGTGAACAGATGTGATGGTATGGCAAGCTCTTCTAGGAAGAAATGGTTTGCTCAGGCATGCCGGCTTGGTGACTAAGCCCTGCCTTAAGATCTGTGCTGACATTTAAAGACTTTATGGGCTCAGCCTGCTCTGAAAACCAGCATCAGGTCTCTTTCCACCTCTAAATCCTTTCTGTGAAGGGAAAATTCATTCTGAAGCAAATATTCGTCAGGCTTGCACTCCTGCCAACCACTGACGCTGTTGTGGGGTATGTAATGAACGGTGAGCAAAGTATTAATAGATGCAACTCACCCTCATGGTGCTTACAATCTATAGGAAAGGTGACATTCAACAGCCATGCAGACACAAGTATGGCTGTAGCTAAAGGGGGGTTCCTACTTTAAATCTGGGTGTGTGAACAAAGGCTTCTCTGAGGAAGTAACATGTAAGGTGAAATCTGCACAGTAGAAAGGCACTGACTAGGTGGAGAGGTGTTGACTGGAGGGAGATAAGCATTCAAAGTGGAAGGAATTCCATACTTAAAAGGACCTGAGATCCCTAAGCAGGAAGAAGAGGTCTTTTAAGAACTTCCAGTAACTGAAGAGGAAACTGAAGAGCATGCAAGGATCAGGTCAGCCAGCAGTTGTAGGCCAGGTTAATGACTGGTCTCTACTTTGAGTGTGATGGAAGCCCGAGAGAGTCAGGCTTGTGTATCTGAATGAATGGGAATGCCATTTCCTGAGGCAGGGAACATTGGCGGAAGAATACATCTGGAGTTCAAAATCATGGAAGTTTTTGTTGTTGATATTCAATTTATATGCAATCTTCTTTGAATGCCTCTATTTGCCCCCATAACTGCTGAAATACATTTTCTTCTTGGCTTTACAACAACTAGGTGTCAGTCTCTCGGATAAGGAAAAAAAATGATTTGAGTTCCCTAAATGAGTGTTTTATAATGAGAGATTATTTAGGCACTGGGTGTATTTTATCCCTGAATGTATAGCCTGTCCTCTTGTCAGAGGATCAAATGCCCCTCACTAGGCATTCCAGACGGACCTTTGTGTCTCTGTCTTAGGAGCTGGCTTGCTGGCAGTGATACCTAGCATTGCAAAATCCTTCTTAAAGCCTTTGTTTAATGCCAGAGATCTCAAATGCTTTCAATTCTGGAGAGGTGCCAAACTGTGCTCCCGGATTAGGAGACGATGGAAGGACTCCTATAATCTATAAACCTCATATAAGCTTGCCATTTCAAATGAATGAATTGTTTAGAGTGTTGGAAGGAGTCCAGGGATACTTGAGTTCCTTTTTTAGCTATACAAATTTTGAGCTATTGGACTTTTATAATTACAGTCTAATTTCTGCATTATGATTTGTACTACTTTGAGGTGAACTTGTAAAAAATTCAGCCTGTTCCTTTTGCTGCCCTCTAGGACAAATCATGGCCATGGGCCGGTTTGTTTACTTGTAGCATTTTCTTATTTGTCTTTTATGTCAAAGACATTAGTGGGAAATGTTGGTTTTTGTGCACCATTTAGAGTAATACTCAGTTTCAATGCCTTAAAGCATTGCAGAGTGCATGACTGGGCAGGCGTGAATAGGTAAGTCCACAGTGTTGTGATTGCTAAAGTCCCACTTAAACATAAATGTGAATACTTTTACCATGAAGTACAAGATTATACCAAATTGTGGACAGTTTTTAAAAGTCCACGATGTTCTTTGGTCTGCCTCTCTCTCTGCTAGTCCGGCATTAGACTCGGAGGAGGTGTGCCCAGGTGGTGAACTGAGGATCATACAGAGCAGGAAAAATCTTTTTAAAGAGCTGGCCATGGTGAACTCCTGGGATTCCCAGCCTGCACCGCTGGTTTGTGGAGCCAGCCCCGTATTCTCCCTGGCGGTTCCGAAGCAGTCCCTGTTTGTGGTCAGAACTCCCTGCTGTTCCCAGCCAGCCCAGGCTGCGAGTGTTTTCACACGGCTCTGGCTCTGGTGATACAAAGGGCACGCAGTGCCAGCCATAACACTGAGTAATGCCGGGAGGTGCCTTCTAGAACAAACAATGTGGGTGAGCTCTGCAGAGAGGGAATACCTCTGGCTTGACATTTAAATTACTGAATTATTCAAATGAATGTCAATTAGGTGGAGTAGACTTTCTGCCTTCTGCCAGGGCACTTCCTGGATATTCGCACAGGCAAGTGTAAAATACTTTACATCAGATACGGTGCTTCCTGTCAGTACTGTTGAAAATCAGTCACAGAATCTGATTATCTGTTCCTTGGTGTTCCTTGATGTGTACTGTATTTATATCACAGCCTGAAAGATTAGGAGTCCACACACCCATACCTGTGGCCCTGAAAGGGGTTTTGTGATCATTCTCGAACCCCACCCCCACTCCCACACCAAATAAAATATCACAGGCCCACACATGTTATGCTTATTCCTAAATTTGACAAGACTGAAAAAGTGAGTCATGGACATTTGGAGTCCCGCTGTCTTCCTTAGAATTGTGGATATTAAGATCCGAGAATGCTATTACTACCTTGCTTTAAACCTTCTTTGTTGACTTCATAATTCTAGTTCAGAAAATACTTCCATCTACTCCACTCTGTCAGATGAAATTGCCAAGGTGGCACGTAGCGAATGTGAGTGTGTGCATGCATGTGTGTGCACCTGTGTGGTCATCCTGTCATTCTTATGAATTTAGGGTCTTCATTTATATTTGGGTATATATAAAAAATAAATACATGATGAAGGACTTTGCTAATTAGTTATATGGGAATATACAAAGTAAGAAGATTGAACAGTGGATGAGGAACAGAATAGGAAAGAGAAGTTAGTGAAGGTTTTGTACTTCCCTGTTAGCTGTTAGACTCAGCTCAGGGTTCTTTCATATCAGAGATTGAGTTAATTATTACGTATCATTAACAGTTGTCTTTCCTTGCCTTTTTCCCCAGTTGTGGAGGGTAGGTTATGAAAACCCTGGTATTTCACATCTTACTGAAAAGAATCACCAACTTACAGGCAGTTAATCCCTGGTTGTCCACATACAACTACAGGAAGTATATAAAGAATTTAAGGAGAGTGCTTAATAAACAGATGAATCTCTTTGATTTAGTTTGTGACCCTGCAGGATTAAAGCCTAGGTACACCACAGAGTTAGGTATAATGAGTTAAATTTTACTGAAGGTGATATTTACTTGAGGCTGTCACGTCTGGCAAACTCTTTAGGTTATAGTCCAAACGTCTGCCAGGCTCCCTGCACAGCCTGTCAAAAACTAGAGACCTTGGAAAAGCAGTGCCCCTTCCTGCATCTGTGTACTTAGAATTTAGTTTGGGATGGAACTTTAAAAACAGTTTATTTTGAGAGCACATTAGAGAAATGATTGTTGTTGTTACTTTATTTTTTTAAAATTTGGCATTTTTAAATTACAAGCATGGGTGTCCTTAATCCTTTGGTTCCCTGGACTGTCCGTTTAGGACCATTTAGGACCAATGATGAGCAGGCTCTCTTCTAGTCTAGCGTTGCTGGTTTATTGTTATTCTTAGCAGCCCATACGTTCAGCGAGCTGAGTAAATCATACTCGTCAATTCATTGTCAGTCCATGAACAGCTCTCTCCTACTTTATTTTTATTTTGCTCCTTCATCCCAGTGCTAACCCCTTATCCCCAAACCAGTGTCAACAGGCACATACTCTTCAATGGGTTAGGTATATATCCTGGGGTATCTATGATCTTTTAAAAGTACTCGGGATGTTAAAATACATGTTTGTGTTTCAAATTTACATAAATTGCATTATTTCAGGTTTAAGCATAGTCTTTTCAATTCTCTGCCATAGATCACAAGCAAATTAGTCTGACACCATGAACTCTCCCCCTCACTCCACCCATCCACTTCCCTCCAAAGAATCATCACCTGTTGGGCAGCATAGTTGGCAGCCCTCAGCCTGCTTTGTGCCATTCAAGAGTGGCAAGCATGTCTAGACTCCCTGGAAATATTATCCTTCAGCTCTCTTTTGGCAAGTGTAAACTTTTTGCTGGATTATGTCAACAGATATACATGTTTCTCATCCTCATAGAAATAGATTGGTGCTGGAATTTCCTTCGGATTTCTCCAGGCAAGGAACATAAAGACTATCTCTTTGCTCATTAAAACTTTTGCTCATTAAGAATGTTTGAGGGCTCTTGATTCTCAGGGGTGAGACTGGTGACATACATAGACTGTCAGCGGCTATTTTGGATTTTCTGCTTTCAGGCATGTCTTTGCTCTTGGATGAGCCCCTTGTGGTTTTCAAAGGAACTAGCAAGTCAATTATAAATAGAAGGCTGTGTCTGTGTGTCTGCATGCACTTACTCTGTGGGACGAGGCACCCACATTACAGTGGGCAGTGAACTATTTTTCCACTTCTTTGAAGAGGGAAGAAGAAAGATTAAGAATGCTTTTCTCTTTTTGAGATAACCCACATCTCTACACACACCCACACAAATCTGTGTAAATGAACTTGACATTTTCAAAGACCTTACCTTAAGGTCTCCTCTGGAAAGCACAGCCACCCAACCTGTTATTTTAAGAAAGAAGCATTTATCTCCTAGACCCACTACTGAGGGTTCAGGGATTAGAAGGCAGCCTCTATGTGCCATAGACCTTTGGAGGGAGCTCTGAAAGCTGAATTTCCTAATATGAACAGTGCTTCGGCAAAAGTGGCCTCAGCTAACTAATCAGTGGCCTCTAGGACTTGGCTGTTTACATTTTATCCTCTGTTTCCTTCCCCACTAGTAGAAACTGTGGGACCAGCAAGTCTAAACTAATCATACTGACAAGGGAAGAGAAAAGAGTAATGTGAAAATGCAGATGCAAATAAGTATTCTCAGAAAGAGACAATTAAGCAGAGTGATTAGATGTGCTTCCCTGATCATCCGTTTCTGCCTCTTTCCATTGCACCTTGAACTCCCTAGGTGTGTATTCTTCCAGTGGTCCCACCTGTCACCTTACTGTTCAAACATTATTCGGTTCTCTTGGTCTCCTTGTGCCCTCATTCTCCATATTTGGCACCATTTTTTTCCTGCCAGCCAAAAATTCTTAAGCAGGTGTTAATTCCCACTATAATCTATGTAAACTTTAGTGTTACCACTAGTGAAAAAGTTAGTCTAGGCATCTAGCTGGAAATATTGGTACCATGGATTGTAATTATAGATTGTACAGCCTTGCAAACTCTTATTATATTACAGGTTGAACATCTCAAATCCCAAAACCTGATACTTGAACTGCTCTGGAATCCAAACCTTTTTTAGCATTGACCCAATGCTCAATAGAAATGCTCATTGGAGCATTTTGAATTCTGGATTTTTGGATTTGAGATGCTCAGCCAGGATAAATACAACTATTCCCCAATCCAGAAAAATTTTTAAATTTGAAACTTTTCTGGTCTCAAACATTTCGAGTAAGGGATACTCAGTTTGTAGTATATTTCTGCCATGTACCTGCAAGAATGTCAGCATTCCTTGTTTTACGAGTTGATGGGGATTTGTACAGAGCTAGCAAAAATTAGTATTAATAGCTGCCATATATTTAGGAGCTTTTTTTTTGGAATAGAATAAAGGTGATAAACATTATGTTCCAGTAAAACATTTTATTTTGATGCAGTAATTGGGATCTTAGAGCCAATCACGCTGAAGGTTATATGAACACCACAGGGGGAGAAGCTCATTTTCAGAAGTCTGTGGACAGATGATAGCCAGTCTTTGTCCTAATATGATCTAAAAGGGTGCACAGCTTATATAAATGAATCGCTATGTTGAGAGGCAATTATTATTTGTTGGTTGGTTAGGTGACAAGGTGACAGAATGTGGACCTCATGGTTGATGGTGATGCTTAGCTTGACTTTCTGTTGATAGAGGTGTTTGGAATGGTCATTCCCTCAATGAAGGTGAAACTCATACGGTAATTCCTCTTTTTTTTTTTTTTCCCCTTCCTTTCTCTCCTTTGCAGATGAGAAGCCCAAGGTCAACCCCAAACTCTACATGTGTGTGTGTGAAGGTCTCTCCTGCGGTAATGAGGACCACTGTGAAGGCCAGCAGTGCTTTTCCTCACTGAGCATCAACGATGGCTTCCACGTCTACCAGAAAGGCTGCTTCCAGGTTTATGAGCAGGGAAAGATGACCTGTAAGACCCCGCCGTCCCCTGGCCAAGCCGTGGAGTGCTGCCAAGGGGACTGGTGTAACAGGAACATCACGGCCCAGCTGCCCACTAAAGGTTCCCATGGACTTTTCTATTTCTAGATCAAGGGGTTTTGTTAGTGTTGTCCTGGGTCCGTGTGGGTTAAAGATCTAAGTAGCTATGAGGCATTCCACCTACATTTTGAATCAGAGGCGAAGAGCTACAAGGAAGGTCACCCTGGGTGAAGAAGAGAAAGGAACAGCCTTTTGGCATCTAAAAGAAGGATGGGCATTTTGGGGAATGTAAGCAAGGTGATGTCCATCTTGGGGACAGCTTAGCTGACCAGTTAGCTTTCTCTTGGTTGCTGTGACTCAGGTGAACAGCTCCCAATACCTTTTTATGTTACTGACCCATGATGTCATTCATAATTTCTGAAACAATTCTGCTAGTAAATACTCATCTCTGTGTCAAGTGTGTAGGGAGGAAAACAGAACGGACTGGTGACTGAGTGGAATGCCTTTCCTGTTTTATGAGGAAGGAGATAAAAGAAGGCTCACTGACCTCTTCTCCCATATCTGATGCCCAGTGACCCTATCACTGAAATTTGAAGCAGGATGAGATTTCGCACAAACCCTGTAGTTTTTGTGGAATCTTCTCTCTACCATCAGTACAGATTGCATATGCTAAGGAAACCAGTCCAGCTCTGAAACTGTTTCCCTATTAAATGAGCCCTAAATTGCAATCTTAAAGTCTCTGCAAACATTTATGTAAACTCATTCCAAGCCAAATTTATTCTCTTACCATATAGTACATTTTTAATAGGTTTAGTTATTTAATTTTGCACTCAGAAAAAAGAAACAAACCAAAAAGTGGAGGAGAGGTAACGACGAGCATCCAAAACTAGAAATGTCAGCCAGCAAGAAAGGAGGCAGAAGAACAAAAAAGCTGATGCAAGATCATGTTCTAGTAATTTTGAAGTTATGGTGATGACTTTAAGGCATATGGAAAAGGTTAAATTCTGACAAGCAAATAGGATTGAATAATCAAAGAGGGTTTTAAAGGAGATCAAGTATTTACATGGTTAAAACTAAAAGGGTCCTTGATGGAATAAAATTTACTGTTATACTTTGTGAGTTAAATTTTTATTAATTGGGTGGATGGACATAAACAAATGTCTGAATTCATACAAACATTATTATACCAACTGTGAAGTTTCTAATCTGCAGATCACTCTGCTAGACCTTGAGTTTTAATAGAAGATTTTTTTTTTTGAATTTAAGGACATTCTAATCTGATTAGCGTGGCCACAGTATTTATAATTCAGCGTTGCATTTTGTTAGTTTTACACTTTCTCATGCAAATGACATATGCCATGGAGTATGATGTATGCCAAGCTGTTGATTAGTTGGGCTTGGAAAGTTAAACAAATACGTAAAGGAAGTTAAGCTTGTGATTGGATGGCTGAAGAGACCAGTAATATGGAAATGGGTAAGGCCTCTGTAGGGAAGAACAGGGCCTGATGACATAATGTCATGGAGAGGTCTGAACCCAGGGAGTGAATCAGTGAATGAATGTCTGAATAAGCGAGTAAATGAAGAGAGGAATGAATGGGTTCCTAGGCAGAAATTGTGATGTAAAAAAATCAGTGAGAAACCAGCAGTAGACACCCAGGATATATTAAAGACAGAGACCACAGATGGGTAATTTGGTTTTAGCTCAGGTAGCCCTTTCTCTTAAGGATAGTACAGTGTCTGTAAGGGCTTGATGGCGAAACATACCAAATCCAAGTTAATGAGAGTAATATCAAAGATTTGTACAGTACTTTATATTTTAAAAGCACTCTCACATTCATACATTAATGCAATTGATTCTCAGTGGAATTTTTTCAAATTCTAGTTGTGTCTAATTGAATGATGGTTAAAATGTCTGGGCCATTGGCCAGGCATTAGGAAGTGTTTTAGTTTTAATACTTCGTGAGTTGTGAGACTGTGTGGTCAGGATCAGGAGCTACTTGTTAGGATATTGGTTATGCTAATAATAAGTAAGCAGTGATCCTTACAACTAATTCCCCCTTTTCCCTCCAACTCCAGGAAAATCCTTCCCTGGAACACAGAATTTCCACTTGGAGGTTGGCCTCATTATTCTCTCTGTAGTGTTCGCAGTATGTCTTTTAGCCTGCCTGCTGGGAGTTGCTCTCCGAAAATTTAAAAGGCGCAACCAAGAACGCCTCAATCCCCGAGACGTGGAGTATGGCACTATCGAAGGGCTCATCACCACCAATGTTGGAGACAGCACTTTAGCAGTAAGTCATGACCCCACAGGAAATCCCAAGCATAAGGAAGGTGTCTGGAGACACGTTCTTATTTCGAGCATGAAACGCTAACCAGTAATGAGTGACTGAACAGTGTACACACATGCTGTTGGTTACTTATGTCCTAAACAAGCACATGCTGGCACCTGTGTAGTCTTCCCATATCAGAACAGCCATTTTAGATAGACATTTAAATAAGGGATGGGATTTATTTTAGTAGTGTTGGTAGTTAGTTACTTTTCTCTGAGGGGTAAAGCAAAAGAGACAGAGAATGGTTGCCTACAGTTTTGGAGGGTTGGAATTTGTGGTCTTCAGTTACTCTATTTTTAGCCATAAAAGTGCTCCTTTAAAAAGGCACCTTTTGCTGAATATTAAATATTAATTTCCTTTCTAGATTATTTCAGCATCCTGTAATTTAAGGCTTAAAAACTTGACATCCAAAAAAGCAGCTTTTAAATTTTGTATGCTCCTGTGGTGCCCTCTTGTGGAGTGCAGTCATTTGGTTAAACCGGTGTTGTCCAATAGAAACATGTGCATCACATGTAATTTAAAATTTTCAAGTAGCCACCTTAAAAACAAACACATGAAAAAACCCAAAAAGTTTCGTAAAAGTAGATTTAATTTTAACAGATATTCAACCAAATACATACCATCTTTGTCATTTCAACGTATAATCGATTAAAAAATTATTAATGTAAATTTTACATTCTTTTTGCTTTTGAAGTAAATTTTCAAAATCTTGTGTGTATTTTACACCTATAGCATATATCAATTCACACCAGCCACAGTTTACTTGCTCATGGCAATGTGTGGCTAGTGATTAACCCGCTGGACTGCACAGTGTTAGAAACTATTGTATTTATACATTAAAAAATTATTCTTTTGCATATTTTTAAATGATAAAATCACATTAAAAAATGACTATCTCCTTCTATTTACCTTTTAAAATTGCTTACCAAGTGTTCATTTTAAAGACGCTTTGAACTTTAAGTGGGGAAAGGGTATCACTTGCTCTAAATAGAAGGTTATCATAAAGTGCAAAAGAAAAAATAATAACATTCTGCATGGATATTATGCTGAGTCTGATGCCTACTCTGAAAAATTTGAGATTTGTGGGTGTTAAGTGAGTGCAAGAGACATGCCAATACCAATTTGAGACTCCTTGTCACAATCCGATTAATTGAAAGACAATCAAAGTAATAACTTTCTAATGTGATTCAGTTTTACTTAATGCCATTGCCCATGTGTATTTGAAATCATTTTGCAGTAAGTCTTGTTCTGCTAGACAGCAAGCTTCAAAGTGTCTGATAGTTCTGCAGTTACACTTGCCCTGCAGCTCCCCTTATGCTGGAGAAGACTTCCCCTCACCAGTGACCATCTGGGTAGCACAGATGCTACACCTGGACAATTGCAGGACCCACCTGTGGCAGGTTGTCACAGACATTTGGTAGTGCCTGATATGGGCTGGGAAACATCCCATTCTACTGCCTGCCCCATCCATCACTGGGCCACTTTTTGGTATGTAAAAGGGGGAAGTAACCTTCTGTAGCTTCCATTTACCTACTGTTTAAACTGTGGTACAGTGGAACTGGGGAAAGAGAATGCAGTATAAGGACATTTCATTTCAAAAAGTAGAGAAATACAATTTTTTTTGTTAGATATATACTTAGAAGTCTATTTCAAGCTTTAAGGAAAATTAAATGAGTTTATTGAGTTAGTAGCAAGAAGATGTGAGGATGAATCCTGACAAAGCTTTAGCAAAGCAAGATTCTAAAATAGGTTAGTTAGAACTTCATTCCTCAGAGCTGCTAACATAACTAATTACCAAGGGCAATAATAGGAATATCTGGTATAAATTACTGTTTAAATGGCTTTTAGAATTTTGAGAGAGGAATGGAGCATATGCCAAAATAGTCCTTTAAACTCAACCATGTCATGTGACAGTGTATCATGATATAATAACACAGTAAAGAACACTATTTAAAACAAGTTGTCATTATTGGTCTACATACTTGCTTATTTAAGCAATATGCTCATTTGTATGTTTCAACAAAGCATGCCCTTACTAAACAGCACGTCTACATTGAAAAACAAGCCTTGGCCATGCATGGTGGCTCATGCCTGCAGTCCCAGCACTTTGGGAGCCCAAGGGGGAAGATCACTTGAGACCAGGGGTTAGAGACCAGCCTGGGCAATATAGTGAAACTCTGTCTTGAACTAAAGAAAAGAAAAGAACAAAAAGAAGGCTTGGCATCTGAGAGTTGGGATATACGTTTGTTAGTCTTGGGTTGATTTTTTATTTTTCTTTCCTTAGGTCTGTGAACAGGGTTTAGAAGCAGGATCATACATTATGGAAAAAATAACACATTAGTTTAATTTTCAGAATTATTCTTCTCGAAAAAGAATGAATGAATAAGGAGCAAAAAGAACCGCAAGAGAGAAAATGGTTAGGGAGATATGAAACTCTGCTTCATCTACACTCATTTTCTTGTTGATTATCCCTTTTGTGGTTTTTAAGGGTTCTAAATTTCTTCCGTTGGATGCTCAGCTTTTGGTAATTTTGCCGATCAACAGTACTTCACAGTGGTGCTCAGAAGAAGTGAAAGAAGATGAAATTCACACAAATCAATGTATTGCTTTAGTAGGCCAGCCAAAATGTTTGGGAAAGGATGAGCTTTGGGGAATATTAAGTCAATATTACTGCAACTCTACCTTTATCACCCATCGGCACAATATTGTTTATTACAGATAATCTATGCCTGATACCTGCTTCTTGGCTTATGCTGAGAGTAAGAAGGAAAACCTTATCAATGAACTAACTGGGAATCTTTTTGCCAACACCTTCATTTGTAGACATTGACTTGGGGCACTGGTTTTATGTTTTCAATGAAAGCTTTATTTGTTTTCTTTTCTGATTTGTGAGTGATTCACATTAAGAAATGATAAGTAGGTGTTGATATAGTTTTGCTCCTCACCTGCCTAAAAGGAAACCTCCATCCAGGCAGCCCGTTGCTGCCTGCGCTTACCAATTTAATGATCCACATGGTCATTGGAGTCTTTTCGTTACAAATCACATTAGAGTTGTTTGTTCCTTATTCCTAGTTTGTTTGTTCCTAATTAGAGTTCCTTAGTTGGTATGGCAACTAAAGTGAATCATTTGACAGATACTTAGTGAGAATAGCAAAATATGTAAATTATACCCAGTTCTTGAAGTTGAAAGGACCCCCCCCACCCTTTTCTGTTCCACCTGCTATTCTCTCTACTGCTTTCCTTGAGATCATATCTGCTTCTTGGGCTTTCTGATTTACACCTTCAACTTTGTCTGCTCAGCTTCTTTCATTATATATTTTATTTGGAAACTCTGTGTATAAGAAAGGACTACTTATCCTTCGGGAAAACCTATCATATATTAGGTGAAGTGCTAGCTTCTAGTATTCCGAAGAAATAAAACTTTTCCTGGCCAGGCGTGGTGGCTCATGCCTGTAATCCCAGTGCTTTGGGAGGCCAAGGCAGGCAGATCACCTGAGGTCAGGAGTTTGAGACCAGCCTGACCAACATGGAGAAACCCCGTCTCTACTAAAAATACAAAATTAGCCGGGCGTGGTGGCGCGTGCCTGTAACCCCAGCTACTTGGGAGGCTGAGGCAGGAGAATCACTTGAACCCGGGAGGTGGAGGTTGCAGTGAACCCAGATTGCGCCATTGAACTGCAGCCTGGGCAACAAGAGTGAAACTCCGTCTCAAAAAAAATAAAAAATACAAAACAATAAAACCAGTCCTTCTTCCTTCTTCCAGAGGAGCTTTACATGTACACTAACAGGCCACGTGTCCCGGATTGCTGCCCTTCATGTGAGTTACAATGTCATGCATGCTAATACTCCAAAGTGGGAGCTATATTGCTCAATCGTTTCTTTTCCCCCTTGTCTTAAACCACAGGATTTATTGGATCATTCGTGTACATCAGGAAGTGGCTCTGGTCTTCCTTTTCTGGTACAAAGAACAGTGGCTCGCCAGATTACACTGTTGGAGTGTGTCGGTAATTCTTTTTTTTCCTTTCTTTGTGGGTAATATGCAATGTTAGTTTTGTTTTTGAAGTAAAAGATGGAACTTGGAAAATCTGCTTTTTGTTACCTGTTGTTTCCTTATTAAACTTATGAGATGTGGTCTCTATTCTGTATGACTAATGTTGGAGCACCTGAACTTGTTTAAGCTCTTATCAAAGGAGTCCATCACTAATGAGTACAGAGAATGCAGAGTCAAAAGCTTTCAGTTGTAAGTGGACCCTTTGGGATGATGAGAGAATGCCCAAAAAATGAATTGATATGGTTGCTCCTTACCATAGGTATTGGATACTCTGAAGTAAGTAGGCTTTTGGACAATGAACTTCTTTATTGCAATTCTTTAATTCCTCTCATTCTTTTCTTCTTTTTAATGGCAATAATTAATGAACATAATTAATGAAACCAATTCTAGCAAAGGGATCTTTATAACTCCTTTATTTAAATATGAGCTATATACATTTCTCCATGGCCTCTCACATTTTCCCAATACATGAACATATTTGTATGTAGACATAATCATGTTGTATATATAATTTATGTCCCTTTTTTCAGTTTTAAGCTCATAAACATTTCATGTGTTTGTACACATCACAAATATTTTTGAAGATTATGTAGCAGTCCGTGGAATGATAGTGTAACTATAACCATACTGCTTGAAAAAGATTTTGCACACATTGCTTCTTTCTTTTGAGTTCTCAGAAAAAATTCCCAGGAACTGGGGGTTCCTGGGTCAAAATTTGTAAATGTTTTTTACAGCTTGTTTTATATGCTGCTGATTGGCTCTCTTGGAAGATGGTACAAAGTGCCTATTTCCTGATTTTTGTTAGCTTTACTTTTATGTGGTAGGTATTTGCAAGTTCCATAATCATTTTCCTAAGTTTCTCTTTTAGACGGCTTGCAGGGATGGCTGCAGTAGCAATAATGGGTTGGCAACCTCTCCACACCCTCCTCCTAGTGCTCATGGTTTCCGAGGGCTGGATTTTGCAGCTCCTGCCGTTGCATCTTTTGCTTTTGGGAGGTGACCTATAAGCTGCCCCCACCACTTGGCTGCTGTTCTCCAGATTTTCTTCTTGTTTTCATGGAAAGAGGGACACCCCCAGTCTGAGTAGTAGAAACGGGGAAGGGCAGAGGTAGGAAGAGCAGTGGCTGCTGCCCCAAGGCACAGGAGTAACCAGCGGGAGCTTGGTTGTCCTTTCTCTAGGTCTACGGCTATTGTCACTGTTTGCTGCTTCTCGCTTCTCCTCCACGGCAGATTGTGAATGGAGAAAATAAAGATGGAAAAGCCCCAAATGTGCTCATTAATTTCAACCAGAGTTGTCCTCTTGTACTAACTAGTATCTTATTTGATTATGAACAAGATTATCTGGATAGTGGTGGGAAGACATTGAAGGGGTACATTTCCCTGTCTCATCTCCCCTCTCCACTACTATTCCATGCAAGCTATCTCAAGATTAGTCTTCAGAGATTGGCTCCAGAGTCCAAATGGCAAAATAGTAATGCACCTTTAAAGTATGTAGTTTCTGGTTCTATAGATATTCCTCAGCATTCTTTTGAAACAGTATAAATATCATTATTGCATTTTCTTGGGTTAGGACTAAAGACTTTAATAAAAGCAGTGCCTTTCATTAGCTTGTAGTTAGTGTGTTCATGTGGTACAGCTTTTAGTAAAAATATATGTGATGAACTGCATGGATGGTATGTTATTTTTGGTTCAAAAACATGGGAAGTTGGGTTAGGGGAGTCATTTCTGGATGACGATCAGTGAAACTACAAATTTCAGGTGCCTTAAGGGAGCCTTTTTGTGGGGCTCCATGGCCAGGGCTTTTGGGCAGCTCTGCTTTTGTTTTAGGGGCTTCTGCATAATGATGAATTTGCAAAAAGCATTTAACAACTTAAAAGCATTTGAAAACCATTGAACAATATTTCTATTTTAATTTACCTACCTCGACATTCATCTTCTGTTTTCTTTAAAACAACAACCAAAAAAAGGATTTGAGGTAATTTTGTATCCATAATTCCCTGGGATATTTTGCTCTCATCCCTAATGACAAAATGAGGACAAAGGGAAAATAAAGATACAAAACAGAACCAAAGGCAGGAAAAGATTAGCATACCATTTTCTGGCAGCCAGTATTTGTAGTATCTTAGCACTAGGCCTCATCTTGAGCTATAAATGCTGGCAAATTGCTATGGCTTTATTAAAAGGAATCGTGTACTAAATTATATTTGTGTGACCCAACAGTGGCCCACAATGAGCACTTGTTAGCCACATTGAACATCCTTTTGGGTTAGTTGTTGGTATTTAATAGGGACATGATATTCTTGTCAGGTAATCTAGATTTAGTGGTTGTGATTATGATTCAGGTGTGTCTCCTGGACAGAACTGCTTCTCTCTCCATGTTTGGGTTTTCAGTGACTTAGTGTTCCAGCAAAGAACTGTATTCCTGTATATGCAGGTGGTGCTGCAGCTGCTTATTAGAAGCTGTGTGATTCCAGCAGTCACTTGCCTGGGTAGAAAGCCCCACTGCCCTGCAAGTTATATCTCTTGCCTTGTTATCTAGGCTGATTATACCCCTTGTTGATCCTCATAGTCTTGTGGTAATTACCTCCTCCTCCAACCTCCCTGATCACCCCTACCTATAATTAAAGAGAAGAATGGAAGAGGGAGCATGTAGTTGACAAGCTGACAAGTGTGTTGCTGCTGCAAGAGGGGGCCATGCACCAAACAGATTAGATCACAAGTAGAGTTGCCACGTTTTCCAAAATGTATTCTCCAAGTAGCCTTTTCAGTGTAGCCCACTTGTAGCATCACAGGAGCTGTCTGACAAACAAATACCCATGACCAGTATCAGAAGAAGTCAGAACTCTTCTGGGATTATGTATTTAAGACTTTGCAAATCCTCTTTTTGAAATACATCTTCCGCCAAGAAATCTTTATGGATGCAGTGGCTGCATGTCGATCTTCTAGCAGCATTGTGTTTTGGTTTGTTTTTGTTTTTTAATCCTTAGAACACACATTTTAAACTTAATTGTTCTCCTTTGTGGAAAAAATGCATATCTAAATTCACCAATTTGGACAGTGCCTATGTTGATCCTGTGTGAAGGGAAGGAACCAAGGAAGGAATTCAGTTTACTGATGTACACTTTTTTGGCTTTCAGAACACAATTGAAATTTAATAATCTGTACCATTTCCTAAGTTTTACTTTCATGTGTTTTAAAAGTCATATGCATTTTATACCTTTCAACAGAGGAATTTAAATGTAAACTGAGTAATTAGCAGCTAATTATACAATGCAGATACAGAAGGCAGTTTGTTATCACAATATGGTAGATGAGAGGGGCAGCTTCCACCTTATTTTTGTATGTCTTTATAGGCCAAAAAAAATAAAAAATAAAGGTTGTGATATTTATATTCCCAAGCTGAGTTTCTCCAGTAAGCAATGGAGGGATTAAGAGTTGCATGCACTAAATTAATTATTCTTAATGATGGGCTGGCTGCCTCCAAAATGACTACTGTTCTGTGTCACCTATGTTTTGCTTTTCATAGGGAAAGGCAGGTATGGTGAGGTGTGGAGGGGCAGCTGGCAAGGGGAGAATGTTGCCGTGAAGATCTTCTCCTCCCGTGATGAGAAGTCATGGTTCAGGGAAACGGAATTGTACAACACTGTGATGCTGAGGCATGAAAATATCTTAGGTAAGTACAAGGATAACCCCCTCATTAATTGTATCTAGGGAGAAACAATTGTCTGCCTTTGCTCTCTCCGTTTTGGTGAATGTGAATTCGAGAGTGTCTCCTAAAAAGCAATATAGGGATCCTTAGCATTTATATGCTGTTTAATTTTCTCAAACACCAGTTTCTTATTTAAATCTGCAAATAAGTTTAAGACTCTCTGGATGATGAAAAGGAAATCCACTAGTGCTAATTCTTATTCCTACATCTGCAGATCGTTATTTAAATAACAAAAATTTGCCCCATATTGTTCACTTCAAGGCTCATTGGTTGTTCTACTCACCCCACCCTTTTTGAATATTTATTACTTGAATCAAACTAAGAAAGATCTTTGGACTATTTCCTAGAGATTCACAGCTCCCAGGGATATCGTAATTAAATGCACATTCCCTCAAACTAGGCATCATTTTTAAAACCCAGATTTGCAGAGGGATTCAGGATACATTTTAATTTAGAAACTAAAGCTTAGCAACATTTGTGAAATATGTAAAGTGCCCGTTGAAATACTGCTATGGCAGTATAAAGGGTGAGCACACTCCTTAGGCCCATTGACTTCTGTATTTTTGAAAAGTTTCTCTAAGTGTGTTTATACTGATACATGTATGGTGAATGCTGCCTGGAGTGCTTCTTCAATAGTGGATATAAAGTTTATATAGAATTTAACTCTGTATAGGATAGTGTTGGCCACCTTATGGCTATTGGATTAGGTCTGGCTCATAGGAAGGCCATTGCCAAAATTTATTTCTATTTTAGCACTGCCAATTTAGTATTTAAATGAGTCAAGTTGTCTGCAAATAATGATTTGACAGTTGTCCAAAGCTTCAAAGCTTTGCTTCCGTGGTGTGGTGGTGATGTTCCATCTCAAAATTTTTTCAGTTTCTGTAGTTGATTTCTCACTTTTGCTTACCCATCGGGTCCTAGTCATCACTTAATCCTCCTCACCTCAGCTGTCAGCTTTCCCTTTCCAATTCATCTCTCCACTTGGAGTTGTCTTCCACTGGGGAGCAGAGATCATTCTGTTCAGTGTCTTTGATGGCTCCCAAATTTCCTGCAACACTTGTGACTGGTATTCAAGACTCCCTGGTTTGGGGCTCCCAGGAATCACTTAACCATCCTTTACAAGTATGCCCCATTCAGTTACTACTAATACTGACCATTCCTTGAGATCGCCACAAACATTTAGGTCTCACTGTCCTTTCTCAGGTTGCTCTTGATCACTCACTATCCTTTTCACATCCTCCAACCATTCCTTCCTCCGTCAAAACCTCTTGGCCCCTTTTAGTTTTGCCCAGTGGAATTAATTGTGCTTTTCTGCATTCCCCGACTTTGTACCTCTGCTCTAACTCTTACCACACACTGCCTTGTGTTGCAGTTAAACGTCTCTGTGTAACAAGAATAGCAACAGTAGTAACAATAAACATGCAATGGATCATTACTACGCGGTAACCACAGGTGCATTATGTGCATTTTGTTACAGAATCTTCACCATGACCATAAGAGAATAGGTACTCTCATTTTCCCAGTTTTAAATGTTGAGGTAACCAATATACAGAGAGGTTAAATAGTGGAGGTGGAAATTACATCAGGCAGCCTAACTCTTAACCACAGTTTTGTACTCAAAACACAAACATTCTATAAAAGTACTCTAGAATCATGAAGCAAAGGTAGTTATATAATTCACGCTTAAGAGATAAACAGTTAAAAAGAAAACCCTGCTTATTTAAAAGTAATTTTTTTCCTGATGGTCTAGAGCATAATTAATGGGACAGATAAACTTCTTCCCTAAGACCTAAGGGGCTTAGTGAAGGTGAGATAATAAAAATGTATTCGTTTATTATTTATTTATTTAATCAGAAGCTCCTTTTTCTTGGGAGAGGAAATCAGTAGAGGCTACACAGATATATAACAGTAATTTAATTTCTTTTGAGTGGTGCTGTTAGAGTTTGGGGTATTTTTTAAGAAAATCATTAAAGATTAGTATTATTTGGTTCAAACTGTTAAAGCAGAAACATTTTCTTTATTAAGAATAACTAATGTCCAAGAACACATTTTGATGCATATTGTGGCCAGCTAAGGGCTCCAAGAGAAGCAGCATCGAGGGGAAAAGCAGACTGGGGAGCAGGGAAGGAGTGGGAGACTCAGGGCTGGCCATGGGAATAGGCTTAGAGGAAGAGAGAGAAAGAAGTAGAGGGTGAAGGTGCTAAAATATTATTCAGTTTGCTTTGCATATGTCCCATAGGTGAAAATGTGAAATTATTTTTTCTCTGAGTAGAAATCAGTTTGTTTGGGGACAGTATGGCATAGTCAGTAAGAGTCTGGGTTCTAGAATCAGACCTACAGGAACCTAATATCAATTATGCGATCTACTTACTTCATGTGGTTTTTGGAGGATTGCATATAAAGTTCCAGGCATGTAGTACTCAATAATTATTAGCTGCCTCTGTTGTGGTTGCCGATGATGATGATGATCAAATAGGGGACCTTTCTTGGCTCACAGAGCCTTCCTATGCAAGGTATCAGGACAGCTAGCACTAAATTCAGAGTTGATAGCAACTTAAATAGCTGTGTGATCCTTGGCATCTCCCAGCACCAACTTTATTATCTGTAAAATGAGCATAATGATGTCTTTCTTACCAGCTTGTTGGGAAAAATCTCATGAGAAAATATATGTGAAAGTGACATAAATTTTATATAAAGTACTATGCAAGTATAAAGCATTTTAATGTATTTTCTCTTACATTTTCATAAGTCATTTAATTCTTCCTCAAGCCATATCCGTCTTAAAAAATTTTTTTTCTCACCTCTTTTTAAGTCCCAAACTTCACTGTCTACCAGCGTGGTTCATATATGTGAGAATAATCCTAGAAAGGCACCTCTGTAGCAGAAAAGGCAAGCACACGTCACAATTTATTTCATAAGATAGGAAGTGCCCCTAACTTCCAGACAGTCTTCTGCATGCTCAAAAGTTCCCTCCAGATGTCTAGAAAAATCTCTTCCGGGCTGATCGCGATGTCTCACGCTTGTAATCCCAGCACTTTGGGAGGCCAAGGCAGGTGGATCACCTGAAGGTCAGGAGTTTGAGACCAGCGTGGCCAACGTGGGGAAACCTCATCTCTACTTAAAATATAAAAAATTAGCCCGGCGTGATGGTGGGCCCCTGTAATCCCAGCTACTCGGGAGGCTGAGGCAGGAGAATCACTTGAACCCAGGAGGCGGTGGTTGCAGTGAACCGAGATCGCGCCATTGCACTCCAGCCTGGGCAACAAGAGGGAAACTTCGTCTCAAAAAAAAAGAAAAAGAAAAAGAAAAATCTTCTCCAACCTCTTCATCCACATTTGTCAGTCACTCACTTTACTTCAAGACCAGTTGAGTTGCCACTTCCTAATGGAAGCCTATTGTAACACCTAGTCTGAATTACTATAATTTCCTGCTCTGGGCTCATGTTGCCCTTTGAAGATATATATTATAGTACTTTTCGTATTTTATTGTAGTGTTTTCGTTTTTACATCTGTCTTCTTTAGCCAGCAAACACTATCATCTTGGTTTTTCTGTGTGTGACTGACAGATAGCATCATAAATACTCATATATTTGGTTGGTTTCTTTTTTTATTTCGTGAATCAGTCAATCATTTAATGTAAACTTGCCCCCTTTATTTTACATCTGAGCAGATATAGGCTAAGGAGCCTAACTGAGTTGCCCAGTATTAGACAAGTAAATCACAGGCAGAGTCAGGACTAGAATACAGTACTCAGGTTTTAGATTTGATGTTCTTTTAGGATGGTTGATGAATGGTCTGTTCCTAAAATATCAACATGCTGAAGGGCTTGGCACTATCATTATGGGTGAGCACAAAGATATTATTGCTATCTGAAACTTAAGGAATGTAAAATATCTTTTAAAGTATTACTTATAATGAAATGAATATGAAATTTTCCTATTAGCAGTGCCCTTTTAAGGAATAAATGCTATTATTTTTCTCTGTTGATGCTTCTGTAAACCTCCTCTTAGGGCAATTGGTCAGTTTAATTACTTTTTGTTACAGATGACATTTACTGTGTAGGTCGCTATTTCTAAATACTTTAAGTTATAATGTGGAATCCTCATGTATATTAATTTTTTTCTTGCTCTCTCCAGGTTTCATTGCTTCAGACATGACATCAAGACACTCCAGTACCCAGCTGTGGTTAATTACACATTATCATGAAATGGGATCGTTGTACGACTATCTTCAGCTTACTACTCTGGATACAGTTAGCTGCCTTCGAATAGTGCTGTCCATAGCTAGTGGTCTTGCACATTTGCACATAGAGATATTTGGGACCCAAGGGAAACCAGCCATTGCCCATCGAGATTTAAAGAGCAAAAATATTCTGGTTAAGAAGAATGGACAGTGTTGCATAGCAGATTTGGGTAAATTTCTAAAAATATTTTTTTCCTCACCAGTTTTATTTTTGTTTCAATGGTTAGGTGAGTTGCATCTCTCCCCCACAACATGTTATGCAAAATTTCAAACATGCAGAAAAGTTGAACATTTACAATGAACACCTTTATACCCACCACATAGATTCTCACATTAACATTTTACTATCCTTAAGCATTATTATGTATTTATTCATCTATTCATCTCCCCATCCATCAGTCCATATCAACCTTTGATAGAGTTGAAAGTAAATTGCAGACAAAGGAATTCTTTCTTCTGATGATTTCAGCATGTACACTAGTATATCATTGACAAGAATGCATTATTTGCTTTTTCTTTTTTTCAGGTAAAATTTATATACTGTGAGATATACAAATCTTAAGAGTTTTGACAAATGTTGTAAAACCCAAATCCCTGTCGAGATACAGAGTTTCCCATTACTCTTGACAGTTACCTCAGGCTCATTCAGTCAGTCCCTGCCACACCCCACCTCAGAAGTAACCAGTACTGTTGCATTTTGGTTTCACTAACCTTCACATAAAGTAGGTGCACAATAAATACTCTATAGAATTAGTTTATCTTAAAAGTGGTCTCTAAAATCATTCTGTAACCAAGGCAAAAGAATCAAGTTAAGAAATAGGAAAATAATCCCCGAACTGATTCACTCTTTTCCCTGTTAGGATAGCTCATTCTTATGGTGTTAGAGTAGTACTCAGTGTAGCTTTAGTTGCATTATAAATAAGAGTATTTTCATTTATAGTGGCATTTTATATAAAACCATGTTCTTCCTGGATTCCTAGAATATTGGCTAAATAATTGTGCTAATGAGAATTCAGGGCCCTCTACTTGATTAAACATGGTTTATATGATATTTATATTATTGCAATTATTGTTAGCCTGATAAAGGTTTAGACAAAAATAGCTTTAGTTATGTAAATAACAAAGTTTATTTTTGTTTGTTTTTAAACATAAGGGATTTGACATGTTAGGAAAATTTATTTCCTTTGAATCCCTTTAAAGTCTTTGCTTTTACATTGAGAAATTACAATGTTTCCCAAGTAGGAGACGAAAGATTTTAGGATAAGCATTGAAAGAGCATGGCCCTAAAGTTTTTTGCAGGCATTTTTAGTTGTGGTGTAGAGGACTTTTATGGCTTATTCCATGGCTCTTAGAGCCAGGGCGATTTGGGTTTAAATTCTGGCTTTCTCAATTACCCTGTATTTTTGTGCAAGTCTATTTATCTATTTACCTGGCCCAAGTGCTGACACTGCTTTCACTCAGTGAGACAGGGACAGTGAGGGCGAAGGCGGATGGGGTTGGGAGTTAGCCAAGAGGAACTCCAGGGCTTGACGCTGTGCCCTGTACTTCTGCGTTGTTAGAAACTTGCATAACAGTGTGATCGTGGCCGGGCGCGGTGGCTCACGCTTGTAATCCCAGCACTTTGGGAGGCCGAGGCGGAAGGATCACTTGAGGTCAGGAGTTCAAGATGAGCCTGGCGAACGTGATGAAACCCCATCTCTACTAAAAATACAAAAAAAAAAAAAAAAGAAAAATAATAATAATAGCCGGGCGTGGTAGCGTGCGTCTGGAATCTCAGCTACTGGGGAGGCTGAGGCAGCAGAATTGCTTGAACCCAGGAGGCGGAGGTTGCAGTGAGCCGAGGTCGCGCTATTGCACTCCAGCCTGGGCGACAGAGCGAGACTTCGTCTAAAAAAAAATATATATATAGTGTGATCATATATTACTCATGTAACTAAAAAATAAGCCCACCTCACCGGATTCTGGTAAGGCCCAGAAGTATTATAAATGTCTGGTAAACAATAAGGATTCAAGTTGTAGCTTCTGTTATAATCCAGTGGTCTGGGGAGGGTGGACAAATTGAGGTGGCTCTTGGTTTTGGTTTATGGGACTTGGTAGGGAAGGAGTTGAGGGGAACTTTGCAGTAAGTCCAGCTAATTAATTCTTCAACTACATTTCTTTTGGCTTGTAACCTTCCAATTAGATATATGGGTTTGTATAAAAATCTGTTAAGGCGTTATTATTCAGGATATGGTAAAACAATGCAGTGCAGGAAACAACTCTTATAAGACCATAATTTGTATATAACTTACCAGTATATACCTAGCAATTAAGGATCATGTATTAGAAATAGTGTTCTATGATTAATCCTGCAAAAAGATCAGTATTATATTGATTAATTGATTGAGAGAGGATCTTATTCTGTTGCCCAGGCTGATCATAGGTCACTGCAGCCTCGATCTACTGGGCTTAAGCAATCTTCCTGCCTCAGCGTTCCAAAACAGCTGGGACTACAGGTGTGTACCACCACACCTGGCTAACTTTTTTTTGTTCTTAGTAGAAATGAGGTCTCACTATGTTGCTCAGGCTGATCTTGAACACCTGAGCTCAAGTGACAATCCCATCTCGGCCTCCCAAAATGTTGAGATTACAGATGTGAGCCACTGTGCCTCGTCTGTTTTTCTTTTTATTATTAAAAAATTCAAATGTTATAATGATCACTTAAATCCCGAACACCTAGATTCAATAATTGTTAAAACTTTGTGATGTTTGCTTTATCAATCTGTGACCATGTGTATATTTTTGCCAATCCATTTGAAAATAAAGTGTTACAGGCATCACAACACTTTACCCCTCAATACTTCAAAATTCATCCCTTGAAAATACTTAAAAATGCATCTTCTTCATAATCAGTTTTTCATATCTACAGATTATTGATAATTCTCTAGTATCATTTTATATTCATTTTCAGATGTTTTCAGTTTTTTCAAAGAGGAACTCAGCCAAAGTTTACAAATTGCATCCGGTTGTTTTGTCATCTTTAGTGTAAAAATTACTTATTACTAAGAACAAATCACCTGTAAAATTTAGCATCTTAAAACAACACAGATTTGTTATCTCACACAGTCTCTTGAGAGTCAGGAATCTTGGAATGACTTAGCGGTGTGGTTCTGGCTCAGGGTCTCGTGGAGGTTGCAATCATCTGAACGCTCAACCAGAGCTGGAGTTTCCAACTCTGTGAGGACACACTTAAAGCCATGATTGGCGGCAGGTCTCAGCTCCTTGCAGGGGGACCTCTCCACAGGGTTGCTTGAGTGTCTTTATAACATGGTGCATGGTGAGCTGAGAGGGACAAACAGGAAGCCTTTTATAATTTTATAACATCTGTTATATCCTAACTGTGAAGATACCCACTGTCACTTATGCCATAGTCTATTCAATAGTCCAGCATACACTCAAGGGATGGGGAATTATGCCTCACCTGGAGATCCTAGCAGTGGTGGCTTTAAAATATGTCCACAAGTTCTTTGAAGCTTCTCCCATCTTCAGAATATCTCCATGTTCTATTTAACCTGCACCTTTTAAATATTCTGATATTTTGACTGTTTGGTTCTGCAAATGGTGGAGGGGCATACAGTAGTCCCCTCTTTTCCCTGAGAAATACCTTCCAATACTCCCAGTGGATTCCTGAAACTCAGGATAGTACCAGATTCTATATATACTATGTTTTTTCCTATTACATACCTATTATAGTTTAATTTATAGATTAGCTACAGTAAAAGATGAACATTAGTAACACTAAAATGGAACAATGATAGCAGTATGCTATAATAAAATTTATGTGAATATGGTATCTCTCTCAAAATACTTAATTGTACTGTACTTACCTATTTTTGGACTGTAGTTGACTGCGGGTAACTGAAGGATAAGTGGGGGGACTATTGCATAGGATTTGGGAAATGTTCACAGTGTCCATAGAATCTTGGGGTTGATTATAAAAATAGGTGAAAGAGGAACCTGTCTGTTTTAGTGTAATGCAGTTGCCAGTATCTTTGCTAATTATTAAGGATGAGATAAGGTGTGCTAGCTCCCTGATGTTATATGAAATTGTCATCCCCCACATTCAAAGCCGTGGAGTGGAAGGTGAAGCATTCTCTGTAGATGGCTTGAGAGATCAACAAGGGATATTTGCATTGCAGTGGTTTACAGGGACTGCTTGCTCCAATTTGGCACTTTTCATTACAACAAATGTTATAGGAATCATTTTCAGTCAGTCTGCATATGCATCAGTAACATAAAATCATCCACAAATAAAGCATGCATGTATGTGTCTCCCCACTGGCCAGTGAAGAAAGCCTGTCTCCCTAATTGACTGAGGAATTCTGGAATGAGTCATGGTTTAAGAAAGCATTTGAAAGCCATTTAACCTGAGAGTTGTGCTTTCAATTGAGGTCCAGTTAAATGCTGTCTGTTTCCATGATTCTAGAGAAAAGGCCTGTGGGTTTGGTCAGCATTACTGCTCAGATAAGCAGCTCTTCCTTTAGGAATAAAGCAGTGCTTATAGCAATCTGCCCTTTATGTAGTGATAAATTACTTTAAATGCTCTATCTCACACTGTTGGAAATTTGTGTTTGGAGACTAGTGAGAGCAGTGGTGGAGCTTGAGAGCTTAATTTGCTTCTTGTTAAGCCACTTAGAGGCTCACATTTAACATGTGAGCCTGTTTTCCTGTGGACCTCAAACACAGGCCACATTGGTTTAGTGCATTGGTCTACAATTTACCCAAAACTTTTTGTCTCTTTGAGGTTCATATATTAACCTGATAGCCTTAGAATGTTTCTGACATTTAGTCCCTTTTCTGCTCTCACCCCGGAAATAATCACAAAGGGCATTCTAGGGATCATTCTGAGTGTATTGCAACAGTGACCCTGGATCCACAAGAGGGCACTTTTGATTGGGGTTGGTTTAAAATCCTTCAGCAGCCTCTTATGAGAAAGGAAGTGGGTTGATTACATTGTTATCTTCTTCCTTTCAGGCCTGGCAGTCATGCATTCCCAGAGCACCAATCAGCTTGATGTGGGGAACAATCCCCGTGTGGGCACCAAGCGCTACATGGCCCCCGAAGTTCTAGATGAAACCATCCAGGTGGATTGTTTCGATTCTTATAAAAGGGTCGATATTTGGGCCTTTGGACTTGTTTTGTGGGAAGTGGCCAGGCGGATGGTGAGCAATGGTAGGTATCTAATCTAATATAATATTGTCTTAATCCAAGTTCTCTTGATCCAGCTACCTTTAAAAGGGCTGAAGGGACTATTGAAATTCACATTGTTCTTTGAATCGTACGTGTCGAGTTATAGGCATTCATATTTGATTTATGGCTGGTAGATGGAGTGTAATGGCTTTTATGTTTGAAATATACCACAGTAAGTGATGGTTGAAAACCAGTATTTCTGGAAGAGACCAGCCATTCCTTGGTTTTTCTTTGGATTTGTTCCAGATTTCTTTTCTTTTAAATTTTTAAAATTGATACGTAATACTTGCGTTTATGGGGTACATGTGATATTTTGATAAATGTATGTAATATGTAGTGCTCAAATCAGGACATTTAGGCTGTACATCACCCTGAACTTTTATCTTTGTGTTGGGAACATTTCAAATAGTCTCTTCTAGCTATTTTGAAATACATAGTATATTATTGTCAACTATAGTCATGCTACTGTGCTATTGAACATTAGAACCTATTTTTTCCATCCAGCTCTTATGTTTATAGCCATTAACCAACGTCTCTTCATCCCACTGCTATCCTCACCCCTATTCCCCAACCTTCTCAGCTTCTGGTAACTATGATTCTACTCTCTACCACCATGAGATCAACTTTTTTAGCTCCCACATATGAGTGATAACTGGCTGTATTTATCTTTCTAGATAAAAGATTATGTCACCTGCAAAGAGGGACAATTTGACTTCCCTTTTTCCACATTGAATGTATTTTATTTCTTTGTCTTGCTTGATTGCTCTGCCTAGGACTTCTAGTACTATTTTGAATAAGAATGGTGAAAGTAGGCATTCTTGTCTTTGTTCCAGTTCTTAGAGAAAAGGCTTTCAGCTTTTCCCCATTCAGTATAAATTTACCTGTGAGTTTGTTGCATATGGCCCTTATTATGTTGAAGTATGTATATTCCTTCTGTACCTGCTTTGTTGAGAGTTTATATCATGAAGGGATGTTGAATAGACACAGAACTTTTTCTGCATATATTGAGATGATCATGAGGTTTTTGTCTTTGATTCTGTTGATGTGATGTATCGCATTAATTAATTTGCATGTGTTGAACCTTCCTTGCATCCCAAGAATAAATCCCACTTAATCATGATGTGTTATCTTTTTTATGTGTTGTTGGATTCAGTTTGCTTGTATTGTGTTTAAGATTTTTGCATCTGTGTTCATTAAGGATATTGGCCTGTAGTTTTCTTTTTTTGTTGTGGTTTCCTTGTCTCGTTTGGTATCAGGGTGATTCTGGACTCAGAATGAGTTAGGGACAATTCAGTCCTCTTCAATTTTTTGGAATAGTTCAAGAAGAAGTTCTATTTAAGTTTGGAAGAATTCAGCAGTAAAGCCATCCAATCCTGAGGTTTTCTTTGTGGGAATACTTTTTATTACCGACTCCATCTTGTTATTCATGGTCTGTTCAGATTTTAAATTTTCTTTTGGTTCCATCTTGGTAGATTATATCCATTTCCTCTAGGTTTTCCAATTTGTTTGTAATAATCTCTGATGATTTTTGTATTCTTGTGGTATCAGCTGTAATGTCTTCTTTTTTGTTTCTGATTTTATTTATTTGAGTCTTCTCTCCTTGTTTCTTGGTTAGTGTAGTTAACAGTTTATCAGTTTTCTTTACCTTTCCAACAAACTAACTTTTTATTTCATTAATCCTTTGTATGATTACTTTTTGGTCTCTATTTTGTTTAGTTTTGCTATGACCTTTCTTATTCTATTAATTTTGGGTTTGGTTTGTTCTTGCTTTTCTAGTTCCTTGAGGCCCATCTTTAGATTCTTTATTTGGAATCTTTCAGCTTTTCTGATGTAGGTATTTATTGTTACAGACTTCCCTGTTACCAATTCTTTTGTTGTATCCGATTGACTTTGGTATGTTATGTTTCCGTTTTTATTTGTTTCAAGAATTTTTTTTATTTCCTTCTTAATTTCTTCATTGACCCAGTGGTTGTTCAGGAGTGTGTTTTTGAATTTCCATGTGTTTGTACAGTTTCCAGAGTTTCTCTTGTTACTGATTTCTAGTTTTATTCCACTTGTTGAGACTTGTTTTGTGGCCTAACATATGGTCTATTCATGTGCTGATGAGAATAATGTGTAGTCTGTAGCTGTTGGATAAAATGTTCTGTAAGTGCCTGTTAGGTCCATTTGGTCTAAAGTACATTTTAAATCCAATGTTTCTTGGATTTTTCTGTCTAGATGATCTGTTCAGTGCTAAGAGTAGGATGTTGAAGTCCCCAACTGTTATTGTGTTGGAGTCTATTTGTCTCTTTAGGTTTAATAATATTTGCTTTGTATAAAAATGCTCCAGTGTTGGGTGCATATATATCTAGAATCATGATATTCTCTCTTCCTTTATGATTATACAGTTGACCTTGCACATCACAGGTGTGAACTGCATGATTTTTTCAACCACACGTGAACAACAACAACAACAAAAATACAGTATTTGTGGGATGCAAAACTGAGTATATAGAGGGCCTACTTTTTGTATCTGTGGGTTTCACAGGACGAACTGTGGTATTGAGTATCTATGTATTTTGGTTTAGACTGGGGTCTTGGAACCAATCTTCCATGTATACTGAGGGAGCACAGTATACTGACCTTTTGTGGTCTCTTTTTACAGTTTTTGGCTTAATGTCTGTTTTATCTGATAGAAGTATAGCTACCTCTGTTTGCTTTTGGTTTTTATTTGCATGGAATATCTTTTTTTATCCCTTCACTTTCAGTCTATATGTGCCTTTACAAGTGAGGTGGGTTTCTTGAAGACATCATGTAGTTGGGTCTTGTTTTTAATCTATTTAACCAAGTCTATATTTTTTAATTGGGGGGATTTAATCTGTTTACATTCAAAATTATTATTTATAGGTGAGGACTTATTTCTGCCTTTTTATTAATTGTGTTCTGGTTGTTTTGAATATCCTTCATTTCTTCTCCTTTTACTGTTTGTTTTTGTGTGTGTGTGTGTGTTTGTATATTTTCTCCTTAAATTTGAATTTTTTCTCCTTCTCATTTTTGTGTCTGCTCTACCAGTGTTTTATGCTTTCATGTCTTTTTGTGATGGCATATATCACCCAGATATAGCATTTCCTTATGTGTTTCTTGTAGGGCCAGTCTAGTGATGATAAATTCCCTCAGTTTTTGTTTATCTGGGAAATACCTTATTTTTCCTTCATTTGGAAAGGATAGCTTTGTGTTGAGTGTAGTATTCTTGGCTGACAGTTTTGTTTTTTCTTTCAACATTTGAATATGTCATCCCATTCTCTCTTGGCCCGTGAGATTACCACTGAGAAATCCACTGTTAGTTTGATGGGAGTCTTTTATATATGACTTGATGCTTTTCTACTGCTGTTTTTAGAATTTTCTCTTTGTCATTGACTTTACAAGTTTGACTATAATGTGCCTTGGACAATACCATTTTGGGCTGAATCTTTTTGGGGATCTTTGAGCTTCCTATATGTGGATGTCTATTTATCTCTTGAAAGATGTGGGAAATTTCAGCTTTTTTTGGGGGATAGGGATAAGTTTTCTATGCCTTTGCCCATTTATTTTCCTTCTGGAAAACCCAAAATTTGAATATTTGGTTGTATAATGATGTCCCATATATCACGTAGGCTTTGTTCATTCCTTTTTGGTTGAGTGTTTGTTTGTTTGACTGGCTATTTCAAAAGACATCTTTTCAAGTTCAGAAGTCTTTCTTCTGCTTGATTTAGTCTCCGGATTGCATTTTTAAATTTCCATTCAGGTTGCTGTGAATGCCATTAATTCATTCTTTTTATGGGTTAGTAGTATTCTATTTTATATATATATATATATATATATCAAATATATATATATCTCAAATATATATATCTCAAATATATATATATAAATATATATAAAAAATACGTGTAGATAGATAGATAGCTCACAATTTCTTATCCACTTGTTGATTCATGGACATTTGGGCTAGTTCCATATTTTTGCAGTTGCAAACTGTGCTGCTATAAATGTGTGTACAAGTATCTTCTTCGTATAGTGACTTCTTTTCCTCTGGGTACTCAGTAGTGGAATTGCTGGATCAAATTGTAGTTCTACTTTTAGTTCTTTAAGGAATCTCCAGTGTTTACCATAGTGGTTGTACTAGTTTACGTTCCCACTAGCAGTGTAGAAGTGTTTCCTTTGTGCCGCATCCACGCCAACATCTGTTATTTTTTGATTTTTTGATTATGGCCATTCTTGCGCAAGTAAGTTGGTATTTCATTGTGGTTTTGATTTGCATTTCCCTGATCATTAGAGATGTTGAGTATTTTTAAAATATGTTTGTTGACCATTTGTATATCTTCTTTTGAGAATTGTCTATTCATGTCCTTGGCCCACTTTTTGATGAAGTTGTTTTTTTCTTGCTAATTTGCTTGAGTCCCTTGTAGATTCTGAATAATATTCCTTTGTCGGATGTATAGATTGTGAAGATTTTCTCCCACTCTGTGGGGTGTCAGTTTACCCTGCTGACTGTTCCTTTTGCTGTGCAGAAGCTCTTTAATTAAGTCCCACCTATTTATCTTCGCTTTTATTGCTTTTGCTTCTGGGTTCTTGGTGATGAAGTCTTTTCCTAAGCCAATGTCTAAAGGGTTTTTCCAGTGTTATCTTCTAGAATGTTTATGTTTCAGATCTTAGATTTAAGTCCTTGATCCATCTTAAGTTGATTTTTATATAAGGTGAAGGATGAGGATCCAGTTTCATTCTCCTACATGTGGCTTGTCAGTTATCCCAGCACCATTTGTTGAATAGGACATCCTTCCCCACTTTATGTTTTTTTTTGCTGTGTCAAAGATCAGTTGGATGTTAAGTATTTGGGTTTATTTCTGGGTTCTCTATTCTGTTCCATTGGTCTGTGTGCCTATTTTTATACCAGTACCATGCTGTTTTGGTGACTGTGGCCTTACAGTATAGTTTGAAGTCAGGTAATGTATTATTTCCAGATTTTTTCCTTTTGCTTAGTCTTGCTTTGGCTATGCAGGCTCTTTTTTGGTTCCATATACATTTTAGGATTGCTTTTTCTAGTTCTGTGAAGAATGACGGTGGTATTTTTATGGGAATTTCATTGAATTTGTAGACTGCTTTTGGCATTATGGTTACTTTCACAATATTGATTCTACCTATCCATGAGCATGGGATATGTTTCCATTTGTTTGTGTCATCTGTGATTTCTTTCAGCAGTGTCTTGTAGTTTTCCTTGTAGAGATCTTCTGCTTCCTTGGTTAGGTATATTCCTAAGTATTGTATTGTATGGTACGGTATGGTATGGTATGGTATGGTATGGTATGGTATGGTATGGTATTATTTGCAGCTGTTGTAAAAGGGATTGAGTTCTTGATTTGATTCTTAGCTTGGTTGCTGTTGGTGTATAGCAGAACTATTGATCTGTGTACATTAATTTTGCACCCAGAAACTTTGGTAAGTTCTTTTATCAGTTATAGGAGCTTTTTGGAGGAGTCTTTAGGGTTTTCTAGGTATACGGTTATATCATCAGCAAACAGCGACAGTTAGACCTCCTCTTTACCAGTTCACATGCCCTTTATTTCTTTGTCTTGTCTGATTGCTCTGGCTAGGACTTCCAGTATTATGTTGAATAGAAGTGGTGAGAGTGGACATCCTTATCCTGTTACAATTCTCAGAGGGAATGCTTTCAACTTTTTCCCTGTTCAGTATAATGTTGGCTGTAGATTTGTCATAGATGACTTTTATTACATTGAGGTATGTCCCTTGTATGCCAGTTTTGCTAAGGGTTTTAATCATAAAGGGATGCTGGATTTTATCAAATGCTTTTTCTGCATCTGTTGAGATGATCATGTGATTTTTGTTTTTATTTCTGTTTATGTGGTGTATGACATTTATTGACTTGCATATGCTAAACCATCCCTGCATCCCTGGTATGAAACCCACTTGATCATGGTGGATTATTTTTTTGATATGGTGTGGGACTTGGTTAGCTAGTGTTTTGTTAAGGATGTTTGCATCTATGTTCATCACGGATATTGGTCTGTACTTTTCTTTTTTTGTTATGTTCTTTCCTGGTTTTGGTATTAGGGTGATACTGGCTTTATAGAATGATTTAGGGAAGATTCCCTCTTTCTCTATCTTGCAGAATATTGTCAGTAAGATTGGTACCAATTCTTCTTTGAATGTCTGATAGAATTCGGCTGTGAATTCATCTGGTCCTGGACTTTTTTTTCATTGGTAATTTTTTAAATTACCATTTCAGGCTTGCTGCTTGTTATTGGTTTGTTCAGAGTTTCTAATTCTTCCTGGTTTAAGCTAGGAGGGTTGTATATTTCCAGGAATTTATCTATCTCCTCTAGGTTTTCTAGTTTATGCACGTTAAGGTATTCATAGTAGCCTTGAATGATCTTTTGTATTTCTGTGGTGTTGGTTGTAATATTTCCCATTTCGTTTCTAATTGAGCTTATTTAGATCTTCTCTCTTCTTTTCTTGGTTAATCTTGCTAATGGCCTATCACTTTTATTTATCTTTTCAGAGAACCAGCTTTGTGTTTCATTTATCTTTTGTATTTTTTGTTTCGATTTCATTTAGTTCTGCTCTGATCTTGGTTATTTCTTTTCTTCTGCTGCGTATGAGTTTGGTTTATTCTTATTTCTCTAGTTCCTTGAGGTGTGGCCTTAGGTTGCCTGTTTGTGCTCTTTCAGATGTTTTGATGTATGCATTTTAAGGCTATGAACTTTCCTCTTAGCACTACCTTTGCTGTATTCCAGAGGTTTTGTTAGGTTGTGTCACTATTATCATTCAGTTCAAAGAAATGTTTAATTTCCATCTTGATTTCATTGTTGACCCAGTGATCATTGAGGAGCAGGAGATTTAATTTCCATCTATTTGCATGGTTTTGAAGGTTCCTTTTGGAGTTGATTTCCAATTTTATTTCACTGTGGTCTGAGAGAATACTTGATGTAATTTCAGTTTTCTTAAGTTTATTGAGACTTGTTTTGTGGCCTATCATATGGTCTATCTTGGAGAAATTTCCCTGCATTGATAAATAGAATGTATATTCTGTGGTTGTTCAGTAGAATGTTCTGTAAATATCTGTTAAGTCCATTTGTTCTAGGGTATAGTTTAAATCCATTGTTTCTTTCTTGTCTTTCTGTCTTGACCTATCTAGTGCTATCAGAGAAGTATTGAAGTCCCCCATTATTATTGTGTTGCTCTCTATCTCATTTCTTAGGTCTAGTAATAATTGTTCTATAAATTTACTAGCTCCAGTGTTAGGTGCATATATATTTAGGATTGTGATAGTTTCCTGCTGGACAAGGCTTCTTTTTTTTGAGATGGATTCTCGCTCTGTCGCCCAGGCTGGAGTGCAGTGGTGCAATCTTTACTCACTGCAACCTCCACCTCCCAGATTCAAGCGATTCTCCTGCCTCAGCCTCCTGAGTAGCTGGGATTATAGGCACCCACCACCACACCCAGCTAATTTTTGTATTTTTAGGAGAAACAGGGTTTCACCATTTTGGCCAGGCTGGTCTCAAACTCCTGACCTTGTGATCTGCCCGCCTCGGCCTCCCAAAGTGTTGGGATTACAGGCGTGAACCACCACACCCGGCTGTCAAGGCCTTTTATCTTTATTTAGTGTTCCTCTTGTCTTTTTTAAATGATGTTGCTTTAAAGTTTGTTTTGTCTGATACAAGAATAGCTACCTCTGCTTGCTATTGGTGTCCATTTGCATGGAATATCTTTTCAACCCCATTTACCTTAAGTTTATTTGAGTCCTTATGTGTTAGGTGAGTCTCTTGAAGGCAGCAGATAGTTGCTTGGTGAATTCTTATCTATTTTGCAATTCTGTATCTTTTCAGTGGAGCATTTAGGCCATTTACATTCAAGGTTAGTATTGAGATATGAGATGCTATTCCTATTCATCATGCTATCTGTTGCCTGAATACCTTGGTTTTTTCAAAATGTATTTATGGTATTTTTTTGTTTTATAGGTCCTGTGAGATTCATGCTTTAAAGAGGTTCCGTTTTGATATGTTTCCAGGATTTGTTTCAAGATTTAGAGCTCCTTTTAGCAGTTCTTGTTAGTACTGGCTTGGTAGTGGCGAATTCTGTTAGCATTTGTTTATCTGAAAAAGACCGAATCTTTCCTTCATTTATCAATCTTCGTTTCAAGGGATACAAAATTCTTGGCTCATAATTGTTTTGTTTAAGGAGGCTGAAGATAGGGCCCCAATCCCTTCTAGCTTGTGGGGTCTCTGCTGAGAAATCTGCTGTTAATCTGATAGGTCTTGAATCATTTTTTGGATTTCCTTAATTTGGACTTCACCTTTCTCTGGTGCCTCCTTGATTAGCTTAATAAACGACCTTCTGAATTCTTTTTCTGGCAATTCAGGAATTTCTTCTTCTTGGTTTGGATCCAGTGCGGGTGAGCTAGTGTGATTTTTGGAGGTTGTTAAAGAACCTTGTTTTGTCATATTACTAGAATTGTTTTTCTGATTCCTTCTCATTTGGATAGGCTATGTCAGAGGGAAGGTCTGGGGCTCAAGGCTGCTGTTCAGATTCTTTTGTCCCACAGGGTGCTCTCTTTATGTAGTAGTACTCTTCCCCTTTTCCTAGGGATGTGGCTTTCTGAGAGCCAAACTGTAGTGATTATTATTTCTCTTCTGGATCTAGCCACCCACACAGGGCTACCAGTATCCAGGTGGTATTGGGGGGTGTCTGCACAGAGTCCTGTGATGTGAACTGTCTTCAGGTCTCTCAGCCATGGATACCGGCACCTGCTCTGGTGGATATGGCAGGGGAATGAAATGGACTCTGTGAGGGTCTTTAGTTGTAGTCGTTTGATGTGCTAGTTTTGTGCAGGTTGGCTTCCTGCCAGGAGGTGGCGCTTTCAAGAGAGCATTAGCTGTGGTAGTATAGGGGAGGATCAGGTGGTGGGCAGGGCCATAGAACTCCCAAGAGAATATGACCTTTATCTTCAGCTACCAGGATGAGTAGAGAAAGACCATCAGGTAGGGGCAGGGTTAGGCGTGACAGAGCTCAGACTCTCCTTGGGTGGGGCTTGCTGTGGCTGCTGTGGGGAATGGGGTTGTGGTTTCCATGTCAGTGGAGTTATGTTCCCAGCATTATGGCTGCCTCTGCTGTGTCATGCATGTTGTCAGGGAAGTAGGGGAAAGCCAGCAGTTATAGGCCTTACCCAGTTCCCACACAACCCAAAAGGCCTGTCTCACTCCCACTGTGCTCCCCACCCCCTCAACAGCACCAAGTTTGTTTCCAGGCAGTGGGCCAGCAGGGCTGAGAATTGCTCCAGGCTACCAGCTTCCCAGCTGAGAAAGCAAGCAGGGCTTGCACGCCTTCCCACCTGTCGAGTCTGGACACCGGATTCCTGCCCTCCCCTGAGTTCGGGCAAGGAAACTTTGCATTCGGTTAGAATTTTTACACAGTTCAGCTGGAGGTTTCCATCTCC
The DNA here is from genome assembly GCF_000001405.40 of Homo sapiens. NCBI lineage: Eukaryota > Metazoa > Chordata > Mammalia > Primates > Hominidae > Homo > Homo sapiens. Next base: position 157,751,392 of record NC_000002.12, on the reverse strand, counting down.
CCGTGGTCTTTTCCCAGTTCCTCCGGCAGCCCTTCCCAAGGACCGCTGTAAGACAAGTCAGAAATGGCTTCCCCAGGGACCAAGAGAGCCCATAGGGCATTTCCTGCTGCTTCCTGTGCCCCTGTATTTCATTCAGCTCTCTAAATTGTCTCAGCTCCAGGTAAGGTCAAATCCTTCTTCCATAATCTGGACCTTCAGGTTCCCCAGTGAGGGTGTGTGTTTGGGGGTGGACAGTCAGTCCTCCTTTCCCACTTTCACAGTTTGGGCACTCAGAGTATTTGGACTGTCTCCCAGGTCCTGCAGGAGCAGTCCACTTCCTTCAAAGGGTCCGTTGATTCTTTCAGCTTTCCTGGTATATTCCTGGAGTAGTTATTGGAGCAAAGGTTTATGGTGCGAGTCTCCACACGTTGCTCTGTCCATCTAAGTGGGAGCTGCAATTTAGTCAGGCCTCCTATCTGCCATCTTTTCCCCAACCTCTGTTTGATTTTTTTTTTTAATGATACCCATTTCTTTAATTTGCCACAGATCGTGAATTGTTTTTCCAATTTATTTGTGTATTTTTAACTTGTGTTCTCTTATATCTCACTGAGCTTCTTTAATATTATTTTGAATTTGTTTTCGGGCATTTTACCTATTTTTTCTTCATTGGAATCTGTTGCTGGAGACTTATTGTGTTCCTTTACTGTGTCATGTTTCCTTGTTTTTTTCATGTTCTTTGTGTCTCTACGTTGATATCAGCACATCTGGTATAACCTTTGTTTCTCCCAATTTTATGGTTTGGTTTTTGTAGGGAAAGACTGTCTCCTATATTGGGTTGGTAGGGCGCTTTGGTTTTGATTCTGGGTGTGTTCACTAGTGTAGTATCCATATGATTACTTCAGCTGTAATTGGCATCAGTGGTGTCTGTGAGTCCTTTTTGGTTTAGGCTGAAATTAATGGAGGCTGTGGTGAGGGTTTTCTTGGGATAGGGATGCCAGGAAGACTGGTCCTTGGGCACAAGTGGTTGTGGCGGCAAGCCAGGCATGCTGGTCCTCTGCTCCTGGATGGCATATGTGAGCACCAATGGAATCGAATGCAATGGACTCATCCTTGTGTCTCCAGGCATCTTGCTCAAGGGCCAGCAATGGCAGCGGTGGTAGACAGGCTCATCATCAGGCTTCTGGGTGGCTTGTGTGGCATTGATGATGACAGTAGTGGAATGGGCCAGCCATTGGGCCTCCAGGCAGCAAGCTTGGGTACCAGCCTACTGGGAAGGCCAGTCCTCAGGTCCCCAGGAGGCATGCTCAGGCTCCAGTGGTGACCAGCAGGGCAGGTCATTCCCTAGGCTGTCAGATGATGTGTGTGCGGGTGCTAGCAGGCTGGGCGGGCTCATCCTCAATCCCCCAGAAGGTATACACACACACCAGTGGTGGCAGCAGGCTGAGCAGACAATCCCTAGGCACCCAGATGATGCACATGGGCCCTGACAGGGGCAGCACTGGGCGGGATGAACCTGTCCTCAGGCCTCCCATTGGTGCACATGGGTGCAGGCTGTGGTGGGTGGAGCAAGTTGATCCCTAGACCCTTCGAAATTGTGCTTAGGCACTGCAAGTGGTGACTCTTGGTGGCGGAAGCCTTTCTTCAGACCTCCAGATGGCATGCTTGGGCCCTAGAGGTGAGTGGGGCAGGCCTGTTTTCAGAGCCCCCTGATCGTGCCTGTAGACACCAGGGATAGTAGGTGGACTGGTCCGTATTTCATTCTTGTCTTTCTCCAGCTTCCTGTTTTACCTTTCTTCCCACCCTCCTTCCTTTTTTGTTCTTCTCACAAGGGAGTTTTAACTTGAGGAGAATGATCAAGTGAATCTGAGGGTGAATTCTGCTATTTTCTAGGTATTTTGACTTGTTAAGTTTGGATTGTTGAGAAAAGTCTCAGTTTTTGCACTCAGAAGTCACTTATTTATAATGAGCAGACTGTACCTACTGAAAGAGTCAAATTTAAATGCAGGAAGCCCTGGATAGATGGCCTATGTTGATCTGTTTATAAGTAGTTTTATTAAATGGTGATGCCTTAGCAGTTAAAGAAGCACTTGTCAATCATTTTTAACCTATGTCCCCCACAGTGCGCTCTCACCCTTGCCTTTCATGTACCCAAATCAGCCACAAATATACTGTTGAACTTTACTTTAAGTACATTGTATTCTGAAAGCACTAAGTATACTCTTTCAAATTGGGCATGCCCCAACTACCCACAAAGTGGTTTTTATAGCAGAATCCCTTGAATTAACTAGATGAACCTCTTCATATCTTCACAACTGAAAATCTTATTTCACAGAGCATGTGTCTGAAACTATTCCAGGAAAACAGAAGAAAATGCCATATATTTAGATTAATGTTCATTTCCAAAAGATGCTTTACATTTTAGCCTCCTGTGACCCATTGGAGTCCTGGATTAGAAGAAATAATGCATGAAGTCTCTAATAGCTGTTTCCATTCCACATTCCACTGATGTTTTCTCCTAAGGATTGAGGTTTGTGGGCAATCATAATTTTCATGAATAGCACAGCCAGAGATGAGGACTTTCTGTGAGGTAGTGGAATTGGGGTAATTTATATAGTTTTAGTGTACAATAATTAAAATTGGCATGCCTTTAGGTGGTTTTTTTTCCTAATAGCAGAGTGGATCTGCTTTGAACAAACCTTCTGAGGGTATCAAAGTAGGTGTTCAGATTAAACATACATGGATTGTAAATTGACAGTTCTTTTTAAAGTTGTTTTTTTTTTTTAATGGAATCATGAACGTTTTCTTGGTAATTGTTTCTCAACCACTGGGAGCTGCTGCCTTGCAGTTTCTGCCCTTGATGCCCCTTGAGAATTGTTTGCAACAGAGAAATTGTTTTGCAGATTTATAAAGTTCTGAACTTTGCCTGAAATTGCACGTCAGCTTCATTTCCTCACCCCCTCCCCAATCATTCTTAAACACCTTCGAACTGAAAATTTTAATTCTGATTAGTTTATCTTAACAAACAATTTAGAGAAGGATTGGTGTCCAAATAAACTGTATGATGTGGAACTTGCCCCAAATGAAGAGGAAGTTGGCATTCCATAGCTAGACAGTAGCATTTCCAGCTGTGGGGGTGCCAGAGCTGAGCCAAGCAGGCCTGCTCAGCAGAGACTTGGGATTCAGGCTTTGTAAGAACTCGTGTTGCAAACCCGTTCCCTGTGTTGCAGGCATAAACCCAAGTGGCTTTTAAAGATCAGCTGTGATTAATAGTAGTCAGTTGGAAGTCAGAGTCATCAGTTTAAAATTTAGCTCAACAAATGGTGGCTTGCTTGGTAGTTCCTGTGTTTAACATTATTTTTGGAAGAAAAAGAAAAAAAAGGAAGGTAGAGGAAGGGAGAATGTTTTGATTGTTTTCTAATTTATTGATCTCTCCCTTGCATCATCACCAAGACTGTTAACTGGTTCCCAGAATGTTGTGGGTTGAGCTTCTGTGCTGTAATGTGGTTTGATTTTTTTAGAGGGGAGATAAGGGTATCTCCTGTCTCATTTAAAATCAGCCACTGTCCTTTGGCAATGACTAATTTGATATTTTCTCTTTTGTTCTCTGTTCCCTCTTCTATGAACATTCACGTGTGTATACACACAATGTACACCCCCCCACACACAAATCAGTTTATCTAAACTTAAACCTGAAAGTATTCAATGCTGCTTGCAAACCTGTTTTACTACTGTTAGTCTTTTAATTATTACTCTCCCAAAACAGAAAAAAAATGAGTAGGAGAAATTGTGCCTTCAAATTTTAACATTCACATCTTTTTCTACTTCTGTATGCACCCATTTTTAAAACTTAGTTGTAATCATATATAGATATAATTCCGTATCATCTTTTTTATTCGTATTTTTTTTAATCTTGCTTAATAGGCTGTTTTTATTTTAAATGGTCACATGACATCTTATTAGCTTAACCATTTCCATATTGTTAGATATCCTGTTTCCACCATTTGGGGCCTATTGTAGACATTTTTGTGCACATGATGATTTCGTTCAGGGAAATGATTCTTAATCTGAAAATAAGTAGACTTAATAGGTCAAAGAATGTGGATGTTTTTATGGCTTGACACATATTGCCAAGTTGCTTTTCATAAAAGCTGTACTAATTTACAATATCCCCCATACCCTAGGGTGTGATGTGCCTATTTCATTTTCTTAGCAGCTTTAGGAACTGTCATTAAAAGAATATATATTTTTGAAATTATTGCATATAAAATGTATCTCATTTAAATATATGAATATCTTCTGTGAGGAAGGTCATTATAATGATACATCCTTTGAGTTTCTGAATGCATTATAAAAATTGATGACCAGATAGATCTCTTGGAGTAATATGATCCTCAAGTGAACCATGAGCATAAAAATATGTTGCATTTTTATATTTTTTATTGGAATTTTACATTTATTTGCTACTAATAATAAACCTCATGCTGTTTCTTTACAGGAAATGAGAGTTAAGTCCATTTTTGCATCTGAGCATTTCTCAATAGTGTCCTTTGGAATTTACTTTTGGTGTTTAATTTGACATTGAATTTGGAATTGGTAGGAAAGAAAACGGCTTTCTTACCTTCCCTGTGTGAATTTTCCATATGAACTTAAGGCAGGGGTTCACTCGGATCGATAGTTTTTAAACTGGAATGTGCATCACAGTCACCTAGAGTACTGAAGACACAGATTCCCGGGGCCCAGCCCCAGCATTTCTGATTTAGTAGTTCTAGGGTAAGAAAATGTGATGCCGAGGCTCCCAGCCAAATACACACGAGAGTTTTTGAAAAAAGACGGTGTACCCAGATTGAATAGACAAACACCAATTTGGTTGGATACATTAGCATGATGTGCTTCTGTCTTCCTTGCTGTGGTTCTCTTAGGGCCATTGCACTGCATACAGAAGTCTGTGTGAAGAGTGCACTCCGGAGCTGTGTGGGGTTTGTGCTGGGTCTGTGGGAGGCAGTGAAGTGGAATCACTAACATTCCAGAGTCTGACGTCATACTCTCTGACTCGATGACTTACATCAGTTTCGTTATTTAAAAAATAATAATATCTACTTTAAAGGGTTATGGTGATTAAATGAGATCGTATATGTAAAGCATCTCATGTGTGTCTGGCATATAGAAAGTGCTTTGGTATGGTTTCCTTTCCACGGAAAATGGGTGATGAAGGCCACCCAGGAGCTTGCAGATCACAGTGGCCGTCTTCTGCCTCTTGTTTTGCTACCTCTTGGCCCTAGTACATTTGTTTCCCCTCTTCACTGCCCACAGGAAGGCTCTGTGGACATACTCTTGTTTCACTGTTACTGGCTTTGATTATTTTGTGATGGAATCCAGGGTTAAAATGTGTCAAAAACCATTTGTATCTTGTAGAAAAATCCTTGCTGACCAAGTTGTGCCTCTTATGGGGTGGGGACTAGGACATACTTGTTAGAATAAGCTTATATTTGGTGCACTTACTTTGAAAAAAGAACCTCTTCTAATGAATCTTTGAGTCAGCCAGGGAGCTGCTTGTGCTTCTGCTCCTAAGTGCAATGGGGCTTGTGTATGGAAACCATGACAACTCCTATTTTTGTCAGCAACTCAATATCCAACATGTTTCATGACGTTAATTACCTACTTTTGTGTGTATTAAGGTTTGCATAAGAGGATAAATCATATTAGGGCCAATTTTTTGTATTCATTAATTTCAGTTTTTTTGTTTGTTTTAACATTTAGGACAATGACTGGGGGCAGGAATATGGAGGTGGGGTGGGAGGGAAGAATTATTTTCCCCCTGACTTCCTGGAATTTCATGTCCCTGATTTAGAGATCCAGAACAGAGGAGAGTAGTCAACTAACCTCATGACAAAATAAGTTGAAGGCTGCAAAACTTTATTGGCTGCTGTTTACTGACTAGTAGTCTCTTTTCCTTGACACACTTCTAAAAGCAGTCTTTCACCAAGAGAAATATCTGTATCCTAAACCTTGTAACAGCCACAACATTCAGTGAATGATACATTTTTCTGAAGAAGCCTTTCTTCATAGCTACCAAATGTTTGGAACTCTTGTGGTGCTCCTCTCTTTCTCGATTTTGGAGGTATGCAAGCTCTAAGGCTGTCTTGTTCATAGTTTAACCCAGGGAATAGCCATGCAGCATCTCTAGGCTTTTTGCCCTCTCCTTTGACAACTTACAGTAATATTGACACATGCTTTTAGTAGGGTCCAACTACACAGTAATCTATAAACCATTTACTTTTGCTGTGTTACATCGATGAGAATTCCAACAATAGAAATTAATTTTATAATTTTAACAGATTCCTGAGAATGCAATTAGTTTGGACTTTGAGTAATGTACATGGCTCCGTAAGCCCATGAATTACAATGGGCTAGAGGGGCAGGACACAGCTGTCACAGCATGTACTTTACCCAGCATGGGACAAGGCTGTCTTTCCAACTCCTGTTTTCAGGAAGAAGTGCCTGCCATGAGTTACAGGAATGCCTGAGGTACTGATTCTCATAACCCTCTGGCAGTGTGGCCGGGCCAAGCGGCCAGAACTCGGGCTGTCATCCCCTCTGCCATGAACAGCCTCATCCATTTATTCATTAGTCATGTTTTATCTGTGCCGTGGCATGAGAAATATCTCGAAGCCCTCTTGTGAGGTATGTTAGGTGAAGTAACCCAAATATTGGATATACCTTTTTGAATCATGTCTCACCAGGAAGAATGATGCCTTTCTGTGAACTCAGTGTTTCCCAATTCATTCATACTGCCCTCATCATTTTTTTCCATATCCAAATGCTACTTTGTGCCATCATTTACAGAATCTTTTCCTTCAAATTGGCTAACTCTTTTCAAAGTTAATTTTGTTTTGAAAGGAAATTATTATCACTGCTGGAAATGGAAAACCAGTATCACATGGCATAAAATGGAAGATAACTATGAAAATAAATATGTAACTAATGAGATGAAAAAGTTTAGTCCATGAACCACATCAAATTTTCTCACGTGCCACACCTGAAGGAAACACTGTATTCACTTATAGTGCTCTCAGATGCCAAATATGGGCCATTTTCTTTTTTTCCCTCTCTAAAATAGCTTTACTTCTAATGCTCTGTCCTCTGAAGGATTTCAGCGCTTCTGTAGGAGTTAATTGTTAAAAATAGCTCTTTGTATGGATATACATGCCAGAGACTCTGTCCTCATTACCTGGATATCTGATGTGACTACCCAAGTTGGAGGATTATGAAGAGAGTTTGTAATGAGAAGTAGGCACACTGTGGCATGAGATGCAAGGAGAGAGAGAAATGTCTTTCATTATCCCATGGGTGGCTTGTAAGGGAGAATTCTAGAATATAAACAGAAAATTGGATTCTAGTTTAACTTTGCCATTAATTAGCTGTGAACTTGAAAAGTACTTTTTCCAATGTGACCCTCAATTTCTTTTGAAGGAAAGGAAGGATGGAATTCTCATGGCTCTAACTTCCCATCAGTTCCTCTTTCCCTTACCTTTGGCTAATTCAAAGCATAGCCAGGTCCACAGTTTCTTATCTGCAACTGAGAAGTCCCCAAAACTTTGAAACTCGAAAGCTTTTTCATAACTTATTTGACAGAACACTTGACCTGAACTCATGTGATAGTCAAACATGACCTGAATGGACGTGTGTCAGTGTATAACCTTTATTTATTCCATCTAGTGTGACTGGTCATATATTTTGCTGAAGAAATATATTTGATCATGGGGATACTCCTTAGACTTTGCTGGGGATGTTACATAAAATATAGGGTATGCTATTACCTTTATAAAATGTAAAAAGTTCCAAATTTGGCAAATGCATCTAACCTTGAGAGTTTTGAAAAAGGATTATGGACATATATAATCAACATTTATTTGTGTATCTAGTGTCTGTAATACACTAGGTGTTGTGTTAGGCTCTGGGGAAGCACTTGGGCAAAAAATCCCCAGAATATCCGATTTAAAGGTGCTCACATTCTTGTTGAAGAGTCAAATTATTATAAATAAATAGATCAAGTCACTGTGGTTGAGGTATACAGGAAAGTGACTGAGTATGGGGGTGAGGGCACTGAACTTTGTCTAGGCCCCTGTGTTGTGGTAGCAGGATGGGACAGTCTTCTCAGAAGGTGAGAAGCATGAATTGAGTCATCTGTGGGTTGAATAAGAACCTAGTTGGACAAGCTTGGGAGGATGTGAGGTGCAGGTGGGAATGAGAAATAAAACTTGACCACGATGACAGTTGGTATGCCAGACAAAAGGTAGGCTGAAGGATCCCATAAAGGTGCCCTGTTGATGGAACTACAAGTAATTCTGGTGTGGCTGATGTCCAGGTATGTGAAGGACAGTGGTGGGGAATGGACTTTGGTGGGGAGGGAGTGGGCTCCCATGGACGGCACTGATGGAAAACATGCAGAGGAGGGGCACGGTGAACTCCTTTTTCAGCTTTCTCCTACAGATCTCACTGAGGGCAGTGGGATAGGGTGGAGGTTGGCAGGGGAGGACTGATGCAGAGAGACCTGCGGGTCCCACATGCAGCTGTCAAGCGGAAAGAAGATGGCTGTCTAGTTCAGGACCTCGGGGGCAAGATCTTGAGGAAGGACTTGTTTCTGGACATTTGAGAGGCTACTGGCGTTTCATGCTTTTCAAAGTGCATGTCTAGGACATATTTGATCTGCACGTTGGCTTTGTGGTGTGTGCTTTAAAGGTATTGGAAAACTAAGGCCTGGCAGCTAAGGGGTTTACTCAGAGCCATATAGCAAACTAATGGGAGGGATATTGGTTGATAAAGATAGGCTTACCCCAAAAAAGAGAAAACTTTCAACTAGACATATGCCCAGGAAAAAACTATTGTATAAATCAGACACCCCTGCCAAAAGTTGTGGGGGAGTAGGTTATGAATAATGTTTTTTATTTCTTTCTCGTGGCCCTTTGAGTCACGCTGGCCGCCTTACATGGGAGGCGAGGCCTGGCTCAGTCTGTTCCGTCCCTGGCCACCATTTAAGAGCGCCTCTTCCCCTGCCTTCCTGTGTCATTTGTTGTTTGCACTGCTCATTTGGCACTTGAAGTGCTTTGTATTTTTAGTTACTTGCCTGAATTCATGCTGTGCTCTTTGCTGGCTCACGATTTGGCAGTAACTTCTTGGGTGCTGCCTCTAAAGGACTTAGAGTTCACTTTTTTGCCTGGCTACGCTGATTATCGCTTTCTGGCAGAAATGAGGCACTGTTGTAAATCAGTCATTTCCTACCTTGACAGCAGGTGTCACCTCGCAGTCTGGCCTCACCTCCTGTCCCCTTCTTCTCCCCCGGCTCTCCTGCCACCACATGCACCTATTTCAGCCCCAGAGAACTTCTCTCCACCTCTCCAACGTCAGAGGATGGTTTGTCAGTTCCTGTCCTTGCCCCATAGCCTCCCTCTGCCTGGAATGCACCCACTCCGTAGGGGTTTCTCTTCCCTGTCATCTTTTCTGCCTTGCAAACTCTTGACCTTTCTATTCTGCCCATGCCCCACTTCCCTCCTGGAAGGCTTACCTGTGCTTCCACGGCACCCAGTTTATATATGGGGACTTGTGATACCATGGAGGTGTTTCCTCCTCTGAGCCCTGCCAAGTGCCACTGTCCCTCCCCACTGTCTTCTCTGTTCTCTTCCCTCTAAAGCTAGTCTGTAATTTTTTTTCTTTCACCTTTCTCATTATTCTGCTCCTCATTACCAACACTGCATCTTTTTCTTTTCTTTTTTCTTTTTTTTTTTTCTTTTTGGAGACAGAGTCTCTGTCTGTCACCAGGCTATAGTGCAGTGGCACTATCTCGGCTCACTGCAACCTACGCCTCCTGGGTTCAGGCGATTCTCCTGCCTCAGCCTCCCTAGTTGCCTGGACTACACGCACACACCACCACACCAAGCTAATTTTTGTATTTTTAGTAGAGACGGGGTTTCACCATGTTACCAGGATGGTCTTGATCTCTTGACCTCATGATCTGCCCACCTCAGCCTCCCAAAGTGCTGGGATTACAGGCGTGAGCCACCGTTTTTTCATCTTTTATCCCTCCTGCCAAGCACAGCCTCGGGCACACCCAGCTAATCAAAATGGCCATTGAGTCAATTTAGGATCTCACAAGTGAAAGTAGAATGAGAATTTCTAATATAGTTTTGCCTTTCAAGGTACAAAGTAAATGGGTGAAAAAAGATTTTGAGGTTCTTTTTGACAAGATTTCCATTGTCTCAGGGAAAAAAAAATGAGAGACTTGTCCTGCTCTTCCACTAGACTTTTGATTTCCTTGGAAAACAAGAGCATGTCTTATATTTTTATCACTCTCAGCATTTAATACGGCATCCTACCATAGCAGTAATGCACTTTCAACTGATTTATTGCTTGATCAGAGGGAGTTCGTAGTGACTGTTAGAGCTTAATCCCAGGTTTATTTTATTTTGGAGAAGCATGGCCAGCGTCAGGTGAAAACAATCAACAGTTGGCCAATGATTGAGGAAAAAGAGGCTTGACTAAATCCCAGGGATAATCAGTTAAATGGTCTTTTAAAAATACTTGACTCCTTTTATTAAAACATGGGGACATTTAATAAAATTGAAACATGGGAAACGGAAACACAAGGGCAAACTTCAGCTTTGTATAGTGAAATTCATTGTTTGGTATCACCAGATCTCATGTTTTAAAAATCCAGCCATGCTTTGTTTCCTTTTGCATTTATAGAAAACTTCAACTTTGTATTACCGTTCACATTCACATAACCCTTTCTAAGCTCAACAGGTAAATTACTCCAAAAAGATGGCTGTTATGCTAGATTTTTAAATATTAAGCCAGGCTATTAAATATATTCTCTTTCAGAAAAATTGAGAGATGGTGAAGGGCACGTGTCTTACTGTTTTCTGTAAATTCTTGTGACCCTAGAAAACGCATAAAATATCTCTCTAGGTCCATGTTCAGCTGTATTTTAGATGGTGTCTGTTAGTACTGAAAATAATTAAAAGATTTTTGTTTGAATGTTTCCTGGGATCCTTACAGGAGAAGAAGGGCCTCTAAGATGAGGTGTTCCAAGATTTCTGAGAGTAGCAGTTTATACCCAATATGATGTTTATGATTTGCCAGGAAAGGTTTTAATCCACTGACTGATATGCATTTCAAATGCAGTTACACAATGTGGGTAAGTTATTTGGAATTAACTAGTTTTTTTTTTTTTTTGAGACAGAATCTCACTCTGTCACCCAGGCTGGAGTGCAGTGGTCTGATCTTGGCTCATTGCAACATCCACCTCCCGGGTTCAAGCAAATCTTGTGCCTCAGCCTCCTGAGTTAGCTGGAACTACAGGCACGCGCCAACACACCCGGCTAATTTTTGTATTTTTAGTAGAGACAGGGTCTTGCCATGTTGCCCAGGCTTGTCTCGAACACTGACCTCAAGTGGTCCACCCACCACGACCTCCCAAAGTGCTGAGATTACAGGCGTGAACGACCACACCCAGCCTAGATTTTTAAAAAATATAATTTAGACTTGTTTCCATCTCAAATATAAACCTTTATTTAGCCAAATTTGTGAAGTTTTAAAAAGATATGTAGCATTTCTTGAAAAGATGCTCCTTATATCTAATCTTTTGCATAAATGGTTTGTATTTGTATGGAATTTGTAAGGATGGATTCCCACTGTTGAGTAATTTCTGTGATAAATGAAAAGGGAATTGAAGCTTTTCAGGTGGCTTGTAGGAACTAGAACAACCGAATTACAACTTTCCTCACACTCCTTCTGTCGCCTCCAACAACTTCTTAGGTATTTAGGAATAGAAGAAAGTCGCCTGGAGGAAGAAAAGAGAGCAGTAAACCAAGTTATTACCTCATTGTTTGAACCCTTTGTTGAGGGAAAGGAAATAATAGATGTCTTGGTTTTATTTCTATGAAGGGGAAGAATCCATTTTCTAATTCCAAATGATGAAGTTAAAAATTTTTCTGTTTAAGGAGTTGATATAATTCTGCTGGAAAAGAAAAAGTTTCCAGGCCATTGGAAATCATGCAGGGGCAGAAGCTGGTATTAGCTACTGTTCATATTTGCTTTTGGGCAGAGGAAGAGTTCATTATTTATCCTTCTTTTCCTCTGCCTTCCCACATGGCTATCCTCTTTACATTTTATTTTGTGCCTTCAATATGATAGTAAATAATAGAGCCATCAGTCAGACAGCTGTGCCTGTAGTTAGAGGGTACTCAGTACATGTAGAATGAATGAATGAGGAAATGAGTATTTCCTATGATATTATTTGCATCCCTCCTAATGGAAGAGATTAATTTATAGCAATGTTTTTCTTAACAAAATACTTTTCTAACAAAGAAAGGGGTATTTTGATGATGGTCTTGGTTTATTACTCCCTAGCTCTAGTTTGTGGACAACTTTTTATTTCTATTTATGGTTTGAAACCACTAGATTCAGGTACTTTCCATAGGTAGCTTGGGTGGTTTTTATCACCAAAGGAATTTTTGTTCTATGTCTCCAGTGCCCTGTTGGGCGTTACAGAGCTGTTAATATACACTGTTGGAGAATTTTGCTAATAGTTATGATTACATGAGAAGTTTTCACGTATTTCCTTCTAACAATTATCCTTCTTCCAATACCATGCAGGGTGTGTATTTATTGCCTTTTTCTCCCACCTGTTTTAGGACCTACCTCTAGCTTCCAGGACTGCCCTGAGGTATGAGGAAGGTGATTAGTATTTTCTTCTGTCACATTATAACCTGTGACACCCATCAATGAAACCTTGGGGCAACCTGTACTCTCTTGCTAACCGAACACAATTCTTGTCCTTGTGTGCAGGTATAGTGGAGGATTACAAGCCACCGTTCTACGATGTGGTTCCCAATGACCCAAGTTTTGAAGATATGAGGAAGGTAGTCTGTGTGGATCAACAAAGGCCAAACATACCCAACAGATGGTTCTCAGACCCGGTAAGAATGCCAGTTTCTCAGTTTTAGAGCTCTTTTCCATTGTTTGCTATTTGTTTCCCTTTGAGTTTCAACTGGTATTGCATCTGAGTGATCTGTCCCGTGGATCTGTTGTTTTCTCTTCCTATTTTATATAGAAGGGTTTAGATCTAGAAGAGTAAGTTCAGAAAAATACTCCATTCTTGAAGAAGCCATATCTCATAGGGGTTGCTAGTGAATGACAATATTTGTAAGAATTTCTGTGAATATGCAGCTTCAGGAATCGGGAGACTCATGACTACTGCTATTAGCCCTAAGACTGCATGTATAAACCAAGAGACTTTAAGTGAAGCTTTTAACCTCCTTTCCATCTCTGTATATCTGAAATCCCAAACACAAGCTGCTGGATGCTGAAGATCCTGTATTGCTACTCATAAGTAGTAGCAGGTATAAAACAATGAGAAATGACCCTATTTGGAAATTTCAGGATTATCTCTAGGTTAGTATTGCTGCTTTTGGCACCCATAAAATCATTAAGGGGTCCAATCTGGCCTATGTCGTTTACCTAATAAATTGGTAGCATTAAGAGTCCAAAGGACAGAGTTCATGAAATTCTAAGAATGGCCTCTTTATCAGTGGTTAAAGGTTGAATATTTGCTTGAAGAAGATGACAGTAACATAACTCTAATTTCACAAGACCTGCGAGTTCTTCAGAATAGTAGACATGATATCAGCCCAGCTTCCAGGGCCATTAAAAAGCCAGTTTGTCATTGTGGTGTTTGTTCTTTCTCTCCTCAGACATTAACCTCTCTGGCCAAGCTAATGAAAGAATGCTGGTATCAAAATCCATCCGCAAGACTCACAGCACTGCGTATCAAAAAGACTTTGACCAAAATTGATAATTCCCTCGACAAATTGAAAACTGACTGTTGACATTTTCATAGTGTCAAGAAGGAAGATTTGACGTTGTTGTCATTGTCCAGCTGGGACCTAATGCTGGCCTGACTGGTTGTCAGAATGGAATCCATCTGTCTCCCTCCCCAAATGGCTGCTTTGACAAGGCAGACGTCGTACCCAGCCATGTGTTGGGGAGACATCAAAACCACCCTAACCTCGCTCGATGACTGTGAACTGGGCATTTCACGAACTGTTCACACTGCAGAGACTAATGTTGGACAGACACTGTTGCAAAGGTAGGGACTGGAGGAACACAGAGAAATCCTAAAAGAGATCTGGGCATTAAGTCAGTGGCTTTGCATAGCTTTCACAAGTCTCCTAGACACTCCCCACGGGAAACTCAAGGAGGTGGTGAATTTTTAATCAGCAATATTGCCTGTGCTTCTCTTCTTTATTGCACTAGGAATTCTTTGCATTCCTTACTTGCACTGTTACTCTTAATTTTAAAGACCCAACTTGCCAAAATGTTGGCTGCGTACTCCACTGGTCTGTCTTTGGATAATAGGAATTCAATTTGGCAAAACAAAATGTAATGTCAGACTTTGCTGCATTTTACACATGTGCTGATGTTTACAATGATGCCGAACATTAGGAATTGTTTATACACAACTTTGCAAATTATTTATTACTTGTGCACTTAGTAGTTTTTACAAAACTGCTTTGTGCATATGTTAAAGCTTATTTTTATGTGGTCTTATGATTTTATTACAGAAATGTTTTTAACACTATACTCTAAAATGGACATTTTCTTTTATTATCAGTTAAAATCACATTTTAAGTGCTTCACATTTGTATGTGTGTAGACTGTAACTTTTTTTCAGTTCATATGCAGAACGTATTTAGCCATTACCCACGTGACACCACCGAATATATTACTGATTTAGAAGCAAAGATTTCAGTAGAATTTTAGTCCTGAACGCTACGGGGAAAATGCATTTTCTTCAGAATTATCCATTACGTGCATTTAAACTCTGCCAGAAAAAAATAACTATTTTGTTTTAATCTACTTTTTGTATTTAGTAGTTATTTGTATAAATTAAATAAACTGTTTTCAAGTCAAACAGTGAAATTGTTTTTCAAAATATAAAAAAGATCTGTGTAACATTATGCATTTTCTTATGGGAGCAATAGAAGCACAAAACTAATTTGTAAATTGAATTTGCTTTTTAAATCTACTCATGAACTTATGTAAGACATCATAAGGATGTCTTACAGCTTGAATTTGGTATAAGAAAATTTGTTTCTTCCTTTGGCTGTGATTTTTTTGTTTTTTTGTGTTTTTTTTTCAGTCAGTTTCTCCAGCTGTAAGGTGAGGGTAACAAATCTCTCTGACCTGCCTTTCTCACAGGGGGGTGTTGTGAGTGTAAACGGGAAGGAGGATGTTAAAGCATTTTGTTGAGTGAAAGGTTCCACGTGAGTGTAAAGTGGTCTTATGCATCCGCCCTTGCTGCTTGGGAGAGTCCGTTCTCGGTTTTTTCACTGCTTGTACACAAGATTAAAAGGTAGAGTTAACAGTAGCCCAATAAGAGAAGAGGTGTGAACATGCCGGAATGTCTTCCAGAGGTAAGTTAATAACTTCATTAGGATGTATTTACTTGGAGGGTATATATTAGAATGACATTTTTTTAAATTACAAATCAAAATTTTAATTTGTGTTACAGATAACATAAAACTTACTAATTTTTAAGTGTATGTTAAGTGCATTCACCTTGTGCTACTATCACCATCATCTATCCACAGAACTCACGTGAAACTGAAACTATATCTGTCAAACAGTAACTCCCCATTCCTCCCTCCTTGGTCCCTGGCAACCATTATTCTACTCTGTGTCTCTGTGAGTTTGGTTACTCTAAGCACCTCATGGAATCATGTAGTATTTGTCCTTTTGTGAGACTGGTTTATTTTACTTAACATTATATCTTCAAGGTTCATTCATGTTGTAGCATGTGTTTGAATTTCCTTCCTTTTTCAGGCTGAATAATACTCCACATTTGTATATACAAACTGTTTATCCATCCATCCACTGAGGGACACTTGAATTGCTTCCATCTTTTGGCTTTTGTGAATAATGCCACCATGAACATGAGTGTGCAAATGTCTGAGTTCTTGCTTTCTATTCTCTTGGGTATATGCCCAGAAATGGAATGGCATTACATTTAACTTTTATTAAAATATTACATATATCAAAGTATACATATATAAAAGTGTACAACCTGATGAATTTTTATGAATTTATTACATCCATGGAAGCAGCACCCAGATGAGGAAGCAGAGCATGCCAGAAGTCTCCCTCTTGCTGCTACCTCACTCTCCAACCCCAAGAGTAACCACCTTCCTGACTTCTAAAAGCATTGATCATATTCTTTTCTTACTGAAGACTTTATAAATGGAATCATACCAGAAGTGTGCATGCAGGAGTGCACTCTCTGGGTAATAGGGTCCAGTGTATGTTAGGCTTTAGTAGATGTTACCAAACCATCTTCTTCACAAAGGGTTATTCAGTGTTTATTCCCATTAGCCGACTATGAGAGTTCTGGTTCTGCATCTTCAACAGTACTTAGTATGTTCTTCCTTTTCATTTTAGTCTCCATCTTCAACAGTATGTCCTTCCTTTTCATTTTAGTCTTTCTGTTGAGTATTATGCATATTTCAGCAAAACAAAGACACAAATGGGAGAGAGTGAATAACTCATTCTATTTAAAGAGCTCTTACCATTCCCCTCAAGCGAGTCTTTTTGAAGAGACTTGGCCCTTCCATCCTGCTTCCTGTTCTGTCAGCCTCACCCCAGCCTCCTTTCTTAACCCCGGCAGCAGCCATTTTTTGCAGTAGCAGTAGGTGAATCTAGTTTGCAGTTGTTCTAAAATTTGCAGAAGCACCTTTATTGTGCCCTTACCTCAGAGATGCCAGTATTGACTGACCAGGGTTCACACCTCAGACGGCTGCCCTGCCTTCAAACTCAGAGACACCAGTACCAGCTCAACAGGACCTCCTCCTCAGAGGCCCAAGGATCAGCTCTCTGGGTGCTCCCCTTTAAACCTCAAAGTTCTGGTAATTCCAACCACTTCCCTTTGTTCCTTTAGCCTTGGTGTAGCTGTATATTAGTCTGTTCTCATGCTGCTATGAGGATATACCCGAGACTGGATAATTTATAAAGGAAAGAGGTTTAATTGACTCACAGTTCAGCATGGCTGGGGAGGCCTCAGGAAACTTACAATCATGGCAGAAGGAGAAGCAAACACATCCTTCTTCACATGGTGGCAGGGAGAAGAATGAGAACTGAGCAAAGTGGGGAGCCTCTTATAAAACCGTCAAATCTCGTGAGAACTTACTGTCATGAGAATAGCGTGAGGGAAACCACTCCCATGATTCAATTACCTCCCACTGGGTTCCTCCCATGACACATGGGGATTGCAATTGTTATGGAAACTACAAGATGAGATTTGCGTGGGGACACAACCATACCAAGCTGCTGTCTCTAGTTGATTCCTCTGTGGTACTTTTTGTTTTTGTTTTTGAGAAGGGGTCTTACTCTTTTACCCAGGCTGGAGTGCAGTGGTGCAATCACGGCTCACTGCAGCTTCAAACTGGGATCAAGTGATCCTCCCATCTCAGCCTCCCAAGTAGCTGGCACTACAGGCGTGCACCTCTATGCCTGGCTATCTCCATGCCACTTTAATGTCTTTTTGGCCTTTTCTGTTATGTAACTAATAATTTGTTATTCCTAGTCAACTATTCTCTCTACTGAAAAACAAAAAACTGATGTAGTATCCTGACTGGACTTGGACTGATGGAAGCATTATCCCATTCATTATCTCTTTTGTGGTACTCATTAAGGTAGGTAGAACAGGTGTTATATCTCCAATTTACACACCAGAAAGTGCTGCAGTGATGAAGTGTGATTGTTCAGCTTATTAGTAGCAGAACTAAAATCAGATAATTACTACGTTTTTAGGCTAGAGCTCTCTCAGTTACCTGTGACTCCTTCACCTCTATCCCCACCCTTGCCTTTCAGTTTATATATTTCCCTAGGAGAAGGACTAAGAAAATAAAGGGCATTTGGCCCGACATTTGTTGTTTTATTTCTTAATGTGTTTATATTTCACAGGAAGATCAAGTGACACAAGTCCTGGGCAAATCTCTTTTTTTTCTAGAATATTTGCTCCCCAACAAGAAGGGATGATCTTCCTGTTGCCTCTCACCCTATCCCAAAATAATTTCTTCACTGAAATTGGAATGCCCTGAAGGACTCTCTCAATCGCTATAGGCCTGTGTTATATGTGAGCACTTCTTTGGGTCCCAAGCTTTCTTTTCAAAGCATTCTGACTCTTATTCTCCTTCTGCCAGGGACCGAGGATACAGTAGACTTGTCCCTCGGTATACGCAGGGGATTGGTCCCAGGACACCAATTCATGCACACTCAAGTCCCACAGTTGGCCTTGCAGAACCCTTGCATAGGAAACGTTGGCCCTCCCTATATGCAGGTTTTACATCCTGCGAATACTGTTTTTGATTGAATTTGTGAATATAAGTAGACCCATGTAGTTAAACCCGTGCTGTTTAAGGGTCAGCTGTATTTCAAAACCTAATGAATTCACATTTTTGAGGAGTGTCCTATTGTGCAAGACCTACACTGTAGAGTGTGACCTGCTGCACTGTCATTTTGACAGTTTCCATTAGCCGAATCACTCTGAATAACTGTTACCCTCTCCATGCAACTCTCTCTTATTGGATGAGGTCACTAAAGTTGCTTGGAAACTCCTCAGCTTGGAATTTAAAGTGCATCCATGATTCACTTATTTGACAAATAAATTTTAGTGTCAAATACCAGAGAAGAGAGGCTTCTGTCCTGTGCTTCCTCTCACACTGGTGACCCTTTGCGTTTGGCTTTGTTAAATCCCTTTGTTTATTCTGCTGGCCTTACGTATTTTTGTTTTGTCTCACCCGTTAGATAGATATTAATCATAATAATTACAATGCTAATGTTTACTGAGCATTTACTACATGCTGGGTTATTTGCTTACTGTTGAACAGGTATTCCTCATAGAAATATTAGGAGGTTGGTACTATTATTATTTTTATTTTACATTTAGAGAAGCTGAGGTTTGTGGAGGTTATAATAGTGTCCATCACACAACCAAAAATACAGTTGAGTTGGGATTTGAGCCCAGGTAGACTATTCTAGCACCTGGACTCTTAATTAATATGCTGTATGCTGCTGTTTGTTAAAAGAGATTACACATTTTTTCTACTTTTTTTTGCGTGAAAATGTTATCGACTTCTTTTCAATAGAATATGCATACTGAATTGCTGTGTTATGAATTGGGAGAGGTTGGCTTTCTTTTTCCGGCAAATGATCTTTTCCTCTTATTTAGTTTTAGTGTTTTTATAAATGAATTCAGGATACCAATTTACATGCCAGATAGGAAGTCAGTTGTTGAAAAAATGCCTAGAAAAAAGTATCCAGTTATACCAAAATATTTAACATGATTATCTCTGAGTGGTGTTGCTCTGTGTTATTTCTTCATTTTTTTTGTAGTTTTCATCTTTCTAAAATGAGATTGTATTTTGGAAGGTTGAAGTTATGGGAGTATTGTGCTGATTTGGGATGTCAGGTGGTCTATAGTGTTCTACAAGGTTTATAATAAAACCCAGCAATCCTGGGCTATTTTCTGCTTTCATTTTCCCCTTCCCCAGTAGCAACAATTTTCTATTTTTTTTTTTTTAGTTATGCTTTGAGTTCTGGGATACATGTGCAGAACATGCAGGTTTGTTACATAGGTATACACGTGCCATGGTGGTTTGCTGCACTCATCAACTCGTCATCTACATTAGGTATTTCTCCTAATGCTATCCCTCCCCCAGCTCCCCATCCTGCGACAGGCCCCAGTGTGTGATGTTCCCCTCCCTGTGTGTCCAGGTATTCTCATTATTCAACTTCCAATTATGAGTGAGAACATGCGGCGCTTGGTTTTCTGTTCCTGTGTTAGTTTGCTGAGAATGATGGTTTCCAGCTTCATCCAGGTCCCTGCAAAGGACATGAACTCATCCTTTTTTATGGCTGCATAATATTCCATGGTGTATATGTGCCACATTTTCTTTATGCAGTCTATCATTGATGGGCATTCGGGTTGGTTCCAAGTCTTTGCTATTGTGAATAGTGCTGCAATAAACATACATGTGCATGTGTCTTTATAGTAGAATGATTTATAATCCTTTTGGTATATACCCAGTAATGGGATTGCTGGGTCAAATGGTATTTCTGGTTCTAGATCCTTGAGGAATTGCCACACTATCTTCCACAATGGTTGAACTAATTTATACTCCTACCAACAGTGTGAAAGTGTTCATATTTCTCCACATCCTCTCCAGCATCTGTTGTTTCCAGACTTTTTAATGATTGCCATTCTAACTGGCATGAGATGGTATCTCATTGTGGTTTTGATTTGCATTTCTTTAATGACTGGTGATGATGAGCTTTTTTTCATGTTTGTTGGCTGCATAAATGTCTTCTTTTGAGAAGTGTCTGTTCATATCCTTTGCCCACTTTTTTATGAGGTTTTTTTCTTGTAAATTTGTTTAAGTTCCTTGTAGATTCTGGATATTAGCCCTTTGTTAGATGTATAGATTGCAAAAATTTTCTCCCATTCTATAGGTTGCCTGTTCACTCTGATGATAGTTTCCTTTGCTGTTCAGAAGCTCTTTAGTTTAATTAGATTCCATTTGTCAATTTTGGCTTTTGTTGCCATTGCTTTTGGTGTTGTAGGCATGAAGTCTTTGCCCATGCCTATGTCCTAAATGGTATTGCCTAGGTTTTCTTCTAGGGTTTTTATGGTTTTAGATCTTCCATTTAAGTCTTTAATCCATCTTGAGTTAATTTTTGCATAAGGTGTAAGGAAGGGGTCCAGTTTCAGTTTTCTGCATATGGCTAGCCAGTTTTCCCAACACCTTTTTTTAAATAGGGAATCCTTTCCCCAGTGCTTGTTTTTGTCAGGGTTGTGAAAGATCAGATGGTTGTAGACGTGTGGTGTTATTTCTGAGGTGTCTGTTCTGCTCTGTTGGTCTGTAAAGCTGTTTTGGTACCAGTACCATGCTATTTTGGTTACTGTAGCCTTTTGTTATAGTTTGAAGTCAGGTACCATGATAACTCCAGCTTTGTTATTTTTGCTTAGGATTGCCTTGGCTATACAGGCTCTTCTTTGGCTCCACATGAAATTTAAAGTAGTTTTTTCTAATTTTGTCTAGAAAGTCAATGGTAGCTTGATGGGGATAGCATTGAATCTATAAGTTACTTTGGGCAGTGTGGCCATTTTCACAATATTGATTCTATCCATGAGCATGGAATGTTTTTCCATTTGTTTGTGTCCTCTCTTATTTCGCTGAACAGTGATTTGTAGTTCTCCTTGAAGAGGTCTTTCACATCCCTTGCAAGTTGTATTCCTAGGTATTTTATTCTCTACCCCAGTGGCACCTGGAACATTTTCTGTTATTTAAATGATCTCTACTGGTCTTTGCTTTGATTTTCAAAATAGCATATTTGCCCTTCTG
This sequence comes from Homo sapiens, assembly GCF_000001405.40. Lineage (NCBI taxonomy): Eukaryota > Metazoa > Chordata > Mammalia > Primates > Hominidae > Homo > Homo sapiens. Next base: position 157,729,961 of record NC_000002.12, on the reverse strand, counting down.
TTTATTGTTTTTTTTTTTGTGAGTTGTAAACATTAATGGAGCTCTTTTACCATCATTTCCTCACCCTCATGCTACACACATATATACATCCTCCCTCTTATAGACTCGTCGTATTTATTCTTAAATTCAACATATACTTATTGAGCACCTACTATGTGCTTGGCACAACTCTGATTGCCAAGAAAAAGCAGTGAGCAAAACAAGTAAAAATCTCTTCCTTCATATAGCTTTACAGAGTATAATTGTGAGTTAAGTCAACGTGTGCTGTTTATTTTATTGTCACCAAGTAAATATTAATTCACTAGTGATTACATTTCCTTTCCTATACAGGCATTTTGTCTTCCCTGTAGTCAACCATTTTCTTTTATTTGCAGTTGCTAAGTTTTTAGTGTACTATCATTAATTCCTGACCAAACACTTTCCAAACAGTTCCCCTGGTTTGTTTTATGTAGGAACCCTGGTTTCTGGTATCTTCCTTATCATTTACTCTGTTGTTTTATTGAAGTGCATCTTCCAGTAAGATCCTTTGTGACCTTTCAGATCTGAAAATGTCTTTATTCTACCTTCACAACTAATTAGTTCTGTATCCCCAGTGGGATATAGAATTCTAGGTTGGACTTTTCTCTTAAAATTTAGAAGATATCACTATATCACCCAGCTTTCCCTGTTGATGGTGAAGTCTTGTGTATCTGATTATCAAATCCTTACAAGTGACATATCTTTTCTCAGCAGAATTTGTAGGATGTTTTTCTTTGAGAGAGCCCTAGTTCTCTCAATCTGGAACTCCTGTTATTTGGATGTTGGGCCTTCTGGGCTGATCTTCTAATGTTTAGAAAATCTCTTCTCTCTTGTTTTCCAGATCTTTATCTTTGCAGTATAGCATAAAGATTAAGAACATTGACTCTACTAAACGATGGTGCAATTATAGTCCTAGTCCTGCTGCTTAGTAGCTGTCTAACTTTGGGCAAGTCACTGTACTTCTTTAAGCTTTTAGTTTCTTCCTCTTTAAAATGGAGGATAATTATAGAATAGTACTTATTTCATAGATTTGTTGTGAGGATTGCATGAGTTAATATCTGTAAAGTGCTTGGAACAGTGCCTGGCACTCAGGAATTCTTATGACATTAAATAAAGTTTTACCTTATGACATTGTTATTGTATATTTAATAATATATATGTTATTTCCTAGTATGTGATTTGTCAATATTTTAATTTCCAAAAGTTGTGAAAGGACCTCCTTATTTTACTTTTATTATTTTTATTTTTATTTTTATTATTTTTAGAGATGGGGGTCTCAGTCTGTGATCCAGGCTGGAGTGTAGTGGTGTGATCACGGCTCACTACAGCCTCAACCACCCAGGCTCTAGTGATCCTCCCACCTCAGTCTGGCGTAACTGGGACTACTGGCATGCACCACCATACTCGGCTAATTTTTTGTATTTTTTGTAGAGATGGGGTGTTGCCATCTTGTCCAGGCTGGTCTCAAACTCCTAGTCTCATGCAGTTCTCCTACCTTGGCCTCCCAAAGTGCTGGGATTATAGCTGTAAGCCACCATGCCCAGCTGTGAAAGGACTTTTTTAAAAAAGATTCTTGTTCTTGTACAGGATGCTGCATCTTCTTGTATCCCTCTGAGAATGTCACAGATTTTTTTAAAGTCTTCTTTAATTCCTTTTTTGTTTCCACTTCTTCAGGATTCTTCTTTTTTCCCCTTTATCTGTTTATTTTAGTTTCTGTGTTCTTCATGAGAGGAATTCCGTAACTAGATGAAGATCCTTGACTGTTCATTCATATTTAAGGGTAAGATACTAGAAAGCTGATTGGAAAAAAGAGTTATGTTCAGGTTCATTATTAAAAATAGTGTGTATCTACCTATGTTTAAAAGTCATCTTGGGTAGTTTTTGTTTGTTTGTTTGTAGGTTTTCCCTCTTGGCTAACTTGTTTAACCTTATTCGGTAATAATACTTTTACCTGATAATGTGACTCATGCATAGCTCAAACTAAAATAGGAAAAGTGTCAGTTTTGTGATGTTCTTGTTCAGTTTTACTGGCATGACTAGTATTACATTTAACCTGCAGTTTCCTTCTATCAATCTTTTTAAGCCAGTTGTCATTCTGTGATGACTAATTTGACCAGAGATAAATACATACTTCACAACTCCTCATAACTGAATTAAACTTCAGAGCAATTTGTTTTAATACATTGAAAGCAAACAGTGCTTTGGGGAGGGTTACTCTGTTAGCTCTTCTGCATTGGGGATCACCCTCTATTTTGTCTGATATATGACACAGTAAGGCTATCAGTGCCCACCCCTGAATTAATATTAGTAATGCTTAAAGTCTTTTTTCTAGATATAATATATATAGTATATAGTATATATATATATATAAATTTCTTCCCATCCCCCAGTGGATCATCTTGTACACCTCCGTGATGTATGGACCCCAGAGCCTGCATTTTGGGGACTCTTTCTCATCATCACTGGGTCAACTAATTCAGATCCCAGGCAGTCGGGAGGGTGTAGTTAGAAACTTAGCTGCACATCAGGATTCTCTGGAACTAAGGACCTAAAAATATGGATTCTTTGATAATAATGCCAGATATGTAATTCTGGCTAGAGCCTGGGAGATTGTAATTTTTGACTCACCTTAGTGATTCAGAGAAAGTGGTTGCCATCCACATTCATTTTGGAACAAGTGGTAGGGAAAGAACATTAGGTGGAATTAGGAAATTCAAGTTCAAGTATTTCCTTGCCAGATTACTTACATGGATAAGGCACTTGACTTCTCTTCATGTCTCTCTTCAGTCAAGTGAAAAGTCTGGGTGAGAAGTGATCTAGCTTAAGGTCTTTTACAGTGCTAGCATTCCATTAGTCACCCACATGGCAGAAGTTGTTTTTTCTTTTTCCCTCGATGGGTTGAAAATTGTTTATTGGAATTAATGTTTTCATTGCCCAGGATGTTTGTAACAGAAGATGATCTCTATCCTTATAAAAATGTAAAAATTCAGGTCCAGAGAAAATAATCCCTAAGAGTTAACCAGTATGTCAGTCCACAGTCAGAAATTGAGCCTAAGTTGAATTTAGTGACATCAATCTTTTGTTGTTCAATGGTAGATTTTTAAAAATTGAGAGGCATTGCATATATGGCAGTATAACAGTATAAATTGACAGTAATTGGTCAAGGCAGTGATTTTTGAGCAGGGCCCTGAGTAAACAAACTATATGGAAGAGCTCAACAGATTCTAGAAAGAAGGAAGAAGAAATATAGAGCCCCAGAGGCTTGGGAGAGGAATGAAAATGTGAGGGTGACTATAATGAGGTTGAAAAGCAGACGAGGTGGAGTTAGAGAAAGCCAGCAAGGGTAGAGAGTTTATGCTTAATGACTAGAAGTAAGCTAGAAAAATACAGGGAGAAATTGTATACCCAACTGGGTATTGATGCAGTATCTCTGAAGTTCAGTTAGGGGCCTGATTAACTCCACAGAAACTATATTGAGGCTTCATCTGCAGAAAGAGGCCTATAAAATACAGAAATCTGACATACAGCCAATCTTTGAGTCTAAGTGACCCTTAACTGCTATACCTCCCAGTAGCAGATTTTTAAACCAGTCAGGAAACCAAATATAACATAATCTCCACCACCAATCCATTTGTTTTGATTACTGTGATTGGCATAGAGCATCTGAAGAAAGAAATTGTACTCTTCGACGACCAACATGACTCATAAAATCCTGTTCCCTCTTTTATCCTTTGTATCTTATATTTCTTACAGTAAAGCAGTTGAATGAATTTTTCATTTGGTTCTTAGAAGAACTACAACTGTACTTTGAAGAAGTATGAAGGACTCTGAAGAACTGTGAAGGACTTCATGCCTCTGTGGTTGGGTGGTCAAGGTCATGAGATACTCAGAGGATCTCTGCAAGCAACTGCCTGCAGGAAAGCAGCTGCCTTCTTGGGATTTGCTGATTCATTTTGACTTTTTTTTTTAGTTTTTCTCTAGCTTCACTTCCAGCTGTTGCAGACACAAGAGATGAATGTCTGTTTGATCAAGAGGAAAGGAGTAAACTTTGTTCTCTCGTATTATTTCTCTGCATTAGTGAATGTGCTTGCTTCCTAAATCCTCATTAGCAAAGTATCTTCTTATGAAGAAATCTGTTCTGTCCTTGCCACTGGATCCATCTCTATAAAGACTCTAGCAAAAAGTTCTATAGGCACAATCTAATAATATGCAAAAATAAATGCATCTTAAAAAACAGCCTAAATTTATTTTTGTGCTGCTGTTTGGCCAGGAAAAGGGGGAAATGCCATTAGGTGTAATTTATTTTTGACCACTCTCAAAAAGGGCAAAATTGGGGAAGGTGCTTAGAATTTAATAAAAATGTAAATGTGCACCCTGTATGTAGATCAACATGTAAAATTAGAAAAGACAAAGCACTAGATATAAAACATATAACACCTAAATTTCCTCTATTATAAGCATCCTTTTGGTTAGAAAATGGAAAAAAAATCATATGCTTTTTTTATGTTGGTAAAATATGTAAATCATAATATATACCATTTTAACTCTTTGTAAGTGTATATTTCAGTGGCAGTAAGTACATTCTCTATGTTGTGTAACCACTGCTATTATTTCCAGAATGTTTGTATTCCAAAGAGAAACTACTCATTAAAAAATAATTCACCATTCCCCCTCCTCTTACCCCTGGAACCACTATTCTACTTTGTTTCTATGAATTTGACTATACTAGCTACCTCATGTAAGTGGAATTATACAGTATTTGCCCTTTTGTGTCTGGCTTATTTCATCTAATAATGTTTTAAGGTTCATCTAGGTCATGGATATATTCCTTTTTTAAAAATTGTGGTAAAATATGTGTAACATAAAAGTTGCTATCTTAATCATTTTTAATTGTACAGTTCAGTAGTGTTAAATACATTCACATTGTTATGAAACCAATATCCAGAACTCCTTTTATCTTGAAAAACTGAAACTGGATACTCATTAAACAACAATTCTTCATTTCCTTCTACCCCCTAGTCCCTGGCAACCACCATTCTACTTTTACTGTTTTTATGAATTTGACTACTATAGGTATCTCACGTAAGTGGAATCATACAGCGTCTTTTTGTGACTGGCTTATTTCGGTTAGCATGGTGTTAACATAAGTTCATCCATGCTATAGCATATGTCAGAGTTTTCTTTCTTTTTGTGGCTGAACAATATTCCATTGTATGTGGATACCATATTTTGTGTAGTCATTCTGTGGATAGATTTTTGCATTGTTTCCTCATTTGGGCTATTGTAAATAATGCTGACCCAAGACTTTATTTATTTATTTATTTATTTAGAGACAAAGTCTCACTATATTGCCCAGGCTGGAGTGCAGTGTCATGATCTCAGATCACTGCAACCTCCACCTCCTAGGTTCAAGGGATTCTAGTGCCTCAGCCTCCCAAGTAGCTGGGATTACAGGTTTGTGCCACCATGCCTGGCTAATTTTTGTATTTTTAGTAAAGACGGGATATCACCATGTTGGCCAGGCTGGTCTTGAACTCCTGACGTCAAGTGATCTTCCCACTTCAGCCTCCCAAAGTGCTGAGATTATAGGCGTGAGCCACCGTGCCCGGCCCCTAGACTTTTTAGAGTATATCATACACATACACTATTTACCTCACTCCACTTCCAACATTTGTGTCCAAAGTTGCCTTTCGAATGGAGCATATTATAAATGTCACATGATATAAAAAAATTTAAGTTGTGATTTGTCAGATATGATCAAGTATGGCTTTGTCTTGGTTCAAAAGAGAGAAAGATATGCTAGGGTTAGGAGTTTGGACATTGTTTGAGCAGGAATATGGTAATAGTGGCCATTTATTGGGTACTTACCATATGGTAGGAACTGTGAGTGCACTTTAGGCTTTCTAATTTGATTCTCATGAATTCCCATCTGTCCTCTGTTACATAGGAAAGAACAAATTCAGAGAGGTTAGAAACTTACTGAAGATTATACTTTTACTAAATGGCTGAGCTGAGCCTTCACTACCTGGGTCAGTTTGAGTCCAAAGCCTGAGTGCTTAAAAAATGTACTTTCCTCTCTATCAAACAATGGTTCCTTTACATTTGTCATTTTGTAATTTGTAGAACTCAGGATAGAGTGGGAAAGTTTGAAGGGAGCTATGATAACAGAGGTCAGACCGAAAGAGGCAATTTCCTGCATCCAGAAGGCAAGGATTATTTCTATAATGTGATTCTGGCTATTTCTGGGGGTTGGAGGGGACCCAAAGAAATCCTCAGGAATCCTCGTGAATAGTTTTTGGTTTTTGTTTTGTTTTTCTATGAGAAAACCATGCATTTAATAATTCTAGATTTTCTACAGTTGGTTAACAAGAGGCTAAAAATTTTTGTTTATAAAATAGATTTGGATGTGGATAATACAGACATAAGATTTTTGGAAAATGAATGACAAAGGATGATTTGATAACCCTAAAATAAGAACCTGAGCAAGAGGAAAATATAATTTTCTGGGAAGAGTAACAAGGCATACCTGAAACCCTCCAGAAAGTGGGCAGCTTCTTAAAAGTCAGTTTAAATGTAAAAGCTGACTGCATAGTGACTCATGTCTTATTAAAACACAACCCTTATTTATAAAGTTAAGACTCCATGTTGAAATTTTTTCTGTTTTATTGAAAAGACAAGGGCATGTGGGTTTTATGCTACCTATCAGTCTTCCAGGCCTTTGTTCTTCTTCTTCTTTTTTTCTGAGACGGTGTGAGAAGTTGAGAAAAAAGAACTCATCCAGATAATTCCTAGTTACCCAGAGAGGCTGGATGGTAAGTTTTAATTGTTTAAATGCTAATTTTGAAATCTTATGTACTCACCCTTGTAGCCACCATATCCAGTGCTCTTTTTCCTTTGTGTAGATCCATACTTTCATCTCGTGTCATTTTCCTTCCTCCTTTAACATTTCTTATAGTGTGCATCTGCTAATGAATTCTTCCAGCTTATGTATGTCTCAAAGGTCCAGTTGAAAAAAAAAATGTTTTCACTGAGTATAGTGTTTTTGGTTAACAGTTTTTCTTTCAGTACTTTAAATATGTTGTTCCACTGTTTTTTCATTTGCATAGTTTCCTGTGAGAAATCTGCTGCCATTCTTATTTGTCTTCCTTTCTATGTAGCATATCTTTTTGTCCCTCTTGTGACTGGTTTTAAGAGTGTGTTTCTTTCACTGTTTTTGATAATTTGATTATGTTGTGCCTTGGCGTCAGTGTTTTGGAGTTTTCTTTCATTTTGCTTGTAGTTGGTGTTTGATATTTTTGGAACTGGGAGTATAAGTCTTTATCAAATTTGGCACATTTTTATTATTTCTTCAAACATCTTTTTTGTTTTTCATCTTCTTTATTTTGGGGACTTTCATTAGGGAGCACAGATATTAGGCTGCTTGAAGTTTTTCCACAGTTCACTGATTATCTGACCTTTTTTTTTAAAAAAAAAAAGTCTCTTTTCCCTCTGTTTTATTTTGGATATTTTTTTTATTGCTGTGTTTCAAGTTCATTAATGTTTTTCTTCTGCTATGTCCAATTTGCTATTAATCTCATTTAATGTATTTTTCATCTCACATATTGCAGGAGTTTTTTTTTTATCTTTAAAAGCTCAAATTGAGTGTTTAAAAAAATATCTTCCATGTCTCCAATTAAAGTTTTGCCTATGTGGAATATAGTTATAATAACTTTTAATGATCTCATTATAGGTTATATTTTCTTGTTTCTTTACAATCTCAGTAACGTTTTATTGGATGCCAGACATTGTGAATATTACCTTACTGGGTGCCAGATATTTTCGTATTTCTATAAATATTCCTAAACTTTGTTCTAGAATACAATTAAGTTACTTGGGAAAGTTTGGTCCTTTTGATTCTTGCTTTTAAGATTTTTTAAGTATTCTTTTTTTATGATTTGTTAGGTGGGACTACAGCAGTGCTCAACCTAGGAGTAGTTATTCTCCACTGCAAGAACTATTCTATGCAATTTGGCCAGTGCCCCATGAACAATGAGTTTTTCAACCTTACCTGATAGAAACAAAGCTATTCCTGGCCCTGTGTGAAGACTAAGGGCAGTTGCTTGTAATCCTTCCAGCTTGTTTCTTCTTCAGTTTTAGATAATTTCTTTTTCTTTTCTTTTCTTTATTTATTTTCTTTTTTGAGACGGAATTTCACTGTTGTTGCCCAGGCTGGAGTGCAATGGCATGATCTTGGCTTACTGCAACCTCTGCCTCCTGGGTACAAGCGATTCTCCTGCCTCAGCCTCCCAAGTAGCTGGGATTACAGGCGCCCACCACAACACCTGGCAATTTTTTTTTTGTATTTTTAGTAGAGATGGGGTTTCACCACGTTGGCCAGGCTGATCTCGAACTCCTGACCTCAGGTGATCCACCCACCTCGGCCTCCCAAAGTGCTGGGATTACAGGCATGAGCCACCAAGCCTGTTTTAGATAATTTCTTCACACACATACTGATTAGTGCCCAGGTGAATACTGTGCATACAATTACAGGCCTTTGCCTCCAGAAAGTCCCATTTGAAATCTTTATATTGTTTTGAGTGATACTAAGTGATTACTTTTTCAGATTTTGAGTCGACACCTTAGGGCAGTGGTTCCCAACATGTGGTTGCTAGTCAATGGTATCAGTATCACCTGGGAATTTAATAAAAATGCAAATTATTAGGTCACAATTCAGACCTACAGAATTGGAAACTCAGGGTGAGGAGGCATAATGTAGAGCCAACAATATGTCTATTAACAAACCCTCTGGATAAATCTGTTAAATGCTAAAGTTTGAGAACCAGTGCTTTAGAATCATAGTTTGAGTAAGTGGGGGAAGGAGTCTTAGGAGACATTTTAAGTGCCCTTGAATCCTTGTAATCAGGCAGCTGTCAATCTTACCTGCACCCAGGTTGGCCCTAATCAGGCAGATGATTGAAGAAGACAGGAGTTACTTAAGCTGAAGAGAATATAGGGAATAGAAAACATCTTCTTGGAAAGTTTTTTGGTTAGAAAAATTCTCTCCAAATCCCCTCCCAGCTCATAGCAGAGGGAGTTTGGGAGATACGAGAAAGTTCAGCACTACTAACAGTAACTAATTCTATTGTGCATGTAGTTTTCAAGGCAAATAAGCTAAGGGACTGCCCAGGGACCATGTCCCTAGCCTTTGAGATTTCTTAGTTCCTGGTGCCTTGTCTGGTCAACAGGCTATTGGCTCCACAGGGGGAAGTTGGCACCATCAATAAAGAGGAGAGGAGTCCATGCCATAGGGCAGCATGTATTGGACAAGAGTTGCAAAAATGTTGGGCAAAAGCATTTTTCCTGAGAAAAATGGCCATTTAACAGCAGTGGGCCAGGTTCCCAGGCAGGCAGATTTGTCTGAAAGGACTCACTCTCGCCTCTTGATCTGTCTCCCTTGGCCACATCATGGCCCCTCCTCTCCTCTCTGTCATTCAAGGATGAGTCAAGAAGAACAGAGAAAAGGAGACAAAAGTTACTACTCTCTTTATTTCTGTAAATAGTTTCTTTCTTTCTTCCCACAGGGTAAAATTATTCGCTTTAAAATAATGGGGCTCTCTGGCCGGGCGCGGTGGCTCACGCCTGTAATCCTAGCACTTTGGGAGGCCGAGGCAGGCGGATCACGAGGTCAGGAGATCGAGACATCCTGGCTAACACGGTGAAACCCCGTCTCTACTAAAAAATACAAAAAATTAGCCGGGCGTGGTGGCAGGCTCCTGTAGTCCCAGCTACTCGGGAGGCTGAGGCAGGAGAATGGCGTGAACCCGGGAGGCGGAGCTTGCAGTGAGCCGAGATCGCGCCTCTGCACTCCAGCCTGGATAACAGAACGAGACTCCGTCTCAAAATAAAAAATAAAATAAAAAAAATAATGGGGCTGTCCTTGGACAGATGCTAATTTGGGAAGGAAAGACTGGTAACCTGAGAAACACCTTGTATCATGCAAGAAAGTGATGTAATATATGTAAAAAGAAAAAGAAACTGATTTTGCTATTGGCTGGATGACATACGCATCCCCAATTGATATAATTGCCCCAAAGTTGAAGTATTTAGGAACTGAATAAATAGCTACCATATATCATTCCCCCATAGGCTGTTGACTCCTCTAGCTGGTGCTCATTTACCCTCATTCTAGGCTCAGCCTGGCCACTCCCAAGGCTAAGGTGTCAGTGCAGATTGAACTGTCCTCATTCGTTCACATACTTCATTTTTCTATAATCGTCTATGATGATCTACTAAGAGCCAAGCCTGTAGGAGGTACAGGAGACAAAAAACAAGAGGTATCCTTGCTGCTTTCAAAGGAGACAGCCATGCAAAAATGCAAAGGATACTCTCCGTGTATCAGGAGTCCTGAGCCAGGGGCTCTTTATTGCTTTGGCAAGGTATGTACAGCCTCTTTTGCCTGGGTACAGTCACTGAACTCTGCGCATGTTCCCTGTCACCAAGTCTGCCTTCATCTCTTGTCCTCACATTCCCTCACCTCACCACCACCATAATCAAGTTCTTACCTTAGAGCCCTGTCTTAAAGGTTACTATAGTATGATCATTGTGATTTAATGACTAATATTAATAAGCCATTTGATATATGCCAGCAGTCTCTAAGGGCTTACCATTAATTCATCCAATACCTCAACTCATTTAATTCTCACAACAACCCGATGAGAGACTATCTCCATTTGCAGATGAGGAAGTTGAGGTATACAGAATTTAGATAATCCTCATTCCTGCCTTGCAGCGACAGTCTCCTCTGGTTGTTGGAGTTTGGGGACATGCAGATTTCCATGTCTAAATGTATATTTCTTGTTCTGGAAGCACTCAGTGTCTGCCTAGAAGAACACTAGTTGCAAACAAGAAACTGTACCTTAGCTAGGTCCTGGTGTATATTTTATTACATCTGGGTTGTTTGTCTTTATTACACCTTGGTTCTTCTTCTAGAATGTGAGTCACTTGATAGCAAGAATCATTTGGGATGTACTTGATACCTAATAAATATTATTTTTTTTCTCCCTTCATAGTAGATACTGAATGAAGGTGTCATAAATGCTGCTGGACCTTCCTATAGTACCAGCGTTACTTGGCAGCTTTGTCTGGTTCAGCGCTCTTACATTTAAATGAATCAGGTAGGCTAAGGGTAAGACAAGAGGGAGTGGTGGGGCCTAAGACACACTGGAGAGTATATGTCTAATTAATGGAGGTAGCTGCTGTTCACTTCCAGCTAATTGCTGCCATGCAAAAATGATGACCCCATGTTGCCAAATTTTCTAGTTGTTCAAGATAAGTCAGGAATCTGGATTATTATGTAAAATTTGCCTATTTTTAAAAACACTGTGCTGATCCCAGAAAATCCAAGGTCCAATTTTTTTTTCTTTTTTTTCTTTTCTTTCTTTTTTTTTTTTTTGGAGACAGAGTCTCATTCTGTCACCCAGGCTGGAGTGCAATGGCACAGTCTCAGCTCACTGCAACCTCTGCCTCCTGGGTTCAAGCGATTCTCCTGCCTCAGCCTCCCGAGTAGCTGGAACTACAGGCATGTGCCACCACGCCCGCCTAATTTTTGTATTTTTAGTAGAGACAGGGTTTCACTATGTTGGCCAGGCTGGCCTCCAACTCCTGACCTCATGATCCACCTGCCTCAGCCTCCCAAAGTGCTGGGATTACAGGCGTGAGCCACCGCACCCAGCCCCGAGGTCCAAATTTTTTATATGAATTCCACATGTTTTACTTTGTAAGAAAGGTAAATCACAGTTCTGTTTTTTAGATGATTTGTTATATAAAGACACACAGACAAATTGAGCACTCAAAAATAGTAGTTTATGATGATATCCAGTAACAGACCAGATCAGATGAAGCAGTCATGAAGCCAGTAAATGGGATGCATTCAGATGAGTCAACTTACAGGCAAAGATTTCAAAAGGAGAGAGAATGAGGTAGAGAAAGATGGAGACCAATGAGAACAGCTCTGGAATGATGGGGAAAATCTAGAAAATCTCCACACTGCCCAAACAGGGCATTCTTTCATTAAAGTGGCTGTTCATAGGATATAGCTAAGAAAGTGTGATACTTTGTCATTGTGGTGTCAAAATGGCAGGGTGGCAACTTTTGGTGGTAACTTTATCTGTTTTCTAGTTAGAGGGAATGTCTTTGTTGAGTTGCTTCTTGGGGCATCTGCTGCTTTGTGGAAATGTTTTCTAGAAACTCCTTTCGCCTGCAATCACACCCGTAATCATGATTAATGTTTACTACAAGCCCATAACAGTACACAAGGTTTGAAAGAATAATTTTTCAAAAGGATGATTTTGAAAATATCATACATTCATATGAAATATGTTAAGATTGTTTTGGAGGATGACACCATCTTCAGGAGAATGAGAAGCATTTGCTGATTCTGTTTCTGCAACACCTGTTATGCACTAGTCATGGTCATAAGTAACTTTTCCTGAGGAACAACAGGTAAGAAGAAATAAAAGTTGTGCTGTCTATATTTTCAGAAATGTACAATTGGCTTGGGAAGAAAACACAGCCAGCCACAGGGGAGCAAGCTCAAAGAAGTTGCAAAACGAGAAGGAGATGAGAGAAATCAGAGAAGGAAGCAAGCATTCTGACTTTTGACTGAGAGTCTCTGCCAGTTTTGCCTCACATATGAACACTTATTTACTTTGCACACTATTGCAATCTGTAATATTGCAAAACATAAAGTCAAATATTCTTCCCTTGTTTTAATACTCAACAAGACCTCAGCCTTATTAGCTTTTACCAACTATTACGAAAACTTAATATGGCCTCCAAGTAACATCATTCTCAGACCATATTCCCAGTTGTGAATATTGTCCCTAGATTGGACCTAGGTTAAAACATTAGATGTTAGTATCAAAAAGGAGAATTATAACCAAATAAAAACCAGAAAGATCCCACATCTTAGAAATGAAGATGTTCATCTATATAAGCACATAGCTTTATAGTAAAATCTGTAGCTACCATACAGGAGATAAACTATAATGACTCTCTTTATATCTCTACCTATCTGTCTATATATTTGCTATAACGTATATTAAGATAAATAACTGACCAACATATAAATATATAAATGGGAATTTTAAATTCACTTTCACATCTAATTCACAAAAATACAAAATGAAAATTAATTTTATGCTTTACAAAGTTTATTGCCAATGGTATTTTTAAGACTGTAAACACCATTTGTAGTAAGCAGACTAATATCTTCCCTCAAAGATGTCCCCATTCTAATTGCCAGAACTGTTACATGGCAATATGTTAGGTTACATGGCATGGCAAAGGGAAATTAAGGGTCCAAATGGAATTAAGACTGCTAATCAGCTAAATTTATTTTATTTTTATTTATTTATTTATTTATTTTTTAATGATATGGAGTTTTGCTCTTGTTGCCCAGGCTGGAGTGCAATGGCACGATCTCAGCTCACTGCAACCTCCACCTCTTGGGTTCAAGCGATTCTCCTGACTCAGCCTCCCAAGTAGCTGGGATTACAGGCACGTGCCACCATGCCCAGCTAATTTTGTATTGTTAGTAGAGACTGGGTTTCTCAATGTTGGTCAGGCTGGTCTCGAACTCCCTACCCCAGGTGATCCGCCTGCCTCGGCCTCCCAAAGTGCTGGGATTACAGGCGTGAGCCACTGCACCTGGCCTAATCAGCTAAATTTAAAATAGGGGGATTATCCTGGATTATTCACAGGGACCGTATGGATCACAAAGGTCCTTAAAATTGGAAGGAGACAGAAGAGTCAGAGGGAGATCTGACTATGAAAGAAAGGCCTGGGAGATGCAATGTTTCCGGCTTTGTAGATGGAGGAAGCAGGTCTCTAGAGGTTGTAGTATGCAAGAAAACATCCTCTCCTAGAGCCTCCAGAAAGGACTGCAATGTTGCCAACACCTTGTTATTTTGCCCAACCTGTGCTGAGCTTCTGACCTACAGAATTGTAGGATAATAAGTTTGTGTTATTGTAAGTGAATAAATTTTTGATAGTTTGTTATGGCAGTGAGTAGAAAATTAATACACCTTAAAATTAGTCAGTTTTGTCAAATTAGACTTGTTTTCAAGTGTTAATAAAATTCACCTAAAACACAGTAGATTTCTGCTTCTGACTCTGAGAAAGTATTTAATAATAAAGTTCAAAATTAGCCTTTTGCCATAAATAGAAAACTGGACGAAATATATGAAAAGTCAGTTTTAAACATCAGACAGGACTGTGATGCTCTAAGGAAGGAAAACAAATGAAGTCAGCCTTATAATCGTACCCACTTCCTGCTGTAGAAAGCAGAACGTCAAATGAGGTAAGCCTTACAAATCAGGTAAGCCCACATGCACCATATTTCTATAATATATATTTCTATAATATAGAAATGGAGAAATCAAAATATGTTCACAATATTGCTGAGTTGAGGAGATTGGAGAAACCAAGGCAGCCAGAATTTGTGAGGCAACAATAATGGTGAAGAAGGAGCTATGCAGAGAAAGGGCACCAGAAATGTTTATAGGGATGCGCTTGAACCTTTGGGTAAATAACAATTTACACATGTTTAGGCTAAAACCCCAAGAGACTAGACAATAAAAACTGCTAAGGAATAAATGATCATAGGGCAGCTATAAGCCCAATAATTCCCTAAGCTTTGTTCACAACAACCAGAATGAAGAATCTTCATTGAATACATGAAACATTCCATAGACATTCCAAAAGGGTTAAACCCTAGTAGCAGGGCTAAATTAACCATAGAATAAAGGGTCTTGTGGGATTACTCTAAAGAATAAAAACAAGCATTCTAATTAGCAAACTGTTTCACAAATAAATATTCTTCAAGTCAGAGTTCAAAATTCTTTAAAGATCTCACACTCAGCAATGTAAAATTTACAAAGTCTAGCATAAAGTAAAAAATTACACATACAAAGAAACAGGAAAATGTGATCTGTTACCCAAGGAACAGGATAATATGATCCATTACCAAGAAAAAATCAGAAATCTATATAGACCACGAAATGGCAGAGATGATGGAATTATGAGGCACGGATGCTAAATCAGCTATTCTAAATATGTCTGATTTGTTTGTGAATTTAAAAGAAAAGGTGAACCTAATGAGAGAGGAAAGAACAAAATGAAACTTCTAAAGATGAAAACTACAATATATAAAATGAAAAATGTACAGGCTAGGATAGCAGCAGATTAGACAGTAAAAATAAAAGTCAGCAGACTTGAAGACATAACAATAAAATAACATGAGATGAAGTCCAGAGAGGAAAAAAATACTGGAGACCATGAAGAGAGCCTCAGTGATTTTGAAACAAGTAGTCTAACATACCTATCATTGATGTCCCAGAATGCAAGCAGGAGAAAGAAAATTATTTTAAGGAATAATGACTAAAAATTTTACAAATATATGAATGCTATATACATACATATCTAAGAAGCTCAAAAAACCCTAAGAAATCAAATGAACACAAAACCCAATAAACAGTAATAAAACCACACACCAACATGTGTCATAAGCAAATTGCTAAAATTCAGTGATAAGAGAGCATATTAAAAGTGGCTAGAGGCTGGGCGCTGTGGCTTATGCCTGTAATCCCAGCACTTTGGGAGGCCAAGGCAGGCAGATCACCTGAGGCTGGGAGTTCAAGGCTAGCCTGACCAACATGGAGAAACCCCATCTCTGCTAAAAATACAAAATTAGCTGGGCATGGTGGTGCATGCCTGTAATCCCAGCTACTCAGGAGGCTGAGTCAGGAGAATCGCTTTAACCTGGGAAGTGGAGGTTGTGGTGAACCAGGATGTGGTGAGATCGTGCCATTGCACTCCAGCCTGGGTAACAAGAGTGAAACTCTGTCACACACACACAAAAAAAGTGGCTAAAGAAAAAACAAACCAAAACATTATGTTCAGGGGAACAAAGATTAGAATTAATGAAGGCTTCTTTTTAGAAGAAGCATGGTTTAGAAACCGTGCAAGCCAGAAGTCATTGGAATGACATTTTTAAAGTGGTGGATGAAAAACCATGTCAACCTAGAATTCTATACCCAGTGAAAATGTCCTTCACAAATGAAGTTAAAATAGGGCTTTTTTCGGATAAAACAAAGCTGAAAGAATTAATTAGCAGCAGCTTACATTACAAAAAGCTTTAAAGAGGTTCTTCAGGCCAAAGGAAATGAGACCCAGTGGAAACTTGGATATACAAAGGAATGAAGAGCACTGGAAAAGGTAAATAAAATATATTGGTTAATATAAAAGACTTTGTCATTTAAAAATTTCTTTACAGGTGGTTGACTAAAGCAGAATACCACAATGTATAATTGAGTATATAACATGTATAGAGATAAAATATATGACACAACAACAGGAGAAAAATGGAAATAAACTCTTGCGTATGTACATATACATGAAGGGATTAATATGATTTGAAAATACTCTATCATAAGTTAAAAATGCATGTTATATACGCTAACCACTAAAAAACACAAAAAACCCAGCCTCCCAGAAATATAGCTTAAAAGCCAATAGCAGAACTAAAATGAAACTCCAAAACATTATCCAAAAGAGAGAAGAAAAAGAGGGAAAAAAGAATGAAACCCAAATAAAACAAATAGAAAAAAATAGCAAAATGGTAATTTTTAAATCAATAATTACATTAAAGGTAAATGATCTAAATCTAAATGGTTTAAATGTTCCAATTAAAAAAAGCAAGACTCAATTTTATGCTGCCTGTAAGAAACTCACTTTAAATATAAAGATACAGATCAGATAAAAGTAAAAGCATAGAAAAAGATATATCATCTAGGTTTTATTCAGAACAAAACTGGTACCATATTATTAATATTAAACAGTGGATTTAGGGCAAGGAGTATATCCAGAGATAAAGAAGGACTTTTCACAAAGGGTCAGTTCATCAGAAGACATAAAAATATCATAAATGTGGATAGACCTAATAACAGAGATTTAAAGAATTAAAAAGAGGAGTAACAAATCTATAGTTATAATTGGACTTTTCAATATTCTTCTCTTGGTAATTGTGAGATCAAAGAGACTTACAGAATTTAAACAACTTTATCAACAAACTTAACCCAATTGCCATTACAGAACTCTCCAATCATCAATTGTAGAACACACAGTCTTTTCAAGTACACATGGAACATTCACCAAAAGAGACAACATTCTGGGCTGTAAAAGAAGTCTTAATAGATTCAAAATAATTGAAATGATACAGCTTATGTTCCTTGACCACCCATAGAGTTAAATCCAAAACAAAAAGAAAATTAGAATATTACTGATAATAGTTTGGATATTTGTCCCCTGCAAATCTTATGTCAAAATGTAATGGGAGGTGGTGACTAGTGGTTGGTTTTGGGTCATGGAAACAGATCCTTCATGAATGCCTTGGTGCCCTCCCTGCAGTAACGAGTCAGTTCTTGCTCTGTTAATTCATGTGAGTTCTGATTCTTAAAAAAGAGCCTGGCACCTCCTCCTCTCTTGCTCACTCTCTTGCCATGTGACACTACTTCTCCTCCTTTGCCTTCCATCATGATTGTAAGCTTCCTAAGGCCCTCAACAGAAGCAGATGTTGCTGTCATGCCTTTTGTGCAGCCTGCAAAACCGTGAGCCATATAAACCTCTTTCCTTTATAAATTACCCAGCTTCAGGTATTCCTTTATAGCAACACAAATGACTAACACAATTACCAAAATTTGAATTGAACAACCAAGTAACCAATAAATCAAAGAAGAAATCACAAGAGAGAGTAGAAAATATTGTGCACAGGCCAGGCGTGCTGGCTCACACTTGTAATCCTAGTACTTTGGGAGGCTGAGGCAGGCAGATCACTTGTCAGGAATTCAAGACCAGCCTGGCCAACATGGTGAAAAGCAAATTAAATCCAAAATAAAAAATAAAGGAAATAAATATAAGAGCAGAAATCAGTAAAATAAAATGAACAAACAAAATGAAAATGCTGCTTTAAAAAGCTCAATAAAATGTATAACATTTAAAAAAATGTATGAAATTGATAGTTCACGACTATCAAGAAAAAAGTAAGACACAAATGATCAGTATCAGGAATGCAAGAAGGAATATCATTAGAGATCCTACAGACATTCAAATGATAGTAAGAAAATATGAATACACTTATGCCAATAAATATGGTAACTAAAGTGAAATGAACAAATTCCTTGGAAGACACAAATGTGCCTGGCTTGTTTCATTTAGGATAATGACCTGCAGTTCCCTCCATGTTGCTGCAAAAGACATGATTTCATTCTCTTTTAAGGCTAAATAGCATCCCATTGTGTATATATACCAACTTTTCTTTAACGTTTGTACATTTATGGACACAGGTTGATTCGTGTCTTTGCTATTGTGGATAGTGCTGCAATAAGCATACAAGTGCAGGTAACATTTTGATATATAGATTTCTTTTTCTTTGAGTAGAGGCCTAGTGGTGGGATTGCTGCATTGAATGATAGCTATATTTTTAGTTCTTTGAAAAATCTCTATACTGTTTTCTATATAGGCTGTATTAATTTACATTCCCACCAACAGTGTGTAAGAGTTCCCTTTTCTCTGCATCCTTACCGACATGTTATTTTTTTTTGTCTTTTTAATAGTAGCCATTCTGATTAGGATAAAATAACAACTCATTGTGGTTTTGATTAGCATTTCTCTGATGATTAGTGATATTGAGCAGAGTTGAATATATCGGTCATTTTTATGTCTTCTTTTGCAAAATGTCCATTTGTTTCCTTCGCCCACATTTTAATGGGATTATTTGGGAGTTTTGTGGAGTTGTTTGAGTTCCTTCTATATTCTGGATGTTAGTCCCTGTCAGATGAATAGTTTGCAAATATTTTATCCTATTCAACAGGTTGTCTCTTCACTCTGTTGATTGTTTCTTTTGATGTGCAACCACTTTTTAGTTTAAGTCCCATTTGTTGATTTTGTTTTTGTTTCCTGTGTTTTTGTGGTCATAGTCGTAAATTCTTTGCCTAGACCAATGTCCAGAAGAGTTTTTCCTAGGTTTTCTTATAGTATTTTTATAGTTTTTATATCTAATGTTTAAGTCTTTAATCCATCTGAGATGACTTTTGTATTAATATATGGTGAGAACAGGGATCCAGTTTCACTTTTCTGTGTACAACTATCTAATTTTTCCAGCACCATTTATTGAAAAGGGTGTCCTTTCTCAAATGAATGTTCCTAGTACCTTTGTCAAAGATCAGTTGGCTGTAAATATGTGGCTTTGTTTCTGAGTTCTCTATCCTATTTCATTGATCTATGTATCTATTTTTTTTATTATTATACTTTACGTTCTGGGATACATGTGCAAAACGTGCAGGTTTGTTACATAGGTATACATATGCCATGGCGGTTTGCTGCACCCATCAACCCGTCATCTACATTAGGTATTTCTCCTAATGCTATCCCTCCCCTATCTCCCCCCAACCCCCAACAGGCCCTGGTGTGTGATGTTCCACTCCCTGTATCCATGAGTTCTCATTGTTCAACTCCCACTTATGAGTGAAAACATGCGGTGTTTGGTTTTCTGTTCCTGTGTTAGTTTCCTGAGAATGATGGTTTCCAGCTTCATCCACGTCCCTGCAAGGGACATGAACTCATCCTTTTTTATGGCTGCATAGTATTCCATGGTATATATGTGCCACATTTTCTTTATCCAGTTTATCATTGATGGGCATTCGGGTTGGTTCCAAGTCTTTGCTATTGTGAATAGTGCTGCAATAAACATACATGTGCATGTGTCTTTATAGTAGAATGATTTATAATCCTTTGGATATATAACTAGTAATGGGATTGCTGGGTCTAATGGTATTTCTCGTTCTAGATCCTTGAGGAATTGCCACACTGTCTTCCACAATGGTTGAACTAATTTACATTCCTAACAACAGTGTAAAAGCATTCCTATTTCTCCACATCCTCTCCAGCATCTGTTGTTTCCTGACTTTTTAATGATCACCATTCTAACTGGCGTGACATGGTATCTCACTGTGGTTTTGATTTGCATTTCTCTAATGACCGGTGATGATGAGGTTTTTTTCATCTGTTTGTTGGCCACATAAATGTCTTCTTTTGAGAAGTGTCTGTTCATATCCTTCACCCACTTTTTGATGGGGTTGTTTGTTTTTTTCTTGTAAATTTGTTTAAGTTCCTTGTAGATTCTGGATATTAGCCCTTTGTCAGATGGATAGATTGCAAAAATTTTCTCCCATTCTGTAGATTGCCTGTCCACTCTGATGATGGTTTCTTTTGCTGTGCAGAAGCTTTTTAGTTTAATTAGATCCCATTTGTCAATTTTGGCTTCTGTTGCCATTGCTTTTGGTGTTTTAGTCATGAAGTCTTTGCTCATGCCTATGTCCTGAATGGTATTGCCTAGATTTTCTTCTAGGGTTTTTATGGTTTTAGATCTTCCGTTTAAGTCTTTAGTCCATCTTGAGTTAATTTTTGTGTAAGGTGTAAGGAAGGGGTGCAGTTTCAGTTTTCTGCATATGGCTAGCCAGTTTTCCCACCACCATTTATTAAATAGGGAATCCTTTCCCCATTGTTTGTTTTTGTCAGGTTTGTCAAAGATCAGATGGTTGTAGACATGTGGCATTATTTCTGAGGCCTCTGTTCTGTTGCATTGGTCTATATATCTGTTTTGGTACCAGTTCCATGCTGTTTTGGTTACTGTAGCCTTCTATTATAGTTTGTTTGTTCTTTTTGCTTAGGATTGTCTTGGCTATACAGCCTCTTTTTTGGTTCCATATGAAATTTAAAGTAGTTTTTTTCTGATTCTGTGAAGAAAGTCAATGGTAGCTTGATGGGGATAGCATTGAATCTATAAATTACTTTGGGCGGTATGGCCATTTTCATGATATTGATTCTTCCTCTCCATGAGCATGGAATGTTTTTCCATTTGTTTGTGTCCTCTTTTGTTTTGTTGAGCAGTGGTTTGTAGTTCTCCTTGAAGAAGTCCTTCACATCCCTTGTAAGTTGTATTCCTAGGTATTTTACTCTCTTTGTAGCAATTGTGAATGGGAGTTCATTCATGATTTGGCTCTCTGTTTGTCTATTATTGGTGTATGGGAATGGTTGTAATTTTTACACATTGATTTGGTATCCTGAGACTTTGCTGAAGTTGCTTATCAGCTTACAGAGATTTTGGGCTGAGATGATGGGGTTTTCTAAATATACAATCATGTCATCTGCAAACAGAAACAATTTGACTTCCTCTCTTCCTATTTGAATACGCTTTATTTCTTTCTCTTGCCTGATTGCGTTGGCCAGAACGTCCAACACTGTGTTGAATAGGAGTGGAGAGAGACAGCATCCTTTTCTTGTGCCAGTTTTCAAAGGGGATGCTTCCAGCTTTTGCCCATTCCGTATGATATTGGCTGTGGGTTTGTCATAAATAGCTCTTATTATTTTGAGATATGTTCCATCTATACCCAGTTTATTGAGCATTTTTAGCATGAAGAGTTGTTGCATTTTATTGAAAGCCTTTTCTGCATCTATTGAGATAATCAAGTGGTTTTTGTCATTGGTTCTGTTTATGTGAAGGATAACATTTATTGATTTGCATATGTTGAACCAGCCTTGCATCCCAGGGATGAAGCCAACTTGATCGTGTTGGATAAGCTTTTTGATGTGCTGCTGGATTCGGTTTGCCAGTATTTTATTGAGGATTTTTGCATCGATTTTCATCAGGGATATTGGCCTGAAATTTTCTTTTTTTGTTGCGTCTCTGCCAGGTTTTGGTATCAGGATGATGCTGGCCTCATAAAATGAGTTAGGGAGGAGTCCCTCTTTTTCTATTGTTTGGAATAGTTTCAGAAGGAATGGTACCAGCTCCTCTTTGTACCTCTGGTAGAATTCAGCTGTGAATCTGTCTGGTCCTGGACTTTTTTTGGTTGGTAGGCTCTTAATTATTGCCTCAATTTCAGAACTTCTTATTGGTCTATTCAGGGATTCGACTTCTTCCTGGTTTAGTCTTGGGAGGGTATATGTGTCCAGGAATTTATCTGTTTCTTCTAGATTTTCTAGTTTATTTGTGTAGAGGTGTTTATAGTATTCTCTGATGGTAGTTTGTATTTCTGTTGGATCAGTGGTGGTATCCCCTTTATCATTTTTTATTGTGTTTATTTGATTCCTCTCTCTTTTCTTCTTTATTAGTCTGACTAGCAGTCTATCTATTTTGTTGATCTTTTAAAAAACCCAGCTCCTGGATTCATTGATTTTTTTGAAGGGTTTTTCATGTCTCTGTCTCCATCGGTTCTGCTCTGATCTTAATTATTTGTTGTCTTCTGCTAGCTTTTGAATTTGTTTGCTCTTGCTTCTTTAGTTCTTTTAATCGTGATGTTAGGGTGTCGATATTTGACCTTTCCTGCTTTCTCCTGTGGGCACTTAGTGCTATACATTTCCCTGTAAACACTGCTTTAGCTGTGTCCCAGAGATTCTGGTACATTGTGTCTTTGTTCTCATTGGTTTCAAAGAACTTATTTATTTCTGCCTTAATTTTGTTATTTACCCAGTAGTCATTCAGGAGCAGGTTGTTCAATTTCCATGTAGTTGTGTGGTTTTGAGTAAGTTTCTTAATACTGAGTTTGATTGCACTGTGTTCTGAGAGACTGTTTGTTATGATTTCCATTCTTTTGCATTTGCTGAGGAGTGTTTTACTTCCAATTATATGGTCAATTTTACAATAAGTGTGATGTGGTGCTGAGAAGACTGTATATTCTGTTAATTTGGTGTGGAGAATTACGTAGGTGTCTATTAGGTCTGCTTGGTCCAGAGCTGAGTTCAAGTCCTGAATATCCTTGTTAATTTTCTGTCTCGTTGATCTGTCTAATATTGACAGTGGGGTGTTAAAATCTCCCACTGTTATTGTTTGAGGGTCTAAGTCTCTTTGTAGGAATCTAAGAACTTGCTTTATGAATCTGGATGCTCCTGTATTGGGTGCATATATGTTTAGGATAGTTAGCTCTTCTTGTTGCATTGATCCCTTTACCATTATGTAATGCCCTTCTATGTCTTTGTTGATCTCTGTTGGTTTAAAGTCTGTTTTATCAGAGACTAGGATTGCAACCCCTGCTTTTTTTTTTTTTTTTTTTTTTTTTGGCTTACAATTTACTTGGTAAATATTCCTCCATCCCTTTATTTTGAGCCTATGTGTGTCTTTGCATGCCAGATGGGTCTCCTGAATACAGCACACTGATGGGTCTTGACTCTATCCAATTTGCCAGTCTTTGTCTTTTAATTGGGGCATTTAGCCTGTTTACATTTAAGGTTAATATTTTTGTGTGTGAATTTGATCATGTCATTATGATGGTAGCTGGTTATTTTGCCCATTAGTTGATGCAGTTTCTTCATAGTGTTGATGGTCTTTACAATTTGGTATGTTTTTGCAGTGGCTGGTACTGGTTTTTCCTTTCCATGTTTAGTGCTTCCTTCAGGTGCTCTTGTAAGGCAGGCCTGGTGGTGACAAAAACTCTCAGCATTTGCTTGTCTGTAAAGGATTTTATTTCTCCTTTGCTTATGAAGCTTAGTTTGGCTGGATATGAAATTCCGGGTTGAAAATTCTTTCTTTAAGAATGTTGAATATTGGTCCCCACTCTCTTCCAGTTTCTAGGGTTTCTGCAGAGAGATCCACTGTTAGTCTGATGAGCTTCCCTTTGTGGGTAACCTGACCTTTCTCTCTGGCTGCCCTTAACATTTTTTCCTTCATTTCAACCTTGGTGAATCTGATGATTATGTATCTTGGAGTTGCTCTTCTCAAGGAGTATCTTTATGGTGTTCTCTGTATTTCCTGAATTTGATTGTTGGCCTGTCTTGCTAGGTTGGGGAAGTTCTCCTGGATAATATCCTGAAGAGTGTTTTCTAACTTGGTTCCATTCTCCCTGTCACTTTCGGGTACACCATCAAACGTAGGTTTGGTCTTTTCACATAGTCCCATATTTCTTGGAGGCTTTGTTTGTTCCTTTTCATTCTTTTTTCTCTAACCTTGTCTTCATGCTTTATTTCATTAAGTTGATCTTCAATCCCTGATATCCTTCCTTCCACTTGATCTATTCAGCTATTGATACTTGTGTATGCTTCACGAAGTTCTTATGCTGTGTTTTGCAGCTCCATCGGGTCATTTATGTTCTTCTCTAAACTGATTATTTTAGTCAGCAATTCCTCTAACTTTTTTTCAAGCTTCTTAGTTCCTTGCATTGGGTTAGAACATGCTCCTTTAGCTTGAAAGAGTTTGTTATTATCCACCTGATGAAGCCTACTTCTGTCAATTTGTCTAACCAATTTTCCATCCAGTTTTGTTCCCTTGCTGGTGAGGAGTTGTAATCCTTTGCAGGAGAAGAGCCATTCTGGTTTTTGGAATTTTCAGCCTTTTTGCACTAGTTTTTCCTCATCTTCATGGATTTATCTACCTTTGGTCTTTGATGCTGGTGACCTTTGCATGGGGTTTCTGTGTGGACGTCCTTTTTGTTGATGTTGATGCCCCTCCTTTCTGTTTGTTAGTTTTCTTTCTAACAGTCAGGCCCCTCTGCTGCAGGTCTGCTGGTATTTGCTGGAGGTCCACTCCAGACCCTGTTTGCCTGGGTATCACCAGTGGAGGCTGCAGAATAGCAAAGATTGCTGCCTGTTCCTCCCTTTGGAAGCTTTGTCCCAGAGGGGCACCCACCAGATGCCAGCCAGAGCTCCCCTGTATGAGGTGCATGTCGACCCCTGGTGGGAGTTTTCTCCCAGTCAGGAGGCACAGGGGTGAGGGACCCACTTGAGGAGGCATTCTGTCCCTCGGCAGAGCTCGAGCTCTTTTCCAAGCCAGCAGAGAGGGAGGTTTAAGTTTGCTGAAGCTGTGCCCACAGCTGTCCCTTCTCCCATGTGCTCTGTCCCAGGGAGATGAGAGTTTGATCTATAAGCCCTTGACTGGGGCTGCTGCCTTTCTTTCAGAGATGCCCTGCTCAGAGCTGAGGAATCTAGAGAGGCAGTCTGTCTACAGCAACTTCGCTGAGCTGCAGTGGGCTCCCGCCCAGTTTGAACTTCCCAGTGGCTTTGTTTACACTGTGAGGGGAAAACTGCCTACTCAAGCCTTAGTAATGGCAGACGATGGCCCTCCCCCGACCAAGCTTGAGCATTCCAGGTTGACTTCAGACTGCTGTGTTGGCAGCGAGAATTTCAAGCCAGTGGATCTTAGCTTGCTGGACTCCATGGGGGTGGGATCCACTGAGCTAGACCACTAGGTTCCATGGCTTCAACACCCTTTCCAGGGGTGTAAACAGTTCTGTCTCACTGGCGTTCCAGGCACCACTGGGGTATAAAAAGAAAGTCCTGCAGCTAGCTCTGTTTCTGCCCAAACGGCTGCCCAGTTTTGTGCTTCAAACCCAGGGCCCTGGTGGCATAGGCATTGGAGGGAATCTCCTGGTCTGTGGGTTGCAAAGACCATGGGAAAAGCATAGTGTCTGGGGCTGGAGTGCACCTTTCCTCAAGGCACAGTCCCTCAGGGATTCCCTTGGCTAGCCGAGGGAGTTCCCCAAATCCTCGCACTTCCCAAGTGAGGCGATGCCCCACCCTGCTTCGGCTCGCCCTTTCTGGGCTGCACTTACTGTCTAACCAGTCCCAATGAGATGAGCTTGGTACCTCAGTTGGAAATGCAGAAATCACCTGCATTCTGCATTGATCTCGCTGGGAGCTGCAGACCAGAGCTGTTCCTATTTGGCCATCTGGCTAGCCACCTTACTGTATGTATCTATTTTTATACTGGTACCATGCTGTTTTGGTTACTATAGCCTTGTAGCGTAATTTGAAGTCAGGTAATGTGATACTTCCACCTTCGTTCTTTTTGTACGGGATTGCTTTGGCTATTTCAGGCTCATTTTTGGGTCCATATGAATTTTAGAGTAGTTTTTTCTAGTTCTGTGAAAAATGATGTTGGTTGTCTGATAGGAATAGCATTGAATTTGTACATTGCTTTGGGAAGCATGGCCATTTTAACAGTATTAATTCTTCTGATCCATGAGCTTGGTTTGTTTTTCCATTTGTGTCATCTTCAATTTCTTTGATGAGTGTTTTGTAGTTTTCTTTGTAGAGATTTTTCAGCACCTTTGTTAAATTTATTTATAGCATTTTTTGGTAGCTATTGTAAATGGGATTGCTGCCTTGATATATGTTATTGGTGTAAAAGAATGCTATTGATTTTGGTGCATGGTTTTGTATCCCAAAACTTCACTGAATTCATTTAGCAAATCTAGGAGACTTTTGGTGGAATTTTGGTTTTCTGGGTATCAGATCATATAATCAGCAAACAGAAATAATTTGACTTCCACTTTTCCACTTTGGATGCCTTTTATTTTCTTCTCTTGCTAGATTTCTCTGGCTAGAGCTTCCAGTTTAATGTTGAATAGGAGTGGTGGAAGTGGGCATCCTTGTCTTTTTCCAGTTCTTAGGGGGAATGCATTCAACTTTCCCCATTTAATATGATGTTAGCTGTGGGTTTTTCATATATGGACTTTATTATATTGAGGTATCTTCCTTCTATGCCTAGTTTGTTGAGAATTTTTATCATGAGGTGATGTTTAATTTTATCAACTACATTTTCTGCCTTTATTGAGATTATTATATGGTTTTTGTCCTTCATTCTGTTAATGTGTTATATCACATTGATTTGCTTATGTTGAACCATCCTTGAATCCCTGGAATAAATCCCACCAGACTATTTTGCATTATCTTTTTAATGTGCTGTTTGATTCAGTTTGCTAGTATTTTGTTGAGGATTGTTGCATCTATATTAATCAGAGATATTGGTCTGTAGTTTTCTTTTTTTACTGTTTTGGAATTGGGTAATGCTGGCATCGTAGTATGAGTTATGGAGAATCCCCTCCTTCTTAAGTTTTTGGGATAGTTTCAGGAGGATTTGTATTATCAGTTCTTCTTTGTGTGTTTGGTAGAATTCAGCTGTGAATCCATGCAGTCCTGGGCTCTTTTGTTGTTGTTGGGAGACTTTTCATTACTGATTCAATCTCACTAATTTTATTGGTCTGTTCAGGTTTTCTATTTCGTCCTGGTTCAATCTTGGTAGGTTATATGTTTCTAGGGATGTATCTATTTCCTCAAGTCTTTCCAGTTTGCCAGTGTGTAGTTCGTAATATTCTCTATAGTCTTTAAAGATCATTTGTATTTCTGTGGTATCATGTGCAAAGTCCTTTTTCATTTCTGATTTTTGTTTATTTGGTTTTTTCTTTCTGCTTTTCTTAGTTATTCTAGCTAGCAGCTTATCAATTTTGTTTACCTTTTTAAAGAACCAACTTTGTGTGTATGTGTTTTTTTAAGTCTCCACTTTATTTAGTCCTGCTTAATTTTTATTTTTTCTTTTCTTCTGCTAATTTTGGGTTTGGTTTGCTCCTGCTTTTCTAGTTTCTTGAAATGCCTCCTTAGATTATTAGTTTGTAATCTCTTTACTTTCTTGATGTAGGCTTTTATTACTATAAATATCCCTTGTAACACTACTTTCCTTATATCCCACAGGTTTTGATATGTTATGTTTGCATTTATTTGTTTCGAGAATTTTTTTGATTTTCTTCATAATTTTTTTGTTAACCCAATGGTCATTCAGGAAATTCAGTCACCTCATGTTGTTTAATTTCCATGTATTTCTGTATTTTCTGGAGTTCCTCTTGCTATTGATTTTTAGTTTTATTCCATTGTGGTACGAGAAAATACTTGGTATGATTTTGATTTTTTAAAATTTATTGATGCTTATTTTGTGGCCTAACATGGTCTATCCTGGAGAATGAATATTCAGTGTGTTGATGAAAAGAATGTTCATTCTGTAGTTGTTGGATAAGTGATTCTGCAAATGTCTGTTAGGTCCATTTCATCTAACATCCAGTTTAAATCCAATGTTTCTTTGTTCCTTTTCTGTCTAGGTGACCTGTCTAATGCTGAAAGTAGGGTGTTGAAGTCCCTACTATTATTATATTGCAGTCTCTCTAGGTAGATCTAGTAACATTTGCTTATGAATCTGGATGTTGCAGTGTTGGGTACATATATATTTAGAATTGCTATATCCTCTTGCTGGATTGATCCATTAATTATTATATAATGACCTTCTTTGTCTTGGTTTTACTGTCCTTTGCTTAATGTCTGCTTTATCTGATATAAATATAGCTACTCTTGTTCACTTCTGATTTCTATTTGTGTGGAAAATCTTGTTCCATTGCTTTTCTATCAGTCTATATGTGTCTTTACTGGTGAGTTTCTTTAAGCATCATATATTCAGACCATGTCTTATTCATTCAGCCATTCTATATCTTTAAAAGGAGAATATAATGTTTATATTTAAGGTTATTATTGATATATGAGGCTTTGTTCCTGTCATATTGTTAACTTTATTCTGATTGTTTTATATATTCTTTGTTCTTTTCTTTTTCCCTTATAGTTTGTTGTTTTGGCTTGGTGGATTTTTATAGTGGTTTAATTTGAGTTCTTTCTCTTACTCTTTCGTATGATTGCTTTAGCAATGAGTTTTATACTTTTGTGTGTTTTCACAATGGTAAATATCTTTTGATTTCCAAGTTTAGGACTTCCTTGAGCATTTCTTGTAAGGCCAGTCTAATGATAACAAGTATCCTCAGCATTTATTTGTTTGAGAATGACTTTATTTTTTCTTCATTTATAGAGGATAATTTTGCTAGATATAGTATTCTTGGGTAGCAGTTTTTTTTTTTTTTTTCTTTTAGCCCTTTGAATATATCATCCCATTCTCTTCTGGTCTGTAAGGTTTGTGCTTAGAAATCTGCTGTCAGTCTAATGGGGTTTTCTTTATAGGTGACTAGATGCTTTTATCTTGCTGTTTTTAGGATTTGCTTTTTAACTTTGATTTTGGACAGTCTGATTATAATGTGCCATGAGGATGACTATTTACATTGTATCTCTTTGAGCATCATTAAGCCTCTGGTGTTTGAATGTCTAAATCTCTTGCTGGACATGAGAAGTTTTCATCTATTATTTTGTTAAATAGGTTTTCTAATCCTTTCTTTGTTTCTTTGTCCTTAAGGAGACTGATAATTTGTAAATTCACTCACCTTATGTTGTCCCAAATGTCATGAAGACTTGGCTCATTCTTTTTTATTCTTTTTCTTTATTTTTATCTGACTAGATTATTTCAAAAGACTTGTTTTCCAGTTCTGAGATTCTTTCTTCTGCTTACCTAGTCATTCCTTAAGCTTTTAAATGTATTTTGTATTTTCTTCAATGAGTTCTTTATCTCCAGAATTTCTGTTTGTCTCTTTTTAAAAATATCTATCTCTTTGGTAAATTTCTCATTCATATCCTGAATTGTTTTCCTGATTTATTTATATTGTTTCTCAGAGTTCTCTTGTATCTCCCCAAGGTTCTTTAAAACTAATATTTTAATTCTATATCTGGGATTTAAAAATTTTATTTTTGTTTAATATCTATTGCTGGAAGATTATTGTGTTCCTTTGGAGGTGTTATATTTCCTTGCTTTTTTATGTTTCTTGTGTCCTTACTTTGATATATGAACATCTAGTGTAACAGTCACTTCTTCTTATTTTTCAATTTACTTTCACAGGGTAGGACTTTTTCCTGAAGTTGTATCTATGGTGTTAGTTGGGTAGGATATTTTGTCTTTCATTCTAGATGCATGTAATAATATAGTCTATGATTTATTTGGCTGTAAATAGCATTAGTAGTGTCTGTGATTTCTTCAGTGGGCAAGGGTGCAGTTATTAGTAGAGGCTGTGGTGAAGTTGTGCTGGACACTGGGATGCCAGGTATGCCAGTCTTCAGTCTTCAGTGGTGGCAGAGGTGGGCTGAGCATGCCTATCTTTGTGCCCCATGACAGTGCATGCTGACACCTGTGTCAACAGTTACTGATGGATTTATTCTTGGGCCTCCATGTGGCTTACTCAGGTTTCAGTAGTGGTAACAGTAGACCTAGTGGGCCAGCAGGTTCGTAGGCCCCTGGGGAGCCAGCATGGCATGAGAGTAGCATTGATGGGATGATTCTCTGGGTCCCAAGTTGTGTGCATTAATGTTGGTGGTAGATAGGATAGGCTGAGGAAGCCAGTCTCCAGGCCCAAAGGTGGCACTTGGAGGTGGGAGCCAGCTAAGTGGTAGTGACTAGGAATTTAGGCCATCCTCAGGTTCCTGGGAGGAGCGCTTAGGTACCCAAGGTAGTGGATTGGGTTGAACAATCCCCAGGACCTGAGGCTACGTACTATGTCTTGGAGTAGGTGGCAAAGCTGGCCTGAGCCAGCTTGCTCTCTGGCCCACCAATGGTGAGCATAGGTACCACCCATGATGGTTGGGAGCCGGGTGATCCTCAGGCCCCAGAAGGAGTGCTCAGGTGAGATGCAATAGCAGCTGCACTTAGGCCTTGCCACTGAAGAGGGTGGAGCCACTATTGGTGGCCGTAGCCTGGACCAGCAGGTGGGGGTTGTATGACCCTTTCACACGCTAGTCCTGGCAGGGCTTGCTCCCTACCTACTATGGTTGCAGGAGCTCACACTCAGCTCACAACCAGTTATCAGAGACAACTCATCCCCACTTATGTCCTTGTCTCAGATTCTCATATCGTTTGCTTTTTGATACTGGCATTTGCCACACAAGCCCCACACATTTCCCAGCTGTGGGATTACACCCTGCTCCTTCTTCTGACCCAGGAGTGACAGCTCGAATTTCAGTCCTGGGACCGCTGGGTCCCAGGACAGTATGCAGTTTGCCAGAGGCTAGTTTTGAAATGACACCTTGCTGTAGCCACTTAGGTCTCAGAAATGCTGGAGTAACCCAGCATGTGCTCCCTTTCTGGAGCAGTTTCATTCCATGGACTCCTGGCAGCTCTCTGTGTTAGATTCAGGGGTTGCATCCCTGCCACACTTGCTTTATGGCCCCAGCTGAAGGAGTGCTCTTGGCTTACTCCCCTGGGACTCCCAGGACTGAAGTGCAAAAGGGATACATGTTGCCCACCTGCTAACCCAAGCTATGTCCACCAATGGGAGCTACACCCTCTTCAGTGGCTGTCCAGAAGCGACAACCTGAGTTTCTGTAATGCTCAAGTCCCAGTGCCTTTGGTTCCTCAGAGAGCATGCTGTTTGCCAGAAGATAGTTTTGAAAATGGCATCTTGCTGCAGCTGCTTAGGTCTCACGAAGGATGTGGGGCCCAGCATGAGCTCCCTCTCTGGAGAAATTCTGTCCCACAGACTCCTGGCAGCTTCCTATGTTAGTTTCAGCAGTTGGGAGAGTTGAGGGGTTCTCCTGTGTCCAGGATTGCACAATTGCAGGTGGGAATGCAGGCTGCTGGAATTCTATTACTAACCCCTTCCCCAGGGAGCAGCTAGCTCCCAGCTGATCTCAGCCAATAAGACTGCCTCTCCTCCTTCCATGCTTTGTGTCTCCTGTCACTTTCCTGTTGAATTCCACCATTTTCTCTTGGGTAATGTGCTCAAAGTTTGACTATCTATGTACTACTCTGGTTATTCTTGGTGAAGGAGACAGACATGAAATTCTTCTGCTTAGCCATCTTGAACCAGATTGCAGAATTAATTTTTTAATTTTAACTTTATTTTACTGTTTCTTTTAAGGTATGTTCTCTTTTATCTACTGATTAACTTAATTTCTTACTAGTGCAATTTTTCCTTCATACACTTAATACTTTTAGAATTGGATTATATATATATAACCATTGCTAAGAGCTAAAGCAGCATCCAAAACACCCTGGATGAAAGAATAAGCATTTCAACCCTGTGAAAATGGTAAAACAAAGTGTAATTAACTTTTATGTTAATGGATGCTAATGGGCACTTACGATGGTTAAAATCACTCTCCATCATTTAGCAAAACCCTACTGTGTGTAGAACACTGATAAGCAGACTTCAAAGAGACTTTATCACCGCATTAAGCATTTGTTAAATGGGATTTGAATCATTAGTAAGCAAAAGCCCCCAAAAAACACTACGTGAGCTTTTCCACCTTGAGAGAAGTCTTAACTATGTAAGAGTATTGCTCTGCTGGTGGTCACTGTAAGGGTCCTGTCTATCCTCCTATGAGTGTTCAAGACATTTATGAGGCAGGTAAATGAATATGGCTTTTTTGCTTGGCCAAAACCAGAAGGCTCCTTGAAATGTAGATTGAGATACTTAACCATGGTTTTTATTATACCTTCTAAACTGTTTGAGCCCATAAGCATGCATCCATGAGATTTTAATATTAAATGATTGAAATAAATAAGTTGTGAATATAAAGTAAAGTATTTGGGATTTGTCATCCAATTTCTTTCTCTCCTGACAACCTCAAAGCCCAGGAGGACCTAATGCCCAGCTCCATCAAGGAAGAGTGCTATGTATGAATTTGAAGAATCCTTAATTTTAAGAGGAATCAGAGGCCATTCAAACTTAGCTGACTTTGGGGAGAAGTTGGAGCTCATGATAGAATGAGGTTTGAGGGAAGATGACTGTCTCAGAGCCTGACCTGACACAATTAATTTAGAATTGGTGCTCTCATGTTAGAATTTCCTGGCAATGTCTCAAGACTTCATATATCAGCCTCTGTACCACTTAATAAGTCTCTGAACTAAAAGGCTCCAGGTAGTGGTCTGTAGGTTTATGTTTAGCAACTGGCTCAAAGAAAAGAAAAGAAAAACTGATTTGTAGCATTTGCTCTTTTTCATGGTGTGTAAATACTCCTACCAAAGCAGATTTCAAAATACCAAAGTGGAATGACTGCAAAATTGGAAAGAGATGCATACAATTGACTCTAACACAGCACTGGCTCTGAGTAACAGCCCTAGAAGGAAATGTTGATTGAAGGACCTTAACCAATCTTGGGAGTCATTAACAGCTCCCTAACAGAAAGATGACAACTACTGTTAAATGTGGGCAGTAGCTCAATGTGGAGGATTCTAAATCAGGGTTAGAGAATGAAATCTAAAAATGGTACTGTGTACTATGAGGACTCCAGAAAGTTCAGTTTTTCTTAAAATTGTTTTTCTACCTTATAATTCCTTATGAGTTAGAAGCTGAGAAATCACTAAAGCATTTTTCTTTTTATTTTATACATTCAATGACTAATTTTTTTAACAAATATTTTTCATTCAACAACAAATTACAGGGTTCCTACTCTATGCCAGGCCCTGAAGTAAGTGCTGAAATGTACAATAGACATGGTCTCTGCTCTCATAGAGCTTAGAATCTAGTAGAGAAGAAAAAACTTTTCATATTTATGATTGAAGATAAGTCCTAAAAAAGAAAGGAATATAATCTATGAAGCAAAGAGGAAGTGATATTTGAGAGACATCTGAATAAAGAAATAGGTATTAACCTCTATAGGGGAGCTACAAGAAAAGGGGAGGGAAAGAGTTCTTGCTGTAGTGGATTCAACGTGAAAAATGGTCAACAGAGCTGACTGAGTGCTGGAGACACAGCTAAACCAGTGGGCATGGGTTTGGCCATGCAGATCCTTATAGCATGTTAAGGGTTTTGTTTTTTCTAACAGTAATGGACACCCACTGAAGGGTTTTAGGCAGTAAGACAATGAGATCAGTTTTAACTGCAGTGTAGAAGAATGGATTGCTACATCATTCATTTATTTCTTCTTCAAATCATTATTAAGAACCTACTGGCTAAACACTGGAGTCAACCAAAATATGCAAGATATAGTCATCCCTTTGAAATGCTCACAGTCTAATCGGGGAGAAAGGCATTTCTATTAGTGTCCCATTGATGCTGTAACACATTCTCATGAATTTAGTGGCTTAAAACAATACACATTGTTTTCTTACAATTCTGGAGGTCGGAAGTCTGCAATGGATTTCGCTGGGCTAAAATCAAGGTGTTGGCAGGATCATGTTCCATCTGGAGGTTCTAGGGGAAAATTGTTTTTATATATATTTTTTTTCTTTTCAAGCTTCTAGAGGCCACCCACGTCCCTTGGCTTGTGTTCTTGCTTCACTTCAACCTCTGCTTCCATGATCACATCTTTACTTACCTTCCTGCCTTCTTTTTTCCCTTTTAAGGACTTTGTGATTCCCTTGGGTACACCTGGATAATCCAGGGTAACTTTCTCCTCTCAAGATCCTTGGCTTAATCTGTGAAGTCTCTTTTGTTACATAAGATTACATGTTCATAGGCTCCAGAGACTAAGAGTGGACATTTTAGAGAAGGATTATTCTTTCTATCACAGCATACAATTAAATGATGGACATAAGGTTGAAGAGGAAGGTTGGAACCCACACAAGAGCATTTGTCTAATTTGCCTTATTTTTTGGTAGTTACCTAGGAGTACACTGTCATGATTCTGCAAAAGATAGTTTGCTTTTGTGTTTTAAATCTCACAACTTCTAGAATATTTTAAGTCTTAGATGAAAAAAATCTATATAGAATTTTAAGAATTACTGCAAGGGACAAGACTGATTATTTGTTTTTGTGGTATGAGCAATAGTAAATTTTATCAGGGTTTTTTTGTCCCTGGTAAAATTTACTAAGTGTAAATTGAATGGAGCTTAGAGCAGTTCTTTTCAAATGTTAATGCACATACAACTCTGGTTAAAATGCACATTCTGATTTATTAGATCAAGGGTGTAATCTGAAATTTCAGTTTTGTAATATGCTCTCAGGTGATGCGCTTCTACTTCTCTGAGGACCACACTTTGAATAGCAAGAACCTACATTTCTAATTGTCAAAAATTTTCCTGACATGTACAAAAGAACATATGGAGTGCATAACTTCAGGGAGAAAAAGAATGTTTAGCCTATAAAAAATGTAGTAAGGGGTGTGTGTGTGTGTGTGTGTGTGTGTGTGTGTGTGTATGAATGAAATAGTTTATGCTATTTGATTCAGAGGAAAACCTTAATATCTGTGCATTTTCTTGGAAACAAGGATTAAGAAATGGAGAAAAGGTTCTGATTGTGGACTTACTTGATCTGAGCTAGAAAATTTGGGGGCTTTCATTCCCCTAGGGACTATTAGAGGTAAATTTTTATATCATTTAAACTTCCCAATAGTTGAAGCTAGTGATGGGTGGAGCCAGTGGTGTGTCAGAGTTGGCAGGAACAAGTGATTGGGAAGTATTCAGCAATTTTGTGAGCTAACAGTTATTAAATTATTGGTAGCCTGACATTGTCCATGGTGGAAGTATTTACACCAAGCTTGTAAGGCCTATGGCCTACAGGTCTCATGTGGCCCAGGATGGCTTTGAATGCAGCCCAGCACAAATTCGTAAACTTTCTTAAAACATTATGTTTTGTTTTGTTTTGTTTTTTGAGATGGAGTCTTGCTCTGTTGCCAGGCTGGAATGCAGTGGCACGATCTTGGCTCACTGCAACCTCCGCCTCCTGGGTTCAAGTAATTCTCCTGCCTCAGCTTCCCAAGTAGCTGGGACTACAGGGGCCCGCCACCATGCCCAGCTAATTTTTATATGTTTTTTTAGTAGAGATGGGGTTTCACCATGTAGGCCAGGATGGTCTCGATCTCCTGACCTCATGATCCACCTGCCTCAGCCTCCCAAAGTGCTGGGATTACAGTTGTGAGCCACCGCGCCCAGCCAACATTATGGATTTTTGTTTGTGATTTTTTAATAGCTGATCAACTGTTGTTAATGTTAGTGTATTTTATGTGTGGCCCAAGACAGTTCTTCTTCCCAGGGAAACCAAAAGATTGGACAGCCCGATTTACACCACGGAAGTTAGTAAATTCTACAAATCAGGCTTGCTCTCCTTCTCTCTCTATTTTCTTTCCCCAAGGGAGCCATTTCAGCAGCACACCACTACCATAAACTCATTATTTTTTAAAATGTGTTCATTTCAGCAACTGGCAGATGAATTCAGACTCAACTTTTCTCTCCAGCTGTATTGCCTTTGCACACTGTCCATGGCTTCCACCCTGCAAATGTGACTCCATGTGTGGAAGTGGCTTCACATGGCATCCTCTAAGCCCAATTTCTCCAGTTTTCTAGAGCTGCATTGCTGCTTTTGGTTATAAGTGAGTTTCTCAGAAGTAATCTAATGTACTCTACAAAGAATCACACACTTTGCTAGAATTGTTAGTTTTTCTCTTGTAAGCTGCTCCAGGGGCATCTTGGAGTAAGCCATTTATCTACAAATCATCCCATTTAGAAAAAAAAGTTGGGCCAGTAATGATATTTATTCTCTCTAATCTGAAGACGGACAACTGAGAGGGAGCATGTAAAAATCAAACCTAGTGGAGAGTGGATGGGAAAAGAGGGCCTAAGGGTATAGCTGGAGCAAGTAAGAATACAGCACTAGGAATGTGGGATGTGTGTGTGTGTGTGCATGTGTGTGTGCATGTGCATACAATGGCATATGTGTAGGAGGAAGAGTGGACAGGGAAAAATAGATGGAGAATTGGATAGAGAGATAAAAGAATGGAAAATAAAGGTGATAGTTTACAAGAGGCCAATATTAGTTGGTTAAGCCTCAATGTTTTGTATACTCATTATTAAACAATTACACTATCAGTAGGCAGTTTAGCAAATAATTTTACATAAATTATCTAATTTCATCCTCAATAAAACTTTATCATCTTCATAACTTAGTTGATGTTGTAGTTGTATCCCCATGTTTACCGATAAAGAGAGTGAAGTTCAGAAAGTTTGAGTATCTTTCCCCAGAATCACAGAGCTGGTCTGAGACCAAGCTTAGACCAACGGTAGACAAACTATAGTTTGTAGACCAAATATGGCCCACTGTCTGTTTTTATAAATAAACTTTTATTGGGACACAGCCATGCCCAATTGGATACTATTTTCTGTGGCTGCTTTTACCCTACAGCAACAGAGTGCATTAGTCATGGCAGAGAAGTCTCAACAGAAACTGCATGGCCTGCAAAGCCAAAAACTCTCAGCCACCTGGCCCTTCATAAAAAAAAAAAATCTGCTGACACCACCTTTAGATTCCAGATCCCACTGCGCCAGCTGAGTCAGTCTGATGTCAATAGAGGATATGACCACAAACAGCATGACTTTAGCAGAGTGCTACATGCCTCTGGGGTGAAAATAATGCCAAAATAGAGCCGCAGTAATGGCTTAGGATTCCTGTCATTAATCACTTCTGGGAGTTAGGGCATGGAAGGTCTTATTTAAGATATTATCTAAGGAAAAATTACAATTTAAATCTTCATCAGTTTGCAACATT
The DNA here is from genome assembly GCF_000001405.40 of Homo sapiens. NCBI lineage: Eukaryota > Metazoa > Chordata > Mammalia > Primates > Hominidae > Homo > Homo sapiens. The sequence goes on along the minus strand of NC_000002.12, from coordinate 157,692,744 downwards.
CTACCAAATAAACCAAAGAAAGTATGTTCTAAATGAGTGGGCCATGAGATGAAAAGTTTTGGTGGGAGAGTAGATGTCATATGGAGCAAAATAGTGTAAAGAGAAGACTCCAATAATCCTGTATTAAGTCCCATTTTTTTATGATTACTAGCCTGTGGCCTCAAGAAAATGTATTCATTGAGCTATGTGTAAAATGACTATAATAGTACCTACCTTCTAGGATTATTGTGAACATTAGAAATTATTCATATGATGTGCTTCACACAAAATAAAAACACAATATGTGGTGAGGGGAACAGTAGTGGTTGCTGCCGGTGGTGATGGTGGTAGTAGTAGTAGTAGTAGTAGTAGTGAAGCATTACTAAGGGAGTACCTGAGTAACAGAGAACTCTGGGACTTTCTGGGGCCTCCCTAAGGGAAAAGGCAATACTCCAACCTCCAAAGCCTCACAGGTGATACACAAGCATTGGATGCAGTTATGATCGATCTCTCTCCAATTTCATCTTGGGTAAATAAGCGCATTTTATTAAAAATTTTCTGGTTATTTCTCAAATGGGCTATTTTATAAAAGAGAAAAATGTCAAAATTCTGTATGTTAAATCCCATTATATCAAGCAAGCAACATGGCTCATTGTTTTTCTTTCATTTATATTTTCCATCTCGATAAACAAAAACAAAACAAAACAAAATACCTGATTTTTCACTGTAGTCGAGAAATAGAACAATGATGTACAATTTACAGTCTGTGGGCAGTTTCATATACTGTATTGAGCCCTGTCATGATTCTGTCAGCCACAGTTTCTTTCCTTCTCTGACATTGTTGACATAACAGCTGTTGAGAGACAGCTGTTATGGCTGAGGGGGATAAGGTAGGGTCAGGGATGAGGTGAGGAAATCTAGTTACGCAATGCTTTATAATAACTTTTAAGCAAAATGTTTTGACTTTTAGACGACATCAAAACCCTACTTCATTTGGGAATAGGCTTCTCAATTTGATGTGCTTTCCTTTGTTCTTCTACAATGTGGAAATTCAATAGTGATTTTTATGTGAAGTAGTCTGATTTTTAAAAATGTTAGCAATTAATTTTTAAACCTACTTTAATAAAATTTAATAATTTAAAATTGTTTCTTTTTAATACATGATGAGGAAGAAACAATCTCTTTAATAAATGGCATTGGGGAAAAATGCAAAAGAATGAAATTTGACCCTTACCTCACCCCTTATACATGAATAAGTTCAAAATGGATTCCAGACAAAAATGTAATACTGGAAACTATAAAACTACTAGAAGAAAACATAGGGGAAAACCTCCATGAAATTGTTCTGGGCAATAATTTCTTGTATAAGATGCCAAAACACAAGCAACAAAAGCAAAAATAGACAAAGGGGGATTGCATTGAACTAGAAAGGTTCTGTACAGTAAAGAAAACAATGTACAGAGTGAAGAGACAACCCGCAGACTGGAAGAAAATATTTGGAAATCATATATCAAAGAAGGAACTAGTATCCAAAATACACAAGGAACTCAAACCACTCAATAGCATGAAAACAAATAACTCTTTAAAAATGGGCAAAGGACCTGAATAAACATTTCTCAAAAGAAGACATACAAATGGCCAACAGACATATGAAAACATACTCAACATCTTTAATTATAGGAGAAACACAAATTAAAACCACAAAGAGATATCACCTCACACCGGGTAGATTGGCTATCATGAAAAAGATGAAAGATAAGTGTTAGAGAGGATGTGGAGAAAAGGGAACCCTTGTATATTGTTGGTAGTATTGTAAATTAGTACAGCTTGGAAAACAGTAGGGAGGTTTTCCAAAAAAACTTAAAAAATTGAACAACCATATGATTCAGCAATCTCACTTCTGGAAATACAAGCAGACTTCATTTTATTGCACTTTGCTTTATTGTACTTAGCAGATTTTGCGTTTTTACAAATTGAAGGTTTGTGGCAACCCTGTGTCGAGCAAGTCTATTGGTGCCATTTTTCCAACAGCATGTGCATACTTCGTGTCTCTGTCACATTTTGATAATACTTGCTTTTTTTCCTCAAGCTTTTTCTTTATTATTATATCTGTTATGGTGATCTGTAATCAATTATCTTTGATGTTACTATTAAGATTGTTTTTGGGTACCATGAACCATGCCCATCTAAGGCAGCAAACTCAATAGATAAATGCTGTGTGTGTTTTCACCGCTCCACCAACCCGCTGTTCTGTCATCTCTCTTTTTCTGTTCTGGCCTCCCTATTCCCTGAAACACAAAATATTAAAATTAAGTCAATTCATAATCCTACAGTGGCCTCTAAGTGTTCAAGTAAAAAGAACAGTCCCTCATCTCTTACTTTAAATCAAAAGCTAGAAATGTTTAAAGTTAGTGAGGAAACCAAAGCCCAAAGCCAAAAGAGGCCAAGAGCTAGGGCTCTTGCACCAAACAGCCAAGCTGCGAATGTAAAGGAAAAGTTCTTGAAGAAAATTAAAAGTACTACTCCAGTGAACACACAAATGATAAGAAAGCAAAACAACCTTATTGCTGATATGGAGAAAGTTTAAGTGGTCTGGGTAGATTAAACCAGCCTCAATGTTCCCTTAAGGCAAAGCCTAATCCAGAGTAAGGCCGTCACTGTTTTTGATTCTATAAAGGCTGAGAGAGGTAAGATAGCCGCAGAAGAAAAGTTTGAAGCTGGTAGAGGTTGGCTCATGAAGTTTAAGGAAAGACACTGTATTCAGAACATAAAAGCACAAGGTGAAGCTGCAAGTGCTGATGTAGAATCTGCAGCAAGGTATCCAGATCTAGCTAAAATGATTGATGAAGGTGGCTTCACTAAACAACGTCTGTTCAGTGTAGATGAAATAGCCTTATACTGGAAGAAGATGCCACCTAGAACGTTCATAGCCAGAGAAGAAAAGTCAATGCCTGGCTTCAAATCTTCAAAGGACTGACCAATTCTCTTATTAGGGAATGATGTAGCTGGTGACTTTAAGTTGAAGCCAATGCTTATTTACCATTCTGAAAATCCTTGGGCCCTTAAGAATTATGCTAAATCTACTCTGCCTATGCTCTACAAATAGAACAACAAAGTGTGGGTGACAGTATATCTGTCCATAGCATGGTTTACTGAATATTTAAAGTTCACTGTTGAGACCTACTGCTCAGAAAAAAGATTTCTTTCCAAATATTACTACTGCTTGACAATGTACCTGGTCACCCAAGAGCTCTGATGGAGACGTGCAAGGAGATTAACATTGTTTTAATGCCTGCTAACACAACATCCGTTCTACAGCCCATAGATTAAGAAGTAATTTAGATTTTCCAGTCTTATTACTTAAGAAATATATTTCATAAGGCTACAATCGCCGCAGTGATTCCTCTGAAGCATCTAGGCAAAAAAAAAAAAAAAAAAGAAAAAAGAAAAGCCAGACGCAGTGGCTCACGCCTGTAATCCCAGCTCTTTGGGAGGCCGAGGCGGGTGGATCACCTGAAGTTAGGAGTTCAAGACCAGCCTGGCCAACATGGTGAGACCCTGTCTCTACTAAAAATACAAAACTTAGCTGGGCGTGGTGGGCCTGTAATCCCAGCTACTCAGGAGGCTGAGGCAGGGGAATCGCTTGAACCTGGGAGGTGGAGGTTGCGGTGAGATGAGATTGTGCCATTGTACTCCAGCCTGGGCAACAAGAGCAAAACTCCATCTGAAAAAAAAAAAAAAAAAACTGAAACCCTTCTGTAAAAGATTTATCAGTCTAGATGCCATTAAGAACATTCATGATTCATGGGAGGAGGTCAAAATACCAACAGGCACAGGAGTGTGGAAGAAGTTGATCCTAACCCTCATAGCTTTGAGGGATTTAAGATTTCAGTGGAGGAAGACACTGCTGATGTGTTGGAAATAGCAAGAGAACTAGAATTAGAATTGGAGCCAGAAGATGTGACTGAATTGCTGCAATCTTTTTTCTTTTTTTGAGATGGAATCTCACTCTGTCACCCAGGCTGGAGTGCAGTGCCGCAATCTCGGCTCATTGCAACCTCCGCCTCCCGGGTTCAAGCAATTCTCCTGCTTCAGCCTCCTGATTATGTGGGATTACAGGCATGCACCCCCATGCCTGGCTAATTTTCGTATTTTTAGTAGAGATGGGGTTTTGCTATGTTGGCCAGGCTGGTCTCAAACTCCTGGCCTCAGGTGATCCTCCTGCCTCGGCCTCCCAAATTACTAGGATTACAGGCATGAGCCACTGCGCCTGGCCAATTGCTGCAATCTTGTGATAAAACTTGAACAGATGAGAGGAGTTGCACTTTCGGATGAGTTTAAAAAGTGGTTTCTTCAGATAGAACCCACTCCTGATGAAGGTACTGTGAACATTGTGTAAATGACAACACATGATTTAGAATATTCAATAAACTTAACTGATAAAGAAGTTGCAGGGTTTGAGAAGGTTGATTCCAGCTTTGAAAGAAGTTCTACTATGGGTAAAATGATATTAGACAGCATCAGATGCTACAGAGAAATTATTTGTGAAAGGAACAGTCAATCAATTTGACAAACTTCTTTGTTGTCTGATTTTAAGAAATTGCCACAGCCACACCAACCTTCAGCAACCACCACCCTGATCAGTCAGCAGCCATCAACATTGAGGCAAGGCCATCTGCCAGCAAAAAGATTATGACTCAGGTTGAAGGCTCAGATGATTTTTAGCATATTTTTTAGTGATAAAATATTCTTAAATTAAGGTATGTACATAGTTTTTTTTTCCTATTATTGAGATGGAGTTTCGTTCCTGTTGCCCAGGCTGGAGTGCAATGGCGCAATCTTGGCTCACTGCAACCTCCACCTCCTGAGTTCAAGTGATTCTCTTGCCTCAGCCTTCTTTCCATTTTAAAGTACCAACTACTTCATTATTTACTAACTATATTTCTTACCTAAAATTTAAGGCACCATGTTACCCTGCTTCTTAAGCAATTTCCTGAAGTCACAGGTTTGATGTGTCTAGCTGTTTTTGAATACTCATTAGATAGCTAGAGAGATAGAAAGATAGATAAATATAAATATATATCATTCATAGATATTAGTTATATATATATATATAATACATATAACTACTAAATGAAGCTGTTAAAATAGGAAAAATATTCATAAATCATCCATTAATGGATGTCTTGTCTGGGAAACCTATAGGTTGCCTCCTAAGCCTCCTATAGCCTCCTAAGAACTTCATATCCACTCTTGTTCATTGGACTCTTGTCTATTGTCCAATGCATTCCCCCATATCACAGCCAGAGTGATATTTTGGACGTACAAATTTAATCATGTCACCCTTCTCTCCAACTTAAAATGCCTTAGTGGCCTCTCCTTGTTCAGCAAATGGCAACTCCATTTAACCAGAGTTCAGGCCAAGACCTTGGATTCCTCCTTGACTCCTTCTTTTTCACTAACACCCTTCATCTGATTCATCTGTACATCATGCAGTGTCTGCCTTTGAAATGCATCTGGAATCTGACCACTTCTTGTCACTTCCATCACCACCCTCATCCAAGCCATCATCTTTTTAAATTTTTTTTCAGCCTGGATTATTACAATGTATTACCAACAATTTTTTCCCCTTCTGCCCATACTCTCCTCCTGTCTATATCCACAGAACGGCCGGGATGATCCTTCTAAAACGTAAGTCAGATCGTCTTATTCTTACGCTCAAAGTGCTCCAATCACTTTCCATTCCATTCAGAGTCAAAGTCAAAGTCTTTAGCCCCAGGGCTCTTTAACCCTCTCCCTTTAAGTTCTCTTCCCAGATCCTTACTCTTCCTCTTGCTGACTGGGCTCCAGGCACAGTGGCTTCTTTGCTATTACTTAAATATTCAAAGCATGTTTTTCATCTCAGACCCTTTGCCTGTGCTGTTTCCTCTACTTGGAGCACCCTTCCTATAGCTGAATGGCTCTCTCCTTCACTTCTCTCTCTGCTCAAAATGTATCTTAGTAAAGGAGCTTTTCCAGTCACTCTTTCTAAAATAACACTTCACACCACCACTCTCTGTTTCTTTTTCCCTACTTCATTTGTCCTCGTGGTACCTTTCACCACCTGACACATTATAATTTTAATTTACTTCTTACTGCCTCCTACTAGAATGTTATCCCCATGAGGGCAGGGACTGTTTTGCTCATAGCTCAATCTTTGGTGCCTAGTACAATACCTATTTCTTGGTGAGTGCTCAAAAAATGTGTTGAATGAATACATTATATAAGAATGACTGAGTAAATGAATGAATGAATAAATGAACATGACCTACAAGGTCTTTTGTGGTCTACCTTCAACACCCCTCTCCAGTCTCCTTTCTCGTTCTGCACTCTCATACCATTGTGTGCCTTACTTGTCACTTGCCACAGCTCTAATTCTATATGTATTGATGGAATTTGATTGTCCACTCACAAAGGTAGGATGGTTTCTTTTCTATCAAGGTGCTCAATGAATAGATGAATACAGACCCAGATTCTAGTAATAGAACTGCAGCTAATTTTCTGCGTAACTCTGTACAAGTCAGTTTTTTCTCTCTGGCTGTCAATTTCCTTAACAGTAAAATGAGGGAAGCTTGTCTATACAAGACCTATTTTAACTTTCCCTTTTATTCTTCTAATTTTCTTTTGAAGTAAAGGTAGCCATATTCAATACCTGTCTTATAATTTTGGAAATAAAATCTAGGGGACTCAAAATGCATCTTACATGCTCAGTGAAGTAAACTCTTTTATTTGTTCTTGAACTCACTTCATTTTATAGGCAAAATTTACTTTCTGAGTTCTTTATGTCTTTTTTCTCATTCCTTGATCTTTTTCCTGGGAGGACACGTTACTGTGAAGCCTGTTTAACAGAGAGGAAGGTAGGATGAGTTATGGGAGAGCTACACTAGAGTTCTCTCCCAACCCCGGCTCTTCCCACAAATCATGCCACCTCCTGAAAATGGGCTGATCCCTTTGTGGCTTGTCTGTTCCCTCATTTATCTCAACATAGGAATGTTAAGGACACTGTTCACTTTAAGAGGCTTCTTATGTGGTGAAAGCAGAAAATGTGCCCCTGCATTACGGAAGCAAAGCCCAGAAAAACATTTTAGGGAAGGACGGTTTCCAATTAAATTATTTTATCTCCTGTACTCAGATCTTTAAGTTTTCTGCTCGATTTCTGAAAATTGCAGAACTACCTGGAAAAGACCTTATCCAATCCAAGCCCCAAAGTTTATGGATGAAGAAACTGAAACCCCAAGAAACAGGGTGAATTATCTAAGATTACAAAACTAGTTAAATGCAGAACTGGGAGTAAAATCGTGGTCTGATTCCTAGTCTACTGTGTTCTTAGGCACACTTAGGTTCCTAGGAAACTCGAGGGACCTAACATCAGTTATCTAAGTTGATGAGGTGGGCATGACTAAGTTAATGCAAATCAGCCCTCCCACCACTGAATTCAGTACTGAATTTCAAGGCCCCACTTCACAGCGTGGGGTGTTCAATTATCTCTATTTTTAAGTATTCAAGAGTCAGATTGTGTTACAGACCAATCTGGGCTTAGTGGAGGCTGGGTATCGGTACCCAAAAACCTTTCATTTCAAATTCAAAGTAAATTCACTCTGTTTTCCCTCCAGGTGGCTCTTTGCTTTAGTTAGAGCATTTCCCTCACAACTTAAAGCCACTGTAGGAGGCTCCTATGTGCAAAGCTGTTGGTTCAAGCCCAAGTGGGTCAAAACAGATTGCTTGAAGAAAAAAGACTGTTTAATCAGAAGGCTCTTGTTTCAAATGGAAGAGCAACCTGAGGACTTTGGTGGGTGGCTATTTTTTTTTTTTTTTTTTTTTTGGAGGAGCTGTGGGACTCCAGGTGGCATTCAATCAAGAATATCTAGAGTATGTCACTGAATAAAGAATAGGTGTCTTTATGAGGCTGGGAGAGCCATCGTGTTGGTGGGGGGGAGGGGCTAAGAAGGTGGGTCCTCCCGGAGCCAGACTGTAAGATACTATCCTGACATTTCCAATTCCTAGCTGTGTGGCCTTAGGCTGGAAGCTAAATCTTTCTCTGCCTCAGTTTCCATAATGTCAAGTGGAGAATTAAAATTGGCATCTACCTTGGAGGGTTGTTATGAGTTTGAAATGAGTTAAAACATGTATGATGCTTTGGACCATCCCTGGCGCGTAAAACATATTAGCAACTGTTTTCCTCATTACAGTTATTGATATGATTTTTGTCTCCTTTCTTTCTTGTCTTGGAATCATGCCCGTAAAAGGGGATGTTCTCCAGGAGAGGATGCCTCCCTTTAGACCTGCATGACAACACGTGCCACAGCGCATGGGGAGGTGAGGACAGGAATGGTTGCAAATTGTTCTGTGAAAGGGCCATATATGCAAAGCAGCCCCCACATGCCAAATGAGATGGAAAAAAAAGAACAAGGCAGACAAATCCAGTTTGTCGGTAAAGGGTGTTTGATTAGGAAACTTAGAGATGGAAGCATGGTCTTGGGCAGCTGCAAGACAGGTAGATCTCTGTACCTGTTACCCCTAGACCCAGGGCTTATATATAATAGGGAAAGGGTATAAGTGCTCTATGCAAGACAATTAAAGGCAACCCTCCAGAACAGGTGAGCATGTTATATGTGTCATAACCTATAATTTGTGTGAAAATATGAAGGTTGGCATGTTCTTACACTAAGGAAAGTAAATAAAGTAGGAATCAGGAGGCATTCTCAGGACTGGGGCTAATAAGAAGTCAACATGGCAGATCAGCATCCAAGTTGGAGTCACATTTTTGGCCACACAAATTCATTTTCCCCAATCCTTTTTCTGTTGGGAAAAGCTGAATATTTCCCCTCTTACGTCGTTTATTTTTTTCTATATATTTTGTGTTGTGGTAGACACAGAGATGGGCCATCCAAATTCTTCTTTAAACAAGGACTTGTCACCCCAGCTGTAAGAACATGCCCTTCAGTTGTCACCTCTGAGCTGCAAGGGGCCATCTCACCAAAGGTTATGCCCTTCCGGGGACATCCCATATTTAATGACTGATCACAGCTCTAATATTAAGAAGTGGCTATTTTGCTCCAACATAGGACACTCTGAGGGTCCATATACTTTTCAGTGACCCCCTCACATTGCCAGAGGCTTTCTTGGCCTGCATTGCAGTTTGACATGCCCCTCTGCCCAGTCCTGCTGCTTCAGCCCCACTCCCACAGAGGTTGATTCCTAATACATACTCTGCTTGCAAACTCCATCTCTGCATCTGCATCTGGAGAACTCACCCTGTGAAAATTGACTTCCAAAGGCTATTATTAATTTAGAAAATGTTTGGAAGCCACTGACAAAATATAAAAATTTGGAAAGTTATTTGATCTCTCATCGTCTCAATAAAATGAGGGCAATTATCTCTAATTTGCAAAGTTGTTGTATTAGAAGTAGTAATGTGCCAAGTCTGTGACAGTGATCTCTGTAAGAGTTAATTTGAGACTCCCTCCACTTTGCCTCCTTGTTTTGTTCAATTTTCTTTTTCCTCTTCCCTTTCCTAACTTGGTCAGAATTTTATTTTATTTCAGTTTCTTTTTCTCTTCCTTTCCTATCTCTCCATTTGTTACCTTCTTTCAGTTTTATTTTAGTGCTTTAATCAATGTTATTGAGGTATAATTTACATACAATAAATGCATACATTTTACTGTGCAGGCAACGACTTTTGAAAAATGTGTACACATGTGGATCCACCACCACAATCAAAATATAGAACATTTCCATCACCACAAAAGGTAGTCTTGTACCTCTTCCCATTCTTTCTCCAACTGCAAACATAGCCTAGGTAACTATTGATCTGCTTGTTACCATAGATTAAATTTGTCTTTTAGAGTTTCATATGAATTCAATCCTACAGTAGGTACTCTTTTCTGCCTGGCTTTTTCTCTTAACATAATGTTTCTGAGATTATTCAGGTTGTTGTGTGCACCAGCAGTTTGTTCTTTTTAATTGCTGCACAGTTTTCTATTGTATGAATGTATTACGATTTGTTTCTCTATTTACCAGGTGTTGGAAATTTGGTTGTTTCCAGTTTGGGACCATTCTGAATAAATCAGCAATGAACATTTATGTACAAGAATTTCTGTGGTTATATGTCTTCATTTCTTCTGGGTAAATATGTTGGAGTAGAATTACTGAGTCATATGTTAAGCGTATGTTCAACTTTATAAGAAAATTCCAGTATTATGTTGCATACTTGGAGTCACATTTGTCGTTGTGGCAGATACATGTTGCAAGTATGCATGTTTCAGTTGCTCCACATACATATTCCCCACCAACTTGGCATTGTCAATTTTTTTTTTTTAATTTTAGCCATCCTAGTAGGTAGGAAGTAGAAGTATCTCACTGTAATTTTAATTTGCATTTTTCTGATGACTAATAATATTAAGCATCATTTCATGACTTAATGGCATTTTGTATATTTTTTGTGAAGGTTTTGTTAAAATATTTGCTTATTTTAATTGAGTTGTTTTCTTAGTTTTGAGTTGCGTAAGTTTGGTATATATTTTAGATACAAGTTGTTTCTTAGGTATATGTACTGTGAATATTTTCTCCTGATTTGTGTCTTGCCTTATTTTCTTTAGGTCACTTTTGAAGTAAAAGTTTTAAATTTTGATGAAGACAACCGATTTATTATTTTTGCTTTTATCATCCATCCTCTTTGTGTCCTGAGAAAACTTTGCCTATTCTAAGGTGGCAAAGACTTCCTCATACTTCACTCAATTTTTTTTTTTTTTTTTTTTTTTTTTTTGTCTAGAAGCATTCAGTGTTTTAGGTTTCGCATTTAGGCCCATAATCCATTTTGAGTTAATGATTTTGAAGGATATGAGGCACGAATCTCATTTTTCCATAAAGATGCTTACTTCTAGTACCAGCTGTTGCAAACTCTTTCTTGTCTCGCATTGAATTACTTTGGCACCTTTGTCAAAGTCATCTGACCTTATTTATGGAATCTATTTTTTGTTATCTGTATTCTGTTATCTGTATGTCTATCCTTATGCCAATAACAAGCTCTCTTGATTCTTGTGGCTTAATCAAGTGTGAAAGCCCTTAAATCCTGTTTTTGTTTTTCTAGTATAGTATTTTGGCTACTCTAGGTCCATTGCACTTTCATATTAATTTTAAAATCTGCTTGCCAATTTCTACAAAAATGCCCACTGTGATTTTGATCAGAATTGCATCAAATCTATCTAGGGAGAATGGATATCTTAAAAAGATTGAGTCCTCCTCTCCATGAACATGGTATAAATCTCTTTTTATAATCTAAGCCTTAATTTTTCTTAGTAATGTAATTTATTCTTTATTGTAGACATCTTGCGTCTCTTTTTTTTTTTTTTTTTGAAGCAGGGTCTGGCTCTGTCACCCAGGCCAGAGTGCCATGGTGCAATCTTGGCACATTTCCACCTCTGCCTTCTGGGCTCAAGCAATTCTCATCAATTTCCATTCTCCATTATTCCTTCCTTCCACTTACTTTGAATTTAATTCACTCTTCTTTTTATAGTATTTTAAGGGCTAAATTTAGGTAATTAATTTTGGGCTTTTTCCCTAAAATTATCATTTGATGATTGACAATTTCTTCTAAGAGAGTACTGACCAATAGTCCTTTCTGTGATGGTTTACTGTTCAATAAGGTGGTCACTAGTCTCACATGGTTACTGAGCACTTGAAATCTGGCTAGTGTGACAGAGAGCATGCATTTTTATTTTATCAGTCTTGTATAATTAAAATTAAAATGTTAGTGGTCAAACATGGCTGGTGGCTACTGTATTAGACAGCACATCTCTAAGTACCACTACATCCCACAAACATTGATGTTTGTTTTCATTTTCATTCAGTTCAAAATATTTTCTAATTTCCCTTGAGATTTCTTCTTAAACTCATGGGTTACTTATAAATGTGTTGTGTAATTTCCAAATATTTGGACATTTTTATTAATTTCTAATTTAATTGCATTTTCTTCAGAGAAAATATTGTGTATGATTTCAGTATTGACATTTATTGTATTGCATAGCATAGAGTCTACTTTGGTGAATTTACCATGTGCATGTAAGAATGTGTATTCCATAGTTTTTGGTATAATGTTCTATTCATGTCATTTGGTCCATTTGCTTTACAGTGTTGTTGAAGTACTCTACATGTTTTATAATTTACTGAGAGAGAAGTTTTAAAACTTCTAGTTGTAATTATGGGTTTTTCTGTTTGTCCTTTTCATTCTTTCAGTTTTTTTCAGATATTTTGAAGTTCTGTTGTCATGTTTATGCACATTTAGAATTATTATATTTTCTTGAAGAACTGATTCCTTTATTATTATGAAATAATCCTCTTTATCCATTATAATGATTCTTGTCTTGAAGTCTGCTTTGTCTGGTTTTAATTTAGCCACTCTAGCTTTCTTTTGATTATCAGTTGCAATATATGTCTTTGCCATGCAATTACTCTTAGTATATTTGTGTCTTCATATTTAAAGTGAGTTTATTTAAGACAGCCTATAGTTGAAACTTGCATTTTACCCAGTTCAATAATGTGCCTTTTAATTGAAGAGTTTAGACTATTTACATTTAGTATATTTATGTTTGAGTTTAAATCTAATAATTTGCAATTGTTTTCTATTTTCTATTTGTCCTACTTGTTCCTTGTTTATTTCTCCTTTTCCTCTTTTTAGATAGATCCTTTATACTTTTCACCTTATTTCTACTAGTGGCTTATTAACTATACTTCTGATTCATTTTTTTTAAAGTGTTTGCTCTAAGATGTTCAATATGCATTTTAAACTTAGCAGTCTATCTTCAAATATTGAAAAACTTTATATATAATGTAAGGCATTTGTAACAATACAATTTATTTTCTCTTGCTCATCTCTTGTGGCTTCTATACAATTACTTCTATACAATTATAAACCTTCAAATACATTGTTTTCATTATTGTTTTAAACAGTCAACTATCTTTTTAAAAATTTTCAAATAAGAAATGTATCTTTTATTTACCTATTTAACATTTCTGATACTCCTTATTTCTATATGTAGATTTAAGTTGTCATCTGATACATATTTTTTCTTGTTCTGCTGGCAATGCATTCAGTCAGTTTTAGCTTATATGAAAATGCTTTTATTTTTTAAAGTTATTTTCTCTGGGCATAGAAGTCTAAATTGAAAATTTCTTCCAGCACTTAAATATATTGTTACATTGTCTTCTGGCTTTCATAATTTTTGATGAGAAACTTGCTGTAATTCCTATATTTGTTCCACTTTATATAAGGACCCTTATTTTTCCATTTAGCCAGCTTAATATTTTCCTCTTTATCATTGGTGTATTAGTCTGTTTTCACACTGCTATAAAGAAATACCCCAAACTGGGTAATTTATAAAGGAAAGAGCTTTAATAGACTCACAGTTTTGCATGGTTGGGGAGGCCTCAGGAAACTTACAATCATGGTGGAAGGTGAAGGGGAGGCAGGCACCTTCTTCACAAGGCGGCAGGAAAGAGAGAGAGGGCACGGAGAAACCATCACTTATAAAACCATCAGATCTCATGAGAACTCACTCACTATCACGAGAACACCATGGGGGAAACCAACTGCATGGTCCAGTCACCTCCCATGAGGTCCCTTCCTCAACACATGGGGATTATGGGGATTACTATTAGAGATGAGATTTGGGTGGAGACACAGAACCAAACTATATCAACTGGTTTTTCACAATTTAATTATGATTTGCTGTGGTTTTCCTTATGCTTGCCCTGTTTGGGGATCATCATGCTTCTTCAGTCTTTGTTTACAGTTTTCTTCAAATTTGGAAAAATATTGGCAATATAATTTTACATAATTCCCTTTGGTGGGATTCTAATTACACATATACTATGTTTGACACCTTGATGTTTTTCCATATATCATTGAGAATCATCATCTCTTTCTCCTTTTTCTCCTCCTCCTCTTTATTTTTCCTCCTCTTTTTCAAGTCTTCTTCCTCTCTTTGCTTCATTTTGGAGAGTTTATCTTGTATTGTGTTCAAATCCACTCTTTTTTTTTTCTTTCAGTTTGTAATCTACTTTTAGTCCTATCCAGTTATATTTTTATTTCAGATTTTTTTCATCTGTAGAATTTCTTTTTTATATATCTTCCATTTCCCTCTTCTTTATATTTATTTTTTCCTTAATTCTAAAGCATAATAATCATAGCTGTTTTAAAGTTCCTGTCTACTAACCATGTCTCTGTAATTTCTAGATTTTTTACTGTAGACCTACATTCCTCCTGTTTATATATTTCCTCTTTTTATACATTTGTAGTAATTTTTCATTAGATTCTTAACATTATAAATTTTATGTTCAGGGCTAGATTTTGTTGTCTTCCTTTAAAAAGTGTTTTTGGGCTTTGTTCTGGCAGTCATTTAGATTATTGACAGATCAATTTGATTAATCTTTCCAGATTTATTTTTTAAAACCTTTATTAGGGAATGTCTATAGCAGGTTTTAACTTTATGGCTAGCATTACTAAGGGTTGACCCTTCTGTGTTCTCTACTGAATGCTGTCTCTGTTAAACAAGGACATTTCACTTTGGCTCATGTGTGCTCAAAATAGTCCCAATCACATGTGAACCATATGATTACTCTTCTTATAGCTCCCTGGAAACTGGTCTCCCTTCAGAAGTGCTTTTTGCACAGAATTTTGTAGAATTTTACCCAGTACAAGTGCAGATTAATATTTGGCCAAAGACTAAAGAGGACCCATATATTTCTGAAGCTTTTTCTCTTCTCTATTACTCTTCCTTGCACACTCTTTCTTTATTATTATTATTATTATTATTATTATACTTTAAGTTCTAGGGTACATGTGCACAACATGCAGGTTTGTAACATATGTATACGTGTGCCATATTGGTGTGCTGCACCCATTAACTCGTCATTTAATTTAGGTAAATCTCCTAATGCTATCCCTCCCTGCTCCCCCAATCCCACAACAGGCCCCTGTGTGTGATGTTCCCCTTCCTGTGTCCAAGTGTTCTCATTGTTCAATTCCCACCTATGAGTGAGAACATGCGGTGTTTGGTTTTTTGTCCTTGCGATAGTTTGCTGAGAATGATGGTTTCCAGCTTCATCCATGTCCCTACAAAGGACATGAAATCATCCTTTTTTATGGCTGCATAGTACTTTCTAAGCCTCCTTGAATGCTGAACTCTGTCTCTTCAACTCAGTAAGAGTTTTGGAGGATCTTTGGGTTTCCTCTTTCTGCACTGAGTTTTGGAAATTACCTCTAGTTGGAACTCCTAGGTACTCACAGGGCTTACCTAATTTGTTTTCCATCTCTCAGACATCACAGTCCTTCTCTGCTGCCTATTGGTAGGTTTCTGAAAACTTTTGTTCCGTATATTTTGTTCAGTTTTCTAGTTGATTATGGCCTAGCAGTAAGTCCAAACTTTGTTTCTTCCTAATGGCCAGAAGAATATGTCATAATTTTAATTTTTATCTGAAGTTATACATATAATTTAAAGAGTAAAATAGTTTTGCAAAGTTGTTATAAAGCAAAACAAAACTACACACTCCCTTGTGCTTAACCCTGTTGCTCACTCCCAAAGGCAATCACTTTTAAACCTTTCTATTGATTAGCAACTGGGACTACAGGTGTGTGCCACCATGGCCAGCTAATTTTTGTATTTTTTTTGTAGAGATGGGGTTTTTCCAAGTTACCCAGGCTGGTGTCAAACTCCTGGGCTCCATCAATCTATCTGCCTTGGCCTCCCAAAGTGTGGGGATTATAGGCATGAGCCACTGTGCCTGGCAAAGTCTTTAGCTTTTAAACACTTACTTCCTACCAGGGAATGTAGAGTTGACTCTCTATCATGTTCTCCAAACTTATCCAATACATATGCTTTTCCCATCCCCCATCCTTTCAATATTATTATATTGTTATTTTGGTTAGATAAATAGTCAGTATACATTATTATGGTATGTGAATATTTTTCCTAGCTGGGCCTCATGGTATACTATAATATTTTTATTGCATACATTTTTTTTAGTTTTCCTGGAGTTGATAACTCTTGATTTTTTTTATTTGCTTAATTTTCTAGGACTAGAAAAGTTCATCTCCAAATCTCCTTTAGTTTTTTATTTCTGTTTTTATTTTATTCAAACAGCTCAGATATGTTATTTCTATCATGCTACTGGAGAAGTTTCTAGAGCCTTTTGACCTTCTCTAACATGATCTTGTCCTCTGAGTCCTGGGTGTAACATTTGTCTTAGCATCTTAGTTTACCATCATCCTAAGGTTTACCTCTGCCTTTCTCTTGGGTTAGCCCTGTTCCCTATATCCCATATTTTCTTTTATGAGACGGAGTCTCACTCTGTTGCCCAGGCTAGAGTGCAGTGGCCCAATCTTGGCTCACTGCAACTTCCATCTCCCGGGTTCAAATGATTCTCCTGCCTCAGTCTCCTGAGTAGCTGGGATTACAGGCACGTGCATGCCTGGATAATTTTTGTATGTTTAGTGGAGATGGAGTATGATCATGTTAGCTAAGCTGGTCTCAAACTGCTGGCCTCTAGTGATTCACCTGCTTTGGCCTCCCAAAATGCTGGGATTACAGGCATGAGCCACTGCGCCTGGCCACCTATATCCCATATTTTTTTCCTTTGGTTCACTAAGTTTTTTTTTGGTGGAGCAAATCTTCTGGCAATTAACTGAGAAAGGTACATAAGAAGTCTTTTTGTTTTATTTCCTTTCATTTTTATTTGTTTGCTTTTTAAAAAGTTATATGCCTTAATTTTACCTGCCTATTTGATTAATAGTTTGGCTGGTTACATTTTATGAATACTTTCTATCTGATTGAAGATATTTTCTCTCCTTATTTTCTAAGTGTTTTTTCATAAATGAGTTTTAACTTTCATCAAATGCCTTTTCTGCCGGTAGCAATAAATATAAAGGTTAGATTTTTTTTCTTCAGAAATTGGAAAGCTTTTCTCCATTTCTTCTAGCTTTCCAGTGTTACTATTGTGATACTGGACTCCCTGTATGTGACCTATTTTTTTTTCTTTCCAGAAGCTTTTAAGATTTTTTTCTTTATCTCTAATGTTCTAAAATTTCTTGATGATACATTCTGATATATTTTAACACTGGTTTCCCAGAAAGTAAACTTGAGGCAAAGGCTTATTTGCTATTACTTTATTGGGAATGCAAATCCAGACATTAAGAGTAAGTGACAAGGAGGGTGAAACAGAAAAGAAGTAGAGCCAATATGAAGATGAATGACCAATGCCCTGACATCATGGAACTATCCCTATTGCACAGAGTGCACCTGAGGATCATCTACCCGAGGTAAGAACGGTGAAAGAAGTTCCTCCTTGAGCTGCCACTTCCCACTGGTCAAAGATTTGTCCCGAACTTCAGGGTGGGAACATGTGTGGTGTAAAATAGGGTTCTGGGGCATCCCGCTCTTCAATGCCAACCAAAAGCCTTAGGGCAAGGTCAAAAGGCCTGCAGTACTGGCATGAGGTGAGATACATGTGAAGCTTGGCAGAGCCTGGCAGATCTGGTTGTCATCACAGCGACTGAAATGAGAGACAACGGGGACCAAGAGGATCTGATGTGATACATAAGAGGTGTCTGATTCAGTGCGGGTCTTTTTTGCTTCCATCATACTGAGCTTTTGATGAGCCTTTTCAGTCTGGAAAATTATGTTGTTCAGTTTGGGAAAATTTTCTTGAATTATTTCTTTGATGGTTCCCTCCCTTCATTTTCTCTGTCTTTTCTTTCAGAAACACCTGTTAATCAGATTTTAGACCATCTGGACTCTTCCTGAAATCTTCTTATGTTTTCTCCCTTATTTCCATACTAGGTCATATTGGCCTACTTTTTGGGAAGATTTTTCTCAACTCTACCTTCTAGAGTTATTTGGACTTTTATAAATTTCTACTGCCATTTAAATTCCCAAAGGATTTTTTTATTGTTATTGTTTCTGAATATATATATGTACACACATACACACACATTTTATTTTTGTTCAATGGTTGCACTATTTGTCTTTGAATTCTCTAGATATTAATTATGGCTCATGTGTGATTTTCCAGATTTTCTTCTTCATAAAAATATATTGTTTCCTCTCTGTTATATCCCTTCTTATTAATTGAAACTTCTATCTTCATATTAGAGTTGTTTTCCAAATGTTTGCTGCTTATATGTAAGAGTGGGACCCCAAAAAGCTAATTGAAAGCTCTTTGTGCATGGCTAAGCCATTTAATTAAAAAACTTTCAATGTCATCATCTTCAAAGCAGCTGGTCAGATCCCTAGAGAAAACTCTTAGAATCTTTGACCTAAAGGGTATATGCCAGGCTGCCAATACTATGGAATCCAAGTGAGGCAAAGGTTGGGAGGGTCATAAAATGTACTATACAAACTTTTACACATCCTCTTTTTTTTTTTTTTTTTCTGGTTAGGGCTCCCACTGTCAATTTTATCTGGAGTCTCCCAGCCAAAAACCTTCTATTTTACCTTCTCCGGAGAATGAGCTCTGCTTTTCTCCCAAGAGAGGGAAGGAATCTTGGAGACTGTTTGTTCAAAACACTTAGAACCAACCATTCTGATTTTAACCTTACCTTCATGCTTCCAGAGGTACCTAGCACCAGTAATTCCTGGGCCTTCAGGAGTTCTACAGTGTAAAATGAGCTGCTTCTCGCTTCTCCTCACTGCCAGTTTAGGATTTAGCTTCTTGGGTCTGCTAAGTCATCCATCTCTTTTTCAGTTTCCAAAAGTCTGTGGCTGGGATCTCTTCTGATCTCTTTGTGGTATCTTTTTCCAAATCTTTTTCCAGGAATGTAAACATATATTTGAAGGTCTGCTTTTTCTTCTACTCTAACAAATATAGATGTTGACCGCATTCAGTCTAGTGGCAATTCCACTGTTCCTTGTGCCTTGGAAAATGTAGGGCCCCTCAATGTATGTGTATTATAATAGCATTTGTGTCTCTTAATGTGTCAATTCTGACTTAAATGAGGGGTTACCAAAGACTGACAGTATAGTATATAAAAGTAAGCCTCATTCATGAACTCATGAACTTTGTTTTTTTGTTTTGTTTTGTTTCTTTGTTTTTGAGACAGAATCTTGCTCTGTTGTGCAGGCTGGAGTGCAATGGCGTGATCTCAGTTCACTGCAACCTCTGCCTCCCGGGTTCAAGCAATTCTCCTGCCTCAGCCTCCCGAGTAGGCTGGGATTACAGGTGCCCACCACCACACCTGGCTAATTTTTTGTATTTTTAGTAGAGACGGGGTTTCACCATGTTGGCCAGGCCGGTCCCAAACTCCTGACCTCAGGTGATCTGCCTGCCTCAGCCTCCCAAAGTGCTGGGATTACAGGCATGAGCCACCGTGCCCGGCCTCATTCATGAACTTTGACTTCATCTAAATACAGTACAGTAGAAGTGCAAATCCTTCAGCTGATTTGATTATTTTCCCCACTGCACTCAGCTTCTAGGTGAGAGAAACAAATTCAAAAGTAACAACCGGGAATTTAGTTAAATTTAAAAATAAATATTCTGGTATGTGTTCTGGGGCTGAAGAGATGTGGGGCCACATTCTACACTTTCTGTATCTAAATGACAAAAAGACATTGCAAATGATGACCTGACGGCACTAAAATATATTGTATCAAATAAACATTAAATTATGTTCTATCTTTACTTAGTAAAGTGGAAACTTAGACATTTCAGAAGAGGTTTTAGCAGTGAGAGTAGACATGAAGGTATTTCAGGTTAGCTGTAAGACATTCACCAGAATGTTCTAATTCCCTAAGTTATTCTAGCTTTATGGCACAGAAGTAAGTAAATGAACAGTTGTGCAGAATATTTAACTAAGGAGTGTGCTTAGTTAGAAGAAGCTGAGTCTACAGAATTGTAGGCTTGAGCCTACATTCAACACAGCAAACTATTTTTCACCCAGAATCTGTTTTAGTGATTGCTTTGCAGTTGCTGCCTCTAATGAAACTTCAGAATCATAATAAATCATTGAAGCATTCTTGTATGGAAAACTAATACTTCACATGACAACTTTAAAAAATCCCCAGAAAACACTCTTGAGACAGATCTTTCACTCTGGGCTCTGGGGGACACAAACGAATATGTCTTTTTCCTCGAGGGTCTCACAATTTCATCAGGGAGAAAGATATTACAGTAGTCCCCCCAGTTCACGGTTTCACTTCCCATGGTTTCAGTTACCTGCAGTCAACCACGGTTTGAAAATATTAAATGGAAAATTCCAGACATAAACAATTCATAAGTTTTAAATTGTGTGCCCTTCTGAATAGTGTGGTGAAATCTCACACCTTCCCACTCCATCCCGCCCAGGATGTGAATCATCCCTTTGTCCAGCGTATCCACGCTGTACATGCTACCCGTCGGTTAGTCATCGACATCATCTGCTCCTGACATCTGACCATCAAAATCGTCATGGCTCCATGACCCAGGATCACCTGAAGCAGATGATCCTCTTTCTAATGTAGCACCAGAAGGTAAATAATAGCCTAACACTACATACATCACAACACCTACGTCATTCATTTCACTTTCTCTCATCATGTAGGCATTTTTATCATCTCACGTCATTGCAAGAAGGGTAAGTACATTGTAATAAGATACTTAAGAGAGAGAGATCACATTCAAATAACTTTTATTACAGTATACTGTTATAGTTGTTGTGTTTTATTATTAGTTGTTTTTACTTTCTTACGGTGCCTGATTTATAAATTAAACTTTATCATAATTATATATGTATAGGACAAAACATGGTATATATAGGGTTTGGTACTATCCATGGTTTCAGGCATCCACTGGAGGGCTTGGAATTTAAGACCCCAGAGGCTAAGGAGGGACCACCTAATATACAAATATGAGTATAAATTGGGAGGGTGCATGCTGTGTTAGTGATAGGAATGTTAATGGCATTTCTTTAGTTGTAATATAGAGGAGATAAGAAAAGCCACCTACCTGATTCCTCAGGGATCTAGAACTAGAAATACCATTTGACCCAGCCATCCCATTACTGGATATATACCCAAAGGATTATAAGTCATGCTTCTATAAAGACACATGCACACATATGTTTATTGCAGCATTATTCACAATAGCAAAGACTTGGAACCAACCCAAATGTCCATCAACGATAGACTGGATTAAGAAAATGTGGCACATATACACCATGGAATACTATGCAGCCATAAAAAAGGATGAGTTCATGTCCTTTGTAGGGACATGGATGAAGCTGGAAACCATCATTCTAAGCAAACTATTGCAAGGACAAAAAACCAAACACTGCATGTTCTCACTCATAGGTGGGAATTGAACAATGAGAACACTTGGACACAGGAAGGGGAACATCACACACTGGGTCCTGTTGTGGGATTGGGGGAGCGGGGAGG
The DNA here is from genome assembly GCF_000001405.40 of Homo sapiens. Classification (NCBI taxonomy): domain Eukaryota; kingdom Metazoa; phylum Chordata; class Mammalia; order Primates; family Hominidae; genus Homo; species Homo sapiens. Next base: position 157,671,322 of record NC_000002.12, on the reverse strand, counting down.
GATAGCATTAGGAGATATACCTAATGTAAATGACAAGTTAATGGGTGCAGCACACCAACATGGCACATGTATACATATGTAACAAACCTGCATGTTGTGCACATGTACCCTAGAACTTAAAGTATAATAATAAAAAAAAGATAATAATAATTTTGCAAGAGGGAAAAATAAACCTGTGCTTCAAAAATTAAAAAAAAAAACAAAGGAGAGCCACCTACCTACCTCAAGAGGCAGGTGGAGTCACCCAACTAAAGGAGAAATAAATCGAAGTCATTCTTGCTTTTGTTTCTTAGCTCATCCCTAGGTCTTTGGTGGTAGCAACTCAGGGGAGTAGTTTAGATACAGAAAGTTAGAATAGTGGCAGCTCCAATGAGTATATTTTAATATATAGTTTGGGTTTCCCAAATTTCAAGATCATATTTCATATATATAAAGCATATTTTATATACATGTACATATTAATCAGGTTTCTTCTGTTGACTGAAACCCATCTTAAAACACTTTAAGCAAGAAAAAAATTTTTATTGACCTACGTGATTGACAAAGTCATTGGTAGAATGAGTCAGATATGAATGGATCTGGATGCTTAGATAATGTCAGCAAAAATTTATTTATCTCCTGGCTCTGCTTTCCTCTGTGTTGACTTGACTTTTAGTCAGACTTTGTCCATGTGATGGGAATTATGGCCAACTTGAGTCTGTGGCCCATACAGAGTTTTCATATTGGAAGATTAGAGAAGCTTCAGTCTTAGCGCCCATATATATAAAAAAAAGTCTGGAGGGAACCCTGACTGCCTACTTTGTGGACCAGTAATGATAGCAAGAGGATGACTGATCAGGCCTTGATCACATGGGATGAATGAAAAGCAGTTCCTTAGCGAAAAGGTGCACTAGGAATGGAGAGACAGTAAGTGTTGTTACAGACTTGGAACAACTCAGTTTGGCTTAATTTATGCCAGTAAACAATGAAATATATCTGTTTCTTGAGTTCAGGTTGTATACATAGTAAGAGTCACTGACTTTGACATAGGTGGAGGATTGGATTTGGGAATATTATGCATTTATATATAAACTATCCCATCTTCTAGGAATTTTCCATCATCAACAACCCTACTCATGAAACTATGTTACTAATTGGAGACCCAGTTCCTGTTTTTTTTTTGTTTTTTTTTGAGATGGAGTCTTGCTCTGTCGCCCAGGCTGGAGTGCAGTGGTGCCATCTTGGCTCACTGCAAGCTCCGCCTCCTGGGTTCACGCCATTCTCCTGCCTCAGCCTCCCGAATAGCTGGGACTACAGGCAGCCGCCACCACGACCGACTAATTTTTTGTATTTTTAGTAGAGACGGGGTTTCACTGTGTTAGCCAGGATGATCTCGATCTCCTGACCTCGTGATCCGCCACCTTGGCCTCCCAAAGTGCTGGGATTACAGGCGTGAGCCACGGCGCCCGGCCCACTTCCTGTTATTAACATTAGCAAATCTGGCATTCACAATCATAGTGTGCTAATGAAGGGACTGAAGACTATGTTCAACAGGACTTAGTGGATCTTTTAGAATTCTTTCTGGGTTTTTTCCTTTGTTAATGTTTCCTAGGGTTCTTCTGAGTATTCACACTTTCTATTTTTCCTGGAGATTCAGAAGCATAGAAAATTGCGCTTACTGAAGTTCAGTCTGGAAGACCTTAACTGATGAGTTTAAGAATAGAATCTTCGGAATGTCACGTGAGGAGGAAAAAAAAATACTCATGGAGAAAGGAGCAAGTGATTCAAAATCTAGCCAGAAGACCAAGGCCTTCAGACCTGAAAGAGCTTAAGGGGCAGAGAAAACTTCAAGTCTCTGGGGTGGAGTAGAACATTGAGTGCTATGGCAACTTTACAGATTTAGCATTATTAGGTGATTCAGGTATATATGAAAGAATGAGAAGGAGAGAGACAATGACTGGAAAAACATGGCTTGGAAGGTAAGCTGGCAGTATGGGCAGATAGGTCTTGGGCATCAGAAATAGCGCATAGGCCTCAACTGGTTATTTAGTAGAGACTGTCTTGAACAATGTGTCGAGGAGGATTCAGAAGCTTCGGGGAAAAGGGCTGAATCATTTCTAAAGGTCAGCCGGAGGCCTGAGCACGGAAGCAGATGTATAGCCCCAGTAATTCTCACAAGGACATTTGGTAGACCGGTCTAAGGAAATATCTAGAACTCAAATCTAAACACTAATGTATAGGTTGCTGCAAAGAACAGGAAATCAAAATTATAAAATGCTTTCCTCTGTCAAGTATTGCAAAAATTAAAATAAACACATTAAGAGATTCCTCAAGATTGTTGGTTGTAGGGTAGAGTTTGGGGGGATGGACAGAAAAACTCATAAAGGTGATTGTGTTAATGATTTCAAAAATTACTTGTTAATTTTTGGGAAACAATGTTTGCTTAGCCAAACAAATGCAAGGACTATTAGAGCAGACTGATAATTAGCAATCAGACATTGACTAATCTTAATGTGTATTTGTCAGTTTTGATTGCCATTTAATCAATTTAATGCTGCTATTTTATATACAAGGTAGTACAGTTTCCCAAGCACCTTCAAAAGTGTTTTCCTTCATTAAGCAATCAAACGTTTATTGAGAATCTACTACATTCCAGGTGTGCTAGGCTCTGGGATCCAAGGCTGGTTATGACACATTTTCTCTCCATTTGGAGTCAGCAATGTATTAAATATATCTGTTTCTTGAGTTCAGGTTGTATATATAGTAAGAGTCACTGACTTTGGCATAGGTGAAAAGGATTGGATTTGGGATATTGCACATTTATATATAAATTATCACACTGTTTGCCATTACTTTTAATAGCAAAAACCACAATTACTTTTGCACCAACCTAATCATAACCATTCCTCCAGCCTCAGGATTTAGGGAATACTTTGCAGAGAGGTAACATTTGAGAAAGGCCTTTAACGGTTGATTAAATGCTATTGGCTCCAAAATTCTCCCTTCCCACCCCACTCCATTCACCTTCAGGCTTTAGTTTAATTACCAAATATTTATTGAATATTTTTAAAGTGCAAAGTACTGGTGATGGACTCTGAGGATATGGAGTAAAAAAGGGCAAAGTCTTTATTGTTCTTAAGAAAGTTAAAGTTGGCTGATTGGAAGACATGGATAAGTGAAACAAAAATAACAGTAGTGTGAAGAATGTTTTAAAATTTAGAGGAGGGCAAGGCAGGAAATAGAAGAATAAATTCGAGACCTGTGGCAGCAATCCAGGGGCAAAATGACGAAGACTTGAAGGCGGTAGAAGCAAACTCAAGTTTCTCATCGAAAGGATAATGTTATAGTTCTCATGTAAATTTGGATTCCAAAAGAAATGACCATCTTTATTGGGAGGCTATATAGCATAGTGGTAAAAAGTACAGTTCTGGAGACAGTCTACCTAGATTTAATATAAATGTAGACAATGTATTTCATCTTAATTTTTTCGTCTGTAATATAGTATAGGAAACAGTAATAGTACCTATATCCCAGGGTTATTGTAAAGATTAAATGAGTTAATCTAGGCCAAACTCTGTATTCCTTGGTGCATAGTAAGATCTCAATAAATTCTTTCTAAAGACCAAAGACTAAGTTGTATTAGCATCCCTATTCAGGCTCTATCTCATTATGTGTGATAAATTTCAGACCCTTGTAACTTTAGACATCCTAGTTAATCAAGTGTGAGACTTGAGTGGAAGAAGATATCACAGACTGTGAGGTTTGCTTATTTTGTCAATATATAAAATCCATTTAAATGCTTTCTTTATTCACCAGAAGCAATCTTCCCCCCTCCATTTTTCTTAACTTTTGAAAAAAAATTGAGGTATAATTAACATACAGCAAAAAGCATAGCTCTTAAGTGTGCAGCTTGATGACTTTTTTCACATAGTGTATACCCATGTAACCAACACCTAGATCAAGATACAGAATATTTTCATCACTCCAGAAAGTTCTAAGTCCATCCTTAGCTGGTGCTTTACAATACCACTTTGGGCCATCAAAGGAGCTTGTCTGGTTTTCTTCTCAGGACTGCCATACCTGCATTCACCTCTCAGAGCCTAATTTTTACAAAGGGATAGCTCTCTCAAGGTCAGGACTGAGACTGTTGAATGTTAGAATAGTCTCCTAAAATATGACTATGTTAAAATCAATCCAACCATTTTCAAAGCCAGGCCCCACACCCCTTTACTGGTATTGCCACAGCATCTGAAATTTGAACTTTGGTAGAGGCTGTAACATATAACAAGAGAACATTGGACCGGGCGCGGTGGCTCATGCCTGTAATCCCAGCACTTTGGGCGGCCGAGGCGGGCGGATCATGAGATCAGGAGTTCAAGACCAGCCTGGCCAACGTGGTGAAACCCTGTCTCTACTAAAAATACAAAAATTAGCTGGGCGTGGTGGTGGGCGCCTGTAATCCCAGCTACTCGGGAAGCTGAGGCACGAGAATCATTTGAACCTGGGAGACGGAGGTTGCAGTGAGCTGAGATCATGCCATTGCACGCCAGCCTGGGTGACAGGGCGAGACTCCATTTCAAAAAAAAAGGAACATCAAGTTCAGCTTCTCTGAGGAGATGGTCTGTGACCAACTAAGTTTAGGTATCATGCTATATCTTCCCTCTTGGGATTCCTCTTGCACGTTAGTATATTAAAAGTATGGAAAAATACTGTGCTAAAAAACCTGTTAGTCAAATGTTACTCAAAGGAACTCAAGCTTGAAATCCTTTCTCATGTTTCCAAGTTAAGAATTGGGACAGCCACAAACTGGCTGTCTTCCTTTCCCAACTTTCTCAATTTGGTAAAATTACTTTCTTAATTCTCCAGGTCCAAATCTTGAACCTTTATTTGATTCCCTATTTAAAGTCTCCTACAAAAATACTACTGATTCTTCAAAATCCTTCAAAATGTTGTATGTCCTCACCCATTCTATTTCTCATCAAAGCTTTAAAATACGTGAAGAAAATGACTGCAATCAATTATATCTCCTTTGAACCTTAGAGAGGTGCTTACTTGTGAAAAAGTTCAAGATTGTCATCAATGCTCCTCAACTCCTTCCATATCTTCATTGATACTGCTGCTTACTGTATTAATTATAAAGGCTTAGCTAGTATAATAGAGACTCCCAGAACATAGTGGGCTAAATAAAATATTAGTTGATTCCCTCTCGTATAATGGTCTTCATAGTTGGTCTAAGTTGTTTAAGCAGCTCTGCTCCATAAAGACATTCAGGGATCCACATTTCTTCTAATTATAGCTTTACCAGCCCTTGGTCATTATCATATCAAAGTTCCAGCCCATGTGAAAAAGAAAAGTCAAAAATCAAGAAAATAGTTTGTCTTCAGGTTAAAAATAAGCTGGGAGTGGCGCATGTCACAGAAGTTGGCCCCAACTTGGTCATATGGTCTCATTTAGCTGTGACCACATCTTGGCTATGTGCACAGGAAGGAGAGTAAAATGGATCTTAGGACAATTAATATTCTGCCTTACTATGTTATACTTCACTCTGGCCAAAAATATTTTATTCTCTCATTCATTCATTCATTCATTCATTCTTTCTTTCAGTGAGTCATTTATTCATTATTGCATTTGTTCAGTCATATGTTTAAGCACCTGCTCTGTCTTATTCTGATTGTTTTCTTAAAAGAGTTCTTACAAAGTTGAACAAATAGTGCATATTTTAAGACCGCTAAATAATCTGGGGGAGAGATTTTGGAATGAGGGGCTGTTTAATCTTTGTATCAGTGAGGTCATCTCTATGGGAATGTTCACCCTGCCAGCAAATCAAACGAGCCCACTCTAGTGGTTGAAAGACTATTTGGAATGAAACTTGCTGATTCGGTGTATTGAAGTACTTTTGGATGCATCTCTCTTTCATTCTGAAATGTGAGTAATTAGGGAAGAAAAAGGTGGGCCAAATTCTTTAGCAGCAATATCACAGTTGTTGTTTCCATTTCATGTTCTAGTGTTCCATACCTAGTAAATTGCTATTTTAATTGCCTCCAGAATCTGTCTGTCATCTGTTGCCTAGTCTATTGGAACTCTGTCAATGGTTGCACATGATTTAATGTAAAGAATTTGTCAAGGCACACACCCAAATGTTTACATGTGAAATATATAGTCTTACTCTGTCCATTCTTTTTTTTTTTTTCAAGCGATTCTCCTGCTTCAGCCTCCCGAGTGGCTGGGATTACAGGCACACACCACCACTCCTGGCTAATTTTTGTGTTTTTTGTAGAGACAGGGTTTCACCATGTTGGTCAGGCTAGTCTCGATCTCCTGACATCAGGTGATCCACCTGCCTAGGCCTCTCAAAGTGCTGGGGTTACAGGATTGAGCCACTGCACCCGGCCTTATTCTGCCCATTCTTGGTGAGAACTCCTTCATGCATAAAGAACGAAAACCTCAAATTCTACTCTTTAGTTTCTCATTTCTTTTTATTTTAATCACAAATAATTTATTCTTCCGTTAGAGTTGATACAGTTTTAAATAGCAACAAAGTAAACAGTGGTGGAAAATTGGCACAGAACCTACAAGCATTTCAATAACAATAAGGCTGTCCATGCTTTATCTATTCAAACTTGATGTCCATTTTCTACTGACCAAGTTGAAAAAAAACCTATTCTGACCTTGAAACACATGAACACAGCCTCTCTCTCATACACACACAGAGACACACTGAAATTCCTCCTTTTGATTACAGTATGTTGAGAACAGTATGTTCTGCTTATTCAAATTTATGGTACCCCTTCTGTTTTGTTTCCAGTTAGAAGCGGGAAAAACCAATTCAATTATAAAGAATACAGTTTATTCCCTGGGCATAGGCAACTGTGATGAAAATAGCCACTTACCTTTGGGCTAGATGTTTTCAGGTTATGCTGAAATAACCATGGTTAGAAATTTTTCAATGCGTACTTTCCTGTCCCACGCAATCTCCATGAATTTAGCTAAAATAATCAGGCACAGTATAGTCTCGAATAATGATTAAAATATGCCATGCTAATAAACAAGGTTATCTAGAATGCAACCTCTGTGCTTTTAAAACAGATAGAATAAACCTCATCAATAAGCATTTTCCTAAACATCTCTTTGTGTTATATTAACCAACATAAAAAAGGGAAAAAAATAAGTGTCCCTTTATAAATGACATTATTTCCAGGTAAGAAAGCTGAAACAAAGGTTTGTAAAGTCTTCTGAACGATTCTGTTTAATAACCAATTATCCCTCAATGTTACAAAATAAAATTACTGGATCGATGTTGACTCTTCTTTGATACCATTTATAAAATGCTTTGATATTACTTACTAAGTTCCCTGGTATCTTAAACAAGGTAAAATTAACACTTCCATTTTCAGTTATTGCTATTTTAGAAGAGGATTGCCACTTTCTTCTACATGAAACTGTTTTACGAAAGGCTCCTCAGATCCAACATAAAGTAATTCTCATTGCCTCACATTTTAAAACAGCATTATAAATGATCTTTATAAAAAGGTTAAATCCACAAAACTGGAAGGCTTTAAAAAAATGTCTTTTTACTCAAAACTGTATCACAATGCCCTTGATTGCCCAATAGGTAAATAGGATTTGAATTTACTCTATGAGAACAGAGCAGTGGACATATGGACCACGTATTATTCCCAGCAGTGGACCCAGTCATGATCATATTAAAACTTCTGCTAACTGAGGCAGTGATCTAAAACAAATGCTCTTACAGAAATGAGGCAAAGGGCATGGTCTCTGAGACTGCTGGGACAAGATCAGAAACCAGTCTCCTTCCCCGTAGTCTGGACTGGGTATCCCCTCTTAAATGTTTCCAAAGCAACACAAATTTAATTCCGTCACAGAACTTGCCACTCTGTGCTGTGTCCTCTGTTTCCTTGCCATCTTCCTCAATGAGCTGGAAGCCCATTGGCAGCAGGGACTGTTTCTTGTTCACAGCTGCACCTCAGTGCTAAGCATAGTGCCTGGTAGGTAATAGACTCCTTAAGTATTTGTTGAATTAATAAAGGATGGACTTTTTAAAAGTGAGTTGTGTATAGCGTTTTCTCTCTAGTATTCTACCTGATATGCTTTGATTAACCTTGTCCCTGTTGCCGTTATAAAATAATGATCGATCAGAGGAGCCTTTGGATTCACGGTGTGCCAATCTCTTGTTTTAGTCACATCACCTGGTATCAAGATCTCCAAAAACTTTCAATTGAACAGAAAAAAAAACCACACACAACTATTTAGAGGACAAGGACTTACTGCTTCTGAGAGTGTTACTCTCAGTGTTTCCTTTAAGTGTTACTGTGTTACTTATGTGTTCCTTTAAGTGTTTCCTATAAGTGTTACTGAGAAAGAAACACCTCAAACAACAAAATTACTTATTTGGTGTATCAGATACCCTAAGCACGGACTCACAGACATGTTTCTGCCATTTCTAGCGTGTGAGTTTGACAAGTTAAATAACCTTTCAACGCCTTAATTTCTCTAGTTGTGAAATGAAGATAAAACTCTCTTTTAGGTTGGTAAGAATGGCCAGGAGAGTTTTGTGTGAAGCTCATCAAATGGTAACATAGGCCTACTCTGTGCTACACCATGTCAATACTTGGTGCAAACTAAGCACCTAATAAATAGTATTAGCTTGGATTATGTTTTAAAATATGAGTCATTACACACAACTCTCATGTTTTATTGGTTTGGACAATAATGGCAAATTGCCCAGTGTTGGTGAAATGTGGCACTGATTCTGTCAAATCTTGACAAGAAAGAAACAAGAGAACAGGGGACTAGAAGTGAAACACAAAGTAAAAGAGGCTAAGAGGGATCTAAGTAGATAACTAGCATTGCAATATTATGTATTAGTGTTTCCCCGTTGCAGAAATGTAGGTTCCAAAATGTTAGCAGATTTGCTAAAGACAAACAAAGCATCTAACTTAGAAATGAGAAACTACACGGTAACAGTCTTCCTGGCCTGAGTACTGCTGTGGTGGGCCCTGTTGAGGAGATCTATAGGGAGGAATCTGCCTCAGTTGGCAGTTTTAATTTGATCATGACTGGGTCCACTGCTGTGAATAATACGTGGTCTGGATATTTGTTGGCATAAGAGATACAATAAAAAGCCTACTATGTGCCAGCCTATGTAAATGCCTGCTGTAGAATATGCACTTAATGATAACTATTAATAAAGGAATTCACTCTACCAAGGACATTCATCTGAGAGGCAGTAAAAATGTAATACAACGCCTCCGAAAATAAGGAAAGTTAACATTTTTGCATGCCTTTATCTGGGGCTTGTGAAATTCATATCTGCTCAGTCTTAAGGCACTTTCTCTTCTCATACTGCACATTCTCCATGGGCAATTTGTGGTTACAAAGGTGATTACCATCTACAAGCCAATGACAATCCAATCATTTCTCCAGCCTGACCTTTTCTCATGTGCTTCAGATCCATATATGTAGCTAATTGCCTATGAGTATTTCCACCTGGATATTCCATAACCTCTCAAACTTAGTATGTATAAAACTATATTCGTAATTGTTCCGTTTTATCTACAACAACCACCGTGCTTCCTAATGTTGTTGGAACAGCACCAGTATGAATCCATTTGCTCAAGGTGGAGACCTAGAATTTATCCTTACTCCTCCTTTCCTCTTTCCCCTTGCTACCTCACCCAGACAGCCAGCCAGCCTAATGTTACTGAGTTTTGCAGATCTAAGCCTGAAGCAGCTCTCGATTCTACCTACTTCTTTCATCTTTGTTGTCACTACCCTATTTGAGGCAACCATCCTCTCGCACTTGGATATTGCAGTAGTTGCCTAATGATCTTCCTCCCTCCAGTTTTGCTACAACTGCAGACACAATGATCATTTTGAGGCACAAATCTTGTCATGTCACCCCTCACTCTGAATACTCAACAGCTTCCCATTGCCCTTTGTACATAGACCTATCTCCTTTATATGGTTTTTAAGTCTCAATTTATGCCTGTTATTTCAGCACAATTATTAACAGTTCTCACAACTGTCCTGGACTGGTCAATAGATTATATGCTTACAGTACTTATAAGGCTTTTTATCATCTGGGTTTTATGTACCTTTTTAGCCTATCTCTCACCATTCCCTAACTGAACTCTGCTCCAGTATCACTAAATGCCTTTCAGTTCTTCTGTCACACACTCCTTTTTTTTTTTTTTTCAGTTTAGTTTTACTTTAAGTCCTGGGATACATGTGCAGAACGTGCAGGTTTGTTGCATAGTTATACATGTGCCATGGTGGTTTGCTGCACCTATCAACCTGTCATTTAGGTTTTAAGCCCCACATGCATTAGGTATTTGTTCTAATGCTCTCCCTACCCTTGCCCACTTCCCCACAACAGGCCCCGGTGTGTGATATTCCCCTCCCTGTGTCCATGTGTTCTCATTCAACTCCCACTTATGAGTGAAAACATATGGTGTCTGGTTTTCTGTTCCTGTGTTAGTTTGCTGAGAATGATGGCTTCCAGCTTCATCCATGTCCCTGCAAAGGACATGATCTCATTCTTTTTTATGGCTGCATAGTATTCCATGGTGTATATGTGCCATATTTTCTTTATCCAGTCTATCATTGATGGGCATTTGCATTGGTTCCAAGTCTTTCCTATTGTAAACAGTGCTGCAATAAACATACGTGTGCATGTGTCTTTATAGTAGAAAGATTTATAATCCTTTGGGTATATACCCAGTAATGGGACTGCTGGATCAAATGGTATTTCTAGTTCTAGATCCTTGAGGAATCACCACACTGTCTTTCACAATGGTTGAACTAATTTACACTCCCACCAACAGTGTAAAATCTTTCCTATTTCTCCACAGCCTCACCAGCATCTGTTGTTTCCTGACTTTCTTTTTTTTTTTTTTTTGAGACGGAGTCTCACTGTGTTGCCCAGGCTGGAGTGCAGTGGTGCGATCTTGGCTCACTGCAAGCTGCACCTCCCAGGTTCACGCCATTCTCCTGCCTCAGCCTCCTGAGTAGCTGGGACTACGGGCGCCTGCCACTATGCCCGGCTAATTTTTTTTGTATTTTTAGTAGAGACGGGGTTTAGTAGAAACTGTGTTAGCCAGGATGGTCTCGATCTCCTGACCTTGTGATCTGTCGGCCTCGGCCCCCTAAAGTGCTGGGATTACAGGCCTGAGCCACTGCACCTGGCCATTTCCTGACTTTCTAATAATTGCCATTCTAACTGTTGTGAGATGGTATCTCGTTGTGATTTTGATTTGCATTTCTCTAATAACCAGTGATGATAAACTTTTTTTCATATGTTTGTTGGCCGCATAAATGCCTGACACATACTCCTTTTTTGGCTTCCAGTCTATTGCCCATATTCTTCTCTCCTCCTGGGTCATTTTTTATCTTCTTTTAACCCTAGCGAATGGCAGGTCATTATTCAGGTCATGGCACAGTTCTGTTATATGTCTGTTCTACCATCACTCAGACACCAGTATTTCTACCCTCATGGTTCTTTCCACATGAAAGCTTAACTGTGCATATATTTGTCTGAGGCCATCACTATACCATAAACTCTCAGGGCAAAGATCAGGGATGTCTTTTCCATGTTTTCCTCAGGAATTACTGCTCTCTCAGTTATCAAATAGATGCTTAGGAAATATTTATGAGTAAATGAATAAATTTGGACATATGAGAATGCCTAGTAGATTATCAACACATGTAAGACCTCAATAGTGGAGTGGATAGGTACAGGGTGTTTAACAGTGAGACAAAGGGGTGGGCCATCTGTGTTACTTGTACCCAGACCTTGCCTTTCAGGTATACCTTTTCTCCTGGCTGATGAAAAAAAAGATTGTGTGATTTTGTCTGTATTAACAAAAGGCGAGTTGTTGGAGTATGAACTCACAGAATATAAACTTGCTTTGTTCCTTTCCCATTCCTAGGGAAAGCCCAAGATGAGCACAGGCAAGTTATGTGTAAAATTGTGAAGTAGGGTAAGTGGTTGGTGCTCTTGCACCTCCACCTTTCATGTCTTGTCTGTCTAGAGCACAAAATTTTGGCTTTTGAAGGGGATTCCAAATTTTCTGTAAAGATATTCAAAGCCAGGTTTCTTCCTGATTGCTTTCTTGGCTTCCTAATGTATTTTTCTTTACCTTTATTAGGCATAGGTAGAGCAGGGGTTAGCAAACCATGACCTGTGGACAAAATCTAGCCTGCAGCCTATTTTTGTAAATAAAGTTTATTGGAACACAGGCATATCCATTCATTTTCATACTGTCCATGGATACATTCTTGCTATAATGGCAGAGCTGAGTGGTTGCAAGAAAGACCCTGTGGCCTACAAAACCAAAATATTTACTATCTGACCCCTTATAATAAAAGCTTGCTGAGCCCTGGTCTTGAGTCCTTATCTAGGAGATCTTGGGAAGAGTCTAGGAGTTTGCTACTCCAGGTGTGGTCTGTGGACCAGCAGCATCAGACTGAAGGAGTTTACTATGAATACAGAAATCTTAGGTCCATCCCCAAACATAATAAATTAGAATCTGTATTTTAATAAGATCCTCGGGTGATTCATATGCATGTCGATGTTGGAGAAACACTGATCTAAGTATCTTTGGAGACTGAGGAGAACCCCCAATAGAACTCACTCTTGAGAATACATTGCTTCTAGGATATGCAAATAGTTTGGATGGTGGCCTAACATTAATGGTTTTCAGGAGTATCACTACGTTAACAGGCTATATGTCTTAACTGCAAGAAATAAAGCCTTGGTAATGGAATCTTAGGACTATGGAAACTGACAAAGTGAATATTTTGGAGGATGGAAGGACTCTAAGTATGCCTCAAATCACACCATTAGGCAGCCATGCACTTTGCCAAGAAGGCCAACTCTGAGCATGTTTTTTTTTTCTTTTTTGAGCCTAGGAGTGGCTGTGGAGCATTAGTGATGCTAGTCAGAAGGTGCGGCTGTTTGATTACACACCACAGTGCTCCATTTTATTGCAACGACAAAAATACCCCCACTCTCTGTCCACTTCACTGTTTCTGAGCTTTGAGTAAGAGAGGCTTGGTTGAATTTCTAAAAAGCTGTCATTTGCTATTCATAATTTATTTTGGTGGCTCTAACTTTTTAAAAAAAGTCATGCAGAAGAAGGCTATTTTTTTATTATTCTTGAGACATTACACTGGGGACAATTCCTGGAACCCTGTAAGAATCCTGGAACAGTGTGATAGTGTTTGCCATCAAACAAAGCTTCCATGTGATTACTAGCAAGGGCTGTGAAATATTCTGTAAGTGAGTTACGTGGTAAGGCAGATAGTGTCTCCAGCAGCACATGATATCCCTCTTTAGAGGAGGAGATTTGTTTACCCTTCCAAAATAATACAAAATAAAACCTAAAATCAAGGACACAGAGTACTCTTTTGTAAATGGGCAGACCCAGTATGTCCACCTAGGAAATTTAATAAATCTCCTCATTAGCTCCATCACTATAACATTTTGTTGCAGTGAGGAAGACACAGAAGTTGGTTTTGTTTGTCTGTTTTTGTTGCTGTTGTTTTGTTCAAGTCTTTTATTTCACTAACCTTGGGCTCAGATTCCTTTATTAAAGAGGAAAACATGCTCTAAATGTATTACCATATTAATTTACGTAAAAGTACACTTTGTATCATTTGGAAGCTGAGGATAATAGTTCTATGCACTCTCAATTCATAACTGTAACAGGAGATGGCCATGGATTAAAAACCATGGTTTTCATGTCACCTTTTTCTGCCCTTACTAAAACCATTTCTATAGCTGATAAATAATACCTTTGATTGGTTTTGAAAATTTTCTTTATTTCACTTTACCATATCTCTGTTGCAGTTTCAAATGAATCAATTAAAATAAAAATTGTGTCTAAAAGACAAAAAGAGAAACAAAAGAGACTTCAATGTTCCAAAGTGGATATTCAGGCCCTCGAAATACGAAGCTGGTTATGTAGATTCATTGAAGTAGTCTCTCAGCTGGGAAGTGCTGGATATGCTGACCCAAGGAGATTTGCAATTCTAAATTTTAGCCGTATTCCATACTACCCTTGAATGACTTGACGCCCCATAGCTCAGGAGCACAGGGTGAATGGGGCAATTATACAGATTTAAAATTCTGGATTGTTGCATGTTGCTCTTGTCAAAATCCTTCACTGTTATAAATGCAGTCTACATATCTAGGGAATGGGGCTATCTATAAATGTTCTCCATATGGAGGGAAGTTTACCTCCTCCTTCTGTAGCGAGCTGTTCTGATCCAAATAAACTCTGTGAATGGGTGAAACTCATGCTCCTTCCTTGTCTATTAGCTCACTTAAAAGTATCTATGATTCTATTTCCACAAATAGCTTCAGAGTATCTTCTATGGGCCAAGTCCTGTGTCAGCACAGGTTGTTTCAGTAACTCCTTACCAATACCTTGTAGGATAGGCATTATTCCACTCAAATTGTGGATGAAGAAACTAGACTCACAGAGAGAAGCTGTTCCCGCCACTCCACCATGCTGCATTGTTTTATGAGTGGGTTTAAAAGGCTTTATTTATTTATTTACTTATTTTTTCATCAAGTAATGATTAAGGCAATGAATATGTAATATGCCAACACTGCATTCCTTGTTGGAGATACAAAGGTAAATGCATCACTGTTTTTGGCCTCATGGACTCTATGCCAAACGGGAAGATATGGATTTCATTTTTTATTCCAAACTCAAGTTGTTTTTTCAATCTCTTTTGTTGCTTTTAGTTGGTGGTAGAAGTGCCACATGGCCCATGCCACGTAGGACCTGTATGAAAGAGCTGAGGCAGAGCCTGTGCTTTCTGCATGTTCATACTTCATGGCAGATGTAATAGACTGACGGAGATGACTGAACAACTGTATGGGTGATGACAAATGTGCTCATTAGGTGCAACAGCTCATTAATTCAAGAATCTCAAATTTTGAAAAATAACAGCAATACAATAAGTAAAAATGAGCCTCTGAGCATGTAAAATAGAAGTCACTGGGTCTATCAACTAAAGCTCATGTGCTTTATTTGCAGAAAAACAATTCAGGCCTTTGTTTGAACAAATTTACTCTTATCTCACACAAAATTTTAATGTGTTTGGGTATCTGCTTGTAGCTCACAGCAAATTTAAAAAGAAACCTACTTATCCTTGGGCATTAGTCAAAAGAAGAGATTAGATTTCCTTCCAAAATATTAATAATTTTGTTGAGGGCTGGTTCTATTCACTTGAATTGGGAGATAGTATTGAAAATGCTTTTAGAAATGCAAGAAGCATTAAACAAACACATTTGATTTGACTTTCTTATGAAGGATGTGATTGAGCTTAAGTCTGTTTTCAAAGCCACCATACCTTTTATTGAAAACAACTGCATCCGTTACCCTTTGCTTCATCCCCTCTCATTTTCCATTTGTGTGTGCAACTGACAATGGTTCTAGTGCATTGATAACAGGTCCAGTCAATTACCAACTACAGAGTTCCTGCAAACCAAAAGAGAGTGGCTTTTAATCTTATACCCCATAGTTTAATGAGGATCTGGACTTCAAATGGAAAATCTCGAATTGGAGTTACACCATTTTTTTTGGCAAAGGAGTACTTCCTGGAGGCTGCCTAAGTTGCATCATGTCAGTGGCTAGACTAGGCTTCTCCAGAGAACAGCAAGAGTAACAAGAAAGAGGCTCTATGAATCAGTAGGGGAACCAGTGGGCACACTCAAATCTGGGGTGAAACTACTACTGGTCATCTGGGCAGAGAGATTATGGATCTTGGCATTAAAAACTTCCTTTTGCAGGTGTTACATGGTTACTTCTTTGACTTGTAAGGGCTTTTTTTTAATTGTAGGAATATGTGGGAATATTTATTGGAGGAATATTTTAGGAATATTTCTGAGAGTGGCTTTATAAAGTACTATCCAATGGTATTTCTGTTCGTGAGGGGAGGAAAGAGGCAGTAAAAAGGAAGGGCTTCATTTTCACATTTTAAACAATTGTAGTATGTTAGTTACCTAAGGAAAAGTATATCTTTGAATCTAAAGATGCTAAAGATGAGATATCAATGATAAATTTCTGGTCTTTTTTAGTGATATAGAAAAGGGATGTACAGTGCTTTAGTCACTTTTAAGAATCCCATATTTGGACACAGAGCAATTGAGAATTTGACCAAGAGTAGCAGAGTAAGTAACAAAATGGGGAGAGCTGCAAATACAATGCAGATCGCTTGACTTGCATCTGCATGTTTGTATGTGCTAGTCTCACGCTTTTGTAATCCATTTGGATGAGTGGCTCACTTTTCAAAGATTAACATTTTATGACCAAATTATTGAGAAATATCCATCTCTAGGTTAAGACGGTGAGTGAAGGATGGTATGAGGGATACCACTGGATAACAACAAGACAAGGGATAATGTATTAGTCAGGGTTCTCTAGAGGGACAGAGCTAATAGAATATATATATATATATTATATTAGTATTAACTAAGTATTATATTAGTAGTAGTATATTATATTAGTATTTACTAAGTATTAACTCACACGATCACAGGGTCCCACAGTAGGCTGTCTGCAAGCTGAGGAGCAAGGAGAGCCAGTCTGAGTCCCAGAACTGAAGGACTTGGAGTCTGATGTTCCAGGGCAGGAAGCATCCAGCACGGGAGAAAGATGCAGGCTGGGAGGCTAGGCCAGTCTTGTCTTTTCACATTTTTCTGCCTGCTTTATATTCTAGCTGCACTGGCAGCTGATTAAATGGTGCCCAACCAGATTAAGGGTGGGTCTGCCCTCACCTAACATCTGACTCAAATGTTAATCTTTTTTGGCAATACCCTCACAGACACACCCAGGATCAATACTTTGCATCCTTCCATCCAATCAAGTTGACACTCAGTATTAGTCATCACAGATAATATATTTGGTTTCACTCTCAAATCTCTATTTCTAATAAAAAGCTTGTCTGTTGTTCAATGCCTATACATGCAGTCAAATGCTTAAATTTGATGTAATTTTATATGTAAAGAAATTCATAGAATTGGAAACTTATTTACCCAGTGATTAAGTGCTTAAGGCAACAGTTGCCTTAAAAATGATAAACATACATTAGACATATATAACAAAGTTTATTTACTCAGTTTCTTTCTTGACCACTGTATTTAATCACACTTTGTACTTTTATAGAATGTTACGTAGTTTGTAAATTATCTAAATATTTTCTTTACCTTACAGTCTTCTATTATAACATTGTGTACATAAAATTATCTTCATCACCACCATCATCACCTTCTCCATCATTATCATCTGCTATGGTTTGAATGTTTGTCCCCTCCAAAACTCATGTTGAAATGTAATTGCCATTGTAACAATATTAAGAAGTGGGACCTCTAAGAAGACATTAGGCCATGAGGGCTCCACCCCATGGGTGAGGTTCATACCCTTATAAAAGAATGAATTTGGACCCTCTTGCTCTCTCTTACTTTCTTATCTTCTGCTGTGTTATAATGCAGCAAGAAGGCCCTTGCCAGATGCCAGCACCTTGAAACTGGACTTTCTAGCCTCTAGAACTTTAAGCCAACAAATTTGTGTTCATTTTAAATTACCCAGCCTTAGATATTCTGTTATAGCAGCACAAGACAGACAAAGACACCATTATTGTTATTGAGCATGTGTTAACAACTTAACACATATCAACTCATTGGTGGCTTTCAATAAATCAATGAGGTAGATATTATTATCCTGATTATTTTTGTGAAACTGAGGCAAAAAGTTTGATAATTTACCCAAATGTATGTACCTAGTATATATAACTGAGGACAGTCTCTTAAACATTATTCTATATTGCCTTTGACCTGGTGAGACCTTAGGCAATTTTAATTTTAGTCCTTGGTTTTGCAAAATGAGCAAACTAAGGCCCTTTGAAAGGAACTGGCTTTCCTTTGACATTCAAAATTCTTGATAGAATTTTGATTAGAATTCACATTTTTTGACTTTTAGTCCAGTGATCTAGTATTATGGTTTGTCCCCTGTTTTCTAGGTAATATAATCTCCAACAGAATGTCCACTTCATAAGGGAAAAAAGGTAGAAACCAAAGCTTTACACTCTTTCACAAATACAAAGTTTGGTAGGAGTGGGGACTCAGCCTATTGATGAAATTGGAATCTAGGGATATTTTTATATTCATTACTACCTGTGAGGCCCTGTTAACCAAGATATTTCATAAATAGCATAGAATAATGATTCATTTTTAGCCTTTTAGGGAAGCCATTTTATCTCCAGCATCCTTAATTCTGGAGGGTTGTAGTCCAGTATTTTTATATCTATTGCCTTCATATCATTCATAACTGAGTAATATTGAGTTATATCACAAAATCATAGTGTACCTTTCTAATATGTAATAACCATAAATTTAAATATTCACAGTCCTAGAACAAAGTTGAACTGTGCTTGAGAAACTTTGAACGAGACTTGTCTTGCCTTTTCAGTCCTTGCTCCATTCTATTCCAGTTCATGATTAGTTCCTTAGGTGTATACAAGACAAATAAGTTGCTTGTTTTGAAAACTGAAACATTATTATTGGTTAATAGGTGTTGAATACAACTAAAGAGTCAAGCACACGAAAGAACATGTGGAAAATAAGCTTTCCTCTTCTTAATAGCTGACATTCTAAAAAATATGGAAGGGAAGGTCTTCTAGTATTTTAGGGTGCTCAGTAGTATCCAATTGCGAAAACTAAAGCGCATGTTTCTTCTTACAAGTTCTATTAATTACAGAACAGAATCTGGTTTGAATGAATTAATTTTAATCCTTCTTTGTGGTGAGGAATTTAGATTATGGAGTACCCAAAGGGCTTCATTATGAGACAGTTTCACTTATAAGCAGAGCATCAATCTACCTATTTGCTTTTGAGCAAGATTTAAACTTATGGGTAAAATATTCCCTTGGGTTGAGGCAGATGCCTTGAGAAGTTGCATTAATAACTGTTTAGAGTAACTCTTTATGATTCATGAGCTAAACAGGGTTATTTTCCTGTGGCTCACCAGACCATCTGTAAATTGGCCTGACATAGAGCTTCAAAAGAATAAATACATACTAAAAAATTCAGAGTTAGAATTGAGGCTGTTTTCTTAACTTAATTTGAAATCCCAGTTGTTGTTTTGAGACCGAATCAAGTGTCTTTTATTTTTAAGCTCTTTTTCATTGAGGTCTAAATGTTGACTATAGGTTAATTTCAGCATATAAACTTTAACATATGGTAAGCAAGTAAATATTTTTTAGTTATTTGATATGTATTTCCTAATGTTTGAGTATTTTGAGTATATCAAGTAGAAAATACCATAGAAACTCAGACAAAAATAATAATATTATATAATCTCTGGGTCCCTAACTTATCCATCCTCTGAATACAAATAATGTCTCCATGACTTAAATTATGAATAATATACATTTTTAACCATGAATGTAACACATTACTTTATAAAAATCAAACAACACAGAAATGAATTAAAAAAAGTGATTACCCACCTCCACTCCCTATTTCTTAGGTATCCATAGTGTATGAAATTCCAGAATGTCTTTCACAAACATATCTATGTATATGCATCTATAGGCACATTTAAAATTTTTGTTTTATAAACATTGAGATCAGAATATACTTACTGTGTGGTAACCTGTTTTTTAAATCTTAAATTTAGCCACATATGAAGATTAAATTAATTTTTTAACAGCTAAATATTCCATCTATCATCTTTTAAAAAATCATTTCCATGTTTATAGATATTGAAATCATCTTCTGAATTATATTCTATAAAATGATTCCTGGTGAAAAGATTCTTGTAGGTCTCCCAATAACATTAATAATAATTTTTATACTTGATTAAAATCCATACTTGACTCAAAATCCAAGATACACACATATACAGTAAGAAATAAGTCTCCCTCCCACTCCTATTTCCTAGCCACTCAGCTTTTAAAGAGTTCTTCTGGGGATTATTTAGTGTGTATATATGTATACAAAATTTCTCTGCACATAAGCTACCATAATCTATACACTCCTATGTGCCTTGCTTTTTAACTTAATAATAGACCAATTGGTTTAAACCGCCTATGCCTTTTTTCTTTCTATTATGAAGTGTTCCATTATATGTCTATAGTGTAATTTATTTAACCCATTACATATTAAATAGTTCCTTATTAATTTTTTTTCCATCTTCTCTATTACCTTATACATATGCCATTTTCACAGATGACCATATGTCTGTAGCATCAGCTGTATGTGGAATCGGCGGGTCAAAAACTATATGCAATTTTGTTTTGGAAAATTTCAGATTTTAAACCTTTCGTATGGGGAAGTTGTAACTGTATACCTTTGTAACAGGAATGTATAAAAGCATTTTCCCTACAATTGTCCAGCACAATTTCTCTCTTTCTCTTTCTCTCTCCCTCTCTTTTTATCACGTCCAAACTGAGAGATTAAAAAATGATACCTCGTTATGATTTTGTTTTCTATATTTTAAAATTATCAGTGAGGCTGAAAAATAATTCATGTGTTTTAGAACCATTTGTATTATCTTTTCTATTTATATATATGTATATATATTTTTTCCTTTTCTTCCCAATTTGATTCTTGGACATTTCTTGGACATTGAAGAGTCACGTAAACTCTTAACATACAAGGCCTTTTACTGGTGATATTAATTGCAAATTCACCTACCCCGCCCCCTTCAAGCAAAATTTGTCATGTACCATTTGGCTTTGTGATTATTTTGCAATGAAAAAAGTTTTCATTTTTATCTAGTAGAATTTATCATCTATTTTTAGTGGTTTCTGAGTTTTGTTTGATATTTAATTTCCTCTTCCAATTTGTTTTTAAAAATCACTTAATCTTTTTAGTACTTCTATGGCTTAGTTTTTTCTCCTTTAGTTCTCACATATGTCTGAAAACTATTTGGTTTATTTTTACATACCAAGTTTTAAATCTACTTATACTGATTTAATGCTCAACTTACATTCCACAAACTCCTATTTACCAGATTCGATTGTATCAGCCATTCCATTAGTCTCCCTTGGTTGTTTTTTTGGATATTCCCAAAGGGTTATTTCACAAACTATCTGATATGAGAGAGAATAATTCCTTGGTTATAATTGTGGCTTCTGAAGTCAGATAGACTTTGATTTCAATTATGACTCTGTTTACTAGCTGTGGCACCTTCAGGAAATGTCAGTAGAAGCTAATGACCATAGTAGTGGTAATGTCGCCATTGTAAGGTTGCTGTGAGGATTAAATGAGATGATCCATGCTAAATGCCTGGTATATAGTAAGTAAGTGGTAATGTTAGCTGTTATCTTCCTCATCATTATTATTAACGTTGTTTTTGTTAATAATAATACTGTTGTTGTTATTAATTGCCGGTAGAGTCTCAATGAGATAGCTTTCTCTGCTGATCTGGAGAGGATTTCAGTGATGTCAAAGGTGCAGTTAGTGCCCAGGCAAGGTGGCTCACACCTGTAATCTTAGCACGTTGGGAGGCCGCCTCCTTGGGGGGTGGATCTCTTGAGCCCAGGAGTTAGAGACCAGCCTGGACAATATGGCAAAATGCTGTCTAAAAAAGAAAGGTGCACTTAGTGGGAATGTTATTGTCTAAGGTGTTGTCTCTAGTCACGCCATACTACAAAAGCCACAGCATTTTAGAGCTGGTTAGGACCTGTTCGCTAATTGTGCATTGCACATTATCATTTGATTTTCAAGGGTCCTGCTTATGCCCAGTGTCCACGAAGCTTTTCAAGAAGGCTGCAGACTCACATCCATCTAATTGTGAGATCCAAATCCAGGCCAGCAGGCCTGGTGGGTAACGGTATAGAAAATAAAGGAGAATATATTTATAACCATGAGGTAGGTAAAACCTTCCTGGGAATTCAAAAATTCTGAAGTTATAAAAGAAAGCTTCAACAGATTTTAATATTTAAAAATTCAGAATATTTCCGTGCAATTGATGTCAAAGAACAAAGTTAAAAGAGAATTGTCAACCTGGTAAAAAATTTTGCAACATATATACATAAAAAGATAACAACTTTAATATCTAAGGATTTCATGCAAATTAAGAAGAAAAAGACAACCTAATAGAAATTCAAAGAATTACAAATGGCTAATAAATAATGTGAAAATGTTTAAATGCAAATTAAAACAGAGATATGTTTTTGGCCTTCAGATAGATAGGCAAATACTTTAAATATTTATAATAGCCAAGAGCATGGGGAATTAGGTATTCATACATTGCAGGTAGAATGCAATTTGGGAGTAAGTAAAAAATTAATAATATATGTATACTTTGAACTGACAGATGTTACTCTTAGATATCTCTTCTACATACTCCTGTGTGTGCATTAAGATATATGACTGAGGGAATTAATTGCAACATCATAAAGAAGAAGAAACAATCTAAATATTCATCCATAGAGGAGTGGTTGATTTGGAATGCTATATAATGGTTAAAAAGCATGTAGTAAATTCTGATATGACAAGATTTCCCAAGCATATTATTATGTAAAAAAGCAAGTTGCAAAACAAAATGTATGTGATGAGGAATGTATAGTGTGATAGTATCATAAGTGATGAGAAATCCTCCAGACAAAAGTACATGTCATATATATATAAACATAGAAAAATGTCTGGAAAAACACACAACTAAGTGTTAATTTAGAATGCTAATAAGGAGAGTGGAAGAGTGAGGAGGGCAGGGCAGTGGGGAGGTAAAAGAATATGGGAGATGTTCACTTTTTATTCTCTGTACCTCTTTGTTGTTAAAAAAAAGTTTATAACTAGAACGTATTCATGTGTGCTTCCGTAAATAAACTGGAAAAAAGATACCATGGTTAACCTTACATAATACTGTTTGCTGTGATGTGTAATGGAGTGATTGCTTCTAAAATTTAGCCTAGGATAATTTATATTTTCAGAATACAATTGGAGAATCAATTGTGAAATTACAAATACTCAGGGCATGTAACAGGATTGTTCACAAACCACCAAATATAGATGCTGGTTTTGCTGCAGCACGTTTTAAGATAATGCCTAGCTCCTCATTAGAGTGGGACACATGGGTTATAATGAGGTGATTTTTGCCGACAAACTGCACCCAGCCCCATCATACTAAATTCTGCTCTGCAGCAAATAGTGTCACATTCTGGAATGGACTTTCTCTCTCTGCTGTAATCCTACGGAGCTTTTGCTCTTTAACATGTAAGAAAAACGGTGGCAGTATAAAGTTTCCCTGCTGTCATTGAAATTGTGAAACGGACTTACAGTTGTTTGGCAAAGCCCTTGCTCAAGGACCTTGTTAATCTTCCTTCTTGAAATTTCGTGAGAAAGAGATTGATGCCCTAATATCACTAAATTTTCTGTCTCTTAGACTGGCCCTTTGGGTCTGTCATTTGTTTTCCTGTTTTTGACAACTATTTGTATAAGCAAACGACAGTGCAAACACGATGGTAAACATCAGTGATATTCATCTGCAGTGTCAGGGAGGCATCAGAGAATGAAGAGGACTGTGACAAAATGGTAAGTGCATGCCCCATCCAAAGAAGGCAGCTCTGTTCAGCTCCAGTTTTTCGTTATCATGTTGGGACAGAGCCCAGTGTTGTAGATTTTCTAATTTTTAAAGAGCAGCAAATTAAAAATTTCTTGATTTTATATAATTTCCCCTCAATTTTTAAATATTGGATAGTGTAAATATAAAATATAAAAATAACTTAGTCAACCCTATAAAACTTATGCGAAAACCAAATGGTGGGCACCATTTTGCAACCTGTAAAAGTTATTAAAAATACAGAATCTCAGGCCCCACTCAAAAGTACTAAATTCAAAACAATATTTTTCACAAGCTTCCCCAATGTCTGTATACAGTTAGCTCAACCACAGCTTCCGGCTAGCTTTCAATCAGCTATTATTGGGATGGTAGATGGGATCTATCTGAAAGGCAAATTCCCATCCTTTAATGGTGGCTGCCTGGAACACTGATTTGAGGAGGACTGTCAGACTGTTCCCCAGGTTGAGGGGAAAAAAACAATTGGTGATCTTTTAGTAATGTCTATCTTGGGCACAGGCAAGTGGATAGAGTGGATAGAGGTGATACAGGTGCAGTTTCTGTTCTGATCTATGCATAGATCCATAGTGTAGGATCTATGCTCAAATAATATTTGTGTCCCACCAAGATATGGTCCCACCTTCTTCCCTAAGAAGTTTGTGTGTGTGTGTTGAGAGAGAGAGAGAGAGAGAGAGAGAGAGAGAAGGCAGAGAGAGAGAGAGAGAGCATGCATGAAAAGTATGTTTGGAATCAGGACTCCGAACCATTACTTCTAGGTTTCTAAACTTGGACTTCTGGAAAGTTTTTGAGACTTGAATAACATAAATTGTCATCTAGTAGGTGTTGGTCTAATTAAAGTATTGGGCTAGGAAGAAAAACACTTTCTTTCCTGGGCTGTCAATCCCATTTCTAAGAAGATCTTTTTATTCCAATCTGTCCCCTGGCTATTCTACATTCCTCATTCAGGCTGTCTTGTCGGTCACAATTTTGGGGAGAAGTGGCATGTCTGGGAATATCTATGTGCATAGTTCAAAATAGTTTGTCACTGTTTGCATCAATTAAGATGCTTTTGATTGAAAGCAAGCAGATTAAACTATATAGTTATGTACTATTTATTGCAGGAAACTAGAGGTGGGCACTCTCAGTGTTGGTTTGGTAGATCAACATTGTCATAAAGAACCAAGGTTTTTCTTTTCTTTTTCTTCTGCCATGCTCAGTGGGTCAGCATGGTCTCTCCTTACGGTCTCAGAATGACTGCCCTGCTCTAAACATTACTTCCTCATGAGAGTGTCCCTGGCAGGAAGGCAGAGAGCGGGGGCAAAGAGAACCTTTCTCCTTGAGCACTAGTCTCATATCAGGGACCTAAGACTAACCCTGAAGCCTTAGCTGCCCTCCCCTTATATATCATTGGACAAAACTGTGTCGTAAGCCTAACCATTGGCAAAAGGGAATGAATTGGACCAATGACAGTTTACTCCATGGAGCTGAATGCATTGTAACCAACACATCAGAAAGGAGAGGGTAGTGAGTGTTGAGGAAATAACCAACAGTGTGTGCTACATCATATCTAGAAATCAATTCAAAGAACAGGTCCTAGTGCTAGGATGTTGAGTGCCATCTCACACCAAGGATGGCATTTCTTTTTTTTCTTTTTTTTTTCTTTTATTATTATACTTTAAGTTTTAGGGTACATGTGCACATTGTGCAGGTTAGTTACATATGTATACATGTGCCACGCTGGTGCGCTGCACCCACTAACTCGTCATCTAGCATCAGGTATATCTCCCAAAGCTATCCCTCCCCCCTCCCCCGACCACACAACAGTCCCCAGAGTGTGATGTTCCCCTTCCTGTGTCCATGTGATCTCATTGTTCAATTCCCACCTATGAATGAGAATATGCGGTGTTTGGTTTTTTGTTCTTGCGATAGTTTACTGAGAATGATGATTTCCAATTTCATCCATGTCCCTACAAAGGACATGAACTCATCATTTTTTATGGCTGCATAGTATTCCATGGTGTATATGTGCCACATTTTCTTAATCCAGTCTATCATTGTTGGACATTTGGGTTGGTTCCAAGTCTTTGCTATTGTGAATAGTGCCGCAATAAACATACGTGTGCATGTGTCTTTATAGCAGCATGATTTATAGTCCTTTGGATGGCATTTCTAAAGATTAGAGATTCATGTTCATAAACAACTTGGAGCATAGAAGATGCACAGGAGTGATAACTACTGTGAATTCAGTTGTGGTGTTAAGACATATTCTATTTAAAGACTGCTCTAGTATCTGTGCACAAATGGGATGTATTTTGAAAAATTTCCATTATTTCAGGCCATTAACTGGTGCCAGTTAATAAAGAGATTTTAGTTAATAAGTAGGATTATTATTATACCAAGATATTCAATAAATTCTAGTTCTTCTCAAACCTGGCTATGATTCTGAGTCACATGGGCTTTAGAAATTCCAAGGGGCTACAGATGGATGAATAGCACAAATATGAAAAATGGAATGGCCCAAGGTATTTGTAATTTGAACAATAAAAAAGCTAAGAGACATTTAGTGACCTATACAGCTTAGAGTAACAGTATATAAAATAAACATGCATGCCCCAAGCACATTGATGTTCTTAAATGGTGAATGAGGTGTGGTCAGATGTAAGTAGAAACCTTCATTAAAAAATAGAGAAAACCAACTTGTGTTTGCCTCTATCCAGTGGTTTTTAACCTTCTGGGTTTAAAAGCCTCATTGAGAATTTGAACAAGGTTATGGAATGCTTCCCAGAGAGATGCACATTTGCATATTTACAACATGCTTTGAATATTAATAACTTCTTCTCTAATGTTCTTGGTCCTATTAGAAAAACTAAAGCAGCATCACTAATAACTAACAATAGATACCATTAATTGAGTTCTTACAAGTATTCCAGGTCCAGATTCCACCCAGATTTACTGAACTAGAAGCTTGAAGAGCTCAGAATACATAATTTTGTAAAGTTCCTTCATTGTTTCTGATGTAATTAATTGGCTCCTTCTTGATTAGGCAGAGAAGCAAGGGCTTTAGAGTCAGACAAACTTGAGTTAAAAATTGAAACTCTGCACTCGCTGAGCAAGGGCAAGTCACCCAAATCCTCTGGCCCTTAGTTTATATCACCTGTGAGATGGGAAGGATAACTATCCTCAGGAAAATGTGGTAGAGGTAAAATGAGATAATGTATGACAGCATCATAGCATGCCACTAACATATGGTGTGTCTTATATTTATTCTTTATCATAGGCACTCATAAGAGGTTTGACTTATCTGCAGTGAGGAGATTGTCCAAATATTAAATATATGTTTAATTAAATTATTTGAGTTATTTTAATTAAATTATTTGATTATTTTAATTAAATTACTTGAGCTAAAAAATTCATGGCTATAATATTTACATTGTGTTAAAAACAGAAATTATGACACTGAAACAAAGAAAAAAATAGTAATGGCGTTATCCTGAGATGGCTGTTATTGGAGCGACATAATGTGTAAACACATTAGCAAAGGAAAGCTTCAGTAAATAAAGCTCACTGACCTCTAGATCCTCAATTCTCATCTTGATTCTAACCCTAATTTTGTAAGGCCTTAGAAAAGTTTTCAATTCCTAAAGATTTACGATGTTCATGTCAAAAGGCTACCTTCTTAGCTGTGTGGAGGGAGACTCACGCAAGTGTCCAAAATGGTTCTGAATTGGGAAAAGAGTAAAAGAAACCATGCTGTATGTTCAATAACAAACCAAATAGAATCTTTATGATGCAATGAACACTGTAAAGAAGAGTAAAGATTTGAAGATTTACTCTGGTTGTCTGCTGAACTACAACAAAAAAGAATATTCTTATTGCAAATGCCAGCTTTAAAAAGGACAAAAATGGGGAGTCAGGGTTAGGCCAAAATAAGGTCAATAAAGGTGTGGGGAAAAATAACTCAGGGAATAGGAAAGGAGAGACAGCAGACAAGAACAGAGGACGCATTGGTGACTACTGGCAATTTTGGAGGGATTTTAAAGTAATTTTGCATGGCTCAGTAACTTACCTGGGAGATTTTCTATCATTTCTAATATTAACAAATCTTTGACTCAACCAAGGACATAAGGGGTGAGTAAGGAGCATTAAAATCAACAACAGAGTGTCCAGAAATGGAATCAGAACAATAAACGCTTAGGGCCATTAACAGCCAGTGAAGCCACTATTATTTCTTAGGGGAACCACATAGAAGATATATGCGTGCCCTGAGCACATGAGTGTTCTCTCTAAATTGAGACTGGGGAACAGTGGCTATGAGTCAGTACCTTCACGAAGAACAGAGCCAACTTATGTTTGCCTCTTTTCACTGTGTCTTTACATTTTTTAATCATGGGGCCTCATTGAAAATCAGAAAGAGATTATACATATTCTTCCTAGAGAAGTAGTTTATATTTACATATACATATATGCACAGTGTTTTGTGAATTGATCACCCCTTCTCTAATGTTCTTGGTCATGTAGGGAAATGGAAACTGCATAACTAATAGCCAGTAACAATAGCTTCAATTAATTATGAATTCATAAAGCTGACAGTAACTAATAGCTACTATTAAGTCCTTACTGTGTTAAAGACATTATGCAAAGCCCTTCATATGCATTATCTCATTGAATCCTCACTTCTACCCTATGAGATAAACAATATTATTGACCCTCATTTTAAGGATGAGAAAACTGAGGCTTAGAGAAGTTAAGTAGCTTGCTCTACTGCTAGCAAGTGGCAAAACCCAAAATCAGACTGAGATCTGTTTGATGCCTAGCATATACTCTCAAGTACTCCCTTATGCTACTTCTAAATTACTTTTTATAGACACTTGACATCACATGTTTCAACCTGGGCTTTAAGGGATTTGTGAATCATCTGCATTTATATGCTATGTTCTATATGTGTGTATGAGTGTGTTTTTGGGGGTCCATAGCTTTCATCGGATTCCCTTAGAAGATCTCATTTAAAACAGCAAAGAATCAGTCATCTAGCTCTTCTGGGGTTTAGCTCAGAATTAAGTTAGTCGTTTACACAGTCACATCATTGGGTCACACTGAGTCTCTTCCTTCCACTCCTCTCACCTCACAGAATTGCTATTATTAAGTTGTTATGGAATCAAGTTTAAGTCTGGAATTAAGAAACTCTCCAGAAAAAGGTATACAAAATATACTACTGTATTTACTTCAGGAACATTTTTGAGTATGTTTCTTACCGTATCTTTCAGTGTCTTCAAAACAAAATTCCAAGTAATAAATTGTGTTTAGGAGAAAAAAAATCCTTATGCATAATAAAGAATACAATGGTGTTTCTCTTTACTCAAAAGCCAAAATTTCAGACTCAAATCTGCAATCCAACTTTAGTACCTATGTAGGAGTCTTTGGCCTACATGTTGCATTTTCACTTCCCCCTCAGTCATAACCATCTACTCCAATTTGTATTTTCCTTTTTCTGAATATACATACTTATATTTTATTCCATGTATTCTTATAAAGCATCTCAAATGCTTTGTGGAACAAACAGAAATACAATTAAAAATTTAACTTTTTCTCCATCTTTCTCTTCTACCATGCCATGCTTCAAAAGAGGCAGAGCTTTTCAAATTTGCAGAAATTTGTTCTTTAATACCTTAACCTTCAATGACGCAAGGAAACAATCCCCAGTTAGGACAATATAACAGACTAAAATAATATCTTCAATCACCGCTACTTTTCTTGCTGATTATTTAACTAATAGAGGAACGTATCTTGCTTCCCTCCTCCCGGACAAATACTTTTCTCAAGGAAAAATAGATTTATTTCTTTCATGATTGGATTTTCTAGGAAATAGCTGTATTGTAGCTATTTTGTGTTGTGAATAGAATGAAAGTCATATGCTTTAAACTCCAGCATTAAAGGGACGGACTTCCCTTTCAGTTGTGTACCCTTGAGTACATGAAATTGAAGTCTATCTCAGTGAAAAAATCAACACACTGGCACAGGTGTTGGCCAATACAGTGGTATCTACACATAGAGTCAACATTTTTCTTAGGAAAGAATTTTAAATTGTGTTACGCAGTTACCATAAGTAATTGGTTAAGAGTCTAAACCATGGTGCCATAGCAAGAGTCTTGGTAATGTTTTAAGTCAGGTTGAACCAATTGTGAGCTTTGCTAGAAGACTACGAAAAATCAGGGAGCACTTCAAGACAGTTTCATTGAATGTCTAGTCTAAAAACATGTATCCAGAAAATCTTACCCATAAGCTTGGCTTTAATTACCTTCTGTATAAGAGAACTCTCAAATTTTTACTTCCAGCCACATCCAATCCTCTAAGCCCTAGATCTATATAGCTACCTACTGACTTAGCTCTACTTGGCATCTACAGCCATTTCAAACTTAAGGTCGGAAAAGGAGTTTGTACACATCCAACCTGACCCTTCTCAGAGTTCCCTCTTGAGTGAATGGCATCTTTGTCCACCTAGTGCAGACATTAGAATCCTGGGGGATACCTTGAATCATTCTACTCGATTCCTACCTCCTCCTCCTCCCTTAACATAATTCTATTTTCTCCATCACCCCTGCTTATACTGGTTTCTGTTAACATCTTTTTTCTTTTCCCAGATGACTGCATAATCCTCCCAGCTAGTGGCCTAGATTTCACTCTTGCCTAGCCACAGCCCACTCTCCATACAGAAGCTAGAGTGACATTTTTAACATTTCCATCTAATTATATCATCTCCTTGCTTGAAATTCTTCAATGACTTCCCATTACTTTAAAAATTAAGACTCAAATCCTTAACATGGCCTAAAAGCTGCCTGCCTGATCTGAATACTTTTTTGGAGTCATCTCTAGCACTTTTCATATCTTGCTACATTGGCCTTATTTAGCTTCCTCTAAAACCAACTGCCTTCTTTCCTTGAGTCATTTACACACACACACACACACACACACACACACACACACAGACACACACACACACACTCCTGATGCCTAATGTCTGTTCTACTGTCAGGATATGTTTGACTCACTCCCTAAGAAAAATCTTTCATGCCATCTCTGACAGATTCAGCCCATTATGGTTTTTATAGTACCCTGTATTTGCTCTTTGTAATACTTATTGTAATTTAATAAATTGTGTAACTACTTGTTTAAGATATTTCTCTTTTGTTTGACATAAATTCCATGAACAGGGAATGGCATCTCTCTTTTTCACTCTATGTACCCAGTGCCTGGCATATTGCATTTCACAGAGTAGGTGTTGAAAAAATTACTAAACGAATTAGGTAATAAAAGATGACCCATTCAAATTAGTTAGAAAATCCCACTGTAAATAGTTATATGATTTTACCTTGTGGAAATTATTAAAAATTAACTTTTAACTACTATGTAATTATAGGAAAACTAATTCTAAGCACAAATTTTAGTAAAAACCAGGAATTAAGAGGATGAACATTTATATTTATTGAGTACTTGCAATGTACAAGGCCTTTAAGTAATTCAAGGAATACTAATTCTAATGTAATTCTTATAATTATTCACTGTGAATTAATGGGAAAGTAAAAAGACCCAAGGAGTAAACTGACCATAGTTACACGGTTTTCACATGGTAGAGATGGCAATAATTACATAGTTTAACAAAAATAAGCCCACTCCCTTGAAACAGGACCAGAAATATCTCCTTCTGTATGACGGGGCTATGATAACACCTTCCATGTGGAAGGCATTCAAGAAATATGTCTGAAAAATTATGTCAATTTTTAAAAATTTTGTTAACAAAAGGGGACACTATGACCTAAATCTGTTCGATGTGTGTGTCAAGAAATGATTCTCTTCACACAGTAATATTTCTTCATTTATGGAATTAATGAAGAAAAGAAAGATATTAGCAATACTGTTTCAATATACTCTAAAGACGTATAAAGATCCTGAAAACTTACAATTTATGTAAGACTTTGAGACTTTATGGAAATAATCTTAATCAAATCAATACAGAAAATCATAATTTTTCTGTTTGCCTCTGTGCCGTGGCCCGTCAAATAGTTTGACCTCTGAAGTTTATGAAATAATATGGAAAATCATCTTTCTCCATTTCATTTTTCCTAAGGACATAAGAGTTTGACAGGTGTATCAGTGCTATAGCATATGTTCCAGGAGTTCCAGGACTTTGAAGAAGCAGATGACAACTGGTTGTGCAATTCTCAGCTCCTACCTTATTTTCTAGGTTTGGTCTCTTAAGGGACAGCTGCAGCAGGGTGATGGAACAGGCCACCTTCTTCAGGGGCAACTCATCTCTGGTGCTTTTGCATGCAAACTTGACTGTCAGTCATCCACAAAGACATAAATCTAGTGCTGCAATGGATTGGGTACTTTGCTACTGTGGGGATGGGGAGTGTCATAGTGGGGGCAGGGGGTGTGTATGTCTGAGCCTTCTTTGGTGCTCTTTTCTTTTATTCTGATATGGTTCTTCTGTGAAGTGGTAAGGCCACACATGTTGGGTGGGGGACAGTGAGGGGTCTCACTTGAGAGAGTTGGATATTTTTGGGTCCAATCATGTGGTGAAGAGGTGGATTCTTGGAAAAGAATGAGCATTTAGAAGGTGGGCTTTAAGAAGGCAAGAGGGAATGCCTCTTGCTCTCAGAAATTAGCCTCCCATTCATGTTAGAGGCTGCCTCTGCTGCCTGGGCCACAGGAGAATGAGCCTGGAGCAGGGGAGGAGATGTCTGTCTAGAAGAACACAAGATAAATCATGAGCAAATTATATTTTATGAACTATATTTCCTGGTTATGTGTTCCTATCTGGTTTTGTTTCCTTCTTTATTATCTGTGAGCTTTAAATGGAGTTTGTTGACATGTTCCAGCCCCGTGTTAACTTTAATACTAGGAATTTAGAATACAATTTTGTACCATATTGGAGCTGGAGTATTAGAGGGTGAACATTTTCTTCTACTTGTGGTCTCTCATGTCCCCACTCTGGGCTCATGTACTGGTGGCAGAATGAATTATTGAGAGGTCTATTTATCTACCTCTCCCCCACAGGACAATATTCTCTGCATTGAAACTTCAGAAGATATTATACTCAATTAAGGCAGATTCTGGTCTTCTTACAGGAATACCTTTAGCGTCTTCTTGACAGTGAGATTTCAAGTTTCTCCATAGACCTCAAATTTCTGTCTAATGGGATTGCTATTTCTTGAAAGTCTTTTAAGAATAAATTTTCATTCTTCAAAACAAGCTTACAGACACAATATACAAATAGCTGGCTATAGTAATAGCCTGACAGAATCTTGTTTATTGTGAAATATAATTGATCAACAATAAACATATGATTTCTGAACATTTCTTGTTCGCATGGGAGGAATGGGTGAGAGATCAGGAGGCCATTTTATGGGAGGAAGGAGTAAAAGAATATGGAATAAGAAAGGCTGGAAAGAATCAAAGATGGGCTAGCGTTACTTAACTTTTTTGCATGGGCTGAGGCATATTTTCTTTTAACTAGATTTGGGCCAACGGGCCCTGCCTCAAGTCCTTTGGCCTTGTGTAGCTGAGGTGTAGGGGATGATAAACTTTGAGCTAACTTGGCTTTGGTGGTGGATCAAGTATTGGGGAATGTTTCTCCCAAACCCAGCAGAGTTTCTTAAGAAAAACTTGATTCTCAGAGAATTAATGACTATAGGTATCAGAGTTATTTTACATCTCTATACAACAGACAAAGACAGGGGAGCAAGTAAATAATACACTCATCTTCCAAAATGTCAGAGTGTGCTGTATATAGTAGTTCATCATTTTAATGTAGGACTAATCTAAATAAAAATGGGTGGTTTGATAATGATTTATTATAAACTTATTAATTCCTAAGAGCAGAGACACATTTTGGGGCTCTTATTAGAAGAAAGGTATCCTTTTTGGCAGTAGAATGGGAAAAGCTATCGGGTCACATGATAATCAAACCAGATATTATTGGATTTGAATTTTTATTGAGATCTTTTAGCATCTTTCTCTTCATTCTCAAATTTGCACCTCTGGAACCTCAGGTGGTAGTGTTTTCTATCATTGTTGCTCTTTTTTTTTTCAGTTTCTTTTCCTACTAGGTTTCATATTTGTAATCTGTTTCATTTTTTACATTTTGTTTTGAAAAACATGGAGAACCAAGTTCCTGACGGACAACACAAAAACAAAAACAGGCAAATAGAAGAGAACAAACACAATTATGTGGTCCCTTTCATTTGGAAATGGGTCATTTATGGCAACCAATATCTGTACATAAACTCTTATCATCAGAAAAGGAAAACAGAGATCTAGCATTTTTCAAAGACGTTTATCAACCACATAACTAAATACTTGTAAATTTTAATTATATTTAGTATTCTTCTCTTTTTTCTCACATAAGCAATTAAGAACCTGTTCCTTGTATTCGTCCAATTTTTTAATTCAAAAAGGCTTTCCCATAATCTTACCTCATTATCAAATGTTTTGTGTGTGTGAAAATATGATTTTTCCCATTTTGCTGGATGTTAAAGGACCTTTAAGCCAAAAAAGGAGGTTTGCAATTTTTACCTGAAGGTAATATTAAGCCATGGAAGGTTTTATGTTTTTGTTTTTGTTTTTATTTTATTGAGACACGATATTTTACATATTTATGGGTGACATATGAGTGTTTGTTACATGTGTAGAATATGTAATGATCAACTTGGGAGTTTGGGGTACAAGGGTTTTTTTTTAAGTTGGTGTTCAGTGGCCTCAGGATCATGAACATCACCTTCATAACTCAACACGCTAAAGTGGATTGATGCTCATCATGTGCCAGATGCCCCTTGGCACTTGCATGCTATGCCATTTAATCTTAACGTCAAGCAGAGGAAGCAGCTACAAATATTACCTTCATTTTACAGATAAGGAAACTAGAATTTAGAGAGTTTAAATAATAAATAATGCCAGTGTTAGATCAGGCATTATATTTTAGATGGTTTTTAGTGATATGCTCACATTTGTGCTAGAAGAAGATATCTCTGGCTTATGGCTCTGGAATGGGTCAGAAGGGAGTGAGCCTTAGGAAAGTGAGAATTAGCTGGGTGTGGTGTTGCACGCCTCTGATCCCAGCTAACTGGGAGGCTGAGGCAGGGGCATCGCTTGAGCCCAGGAGGTCAAGGCAGTGAGCCCTGAGAGTGCCACTGCACTCCAGCCTGGGTAATAGAGCAAGACTCTTTTATGGAACTAGGCTGGTGGCCGTGAGGTGAAAAAAAGTGAAAAAACTGGAGAGACTTTTATAAAGACTAGAATCCATAGAAACTGCTGATTAACTGGATATGAGGGATGAGGGAGAGGAAAGTGATAAGGAGAAAAATAAGGTAATTGGCTTCTTTAGTGACAATTACTGAAATAAAAGAGACAGGAGGAGGAGCAGGTTTGGGGAGCAGAGTTCTGCTTGACACATGTTTGGTTTGACTACTTTTGGGCCATTTAGGTAGAGATAATAGGATATACAGATTTGCAGTTTAGAAGCAAGATCGAGGCTAGAGACAGAGATTTGGGCGTCTTAAGCACATTACAAAAATCAAAGCTGTAGTTGTGGGAGTGGAGGAGATCATCTAGGAAGAATGTATGGAAATGAGCTAGGGCAGTGGTTCACAAGATGTGGCCCAGATACCCCTGAGGGTGCTCAAGACCTTTTCGGGGTCCACAAAGTGAAAACTACTTCTGTAAGTAATACCAAGATGTTATTTGCCTTTTCCTCTCTTGGTCTCACACCAGTATACATTGAAATTTTTCAGAGGCTACATGATGTATAATCATGTCATTGATCTGAAGGTCAATGAAATATGTCTTTGCATATATTCCTGTGTTTTAAAAATTTCTCAATTTTAGTTTCTAATATAGCAAATATTTATAGATGTAACCCACTTAAACATAAACTCTTTGGGATCCTTAAAATTTCTGAAGTGTGAAAAGGGATAATGATATACAAAATTTGAGAACCTTTGTGCTAGAAAATTTTGCCTTGATTCCATAGGCAAGCGTGATCATCAAAGACTGGAGGGCGAGGAATAACATAATCAGAGTCATGCTAATAGAAAGTTGTCCTGATGGCAACCTCGAGGATACATTAAGATTGGGATAACGTGAAGATACAGAGTTGATTTAGTCGGTAATTACAATTCGGGTATGAAATTACTCCAGCTCCAACTATGGTAATAACAGCTAACATGATAATAGACAACAGAAAACAAAAATAAATGTGACTTGCTTATTGACAGAATATGAATTATTATTGAATAAATGAAAAGAGTAATAGATAACTGCATTTGGAGCAATGTGATTGGAAGAAAGATCTTTGATATGGCTTGGCATCATGTCCCCACCCAAATCTCATCTTGAATTGTAATCCCATAATCCTCATGTGTTGCGGGAGGGACTCGGTGGGAGATGATTGAATCATGGGGGCAGTTTCCCCCCATGTTGTTTTCTTGATAGTGAGTGAGTCTCACGAGATCTGATGGTTTTATAAGTGTCTGGCATTTCCCCTGCTGGCACTCATTCTCTCTCCTGCCACCCTGTGAAGAGGTGCCTTCTGCCATGAATTTTTTTTTTTTTTTGAGATGGAGTCTTGCGCTGTTGCCCTTGCTAGAGTGCAATGGCGCGATGTCAGCTCACTGCAACTTCTGCCTCCTGGGTTCAAGCGATCCTCCTGCTTCAGCCTGCAGGGTAGCTGGGATTACAGGCGACCACCACCATGCCTGGCTAATTTTTTGTATTTTTAGCAGAGACAGGGTTTCACTATGTTGGCCAGGCTGATCTCAATCTCCTGACCTCGTGATCTGCCCTCTTCGGCCTCCCAAAGTGCTGGGATTACAGATGTGAGCCACTGCACCTGGCCTTGCCATGATTATAAGTTTCCTGAGGCCTCCCTAGCCATGCAGAGCTGTGAGTCAATTAAACCTCTTTTCTTTATAAATTACCCAGTCTTGGGTATTTCTTCATAACAGTGTGAGAATGGACTCATACAGTCTTGCTGCTGGTATATTTCAAGTATGGAAAAATAATCTTTAATATTAAATAAGGATTCATTAGATGAGCATTATCCAGTAGAAATATAATGAGAGCCACATATATAATCTAATAGCTGTATTAAAATGTAAGAAAAGTAAAATTAATTTTAATAATTTATTTAACCCAAAATATCAAAAATATTATCATTTCAAAATGTAATTAATATAAACATTATTGAGATACTTTAACTTTCTTTTTTTTGGTATTAAGTCTTTGAAATCTAGTTTGCATTTCATACAGTATATGTCAAATTAGACAAGTGACATTCAAGTACTCAGTAGCCACAAGTGGCTGGTGGCTGCCACCTTTAACACAGCAGCTTTAAATGACTCATTTACTTCAGTCAAGATAATCAGAACCCTCACGTTTTTGTCTGGGGTTTTTAAAAACTAACTTCTTTGAGTCTTCCCAGAAAGTCATAGACTTATACTATGCCATCTAATTCTCTTACATCCTTGTGACCTCATTCAGGTAGGGTGTAATTATGGGCCCATTCTAAGAATATGATCCAAGTGGTGCGACTTGCTTACTTGGAACTGAATCTCTGACCTGCCTTTTATAGGTCCTATATAGAATATAGCTTATCAGCCCAGCATACTGACATTGATCAGTGAAAGAAAAAACAGACAAAATTTGAGTTATGGGAAAATACCCTATCAATAGTATTAACAGGCTATAACAATCAGTAAGGCAATGAGATACCATTTTATACCAGTCAGAATGGCCATTATTAAAAAGTCAAAATCAACAGATGTTGGCAAAGAGGTGGAGAAAGGGGAACACTTACACACTATTGGTGGGAATGTAAATTTGTATGACCTCTATGGAAAGCAATATGAAGGTTTCTTAAAGAACTGAAAATAGAACTACTATTCAACCCAGCAATTTCACTACTGGGTATGTACCCAAAAGAAGATAAATCATTATATCAAAAATACACCTGAACTTGTATATTTATCACAGCACTATTAACAATAACAAAGTCCTGGATTCAGTCTAAGTGTCCATCAACAGATGGTTGGATAAAGAAAATGTGGTATCTATACATCATGGAATACTAATCAGCCATAAAAAGAATGAAATTATGTCCTTTGCAGCAACATGGATGGAGCTGGAGGCCATTATCTTAAGTGAAATAACTCAGAAACAGATAATCAAATACTGCATGTTTTCACGTGTAAGTGGGAACTAAACAAAGGGTACACATGGACATGAAGATGGGAAAAATAGACACTGGAGACTCCCAAAGAGGGGCGGATGAAGGAGCCTGGTGGTAAGGGTTGAAAAAGTACCTATTGGGCACAGTATTCACTGTTCAGGTGCTGGGTACACTAAAACCACAGACTTCACCACTATGTATTACATGCATGTAACAAAACTGCACTTACATCCCTTGAATCTATAAAAATAAAAATAATTTAAAAATAAAGAAAAGAAAATTAGTGAAGGAGTGTAACCACTTTGGAAGATGGTGAAAACAGATAATGTAAGTACTGAAAATAGACTTTAAGATTTAGCAGCGGCCGGGCGCGGTGGCTCACGCCTGTAATCCCAGCACTTTGGGAGGCCGAGGCGGGCGGATCACGAGGTCAGGAGATCGAGACCATCCCGGCTAAAACGGTGAAACCCCGTCTCTACTAAAAATACAAAAAATTAGCCGGGCGTGGTGGCGGGCGCCTGTAGTCCCAGCTACTTGGGAGGCTGAGGCAGGAGAATGGCGTGAACCCGGGAGGCGGAGCTTGCAGTGAGCCGAGATCCCGCCACTGCACTCCAGCCTGGGCGACAGAGCGAGACTCTGTCTCAAAAAAAAAAAAAAAAAAAAAAAAAGATTTAGCAGCAGCAGTTGAGCGAAGAAACAGTTTGATATCTCCTTGTTAACCATGTCCACAGAGGGGTCCATATTTTTCTTCTTTATGAAACCACAGCTGCCTCATGAAGTAGATGCATTGAGGACACATATTGCAAAATTTCAATAAAGGTCCTGAAACACATGAGTATTTTCATAGAATGGAAATTAAGAAGAAAAAAAAAAGAATAGAAGTGAAACCAAGATTTCCCAAAGCAAAGATTTCTGGGATTAAGAGATGAGACGAGATGAGTGAAGCTGAGTGTGCCATGCACTTCTGTAGGGGTAATGTGAGTTTGGGGAAGGAAAAATGCAGTAAAATGAGAAAAGATTAGGCCTTGATAGTGCATAGCAAATTATTGTAGCATGCCTCCTCACCATATGCTCATTCCATGATAAATTCATGT
The DNA here is from genome assembly GCF_000001405.40 of Homo sapiens. Taxonomy (NCBI): domain Eukaryota; kingdom Metazoa; phylum Chordata; class Mammalia; order Primates; family Hominidae; genus Homo; species Homo sapiens. The sequence goes on along the minus strand of NC_000002.12, from coordinate 157,632,431 downwards.
TCCAAGATGAAATGAGAAATTAAGATGCATGGGTTTGGAGATTCTGGAAAGGATAATAATAAAAGGAACCTGCATGATAAAAAAAAAATCCCAAACAAAAAACCACACCCAACAGATAGTCTTTTTCAAAGCTCAATTATTACACACCATTCTCTGCCTTATTAATTTGGGATGTTATTCTGCAATGTATCAAATCTTTACAATTTACAGTTCCTATACCTGGTTTCCTTGCTTATATAAGATTTACTCAGACAAAATCTGTTTTGCTGATGGGCTATGAACCCCTCAATTATTTGTTGTTGTTTTCTTTTGGTTTATGAGAATACAGGAGTCATGATGTAATGTTGCTATGGCAATGAATATGTACAAATAGATGATTAAGGTGGCGGGGGGGATGTTAAATCTTGAAAAAACACATTTGCATGTAAATTCTTTCCAGTGAAATAAAAGAATCTTGCATGTAAATCTTTTTCTGTTATGTGCAAAAATATGAAAGAAAGACGTGTTATATCACATCTTGAATAATGCATTTCTATTGTTTATATTCAATGACATGAACAACTAAATATGGTCCAAAGAGTATTTTTTATTAATGGTTCATTTCAAAAGACATTGGATTAAGACCGGATTAATTTCCATGGACGTGTGTGTGTGTGTGTAAATAAAGTATAATTGGGACACATTATAAGGACTAAGATCTTTTCTTGGTTGCCATGAGTGTGGCATTAAGAACTCAAGCATATAACGAATATTTATAATTTCCTAAGAGTACACTTTACTAGCTATTAGGATTCAATACACTGAGAGTAGTTAACATCTTACTGCAAAGCTTTCATAGTACTGATATTGGAACATGCACAAGAGGGTGGGGAAAATGGTATTTAAAGACCTAGTTTAAAATATTCCTACAAATAAAGTACTTAGATTTTTGATGTACTAACCTTTCTTGATGTTTTACAGAACTTTGAACCAATAATTTAAAAGATCCTGATTCCTTTATTGGCTGGCCATATACTGACTGACAAGATACCTAACTACTCTTTTTTTTTTCTATATATATACTGTTCTTAAGACAAGGTAAGGATCCTTGCCATCTGTTAAGGATTCTTTAGACCAGTACTGTCCAGTAGAGTTGTAATGTGGGCCACCTGTGTAATTTAAAATTTTCTGGTAGTCACACTAAAAAGTAAACAGAAATAGGTAATATTGATTTAATAATATATTTTATTCAACTCTATGTCCAAAATACTATCATTGCAACATTTAAGCAAGATAAAATTATTAGTAATGTATTTTTTACATTCTTATTGTTGTACTAAATCTTTGGATCTAGCATGTATTTTTTATTTACATCATATGTCGATTCAGTCTAGGCACATTTCAGGGGCTCAATATTCACATGTGGCTAGTGGCTACCGTGTTGATAACGCACCATTAGACTAAGAGGAAAGCATTGAGTTTGTGTAGAATATTGGAGTTATTCAATATTTGACTTCTTGGAATAATAAGCTTTTTTTTTTTTTTTTTTTGGAGACGGAGTCTTGCTCTGTCGCCCAGGCTGGAGTGCAGTGGCGCCATTTCGGCTCACTGCAAGCTCTGCCTCCTGGGTTCACGTCATTCTCCTGCCTCAGCCTCCCGAGTAGCTGGGACTACAGGCACCCGCCACCACACCTGGCTAATTTTTTGTATTTTTAGTAGAGACGGTGTTTCACCATATTAGCCAGGATGGTCTCGATCTCCTGACCTCGTGATCCGCCCGTCTCGGCCTCCCAAGGTGCTGGGATTACAGGCGTGAGCCACCGCGACCGGCCTTTTTTTTTTTTTTTTTTTTTTTTTTGCAAATGAGAGCTTTACAACTTGCAGAGGATGTTGCTTTAGAGACAAAATAAGTATGTGGGGAGTAAATCCCTGCCATTGTTGTAATGTGTATGGTTTAACAATGCTCTCTCATACACTACCCTTTTTGATCCTGGTCAAAGTTCTGGGAAATAGGGAGGAATTAAGTTCCATTTACTTTTGAGGAAGCAGACCCAGAAAGTTCATTACATTCTGCTATTTAGGCTCCCGGTATCATGATCTATTGGCAGATCACAATTTAAGGTGCAGTTATCAAATAATTAGCAAGCCAAACCAGACAAAATATAATGTGTCCTAGCAGTTTCTTGCCTTTTTAAAAAAGCATCTGTTTTGTGGGTGTCTGAAAGGGCTCAGATTTGTCCCACATCTCCAGTTTTTTGTTTGTTTGGATCCAGGATAAAACAAGAACAAAGTTTTTTTGTGCTTAGGAATATAAGATGGTGGCAGAAAAGATCCTCAGGATGCCACCCACATCTCAAAGTCCAACAACCATCTCATCTCCCATACTGTGATCCTTTGATAATAAAGTCAATTACATACAACATTTCACCATAGGTCTTTCATAGAACTTAGAACACCTAGCATATAATTTAGTCCTGAGCTAGGTGAAGAAGCAAGAAATGTTTTACTCTAAAGCAATTTTTATGACGCTATCACTTTTCAAGGAACCCCCAACAGTAGTAATAACACCAGTATTGTATTCTTGCTTTTTCGCGTTGTTCAGATTGAAATAATCCCATTCACTTTAATGTTCAGGCTCCATAGGTGAATTGAATTTAATTTCTATAAATTGGTAATGTTGCCGTTGTCCTTATATTTTCAGGCACAATCCAGGCCTTATATTTTCAGGCACCCGTTTGACAGTTAGCCTCTAGGGATTAAACAATACTCAAACAAGTTTTTCATATACTACTTTAAACAATTCTTCCCCTTCCCTTAATCCGTGTGTGTGTGTGTGTGTGTGTGTGTGTGTGTGTGTGTGTGTGTATGTTCCCTTAGTTCTTCAATTGCTGAAGTTGTAGCTGCCGAAATTATCTTCCATAGGTGAGGTCTTTTACCACCAGACGTGGGTCACACATTGTAGATGGCCACATCACCTGGCGCAGGTGGTCCAGCTTTGGTCGCCATTCATAGAGGGAAGGGTTCCCAAAAGGCACCCAAGAAGAGATGAAGTTTGTTAAACCAAAGCTTATAGGTCCAGAAGGCAGTCGGACAACTGGTCATTTCCAGGGATGAACAGAGAGGGCGCCCTTCCCCAGAGGCACAAATGGCCAGGACGCAGGGGTGGGACAAGCCAGTAGGAAGCCCGCGGGGCTCTCACAGCGCAACCTGGTTGGACTTAAGGACCCTGGACAACAAACGTCAGGAGAGCTAGGAGGCTGGCTCTTCTGCGGGAGGTTATAGAGCGGATCACCTGGGCGCAATCGCCGCGTAGTTGAAGTTTCCCTAAAGTCTCAGTGGGGCTTTTCCTCCCGTGAGAAGCCCCATTCCTGAGTATCTAGTCCCGGAGGCTCCGCACTGCTTCCCCACGCCCCCTCTTTCTTCGCCCCAGCTCTGGGCGATCTCACTGCCGGGCACAGGGCCGCCTTTGCCTGCCTGCCCTGCAGCAGCAGGCCCGGGCGGCTGCGAGAGGGCGCAGGGGGCGGAGGCGCGGCAGGGGCGGGCTCTGCCGCCCGCCCCACCACCCGCTCCCCGCCCGGCTGCGGGGCCAGTGGCAGGAGCGCCGCGCACCGCCAGCCGCAGGGGGCGTGGGATGGGGGCGGCCGGGGAGGGGGGCGCCCACACTGACTAGAGCCAACCGCGCACTTCAAAAGGGTGTCGGTGCCGCGCTCCCCTCCCGCGGCCCGGGAACTTCAAAGCGGGCCGTGCTGCCCCGGCTGCCTCGCTCTGCTCTGGGGCCTCGCAGCCCCGGCGCGGCCGCCTGGTGGCGATGACCCGGGCGCTCTGCTCAGCGCTCCGCCAGGCTCTCCTGCTGCTCGCAGCGGCCGCCGAGCTCTCGCCAGGTACGGTGCTGGTTTCTCTCCCGACGCCCGCGAGGGTGGGAGCTGGGAGGAGGTCTGCGGGTGAGCACGGGGGTGGGGGACAGGGGGTGCTCCGAGCAAACTGACCTTCGGGGCGGACAGGGAAGCGCCAGTCGGATTGAGGGGGCGCGGGATAGGGTGCAGCGTGGGCACCTGACGTCTGGCAGCCGTAGGGGTAGACAGGTGTGTTGGGGACGAAGCCGCCCGGAAGAGGGAAAAGGCAGCAGGGACGTGGGGGAATAAGTAGTAGGGGTGAGGTGGGTGACTAATTTGTGGGCAGTTTGCAGCGGAGAAAATAGGAGAGCGTTTGTGGGTGCGCGCATGGCTGGGAGCTGGGTTCACCCTGCAGGGACCTGGAGGGCTGCAGGTATGCGTCGGACGCGCTCTGTGCTAAGCCCCTGAGAGCTGCTCAAGGATGGTGGCATGGTGGTGGTGGGAGGTGGTGATTTAGTCTGAGTTTTAGGAGGCGGGGAATACCCCAAAAGCCGCAGATGCCAAGCTATGGAGGCGAGAGTGGGAGCTTAAATCTGTGTGGTTTGCAACGCACATTGCTTTCGAGGTACGATCTTTACTCAGAGTTCCTGGGGAAAAAAATTCTGGCAAGCGCCCCAGAGTTTATAACAGGTCTGTGCCTTGATAGGCTAAATAGAGCCCTCTACCCAATCTAGAAGCCAGACGTTTCTTTATAATGTTTACTAGAAAGTGGGGCAAATGCATCTTTGGTAAAATCATAATATGCTGTGACTAAAAGCCCTTTACCTCGAAAACTATTTTCATTACATTGTCCTGGATTATGCAGAGGAGGAGCAGATTCTTTGCTAACTCATTCTTTAAAAATTTCTATCAGACATTGAAGACATTTGCACATAAAAATCTGGTGTTTTCCCATAGAGCTGTGTTTTGTCCGAAGCTGATTTTGATGCATTTTGTTTTCCCAGATGACAATCTGTTTGACATTAATAGCTATATTCATGGTGGGTCGTTTTCCTCTTAGTGACATGTGCAAGAGAATGATTTGAATGATATGATTGCTGTCATGTACAGATTTCAGTGTTTCAGATGGCCTGAGAGAATCACTAAATACAATATTCAAATATAAATTTGATTATTGAAAAGGATTAATTGACAAAATCTGAGGATTAAAACATTCCAGTTATCTTTTAGGAAAACAGCCCAAGACTGTCGGAAAGATGATGGGATAAAGTGAAATATTTGCATTTAGAGTTAATAAATTTATAAGTGGGAGAAAACCAACTATGGGAAAGTCTTTAAAAAATGGGTGAAAACTCTGCTAACTTGGGATACTGAAAGTGCTCTTGACAATTTAATAGAGTTTACAAAAAAAAGTCTTCAAGGTATCACAGTTTTGATGGGGTGAAACTGCCTCTGGAGGCTGTCTGTACAACTCTTTTTATTTGGAGGAGCTGATAACTTGGCTGCACACATTTCTACAAAACAGATTCAATTTTTTTAAAATGTAGCTTCAAGGGTATATTTTGTTGTATACCCAGAATCTTTAGAAAATTTCAGAGACCTTGAGCATAGCAACATGCCTCATGTTCTTGAAAAGGCATGGAAACTTTTGACATTGAAATATGCAAAAAATAAAAAAAAGATAATCCATTCAAAGTCGCTCACTTAAAATTTGAAGTCTAAGAAAAATGCATGATATGGAATAATATAGTAGAGATGTATTTATTGAAGCTGAACTTTTATGAAAAACTTTTCTATGTCAAGTGCAATCATTTTCAAATCTCCTTAAGAAGTTTTTACCCCTCTGTGTCCCACGTTAACAATGTATATTGCTACTTATAGTATTTATTCTTAACTTTATATAAAACTCTGGCTATTTAGTAGAAAGATTCAAGGTAGTTTTGTTTTGCTTTTCACTTTTTCAATTGGTTTTATGACATGGTTAGCCAACTGTATTTTTACCTGGTCACTTTTACAAATTATACTGTTAATCATATTGGCCATTTATGACATGTACTTGCTGTTGTTGGAATGTTATATGAGAAGTTGTTCTTGATGTAATGACATAGTCAGTGAAACTGTGTGACAGAAGGCACCACCTTTCATCTGGATCTGCAGAGCAGGCCTACGACTTTAAATATCTGAACACATGATAAACCAGTAAACCTTTTTTACTTTGGCTGCTCATTCCCCACATTGTTGTCACCTTAGGGGTGTCCATTGCTCCTTTTTGAGAATCTCAGAAGATAACAGCTGGTAGAGACTTAGAAAAACTGTTTATTGGTCTGGACTGGAATTAAAAAAATCAGGCTGGCTGGGTGCAGTGGCTCACGCCTCTAATCCCAGTACTTTGGGAGGCCGAGGTGTGAGGATTGCTTGAGGCCAGCAAGTTCAAGACCAGCTCAGGCAACATAGTGAGACACCATCTCTACAAAAAATTTAAAAACAATTAGCCAGTTCTGGTGGCACACACCTGTAGTCCTAGCTACTTGGGAGGCTGAGACAGAATTGCTTGAGACCAGGAGTTCAAGATTGCAGTGAGCCATGATCACACCACTGCACTCCAGCCTGGGTGACACAGTGAGGCACCGTCTCTAAAAACAAGAGCAACGAAAAACTCAGGCTCCTCTGAGTTGCTCTGGTTATGTAGGTTCTGGATGCCTTGATGTTTGATAAGAGAGACCTGACATGGCTTCACAATATTCACCATGTGTACCCAAAAAAGAAGTGGCAGAAAATGTCCTGGAGTTCTCTACTTTGAAGCTGTGATTTGGATGTTACATAGATTTACATATTGTGCATTCTCTTCTAATTTCTTGAAACTCCTTTGTCCTCTGGTCCAGAAAGGATTATTAAGAGTCCAGAAAGCCCTATGTTGTTACTCCAAAAATGGAATAAATATTTCCTTAATAACCAGGGTGAGAGTGGGGGTTTCAAGTAATGAAATTCTTCCCCCCACCCCCCTGCACCCCTCTGCACCCCCTCACCCCCACTGCAAACAATAGTTAGCAGTTTCCACTAAGAGTTTTCCACAGTGTTGCTGGAAGTGAAAGTGAAAGCTCAGGGCTGACTGAGTTTATAAATGCAAAAGATGTTGCCATCTTTGCCCTTCTTTAAGCATAGTCATTTATTGGTTGATTGACACAGATGTGGCAAGAGGCTCCCTGGTTCCAAGGAAGACATCTCTGGCCCAGGAGAAACTATGCTTAGAGATTTCCTCTGAATTGCTAAACTCATACAAAAAATAAAGGACTTTGAGGTGTGAAAGTGAGTAGCTAAGGATGATGCTACATTTTTGACCCAAGCAATGGAAGAATGGACCCTTAATTGGGGTGGGGCAGACTGCAGGAAAAGCTGGTCTGGGGAGAGAAGGGTTGGTGCTGACAGATCACAGGAGCTCAGTTTTGAATATGTTGAGTTCAAAATGCCTCTCAGATGCTGAAATGGAGATGTTAAGTAAGCAATTGGTTTTCTGGGTCTGAAGTTCAGGGGATAAATATGGACTGATGATAAAAAATTGAGAGCCAAGGGCATTTACTGATAACTTTTCAAAGACGCATTAAATAGAGCCACAGACTTAGCAAATAAGGCAGAGAATACCTTGTTAGATTGAATTTGAGATAAACAATGAATACCTCTTTAGTATAAGTGTGTCACAAGTATGACATGGAACACAAGTATATTAAAAATTAATTGCTGTTTAATTCCAATTTAACTGGGTGTTCTGTACTTTTATCTTGCAAACCAACATAAAAGAAGTCCTGTTGTGAGATAAACCATTCCTGATGCATGTATTTCTGGCTCTTTTATTAAAAAGAGAAGTGAAGACCTATTTTCTAGTCCTCAGCTCTAAAACCCTCGCCTGTTCTAGCTCCGTTACTGTCTTCATGTGCATCTCCCAATGTGTCACTCCCAACTCTTTGCACAGGATATCTCTCTTCTGTGTGAACCTGAAAGGATACCTAGTTTTCTCCAATCCTACATGAGTATCTAGACATGAAAATATGGGTGAAAAAAACAAGAATAACTCTTGATTCCCTTGATTGTTGCATGAAAGCAGTTGGTTTTTCCCAAGTTCGCTGTATTTTGGAAGTGGTTATTTTCAGATGTGATTTTGGAGTAGTTTCCTTTTGAATACACTTTCATGTTTCTCTTTTGGGGAAATGCTTTCAGGCAGTAGCCAAGACCCACTTTGTTGTACTTTTCTTGGCACTACTTGCATCTCTTGCCGTAAATAAGGTTAAGAGGAGAGGAGATTGGATAGAGGCAGGAATAAGGAGGCTGCTGAGCCCTGTGGGACCTGTTATTCTGATATAGTTTGAAGTTTTAGAGCATGTTCCTAAGAGAGCAATGACAAGATTTTGGGGAAGGGGCTTGGATACATAAATATCATCCTGAAGCTGTTTAGTTCCTGCTCTAGCTTAGTCTTGACCTACCAAATGATTAATGTTATCTTCAATTTGAGATCTGTAGTGTCCTATAAGTGGACAACTGCAGGCATGGATCATTAAAAAGCTCAGATTATGTTGACATATATATAAAGAGTTTATTTTAATAAATAATAGAACAAGAGAATTAATTTTCAAGTATAATTAGTAAACAGAACAAAACAAAGGAAAAATTCTAAGCATAAAGAGTGTGCTATGTATTATGCCTTATCATTAAAAAAATTTAAATTATTCAAAAAAATTTTTGTGGGTGCATAGTAGATATATATATATGTATGGGGTACATGAGATGTTTTGATACAGGCATGCAGTGTGAAATAAGCACATCATGGAAAATGGGGTATCCATCCCCTCAAGCATTTTATCCTTTGAGTTACAAACAATCCAATTACATTCTTTATTTTAAAATATGTAATTATTACTGACTATAGTCACCCTATTGTGCTATCAAATGGTAGGTCCTATTCATTCTTTCCATATTTTTGTACCCATTAACCATCCCCACCTCCCCCACCAACCCCCTACTACCCTTCCCAGCCTCTGCTAACCAGCTTTCTATTCTCTCTGACCATGAGTTTGATTTTTAGATCCCACAAATAAGTGAGAACATGTCATGTTTGTCTTTCTGTTCCTGGCTTATTTCAGTTAACATAATGATCTCCACTTCCATCCATGTTGTTGCAAATGACTGGATCTCATTCTTTTTTATGGCTGAATAGTACTCCATTGTGTATATATACCAGATTTTTGTTATCCATTCGTCTGTTGATGGACACTTAGGTTGCTTCCTAATCTTAGCTATTGTAAATAGGGCTACAACAAACATGGAAGTGCAGATCTCTTCCATATACTAATTTTCTTTCTTTTGGGTTATATCCATCAGTGGGATTGCTGGATCATATGGTAGCTCAAGTTTTAATTTTTTGAGGAACCTCCAAAGGGTTCTTCTTAGTGGTTGTACTAATTTACAATCCTACCAACAGTGTACAAATGTTCGCTTTTTTCCACATCCTTGCCAGCATTCATTATTGCCTGTCTTCGGAATGTAAGCCATTTTAAATGGGGTGAGATGATATCATTGTAGTTTTTATTTGCATTTCTTTGGTGATCAGTGATGTTGAGCACCTTTTCATGTGCTGTTTGCCATTTGTATGTCATCTTTTGGGAAAAGGCTATTCAAATCTTTTGTCAATTTTTTTATTGGATTATTAGATTTTTTTTCCCTACAGTGTTATTTTAGCTCCTTATATATTCTGGATATTAATCCCTTGTGAGAGGGGTAGTTTGCAAATATTTTCTCTCATTCTGTGGATTGTCTTTTCACTTTGTTGATTGTATCCTTTACCATGCAGAATCTTTTTAACTTGATGTGATCCCATTTGTCCATGTTTGCTTTGGGCATCTGTGCTGGTGGGCTATTACTCAGGAAATCTTTGCACAAACTGATGTCCTGGAGATTTTCCCCAATGTTTTCTTGTAGTAGTTTCATAGTTTGAGGTGTTTAATTCATTTTGATTTGACTGTTTTTGTATATAGTAAGAGATAGGGGTCTAGTTACATTCTTCTGCATATGGATATCCAGTTTTCCCAGGACCATTTATTGAAGAGACTATCCTTTCCCCAGTGTATGTTCTTGGCACCTGTGTTAAAGATGAGTTCACTGTAGGTGTGTGGATTTGTTTCTGGGTTCTTTATTCTGTTGCATTGGTCTATGTGTCTGTTTTTATGTCAGTACCATGCTGTTTTGGTTACTGTAGCTCTGCAGTATAATTTGAAGTCAGATAATGGGATTCTTCCAGTTTTGTCCTTTTTTCCTTAGGATAGCTTTGGCTATTCTGGGTCTCTTGTGGTTCCATATAAATTTTAGGATTTTTTTTTCTATTTCTGTGAAGAACGTCATTAGTTATACCTTATAGTATCTTCTTGGTTTTCCATTGCTTTGGTCTTCTAAGTCTTATATTTTTCACAGTCAATAGTCAAAATCTCAAGATTTATCCTTACCTTGTTGAAGAAATTGGGATAGTATGTTTAAGAAATTGAGATATGTTCATAAATGATACACAAATGACTCTTTTGCTAATGGGACCTAGGAATACCCAAACACTAGCTGCTGAGTCTCATCTTCAGTTAAGAGGTGACATCTAGAAAAAGGAGGTGAAACAAGGCAAAGTAACTTTTTCTTATTACCTGGAGCTTTTGTCCCCAGTAGCATGGCAAACTTGAATACGCTCTTCTTTTCAACAACTAAATAGCCCAAGGATAAAGGTAGAGGAGCTGTGATAAACCCGAACCCTGGATTCTAACTCCAGGAAACCATTGAAAGGCTATTCAGTCCTGGCAAAATGAAGCCATAGAGGCTGTGGAGCAAGGGACCTCTATTTGCAATACCTCGCATTAGTCCAGGTCTCATGGAAACTGGCAGGAGTTCCAGGCAATAATTTCAGGGGCGACTGCTAGGTGAGGGAAAAAGTAGAAAGTCTGTGGAAAGAGGTGGCGGGATCTCTTCTACCAAGGAAGCAGGTTGTACCCTTCCCACACTTGCTGTGGAAAAGAAGGAAGACATAGCCATGACCATGAGCCCCTTGTTTTTCTTGTTCTTTGAAAGCTGGATCCCTAAAGCATGTGGGCCACTTGGTTCCCTGAAACCCGAACAATACAAATCACTACTCCTCCTACTTAGGGATCCAGTAAAAAGTAAAAGGATGGAGGAGGTGGGTGGGAGTATGAAACAGACAAGGAAGACCTTATTTACATAGAAGCCAACACTTTGCTCCTTCTCAGGGGCTACCATTGCCTCATGATGTGCCCCTTGAATTCACTGCTCTGATTGGCCAGCCAGGCTAACACGGCTCTGCTGTGTCCTGATTCTTCACTTTTTTTCCTCTAGAATAGCTTCTACTTTCTGTTGTTCTCTTCTGTCTTTTAGACAGTAGGCATGCAAAGATACTGTTTCTTTGGAGCTGTTTTAAATTAATCTCAAGAATTCATGGGTGATTCACTAGGTATGACTCAAGAGCTTGGCTTATTATTATTTTTTTAAAACAATTTAAATTTGCCAATGACTTAAACATCCCAAATTAGATCAATCCACTTTTTCATTAAACTTTTCACTTCAAGAAAATCATTAGGATGCTCCCATTTTGAAAGTGAAACACACATTTTCTCCCAATCTATTTTGTCGTTGTTATCTCATGGTTAATAAAAAGACAGGGATGGATGCTACATCTCTGCATATTGATTAAGCACCTTATACCTTTTTTTATGCAACTTGATAATTGACTGAAATAAAGACTCTATGATCAAAAACGGGACTAGAAAAAAAATCTAACTCATCAGGATATGGACATGTTCAAATAGCTAGAAGACCAGATTTTGAATGTTCTCAACATAAAGAAATGATAAATGTTTGAGGTGGTGGATATGCTAATTCTCCTGATGTGATCATTGGACACTGTATACATGTATCAAAACATCACATTGTATCCCATAAATATATACAATTATGTGTCAATTAAAAAATAATTAAAAACAACAAATATAAATTTTTTTTAATGCATACGTATCCAAGAGATGTTAATTCAGAAACTGGTAATCCGGATTACTACAGCTTAAAAAAACCAGATTGTTTTACAACAGAGCCAAAATATATTAAAGAGTATTAAGTAATCACATCTCACAACTTTATCCGATGGCATTTTCCTGGCCTACTCCCCTGGAAGTGTATCTTTTTTTTCTCTATCATCTCCATTTTCGTTCTCCAAGAGTAAAAATTCTATTCTGTGGACATTTGCTTGCTCTGATAGTCATGGTGAGATTGTGTTCTCACTTAAATTCTACTTGCAATCTGTCATTTGTATTTCCAGAAAATAGACATTACACAAAATTTGACAGGTTGAATACAGAATAATTATATAATTAGCAGAAGATTCCTTATAGAATAATAAATGTATAACTGAATGAAACTCTTTTTGAAAATCTTTATTTCCTACAGCTACTCTTTAGCTATGTTCTATGAAAAGGCATTCCCTTATGTAGAGAGAAGAAAGTTGACTTCGTTAAAACAACTGGACCCCTTTAGAAGTATAGAGAGTTATTGTGCCAAATCAAGATGATGTTCCCCAGAATGGCTTTTACTCAACTATGCTTTGGATATTGCCATTACCATGAAGTTTTTTTTTGCCACATTTCCTTATTATCCTTTTAATATTTGTAAGATTTGTAGTGATGGCCCCTTTAATATTTCTGAAATAGGGAATTTGAATTTTCTCTCCTTTTACCATGATCAGTCTAGCCGGAGGTTTATCAATTTTATTGACTTCTTGCAAATAAATAGCTTTTGGTTTTATTTATTTTCTCTGTTTGTTGTCAGTTATTTTCTTCTCTTCATTATTTTCTTCATCCGCTTTCTTTAGGTTTAAGTTATTGCTTTTTATTCCAGGTTCTTTAGCAGGTACATTATATCAAGTGTTGGCAACATTTTCTCAAAGGGTCAGAGTTTATCCTATTTTAGGCTTGTGAAACAAATAGTTACTGTTGCATCCACTTAACTCTGCCTTTGTAGTATGAAAGCAGCCACGGACAATACATAAACAGATAGGTGTTGCTGCATTTCAATAAAACCTTATTTATAGCCAATAGGCCATAGTTTGCTGACCCACATTAAATTATTAATTTAAGACCTTTCTTCTCTTCTAATATACATATTTAACTTCTAAGTTTCCCTCTCAGCAACTGCTTCAGCTCATCCATAAATTGTGATATTGTGTTTTTATTTATACTGAGTTAAAAATCTTTACTAGTTTCCTTTGTAATTTTTTGAAGCCACCTGTGTGTTATTTGGATGTCTGTTATTTAACTGCCAAATATTTTAGTAATTTTCAGAGCTTTTTTTTTTTTACAGAATTCTACTTTAAATCCATTTGGGATGAAATAACAGAATCTACATGATTTCATTTATTTTGAATTCATTTGTGTTTGTTTTATAGTCTGGCACATGTCTGACCTCGTGAATACTCCATATGTACTTGAAAATACTACATATTCCACTTTGGATGAGTGGAGTGTTCTGTAAGTGTCATTTAGGTCAAGTTGCTAGACAGTATTACTGAAGTCTTTTCTATCTTTACTGATTCTCTGTCTTCTTGTTTCACCAGCTATTGAGAAAGGATTGTTGACATCTCTAATTTACTTGTGGATTTATGTATTCCCTTTTTTTGTTTTTTTCTAATTGTTGCTTCCTATATTTGAATATTTTGTTCTTGGGTACATACACAATTAGGATTATTATGTCCTCTTTATCCATACTTATGACTGGGAAAACTCCTACTTTATCCCTGGTAATATTTGTTATTATGACATGCTTATCTTTATTACTGGTAATATGCTTTGCCTTGAGGTCCACTCTGTTGATATTAATATAACTATCCCACCTTTCTTATGGTTAATATTTATATATCTACTTTTTTAAACTATTGATATAGTTACTCTGTTATTCCAGTTTTCTTGTGCTGAAAGTCTACATATTATAAATTTTCCATTCTCTTATGCTTAACTCATATATATCTTTACATTTAAATTGGGTTTCTTATAGAGAGAGCATATGTTTGGGTCCTGCTTTTTTTAATCCTGTCTTACATACTTGTCTTTTAACTGGAGCATTTACAACATACACATTTAATATATTTACCAATACGGTTGTATGTAATAAATCTGTCATCTTATTTTTATATATCCTCTTTCATTTCCCCCTCTTGCCTTCATTTGGTTAAATTGACTAAATATTAGCTTTATATATTATTTTCACTATTAGTTTCTAAGCTATGCCTCTCTATTTTTAGTGATTGTTCCAAAATTGATAATATTACCATAGCTTATTTAAGAACCTTACCATCATATGCCTCCATTTCCCTCTCTTTGTCTTTTGTGCTATTAATCTCATATGTTTTACTTCTAAATATTTTGTAAACCTTGAAACTTATAGTTATTATTTTGGCTTTTATGTATTACCTTTAAAGAAATTTTAAAAATGAATATACTATTTTACATTTACCCACCTGTTTATCACTTTTAGTACTCTTCATTGCTTTGTATAAATCAAAGTTTATATCTGTTGTCATTTTCTTTCAACCTGAAGATCTTCCTTCAGTTTTTGTAGTTCAGTTCTGATAGCAACACATTCTAATTAATTTTTGTTTAGGGAAAGTTTGATTTTGCTTTACTTTTCCTCCCAACTTTTATTTTTAAGCTTCAAATATACACTAGAATTAAAAGAATTTTAGTTATCACCCATATACTGACCAATTGGATTATACCATTATTGTTTTATTATATAATTTTGCCTTATCATATATATATCCATTTATCCATCCTTCTATCCATTAATATATGTTATCTTCTGATGCATCTCCAAGTAAATTACACATAGCAGTATATTTTCTTTGAAATACTTCAGCATGCATATTATTACACAGAGTTCAACACTTTTCTTTTTGGATAAAATATTTATATGTAATGACATTCACAAGTCTTTTGTGTGTACTCATGAAATTTTGAGAAATACATTCACCTAATCTTTTTCAAGATATTAAAGATAAACATCATCACAGTGAGCTCCCTCATGTCTCTACCCAGTTATTCCTCAATGCGGTACTCCCAAAGGCATCTGCTGTTCTTTATTCCACCATAGATTAGTTTTGGCTGTTGGGTGTATTGTTTTGTAAATGCCAATTAGGTGAGGTTTATTGATAGTGTTGTTCTCATCATCTATATTTCTTACTGAGAGAAGTGTGCAGCTATACTTATGTATTTGTCTGTTTCTCCCTTTAGTTCCATTAGTTTCTATTTTATATATTTTGAAATACTTAGGCACATACACATTTACAATTTCCATGCCTTCCTGATGCAATGACTATTTAATTAATATAAGACGTCCCTCTTTATCTCAGTAATACTCTTTGTCTGGAAGTCTACTCTAATAGTAATATAACCATGCCAATTTTCTTATGTTTAGTATTTGCATGTATTTTTTCCCTTTCCTTTCCTTTCTATCGTGTCTTTATAAGGAAAGTGCATCCTTTGTACACAGCATATAGTTAGTTCTTCACTTTTACCTTTTAACACTTGGACAGTAATTAAGATGTTTAGTCCATTAACAATTAGTATAGTAATTGGTAGCCTACCCTCTTGCTATTTATTTTTCTTTTTATTATTCTTCTGTTCCTCTTTTTTGGCCCTCTTTTTGACTAGTAATTTTTTTGAGTATTTCATTTTACTTTCTTTGTGGATTTCTTAACTCTCTCCCCTAATTATTATTTTTAACTGGTTGCTCTATGTTTAACTGTATTCTTTCTTAATGTTCCTTTTGAATCAATACTGTGTCATTTCACTCATTACTCTTCACACCTGACACTTCAATCTTCTTACTTCATGCTTCTCTCTTTACCCTGACACCTCCAGTTTTAGTATAAAGACCTTGTAATAGTATGATTAAATTTACCAATAGTATAGTTATATTTACATCAACCAATAATTATGAGGAGATACTTAAGGAAAAACCCTACTCACAAGTGACAGAGCACTCAATAGAACCTGATTTAGATATGATGCATATTTTAAAGCTATTAGGCAAGGAATTTAAAATAACTATGATTAAAAACTGTAGTGGAAAATGTGGAAAATATGCATGAACAGTTGTAGCATTTCAGTAGAAGGGTAGAGAGTGTAAGAAAATGTCAAAAGGAAATGCTAAATATGAAAAACAAATGAAGAATGCCTTTGGTGTGCTCATCAATTGACCTGACACAGCCAAAGAAAGAATCATAAATTTGAAGATGTATCACTAGAAATTACCTTATAATAGTGTACTTATACTTGTTTAAAGCCATTACACTAAAGAGGGAAGCGTCCAGAGGTAATAAAGAGGGAGGAGCAAAAAGACCCAACAGAGCATCCAAGAGGTATGGGGTAATAACAAGTAATATAAAATATGTGTAAATGGAATGCTAGAAGAAAACAGAGGGAGAATGGGACAAAAGAAATAGTTGAAGAGATATTGGTTAATAATTTCCAGATATAATGAAAGACATCAAACCACCAAGCACAGAAGCTCGGAGAGCCCAATCCAGACAAATTTCTCTCCTCCCAAACCCTACACCAATAGACCATATCCATCATATTCTAACTGATGACATTCAAAGATAAATAGAAAATCTTGAAGGCAGCTTGCATTAAAAAATACCTCTTACATAAAGAGGAACAAAGTTAAGAATTGCAGCAGACTTCTTAGCAGAAACTGCAAAACACGAACCAATGAAGGGACTTTATTTTTTTTAATTTTTAATTTTTTTACAAGAACAGTCCTATTGCAATAAAGTGACAACTTTAAATGCAGTGAGTAAAAAATTGCCAACCCAATATTCCATACTACATGAAGTTTTTTTAAATGAAAGAGAAATAGACATTTTCCAATAAATAAGAACTTATGTAATCCCAGCACTTTGGGAGGCCAAGGTGGAAGGATTACTTGTGCCTAGGAGTTTGAGACCAGCCTAGGCAACATAGCAAGACCATGTCTTTACAAAAAATGAAAAAAATTAGCCAGGTATGGTTGTGCACACCTGTAGTTCCAGCTACTGGGGAGGCTGAGGTGGGAGAATTGCTTGAGCTCGGGAGGTCAAGGCTGCAGTGAGCTATGATCATGTCACTGTTCTCCAACCTGGCTGACAAAGTGAAATCCTATCTCAAAACAGGCAAAACCCACAAAAACCTCAAAGCATGCACCACACCTGGCTACTTTTTGTGTTTTTTTTTTTTTTTGTATTATTGTTACTTGTAGAGACAGGGTCTCACTACAGTGCTCAGGCTGGTCTTGAACTCCTGGCCTCAAGTGATCCTCCTGCCTTGGCCTCCCATAGTGCTGGTATTATAGGCATGAACCACTGTGCCCAGCTGCAAGGGCATCTCTTAAAAATATTTTTAAAATGGTAAAAATAATAAGCTAATAATGTAAATAAAATGGAATAAAAATATTCAATTAATCCAAAAGCATGAGGGTAAAATATCCAAGGGACCAAAAACAATGAATGGAAAACAATGAACAATATGGTAGATTTCATTCAGTTATACCAATAATTACATTAAATGTAAATGGTTTAAGTATAGCAATGAAAAGACTGAGATTGTCAGACTGGGTAAAAAAGCAAGATCTATATGCTGTCATAAGAAATCCACTTTAATATAAGAAATGCACTTTAAATACAAAGAGACAAATAGATTGAAAGTACAACTATGGAAAAAATTATACCATGCACACACTAACTATAAGAAAGCTGGGGTGGCTATATTAATAACAAACAAAATAGACGTCAAAAGATAAGATGCTGCAAGGGATATTCCATAGTGATAGAAATATCACTTCACTGACAAGATATCATAATGTTGTGTATGCTTCTAGCCATAGAGCTTCAAAATGCATGAAACAACAATGGATAGAACTGAAAGGGAAATAGACACATCTTTAATTATATTTTGAGTCTTCAAACTCGTCTCTCATATCTGATAGAATAAATAAACCAAACTTTAGTAAGGATATACAAAATCTAAAAAATAATTTTAACTAACTTGACCTAATTGACATTTATGTGACATTCCAACTAACAACAGCAGAATACACATATTTTAAAGTGTGCATAGAATATTAGCCAAGATAGACCATATTGTGGGGGCATAGAACAAACCTAATACATTTTTAAAAAATTAAAGTATACAGAATATGTTCTCTGAATATAATGGAAACAAACTAGAAATCAACAACAGGAACTTATTAAGCAATGAACTTCTACATACTTGTAGGTCAAAGTGGTTCACCTTAGCTAGATTTACAAAGAAAATAGAGGGAATACACAAATTACTGATGTTAGAAATGAAAGAAGGACATTGCTATCCACCCCACAGACATAAAACTAAAAATAAAGGAATATTGCATTTTGTTCACAATTAAAAAATTTAGGTAAAATGAGCAAATTCCTTGAAAGATATAAACTTCCAAAGACTAATCAAGAAATAATAAATAACCTGAATAGTCCTAAAGAGATTAAAGACATTCATTTTATAGCTCAAAGCTTGAAAACATCTAACAAAAAAGTCTCTAATTTCACATTACTTCACTGGTGAATTCTATCAAAATTTTTAGGAAGAAATAATGTCTATTCTACATAAACTTCCAGAATGTGCAAGTGGAGGGAACATCTTTCAGCTCATTTTATGAAACCAGTATTACAGTGAAACCTAAACTAGGTAAAGACATCACAATGAAAGAAAACTATAGACCAGTATCTCTCATAGAGATGCAAAAATCCTCAACAAAATGTTATTAAATTGAAGAAAAATATAACAACAGGATAATACATTATTTTCTTGTGGAGTTTGTCCTAGGAATGCAAGCCTGGTTCAACATTCAAAAATCGAATATTTCAATTTACCATTTCAGCAGACTAAAGAAAACCATATGACAATATCAACAGATGCATTTAAAACCAGATGACAACACTCACCTATAAAACACAGTTGAAATAATTTAAAGTAAACCTAAATGAATGGAATCCTATACAGTTGGCCCTCCATATCTGTGGGTTTCACATCTGCAGATTCAATCAACGGCAGATTGAAAATATTTGGAAAAAAAACACAACAAAAATTAACAATACAACAATAAAAATAATGCAAATAAAAAACCAATACAGTATTAAAACTATTTATATAGCATTAGGTATTATAAGTAATCTAGAGATTATTTAAAGTATAGAGGAGTTAAGATGGCTGACTAGGGACATTAGACACTCACCCTCCCCAGAAAGAAGAAGCAAAATTGCAAAGAGATAATCACACCTTGAATAGAACATCTAGGAGAGATCACTGGAGATCAACAGAAAAGTCACAGGAAACAACTGAGACACGGAAGAAAAAGGAAGTGAGCAGCCAGTGGCTGAGATTGGCTGGGATCCCAGAGGGGCTTCCTATTGCAGGGAATGGGTAAGTGAGAGACCCTTAGCAGTCCACATCCCCACTAGACTGTTGCCATGGGAGAGCTCCTCTACCTGTATGAACCCTTAGACTAACATGGACAATGATTTAGAGACTCTGCGGGAACATTACACTAGACAGGGAACTTGTACTGGGTCACACACATCCCTGAGACCTAAGCAGCTGCAAAATGGCATAATTGTGAGAGTTCTGCTGTCACTTGGATTCATCCTGCCCTGGTAACCATAGCCCCTATAGTTCTACATTCTGGAAGCCTCCACTGACATTCCCCAGTGTCTAGCTAAAGGGCTACAGGGGCACAGTGCTGGCTGGACCCAAAAGCGTTGTGTGCTCCTTAGTACTCTAGTCCACATGGAGTACTACTCTCTGGGGAAGGAACTGTGCAGCACACCAAGGAGGTGGCTCCTGGCACAAAGGAAACCAGAGTGTATACTTTCCATAGCCTGAGAGTTCCCTGTCTGGGGCTGTGAGAATTAACCCTGTCCCCAGCAGTGGCATGGACTCTGACGTTGGGCTTGCAAACAGAGAGTGGGACCCCTTCCCAACTCCACACACTGCTGCAGCAGTTGCTGCCACTGGGAGCTGAGGTGGGTGAGCCTGAGTGCTGATGGACTGGGAGTAGCAACCCTGTTCCCACTAGCAATGTGGCCCTTGTGCTCAGGCTAGCACATAGAAGAGTGGGGTCCTGTCCCTCACTCATACCACTGCAACACAGCTGCCCTTGCTGCTGCCAGAGGCTGGGGTGGGCTGCCTGTTTGGAGCTGGCTGTCTGGGGCTGTGAGTGGTGACTGAGCCCCCACTCTCAATGTAGCCTCTGTTTTGGGGCCCATGCAAGGAGGGCAGGGTCCCTCCCCACTAACCCCCCAAAACATTGCAGTCACTTCTGCAGCCAGGAGCTGAAGTAAGTGCTACCCAGAACCTAAGAGCTCCCTGTTTGGGATTGTGGTCACCAACTTTGCCCACACCAAGAGCACAGCCTCTGTACTCTGGTGTGTGGCCTGAATACAGGCTCCCCACACATTGTTGTGGCCACTGCTATTGACAAAGTGTGCACTTCTCAGACCCTGAGAGCTACCCACAGCAGACTGATAAAAGCAGCTCCATTTATCCCAATAGCATGAATGCTCTGCTCTAGAATGAGTCCTGGAGTCATGTTCTCCACACCCTTCACCACAGATTACCTCACCTTGTCTACTACAGCCTATGCCCCTGCATATCACCAGGGGACCAAGGTCAGACCTGCCCACCCTGGCACCACAACCACAGAGCCCAAGCATGCTGCCTGAGAATCTGGATCTCCCTGCCCATTTCACCACCTCTGGCATCTGTGCACTTCCCTCAGGAACTTTAAGAGCTGGCCCCCCCAGCTTGCTGTCAACACCACTGACAAAATATACCCACACATGCCACCTAGGAGCCTGGGGACTGGTCTACCCAGCCTATCACAGATACTGCCAACACCAGCACACACTGCTCAGGACCCAGAAAGTTGTCCTACAACTGCTGTTGCCATTGCCCACAACAAGCCTATTGCCCAGGGGCCCAAGAACCCACCCACCCTGCCAGCATCCCAAGCAGCCACCTGGAGGCCCAAGAATGGGCCCATCTGGACCCACTAACATCACAGTCAACATATGCCACCCTGGGCTCTAACGACAGGCATGCTCAGCCCACTGCTGCCACCACTCGTGCCTAAAGACCGACCCACCTGGAATTCCTGTCATCAGCACAACTTCACCACAGCCTCCACTCATAACCATACTCTAACTCACTGAGGAAATCACAGATACCACTGATGCTGTTTACTGCAAAAAAGTCATACAGAGACTACAGTACTGCGTGCACCCAAAGTCAAAGAGGAAGGGCCCTACCCAACCAATGTCATAGATACATCTTCAGGAAAAAGTCCTCTCCTACAAAAGGAAATTTGAAAAATTGGAAGAAGTAACTGTTATGCCAGAAGTGCAGATATCAATGTAAGAACACAAGAAACATTAAAAAGCAAGGACATATGACACCTTCAAGGGAACGTAATTCTCTAGCAACATATCCCAATCAAAAAGGAATTCTACAAATCCCAGATAAAGAATTCAAATTGTTGAGTTTAAAGAATCTCAGTGGGATACAACAGAACTTTGAAAAATAGTACAAAGAAATCAGTAAAACAATTCAGGACATGAATGAGAAATTTACCAAAGATATAATAAGAAATCCTGGAACTGAGGAATTTACTGAATGAAGTACAACATACATTTGAAAGCTTCAACAAAAGACTAGATCAAGCAGAAGAAATAATCTCAGAACTTGAAGACACGTCTTTCAAAAAAGTCTGGTCAGACAAAAACAAAGATAAAATAATAAAAAAGAATGAACAAACTCTTCATAATATATGGGACACAATAAAGGGACCAAATATACAAATTATTGGTATCCCAGAAGGCAAAGAGACACCAAAAGGGTTTAAAAACCTATCCAGTGAAATAATAGATGAAAACTTTTCCAAGTCTAGCAAGAGATTTAGACATTCAAATACAGGGCCCAGTGATCCCCAAACAGATACAATGCAAAAATGTCTTCTTCATGGTACATTATAATCAAGCTGTGTAAAATCAAAGATAAAAGAGAATTCTATAAACAGCAAAAGTATCTCGTCACCTATAAAGGAACTCCTATCTTTTTAAAGGCTGAATTTTCAACAGAAACCTTATAGGCCACAAGAGAATGGAATGATATATTTAAAATGCTGAAAGAAGAAAATTGATACACAAGAAAACTATATCCAGTGAGAATATCCTTCATCAATGAAGGAGAAATAAAGTCCTTCTTAGATAAGCAAATGCTGAGGGAATTTATCACCACTCTAAGAAATGCTCAAGGGAGTCCTAAACCTGGAAACAAAAAGACAACCATCATGAAAAAGATTACCATCATGAAAACACATGAAAGTATAAAACTCACTGACATGACAAACACACACATATTTGGAAGAGAAATAACTCAAATAGGACCACTACAGAACCACTAAACCACAAGGACAAATATTAAGAGAAAAAGAAAGGAACAAAGAATTTATAAAACAACTAGAAAACAATTAACAATATGACAGGAACAAAACCTCACATATCAATAATGACCTTGAATAGAAATGGATTAAATTCTCTACTTGAAAGATACAGACTGGCTGAATAGATACAAAAAATTATCCAACTATACACTGCCTACAAGAAATGCAGTTTACCAGTAAAGACCCATATACACTGAAAGTAAAGGGATGAAAAAAGATATTTCACACAAATAGAAACCAAAAGTGAACAGGAGCCGTTATACTTATATCAGATAATAGAGACTTGAAGTCAAGAACAGTAAAAAAGAAGACAAAGAATGTTATTATATAATTTTAAAGGGATAAATCCAGCAAGCAGATATAACAATTCTAAGTATGTATGTACCCAGATTCATGAAGCAGATATTACTAGTTCTAGAGAGAGAGCAAGACTGCAATACAATAATAGTGGGAGACTTCAACATCCCCCTTTCAGCATTAGACAGTTTATCTAGACAGAAAATGAACAAAGAAACATTGGATTTAAACTGCACCTTAGACCAAATGGACCTAACAAACATATACAGAACATTCTATCCAACAACTGCAGCATATTCATCCTTTGGATCAACACATGGCACATTCTTCAGGAGAGATCATGTGTTAGGTTGCAAAATAAGTCTCAACAAATTTTATAAAATTAAACTCATATCAAGTATCTTCTCAGACCACAATAGAATAAAACTAGAAATCAATACCAAGAGGAAATTTGGAAACTATACAAATACATGGGAATTAAACAACATGCCCCTAAACAACCATTGAGTCAAGGAAGAAATGAAGATGGAAATTTAAAAAAAAGTCTTGAAACCAGTGAAAATGAAAACAGCATATCAAAACCTGTGGGATATAGCAAAAGCAGTGCTAATAGAGAAGTTTATAGAGATAAATGCCCACACTAAAAAAAACACACCTGATTTAAAATAACCTAACAAGGCACCTCAATGAACCTCAAGAGCAAACCAAACCCCAAATTAGCAGAAGAAAAGAAATAATAAAGATCACAGCAGAACTAAATGAACTAAATAACAAAAAAAGGAAGAAATTCAAAGAATCAATGAGGTGAAGAATTGGTTCTTTGAAAAGATAAACAAAAGTCATAAACTGTTAACTAGACTAAGAAAAAAGAGAAGACACAAATAAACAAAATCAGAAGTGAACAAGGAGATACTATAATTGATACCACAAAAATACAAAAGACCATCAGAGACTGTTATGAACAACTATAAAGTAACAAACTGAAAAACATAGAGGAAATGGATAAATTCCTGGAAACATACAGCCTATCAAGATTGAATCAGAAAGATAACCTGAACAGACCAATAACAAGCAGTGAGATTGAGTTGTAATGAAAAGTCTCCTAACAAGTAAAAGCTCAGGACTAGACGTATTCACTGTGGAATTCTACCAAACATATAAAGAAGATCTAATACCAGTTATCCTAAAACTATTAGAAAAAATGGAAGAGCAGGAAATTCTCCTAAACTCATTTTTTAAGGCCAGCAATACCCTGATAGCCCTAGACAACGACACAACCAAAAAAGAAATCTACATGCCAATATCCCTGATGAACAAAGATGCAAAAATCCTCCACAAAATACTAACAAACTGAATCTAACAGCACATCAAAAAGATAACATATAATAATCAAGCGGGATTTATGTCAGGGATGCAAGTATGGTTCAACATATACAAATTGATAAATGTTATACTTCACATCAACAGAATGAAGAACAAAGATCATATGATTATTTCAACAGATGCAGAAAAAGTATTTGATAAAATTTAACAACTCATTTTGACGAAAAACTCTCAATAATCTAGGCATAGGAGGCATATACTTCAAAATAATAAAAGTAATATGTGACAAACCAACATCTAACATCATACTAAATGGGGAAAAATTGAAAGCCTTTCCTCTAAGAACTGGAATAAGACAAGAATGCTGACTCTCACCACTCCTTTTCAACACAGTACTGGAAGCCCCAGCCACAGAAGTCAGACCAGAGAAAGAAATAAAAGGCATTCAAATTGGAAATGAGAAATAAAAGGCATTCAAATTGGAAATGAGGAAATAAAATTATCCCTCTTTGCAGAGGACACGATCTTATATTTAGAAAAATCAAAAGCCTCCACCAAAAAAATTCCTAGAACTGTTCAATTCAGTAAAGGTGCAAACTACAAAACTGACATTCAGAAATATGTAGCATTTATATACTTCAATAATGAAATAGATAAGAAAAAATCAGGAAGGCAATCTCATTTAAAATAGCTACAAAAATACATAGGAATAAACTTAACCAAGAATGTGAAACATCTATACAAGAAAAACCAGAAAACACTGATGAAAGAAATTGAAAAGGACATGAACAAATGAAAAGACATTCCATGCTCATAGATCTGAAGAGTAGGTATTGTTAAAATGACCATACTACCTAAAGGTATCTATAGATTCAATGCAATTTCTATCAAAATACTAATGTCATTTTCACAGAAATATAAAAAAAATCCTAAAATTCATATGGAATCAAAAAAGAGCCCAGATAACCAAAACAATTCTAAGCAAAAAGAGCAAAGCTGGAGACATTATCCTAACTGACTTCAAAACATATTGGAAGGCTATAGTGACCAAATGTCATTTTTCACAGAAATATAAAAAAAGAATCCTAAAATTCATATGGAACCAAAAAAGAGCCCAGATAACCAAAACAATTCTAAGCAAAAAGAGCAAAGCTGGAGACATCATCCTAACTGACTTCAAAACATATTGGAAGGCTATAGTGACCAAGCAGCATGGTATTGGTATAAAAATAGACACATAGACCAATGAAACAGAATAGAGAACTCAGAAATAAATCTACGTATTTACAGCCAACTGATCTTCAAAAAAGCTGCCATGAATACACATTTGGGGAAAAGACACCCTTTTTAATGAATGATGCTGAGAAAAGTGGATAATTATATGCAGAAGAATGAAACTGGACCCCTAGTCCTCACTGTATACAAAAATCAACTCAAGATGGATTACAGATTTAAATGTAAAACCAGAAACTATAAAACTACTAGAAGAAAACACAGGGGAAACACTTCATGACATTGGTCTTGGCAAAGATTTTATGGCTAAGACTGTGAAAGAACAAGGAACAAAAACAAAGATAGAAAAATGGGACTATATTAAACTAAAAAAAGTTTCTGTATAGCAAAAGAAACAATCAACAGAGTGAAGAGACAACCTGTTGAATGAAAGAGAATATTAATACATTTCTTATTTGACAGGGGACTAATATCCAGAATATTAAATGAACCAAAACTCAACAGTAAAAACAAACAAACAAACAAACAATCCTATTAAAAATGGGGAAAGATTATGAATAGACATTTCTCAAAAGAAGACATACAAATGGCCAACAGGTGTATGAAAAAAATGCTGAACATCACTAATCATCAGGGAAATGCAAATCAAAACCACCATGAGATATCATCTCATCCCAGTTAGAAAGGCTATTAGTAAAAAGACAAAAACAACAGATGCTGGCAAAGTGTCCACAGAAAAGTGAACTCTTATACACTGTGGGTGGGAATGTAAACTAGTACAATCACTATGGAAAACAATATGGAGATTCCTTAAAAAACTAAAATTAGAACTACCATTCAATCCAGCAATCCCACTACTGGGTATTTATCCAAAGGAAATAAATCAGTATATCAAAGGGATACCTGCACTCACATGTTTATCACAGCACTACTCAAAATCTGCATTGTGGATTCAGCCTAAGTGTCCATCAGTGGATGAATGGATAAAGAAAATGTGATATATATATACATGATGGAATATTGTTCAGCCATAAAACAGAATGTAACCATGTTATTTGCAGCAACATGATGGAACTGGAGGTCATTTTGTCAAGTGCAATAAGCCAAGTACAGAAAGACAGATACCATATGTTCTCATTCATATGTGGGAGTTAAAAAACTTGCTCTCATGAACATAGAGAATAGAATGATAGATACCAAAAGCTGGGAAGGAGGGAAAGAGGGAGGGGGTGCTGAAGAGGGGTTTGTTAATGGGTGCAAACATATAATTATTTAGAAGAAATAAGTTCTAATGTTTGATAGCAGATTAGGGGCACTGTACTTTCCAACAATATATTGTATATTTCAAAGTAACTAGAAGAGGGGACTTGAAATGTTACCAACACATAGAAATGATAAATCTCAAGGTGATAGATACCCTGACTTGACTATTATACATTCTATGCGTGTAACAAACCCTGATATGTACCTCATAAATAAGACCTTATGTGTCAATAAATATTTAAGTAAAAGTAAAATGAAGTATAGGGGAGGATGTCCATAGGTTATAAGCAAATATTATGCCATTTTATATAGGAGACTTGCACATCCATGGATTTCGATATCCTCAGGAGTCATGGAACAAATTCCCTACAGATATTGAGGACGTATTGTACTATATTCACAGAATCAATTGCTCAGTGTTGTCAGTTTATTAATTTTCTCCAAATTGGTCTATAGATTGCAAAGTTTCAGTCAAAATCTCAGCAGGAATTTACGTAGAATTCACCAAGGTGATTCTAAAATTTATAGGGAAAGGCAAAGGAATGAGAATACCCAAGTCAATTTTGAAAAACAAGAACAAAGTTGGAATGCTCGTAGTACCTATTTCAAGATTCATTATAAATCTACAATAATTAAGACAGTGTGGTATTGACAAAAGGAGAGGCACATTGATCAACAGAATAGAATAACCAGAAATAGACCCATATATATATATATGTCAATTGATTTTTTTGACAAAATTATAAAGGCAATTTAATGGAGAAAGAATAGCCTTTTCAACAAATTACATGGGTACATTCATAAGCAAAAATAAATAAATAAGAACATCAAAATCTCTTGCATGTTTACAAGTATTAACTAAAATGGACCTAAGAATAAAATCTAAAACTATAAAAACTTCTAAAAGAAAACAGAGAAGAAAACATTTTGATCTTAGGTTAGGCAACATTTCTTAGATGAGGGTACTAAAAGCATGATCTGTAAAAGAAAAATATTGAATAAATTAGACTTCATCAAAATTACAAACTTCTGTTCCTTGAAAGATGCTGTTAAGAGAATGAGAAGACAAGATGCAGGCCAGGAAATAATGTTTGCAAAACACATATCTTATAAAGCACTTGTATCCAAAAAATATAATGAATACTCAGAACTCAATATTAAGGAAACAACTCAGTAAGAAGTGGACAAAATATGTAAGTAACTGGAACTCTCATACATTACTGGTGGAAATGTAAAATGATACAAGCCCTTTGGAAAACACTTTGGCAATTCTATGTAAAGTTAAATGTACACCTTCTATACAAAATAGTAATCCCACTCCTAGATATTTAGCAAAGAGAAATAAAACTTACTTTACCTAAAAACAGTATATTAATGTTTATTACAGATTTATTTCTAATCCAGAAAAATGGGAAAAAACCAAATGTCCTTTAACTGATGAATGGATAAACAAATGGTTGTATATGCATTCAAAAAAGCTCCTGATGTGTGCAACATGGTGAATAAATCTCAAATACCTTAAACCAAATGCAAAAGCCAGACTCAAAAGACTGCATTCGTTTGACATTCTGAAGAAGGCAAAAGTATAGGAAAAGAAAATATCACTGCTTGCCAGCAGTTGGGACAGAGAGAGAAAATGTCTAAAAAGTAGTATAAGTTTGGCAGGAGGGATTATGGAATTGTAGTTGTCAAAACTCATACAACTACACTAAAATAGTTACTGTAATAATTTCTATATGTAAATTACATCTCAATAAACCTGGCTCTCCTCCCCAAATTGGAGATCCTATAGATAAACTAAGAAGTCATACAGATCAGGAAATCAGCAGATTATGTTTCAAATTGGTTAATCAGGTATATTTTTAGAATTAATGTCCTAACATAATGTCCCAAAGAATAACAACAATAGTTAAACGTGGGTACCTCTGGGAAGTGAGAGTGGGGAGATGTGGGTCACCAGATGGATGCTTTTCTTTTAAATTCTTCCTGTACTATTTTTTTGCCATATGCAGTTATAACATTAATTCAATAGACATATTTTAAAATTACAAATAATTAAAATTTACCCATGTTTTATAACTTCTTTGAAAGTAAGGAATTTCTGTACATATTAAAATGTGTTTTGTCTGTGTAATCTTCATTCTGCAAAATGGTATTAAGTAGATAGAAATGAAATCAAATTAGGATAAATTAGGTTATGTTTAATTTGTTAACATGGAATAGTGATTTCTTCTCTTAGCAAAGGAAATTGCAGTCAGGGACATTATCTGTACACAGATAAAGCTCATTGTAAATGCAGCATTTGCTCACCTGTTCTTTTAGGTGAAAGCACTTGGTTGGACTTGAAAGGTCATTTATCACCTACAGGAGAACACTTATGGGCTACTTGGGCTCCTTTTCTTGCTTTACTATAGAATTAAGCTTGCTTATGGAGAATTTTGCTTGCATCTGCAGTCTCTACAGAGGATCATTAATGTGTTAACAAACCTATTTTGCTGAGTCAGATTAGAGGTACCCCTTGTTGAGTACAGTGCCATGCACATAGTGGGCAGTCAGCATTTTCTTGATTATCTTCTCCAGTCAGGGATAGTCACTGTGTCTGTTGTAACCCTGTCTCAACAATTAAAAGGTAAGAGGAAAAGTTATGGAAAGATCATCAAGCTAGGCTAGTCTTATTTATGTCCCAGAGATCAGGTAAGTTTCCATGTAGCGTAGGAGTCATTTTATGATGATGATGTATCTGAATTTTCAGGGACAGCCCTGCTTTCAAGTATGCTAGCCTATTTCAGACCACAAATTCCAATTTTTGGACTTGAAAACAGATTTGCTGTAGCTATGGTGTAGTATGGCAGTCAAACCTGTGGGTGTTTACCCAGACCCCACCATCAGGATTATTTTAGAGGCCTTTGCTGAAAAGCTGACTGAAGATGTCTTTGTGATATGTTTAGCTACTCCCTGTGAACTAAATACTTTGACGGAACAAGAAATGACTTTAACAAATTAATATTCATCCCTGATTACAGCATATTAATATATTCTTTATAGGAAATTAGGGAAAAGTGTTGAAAAATGTAAAAATCATCTTTATTCCCATACCTCAGAGATAACAACTATTAATATTTGAATGTGTTTCATTCTATTTATTTCAATGCATATATAAAAATTGAGCTCATATCCTGTATGTTTAATTATTTTACTTTTCATATTTATAGTGAACAAGTTCCAACCTAAATAAATATTACTAAAAAGGAGGATATTACTTGATTTGGGGGTGTTTAGTCTATTTCTGTTTTTTACTTTTGTGAATAATAACTCTAATGGAAGTTTTAAAGAAACTTTTGTGTTTATTTCATGTAGAAGTAGAAATACAACCACAAATGTCATAAATATTTTTAGGACTTGAGATAAACGTTTCAGATTGTACATCTAAAAGTTTGTACCAACTTATACTCTGCCAACTGTGTATGAAGATGAAATTTCATTGACCAACCCCCTAACCATTTCTGCATGTTATAACTTACAGAATCATTTCCAATTTGGCAAATGAAAGTTATGTCTTTGCATTAATTTTCTGTTTTGATTATTAGTGAGACTTAAATTTTTCATGTTTATTGATAGCTTTTCTTTCTCTGTTCATCTACTTTGTTCATTTTTCTGTTGAAATTATTGGGCCCAAGAAATAATTGATTGAAAGGGAAAAATTAGTGTGGTAACCAATATGTGAGTTAATGTTCCAGTTACATCTACCCCTTCGTTATGTACAGATGTCAATTTTTTTTTTATTTTAACGAAAATGTCTATCTTGATTTGGAGCTGCTGATTTTATCACCTTAGTGTGGCAGTGTCACTACCAAGGGAAACGTTAATCAGAACCAGAAAGTTGTGAGAAACACTGAAAGTTATTTTTAAGGAGTGTGGTTTGTGCCTTAAATGTTGAGCTCTGAATAGCCCATAACTTGTAATAGCAGGAGCTTAATTTTCGGGTGTTCTTTTTTTTCTTTTTCTTTTAACATCTGTGGTGTGTTAAATGTGTTATCTAGAATATCTCTTTTTAAAATTTTCATACTAATCCTGTGAGATAGGAATTATTATCCCTACTTCATCAGTGCATGGACAGATTTAGAGAGGTGTGGTAACCTCTCAGGCTGCACAGCAGGGTTAGAGGTGGCTCAGGATTAGAACTACAGATACGCATCTTCCAAAGTGCAGGATCTTTTTTACTGCACCTTGCTGAATTCCAACAATGTTAAACTCAGACGCAGCTACAAACAAGGTTTTCGTTTGTTTCTTTGCTATAGTTTTTTGTTTTGTTTTGTTTTATATCACTATCAAAGAAGCAGCAAGACTCAGATGACCTACCTTAGACTTTCCTTTCGTTCTGGCTAATATGAATTCTTTGAGACTTTTTGGAGGTCCTATAACTTCTTTCTTATGTTTCCTCACTTTTATACTTTTATGTCTTGAAATATATTTGGGCAGCTGCAAAAAAGAAACAGGCAGTTATTTTACTTAACAGTATCTTGATAGATAAAAGGAACCAGGAGAAGCCAGGTAACCTACCTTCTTTTTTATTTTTTTTATTTTTATTTTTATTTTTTGAGACTGTCTTTTTTTATCACCCAGGCTGGAGAGCAGTGGTGCAATCTCAGCTCACTGCAACCTCCGCCTCCCGGGTTCAAGTGATTCTCATGCCTCAGCCTCCTGAGTAGCTGTGATTACAGGAGCCTGCCACCAAGCCTGGCTAATTTTGTATTTTTAGTAGAGATGGGGTTTTAACATGTTGGCTAGGCTGGTCTCGAACTCCTGACCTCAAGTGATCCACCTGCCTCAGCCTCCCAAAGTGCTGGAATTACATGTGCAAGCTACCGCAGCCGGCCGGTAACCTACCTTCTGAAATACTTATGACAATTCCTAGAAGTCTAAGAACTATATTTTTAAAAAGCATTATGGATTTTAAAAATGTGCTCCCCATTCATCAGCTCCCTTTCCCACCCATATTCTTTGAAGGGAGGGGTAGGTGATGCGCCCTTTTTATGTTTGCACAATATATGAATTCCTCATAGTATCCAGGGTAAACTTTTGAGCCTCATGGTCAGTGTTGGAAAGATGCTCAGCTAGGATCGGCCTTAATAAAACAAAAAGATCCTTCCAAATCACTTGTCCTTCTCTTCCCTTTTCAACTCTGAACTTGCCACTCTATTTTTAGCTAGATCAGCTTCTTATTTAGGATAGTTTCCTTTTATTTCTACATTGAGAATTATCTATTCTTTATCATATCTGATCATATGTAAATATGTAACTGTGGATTGTGGTAAAAATTTCTGACAAGTGAGCCCCTGAGAACCCTTGAGGACTTTACCTTTTCAATTTTCTTTGCTACTTTCATTCTAAACTTGAGACAGATAGTTCTGTCTTTTTCTATCTCTTCAATCTTGTAACTGTGTAATATGACTATTAATTGTTTATTACTTACTGGTTACTTTTAATTGTTTCCTTTTAACAAGTCAGAGCTTTCTTAGCTTTTAGTTTGGAACTTAATGTTTTTTGTCGTTAATTTTTTGTATTTCATGGCATATTTCCCAAATAGATTGAGTATGCCATGTCCTCCTTTCATCACTGAACTCTGCTCTTTTCTCATTTGGTTGCTATCTTCTCTACTTTAATAGAGACTGAAAACACAAAACTAGATTTCAGTGACTTAACAGACCTCCAAAATATGAACTCTGATTATTCATGTCAGTCTTTATAAGAATACATGATTCTCCTGAACAGTTTTCTTCCTCAACTGTGATTCTAGGGCAACAACTTGGTTTTCTGGGTATGCTGTCACTCCTATTGCTCTTTCTGATACTGGATGGTGGCCATTGATGCCTTCTGCTTTTGGGGTTATAGAACGTTACAACTGAAAGGCACATTAGAGATCATCTAATTGAATTCTTTCTTAAACAGATCAGTTGAACACATGAGGCCCAGAGGCCATATTACTAGAACTAGGATTAGAACCCCAAGTCTCCTAACTTGTTCCCTAAATGCCCTGGACTGGATTAGGGATCCTGTGGTGTTTTTTCTTTACACAGGTTCACCTCTCCATGCTACAGAGTAGTAATCCCTGCTTATCACTGCAAGATATTGCTGGAAATAGTATCCTTCAGGAGTTGATTATAATTGGTAATCATTTCCTATGGAAACAATATTTAAAGTGTATGGTGTATTCTTGATCCAGAGTTAATCATCAAGGAAATCATAGATTTGACAAACAATATATTGAACCCAAGACTGTACTAATTCAAAAAACGCATACTATCTTCCAAGTCCTATAAAATAGACCAAAGTGTGCAGGCTGATCAAATACAGTGTTAAGATTTGTGCTCCAGTACTGATGGAGGCATTGCCAAGTGAATTTCTGGCAGGTGAACATCTTATCTAGAGTGAGCTTGTTGAGCCGGGAAAGCTCAACAGCCCTGTTCCGTGGGCAGAGATGTCCCTTGTTAGCTAGACACCTGGTCTGCCATTATTAGCTTTCTCTGTAGCTTGGAGTGGGTGGCTATTATTATTCAGCCTTTTTTTTTTTTTTTTTTTTTTTTTTTTTTTTTTTTTTGAGCCCAGGCTGTAGTGCAGTGGCGCCATCTTGGCCCACTGCGAGCTCCCCCTCTCGGGTTCACGCCATTCTCCTGCCTCAGCCTCCAGAGTACCTGGGACTGTAGGCGCCCGCCACCACGCCTGGCTAATTTTTGGTATTTTTAGTGGAGACGGGGTTTCACTGTGTTAGCCAGGATGGTCTTAATCTCCTGACTTCGTGATCCGCCTGCCTCGTCCTCCCAAAGTGCTGGTATTACAGGCCTGAGCCACCGCGACCGGCCTATTCAGCTTTTTTCAGTTTCCAGAATATTCCATATTGAGTAAAAATAGCACTACAGAAAATTGCCCCTTCCACTTGAGACAACATTTCCATGTGGAGTATGGCCGTTCATTGTTAACACAATAGGTTGGAATAATAACAGCTTGGACACTCAGCTCCACTTTCTGATGCAGTCAACCCCCAGATTAATAATTTGTATTAGAAAAAGACTGTTAAAGCTGGGCAGGTGACTCACGCCTGTAGCCCCAGCACTTTGGGAGGCCGAGATGGGTGGATCATTTGAGGTCAGGAGTTCAAGACCAGCCTGGCCAACATGGTGGAAACCCTGCCTCTACTAAAAATACAAAATTAGCCTGGTGGGTGGTGAGCGCCTGTAATCCCAGCTACTCGGAAGGCTGAGGCAGGAGAATCACTTGAAACCAGGAGGTGGGGATTGCAGTGAGCCGAGGTTGTGCCACTACACTCCAGCCTGGGTGACAGAGTGAGACTCCATCTCAAAAAAAAAAAAAAACTATTAAAAGAAAATAAATGTAACATTATAAAATACAATTATGTTTATCCACATTTGAAATTTTTAAAAGATAGCCTTGATTTTGGTAAAGTCAGACCTTAATTCTGGGATTTATGTCTTTACTTTCTTGATTGGTAGTATAATGCTCTTTTTTCTTTTTTTAATGTGAGCTATTTTATTTTTATTCTTTTAATAAATATTTTAATTAACAAATCATAATTGTATATATTTATGAGGTATAATGTGTTGTTTTGATATGTATACAGTATGAAATGATTAAATCATGTGAATTGACTTCTTTTTTGAAATCATAGTAATAGAGGATGCTTTTTTTTTTTTTTTCAATGTTCTTCCTTGACAACACAAAAATTTGGTGTAACCCTTGGTTGGGTCCCCAAATTATTTTTGAAATTTTACTGGTCAGTGAAATTTCCAAATCTGGTAACCACCATTATCAGGTATGATTTTATGTGAGCATAAATATAACAGCTATAAGACCAATAGGACCTATGTGAATATGCAAATTATAATACACATTAGGGGCTTAATTATCAGTTTCTCATTTCTTCTTACAATTTAGAAAGACTTCACTGGCAATATTTGGATAGGTGGAATCTTTTGGTTCAAATAAGAGATTTCTCTCAATAAATACCGGTCTAGCAAATCCTCCCGGGCTAGAATGGTGATCTTTAAGGGCGTTCACGAGTGGAGGGCCACTATTTCCAAATGAAAAAGCGTCATCAAATCATCACTGCATTGATTTGCTTCTAGACAAGGCATTTTATTTTAAAATTTCAAATAACAGAAAATCGAGAGTGCGACATTTTATGATTATTTTAAAGACACACAGGTTTTAAAAATGCTTGAGAAATGCTAATCCGGAGTGGAGGTCATTCTGTAAAAAATAGCCTGCCTCCTGCTTCTGCTGCCACTAGATGGTACCCGGGTGCGCCGGGAAGCCGTCGGAGAACGTCTCCTGGGGGTTGCGCTGCCGTCGGGCAGGTGGCCGAGCCCCGCGGGAGCTGTCGTCGGGGCCGAATTCACTGCGCCAAGGTCCAGCGGAAAGCTGGGGCATCCCGGCGACCGCAGGGTGTCCCTTCGCAAATTCATCAGGCGAAGGGGAGGCGGAAGCTCCTGGCCGCTGCTCTGGGGGAGGGCTCCGAGCTCCAACCTGCAAGTCCAGGCAAGGGGAGCTCCCCGGGGGCGGGCCGGGGTGCCAAGGTCCTTTTTGGGGTGGGGAGCGCGCTGGGGACCGGGAATGGAGTTCCATCAGGGCAGTGAGTGTTACCAAACCCGTTGACAAAGTGGGGGCAGGTTAATGCACATGCAGGGCCGCGTCGCAGCAGGAGGTATTTCCACACTGCCTGGTGAGGGAGGACTGCCGCGGTTTCCTCAGGCTGGTGGGTGCTGTCTGGACCGTCTTGGAGGACTACTGAGAGGATGGGCTGGGACTCGTCCTCCGAACGGCAGGAAGGCTGAACAGGTGTGCTTCTCAAGATTCACCTCCAAGAAACCTTCCCGCCCCTGCCCCGTCCCTTACCCGCAGCCCCAGCCGGATTCAGTAGTGCTCCACCTCTGTGTCCCAACGCAGCTCACAGCTCCTACATGTGTCCCTGACTCAGTTTACCACACTGTCCTAACATCCTTTAACCTACAAGGCCAAGTTCCTTTAGTGCATGTCTTTTCTCTCTCCTCTCTCCCTCCCTCCCTGCCTTGACTCTTTGCCAAAGAGTTTGGCATGTAGTAAAGTACTCTTTAAATAATGATCTTAAAAACTTATCTAAAGACTTGCCATAAAGTAATTCATTTACTACTGTCAAGGAGATTTGTATATTAGCTATGAATTGGATGATCCATATCAAAATTGCATATATATTTAAGTGTCTAAAAAACAAATCATAAATTGGAAGAAAATATTGACTATTTAGAAAATATCTGGATGGGAGATTTTCTAAGCTTTAAAGCAAAATAAATTGCAGAGTAAAATATTGATAGACACAGTTTATGTCTATCATGTTATTGGATTTTAATGAGAACATCACTATGCATATCTAGTGTAAAACTCCACGGAGTAATATTTGGAGAAGTTGTATACATTAGTGGTTCGGGGGTTATGGGATTAGGAGTGATGTATTTTATTTTACTTCCTTCTTTATGTGTATTACTTGACTTCTTTTTGTCAAGGGGCAAGTATCGTTCTGCCCCCCACCCCCCAAATAATGAAGGTAATGTGTTAGGAAAAAAGCAAATAAATATGAAAGTGGGAAAAGCTATATGTAACACATATGACAAAGGATTTCTATATCTATTTCTATTCTATTCTGTTCTATTCTATATCTTTATAAAAACCTCTTTCAAATTGAGAAGAAACTTTAAAATTCATCCAAGAGATAAATAGCATGGACAAAAATTTCTTCTGTACTTTGCAGTTTTCTACAATTTGTAATTCAGTACATCTTTATTGGATTTTACCGCACTGACAGACCCTATTCTAAACGTTGGGATGTGATGGTAGATAAAACAGGAGAAGGGCCCTGCCCTCATGAAGTTTTCATTCTAGTGGGTCTAATACAATTAAAAAGCGAATTACAGATTGTGATACATAGCAGGAAGGATGGGGAGCAGATCCTTGAGCAAGGGGAGTCACTGAAGATTTCTCTGAGGGGGTGACATTTGAGCTGAGACCTGGAGAATGAGAAGAAAGGGGAGAATACTACAGGCAAAGGGAACAAGAAGAGCAAAGGCCATGAGGTGGGAAACTTGTTATATCACAGCTGTGAAAAGGAGACCAGTGCTCCGGAAGGCTGAGTTATGAGAGATGAGGTTGGAGGAGTGGGAAGAACCCAGACTATTAGCCTATCAGGTCATGATAATGATTGTGGATTTTGCTTTATTCTAAATGTAATTGGAATCCATTAAACACCAATATTCTCCTAAGCAGGAGACAATAGATTAAGAAACCCCAATTACTGGGGAACAGTTTGATGTGGAACCATTTAGGCTGCCAGGGTAAGAAAATAACCTTTCAAATTAAGGATTATATGTGATTAGCAGAGGAAATGTGTCCTGTGATTGGGAATACTCTTTTCTTTGACACTTCAAATAGGGTCTGTTTTTTCCCCCTACATGGCTGCAAAGTCTAAACTGGGCCAGAGGACTCCAGGTAGTCTGTATCCTCCCTAAGGAAACAAAGATTCAGCCTTGGAGACACTGCTATGTACCCAAGAGCGGTTATCACCAACTGCTACCCCTGCTAGCCTGTTGCCCACTCATGCCTTGCCTTCCAAAGGCAGGAAGGAGAAGACTGCCATCTTCCTATCTAAGAATCCTGCATTTTCATCCTTTCAAAGGGATGTTTTAAGAGAATCCACACAAATAATTTTGTCGTGAACCATTTTGATTATGTTGTATCCCTTTATGGTTGATTAATAATTGTCCCACACTGGAGGAGCTTAGCAGCTAAGGTTATTCATGGTATTTCTGGAAAAAGCTTTCTTTGAAAGGTGAAAATTTCAGTTAATCACCACGCTGATAAGCAGAAATGCTAAACTGAGAAATTTTCCTGTTAAGTTTTTAAATTGCACTAAAAGCTTTATGACATTGTGCCATCATACGTGTCCTTTCCATATGTATTCAAAATTTTGAGGCAGTAAGTAAATAAATAACACTCTTCTAGCCAGTTTTAAGCTCTAATTGCTGTCAGCCATTGAAATATTATTGGGAAACATTTTAATATCTACTTAGTAGAATGTAGACTATTCAGATTGCTGAAGTGTGGTGCTATTTTGAGTCGCTTTTGGTCTTGCATACTATTTCTGTAATCCTGTGGACACTAAGATTGAGGGACTCATCAACAGTCTCTGGATGTCTCACATAACTCAGAGAGGCTATGAACATTTTCAGGCCTCTATCACTTTTCCCCCATCGCCCCCAAATTTCATGCTGATATTGGAAAGAACATTCAATTATCATGTAATACATATAGTACAGGATAAACAATTTTTAATATTAATTAGAGATGTTTTGTTGATTTATAAACCAGTAGAATTCTCTCACCCACTGAAATAGCAGGGTGTGAATTTGGGGGCACAGACCTATCCTGTTCACATACCCAACACCAATTCTCTCTTTTCATCTATCATAGGTAATCCTTAAGTCACTTATATTGAGAATTGTGACACAAGTTCAGAGTAGCAGAGGACTATAGACCTGGAGGGGTCTTTAGAAGTCTTCTAGCCTGCTTCTTGACCTCCTCATTTTACAGGTGAGGAAGATAAGATCTGGAGAGATTGGGGAACATGTCTAAAGTCTCAGGTGGCTGGTGGTCAGGTGAACTAAAACCTCCAGTGTCAGTCAGTGTTGCCTTTGGACTGAGAAAATTCCAAATGGTTAGTACTAATAATTTACAATATGCTGAATTCTAACTAAATTGAGCCCTACAGCTGGAAGTTTAAGCAGTTCTCCTGGACAGAATCTCTGTTGGTAGGGTGGTTTCATTCCTTCTCAGCTCTAAGGGTGAGGCCTTCTTTAACAGGGAACGTAATTGCTACTTTGTGCAAAGGAACAGTTTTTCTTTGTGATGGATGTTTTCCCTTATTTGTGGAGTTCTGAATTTTTTTGGTTGCAGCCTGAGAAGTAGTATTTCTACCAGCTGAATCTTTATTGAAAGCTCATTTGGCCAAAAAAGTTTGCATTTATATTGCCCATATTTTATTAATGCTACTTTCTTTCTTTCTTTTTTCTGTTTTTCCTTACTGTTAAGAAAGGCAAATGCTTTGAAATGACCACATGACAAGAAAATAAAATTTTGACAAGGAATAGAAAAGGAAGCTAGATCTTTGCCCGATTTCCTTTGACCCTGTCTGGCTTTCCTTCAGATTTGCTAGTGCTAGTTTTCCTGGCTTCTTTCCTGCTGCTGTACTTTTCATATTCAGCACACTGAAAAGCTTGAATTGTTCCCTTTGTTAACTCAGAAGCCTGCAAATGATGAAAAGATTACATATTCAGCAGGTCAAATCTGAGACAGTTTTCTGAATTAAAAAAATATTTTGTGTTTCATAGCCTGGTCTAAAACTAGAGAAATTGAATAAACTAATGTCTGGAAAAGAAGAAAGAGTTTATGTCAGATGTTTATGTTAAGCACTGGTTAATTTTAGCATATAGACTCCAAACAAAGGAAACGTAGTAATATGTAACCAACATATTGAGAATACTGTCTAATTCAAAACACCTAATATTTGCCAAATAAATATTTGGCTTTCTAATAAGAATAGCACATAAATGCGGATCAACAAATTTGGTTCTTTTTTGTAGTCAGATGGTTTTTATATTTCTGGACACCAGGGTGTGCTAGCCATCACATGTAAATATGGATGAATATTTATTTTCTGGTTGGTTAGGAATGTGCACATCCTTTAGTTGATGTGGGTAACAGATGTCTTGTGGGTAACAGATGTCTTGCCTTTTAGAGACGAATTGGCAAAGAGTGGATAAAAGGGGATAATTAAAGGGGTAGGAGGAGACAAAAGCAAAGTACAATCTTCCTTGTGGTGAAAAATCTAATAAACCTCCTTATTATGGGTAATTGTTTTCCTTCTTCAACCTCATTTGCTGTCCCTTTCCATAGGACTCAAATACATTGTAATGGGAAAGTATAAAATAAACATGAGACAAGACTACTGCCTACTAACAACCAGATTTGTTCTGTCACAGAATATTGTAGTATAATTGACTCAATGAACATCAGTTTTTTTTGAAAGAGACAAAATATGAAATCATGTCTAATCACTAATGGCAACTTATATTGTAATTGGCAGCACAAAGGTTCTATGTTGAGGATGATTAATATAAATATAGTTGAATTATATGTCAAATGCAGTGATATAGTGGACTGGTGGGAAATGAAATATGAGAGGCTGAGTATGTCGTATGTTACTTATTCATCTTAGGTCCTATTTAGTTTGCTGTTTGTTCGCTGTCAGTCCTATCATACTGCCAGTTGAACTGGAATAAATGGGAACATGTAGCAGATGTTTGAAGCCATTATCATTAACAAATCCTCAATTTTGCCAGTGTTTTTCATCGTGCAAGATTTAAAGTAAGGTGTCACTTTCTGTCTTAACTATATCACCTATGTCTATATTATTCTTAAGATTTGTAACTTTTACTTTTAACCAGGATAAATTTTTATAGCTTGTGAAACATTCAGTGAGTATCCGCATAAATCCTTGGTAAGAACTATTATGTAATCATTTTTATAAGGAGCCAGTAGTGCTTCAAAGAGAAAGTATCAGATTATGTACTCAGAGCCTTACTTAATACAGAATTTAGATAAAGCTGTAAGGTGAGATTGTTTATTTTAGATGCAAGGCACATGATATTGAATTTTATTTGACTGCATGTCCCCTCAGAAAATAGGTAGGTAGAATTTGTTTCAAAAATACCAACTGTGTTTTAAAGGCTATTAGAATAATACAGATCAGAATCCTAGTTTTCAATTGTTAATTAGTTATCAGCTTCTTTCTGCTGTATTAGAATTCTATTTTATTCACAATTGCTAGAAATTTGTGGGGTGGGAGAATTGTTCACCTACCCATTTCTTTATGGCACCTTAGTCATGAAAGGTACCATTGCTTGAGTAGTCCAGAGACTGTTACGTAAGTCAGTCACTTTGTCTTTTTGAGCCTCATTTTGTTATGTATGAAATGGAGATAGTGACAACTAACTCCCACAGTTGCAGTGGGATTATATGAGATGACGAATGCATGTGAAACTAACATATATTTAATTGTTGAGTGCTTTATGATTGTCTTCACTCTGTGGATTCATATTCCTTAGTTAGTTGTGTCAGTTGCTAAGCTTTTCTTGGAAATAGAGCGTCCAAGGAGATTCTGATGAAATGTCTAGTGACAAATGGTTTGAGATTGTGTGTCAGAAGAGTTACTCTTTTTCCTGCCTTTAGCCCCTTAAAATATGCAAGTGAAGAATAACCATAGTGCAGCAAGTTTCTTAACATTAAATGAGTTTTCCTATTTTGTAATTGTAGATTTCCATAAGGTGTAAATAAGTAGGGTCATAAAATATTGGTGTTATGTAAGAGTTTAAGATTTTTGGACCCACTTTCCCTATGCTGTTCATTTTCTATTTTCAGAGGACAACACTGAGGCTCTGTAAGGTTAAATGTCTTCTCCAAAGTCAATCAGCAAGTTAGTGACAGAGTGAGGGCTGAGACCTTTGTCTTTTCCCAAATTCTTTGGCTGGACCATCACCAGATACTACCTGCTGTGTGACCGTCTAGAATCTAGTCTGGGTCATTAAAAAAAGGAGAGCAGTCAAATCACTCTTGACAGAGCGGAAAGAGATGCATTTCTTTATTATGCCTTTTAAATGGTCTCTGCACCCTAGTTCATTTGGCTATTCCTTTATGGATTACAAATATATTTTGATTGTTTCGCTTGTTTGCATAAGACAACTGACTTTACCCGCTTCGGTAGTAGGAGAGATAGTCCCTAAGTCTTTATATAGTATTTCCTATGTGCCAGACATTGGTCTAAGGGCTTTATATAGGTTAACTAATTTATTCTCCACAACACTATGAGGAGATATATTATTATTAGTCCTGCCTTTCATATAAGAAAATGGAGGTACAGGAGACAAAGTAATGCCTAAGATTACAAAGCTAGTATAATCAGATTTGTAAGATTGGAACTGGAGAATACTAGAAAGATTTCATTGTCAGTAGAAACCTAGATGAATGCTTGCCCATGATATGACTTCTCTTTTTGCAAGGAAAGTGCCTTGAAACATGTTCTAAAGCACTAGATTTTATCTATATGGCTCTATAGAATCCCAATCAAGTTAGAATATATGGTTCTTCTGTATCACATAAATATTGATGAAAAAGTATATTTATTAATGTTGGTCACCACTAGAATAAATAGGAAAGTGAGCTGTTATGCTTGGTTCAATGTTGATAACAAAACAGTATTTTATTTTAGGATTGTATTTCCCTTAGGATACCAGTAATAAAAATGTTTCTAGAAATGATGCTTCATCAGTTAAGAAAAATTATTGATAGAAGAGAATAATTTCTATATGATTGATATAGAATTTGTTCTTTCTTAAATATTCAGTTATATAGGAATAGTACCCATTTTTGCTCCCATATCGGTATTTGAAGTTAAGTAAAAGTTGTCATTTGTGTATCAAATATTTTATAAGTACTACAAAAGCAACTCCAATTTGAGTGATTAGCAATTTAAAGACTTTAGTTTTACTAACAAAGATTATATGGTAAAAAGTTGAACATTTAGATAGTTATGGGAGGGCAGTTGTGATTTAACGAAAAGTTCATTACATTAATAATACATTTATTTATTTTTGTTTTTGTTGCATTTGCTTTTGGGGTCTTAGTCATAAATTTTTTACCTAGAGAATGTTGAGAATAGTTTGTAGGTTTTCTTCTAGAATTTTTCTGGTTTTAGGGCTTTGAGTTAAGTCTTTAATTCCTCTTGAGTTGATTTTTGTATAATGTGAGAGGGGGATCCAGTTTCATTTTTCTATGTGTAGCTATCCACTTTTCCAAGAACCATTTATTGAATAGAGTATCCTTTCCCCAGTGTCAGTTTTTGTGTGCTTTGTCGGAGATCAGTTGGTTGTAAGTATGTAGCTTTATTTCTGGATTCTCTAATCTGTTTCATTGGTCTATGTGTCTACTTTTATACCAGTACCATGCCGTTTTGGTTACTGTAGCCCTATATTTATAGTATAATTTGAAGTTGGGTAATGTGATGCCTCCAGATTTGTGCTTTTTGCTTAGGATTACTTTGGCTATTCAGATTCTTTTTTGATTCCATAAAAATTTTAGGATATTTTTTCTAATTCTGTGAAAAATGTTGTATTTTGATAGGAATTGCACTGAATCTGTAGATTGCTTTGAGCAGCATGGTCATTTTCACAATATTGATTCTTCCAATCTATGAGCATGGGATGTTTTTCCATTTGTTTGTGTCATCTATATCTCTGCACAACCAAAGAAATAATTAACAGAATAAACAGATAACCTACAGAATGGGAGAAAATATTTGCAAAGTATACATCCAAAAAAGGATATATCCAGAATCTACAAGGAACTCAAGAGAATCAGCAAGAGAAAAGCAAATAATCCCATTAAAAAGTGGGCAAATGACACGAACAAACACTTCTCAAAAGAAGACATACAAATGGCTAACAAATATGTGAAAAAATGTTCAACATCACTAATCAGCAGGGAAATGCAAATTAAAATCACAGTGTGATACCAGCTTACCCCAGCCAGAATAGTCACCATTAAAAAGTCAAAAAACAATAGATGTTTGGTGTGGATATGGTGAAAAGCAAATGCTTATACCCTGCTGATGGGAACTTAAATTATTACAGTGTCTATGGAAAACAGTATGGAGAGTTCTCAAAGAACTAAATATGGAACTACCATTTGATCCAGCAATCCCACAATTGGGTGTCAAAAAGATACCTGCAGGTGTATGTTTATTTCAGCACAGTTCACAATTGCAAAGATATGGCATCAATTTAAGTGCCCATCAACCGATAAATGAATACAAAAAATGAATACAAAATGTGGTGTGTGTGTATGAGCATGTACATATATATATATACACACACACGTATATATATATATATATATATATATATATATGGTGTGTTTGTGTATGTATTTGTGTATATATGTGTGGCATATATATCATAGAATACAACTCAGCCATAAAAAAGAATGAAATAGTCTCTTGCAGCGACTTCTGATGGAACTGGAGGCCATTATCCTAAGTGAAGTAACTCGAAAACAGAAAATAAAATACTGCATGTCTTCACTAATAAAAGGGAGCTAAGCTATGAGTATGCAAAGGCATACAGAGAGACGTAAAGGATATTGGAGACTCAGGAGGTGGGGGAGGGTGGGAGGGAGGTTAGGAATGAAAAATTATCTATTGAGTACAATGTACACCATTTGGGTGATGGGTACACTGAAAGCTGAGACTTCACCATTATACAGTTCACCCATGTAACCCAAAACAACTTGTACTCCTAAAGCTATTGAAATTTAAAGAATTTTAAAACAATAATACAAAGCTTATTTAGTATTATACTATTTAGAAACAATATATTTAAATGAAATTTGAATAAATAACTCAACCACTAGGCGCTTCATGCTGACGAATGTTTTACATCAAAACATAAATAGGCACCACTTTGGACATGTGAGTTAGTGGTGAATGTGTTTGTGTGTGTGTGTGTGTGTGTGTGTGTGTGTAGTAAGTGGAGAATGTTGGGGAGGTGTAGACAGTGAACAGATTAGTTTAACAAAGTGTAATTTTTCACAGTTGTATTGGTATAGATATTCTAAATTCTATTATTGATTTGCCTTACTTTATGGACTAGATGTGTGCATTAAAGAAAATTACCTGAAGGTCATGGTGTCTGTTCAAATGATTCATTCTAGTATACGTTCTTTAGTGAGGAGGGGAAATATAGTGGCTCACCAATGCCTCAAAGGAACTACGACAATAACAATTGTGTTAAAGTGTCACAGAAAATAAATATAAAGTGTCACAACTATTTTTTTAGAGACATAAATATCTATGGTTAGCTTTGCGTTTAGCACATTTGCTTAAAAGTTTAAAGGAAGGAGGGCAAATGAACAGAACACACTGAATTGTTTGGTTACACAGCTGCCATAACCCCACTTTAATGTTCTATGAGTATTGCTGGACAGCTCCCCTTGGTTGCTGTGATACTGTTTCCTAGCATTTCCTAGGAGCTATTGATTTAGGAATGAGCTGGTTGAACTTAATATGGGGGTATTTAGAGCATGGATGAGGCAAATGCTTTAAATATAGTAGCAACTGGAATAAATCACAAAAATATTAGCAAAAGTAAATGATAATTGGA
Organism: Homo sapiens; assembly: GCF_000001405.40. Taxonomy (NCBI): domain Eukaryota; kingdom Metazoa; phylum Chordata; class Mammalia; order Primates; family Hominidae; genus Homo; species Homo sapiens. The sequence continues at coordinate 157,587,598 of NC_000002.12, read as the reverse complement.
CAGGATGTTTAGTGAAATATATGATGGAGAGGGAGTAATTGCTTAGCATGTGTTTAGCAAGTGTTTTTATTTAAACCCTTTTTCCATTTTCATTAAGATTGAATTTATATTCCCAGGTATTATCAAATAAAGTAGCATGATGTCTTTTGTATTTTAAATCTTTTTGCCTTACTCTTTCCAGGACTGAAGTGTGTATGTCTTTTGTGTGATTCTTCAAACTTCACCTGCCAAACAGAAGGAGCATGTTGGGCATCAGTCATGCTAACCAATGGAAAAGAGCAGGTGATCAAATCCTGTGTCTCCCTTCCAGAACTGAATGCTCAAGTCTTCTGTCATAGTTCCAACAATGTTACCAAAACCGAATGCTGCTTCACAGATTTTTGCAACAACATAACACTGCACCTTCCAACAGGTAAGGGGTTTATCTTTGTTCATTCCGAATTTAATTTTACTCTTGGGAAACTATAAGAATGGTAGGAATCAAACTGTCTTATGTTTCTTTAAATAGGAAAATCTGTTTTACAGTTCTCTTTTTGATTTTGGCTGGTAAAATTCTCTAGAGTCTAGCTGAGGTTGAGTTTTTAAAAAATTGCACATCATTGTCAAAACATTGACAATAACGTAACAATTTTGAAGAAATTTGTCCACGTGAATTGTATTTTTGAAATGATTAATGAACCTAAAGTCAAATGTAAATTTTTATGGAGTTTTTAAAAAGAAATTGAGATTGCTTCTTGGCCTTTCGGCTAAGATCATGTGTAAAAGACATTGAAATACATACTGAGAAGAAAAAGAGCATAACTAAAAATAGCAGATTGCCAACTTTTCTGGGGACAGAATCTTTTTTTCAGGGATATCCTCTGCATATCTTCTTTATCTACCCACATTCAAGTGAGAGCACACCCCAGAGAGATAGAGGCAGAATGGAATTCGACCCTTCATCATTGTTCAGATATATTTCTGCCTTTCGTCATATTATACAGTGCTTTATCCCAATTTATAAGAAGCTAAAAATCCTGATCTGGCCCTTTATCAGGAACCTGGGATCTGAAACTTTGGGACACATTAAGGGACATGTAATTCTGAATTTAAAACTAGTTTATGATGTGAAAATAGTCCTGCTATTGAATTTCTTTAAGATTTTTAATATAACAATAATTTAATGATTATCAATACAGATGTATCTATAACAGAGATACATATATTTCCTTACAAATTAACATTTTAAGGCAATGTTATCCAATCTCAGGTGTTCATATGTCATCATATCAGTATACCACTAAAGTACTTTTTACCTATTTTTTAAATAAACTAACCACCTTTTAATTGAAAAACATTTATTTTATAAAATATAATATCACTACCACCAATTAAAAACCAGTGTACTTGCCCTAAATAGAAGATAACTATGTAAACAAACAAACAATGCTCCTGCATTTCAGTTAGGTATTTTGCATTTTCTCTTTTTTAAAAGAGAGAAGAAGTGTAAAAGACATATTAGCAGGAAAGGAGACTTTTTCTTACAAAATCCAAAAAAACTAAGAGAATAAGAGAAGGAATCATAATATGATTCAGTGTTATGTAATATCATGTTTGTTTGCCATCCCAATTCATCTCAGAAAAAAAACTCTTAAAGTAATTCCATGTACCAGCACTAGTACTTGTCCCAACCTTGGAAACACTGTTGTAAGGCATTATCATGTATATTGCAACCTCAAAAGTTATACTTGGCATATTTCATCCCTGAACACTACTTGCAGTCGTGGATTTTAGACCACACTTATTCTCTCTATCTCAGATGCCATAGACTTCCTTGCTTTGGTGGTGATCTGGGATCTATTATGGGCACTTGTTTCCTTATATTTTATCCCCCAGTTTATCTGTGCTCCAGAGACACCTTAAAGTGAAGTCTCCTTATGTTTAATGGTCTTCTCCATAGCCAAATACAAAGGATTTTAGGGGTAAAAAGGAGAGTCTCCTCTTTAGCTGTGGCAGTGACTTGTAATGTATCTTCCCAATAGTGAATGATCCTCAAGACTACATTCTTTGACTATAACAAAAGGTATTAGAGGGCAAGATGTCTCATATGCAATTGGGCAAATCAAGCGTACCTAATGCAGCTAGAATGTAGGTCCTTCCCAGCCCAACTGTAAGCTCTACCAAAGTACTGAGAGGTCTATATGTTCTACCCTTAAGTTAATCAGTAACCAGTCTTTCTTTTTCAAAAATCAACTGTATTAAGGTCTAATTTAGGTATAATAAAATGCACATGTTTTATTATTTATTTATTTATTTACAAAAAAATAGTTTCTTTATCGAGAATATGTGTGATGAACAGTGGGAGGACAGCAGGTGATTAGATCTGGGTAATTAGCATATTCATAATCTCAAACCTTTATCATTTAAAATGCACACATTTTAACTATGTAGTTTGATGAGTTTAGACACACACATATGCCCATGTAACCACCACCACATCTCCATTACCTCAAAATATTCTCAGTCCCACTTCCACCAGGGCTAGACCACTGATCTATTTTCTATCATTGTAGATGGGATTTATTTTTCCTAGAGTTTCCCATGAAAGGAGTCATTATGAAACATTTTTAAGAGGGGGAGGAACTGGCTTTCTTCAGTCAGCATAATGTTTTTGAGATTCATTCATGTTGCTGGGTTTATCAGTAGTTTACTCCTTTTATTGCTGAATAATGTCCCATTCTATGGATATATTACAATTTTAAAAAATCCATTCATCCATTGACGTGCATTCAGATTGTTTCCATGTGGGGCTGTTATTCGCAAAGCTGTTATGAGCATTCACGTACAAGTCTTTGGATACGTGCTTTTATTTCTCTTTGAAAATACCTGAGTGGAATTGCAGGGTCACATGATAAGTATATGCTTAACTTCATAGTCTCCCAAATAGTTTTCAGACTGCTTATAATATTTTATATCCCTAACAGAAATGTGTGATAGTTTCAGTTAGTACATATTCTTGCCAACACTTGGTATAATCAGTCTTTTTAATTTTAGTCATTCAAGTGGTTTTTGTATTGGTATTTTATTGTGGTTTTAATTTGCATTTCCCAATAATTAATAATGTTAAATTATTTTTCATATGCATATTGGTCATCATTTATGTATCTTCCTCTATAAAGTATCTATTTGAGTGTTTATTAAAAATTGAGTTTTTTTGGTCAGGTGTGGTGGCTCACGACTGTAATCCCAGCACTTTGGGAGGCCAAGATGGGCGGATCACAAGGTCGGGAGATCGAGACCATCCTGGCTAACCTGGTGAAACCCCATTTCTATTAAAAATACAAAAAAAATTAGCCGGGCATGGTGGTGGGTGCCTGTAGTCCCAGCTACTCGGAAGGCTGAGGCAGGAGAATGACGTGAACCCAGGAGGCGGGTTTTTTTTTTTTATCTTCTTCTGGTTGAATTGGAAGAGTTCTTTATATATTCTGAATACAAGTCCTTTATCAGATAGATAAATTGTGACTATTTTCTTCCATTCTGTGGTTTGCCATTTTGTTTTCTTGAAGGTATTTTTTACAGAGCACAAGGTTGAAATTTTGATGAAGTCTGATTTATCTTTTTAAAAAAATTATGATAGTTTACTAGTTTCATGTCCTGAGTTTTTGTCTACCCAAAATTCATATGTGTTTTTATGTTTTCTTCCAGAAGTTTTAATATTTCAGTTTTTACAATTAGTTTCAATCTTTGCATTCAGTTTCAACTTAATTTGTGTTATTATGTGAGGTTAAGGTGGAGTTTTATTTTTTCCATATGGATTTGAAGTTCTTCTAGCATCATTTATTGAAAGTCTATTCTTTACTCATTGAGTTATGGTGGCACTTTGGTTGAAAATAAAGTAACTTTATATATGTGGGTATATTTCTGGCCTCTTTCTTCTGTTCAGTTGTTCTATATGCCTTATACTATCGTCAAACTGTTTTGATTATTGTAGTTTTATAGTAAGTATTGAAATCAGGTTTTGTGAATTCTCCAACTTTGTTTTTCCAAATTGATTTGCCTATTATAAGTCCTTTGCATTTTTATTTAAATTTTATAATCCACTTGACAATTTCTACAAAAACACACGCTGAGATTTTGATTAAACTGAGTTGAATATATAGATTAATTTGCAGAGAATAATCATGTTCACAATATTGAACTTTTAATCCATGAACATAGTATTTTTTTTTCTTCACCTATTTAGTTCTCCAGTTACTCTTAGCAGTGCTTTGTAGTTATCAGAGAACAGGTCTTATAAATATTTTGTTGACTTTATCTCTAGTGCATGTTTTTGATGCTAGTGTGAATGGTATTTTTAATATCTCAATTTCTAAATGTTAATTGCTAGTATATGATAATAAAAGTAATTTTCCTCTTATTTTATTTATGATATCCTGAAAGCTTGTGAAAATAACTTATAGGCTGGGTGCAGTGGCTCATGCCTGTAGTCCCAGCACTTTGGGAGGCTACGGTGGGCAGATCACTTGAGGTTGGGAGTATGAGACCAGCCTGGCCAACATGGTGAAACCCCATTTCTACTAAAAATTAGTACGCGCCTGTAGTCCCAGCTACTTGGGAGGCTGAGGCGGGAGAATTGCTGGAACCCAGGAGGCAGAGGTTGCAGTGATCTGAGATCGTGCCACACTGCACTCCAGTCTGGGTGACAGAGTGAGACACTATTTCAGAAAAAAAGAAAGAAAGAAAAGAAAATAGCTTATATTAGTTCTAGTAGCTTTTTTCTAGATTCTTTGGCATTTTCTGCATACATAATCATCTTATCAATGAATATAGACCAATGTATATCTTCTGTTCTGATATATAGAAGATACAGAATTTTACTTCTTTTCCTTGCGTTTTTGCACTGGATGGGACAGCCAATATAATGATGAATAGGAGTGGTGAGAGTGAAGATCCTTGCCTTTTTCCTGATTCTAGGAGGAGTGCATTCATTCTTTTACCCTTAAGTATGATGTTAACTGTGGATTTTTTTGTAGATGCCTGTTATCAGTTGAGGGAATTTACTTGTATTCCTAGTTTGGTGAAAGTTTCTCTTTAAAATCTTGAATGGATATTAAATTTTTAAAAAGTAGCTTCATGAGTTTATTGAGATTATCATGTGATTTTTCTTTTTTAGTCTGTTCATATGATGGATTGCATTAATTGGTTTTCAAATGTTATCTATAATAGGGAAGATACGTGTTGTCTGGCCACTAATTAATGTCTACAAGAAATGCTACGGAACATTTAATTGAACTCAAGCTTGTTTTTAATTAAAAAAAAATTTTTTAAGGCAGTGTCTTGCTCCATGGCTCACTGCAGCCTTGAACTCCTGGGCTCAAGCGATCTTTCTACCTTAGCTTCTTGAGTAGGTGGGACTACAGGCACATGCCACCACATCTGGCTAATTTCAAAAAAAAAATTATTTTTTTGAGATGGGGTCCTACAATGTTGCACAGGCGTATCTTAAACTCATGGCCTTAAGCAGTCTTCCTGCTTCAGCTTCCCAAAGTGCTGGGATTACAGGCATGAGCCACTGTACCTGGCCAGATGCAAACCTTTTTATTTGAAAAAGTTGCGGACTTTCAGGCTGAGCACTGGATGATGAAGCTAGTGCCAACAACTCCACTGTTTCTGTGTCACCAGTGAGTGTGATTGACATCTCCCCCTCTGCCTGTAGGGATTTGTCAATTTCAAAGTGATCACAAAACAGGAAATATAGAAATGTACTCTGAAAAGTAGACAGTGTGATATTTCTACAGTACTTGATAGTCTGCATCATGTTCATGTACTACACAGTAGAAGAAAGGTCGGGAGGTGACCAGAAGAGGCCGGACAAAATCTCGGACTTCCCTTTACAGTTTCACCTGAAAGCCAAGTGGATCCTTGCCTCTCTGGCTCTTTCATCAGTCACCCCAGATGGTGGGGTCATTTCTGGGTAGCTGACTTGATGTAAGTGCAGTAACAGTCTCATGCTTCAGCTGGTCCTGTGTTCTGTACTTAGATCCTATTTGTTATGGTTGGGCCTTTGTTTTATTTTTTGTGTGTGTGACAAAATTTTTCTCCTGACTAGAGCTCATGACTCCCCTCCCGTCTCCCCCTAGTAGGTGTGTATCCTTACAGTGGTTTCTGTCTGTAAGCCCCCTAATCAGTCCCCCTCAATTCTCCTCACAATTCCTTCCTGATTTCATGTAATTTCGGCCTTCTGTCTCTATTCAACATGTCTCTTAAACCCTTTTTTTCATATTTTCAAAGTTTTGAATCTTTGATGATTTCAATATCTATAGTCTCTCTGGGTTTGGTTCTGCTGTTTTTGATTCTGCTGATTCATATTCTTGGTGACTTCTTTCCTTGTGTTTTTTAATGATTTATTTTATTGTGAGCTCATGGTCTTGGGAAACCTTATCTGAAGAAAACTTTTGAAGCCCGTATTTAAAATTTGTTCCTCCAGAGAAGATTTATATTAGCTTCTGCCAGCTTCTTGGGGGGTGTTACCAACCCAAAACCATTCAGTGTTTTGATTAGGTTTTTGGGGCCAAAGTAATAGAGTGAATTCTGACTCTAAGCCTGCCTGTAAGGGATACACACTTGTAGTGAGGAACTCTCAGATTGTTTTTTTGTCTTTTTTCTGCTTTACCCAAAGTTGGGCTTGAGACACACAAGCATATACCCTATCTGTCTCTGTAGAACTTTTTATTTTGTTGTCTTGTTTTGTTTTCATGGCAGTGCCATTCTTAGTTGTCTGATTTATGCAAGAATCGCTGATCTGACCTTTCACTGTTTCGGGAACCATATTTTATTTCCCAGCCTCGTGATACAGTGTGGTAAACTGAGCACTTCACCACCAAGAGCTGGCAGATGCCTCCAGGATCAAGGCAGCCACAGTGCTCAATCCCCTCTCTGGATTTGTACTTTATTCTTGGCTGTCGAGCAATTCATTTATTTTCGCACCAGCTTTATCATAAAATAGAAAAAAATTATTGATATTTTATTCAGCATTTTTATGTGTACTGTAGCAAGAAGGGTTTCTGTGGACATCTAAAGTGTAACTTGGCAAAAATGGAAATTCTAAGATAGTTTATTTTTGAAATGATGCTGGCATAATTATCTATCCATCTGGAAGAAAACAAGACTGTACCACAGTGTCATACCATATACAAAAATAAATTACAGCTTGATTAAATATCTAATTGTGAAATATAAAACAATTTAAATGTCAGAGAAAAATTTAGAAAAAAAGATTTTTTATGACTTTATAGTATGGAACTGTTCTTAAATAAGATAGGAAACCCAGCTGCTATAAAAGGAGAAGAAAGATATAATTGACTTGATGAAAACTAAAATAAAAATGAATGATAAAAGATAACATAAATAAAACCAGAAAACAATTTAAATATTGGGTAGAAATGTAGAAATACTTGTAGTATATATGACTGGAAAAAGATAACTATTTGAAAGATAAATAGCACGCGCACGTGTGTGCGTGCGCGCGTGTGTGTTTGTGTGTGTGTGTGTGTTAATTGCAAGACGGGGGTTGGGGAAGAGAGGGGGTGCGTGAGAGAGACTGAGAAAGGGGAAATGCTAAATGAAAAAGAATGAAAGGGCATAAACAAATTTTACAGAGGAGAAAATCCAAATGGTCAAATATTGAAAAGATGTTTAACCTCACTATTAGCTGGTATTCCATTTTTCCCACCTATTAGATGGGCAAAAGTTAAAAAAATGTATCAGCCAGGACATTTATAAATAAAAGTATCCGAAATTTAGATAATAATATCTTAATAAGGAAATTCAGTGACTCATATGACAAGAAATCTGGAAGTAGTCAGGGTCTATTGTTTGTTAATAAAGAGGCTTGACAATGTCACCAGCCTACTTCCATATTTCAGTACTTCCAATAACCAAGCATACAAGCATGTGAGGCAGTATGAATAAGGACAACAGGAAAGAGCATATACCAGAAACAGATGATGGCTTCACATATTGGAATTAACAGACAAAAATTATAGACCAAATATTTTCCAAATGTAAAGAAACAAAAGGCAAACTTGAAAATATTTTTAGAGAATAGGAAACCATTAAAAAGTGACCTAGCAGATTTAAACAAGCACAGAAGAAAACTCTTAAAATTAAAAATACAGTAACTAATTTACACAACTTAGGGATAGGTTTAAGAACAATTAGCATAAGAATGATTGAGGAGAGAAATAGGGGTCTTAAATACAGATCAGAAGAAATAATTTTGTATGCAGTATATAGAGAATACAAATGGAATATATGGAAGAGAGGATGACAAATAGAGGAAAGTGAAAGAAGAGTTAACACATGCTTTCACATACGAGTCCAAAAGAGAGGGGAGAGAAAATTGGGCAAAAGCAGTGTCTGCAAAGGTAACAGCTCAAAAATTTCCAGAATTGAGAAGAACGCCCTTCCCCAATCCCAAGAAAGTCAATGAATATCAATAGGACAAATAAAAAGACTTCCAAAGCTTAACACATTATAGTAAAACTACAGAACACCAAAGACAAAGGGAAGTCCTAAAAGTTGACAGAGGAAAAAAAGTTAATTAGAGCTGAATTTAATTTAATGTTAATCAATTTAATTGAATATAATGTTAAGTTCAATTTAACATTAAATTCAATTAAACTCAATTTAACATTAAATTCACCTAAAGAGATTAACATTAAATTCAGCTCCTTTGAATTGTCTTAATTAAATTCAATTAAGTTGAATTCAGTGTTAATCAATGAACATTTATTAACATGTTAACCCAGGTAGAATTAACATTGTCTTCTCAATAGCAAGAAGTGAAAAGAGAAACAGTGTAATTATATTTGCAATATTTTGAAAGAAAATAGCTAGCAACAGAATTCTATATCCAGCAAAAATATTTTTAAAGAAGGAGGGTAAGGAAGAGGCCCTTGTAAAGTAACAGAAATAGAGTGAGTTTGCTATTAGTGACCCCTTGATAAAGGAAATTCTGAAGGAGGTACTTCAGGCAGAAAGAAAGTAACATCAAAGTTCTGACATGCAAGGAGGAATGAAAAGCAAAGAAAATGAGAATATGTGACTAATTCTAAAGAACATTATTGACAATAACAGTAATAATCATATAGGGCTTTAAAAATATTAATATAAACCATTCAGTGTAATAATGACATACTGGATGTGTCAGGAGAGGGGCCAACGGAGTTAAAATGTTCTAAGGACCTTATTCTGTCTAGGAGAAGGGTAAAAGAATTTTTAAGCATTAATGCTTTAAAATGTGCCTGTTGTCATTTCTGTGTTACTTTTAAAAGAATAGAATGTAAGTATATTCTTTCTAATCTCCAGTACGGAAAAATGGAATAATAAAAACAAATCCAAAAAATGTCAGGAGGTCTGGGCATGGTGGCTCAAGCCTGCAATCCCGATGCTTTGAGAGGCCGAGGTGGGAGTGTTGCTTGAGCTCAAGAGTTTGAGATCAGCCTGGGCAACATGGCAAGACCCTGCTTCTACAAAAATTTTTTAAAAATTAGTCAGGCACGGTGGCATGTGCCTGCGATCCCAGCTACTTGGGAAGCTGAGGCAGGAGGGTTGCTTGAGCCCAGGAAGTCAAGGATGCAGTGAGCCGTGCTCACACCATTGCACTCCAACCTGGCTGCCACTGCACTCCAGCCTGGGTGGGAGCATGAGACCCTGTTTCCAAAACAAAAACAAAAACAAAAACAAAAAAACAAAAACAAAACAAACAGAAAAACCAAAAGAAGCCAAGAAAAGAGAGAAAAGGAAGCACACAGAAGATGTGACAAAGAGAAAGCACCCAAATATATCAGTAATAATTAAATGTAAATAATTTAATGTAGATAGACTCAGCATTCCAGTTAAAAAACAATGATTATCAGAGTGTAGAAAACAAATTCAATTAAATGTTTAAAATATGTATCTAAAATAAAGGTCTACAGAAATGTTGAAATTATTGTGATGGTAAATATATATCATACATATATTAAACAAACAAAAGTGTTAGTTTACTTAAATTAATAGAAGACAAAACAGAATTTAATGCAAAAAAATTACCAGAGTTTAAAAATATCACTTTTTAACATCTCAAGTTTCAGTTTACCAGGGATTTTTAAAGAAATCTAAATTTGTATGTACTTAAGAATGAAGTCTCAAAAATAAAGAAAATATTTACAGATCTATAAGGATAAATAGAGAAGTCCACAATCTCGGAGGGAGATTTCAGCATACCACTGTCTTGGTAATTGATATTACAGTAGATTTTTTTAAATTAGGAGAATATACAGGGTTGAAACAACATGATTTATGAACAACCTACTTTTTAGAAAATTATAATTTACTGAACCTGAATAGTCTTGCGATATTAAAGAACTTGAATCAGTTATAAAATGGGCAGTAAAAATATATTCTCATTAAGAAAATTTCAGGCCGGGCGCGGTGGCTCACGCCTGTAATCCCAGCACTTTGGGAGGCCGAGGCGGGTGGATCATGAGGTCAGGAGATCGAGACCATCCTGGCTAACAAGGTGAAACCCCGTCTCTACTAAAAAATACAAAAAATTAGCCGGGCGCGGTGGCGGGCGCCTGTAGTCCCAGCTACTGGGGAGGCTGAGGCAGGAGAATGGCGTGAACCCGGGAAGCGGAGCTTGCAGTGAGCCGAGATTGTGCCACTGCAGTCCGCAGTCCGGCCTGGGCGACAGAGCGAGACTCCGTCTCAAAAAAAAAAAAAAAAAAAAAAAAAAAAAAGAAAATTTCAAAGCCCAAAAGGCTCTACCAGAAAATTGTGCTAAACTTCCAGGAACAGGTAATTCTTACACAAACTCTTCCAAAGTGTAGACAAGGAGGAATCTCATTTTATGCATAAATTTGATATCAAAACCAAACAAAAACAGTATAGAAAAGGAAAAGTACAAGCCATTCTCATTCATGAACATATGTGCAAGCATCCTAACTTTGACCTGGAACCATATAGGAAATGATACTCTGGGAGCCATAGTTCAAGTTTACCCAAGTTGACAAGAAAATGATCAAGCACAATGATAGACTTATTTTTTTAAGGCAAAGAAATGATTATTCCAGGCTGGGCACATTGGCTCATGCCTGTAATCCCAGCACTTTGGGAGGCTGAGGCAGGCGGAATCCAAGGTCAAGAGATTGAGACCAGCCTGGCCAACATGGTGAAATCCTGTCTGTACTAAAAATACAAAAATTAGCGGGGCATGGTGGCTCATGCCTGCAGTCCCAGCTACTCAGGAGGCTGAGGCAGGAGAATTGCTTGAACCCGGGAGGTGGAGGTTGCAGTGAGCTGAGATTGCGCCATTGCACTCCAGCGTGGTGACAGAGTGAGACTCCGTCGCCAAAAAAAAAAAAAAAAAAAAGAAATGATTATTCCTCAAGCCACAATAATGGTTGCCTTGGGGGAAGGGATAAGGTTGTGATCATGTGGGGATTTCTCAGAATGGGGGTGCCAATGTTGAGCAGAGAGGGGATTTACATGGACATTTATAATTATTTGTTATCTTCTACCTATATATTGTACATAATTTTCTGTATATTCATTATATTTCACAACAAAAGAAGAATAAAACATCAAGTTTCAAAGTAATGTGTGAGTGTAGGTAAATCTGTGGAAGTTCACACATTCTGTTAATATCTGGAGTAGGTATTGGAGACAGCTGACAGGCAGAGGACATTCTTTAACTCTTCCCTTGTCAATTTGTATAGTGTCTGACTTGTTTTTTTGCACATATATTCTTTTTCTAATTAAAAAAACCGTAATGAGTCAAAAGTTAATATGACTACAAATAAGTGTATCAAAGACATCTGGTTTTCTTCCATACCCATTTCACGGGAGAACTTAGACTTTTTAGCTGGTTATGTGGCTGTCTACCTAACAGATAATATTTGCAGCTACTCTTGCAGCTAAATGTGGTAATATAACTGAGTTCTGGCTAATTAGATAAATGGCAGTGTTTGGAGGACTTTGGAGAAGACTCATTAAAACAGCACTGTTGGCCAGGCATAATGGTTCACACCTGTAATCCTAGCACTTTGGGAAGCCCAGGCAGGGGGATCTGTTTAGCCTAGGAGTTCAAGACCAGCCTTGGCCAGGTGGTGAAATTGCATCTCTACAAAAAATAAAGGAATTAGGCTGGGCGCAGTGGCTGAAGCCTGTAATCCCAGCACTTTGGGAGGCCAAGGTGGGTGGATCACCTGAGGTCAGGAGTTCGAGACCAGCCTGGCCAACATGGTGAAACCCTGTATCTACTAAAAATACAAAAATTAGCTGGGCATGGTGGCACATGCCTGTAATCCCAGCTACTCACTCAGGAGGCTGAGACAGGAGAATCGCTTGAACCCGGGAGGCGGAGGTTGTAGTAAGGCGAGATCGCACCATTGCTATCCAGCCTAGGTGACAAAAGCAAAACTCCGTCAAAAAAAAAAAAAAAAGAACTTGCCGGGTATGGTGGTGCACACTTGTAGTCCCAGCTACTTGGGAGGCTGAGGCAGGAGGATCCTTCAAGCCCAGAAGGCCAAGGCTGCAGTGAGCTATGATTGCACCAATATACTCTAGCCTGGGTGATAGAGCAAGACCCTGTCTCTTAAAAAAATTAAATAAAAAATACAAAACAGAATTGGCACATGAGTATACCTCCATCATCATGCTGCCTGGATGCAAAGGTTGGAGTTATAGCAGCTGCCTTGGATCATGAGGATGATGGTTTCACTGTAGGACAGCAACAAGGGAGCTGACAGGGGCCTGACTGAAAACTTTATGAAGCCATCCTGCTACTATTGGACTACCCATCTTCAGATCTCTTTCCCATGAGGGAGAAAAACAATTGATTTATTTGGTTTCCTTTGTTATTTGTAGTTAAACCCAATTCTAATTAACGTAAAAGCAGCAAAGCAAGTCATCCAGAGAGGCAGCAAAGCAAGTCTACCTGCCCATAGAAGGTAGAATTCATGTTTGTGGATCAAATAAAACCTGTCTATGAGATAGGCCCGTAGACAGGTTTTATTTGATCTACACAGTTTCTGGGAAAGAAAAATGAATTTGTTTACAATGTTAAACATTAAGAGTCTGCTATGGTCTAAATATGTTCCCCCTAAGTTCATATGTTGAAATTCTAACCTCTAAGGTGATAGTACTGGAAGGTAGCAGTCTTTTGACTTGATTAGGTCAGGAGGGTGGAGCCCTCATGAATGAGACTAGTGCCCTCATAAAATGGGTCCAAGGGAGCTCCTTTGCTCCCTCCACCATAAGAGGACACAGGGAGAAGGTGCCTTCTATGAACCAGAAAGCAGCCCTTCACCAAACATAGAATCTGCTGGCATGTTGATCTTAGACTTCCTAGCCTCCAGAACTATGAGAAATAAATTTCTGTTCTTTATAAGTTACCCAGTGTATGCTGTTTTACAGAATGGATGAAGATAAAGTCTTAATATAAAAATCCAGATTCCTGTCTGGTCTTGAAAATTCAGAAGATATGACATCCTTGAAGTCTCATGCTATCAGTTGGCCGAAGCTGAATAGTGACTGACTCTTCTGTGTCGGGCATGGGCTTTTCTTATTTATTTCATTCATTCATGATGTATTGTGCTTATATCCACTGGCCTAGAGTTCCCACTATCAATAGTTTAGTTATATTTTAGCATAGTTGAATTGTTCTGTTTAATACAATTTTGTATCTTACTTCCTTAATATTAGACAAGTATTTTTTTCCTATGTGAAGGAATCCCATTTTGTTGCTTGGTTCCTTTATGGCTGGGTTGTATTTTGGTTTGTGACAGAATTGATTTCTGTAGACTCTGGGTGATAGCAGAGTCATGCTCAGAGAAATAATGATGATGTCAAATAGCACCAAGAGCACCTTAATATTGTCCATGAAAATTCATCCAGAATAAGATCAGGAAGCCTGGGCTAGAGAAACTGGAACTTTTTAGGGTTAATTTTGATAAGAATTGCTACTTAGTTCATGCTTGCACTAATTACAGCCCTTCATATGGAAATAGACTATTCAACAGAAAAAAAAAAACCCTTCAAATTTCAGGTATCTTTGTTCCCATTTTGCTACCAAAACATACAGTGCTTAAAAGGGTAAGTGTAGTAATAATTTCTGATTTTTCCCTCCAGATTTCAATATACTATTTTAATAATGCCATTATATTTTTCACTAATTCAGATAATTACTTTAATAAAGAAAATATGACAAAACATTAAAATGTGGGTGCTTTATTAACTTCAATACAATTTCTGCCTTCCTGTTCTGTTCTGAATTGCGTAAAGAGGAAAAGGAAAATTGATAATTTAATCAATTGTGGTAGGTGTATAATACATATTGATTAGGCACATGTCTAAATTAGACTTTTTAAACCAAACCAAAGGTTTGCATTTGAAAGAAGATAAACTGCCAAAACATTAAAATCGAATTTATCAAAAACTAATAATTTTAAAGCAAACTGTAATTACAAGAATTGCAGACTCAGAAAGTGATTGTTATTCTTTTGGGAGTTTAAAAGTCTTGCTATTTTCGTTCCTCTTAAAAGACCCATTGTTGTTTCTTAACTTTCTTCTGGTTTTCTATTTGAGACATAAATTCATTGCTCTAGTCAGGAAAAGGTGACATGTGCATGCTGAGAAATACTCACTGGACCCCTTGTGGAATTGTTCTGCCATCACACGAACAAATCCATTTATAGCTCACTCTCTGGGGACACAGGGCACACCTGACAGGTGTGCCAGACAGGCTTTTTTCCCCCCTAAAATGAAAGGTGCTATGATTTTTATTGTTTGGAAAGTGCTCTGAAATATAAGCATCTAAAAGTCAGACTTGTGTTTTAAAGTTTAATATAGGAGGCATTTCTTGTCTCCAGAAACAAGTACACTGATTTACATTATGAAATTTTGTTCATAGAGATGTAATAGGAAATTGAAAGCAAAGTTTACAGCCAATTCTAAATTGAGGATTCCATATTAGATAAGGTTTTACTCTCTCAGTTATTTAAATACCATTACATTTTTACTCAAATATTTTTGAGGTGATTATTACGTATAGGACATTGAGCTATATGTAAGCTATATGTGAGCTAGGTCAAAATGTGATTATTTCACATCAGTTTTTTCCAAGTGAGCAAGCTGCTTTGTGTGAATATACTAGCTGTGGAGAAGTTATGCTAGCATAGACTTTTTTTTTTTTTTAATTTTTTTTTTTATTATACTCTAAGTTTTGGGGTACATGTGCACATTGTGCAGGTTAGTTACATATGTATACATGTGCCATGCTGGTGCGCTGCACCCACTAACATGTCATCTAGCATTAGGTATATCTCCCAATGCTATCCCTCCCCCCTCCCCCGACCCCACCACAGTCCCCAGAGTGTGATATTCCCTTTCCTGTGTCCATGTGATCTCATTGTTCAATTCCCACCTATGAGTGAGAATATGCGGTGTTTGGTTTTTTGTTCTTGCGATAGTTTACTGAGAATGATGGTTTCCAATTTCATCCATGTCCCTACAAAGGACATGAACTCATCATTTTTTATGGCTGCATAGTATTCCATGGTGTATATGTGCCACATTTTCTTAATCCAGTCTATCATTGTTGGACATTTGGGTTGGTTCCAAGTCTTTGCTATTGTGAATAGTGCCACAATAAACATACGTGTGCATGTGTCTTTATAGCAGCATGATTTATAGTCCTTTGGGTATATACCCAGTAATGGGATGGCTGGGTCAAATGGTATTTCTAGTTCTAGATCCCTGAGGAATCGCCACACTGACTTCCACAATGGTTGAACTAGTTGACAGTCCCACCAACAGTGTAAAAGTGTTCCTATTTCTCCACATCCTCTCCAGCACCTGTTGTTTCCTGACTTTTTAATGATTGCCATTCTAACTGGTGTGAGATGATATCTCATAGTGGTTTTGATTTGCATTTCTCTGATGGCCAGTGATGATGAGCATTTCTTCATGTGTTTTTTGGCTGCATAAATGTCTTCTTTTGAGAAGTGTCTGTTCATGTCCTTCGCCCACTTTTTGATGGGGTTGTTTGTTTTTTTCTTGTAAATTTGTTTGAGTTCATTGTAGATTCTGGATATTAGCCCTTTGTCAGATGAGTAGGTTGCGAAAATTTTCTCCCATGTTGTAGGTTGCCTGTTCACTCTGATGGTAGTTTCTTTTGCTGTGCAGAAGCTCTTTAGTTTAATTAGATCCCATTTGTCAATTTTGTCTTTTGTTGCCATTGCTTTTGGTGTTTTGGACATGAAGTCCTTGCCCATGCCTATGTCCTCAATGGTAATGCCTAGGTTTTCTTCTAGGGTTTTTATGGTTTTAGGTCTAACGTTTAAATCTTTAATCCATCTTGAATTGATTTTTGTATAAGGTGTAAGGAAGGGATCCAGTTTCAGCTTTCTACATATGGCTAGCCAGTTTTCCCAGCACCATTTATTAAATAGGGAATCCTTTCCCCATTGCTTGTTTTTCTCAGGTTTGTCAAAGATCAGATAGTTGTAGATATGCGGCATTATTTCTGAGGGCTCTGTTCTGTTCCATTGATCTATATCTCTGTTTTGGTACCAGTACCATGCTGTTTTGGTTACTGTAGCCTTGTAGTATAGTTTGAAGTCAGGTAGTGTGATGCCTCCAGCTTTGTTCTTTTGGCTTAGGATTGACTTGGCGATGCGGGCTCTTTTTTGGTTCCATATGAACTTTAAAGTAGTTTTTTCCAATTCTGTGAAGAAAGGCATTGGTAGCTTGATGGGGATGGCATTGAATCTGTAAATTACCTTGGGCAGTATGGCCATTTTCACGATATTGATTCTTCCTACCCATGAGCGTGGAATGTTCTTCCATTTGTTTGTGTCCTCTTTTATTTCCTTGAGCAGTGGTTTGTAGTTCTCCTTGAAGAGGTCCTTCACATCCCTTGTAAGTTGGATTCCTAGGTATTTTATTCTCTTTGAAGCAATTGTGAATGGGAGTTTACTCATGATTTGGCTCTCTGTTTGTCTGTTGTTGGTGTATAAGAATGCTTGTGATTTTTGTACATTGATTTTGTATCCTGAGACTTTGCTGAAGTTGCTTATCAGCTTAAGGAGATTTTGGGCTGAGACGATGGGGTTTTCTAGATATACAATCATGTCGTCTGCAAACGGGGACAATTTGACTTCCTCTTTTCCTAATTGAATACCCTTTATTTCCTTCTCCTGCCTGATTGCCCTGGCCAGAACTTCCAACACTATGTTGAATAGGAGCGGTGAGAGAGGGCATCCCTGTCTTGTGCCAGTTTTCAAAGGGAATGCTTCCAGTTTTTGCCCATTCAGTATGATATTGGCTGTGGGTTTGTCATAGATAGCTCTTATTATTTTGAAATACGTCCCATCAATACCTAATTTATTGAGAGTTTTTAGCATGAAGGGTTGTTGAATTTTGTCAAAGGCTTTTTCTGCATCTATTGAGATAATCATGTGGTTTTTGTCTTTGGCTCTGTTTATATGCTGGATTACATTTATTGATTTGCGTATATTGAACCAGCCTTGCATCCCAGGGATGAAGCCCACTTGATCATGGTGGATAAGCTTTTTGATGTGCTGCTGGATTCGGTTTGCCAGTATTTTATTGAGGATTTTTGCATCAATGTTCATCAAGGATATTGGTCTAAAATTCTCTTTTTTGGTTGTGTCTCTGCCCGGCTTTGGTATCAGAATGATGCTGGCCTCATAAAATGAGTTAGGGAGGATTCCCTCTTTTTCTATTGATTGGAATAGTTTCAGAAGGAATGGTACCAGTTCCTCCTTGTACCTCTGGTGGAATTCGGCTGTGAATCCATCTGGTCCTGGACTCTTTTTGGTTGGTAAACTATTGATTATTGCCACAATTTCAGAGCCTGTTATTGGTCTATTCAGAGATTCAACTTCTTCCTGGTTTAGTCTTGGGAGAGTGTATGTGTCGAGGAATGTATCCATTTCTTCTAGATTTTCTAGTTTATTTGCGTAGAGGTGTTTGTAGTATTCTCTGATGGTAGTTTGTATTTCTGTGGGATCGGTGGTGATATCCCCTTTATCATTTTCTATTGTGTCTATTTGATTCTTCTCTCTTTTTTTCTTTATTAGTCTTGCTAGCGGTCTATCAATTTTGTTGATCCTTTCAAAAAACCAGCTCCTGGATTCATTGATTTTTTGAAGGGTTTTTTGTGTCTCTATTTCCTTCAGTTCTGCTCTGATTTTAGTTATTTCTTGCCTTCTGCTAGCTTTTCAATGTGTTTGCTCTTGCTTTTCTAGTTCTTTTAATTGTGATGTTAGGGTGTCAATTTTGGATCTTTCCTGCTTTCTCTTGTAGGCATTTAGTGCTATAAATTTCCCTCTACACACTGCTTTGAATGCGTCCCAGAGATTCTGGTATGTTGTGTCTTTGTTCTCGTTGGTTTCAAAGAACATCTTTATTTCTGCCTTCATTTCGTTATGTACCCAGTAGTCATTCAGGAGCAGGTTGTTCAGTTTCCATGTAGTTGAGCGGCTTTGAGTGAGATTCTTAATCCTGAGTTCTAGTTTGATTGCACTGTGGTCTGAGAGATAGTTTGTTATAATTTCTGTTCTTTTACATTTGCTGAGGAGAGCTTTACTTCCAACTATGTGGTCAATTTTGGAATAGATGTGGTGTGGTGCTGAAAAAAATGTATATTCTGTTGATTTGGGGTGGAGAGTTCTGTAGATGTCTATTAGGTCTGCTTGGTGCAGAGCTGAGTTCAATTCCTGGGTATCCTTGTTGACTTTCTGTCTCGTTGATCTGTCTAATGTTGACAGTGGGGTGTTAAAGTCTCCCATTATTAATGTGTGGGAGTCTAAGTCTCTTTGTAGGTCACTGAGGACTTGCTTTATGAATCTGGGTGCTCCTGTATTGGGTGCATAAATATTTAGGATAGTTAGCTCCTCTTGTGGAATTGATCCCTTTACCATTATGTAATGGCCTTCTTTGTCTCTTTTGATCTTTGTTGGTTTAAAGTCTGTTTTATCAGAGACTAGGATTGCAACCCCTGCCTTTTTTTGTTTTCCATTGGCTTGGTAGATCTTCCTCCATCCTTTTATTTTGAGCCTATGTGTGTCTCTGCATGTGAGATGGGTTTCCTGAATACAGCACACTGATGGGTCTTGACTCTTTATCCAACTTGCCAGTCTGTGTCTTTTAATTGCAGAATTTAGTCCATTTATATTTAAAGTTAATATTGTTATGTGTGAATTTGATCCTGTCATTATGATGTTAGCTGGTGATTTTGCTCATTAGTTGATGCAGTTTCTTCCTAGTCTCAATGGTCTTTACATTTTGGCATGATTTTGCAGCGGCTGGTACCGGTTGTTCCTTTCCATGTTTAGCGCTTCCTTCAGGAGCTCTTTTAGGGCAGGCCTGGTGGTGACAAAATCTCTCAGCATTTGCTTGTCTATAAAGTATTTTATTTCTCCTTCACTTATGAAGCTTAGTTTGGCTGGATATGAAATTCTGGGTTGAAAATTCTTTAAGAATGTTGAATATTGGCCCCCACTCTCTTCTGGCTTGTAGGGTTTCTGCCGAGAGATCCGCTGTTAGTCTGATGGGCTTTCCTTTGAGGGTAACCCGACCTTTCTCTCTGGCTGCCCTTAACATTTTTTCCTTCATTTCAACTTTGGTGAATCTGACAATTATGTGTCTTGGAGTTGCTCTTCTCGAGGAGTATCTTTGTGGCGTTCTCTGTATTTCCTGAATCTGAACGTTGGCCTGCCTTGCTAGATTGGGGAAGTTCTCCTGGATAATATCCTGCAGAGTGTTTTCCAACTTGGTTCCATTCTCCACATCACTTTCAGGTACACCAATCAGACGTAGATTTGGTCTTTTCACATAGTCCCATATTTCTTGGAGGCTTTGCTCATTTCTTTTTATTCTTTTTTCTCTAAACTTCCCTTCTCGCTTCATTTCATTCATTTCATCTTCCATTGCTGATACCCTTTCTTCCAGTTGATCGCATCGGCTCCTGAGGCTTCTGCATTCTTCACGTAGTTCTCGAGCCTTGGTTTTCAGCTCCATCAGCTCCTTTAAGCACTTCTCTGTATTGGTTATTCTAGTTATACATTCTTCTAAATTTTTTTCAAAGTTTTCAACTTCTTTGCCTTTGGTTTGAATGTCCTCCCATAGCTCAGAGTAATTTGATCATCTGAAGCCTTCTTCTCTCAGCTCGTCAAAATCATTCTCCATCCAGCTTTGTTCTGTTGCTGGTGAGGAACTGCGTTCCTTTGGAGGAGGAGAGGTGCTCGGTGTTTTAGAGTTTCCAGTTTTTCTGTTCTGTTTTTTCCCCAACTTTGTGGTTTTATCTACTTTTGGTCTTTGATGATGGTGATGTACAGATGGGTTTTCGGTGTAGATGTCCTTTCTGGTTGTTAGTTTTCCTTCTAACAGACAGGACCCTCAGCTGCAGGTCTGTTGGAATACCCTGCCGTGTGAGGTGTCAGTGTGCCCCTGCTGGGGGGTGCCTCCCAGTTAGGCTGCTCGGGGGTCAGGGGTCAGGGACCCACTTGAGGAGGCAGTCTGCCCGTTCTCAGATCTCCAGCTGCGTGCTGGGAGAACCACTGCTCTCTTCAAAGCTGTCAGACAGGGACACTTAAGTCTGCAGAGGTTACTGCTGTCTTTTTGTTTGTCTGTGCCCTGCCCCCAGAGGTGGAGCCTACAGAGGCAGGCAGGCCTCCTTGAGCTGTGGTGGGCTCCACCCAGTTCGAGCTTCCCTTCCCGGCTGCTTTGTTTACCTAAGCAAGCCTGGGCAATGGCGGGCGCCCCTCCCCCAGCCTCGTTGCCGCCTTGCAGTTTGATCTCAGACTGCTGTGCTAGCAATCAGCGAGACTCCCTGGGCGTAGGACCCTCTGAGCCAGGTGTGGGATATAGTCTCGTGGTGCGCCGTTTCTTAAGCCGGTCTGAAAAGCGCAATATTCGGGTGGGAGTGACCCGATTTTCCAGGTGCGTCCATCACCCCTTTCTTTGACTCAGAAAGGGAACTCCCTGACCCCTTGTGCTTCCCAGGTGAGGCAATGCCTCGCCCTGCTTCGGCTCGCGCACGGTGGGCACACACACTGGCCTGCGCCCACTGTCTGGCACTCCGTAGTGAGATGAACCCGGTACCTCAGATGGAAATGCAGAAATCACCCGTCTTCTGCGTCGCTCACGCTGGGAGCTATAGACCGGAGCTGTTCCTATTCGGCCATCTTGGCTCCACATTCCCACTAGCTAGCATAGACTTTAGGACAGAGAAGTATAACTTGCCCTTGTCATCAGTATTTTAAGTGTCTTCTGTGAATATAGCTCTGTACTATGTGCTGGGGAAACAGAGAGATTGAGATATGGGTGCTGCTTCCAAAGACTTTCTTTTTTTATGTAAAGGGTTGATTTAAGAAAAAAAGAACTCTAAAATATTTCTTGAATAATTACTATCTAAGTTATTTACAGACATGCATTATTTGAGAATATGTGTTTTGATAACAGAGATTAAGAGACTATCATTTCTGCTAGGTATGTGTCCTGAAATTAAGAAAACTGATTATGGAACTTATTTATATTCTGCTTACATTTTATTAAGCTTACCTCTGCTTGAGTGAAAGTTCTTTATACTTTTTATGACAGCGATTATATTCCTTAATCCAAGATTCTTGTTTCTTTAAAGCGTAAAAATGTTATTCTTCTTAAATTCCAATGCTAATGGATAAAAGAAGATTTGCAGCCTCTTGATGTTCATCATCTACTCCCAGAAAACCAGCAACACAAGGAGAACATGTCCAGGAAATATTTTTGTGTGTGGCACTCCCTGTCAGCTATAAAATTATGAAACCTGGCCAGATGAAGATCGTTTATGCAAATAGCCGTTTATAGACTGAGCATCAAACAGTGGAATGGCCCATCAATAGCTCGTTTGATTCAGTTAAAAGGGAGAAATAATTGTCATGTTATTTCTGCCTCTATCATGGCTTGATTTGATCTCTGGATTAGAAAATCTTCTGTCCTTATTCAGTATATAAGGTTCATATTGATCCCAGATAACCCCTCTGACATAATTATGTTTGCTGTTTGCAAAAGGGAGGCCATTTGCTGCATGGCAAATGGAGCATGTTGGAGGGATCTAAGCGAATTAACTTGTAATTGGATGATTCTTGGTGAAATTTACAATGGTCACTACGAAGAAGTGACCATTGTAAGGGAAGGGAGTCAAGGATGGGAGAGTGGAGGGGGTGTCTGCCTGCAACCAGTAAGTGCAGATTCACACGGGAGGACTAGACAAAAAAAGTTGATGTTTGTGACTTAGCTCCTTAGCCCATTCTACTTCAAATTCCTATCAAAGTGCAGTTATGTATTCTTTTATGTTGGACTGATTCATCATGAATGGAATATCTCGTGATAATCTTTTTCTTATTTCCCTCCTCCCCCACTCTTTTTTTTTATTTTTAAAAGAATTTTACTTTAAATTCTGGGATACATGTACAGAACGGGCAGGTTTGTTACATAGGTATACGTGTGCCATGGTGCTTTGCTGCACCTATCAACCCATTATCTAGGTTTTAAGCCCCGCATGCATTGGCTATTTGTCCTAATGCTCTCCCTCCCATTACCCTCCACCCCCTGACAGGTCCCGGTGTGTGTGTGTTCCCCTCCCAGTGTCCATGTGTTCTCATTGTTCAACTCCCACTTAATAAGTGAGAATATGTGGTGTTTGATTTTCTGTTGCTGTATTAGTTTGCTGAGGATGATGGCCTCCAGCTTTATCCATGTCCCTGCAAAGGACATGATCTCATTCCTTCTTATGGCTGCATAGTATCCCATGGTGTAGATGTACAACATTTTCTTTATCCAGTCTATCATTGATGGGCATTGGGGTTGGTGCCATGTCTTTGCTATTGTAAATAGTGCTGTATTAAACATATGTGTGCATGTGTCTTTAGAGTAGAATGGTTTATATTCCTTTGGGTATATACCCAGTAATGGGATGCCTGGGTCAAATGGTATTCCTGGTTCTAGATCCTTGAGGAATTGCCACACCGTCTTCTACAGTGGTTGAGCTAATTTACATTCCTACCAATAGTGTAAAAGTGTTCCGATTTCTCCACAGTCTCGCCAGCATCTATTGTTTCTTGACTTCATAATCACCATTCTGACTGGCATGAGATGGTATCTCATTGTGGTTTTGATTTACATTTCCCTAATGATTAATGATGTTGAGCCTTTTTCATATGCTTGTTGCCTGCATAAATGTCATCTTCTGAGAAGTGTCTGTTCATATCCTTTGCCTACTTTTTGATGGGATTTTTTTCTTGTAAACTTGTTTAAGTTCCTTGTAGATTCTGGATACTGGACCTTTGTCTAATGGGTAGATTGCAAAAATTTTCTTCCGTTCTGTAGGTTACCTGTTCACTCTGATGATAGTTTCTTTTGCTGTGCAGAAGCTCTTAGTTTAATTAGATCCTATTTGTCAATTTTGGCTTTTGTGGCAATTGCTGTTGGCATTTTCATCACGAAATCTTTGCCCATGCCTATGTCCTGAATGGTATTGCTTAGGTTTTCCTCTAGGGTTTTTATGGTTTTTGGTTTTACATTTAAGCCTTTAATCCATCTTGAGTTAATTTTTGTATAATGTGTAAGGAAGGGATCCAGTTTTAGTTTTCTGCATATGGCTAGCCAGTTCTCCCAGTACCATTATTAAATAGGGAATCTTTTCCCCATTGCTTGTTTTTGTCAGGTTTGTCAAAGATCAGATGGTTGTAGATGTGTAGTGTTATTTCTGATGTCTCTGTTCTGTTCCATTGGTCTATATGTCTGTTTTGGTACCAGTACCATGCTGTTTTGGTTACTGTAGCCTTGCAGTATAGTTTGAAGTCAGGTAGCATGATGTCTCCAGCTTTGTTCTTTTCACTTAGGATTGTCTTGGCTATACAGGCTCTTTTTTGGTTCCATATGAAATTTAAAGTAGTTTTTTCTAATTCTGTGAAGAATGTCAATGGTAGTTTGATGGGAATAGCATTGAATCTGTAGATTAATTTAGGCAGCATGGCCATTTTCACGATATTGATTCTTCCTATCCATGAGCATGAAATGTTTTTACATTCGTTTGTGTCCTCTCTTATTTTCTTGAGCAGTGGTTTGTAGTTCTCCTTCAGGGTCCTTCACATTCCTTGTTAGCTGTATTCCTAGGTATTTTATTCTCTCTGTAGCAATTGTGAATAGGAGTGTATTCTTAATTTGGCTCTCTGCTTGTCTATTGTTGGCATGTAAGAATGCTTGTGATTTTTGCACATTGATTTTGTATCCTGAGACTTTGCTGAGGTTGTTTATTAGCTTAAAGAGTTTTTGGGCTGAGGTGATGGGGTTTTCTAAATATAGAATTATGTTATCTGCAAACAGACAATTTGACTTCCTCTCTTCCTATTTGAATACGCTTTATTTCCTTCTGTTGCCTGATTGCCCTGGCCAGAACTTCCAATACTATGTTCAATAAGACTGGTGAGAGAGAGCATCCTTGTTTTGTGCTGGTTTTCAAAGGGAATGCTTTCAGCTTTTGCCCATTCAGTATGATATTGGCTGTGGGGTTGTCATAAATAGCTATTATTATTTTAACATATGTTCCATGTATACCTACTTTATTGAGGGTTTTTAATATCAAGGGATGTTGGATGTTATAGAAGGCCTTTTCTGCTTCTATTGAGATAATCATGTGGTTTTTGTCATTGGTTTTGTTTATGTGATGGATTACATTTATTGATTTGCGTATGTTGAACCAGCCTTGCATCCCAGGGATGAAGCCGACTTGATCGTGATGGTTAAACTTTTTGATGTGCTACCGGTTTGCTTAGCAGTATTTTATTGAGGATTTTTGCATTGATGTTCATCAGGGATATTGGCCTGAAGTTTTCTTTTTTTGTTGTGTCTCTGCCAGGTTTTGGTATCAGGATGATGCTGCCCTCATAAAATGAGTTAGGGAGGAGTCCCTCCTTTTCAATTGTTTGGAATAGTTTCAGAAGGAATGGTACCAGCTCCTCTCTGTACGTCTGGTCCTGGGCTTTTTTATTTTATTTTATTTTATTTTATTTTATTTTATTTTATTTTATTTTATTTTATTTTATTTTTTTGGTTGGTAGGCTGTGTATTACTGCCTCAATTTCACAACTTGTTATTGGTCTATTCAGGGATTCAGCTTCTTCCTGGTTTAGTCTTGGGCCTCCTCACCCAATCTTAAAGTTTTCCATATAATATATGTATATATTTTATATATATATATATTTTTTTTTTTTTGAGACGGTGTCTTGCTCTGTCATTAGGCTGCAGTGCAGTGGCGCGATTTCAGCTCACTGCCACCTCTACCTACTGGGTTCAAGCGATTCTTCTACCTCAGCCTCCCAAGTAGCTTGACTAGAGGCACGCGCCACCATGCCCGGCTAATTTTTTGTATTTTTCGTAGAGACAGGGTTTCACTATGTTGGCCAAGATGGTATTGATCTCTTTACCTCATGATCCGCCCACCTCGGCCTCCCAAAGTGCCAGGATTACAGGCGTGAGCCACCGCACCCAGCCTTCTCCATATTTTCACTTGTGAAGTTGCTTGGGAATTGTTCTCTAGATGGGTCACATATTACATAGTAGATCTTAAATTCCACAAGGTTGTGGACTCTGCCCTGCTTTTCTGGCATTTCCTCTGGAGAGTTTTTCTCAGTCAATGCATACAAAGCAATCCATTTGGAGCTAATCTTTGAACCAACTTAGTAAAGCATCAAGAAACCAGTTAGAAATGTGTTCTCATTAACATCTAGCAAATATTGGAAATAATGGTACCCACATTTTAGGATGCTGTGAAGTGGCAGGTTAAGGGAGGTTCATCATGATGATTTGGGAGATTTCTCATTGCTTAACATGTCACTCTGTTTTTTACAAAAAGCAATTATTCCTATTGAACTAATAAACGAGCTAGCTTTGAATGTTGTAGTGGTAGTGTGTTCTCTCTTCTATTTCAGCTGTACATATTATTTCCACTTATTTTCCCCCAGAAACCTGTGAAGTAAATAAAGACTCTTTAATTGAATTCACAGGAGTGTGTCATAGGTTTATAGGGATGGATGGACAGAACATCATCACGTCATTCAGTTGACAGTGGTGGAATTTCTCCCAGGTGCCAGGATAGAAACAGACCCATCAAAAGGCATCTCCAGCAATATTCCCTTTTGGTTGGTGTGTTACCTGAGAACATTTCAAAGTCACAAGCTGGAGAAAGAAATGCTTTCTTTTTTATGCGTGAAGTAGAGTGAGAAAGCAGTTGAAGACTTGATATTAATAGTTATACCTCCATGAAATTGACCTTGCAAAATGTTATCTTTTTACTTGGGAAAAACTATTAATAAAAGGAGGGGGATTGGTTTTAATGCAAAATGACAGTGACTTTTGGGATGGAAGCACTAACCTTGAAAGGTTTTACAAGAATGGACTTTGTTTGGATGAAGGTCTCTGTTTTTTCTTTGTTTGTTTGTTTCTAAACAATTTTCCAGCAGCACATATCTCTTCACTCCCTCTATTCTCAGAGGGTTTCTAATATGTCACTCCATTGTAATGCCTTGGTTTTTAGTCAGCTGATTACCATTTTAATATAGTGGGGAATGTGTCTGTAATTTGAAATGTAGATATTATACCAGAAGATTTCCATGCCAGTAGTCCATATGAATTATTTGAAGCAATTGATCAAGTACGTACCTCCACTTCTAAGTGTGAGCAAAAGTTCTGAGAAGTAATTTAGAGGAAAGATATTTTATTCTAGTAAACAGTTTGCAAACTGGGGAGAAATAGCCCTCAGCTTAAACTGAAGGTGCATTTCAGAGAACAAAGGCAGGGTTTGTCTGGCTTTTATAGAGAAAGTTCCCATTTAGGTTTTCAGTCAGGTCCTCCTATGAAAAATGAAAGATTAGAACTTGCTTAGTTCAGATTGGTTGATGCAGCTGAGTTCTGATTGGTTGATGCAGGCCACAGCCTATTGGTTGATTCAGGTAACATGGGCAAGAACAGTTAATTATGAAAGTTTCAAAGTTAAGCAGTTGTATGGCTTTTCTGGGAACTCAGAGTATGTGCGTAACCTCTAGTCAGCAAATGGCCACTTGGTTCCGTTTTAAATTTAGGCCCCGTTTACCACTCAGGATTCATCTTGAGGGATTGACTTTCTCAGGTTCACATAGCCATCTCCTTCTTATAGCATATGCTAAAGAAATGTAAATTAATTAATTTGAAGGTCATGTAAATCTCATAAACATCAATATTTTTTCATACCTTCAATAAAGAAGGAGCAGAGAAGGAAATGTGGGGATCATGCCTACATTGTCTTATCTTTTTCTTTTCATCTTGAGGCTCTCCTTAAAGCAAGAAATAGGAAGTAGTGAGGAGGTAATGGGAATAGTAAACTGTTCTGGGAGAAGCTGATGCATTTAAACTAAGTCTTCACTTGGGCAGTGGCAACCACCAGTGACTTTCACAATCACCAGGTCCACGCAGGTCTCCAGGGAGAGTTGCAAAACTCACAAAGATAAATTAAAATTTCCTTCCTTCCTTCCTTCGTTTCCTCCCTCCCTCCCTCCTTTTCTTCCTTCCCTCCCTGCCTCCTTGCTTCTCTCTCTCTTTCCTTTTTCCTTCCTTCTTCCTTCCTCTTTCCTTCCTTCCCTCTCTCCTTCTCTCCCTTCCCCCTTTTCTTCCTGCTGTCTTGTTAATAATTCCTTCCCTTGCATTTTCTCAGTTTAACATATTGTAGGGCTTATTTGGGGAAATATTCGTCAGCCAGGCCCTCACCTTTATGGGTTAGTGCTTTTCTCTCATTTTCCCCATCCTCTTCAATCTAATTTTCTAAGGAGTGAAATCACTTGAATTAACAATGCAGCACTCCTCCCACCTCACTTTTGGGATTTAACGTGTCCCCCCATGGAGCTGCTAATTCCATGGAGAATGCATCTCACTTGGCACAGAAAATCCCCTAAATTGCAAAGCATCAAATAATAAGAGCTTTCCTGTGATCAAGAATTTAAAACCTGCTAGAAAAATTAATATGTTCATCAAAGTTAATGATTATTGAAACGTATTCTTAGCTGCATGATTGTTTTCTTGTACCCTGATTCGCTGGATGTAGACTACAGTTTTTTTTTTCATTTATCCCCCCTAGGGATTATCATCAGCATTAGGTTTAAAGCATAGTTTTACAAATGTTTGCTTTTAAAATTCCTCAGTGTTTAAGGAGTTCTTACTGAATGGTGTTGCTAGACTTTTTCTAGCTGAGTAATCTTTTTTCCTTACTGACTCATATCGGTAAATTTGTTCACAAAAGTAGAAACATTGTTCATCTATAATAAACATCTCTGAGAGCCATAGCCATCACTAGAGCAGTGCACTTTTATGGAGATTATTCTATTTTTAGGGTTGCTGACCTTTTGCTTTTTTATTAGTTGCTATAGTGATGATCTGAGCTCTGCCTAATAGAGCTTTACAAAAATGATGACGATCAATAAGCTTGTTAATGCTAATGTTTATATTGATGGTTCCCAATAACACGTATCAAAATAAAATTTAGTCATGTAAATGTATTCAGTAGTGGAATTGTGTATTTAAAAACACATTTTAAATAGATGTTTATGTAAGATGCAGGAGATTAAATGCATTCTGTGGCTTTTTTAGAAAAACTAGAATACCTTTGTGCAGACATAAAAATATGGAGACAGTTTGAAAGATCATTGTGAAATACACAATAAAATCATTTTATAACAGCAAACTTCAGAAGTTGGAAGTACCATGGCTAATGATTACTAAAGCAAAGTCAAGTCAGATAATTCTTTTAGTACCTATTCTAAGAACACTCTAGACCAATTTCTCCTCATATGCACCTGTATAACTACTAATGATTTCAGAGGAATTCCGAAACACTCAGGGGAAGAAAAGTTGGTAATCAGTTAAAATTCATCAGGCAAAGTAGCAGAACAGCACAGATTATGATTGTTTCTGAAGTTCACTTAACAATTTTAAATCTTTTACTTACTGATAATAGATAAACTACTATCTTTGGCATTATAGTGAAATTTCTATGAACACATTTGTGAGGAATTTGATTCTTTTTCCTTCAGAATTAAATAATATTTGTTTTCAAATGATAGTCATGTATTTTTTGACACATTGTAGGTAAAGTGCAAGAACGTCTAAGATATTAAGCTCTTTAGCATTGTCAGTGCAAAGAGGACATCTGGAGAATGGCGAAACTATCAAGGCCCGTTATCATTGCAATTTGTTTAGATGCTAAGGTGCTGGTGTCAAGCTATTGCTTTCCAAGCATAGTCTCCCATTCTTTCTCTGTCCTGTGAAGAATCATCTGGGGAGGCAGTTTGCCAAAGGTTCACAGCAAGAAGATGGTAGCCCACAGGTGGAAGTGGTTTCTCTCTCTCTAGAACCTGGATTCCTCTCCTTCTCCTTGATGTTTTGAGAACCTAAGTCTCCTCTAGGAGACTCTGCTCCCATAGTCTATCAAATATGCTCTAAGATTTATTAAAAACAAAAATCAACACCACAGTAGTAGGACAAGGGGATGAAATGGGATTGATGCAGAGGCTATCTTTAGTCAACGAAAAGGAAATGAACAATGTGTCAGTTTCAAGTGTCAAAATAACTTCTTTGAAAAACACAGGAAATTATCTGTCATCATAGATTTTTCATGTATCACTTTTTTTCTAAATTAAAAAAAGATTTCTTAAATGCAAGATGAAGTTTAAGCAAAAAAATTGGCTTCATGTGTTTTTAAAATTAGAATCACAAATTTAATTATATCCTTATGTTACTTGGTTTCAATGATCACATTTATTTTTCTAAAATGAAAAGTCTTGTCTCTTATAGGAATACCACTAGTAGAACTTTTAGTGATTCTGTCATTTGAGAACTATTTACTGATCATCTACTATGTGTCAGGCATCATTGTAAACACTGGACATATGGCTGGGAACAAAGCAGGCAAACTTCTTCCTCTCCCGAAGCTTATGTCCTCTGGAGGGAATTGGGTAATCAATAAATGAGTATATGATGTGTCAGGTGGTGATCAGAGCTAGGAATTAAAATCAAGCAGGACAAGGGTCTTGAGAGTGTACAGGGAATGGGAAATAAGTGCTATTTTAGGTAAGGTTGTCAGCCAACACCACGGTCTCCCAACTGTCTTCTTGCATTAGGTTTCTAATTGGCCTATTCACTTTTATTCTTGCTTCTCTAGTGTCTATTCACACAGCGGCCACTCAGAATAAAAGTTAGATCGTGTCTCTCACCTACCAAAACCCTGAAACAACTTTTTAGAATAAAATTCACAGTCCTTTCCTTAATCCTTTTCATCCCACCATCACTCCTTCTTTCTTCCCTGCTTTTTTTTTTTTGTAGCACCATTCTTTCTTGCTTTTGTGTTAAACATCTGTTTAGTAGATGAATGAGAACATATATGACTCAAGAACAGGAATTTGGGCTCTTTCCTCACCATTGTATCTCCAGTACCTGGAATAGCAGCAACACATTGCAAGAGCCCAATAATTATTTTGGCATGAAAGAATGAATGTACATGCTTTAAAAGAGGACTGCTGTGGCCAGGCATGGTGGCTCACGCCTGTAATCCCAGCACTTTGGGAGGCTGAGGTGGGTGGATCACCTGAGGTCAGGGGTTTGAGACCAGCCTGGCCAACATGGTGAAACCCTGTCTCTATAAAAATAGAAAAATTAGCTGGGCATGGTGGTGGGCACCTGTAATCTCAGCTACTCAGGAGGCTGAGGCAGGAGAATGGCTTGAACCTAGGAGGTGGAGGTTACAGTGAGCCCAGATCGCACCACTGCACTCCAGCCTGGGTGATCGAGTGAGACTCCATCTCAAAAAAAAAAAAAAAAAAAAAAAAGTGTACTGCTGAATAATGGAGGGAAAATAGTAGACAGAAAAGAGTGAAATGCTTCAGAGATCCTAAAACAGATCCCATGTGCTAGTTTCCATTATCCTAATCATATTTCTTATTGTCATCTGCCATAACCATTCCTAGCTGCAGCCTAATCTCATTTTTTTTCTCCATCTTTGCTTATACCACAGAGAGCCTTTACCAATGAACATAAGTGCATACTGTGTAGCTGAATATTCTGGATGTGAAATTTTGGTGATTGCAATTCCAATTCCAAAAATACTTAAAATGGTTTGATTTATGGTCATGTTCTTTCTTCTTTAAACTGTAGCATCACCAAATGCCCCAAAACTTGGACCCATGGAGCTGGCCATCATTATTACTGTGCCTGTTTGCCTCCTGTCCATAGCTGCGATGCTGACAGTATGGGCATGCCAGGGTCGACAGTGCTCCTACAGGAAGAAAAAGAGACCAAATGTGGAGGAACCACTCTCTGAGTGCAATCTGGTAAATGCTGGAAAAACTCTGAAAGATCTGATTTATGATGTGACCGCCTCTGGATCTGGCTCTGGTATGTTACCATTGTCCATTTTTTTAAAATAAGAAAACACTTTTATTTAAAAGTAAATAAAAACTTTTTAACAAAAAGGGCCCAAATATTATGAATTCCGTCTTGAAAGGATACATGGTGAGCTCTGGTATAGGAACTCCTTTTAGTACCTGAGGAAGAGAAAAACCATCGTGGCCTATAGAATTAAGTCTTCTCAGTTGCTTTTTGTAGCTTTAGGTGTTCAGATTCTTACATTCACTTTCCTTCAGAATTTATTTCTGAAGCAAAAAAGCAATTTCCCTTCTCTCCTCCCTGCTTCCCCCCATTATGGTTACTAACAATCACTGTTGCTTTGTTGATAATGTTTTATGGACACAAAAGAGTTAGGGTTGTGGTATTTAAGGTGTTGAGTTCTGAGGGAAAGATGTTGGTTATACAAAGTAGTGTTCTTTGAGCTCTTTTGCTTGTGGGTATGAGGATTTTCAGAATCTATAGACACCCCCTGAGATGTGTGTGAAGCTAACAGGGAACTCACCTAAAATTAAATCAAGAATATGTTCTTAAAGCAAAGAAACAGAAGATTAAAGAGAGCAGTGCAGCATTCCTGTGCTGGCTTTTGCTGGCTGTGGTTACATACATGACTGTCTTCCTCTTTAATGGAACTCCAGAACCCCAGGTAAAGCGTTCAAAGTACCGGCCGGGCGCGGTGGCTCACGCCTGTAATCCCAGCACTTTGGGAGGCCGAGGCGGGTGGATCATGAGGTCAGGAGATCGAGACCATCCTGGCTAACAAGGTGAAACCCCGTCTCTACTAAAAAATACAAAAAATTAGCCGGGCGCGGTGGCGGGCGCCTGTAGTCCCAGCTACTCGGGAGGCTGAGGCAGGAGAATGGCGTGAACCCGGGAAGCGGAGCTTGCAGTGAGCCGAGATTGCGCCACTGCAGTCCGCAGTCCGGCCTGGGTGACAGAGCGAGACTCCGTCTCAAAAAAAAAAAAAAAAAAAAAAAAAAAAGCGTTCAAAGTACCAGGCTGTATTATAGCCTAAATGAGCCTTTCTCACAACACAAAGCATTTGAAGGTTTTTTATTTTTATTTTTATTTTTTATTTTTTTATCTTTTGGCAGGAGGTTGGCGGAGTGGGGGGACAGTTTTCCCCAGAATAACAAACTCCCTAAAATGGTAGGGGATTCCATATATATATATATCCAGAAATCCTGCCAGCTCATGGTTTATGAAAATACGAACAAGAGTAACCCTAGGTGAGCCACTTCAGAGGCCCCTGCATCTCTTCTTGTTTTGGAAGGATCATTAAGATAGTAGCCCAACATTCTGAAGAACTCCCTTGCCAATGGCTTTCGGGAAAATCCAGGCAGTAACAATTAACAGAGGTAGGCAACAGAGGGCTGATAACATCTCTATGTGCATCCATATTTAGCATGAAGCTGCTTTGGATTCATCAGAAAAGAAAAGCATAATCAAACCCAGATAGTTCGCTCCTTCTGGGGCAAAATCACCTGGCCTCCCACTGACGAAGACTAAATGTTTACACCATCACTGTACACATTAGGTAGCATCTTTCAAAGGAAGAATACTGGTAAGAAAACCCCCAAACTGCAAAGTTTTAAAAACCAGAATTTAAATTAAAATAAATTATTGGCTAGACGACTGGCACCTTCCTTCCTTCCTTCCTTTGTCTCCTTCCTTCCTTCATCTCCTTCCTTCCTTCCTTCCCTCCCTCCCTCCCTTCTTTCTTTCTTTCTCTTTCTTTCTTTCTCTCTTTCTCTTTCTTTTTCTTTTTCTTTTCCTTTCTTTCTTTCTCTCTCTCTCTCTCTTCCTTCCTTCCTTTCTTTCTTTCTTTCTTTCTTTCTTTCTTTCTTTCTTTCTTTCTTTCTTTCTTTCTTTCTTTCTTTCTCTCTTCTTTATTTTTTTTTTTTCCAGATTCTCACCCTGTTACCTAGGCTGGAGTGCAGTGGTGCTATCTTGGCTCACTGCAACCTCTCCCTCCTGGATTCAAGTGATTCTCCTACCTGAGCCTCCTAAGTAGCTAGAATTACAGGTGTGCCCCACTACACCTGGCTAATTTTTGCATTTTTAGCAGAGATGGGGTTTCACCATGTTGGCCAGGCTGGTCTCAAACTCCTGAACTCAAGTGATCTGCCTGCCTTGGCCACCCAAAGTGCTGGGATTACAGGTGTGAGCCACTGCACCTGGCCACATTTTTCTTTAAAATTAAAACTTGTTGATATTCAATACTGTTTCCTTCTTTGACTCTGACACTTTGAGGCCCACTGTGCCCTGATTTCTTGAATATTGACAACATTCTAGGCACAGAGACCTCTGATTTATGGCAAGTTTCTTGAAACCTTATATAATTTCTTTATAAGGTTCAAGAGGTTAAATAACTCTCTGCTTAATCCCCATCCCCAAAACCATTTTAATTATCTGAAGATGTTAGATAAAAACGTGCATTTTGGAACTATTCCTTAAATACATTTAAGATAACCAAAGATTTTCCTTTCAAATGAAAGCAATTCAGATTTTAATGCTAGAGACTGGGATTTAGTTTGAGAAAGTAGTCATGGGCTAGGGCAGAAATCAAAAATTAATGTTACATTTTCTGGTGTTTTTTGCATGTTTAAACCTAAATCTGGAATTACTGATTCTGGACTCTCTCGTTTTCAGATTATTCTAAGATCTCTCATTTAAAAAAAAAAAAAGTAGTAAATGTACCCAAGCATGGATGATTTCTTTAAATACCAATCTGAAAGAGCTTTAGGCATTTTTCCCCCAAAGCCAGTTGCATACGTTTGGCAGTGACCAGTGGCTGAAAGTAACAGAAGGCCTCCCTGCCTTTGATAATCAGAGAATGGGTGTATCCGCAGTGAGGCTTCAGTCATAAAAGCTCACCTGTAGGGAGGGGATTGGAGGAGGGGGGAGTCTGATTCCCTCTGCTTTTCTTAATTGGCCAGTAACTTTAAATGTGAGACAGTTTGTCAGATGCTGAGGAACAAAAACTGTGAAGCGTATTCTTGACCTGGTCAGGGACAAATTTCAAAGACATGCATAATGCCTGCAAGAGGGGAAAATGGACTGATGAGAAATGATGGTGTCTCAGATGGCTTCCAAGAAACTGGGTAGGTTGCTGCTTTTCTCTTGTGGTGTAACAATTCTGACTGATGGTGACATTATTGAAAGCTAACCTTCTACACCCCCTGGTTAAAAGATTGAAATGAACCTACAGGGAGAAGCAAAAATCCATGTATCTTCAAATGAAATGTCTAGGTGCATAACAGAAGAATTAGATTCATTTTGGTGGTTGCTTTGAAAGATACCAAAGCAAATTTTATTGAGTTTTAATGTCTCAATTTAATTGCTGTCTCGAGTACTTTATATATTGTTGTCTTACTTTGTTCCTGATCTGCACCACTGATTATGTACTTGATTAATTTGCAGTTTGAAAGCATAAGCTTATCTAGCTCTCCATCCATTTGTTGTGTTTTGGGTAGTGCTGGTTGTTGGTAGTGATGTTTCTGTGAGTGTGCATGTATGTATGTGGATAAGACTATAGGTTAGCAGGAGGAAGGGAGAGACTGAGATTGAGATTTGGCCTAATAATTGTTAGCATAACTTTTAGTGTGTGGTCAAGTAGTAAAATTGATTGTTGCCTGCAAAAACAGTCCAGGCTGGTTGCAGTGGCTCACGCCTGTAATCCCAGTACTTTGGGAGGCCGAGGCAGGTGGATCACTTGAGGTCAGGAGTTCGAGACCAGCCTGGCCAACATGGTGAAACCTCTTCTCTACTAAAAATACAAAAATTAGCTGGGTATGGTGGTGCACACCTGTAGTCCCAGCTACTCAAGAGGCTGATGTGGGAGAATCGCTTGAACCTGGGAGGTGGAGATAGTAGTGAGCTGAGATCATGCCACTGCACTCCAGCCTGACAGAGCAAGACTCCATCTCAAAAAACAAACAAACAAACAAACAAAACAAACCAACAAACAAAAACAGTCTTATAGTTTGCTTCTAGACAGGAACAGTTTGCACTGAAGATCAGTGTTTTAGTTCTAGGTCTGCCTCTCACTAGCAGCATAATCCTGGGAAAGACTTTGATTATCGAGGGGCCTCAGTTTTGCCATCTCTAAAATGATAGGGTTGAACCAGATAATTTCAAAAGAACTTTCTTCCTGTAGGGTTTTGTGACTAATTGTTGAGATCCGTAACAGCAGATTTGTAGTCTGTGCTTATTTAGCCTGTGCTTATATGTCCATATGAGAACATGTGAATGAACAGTGACTAGTTTTAGGTGCAGGGACCAAAGCCCCTGCAAGACAGGGTCATTGCTATGAGGGTTCCCTAGCTGTCTGAGTACAAAAACAGTAACTAAATGTGACTTTTCAGAATAAATGTAGACTGTAACCTCTTTAACTATTTTTCCTTTGATTTTAAGAGCAATAAATATCAATTGTGGAAATTAAGAAAATGTGGAAAATTAGAAAGAAGACTATCATAACTCACCCCGGTTTCACCAAGAGAAATAACCATCATAACATTTAGCATGCTTCCTTTTGAGTCTTATTTTCTGTGCATATTTTGAATAGCTAGATACACTTATATTTATAAGAATAAAATGTACTATGCTGTTTTTATTTAATATTATAGCAAAAGTATTTTTTCATGTTATTAGATACTTCTTCATAAGCATCATCATTATTATTGGCTCTGAGTAAGCCATCCTAAGATTAACATAATGTTAACCATTATTGAACATGTAATATGCCAGATACTGTGCTAGGTGCTGAACATGCTTATTAATTCTCATATCATCTCTGCGAGATGCGTAATATTGATTATCCCCAGTTTTTCAGATGAAGAAGCTGAAGCGCAGACAGGTGAAATAACTTGTGCATGATTACCAGGTGGCAGAGCTGAAATCTGAATCCGCCTGTGCTCTTAATCTCTGCACTTTATTTCACAATTATTCCATTACCTGACACTTTTACTTATTTTATTCCTATAAATAATAATAAGATATTAAACATCTTGACATAAATTTTTCTACATTTTGCATTAAGTATTTGCGACAGAATTCTAGAGGTGGAGTTAGTAGTTCAAAGAATATAAGCGTTATACATACATTCAGGATATATTTTCTTTGAAAATTTTTTTTTGTTCTGCAGAAAATATTCATTTGATATCTTATTTGACTATATCTTGCTTTTAGTGTAATATCATTATCTCACATGATCATTGTATTTGATTCTTCACTTTCCAATTTGAGCTTGGTTTTTGAAAAAATTCACAAATAATTATTTTGCTCTTCCAGTTGTACCAGGAACCATACATTTTATTTTAGAGGCTAACACTTCTTTTTTTTTTTTTTGCTTTTACTCTTGTGTACTTAGTAACCTGACTGGCTTTGATGGGCAAATGAAGGAGATTTGCAGCAATTCTTGGAAATCAGATATCTGTAGCAGCAGGCTATGTTCAAAAAATTTTTACTTGTGAATACGACAAGACAAATTCATATTCATAATTTGAAGTATTTTTTTCAGCATGCTTTGACATTAAATAAGTTTGCTATAATGGTACTTATTCCTTCAAAATAGATAAAATTATTAAAGCATTTAAATGTTTGCTTTTTTAAAATCTGAAAACAGTGATTATTGAGAGTTCTTTTCTGACATTTGTGTTTAATTATCAATTCCATCTTTTCTTTGGTTAGGTCTACCTCTGTTGGTTCAAAGGACAATTGCAAGGACGATTGTGCTTCAGGAAATAGTAGGAAAAGGTAGATTTGGTGAGGTGTGGCATGGAAGATGGTGTGGGGAAGATGTGGCTGTGAAAATATTCTCCTCCAGAGATGAAAGATCTTGGTTTCGTGAGGCAGAAATTTACCAGACGGTCATGCTGCGACATGAAAACATCCTTGGTTTCATTGCTGCTGACAACAAAGGTATTTCCAATCTAATTGTGTTCAACAAGTAAAAAATGCTGTCTAGAGCGAGACTCTGTCTCAAAAAAAAAATGTTGTCTAGTATCAGATAAGAAAAAATAAATTCACCTCTTCTTTTTTTTTTTTTCCTTTTCCTTTTCTTTCTTTTTTTTTTTTTTTGAGACGTAATCTGGCTCTGTCACCCAGGCTGGAGTGCAGCGGCTCAATCTCGGCTCACCGCAAGCTCTGCCTCCCGGGTTCATGCCATTCTCCTGCCTCAGCCTCCCAAGTAGCTTGGACTACAGGCGCCCGCCACTACGCCTGGCTAATTTTTTTTTTTTTTTTTTTTTTTTGTATTTTTAGTAGAGACGGGGTTTCACCGTGTTAGCCAGGATGGTCTTGATCTCCTGACCTCGTGATCTGCCCGCCTCGGCCTCCCAAAGTGCTGGGATTACAGGCGTGAGCCACCGCACCCAGCCCGTCTCTTCGTTTTAAGAAAGTCTATATGAAAGTCTAATTTATATAAAATCCTTTCCTCTTTCCAACGGATAAATATACATAACCATACAATGAAGCAGGGCAAATGAGTGATGGGAAATCATGATGTCCAGATAGCCAGGGCGGTGCTTAAAATGTTTGCTGACTGGTTTGGTGCAGGAACCAACTAATCAGAACAGAAGCCTCAAGTAGAACAGAATCCTGGAGAACTCTGCCACGCCAGTTTTACCCATTAGTTGCTGCTTGGTCATGAAGAGATACGGAGGCATCAGGGTGTCTAGGGCAAAGGAGTATCATTGGAACTTTTTGTTTGTTTTATTGAGACAGAGTCTCACTATGTTGCCCAGGCTGGAGTGCAGTGGCACGATCTCAGCTCACTGCAACCTCCACCTCCTGGGTTCAAGCGATTCTCCTGCCTCAGCCTCCCAAGTAATCCCAAGTAGCTGGAACTACAGGTGCCTGCCACCATGCCTGGCTAATTTTTGTATTTTTAGTAGAGACAGGGTTTTCACTATGTTGGCCAGTCTGGTCTTGAACTCCTGACCTCGTTATCCACCCCCCTCGGCCTCCTAAAGTGCTGGATTTACAGGCTTGAGCCACCCCGCCTGGCCCAGGAGTTTTGAATAGCAGCTATTTACCAACCAGGACAGAAATATTTCAATATTTTAATAACCAATACAGACATACCAATTAATACTAGCTGAATGTTCAACTTTGTTAGGGCTGTATTTTTCATCCGTATGACAGCCTTCATCTTCAAGACTCAAATTTTCTGAAAATATTATCTCTTTTGATTGTATTAGAATACTGGCAAGTGAGACAATTTTAGTGAACTTTTCTATTAATGTTACTTTGAGCATGATTTGTATCTTGAGGCCACCATTAACGGTGCCAAGTAGTGTTTGTTATTTTTTGAGTTTCATGGAGCAAGTCAGAGCATCAGCTTTCTGATATTTAAAATAAGTACTTAGTTTTCCCAGCACCATTTATTAAATAGGGAATCCTTTCCCCATTGCTTGTTTTTCTCAGGTTTGTCAAAGATCAGATAGTTGTAGATATGTGGCGTTATTTCTGAGGGCTCTGTTCTGTTCCATTGATCTATATCTCTGTTTTGGTACCAGTACCATGCTGTTTTGGTTACTGTAGCCTTGTAGTATAGTTTGAAGTCAGGTAGTGTGATGCCTCCAGCTTTGGTCTTTTGGCTTAGGATTGACTTGGCGATGTGGGCTCTTTTTTGGTTCCATATGAACTTTAAAGTAGTTTTTTCCAATTCTGTGAAGAAAGTCATTGGTAGCTTGATGGGGATGGCATTGAATCTGTAAATTACCTTGGGCAGTATGGCCATTTTCACGATATTGATTCTTCCTACCCATGAGCATGGAATGTTCTTCCATTTGTTTGTATCCTCTTTGATTTCCTTGAGCAGTGGTTTGTAGTTCTCCTTGAAGAGGTCCTTCACATCCCTTGTAAGTTGGATTCCTAGGTATTTTATTCTCTTTGAAGCCATTGTGAATGGGAGTTCACTCATGATTTGGCTCTCTGTTTGTCTGTTGTTGGTGTATAAGAATGCTTGTGATTTTTGTACATTGATTTTGTATCCTGAGACTTTGCTGAAGTTGCTTATCAGCTTAAGGAGATTTTGGGCTGAGACAATAGAAAGCTGAAACTGGATCCCTTCCTTACACCTTATACAAAAATCAATTCAAGATGGATTAAAGACTTAAATGTTAGACCTAAAACCATAAAAACCCTAGAAGAAAACCTAGGCATTACCATTCAGGACATAGGCATGGGCAAGGACTTCATGTCCAAAACACCAAAAGCAATGGCAACAAAAGACAAAATTGACAAATGGGATCTAATTAAACTAAAGAGCTTCTTCACAGCAAAAGAAACTACCATCAGAGTGAACAGGCAACCTACAAAATGGGAGAAAATTTTCGCAGCCTACTCATCTGACAAAGGGCTAATATCCAGAATCTACAATGAACTCAAACAAATTTACAAGAGAAAAACAAACAACCCCATCAAAAAGTGGGCAAAGGACATGAACAGACACTTCTCAAAAGAAGACATTTATGCAGCCAAAAAACACATGAAAAAATGCTCACCGTCACTGGCCATCAGAGAAATGCAAATCAAAACCACAATGAGATACCATCTCACACCAGTTAGAATGGCAATCATTAAAAAGTCAGGAAACAACAGGTGCTGGAGAGGATGTGGAGAAATAGGAACACTTTTACACTGTTGGTGGGACTGTAAACTAGTTCAACCATTGTGGAAGTCAGTGTGGCGATTCCTCAGGGATCTAGAACTAGAAATACCATTTGACCCAGCCATCCCATTACTGGGTATATACCCAAAGGACTATAAATCATGCTGCTATAAAGACACATGCACACATGTGTTTATTGCGGCATTATTCACAATAGCAAAGACTTGGAACCAACCCAAATGTCCAACAATGATAGACTGGATTAAGAAAACGTGGCACATATACACCATGGAATACTATGCAGCCATAAAAAATGATGAGTTCATGTCCTTTGTAGGGACATGGATGAAATTGGAAATCATCATTCTCAGTAAACTATCGCAAGAACAAAAAACCAAACACCGCATATTCTCACTCATAGGTGGGAATTGAACAATGAGATCACATGGACACAGGAAGGGTAATATCACACTCTGGGGACTGTGGTGGGGTGGGGGGAGGGGAGAGGGATAGCATCGGGAGATATACCTAATGCTAGATGACGAGTTAGTGGGTGCAGCGCACCAGCATGGCACATGTCTACATATGTAACTAACCTGCACAATGTGCACATGTACCCTAAAACTTAAAGTATAATAAAGAAAAAAAATAAAATAAAATAAAATAAGTACTCATAAAATATTGTACCCATGCTTGTGTAATCACAGATTTGATATAAAATTCGTTGATTATCTATGCTTTTTCTCTTTTTTTTTACGAAATTGTTACTCATCTAACTGTTCATTAGTGCCCCTAATAGGTAACAAAAGTGAGGAAAACTTGATTCAGTCAACTTTTAAACTTTAGCTCCAGTTAGTAATACTCATGAAGAACTTTATGGTAGAGTCAAGATTGTAACCCCAATCTAAAAAAGGGTTAAGACAAATTATCTATTAATGTCAAGGATCCACCATTGCCTGTGAAAATTAAGAACCTATAGTTAATTTTATCTAATATAAACTTAATCATAAAAGTACTCATTATTAATTGGATGGAAAAAGAGAGGCTTAGCATTTAGCACACATTTTGGCCATAATTATGTTTACTGATGATTTGCCATTTCTGATTTGCTAAGCAGAAATGGGGTAAAGGCAAGATGGCTAACCAAAAAAGTTCTTTCCAAATTTGTAAATACATATACTTTGAAACTATATCCAGATCACTGAGGATGAGACATTTCTCATTTAGCTGTTAAGAATGTTTTCTTTTCCCTCCTAATCTTGAGCTGAACTGCCTACTGGTTGGATTAATCAGCAGTGCTGTCAAAGCAGTTATGACTGTACATGGATCATCTTCATGGGCTAGTTTAATCATGATGTTTATTGGATTATAAAATAATATGCATTGGCCAGGCACGGTGGCTCACACCTGTAATCCCAGCACTTCGGGAGGCCAAGGTGGGTGGATCACCTGAGGTCAGGAGTTCGAGATTAGCCTGGCCAACATGGTGAAACCCCGTTTCTACTAAAAATAAAAAATAAAAAAATTAGCTGGGCTTGGTGGCAGATGCCTGTAATCCCAGCTACTCAGGAGGTGGGGGCAGGAGAATTGCTTGAACCCAGGAGGCACAGGTTGCAGTGAGCCGAGATTGCGACACTGCACTCCAGCCTAAGCGACAGAGCGACATGCTGTCTCAAAAAAATGAATAAATAAAAATAAAATAATAGTAATAATAATATGCACAAGACATATTATCCTTGGTTTTCTCTTCTTGAGTTTAACTGGTCTACCTCTATCATCTCTTAACTTGTCAGTGGCTTTTTGCATGATTCCAAATGATCTCTAACTTCACTTTCATTTTTTAATTCCTTTACCTTTTGCAACATTGACAGTTTCACTCTTTAGTCAACTGTCTGACAAAAGCATTGATGTGAGAGGGCAAGATAGCCACTTGTGTCAATCAGGGAGAGAGGTGTGAGTAAGGGTTATTTTTATATGTTGTATGTTAATGAGCTTTACCATGTTATGTTGACTTTTAAATTCTTAGGAAATTTTATCACTACCCAGATTTGGAAATTAAATATTTGGATAACAAAGAGCTGTCATATATACAGCATCTGGCCAGATAGGTCCTTAGCAAATGTTCATTATAGATCCTTTCCCTGAGTGTCAGAACTGGTCAGGACTGCCCAGGGTTACTGTAGACATTTCATTTCAAAAGCTAAAGCTCACTCTACTAATATGTAGAAAAGTTTTAGAGTAATTTCTTTTCTAAAAGTCTTTTATAAGCTGGATTAGGTTTTGGCTAAATGAGGTAAATTATTTGAAAATGTCTAGTAATTGTGTTTGGCTCTTACTATAAGCTTTTGGGGAAAATAATCAACTCTATATTTTGAAAGGTGAATAACATCAACATTTTTAGAATGTTAGAGCTTTTATGATAGAAATAATACTTTGCATAAATTTGTTATATTTCTGATCTTTATTGGTATAATTTTTCTTAAAAGCTCAGAGTAGTTTATAACACACACTGAGCCTAAATGCATCTCTCAGTGGTTTCTCCTATAATGTGGTTACTATTGCCAGCAGGTATTGATACAGAGGAAATAAGAAAGGAGTTGTTCAGTTGTTAGAATCAATCACAACCTCACAACTTTCTATTTTTATGGTGGGCACATATAACAAGTTCCAACATATCAATATCTTCAGGAATTCATTGAGAATTTTTTCTTTACTAACTTGGACTGTAAGCATTACCACTGAAGCAATTAACTTTGCTTTGTTAACAATACAGATTAAACACTGATATTTTTAAAAGCTTTTGGCTTCTTTCTCAATATGTATTTACAACAACAAAATTACATTTTCTTGTTAGATAATGGAACTTGGACTCAACTTTGGCTGGTATCTGAATATCATGAACAGGGCTCCTTATATGACTATTTGAATAGAAATATAGTGACCGTGGCTGGAATGATCAAGCTGGCGCTCTCAATTGCTAGTGGTCTGGCACACCTTCATATGGAGATTGTTGGTACACAAGGTATGTATTTCCTTTTCATTTTTTTTCCACTTTGAATATGAGGATAGAGGTACTTAGTTATATTTTAATTTATTAGGAGTAATTAATTATTATTTCTTTAGGCTGGGCACGGTGGCTTATACCCATAATCCCAGCATTTTGGTAGTCTAGGTGAGAGGATCACTTGAGGCCAGGAATTTGAGACCAGCCTGGGCAACATAGTGAGATCTCCATCTCTACCAAAAAAAAAAAAAAAAAAAAAATCTGGTTGTGGTGGCACATGCCTTTAGTCCCAGCCACTTGGGAGGCTGAGGTGGGAGGATCACTTGAGCCTGAAAGGTCCAGGCTGCAGTGAGTTACGATTGCACCACTGCACTCTAGTTTGGGTGACAGAACGAGACCCTGTCTCAAAAAAAAAAAAAAAAAAAAAGTAAAGAAACAATAAAGGTAATTTTTAAAGCTAAAGGTATTGTCATGATATAGCCAACTCTCATCAGTTGCTCACTATTTTGTATCTTATCCATAATAATATTTTTAAAAATTTATTCCTAGTGGTTCTATCTTTGCCATTTAGCATATGTACCCAGAGATCTTGCTTTAATGGCAAATGTCCTATATCCAGAGAATACAAATAATTTAAATGTTTACC
Source organism: Homo sapiens (assembly GCF_000001405.40). Taxonomy (NCBI): domain Eukaryota; kingdom Metazoa; phylum Chordata; class Mammalia; order Primates; family Hominidae; genus Homo; species Homo sapiens. Next base: position 157,543,816 of record NC_000002.12, on the reverse strand, counting down.
TTTGATAATTAAAAAGTAATTGGAAAGTATAATATGATTTTGAAAAAAATATTTGTATATCATGTACTTGAAGCTAAATAGTACCTACTGCCATTTCTATTTGTTGAGTTAAGAGGTTGGCTCTAGAGAGTCAATTAGTCTAGACAGGGCAGTGGTTCTCACATTTGAACTCATGATCTCTTTACACTCTTAAAATTATTGAGGACTACAAAGGTTTTTGTGTATGTAGCTTATCTCTATTACTATTTACAATATTAGAAATTAAAACTGAGGAATTTAAAAGTACTTATTAATTTGCTTAAAATAACCAATTAAATGTTAACATAAATATTTTAAATATAACAACTTTTTTTCTAATACAAAAACTGATTAAGTGAAAATAATGGTTTTGTTTTACATTGTTGCAAATCCCTTTAATGTCTGTTTTAATGTCTGGATTTTCATACCTGTTCTTCATTCTGTCTGTTCTCATATGTTGTTTTGGTTGAAATATGTGAAGAAAAGATGGCGTCACACAGATGCGTAGTTAGAAAAGAGTTGCAAGGACCTTGGGGATCTTTTGGCTACAATTGAGAACTGCTGGTGTGGGGTAATAGAAGTTTTCAGACTTATTTTGTAAAACAATATTTGCCATGTTCTTATGAGCACATAGCAGTACTAATTCTTTCCCCATCTATTAAAAAATGTTTATTAGTGATCTAGTCATCTAGTGCTCTAAGCAATAGAGGCATGGTGATGAACAAAACAGCTACTGTCCTTATTCGTTTACAGTTTATTTGGGAGAGACAGATGATTCAGCATGTACATAAATAAACAAGATAATTTAGATAGTGACAAGAGCTTTGAAGAAAACTCTTTTTGAATTAGCTCATTTTGAGCTAAGTCTTCAGGATGATTTCTCTTGAACAGTCTCCGGTAAAGAAAAAAATGAATATGTTCTTCTTTGCTTCATAGGTAAACCTGCTATTGCTCATCGAGACATAAAATCAAAGAATATCTTAGTGAAAAAGTGTGAAACTTGTGCCATAGCGGACTTAGGGTTGGCTGTGAAGCATGATTCAATACTGAACACTATCGACATACCTCAGAATCCTAAAGTGGGAACCAAGAGGTAAGACGACTGACTTGGGTAGCATAGTAAGATGTGAGAGTGCCCAATAAGCATGAATGTCCTCATGTGTGTGGAGGAGGCTCAGGTCCAAATAGGAAACCACTGGGCCCAAGAAATCCAGAAGTCTTCTCTGGGTCACTGAGAAGTTAGTGGGTGCAATGGTTATAAAGCAAGGAGAGCTGGCACTTTGGGCCATATGGATTGCAGCCATTTAGGTACAGAGTCCAGTGGAGAGAAATGATGGAAGAGATAGTAGTGTATTATTTTTAGTGTGCCATTTTCTGAGAATGCATTTTCCTACAGATAAGAAAAAAATGTCAGCAGTATGTAGCTCCTCCAAAGCCTTTATATCCCATAAATGAACTGAAACTCAGGACTAGTTCTACATACTCAGATTCTATACAACAGACACAGAATCAATATGTTGAAATAGATAGGTAGGGACTCTATATGCTGAATACACTTATGTGCTACTATATTCCCTTATTCTTTAAATATATTATATAACAATTTATGTATTACCTATATTTTTACTTATTATTAAATCTCCCAAATTGATATGTATTAAGATAATATGAATTTGGATACAATTCCCACTTTCAAGGAACAGAATCTCTGAAGATTAAGAATGAGCATGAAGTAACAACATATACCACACATGTGTCAGGTCAGGCCCATTAGGAATGGGATTTCTGGTGTTTTTCTTGCTATAGCCAGCCTGTGGCCATATGGCCAGCCTAGTTCCAATTATTTTTACTTGAATTTCAGGCTCTACATTACTTTGGCAAAATTCCAGAGTTCATGACCTTGAAATTAGAAACAACCAAACTATTTTCTTGGAGTTGTTAAAGGCCCTTGAGAGTAGAGAAATTCTAAGTTGCTATACCTGGCCTTCAAGCCGTATTTGAGATTCCAGGACAGTGCCTGTGAATGCCTCTTGTGATTCACTGGGAGACTTTCATAAGCCCCAGGAACACTTCCGGGCAGTTTATTCACACTGGGCAGCCCTAAGGAACTTCTTTTCCCTATACAAGAAAAGCCTTACCTTGCCCATCTGATTATCCCCACATCAGGAACCTTCAGGGAAGCCTTGGATGCTGGATTCCTTCAGGGGATCTAACACCCTTGCAAGAACTTGGGAGGGTGTTGCATCCTCACTTCAGTATTCTGGGAAATCTCCAAAATCTCCCTAGTACAGCAAGGCTCAGTCAGGCCCATGGACTGTAGATTTCTTATACTGACTCTTGTTCAAACATGGCTATATTTTTTTGGAGCCAATGTGTAATAAAATTGTTCACTGAGAGAAAGTATGGGTGGAGTGATGCTGAACACACTTGATGGTTGAGCCAATAATTATTCTTTAATTTTATTCTATTATAGTGCTTCAAATCTGCCTTTTAAAATGGCATAAGCTATCTTAATTTATTAAGATTGTTTTACTGGACTGCTATAAAGTCATAGACAGAATCTGAAATGTACATGTTTTTGAAGGTATATGGCTCCTGAAATGCTTGATGATACAATGAATGTGAATATCTTTGAGTCCTTCAAACGAGCTGACATCTATTCTGTTGGTCTGGTTTACTGGGAAATAGCCCGGAGGTGTTCAGTCGGAGGTAAAATTTTGGAAATATCCTTTGTGTTTGCCTTTCCTTGATACTCTGAATACAAGATGTGATATTCTATCTTTTTCCCCTAAGCACTATATTCAATCAGTTTCTTAGTATTTAAGAGAATACCTTTTGGTGATATATTTCCAGTGGCAAAAGTGGGATATCTTGCATGTAATGGAGATTTTATATTGTGATTACTGCTTAGTGGGGTGACAGTTCCCCTGATAATTTTTGTTTCCATGTGACACTTTATGAAGTACTTGAAAATTATTTGAGTTTGTAAGCTGTAAGCTGGTATTCCTAACTTATATCCCAAATAAGTTAAATGATTTGCTGAGGCAACAGGACTTGAAGGGTTCAGTTTCTTAAGCTTTTCTTGTTTTTTTCTTCCCTGTGATATGATAAATACTGTAGGGTTGGATAAAGGTATGGGAAGAGGTGGGCAAAGACAAACTTCCTACCTTTACTGCTCCCAGTAGTTTAGAACTTAATAATGCACCTGGGCGTGGTGACTCATGCCTGTAATCCCAACACTTTGGGAGGCTGAGGCGGGCGGATCACTGAGGTCGGGAGTTCGAGACCAGCCTGACCAACGTGGAGAAACCTGTCTCTACTAAAAATACAAAATTAGCCAGGCATGCCGGGCATGGTGGCTCATGAGCTGAGATTGCGCCATTGCACTCCAGCCTGGGCAACAAGAGCGAAACTCTGTCTCAAAAAAAAAAAAATGTACTTAATAATGAGAGGAAGAATTAGGGAGGGGGAAGCCCTGTAAATATGTCTGATGAAACAGTTGCATCAGTGGAGAAAAAGTTAAATGCTGGTAGAAAATGGTTTAGAGTTTCCACTTTCAAGTGAGACAGACTTAGGACTAAGCGTTGGTTTAGCAATTCCTTGAATGTCTGATTTCAGGCAAGTTACTTAGTTGTAATTTTCTCATCTGTAAAATGAAGATAATACAAAAACTGATCCCATGGGCTTTAAGGATTTAATGAATTAATTCATGTGAAGCTTTTAGTACAGAGCCTGTTCACAGTAAACATTCGATTAAAGACCTGCCATTATTAAACTATTGTCTTTTTTCTGCACTTTGTAGTGATGTCATTTTGCATTACATTAATCTCATTTTTTAAAAAACCTTGCAGACTTTATGCAAAGCTTCTAAGGTTAAAATTATGTCTGAATGAGCAAACATACATACTTTTTCTCTTTTATTCATAGATGATATTATAAAACATTCAGGGATCTACAACTGTTTATAGAAGCAATAGAATTATAGTGGTGCCGAACATGGACACTAGGGTTTGAATTCCAGATCTGCCACTTACTAGCTCTATGTCTCTGAACAAATTCATAGCATTCTGTGCTTCAGTTTCCTCATCTATAAAACAGAAATAATGTTGTACCTTCTTTAGTCAGTAGTTTTGAGGACTGATTAGTTAAAACCTGTAAAGGCCTTAAGGCAATGCACGGCAGATAGCAAGATTTCAAACATGTTAATAATTTTTTGTAAAAATTTCATATTGATATTAGTCTAGATTTGCTTTTAGATTTTGTCCTTAACTTTTCTTCAACTGTAAAAATAGTAATTTAGCAGACGTGAATTGTAGTTAGTTGTCTAGTATTATGGCATGTCTTACATATTTTAAGTTAAAAGCACTGCAGTTAATTAAAAAGATTTTATAAGGGATTTCTTGGAATTTAAGTAGTATTCTAATAATTGAGGTCGTCTTTGTCTTTGAGACTCTTTAAATATTAATCTTCATGTTGAACTGTCTATCTTCAACTACCTTTGGCTTCTTCTCCAGAACATTCTCAGGTTCAGTAGTTCTAAAGTCTAAATGTAAGAAACCCAACGTTAAAAAGATTGCCTAAAAGTTTTCAAAGAGAGAAAGCTGTTTTGTTTTGAAAAAGTTATCTGATGGGAAAATATACGTACTTCATTCACAAAGCAATGAAGCTGTGCTACAAATTTCATAATCAGAAGAAAGTAGGCATCACTTTTAAATTGTATAATGGCATTTTAATTGAGTAAAAATTTACATAATTTTAATAATAGAAAAATAAAATTTATTTTATACAATTATAGAAATGTTATATATTATATAATTATAAAATTATGTGTTATATATTATAATTTTATATAATCTTATATAAATTTTACAGTTATGAAAACATTTATAATACAAAATTTAACTTTATGTAACTATTCAACTGGATGATTTAAACTTATATCCTTGATTTTATAGTGACACATTATTTTAATAAACTTGACTTTCCAGTTCCCTGGGGTGTCACTTGTGCCTAGAAAACTTAATTGGTATTATTTAAAATAGACATGTTTGTTTATTATTTGCACATGGAAATTTATTATACAAATTTCTTACAGGAATTGTTGAGGAGTACCAATTGCCTTATTATGACATGGTGCCTTCAGATCCCTCGATAGAGGAAATGAGAAAGGTTGTTTGTGACCAGAAGTTTCGACCAAGTATCCCAAACCAGTGGCAAAGTTGTGAAGTAAGGCCATGTTTTTATCTATATTTTTCTTATTATATTTTTGAGGTGAGTATCGGGGAGACTTTTCAGAGACCATATAGTTTTTCCAATTCATTCCATATATGTAGACATACGTCTTTTTATAAGTCTTCAGAAGGATTTTTTCCCCTTTAGTGCTGTGCATGCATAATGCTAGGTTACATGACAGTAGCAAATCCTGAAATCTCAGTGACTTTCCACAAGACTTTATTTCTTGCTTACACAAACTGCTCTGCAGGTTAGGCAACTCTCCATGGCACCTGTTCTCATTGCAGTAACTCAGTAATCACTCTGATCTGATCCTTGGACACAGTTTCCAGATCTCTAGGTCAGGTGAAGAGAGGAGCTGGAAGATCACACACTGACCCTTTAATGCTTTGGCATCAGGTGACACACATCTTTTCCACTTATGGCTCCTACCAGAACTTGTCACATGGTCCCACCACCTGCAGGGGGGCTAGGCACTGCAGGGAACATGGGTAGACTCAGTGGGTAGTTAATGTCTCTGCCACACAGAATATTACAATTCCAACCATCTTTACATTCAATAAGTTATACCTCATCTCTAACCTGCTAAAGTTTGAACTTATTCTCTCATTAGAAAAGCTCCCTCACATCAGAGACTCCATTGTTATTTATCTTGTCATCTCCAGCAAACCAGTATTTAACCATAATGTACTAGACAAATAGTAAGTGGTTATTGCAATGCTTGTTATGCCTTATGTGAAGATAGAGATTTTTTCTAGCTCTTACAAGGAAAAAGAGTAGAAGGTGGGAAAAAGACTCTAAACCATCTAACTAGTTCCAGAACCATTCTGATACTTTAATCTCTCTCATTTCAGTTATTGCTGTCTATTTTTTTTGCCATATTTTAATGTAATGAATGAGATCTTTTTTAGGTGATGTCTTTTAGTCTGGCTTTGTTTTGGGGAATATTTTATATAGTTGCCTTTTTGCCTCATTTTTCTCTTCCTTCATGTTTCTCAACCCTTTTCTAATTTAATCATGTTTCTCAATCCTTTTTCTAATTTCTAATTCAAAACACAAGATTTGTGTTTTGTTATTTTTATATTTTGTGTAGATGTCTTACCTACATACTTGAGAAGCAAATTTTGAAGCATTTATAATTTAATTGAAATTAAATTAAAAATTTTCTAATATTAATAATTTATGTACACGAAACAATATAAACTTACAGTTTTTAAAGTATAATAGAATGAAAACTAGTGAATCCACTACCAGGTTTGAAAAATAGAACATTTTCAATACCTTTGAAGATTCCTTACCCCTCTGAGAGGTTACTTATATTATAATCAATTATTTCTTTACTAATTTCTTGCTTTGCTTTTGAATTTTACTATATGTATTTTTTTAGAATATATACATATATCCAGAATAACAATATGTTGTTTACTTTTGCATATTTGTGAAACTTACGTGATTGAAACTTACTGTAGATATTCTTTTCAAAATGTTTTTACTCTCCATTATATATGTGTAGCTATAATCTGTCCATTTTCATTGCTGTGTAGTATTCCATACAATAGAAGCATGTGCTATATCTATGAGGTGATGATACAGCATTTTGCTTTAGTTTTTTAATGCAATGACTTACATTTATAGATTTTCCAGTGTTAAACCAAATATACATTCTTGGAATAGACCCAACATAGTCATTCTAGTGTGAACAATTTTGTACATTCCTGATATATGCATTTTTTGTCCAGTATTTTGTTTCTGTCTTGTTTTATGTCAATCTCATGGAATAGATATTGGCCTCATTTTATACCATCATTATTTAGACTTATTCACATGTTTATCATTTTCTTTGCTCAACATTTCTTCTTACCTCTCAAATCATTTTCTGACTTCCTGATGTGAATCCTTTAAAAGTATTTTATTTAATTTTTTTAGAGAAGACCTAGTGGTTGTAAGATTTTTCAGTTTGGGGGTATCCAAAATGTCTTTATTTTGTCCTCAATCTTGAACAAATGGTTTGTCTAACCATAGAAATTTAGGTTAACAGTCATTTTCTCTAAACACCTTGAAGTTATTATTCCACTATTACCTATCTTCCATTAGTGCTATTGAGAAGTCAGCAATAATCAATCAATAAATTTTTAGTTAATTTATCTTTTCTTTATGACTACTTTTAAGAACTTCTCTGTCTTCAGCATTCTGCAGTTTCTCTATGATGTCTTCAGTATAGATGTCTCTGGTTAATCTTGCTTGGAATATTTGGACTATCTAATTCTAGTGGTTTGTGGCTTTCCTCAGTTCTGGAAAATTTGGAGTCATAGTTCTTCAAATAGTTTTTTCTCTCATTGTTTCTATTACTCAGTTTTGGAGAACTCATTAGATGCATGTTAGAGCTTTCATTACACTTTGCTTTTTTTATTCACTCATATTTTCTATATTTGTGTCATTATGGTATGTATCTCTCAAGATTTATTTTTCAGTTCTTTAATTCTGCCTTCAGATATGTCTAATTTGCCATTTAACTCATCCATCGAGTTTTCTACTTTATTTATTTATTTCTGAACCTTTATTTTAGAGCATTTAGACTCTTTGTATGTGCCAAGCCTGGCTCAGTCCATAGGGATATGCCGATGAGGGGGCCACAATCCTGTCATCATGGAACTTAGAGGATAATGAGGAGTCAGGGCAGAGAAGTGAACAACGTATATGTTGCTCAAAACTGGAGGCAGAATTCGTGCTCTCCTGAACTCTAGTCCATGGTCCTGCATAGCTACTTTATTTATTTATTTTTTTGAGGCAGAATCTTGCTTTGTTGCCCAGGCTGGAGTACAGTGGCATGATCTCAGCTTACTGCTACCTCCGCCTCCCAGGTTCAAGTGATTCTTCTGCCTCAGCCTCAGGAGTAGCTGGGATTACAGGCATGCACCACTATGTTGGCCAGGCTGGTCTCAAACTTGTGACTTCAGGTGATCCACCCGCCTTGGCCTCTCCAAGTGTTGGAATTACAGGTGTGAGCCACCGCACCTGGCCAATTGTTATATTTTTGATATCAAGATATTTTATTGGTACTTTTTCACTTTCTAAAACATTCTCATTTTTTACTCATATTTTGTATTTCTCTTTCCTTTTAAAAATATATTTTATATACTTATATCATTTAATTCTAGCATCTAATGTTTCTATGGGCCAAAACTACTATTTACAATGGACTCTTGCTTATGGTACCTTTTTTCCTCATGTGTTTGTGAATTTTCATTATGAGCTCAGGTTTACTGCAATGTTTAAAGGCATGGGCTTGTTTTTTCCTTCACCAAGAGCCAAGACTTAGGCAATTTCCGTTAGAAGGACTTAGGCAATTTGCCTTAGAAGGTTTCAGGGAAATAGTCATCCTTAAATTGAGGGCTTTCTAAGCCTTTTTTTTTTTTTTTTTTTGGACAGAGTCTTGCACTGTCACCCAGGCTAGAGTGCAGTGGTGTGATCATGGCACACTGCAGCCTTGAACTTCCGGGCCTAAGCAATCCTCTCACCTCAGCCTCCTGCATAGCTGGGACCACCATGCCTGGCTAAGTTTTTAAAATTTTTTGTAGAGACAGGGTCTCCCTGTGTTACTCAGGTTGGTCTTGAACTCCTGGGCTTAAGCAATCCTCTCACCTCGGCCTACCAAAGTGCTAGAATTACAGGCATGAGACACTGCGCCTGGCTGGCATCTTGATCTGAAACTTTCTGTGTGCTGTGGGCTGTACTCTCTATTACATGCGATCCATCAGTTCCGAAGTTCTAGACCATGAGAGTAGCAGATACCCCTATGGCAGCCACTTGCTTCAGCGTTTTCCTGTATTTCTCTGGTTTCATGCATTTTCATTGTTTTCCCCTCTTAGTATTTGTCTTATCTCTTTGCTAGTTCATTTTTAAAGTCCAGGATTTTTGATATTTATACTTGGATCATAATTTTTATTGTAGTATAATTTACATTTGGTAAAACTCACAAATCTTAGTATACAGATTGATGAATTTTTTTTCGTACGTTTACACTTGTGTACTCATCACCAACATCAAGATACAGGGAATTTCCAAGCCTTCCCATATCCCTTGATGTTTTTCATGTCCCATATTCCCAGAAATCAGTGGATTGAAACATTTTTTAGTTAGTCTCTACAAGGTTAGTATTTGAGTTTTGGTAGAATTTTTGAAGGGGTTTGACCCTAATCTTCTTATATTGTTTTAAATTTACTGTTTCTTCATCAAAACTTAGTTAGCATCAATGGCAGGTACAGCGGTGCATGCCTGTGTCCCAGCTACTTGGAAGATTAAGCAGGAATATCGGTTGAGCACAAGAGTTTGAGGCTGTAGTGTGTTATGCTTGCACCTGTGAATAGCCATTGTACTCCAGCCTGGGGAACATAGCAAGACCCCATCTCTTAAAAAAAAAAAAAAAGCTTAGCATCAATTCCTGGATTTATGGCTTTACTTCTTTTGTGCTCTGTTTTATGTAGAGTAGCTAAAGTCTTTGATTTTTTTTTTCTCTCTTAAAGGCACTCCGAGTCATGGGGAGAATAATGCGTGAGTGTTGGTATGCCAACGGAGCGGCCCGCCTAACTGCTCTTCGTATTAAGAAGACTATATCTCAACTTTGTGTCAAAGAAGACTGCAAAGCCTAATGATGATAATTATGTTAAAAAGAAATCTCTCATAGCTTTCTTTTCCATTTTCCCCTTTATGTGAATGTTTTTGCCATTTTTTTTTTGTTCTACCTCAAAGATAAGACAGTACAGTATTTAAGTGCCCATAAGGCAGCATGAAAAGATAACTCTAAAGTTAAGCATGGGCAGGAGTTGACTTCATCCAATCTCTATGTTATGTTTAATTTTATTTTGAAAGCAACACCTCAACTCATCTTTTTATTTAATAAGGAAGAAATATATTACAAAAGTATAAAATAAGCTCTATAAAAATGTTATAGTCATTAAGTTTTTATTTTACTTGAACCAAGAGCACATGAATGAACAGGAAAAGATGTAAAAACATTTTTTTCTGAGATGAAAACATATTAATTAAACATGCAAATTAGAGCATGCTATCTTTAGGTGATGCAATCTATGTTTCCCCCTTTTTAAGTTAGCAGGACTTTTTAAAAATAAATATTGCTCTAAACTTTAATATATCGAACGTGAGAGTGGAGCTGCTTAGTGGAAGATGTAAGTGAGGTGGGTGTCCCATGTGCTTGGTCTCCCCTTCTGCTGTTCTCCTGTTCTTCATAATCCACTACTGCAGCAGTCCCTGAACCACTAAACTTGTTCCTTTCATTTACAAAAGAGATACCTGACATCCTGAGACACTGAGAAATGTCCTGAAGTCACACAGCTAATGGCAGAACTGGCACTAGGTCCAAATCTTGTGATAATGAACACCGTAAGGTTAGCTAGCTTCCTACTTTCCCTTGAATAGTGCTTTTCTCCCTATGTAATATCTTTTATTATGATATTTGTGGTTTAGAAGGCATATTGAGTTATTTTGCAGAATCATAATGGACCCGCACAAAATCTCAGAACCATATCTGTTGACATTTTTTCTCATAGAAATATCATGGTTACCCCATTTGTTAATGAGCATTAATGTTTTCTGAACACTTCCAAAGATTAATCAAACATAAATATTCATTGTCTGAAAATGTCTTTAAGATACAATTCAGAGGTCCCTATTTCCTTTGTACATACACACTTAGAAAGAAAAGACAGAAAAGGAAGAGGAAGGAAGGAAATATTTTGAGAATATATTGAGAAGAATTAAGAAAACTCTTCAATGAAGTGTTAACAACCAAACCCTACAGACGGTATCAGAAACAGCAAATAGATATTCCTCTACCCTTTCACAGTGAGTGAGTGAGTACAGAAGAATGCTCATGATAGTTTTGCCTTCATTCTACTTTCTGTGGACACAGAGTAATGAATATTTAATGGGACATTAAATATGCCCTTCAAATCTATAATTTTACTTTGGTAAACGAGATTTAACATGATGTCTTTTATGCTCCTAAAACATCTTTTTTCAAACTCCATTCCTTAGAACATTCTTCTACTGAGATGATCCAAGACCAAAAGTGTTCTTTGGTACTTGCTTATAAAGTGATAGTACATGTTAGCATATAATGTATTTTGAAGAGTGAAGTAAATGCTATTGATAACAGTAAAAAAAAAAAAAAAAACTAATAACAGTAAAGAAATGCTACTTGATTTTTTTTTAAACTGGATTGCTCAGATTACCTGATCGTGGTGGAACCCTTTTATTAAGAGGAGGGGAAACTTTTTACTATCCCATATTTAACTGTTCTATAAAGCAAAGCACAGCTTGGGTAATAGCGTTCTGAAGGATATACTTCTGTATTTTCTCATAGAGTACAATTTAGTGATTATGCTTCATTTCACTATGGAAATATGTTACTGAATCTATCTTCATTTTACTGAGTTGAAATAAGGAAGGCAAAAAACTGACAGCTATGGAGTTTGCGTGTACTTCCATACTCGTTAATGCTCTCATCCACTTATTAAATAATCATAGAGCACCCATATCTTGCTTGCCACAATATCGGGTACAAGAGGGAATACAAAGATAGATAGGTCCTGCCCTCAGGGATTTTAAAGTCTAATTTGGGAATGGGAATAGGGATGTGAGTGTGTGGGGGAAGAGATTAAATTGACAGATAAAATACGAAGTGGGATGTCTTGAGTTCTGCATGACAGTGGGTTTCTAGGATAGGTCTGAAAATTGCTTTCATTTGCAACACATTTAGAAAGTAGCTTTATTTGGATATTACAGACAATCTAAATATATCATCAGTTTTTAAAAGTGCCTATGTGAAGTGATTTTTAAAAAGAGCCTATGTGAAGGGGTAATCTTGCTTGTTCTTGTTACTAATTTCTCATAGATTGTTTTTCTGCATATATAAGAACGAAATTATTTATTTACTATGGTTGTACGTGCCTCAAATAAACAAGAATGATATTTCCTGTTTTATTTACTTATGTTGGGTAAATATGCTTATTGAATTTTTAAGAGAGGATTTTTTACCATCTCCATTTTTCTTGTCATTATGTTTTGTAGCTTATTTGAGGGTGTCTAAATATAATTTCATATTTTATTGGTTCAACTTTCACTCTGAAGAAATCCGTATGTTAGTACATTTTGAGGTATTTTTCTTGTTCTTGTGTTGTTTAACTATGACTCCTAACTGAGTAGTCTTATATTTCAATTACAAAATACATTTTTTAAGAAAGGGAATAGAGCAGCAAAAATGATAAGGAAAATGTTAAAAGTTGTAATATTTCCTTTACTCTTAACAGGATTATATATAGAACATGCTCACTTACAAAAATAGGATGATGAAGTTTAGAGCATAAGGCAGGCTTCTTGTATATACTTATGCTGTCAAATGTTATATTGTTTTTAATGGAGTCCCATTGTGTAATATTTATTTCTTTTACATTTTGTTATAAGCAAAAAAAAAAAAAATTCTCCTTAGGTTATGTTCAGAGTATCAGTGTTCTTTACTCCTTACAGATATTTTGGCTTTGGGGTATAATACAAGACTTGGGAAAACACTATTATGAATTTTCAGTACTGTATAAAGTGGTGATGGGATTTAAATGCAGCATCACTTTCTGAAAATAAGAGAAACATTATTTGTTGTCAGTATTTCAGCATGAACTTGTTGCCTTGTAAATTTTGCCTTTAAGTTTGTAATTGGTACAGATTCTGTTGTATGCTTTCTTCTATGTCTAAAATATTTGGCATGTCACATCTAGAATTCTTAATTTATGTTCTGACTTGAGAGTTAAGTGAAACATGACTGTCGTGCACTATTTTAGGCATAGCACTTGCTTTTCATCTTTATACTTTCAATTAACTTTGCATTTTAAATTTCCATGATTGTATGAAAATAGTAACCTGGTTGCAGTATCTGAAAAAATTAAAATTAGCTTTTATTTAAAAATGAAAATCTACAATAGATTCATTAGGTTAGAAGTTCCAGAATAATTTATTATTTTATTACACCTACTATTGTAGAATTACTAATAAAACAAAACAAAACTACTCCTATTTTCCTGGAATTTTGCCACCATGTGACTTATTGGGGCAGAGAAAACTCAGGGTTGTCTTTGAGTCTGCACAAAAGCACCAGGGAACCTGCTTAGCAAATCGTCTGAAAACAGGGAGCTGATGTTTGCCATTATACAAAGTTTGAGTAAACAACTTAAAATTGCTTGTTAGGGCATAGTCTTTGATTGAAATAAGTATGAGAATGTATTTGGCTAAATAAATGTATTTAAAATATACAAATTTTATTTCCCACTGGAAAATTAAGAAAGTAGCAGTACCAAATGAATAAAAGCTGGCAGTTGATGTCTTCAATAATCATTCCTTTAAAATAAATTCACAAACACATCATTACAAGCTACTTAGAAATGTTTAGTATTCGTATCTTAAAATGGCACCATTGTGGTTTTCAAAGATATTTTAAACATCTTTTGTGAAACATACTATTTCTGTTTGACAATGCTTTGTTCTAGCTCTGTGTGCTGATACCTACATGGAGTTTTTCTGCTATTTTAGTGAAAACAGTAATTCTTTTATCTTGAGAGCTGCTTCTAAATAACAAAAAAGTTAATTGGAATGTAAGTTTTTAAAAAATGTTAATATTAAATAGAATTTTTATAATATGGGCATTTTTCAAAACATTTTAATGAAAATATATAGATATTTGACTTTCTTTTTTTCATCTAGCCTTGCTTTATATTTCATTATTTTTCTCACTTTTTTTCTTAATATTCCCTCACTATCTTTCAACATTATCATTAGTTCCTAATTTTAAAAATAACTCTTATTTAACTTAACCGTCTGGAATTTAGCCTTCTAATGAAAGAGAATCCCTTAGTACTCTCAGAGATTATATAAAGTTATTCCAATTTTGTGTAGATGACGAAACCAAGGATCAGAGATTAAATGACTACTAGTTACTAGCAGAACTCTTATGAAAGCCTGGTGGTGACACCCAGCACTGTTCCCTGCCATATCCCCAACTTTTACTGATTAAAAATTAATTCGCATGCATCTAAACCTACCTTGAATGCACACTAACGTAATGTGCCATTCAATGATGATGATAAAATCCCACTTTTCTTTGGGTTTCTACTAAAATAATTTACTCACTCAGAGTGAGGTCAATGAGAAAAACTAAACTAGGCTAAGAAAGAGTTGTAGAATGGTTGTTGAGCTAAGTAGGCAACCACTGGGGTGCTGATAAAATTAATGGATAAAATTTAGGAACTGTGAGAGTATAGAATTTCTTAGTGCAAGTAATGATTAGAGAAGCTTCCTGACATCCCCCACCCTTTCTGTAAGGACTGTTCTTTCTCTTTGTACCTTGGAATGGGGGTGAAAGGTGATTTGATAGCTGAATTTGGGACTATGTCCAGTGGGATATTATCTAACTTTTCTCTCTTTCTCTTTTTTTTCCCCTCAGTTTCTCATTAGTTTGTCTTTGGCATTCATCTTCTTTTAGTGCATTAAAAAATGTTTGGCAGATCTCATCAATCCCAAGTCACTCTATAATTCCTGTATTTCTTTAGTTGTCGTTTAACCTGTCCAAACTTCTACACAATGAACTTCTTAACAAGATTTTAAGTTCTCTGTATAAGAGGTTTCACCTCATAACTTCTCCAGTAATCCTTCATTTGGCACTATAGAGTATTTGTTAATGGCAGAGATGATTTTTCTTTTAAAACCTAAAAAGACTAGCTGTTATTTGTATTCTAGCTTTTAGCTAACATATAAAGAATGTCTACTTTTGCTTTAATGCTAAATTCCGCTTGAGAAATAGTAACTGGGAAAGACAATTTGAAATATATGCCCCATAATGTGATTGTTAAATTTATTTCTGCTGTTCCATACCATTGCTTTGTTTTGCTTTTGACAAACTAAGCCATTATGCTATTAGTTTGGAATATAATACTACAGCAAAATTAGGTAACAATCCCTATTTTAAAATTCCCCTAACAATAATAGAACTGCCAGCATACTTTTCTCTTTCAGTTGTAGATGAATACATTCGAGAGAATATGAGCTGTATTTCATCCTAGATTTTAATATTTTCAGATGTGACTGTATTTCCTGATCATTGGTCCAAGTTGTCCTAAAAGAAATTTTTCTCTCCAGACCTAACAGTTTTAACTGCAAGAGTTTACTGTGGGTTATGTTAATCTGAATTTTAATAGGGCCACTAAGAATCTGAGTGCCTTAGGAGATTACCCTTATACCCACTGCCATCACATCCAGTCAGGCCTGTTGTGCTCTATATAAATCTTCCCAGCTGAGGGGCAGGTGCGGGCTAAAATCCAACTGCAATTGGCTCCCAGACATAATTTTATATTTTACAGAGAAGCATCTTATTGGCTTATATGTGTTTAAAGAATGGTCTGGCTTATACATCTTCAGAAAATGAGAATTAAAAAGTCAAAATAATTCTTGACATCTACAGATTGAACAAAGAACTTAGAAGAAATAATACTTTATCTTTTCATCCTGGCATTCCTGAGAGAAGAGAAATTGATTGTTTATCATGTTGGTTTAATTTTTCAACCCAGACAATCTGCAGCAAGGCACATGGACCCCAATTTTGATATCGTCCATACAGTTTTCATTCTATGCATGGAGCTAATTACTGACTTTGCCTGTAAAGAGAGGATTGTGTGCCTAAATTTTGTCTAACAAATGCAAGCGTAGAATGACATTTACTAATATTTCTATTTCTTCCATAGGCTAAATAATAGTAACTAAGTATTTTTAAGGACACAGCCCTTTTTTTCTCTTTATACAAAATGAGAGTATCTGAGCCAAAATATTAAATTCTAGTTCTTTTCCGCAATGACTAGTGTCAAGCTCATGTACTCTTCTGATTCTAGACTGGAGAAGATTATTCAAACTTGATCTGTGTTTCAGGTTTTTAAATGTCCTAAAAACAGAAAATTAGATTCAGATCTCAAAAAAGGAATTTTGGATTGACTTTCAAAGTACTAATACTAATTATACTTTTCTTTTGGTAGCGTGACTCTTCTTATACCTAAGAACATATTACAAATGTCAAAACCATTGCATTTTGACATTGCAAAACATGCCTTGAACTCTTGAACTACTGTGAAAAGAATCACCGTTGTAAAGACTTTTTGTAAGCTAGCTGATACTCTTAAGTATGTAAAAAGATTGTCTTTCAGCCGACAGGCCCAAAGGAATGTATATAAGGAAGGAATATGAAAAAATAAATTAGGTTTTAAAATAGGAATTGGGCAATAAACTGTATCAAAAATATGTAGATGGATTTTAGTAGTTGTAATTTAAATGTGGAAGGTGAAGAGAATTTCAAACTCCAAAGAGAAATGAATGATATTCAGATGTTTCATTAATTTCTAGTCTGTGAAAATATGCATTTTATAGTAATATGTATAGACTTATTTTATTTAGAAATAATAGTGTTTTAGAATTTATTAAAAACTCAGTGATAGCCTTTATACCAAAATGTTTAACTTTACCAACAGCAAGTCATAAAAGTATTTATTTTAAAGCTTTTTAATATTATCGTGTAACTTTCATCTGTCTTCAGATGTAAATAATTATCTGCCTAAATGTTATATTTTTATGTATGCATTTTCTGAAAATGTATTGTTTTGTAAAGTGGGAAAGATAATAAATCAAGCACTTCTTGCACTTGTTTCTGTGAAGCATATAGAACTCTATTTTAAATAAAGGAAGATGTGTCGTATTTTGGTTTTTATATAATTATGTTCTATTATTTTTACATTGTGTTTTATGTGTATGCAGTGTATGCGGAGGGTGTTGGAGACTTAAATGCTGGCTCCAGTGGGCACTGGAATTTTACTTCCTTCGTTCCTTTCGACCAAGGAGTTATAGAATTCTAGAATTTCAGAGCTGGAAGGGATACTTCTTCAGTAGCCATTTCTCTACCTGGCATTTAGGACAATAGATTTTGTTTCTTTTTTTCTACCAAGCAACTGGTTTTTTTTGCACTTTTTAGACAATTGCTAAATGACTACTGGGTTGACCTGCTCTCAAACCTAAAATAGCTCCCATTACACTTAAAATCACAAGCACATGGTCTACAAGCCTTTTCAGACACGGAACCAGACAACTGCTCTACCTTCATTTCCAGTGTCCCCACATTCATCCCCACCTGTTCTCCAGACCCTGGCTTCATGCTCTTCCCTGAACTTGCCAAACACATGCCTGTCCCAGGGCTTTGCTCCCACTGTTTGTTCTTCCTGGAATGTTAAAGGTCTCTGTAAGAATGCCATCACACCAAATTAACCTTTCTTGCTACCCTTTCAAAAGTAGCACATTTTGACATTCACTACCCATTTCCCCTGTGTAATTTTTTCTTTACAGCATTTAGTATTAATCGGCATTCAATTATATATCTGCTTGTATGTAGTATCATAGTGACTAAATCCTTGAGCACTGGAGTTGAGAATTAGGGATCATTTCACTTATGTTTGAAGATATAGTTTTAAAATATTAATAGTAATGTATTGTTTGGGACAGTAAAAAAATACTCTTTGAAACTCATTATTCACACCCCAATATCTGCAATAAACGTTAGGATTGTGTTTCTTACCCAGTCAAGAATAGTTCAGGTTAATTTCTAATTCATGATGGCTGTTTCAGAATGACATTATGAGAAGATTAGGTGTTTGGTTTACATTCTGAACCCTACAAAGTTGGTGTTTTCTGAGACTTAGCATAAGAGAGGCAGAACACTGAATTGGTTTTACTTTTGGTATAGATTCTTAACTTCTTTTGCTTATGTTTTTTTTTTTCCATTTTGGGGGCAGTTTTGTTTGTTTATTAATAAGTGTCCTGAATATTTTGCATTAAGTCAGTATTAACCAGCTTCACTAGCCAAATATTCTTGGTTAACAATCATTAAGTCAGGTTCTCAACTGCTTCATTATTAGTGGCTGCTTGGAGTTGCGGATAAAGGCAAAATATTTATTAAATATCAGTGTAGATTGTGAAACCTATGCATGAAATAAAATGAATGCTTTAGTTTCAGTGGCATGAGCAATAGTGTTTTCTTCCTTCAGTTGTAATTCTGCAATTTCAGCATCTTAATTTTAAAACACTAATATGTGCAAACTTTGGCAAATGTTCACATTGATGCAATAGTTTACCTACAGTGTGAACATAAAATTGGATAGGTACTTTTTTGCATCAGGATAAATTCCTGGAGATTAGGGGATTACTGAATCCAGGCTGTTTTATGGAGTGTTCTGGAAGTGATTTTCAAGAAATGCTCTGTGACTTTTAGAAGAAATATACATATTTTGGCAGAGAGTTATTAAAACATTGATTTGAATAGTTTCTTTAAAATCTATTTATTAGAAACATTTTCCCACAGAGTGCTTTAAGTTTTTTTTTGTTTGTGTCTTGTTAATGATGTATGTAACAAACTTGTAATTACAATCACTTTTATATTTAAAAGAGGTTAATATTCTTTTTCCTTCAAATATTAGTTAAGAAATCTTTATCAAACATTGCTGCAAGAAAATTGACGTGTTGAAGCTTGTGGGATGGGAGAGATTTGTTTAAGTAGAATACAAGGAAGAGGTTGTCCCTGGTTGGAATCGTGTCTAAAACAGGGGCTGATGCTCATGGCAGTGAGTAACCTACAGAACTGGGATTGAGGGATTCTGTAAGGATTAGATTACAGCATTTAAACTTGATCCTGTCATTGAGGGAAACGCTGAAGGTTTTAAAGCATCAGCGATCATGTGAAGTTGGCATTTAATAAAGGCAGTAAAAGAATTACCCTCTTAAGAGATTTATCAAAGTAACCTGAAGATTACAACATACCCTTTCTTTCCTAACTGATAAATATTTAGAGATAGTACACAGGTGAAGAATTTCAAGATGAGCTATACAAGCAGTGTGATGTGAGTGATTTTATGTGGTGTATTTTCCCTACTTTTTAATATATCTTAAATGCAAAGCAAAATATTGTCATAAGGAAGCCAAAAAATAAATGACATTTAATCTTTAATCATTTAGTTTTATTACAATTATGACATGAAGAATTTTAAAAATACATACACAGAAAGAAACAATCATTTATAAAGGTCTACCTTGTAATTCCATCTTTGCACAAATAAATCTCGAGGTGCCACTGAACTGTATGCATTAAATTTCAAATATAATCAAATCAGGTTTAGAAATACTAATGGTGTTTCATAGAAGAATCCTTGCTTCAGCAACTTAGGAAATTACACTTGATTTTCTTTTGAGTGTTATTCAATTGTGCTTGAAATTGTTCATTTGAACCCTTCTAAACAACAAGCAGGTGGTTAAATGTGGGCACTGTTTAACATTTACACAAAAAATTCCAAGCACAATGCACTTTTGCTCTGTGAATGTCAACTGGCTTTCCCTTCTCTCTCATAGCCTGTCCTTCCCTGGCCATTAGATTTGACCTTGCTACATCCCTGAAAAGAGAACTGGCTGAAATGTAGCTACTTGCTAGGGAGCATTAGACTATTTTTATAGTCCTGCAGCTAAAGCTTTTAATGTGGCAACTGCTGGTTACTGAAGCAGTTTAAGAAAAAGGAACTGCTGAGTTTGCCTTTTATTTTTAAATGGAGAAACACAAGGTGACAATCATATAAGATATAAGTGAAGCGGAACAGGGGAAATACAGCCTAGGATTTCTGTATAGAGCAAAAGCAAGAATTTGCAAACCACATTTCAATTCTATACTGCAATCTGGATCTTTACTTTTATATAATACGTGAACTAGTTCATAAAATGCACTTTTCTCTATGTCAGCTTTTCCTTTATCAGAAATACATGGGTGATACCATAAACATCTTACTGAGAATTTAGTCACTGTGAGGTATTTGTGAAATAACCAAAAATTTACATTTGGGTGGAAATATGACATTCGCAAAGACATAGACTTTGTAGTTCTTTCCTTTCCAAAGCAAACTTTTGTTAAGTGTAGGGTACATTCTCTGTCCCCATTTTCTCTCTGCCCATTCACTCCTCGACCCACTACAATGGAACTTTTGAGTCTTCCTGTAAAATGGCCTCCTCTGTGCTAAGTATTTTGTAGTAGTCTAGTGCAAAGATATTTACCCTTTTCTTCCTTTGTCCCTCTCTGGCCTTTGCAACAGACTGTCCTCTCCCATAATTATTTTCCTTTGCTTGATTGTCCTCCCCCTACCTCTTCTTTTTCTCTGCATTCTGCACTTCATCTTCTTCTTCTTCTTCTTTTTTTTTTTTTTTTCTGTTCTTTTGAGACAGAGTCTCACTCTGTTACCCAAACTGGCGTGCAGTGGCATGATCACAGCCCATTGCAGCATCGACCTTTCCAGGCTCAAGTGATCCTCCTACCTCAGCCTTCCCAGTAGCTGGGACCAGGCCTGTGCCAGTAAACCTGGCTAATTTTTCTATTACTTGCAGAGACAAGGTTTCACCATGTTGCCCATGCTGGTCTCAAACTCCTGGGCTCAAACGATCCGCCCGCCCGCCTTGGCCTCCCAAAGTGCTGGGATCACAGGTGTGAGCCACTGTGCCTGGACAGTATTTTCCTTTCTTTGTGTCCCTACAATGCTAATATTTACCTGTATCTAGCTTTGGCTGTCCTAAACACTCCTCCTTGGTGATCTCATCTACTCTTTTGTCTTTAATAAGGCTGGTGATGTTCAAATCTGCATATTTGTCCCAGACTTATCTTCTAAGATCCAGGCCCTAATGTCCAGCCTCTTCTTTATGTATCCACCTGGTTATAACATAGTCACTTCTGATTCCAATGTCAAAATGTAATTTTTTGTGTCTCACTTCTTTTGCTTAGCATACTGTTTTTGACATTCAGTCATGTTGTTAGATGTATCAGCAGCTTGTTCTTTTACATTGCTGGGTACAGTTGTATTCTATTAACATACCACAATTTGTTTATGCATTCACCTGTTGAACATTTGGGTTGTTTCCGGTTTGGGGCTATTATGAATAAATCTGCTGTGAACATTGATGTTTAAGTGTTTTTGTGGATATGTGTTTTCAATTCTCTTGAGTAAATACCTAACACTATAATTGCTGGAGTGTAAATACTTTCAAGTAGAATTAGGTAAATACTTAGGGGTGTAAAGTGTATGTACCATTTTATACTCGCTATCAGTATATGAGAGTAATAGTTGCTCCAGAGTTTTTCACTGTAGCTTTTCTGGTGAAGTGCAGTAGTATCTCATTGTTATTTTAAATTGAACTTCTGTGATCACTAATAATATTTAGCTTCTTTTCCTACAAATACTGACTTTGTGCATTTGGAGTACATCAAAATATTTTGCCCACTTTTTTACTGGTCGTTTGTTTTCTTATTATTGAGTTGTAAGTATACTTTACGGATTCTGGATACAAATATTTGACAGATATCAAGTCATTTTTTTCGTGACAAACCTGTTTCCCTGCCTGTGATCCCTCTTGTTCAACCCAACAACCCAGTCCTATTGTCCCTTCTTCCTAAATATATCTATCCTTCCTCTTCATCTGTATGCCACCATACCACTGTCTCACTTCAGGCCCCTACCAGTTGTTACTTTGGTGTCTGCCATGGTCTTTTCTCATATTGTGTCTCCATTTCCACTCCTATTAATTTACTCTCTTTCAGATAACTACTAGTGATTGTTCTAAATTATAAGTATAATCACCTTATTTTCCTCTTTAAAATATTTTTAAATCTTAATTTGAAACTGTCTGTTTATTTCCGAACAAAAATAGAATTTCATAGCAACTCAATTTCCTTCCTTTTCTCCTCCCTCAGCTAATCCCTCACCTCTTTCTCTAATATACCTGTCAACTAGAACTACTGGCAATGCTATAAACACTGCATGTGTATCTACAATTCTAGGATTTCATGTAACTATTTTTTCATCTTTCTGGAATTTCCCTGTCTCTGTCTAACTCACATGATTCACTTTTATTTCTCATCAGGCTCAGTTTAAACATGATCTTCTTTTGAATATTATTTCACTAATTCATTCTTGATGTAGGTACCTGTCTTAATCGGAGTTTTCTAGAAAGAGAGTCTGAGGAAGGGTCTAGGTGTTGATGGTTTACTTGGGAGGTGCAAAGCTAGTGCAACCAAAATGAGGACCTTCACTTTGATTATTTCCCTCAAACTCAGATGAATAATTGGGATAAATAAATAAGCATGTGTATATTTGAATCTTACATTGTTTTCTGTAAATCACAGCAAATCTATGAAAAACCTACAGTTATACCTAATGGTTAAAGACTATACTTTCCCCTAAGTCCAGAAATAAATTAATATTAATTTTCACAACTTCTTTTTTTTTATTATTATACTTTAAGTTTTAGGGTACATGTGCACATTGTGCAGGTTAGTTACATATGTAGACATGTGCCATGCTGGTGCGCTGCACCCACTAACTCATCATCTAGCATTAGGTATATCTCCCGATGCTATCCCTCCCCCCTCCCCCCACCCCACCACAGTCCCCAGAGTGTGATATTCCCCTTCCTGTGTCCATGTGATCTCATTGTTCAATTCCCACCTATGAGTGAGAATATGCGGTGTTTGGTTTTTTGTTCTTGCGATAGTTTACTGAGAATGATGATTTCCAATTTCATCCATGTCCCTACAAAGGACATGAACTCATCATTTTTTATGGCTGCATAGTATTCCATGGTGTATATGTGCCACATTTTCTTAATCCAGTCTATCATTGTTGGACATTTGGGTTGGTTCCAAGTCTTTGCTATTGTGAATAATGCCGCAATAAACACACGTGTGCATGTGTCTTTATAGCAGCATGATTTATAGTCCTTTGGGTATATACCCAGTAATGGGATGGCTGGGTCAAATGGTATTTCCAGTTCTAGATCCCTGAGGAATCGCCACACTGACTTCCACAATGGTTGAACTAGTTGACAGTCAGTCCCACCAACAGTGTAAAAGTGTTCCTATTTCTCCACATCCTCTCCAGCACCTGTTGTTTCCTGACTTTTTAATGATTGCCATTCTAACTGGTGTGAGATGGTATCTCATTGTGGTTTTGATTTGCATTTCTCTGATGGCCAGTGATGATGAGCATTTTTTCATGTGTTTTTTGGCTGCATAAATGTCTTCTTTTGAGAAGCGTCTGTTCATGTCCTTCGCCCAATTTTTGATGGGGTTGTTTGTTTTTTTCTTGTAAATTTGTTTGAGTTCATTGTAGATTCTGGATATTAGCCCTTTGTCAGATGAGTAGGTTGCAAAAATTTTCTCCCATTTTGTAGGTTGCCGGTTCACTCTGATGGTAGTTTCTTCTGCTGTGCAGAAGCTCTTTAGGTTAATTAGATCCCATTTGTCAATTTTGGCTTTTGTTGCCATTGCTTTTGGTGTTTTAGACATGAAGTCCTTGCCCATGCCTATGTCCTGAATGTAATGCTTAGGTTTTCTTCTAGGGTTTTTATGGTTTTAGGTCTAACGTTGAAGTCTTTAATCCATCTTGAATTAATTTTTGTATAAGGTGTAAGGAAGGGATCCAGTTTCAGCTTTCTACATATGGCTAGCCAGTTTTCCCAGCACCACTTATTAAATAGGGAATCCTTTCCCCATTGCTTGTTTTTCTCAGGTTTGTCAAAGATCAGATAGTTGTAGATATGCGGCGTTATTTCTGAGGGCTCTGTTCTGTTCCATTGATCTATATCTCTGTTTTGGTGCCAGTACCGTGCTGTTTTGGTTACTGTAGCCTTGTAGTATAGTTTGAAGTCAGGTAGTGTGATGCCTCCAGCTTTGTTCTTTTGGCTTAGGATTGACTTGGTGATGCGGGCTCTTTTTTGGTTCCATATGAACTTTAAAGTAGTTTTTTCCAATTCTGTGAAGAAAGTCATTGGTAGCTTGATGGGGATGGCATTGAATCTGTAAATTACCTTGGGCAGTATGGCCATTTTCACGATATTGATTCTTCCTACCCATGAGCATGGAATGTTCTTCCATTTGTTTGTATCCTCTTTGATTTCCTTGAGCAGCGGTTTGTAGTTCTCCTTGAAGAGGTCCTTCACATCCCTTGTAAGTTGGATTCCTAGGTATTTTATTCTCTTTGAAGCCATTGTGAATGGGAGTTCACTCATGATTTGGCTCTCTGTTTGTCTGTTGTTGGTGTATAAGAATGCTTGTGATTTTTGTACATTGATTTTGTATCCTGAGACTTTGCTGAAGTTGCTTATCAGCTTAAGGAGATTTTGGGCTGACACAATGGGGTTTTCTAGATATACAATCATGTCGTCTGCAAACAGGGACAATTTGACTTCCTCTTTTCCTAATTGAATACCCTTTATTTCCTTCTCCTGCCTAATGGCCCTGGCCAGAACTTCCAACACTATGTTGAATAGGAGTGGTGAGAGAGGGCATCCCTGTCTTGTGCCAGTTTTCAAAGGGAATGCTTCCAGTTTTTGCCCATTCAGTATGATATTGGCTGTGGGTTTGTCATAGGTAGCTCTTATTTTTTGAAATACATCCCATCAATACCTAATTTATTGAGAGTTTTTAGCATGAAGGGTTGTTGAATTTTGTCAAAGGCTTTTTCTGCATCTATTGAGATAATCATGTGGTTTTTGTCTTTGGCTCTGTTTATATGCTGGATTACATTTATTGATTTGTGTATATTGAACCAGCCTTGCATCCCAGGGATGAAGCCCACTTGATCATGGTGGATAAGCTTTTTGATGTGCTGCTGGATTCATTTTGCCAGTATTTTATTGAGGATTTTTGCATCAATGTTCATCAAGGATATTGGCCTAAAATTCTCTTTTTTTGTTGTGTCTCTGCCAGGCTTTGGTATCAGGATGATGCTGGCCTCATAAAATGAGTTAGGGAGGATTCCCTCTTTTTCTATTGATTGGAATAGTTTCAGAGGGAATGGTACCAGTTCCTCCTTGTACCTCTGGTAGAATTCAGCTGTGAATCCATCTGGTCCTGGACTCTTTTTGGTTGGTAAGCTATTGATTATTGCCACAATTTCAGCTCCTGTTATTGGTCTATTCAGAGATTCAACTTCTTCCTGGTTTAGTCTTGGGAGAGTGTATGTGTCGAGGAATGTATCCATTTCTTCTAGATTTTCTAGTTTATTTGCGTAGAGGTGTTTGCAGCATTCTCTGATGGTAGTTTGTATTTCTGTGGGATCAGTGGTGATATCCTCTTTATCATTTTTTATTGCGTCTATTTGATTCTTCTCTCTTTTTTTCTTTATTAGTCTTGCTAGCGGTCTATCAATTTTGTTGATCCTTTCAAAAAACCAGCTCCTGGATTCACTAATTTTTTGAAGGGTTTTTTGTGTCTCTATTTTCTTCAGTTCTGCTCTGATTTTCGTTATTTCTTGCCCTCTGCTAGCTTTTGAATGTGTTTGCTCTTGCTTTTCTAGTTCTTTTAATTGTGATGTTAGGGCGTCAATTTTGGATCTTTCCTGCTTTCTCTTGTGGGCATTTAGTGCTATAAATTTCCCTCTACATACTGTTTTAAATGCATCCCAGAGATTCTGGTATGTTGTATCTTTGTTCTCGTTGGTTTCAAAGAACATCTTTATTTCTGCCTTCATTTCGTTATGTACCCAGTAGTCATTCAGGAGCAGGTTGTTCAGTTTCCATGTAGTTGAGTGGTTTTGAGTGAGATTCTTAATCCTGAGTTCTAGTTTGATTGCACTGTGGTCTGAGAGATAGTTTGTTATAATTTCTGTTCTTTTACATTTGCTGAGGAGAGAATTTACTTCCCATTATGTGGTCAATTTTGGAATAGGTGTGGTGTGGTGCTGAAAAAAATGTATATTCTGTTGATTTGGGGTGGAGAGTTCTGTAGATGTCTATTAGGTCCGCTTGGTGCAGAGCTGAGTTCAATTCCTGGGTATCCTTGTTGACTTTCTGTCTCGTTGATCTGTCTAATGTTGACAGTGGGATGTTAAAGTCTCCCGTTATTAATGTGTGGGAGTCTAAGTCTCTGTAGGTCACTCAGGACTTGCTTTATGAATCTTGGTGCTCCTGTATTGGGTGCATATATATTTAGGATAGTTAGCTCTTCTTGCTGAATTGATCCCTTTACCATTATGTAATGGCCTTCTTTGTCTCTTTTGATCTTTGTTGGTTTAAAGTCTGTTTTATCAGAGACTAGGATTGCAACCCCTGTCTTTTTTTGTTTTCCATTGGCTTGGTAGATCTTCCTCCATCCTTTTATTTTGAGCCTATGTGTGTCTCTGCACATGAGATGGGTTTCCTGAATACAGCACACTGATGGGTCTTGACTCTTTATCCAATTTTCCAGTCTGTGTCTTAATTGGAGCATTTAGTCCATTTACATTTAAAGTTAATATTGTTATGTGTGAATTTGATCCTGTCATTATGATGTTAGCTGGTTATTTTGCTCATTAGTTGATGCAGTTTCTTCCTAGTCTCAATGGTCTTTACATTTTGGCATGATTTTGCAGCAGCTGGTACCGGTTGTTCCTTTCCATGTTTAGTGCTTCCTTCAGGAGCTCTTTTAGGGCAGGCCTGCTGGTGACAAAATCTCTCAGCATTTGCTTGTCTGTAAAGGATTTTATTTCTCCTTCACTTATGAAGCTTAGTTTGGCTGGATATGAAATTCTAGGTTGAAAATTCCTTTCTTTAAGAATGTTGAATATTGGCCCCCACTCTCTTCTGGCTTGTAGGGTTTCTGCCGAGAGATCCGCTGTTAGTCTGATGGGCTTCCCTTTGAGGGTAACCCGACCTTTCTCTCTGGCTGCCCTTAACATTTTTTCCTTCATTTCAGCTTTGGTGAATCTGACAATTATGTGTCTTGGAGTTGCTCTTCTCGAGGAGTATCTTTGTGGCGTTCTCTGTATTTCCTGAATCTGAACGTTGGCCTGCCTTGCTAGATTGGGGAAGTTCTCCTGGATAATATCCTGTAGAGTGTTTTCCAACTTGGTTCCATTCTCCCCATCACTTTCAGGTACACCAATCAGACGTAGATTTGGTCTTTTCACATAGTCCCATATTTCTTGGAGGCTTTGCTCATTTCTTTTTATTCTTTTTTCTCTAACCTTCCCTTCTCGCTTCATTTCATTCATTTCATCTTCCATTGCTGATACCCTTTCTTCCAGTTGATTGCATCGGCTCCTGAGGCTTCTGCATTCTTCACGTAGTTCTCAAGCCTTGGTTTTCAGCTCCATCAGCTCCTTTAAGCACTTCTTTGTATTGGTTATTCTAGTTATACATTCTTCTAAATTTTTTTCAAAGTTTTCAACTTCTTTGCCTTTGGTTTGAATGTCCTCCTGTAGCTCAGAGTAATTTGATCGTCTGAAGCCTTCTTCTCTCAGCTCGTCAAAATCATTCTCCATCCAGCTTTGTTCTGTTGCTGGTGAGGAACTGCGTTCCTTTGGAGGAGGAGAGGCGCTCTGCTTTTTAGAGTTTCCAGTTTTTCTGTTCTGTTTTTTCCCCATCTTTGTGGTTTTATCTACTTTTGGTCTTTGATGATGGTGATGTACAGATGGGTTTTTGGTGTGGATGCCCTTTCTGTTTGTTAGCTTTCCTTCTAACAGAGAGGACCCTCAGCTGCAGGTCTGTTGGAGTACCCTGCCGTGTGAGGTGTCAGTGTGCCCCTGCTGGGGGGTGCCTCCCAGTTAGGCTGCTCGGGGGTCAGGGGTCAGGGACCCACTTGAGGAGGCAGTCTGCCCGTTCTCAGATCTCCAGCTGCGTGCTGGGAGAACCACTGCTCTCCTCAAAGCTGTCAGACAGGGACATTTAAGTCTGCAGAGGTTACTGCTGTCTTTTTGTTTGTCTGTGCCCTGCCCCCAGAGGTGGAGCCTACAGAGGTAGGCAGGCCTCCTTGAGCTGTGGTGGGCTCCACCCAGTTCGAGCTTCCCGGCTGCTTTGTTTACCTAATCAAGCCTGGGCAATGGCGGGCGCCCCTCCCCCAGCCTCGCTGCCGCCTTGCAGTTTGATCTCAGACTGCTGTGCTAGCAATCAGCGAGACTCCCTGGGCGTAGGACCCTCTGAGCCAGGTGCCGGATATAATCTCGTGGTGCGCCGTTTTTTAAGCCCATCGGAAAAGCGCAGTATTCTGGTGGGAGTGACCCGATTTACCAGGTGCCGTCCGTCACCCCTTTCTTTGACTCAGAAAGGGAACTCCCTGACCCCTTGCGCTTCCCAAGTGAGGCAATGCCTCGCCCTGCTTCGGCTCGCGCACGGTGCGCGCACCCACTGACCTGCGCCCACTGTCTGGTACTCCCTAGTGAGATGAACCGGGTACCTCTGATGGAAATGCAGAAATCACCTGTCTTCTGCGTTGCTCACGCTGGGAGCTGTATACCGGAGCTGTTCCTATTCGGCCATCTTGGCTCCTCCCCTAATTTTCACCACTTCTATGCAACTTTGTGTTGGAGATCTAATTTGTGAAATAAGGTAAGAGAAAGAAAGAAAAGAAATGCAGATTGGGGCTGGGTGTGATGGCTCATGCCTGTAATCCCAGAACTTTGGGAGGCCAACGCATGAGGATCACTTGAGGTCAGGAGTTAGAGACCAACTTGGGCACTATAGTGAGACCCTGTCTCTATAAACAATGTTGACAAAATAGCCAGGCATGGTGGCATGCACCTGTAGTCCCAGCTACTTGGGAGGCTGAGGTGGGAGGCTCACTTGAGCCCATGAGTTCAAGGCCACAGTGAGCTATAATCACATCACTGCACTCTAGCCTAGGCAACAGAGTGAGATCCTGTTTCTAAAAAAGAAAAAAAAAAGAAATAGAGATTGAAAAATAAGAAGTAAATGAGGTCAGGTGACATAATTGTGTATATTAAAAAATCCTAATGAATCTAATAAAAAGCTACTAGAATTAATACTTTAATTCAGTGAGGCCACAAGATATAAGATTGATATGAAAAATCAATTTAATATGAATGGAATTATACAGTATGTACTCTTGTTAAGTACATGCATTGCAAATATTTTCTTGCAGTTGGTAATTTGCCTTTTAGTAAGAGCAGAAATGTTATTTTATTTATTTTTATTTTATTATCTTTTTATTTCCATAGGTTTTTGCAGAGCAGGTGGTATTTGGTTACATGAGTAAGTTCTTTAGTGGTGATTTGTGAGATTTTGGTGCATCCATCACCCAAGCAGTATACATTGTACCCCAATTTGTAGTCTTTTATCCCTCACTCCCCAGCAGAAATTTTAAAATTTGATGAAGACCAATTTATTAATTTTTTTCTTTGTGGTTTTGTTTTGTTTTGTGCTCTATCCAAAAATCTTTGTCTACTTCAAAAATATGAAGAATCCTAGCCCATGTTTTTTTCTAGAAGTTTTACAGTTTTAGCTTTAACTTTTTATCCCTGATACATTTTGATTTAAGTTTTGTATATGGTGTGAGACAGAGGTCACATCCATATGGATGTCTCATTGCTCCGGTATCTGTTGTTGAAAAAAAATTCATATTTAAATATATTGGCACTTTTATCAAAGTTCGATTTGTCATGTGTTTGTTTCTATATTTCCTATCTGTTTCTTTTATCTGTATGTCTTTGCTGTGTCAGTTGCACACTGGATTATCCTCACTTTATAGTAAGTCTTGAAATGATGCAGTATAAGTCCTCCAACTTTGTTGTTCTATTTTGAAATTGTTTTGTGCTATCCTAAGTCTGTTAACTTCCATATAAATTTTGGAACCAGATTGTCATTTTTGACACACAAAAAAAAAACCCTGAGAGATTTTTATTGGGATTGCATTGATGTCATAGATCAATTTGGAGAGAATGATTTCCTTAAAAAATATTGAGTCTTCCAATCCATAAACATTTTATATTTCTCCATTTGTTTATATCTTCTTTAATTTATTTAAACAATATTTTGAAGGTTTTCTCCCCATCTATTTGTATTGCACTTATTTTGTTTAATTTCTCCCTGAGTATTGCCTGCTTTTAAGATAATATTGTTAAAGGTGTTTTTAAAATTTTCATTTTTCAATTTTTCCACTGTGGTAATGTTTGGAAATACAATTGATGTTACAAGATCAGTTCCCCCAGGGCTTAGGCTTCACCTTAACAACTTTCGTTTATCCACAATACTGGGAACTGTGGCTTAGACATACAAAGCAATTGGTAAATATATGTTTAATTTAATGAATTTATGCTTGAGGATTATTTTAGCTCAAAGTCTAAGTTCAATCAGTGAAGCATTAAAGTTTTAGTCCCCAGAAAAATAGAGATGCCATATATTCTTTGTAAACTTTAAAAATCTTGTGGCCGGGCGTGGTGGCTCACGCCTATAATCCCAGCACTTTGGGAGGCTGAGGCAGGCGGATCACTTGAGGTCAGAGGTTTGAGACCAGCCTGGTTAACATGGTGAATTCCAGTCTCTACTAAAAATAGAAAAATTAGCCTTCTACTTGTCAAAAAGGCACGAGTAATTTCTGCATGTATGGATTCTGCTGCATATATATTTTGACTAATAAGCCCCTGGAAAAAAAAGGGACACCTTCTCAGAAGTTGGCAGTGTTTTTCCTTTGCCTGATAGCATGTTATAGTGGACCTGGCTACTAGAGTCAATCTTCTGAGTCGAAAACTAGTTCTCTTACTTACTGATAGTTTTGTCCTGAGTTGTTCAGAATCTGAATGGTTTCTATCCTTTTCAATTTATTGAGTTGTTCTATGGTCCAGAATATGGCTTGTGTTGGTGTGTGTTCTGTGAGCACTCAAAAAGAATATGTATTTGTAGTTTTGTGTATAGTATTCTGTAAATATAAAGTCAAGTTGTTTGACAGCGTTGTTCAAATATTTTTATCCTGATTTCTAATTATTCTACCAATTATTGAAAGAAAGGTGTTGATATTCCCAACTATAATTATAGATTTGCTGATTTCTTCTTGCACTTTATCAGTTTTTATTTCTGGTATTTTGAAACTGTTTTTAGGTGCGTATGTATGCACACCTAGATTATTATGCCTTGTTGATGAATGAATTCCCTTATTATTATGAACTATCCCATTTTATGTTGGATAATATTCCTTGATCTGAAGCTACTTTATCTGATATTAATATAGCCACTGAAGCTTTGTTATGATTAGTATTTGCATGGTATATATTTTTCCATACTTTAATATATATGGGTCTTATATTTATAGTAGATTTCTTGTAGATCGTGTACAGTTGGGTCTTACATTTTTCTCTAGTCTGACAACTTTTCACTTTTAAAAATTAGCGTGTGCAAGGAACAGAAAACCACACACCGCATGTTCTCATTCAGAAGCAAGAGTTGAACAATGAGAACACATGGACACAGGGAGGGGAACGACACACACCGGCGCCTGTCATGGCTTGCGGGGCGAGGGCAGGGAGAGCATCAGGACAAATAGCTAATGCATGCGGGACTTAAAACCTAGATGATGGGTTGATAGGTACAGCAAACCACCATGGCACATGTATACCTATGTAACAAACCTGCACATTCTGCACATGTATCCCTGAAACTTAAAGAAAAATAAAAAAAAATTGGAGTGTACAGACCATTTATAGTTAACATAATTATCAACATAATTAATTTTAATTTTATTACCTTACTATTTTTTCCACTTTGCTCATCTCCTTTTTTTTTTACTTTTTCTTGTTTTTGATTAGTTCATTATTTTTAATATTCCAATTTATTTTCTCTATGACTTATTAGTGATTTTGCTTTTTTTTAGGGTGTGTTTTATGATTTACAATATACATTTTTAACTTATCATAATCTACCTTCAAAAACTGTTATGCCACATTACATATAATAACAATCTTACAAAGTATTTTTAGTTTTCTCCCTCCTGTCCTTTTTATTTTGGTTGTCATACATTTTATTTCTGTATCTATTTAAATTTCACAATGTAGCGATGTAATTTTTTGCTTTAAACAGTCCATTTTAAATAAATTACATTGAAAATATTTTTAATATGAACATTTTTTTCTCATATTTACTATAGCTGATGCTTGTAACTTCTTTGTATAGATCTGAGTTTGGACTGATATTACTTTTTTCAGTCAGAAGATTATTTTTAATATTCCTTATAGAGCATGAAATTCTCTCAGCTTTTTTTAGTTTAAAAATACCTTCATTTTTGAAGGATATTTTCAGTGGACATAGAATTCTAAGCAGTTTTGGGGATTTTCTGGCTTATTTTTGTCAGCACATTAAATACATTGTTTTATCTTCTAATTTGCATTGTTTCTGACAAGGTCAGGAGTAATTCTCTTTCTCTGTTTGTATTGTAACTTTTTTTTTTTTTGCCATCTTAAGATTTTTTTTTTTTCTGAAAAACCATCTTAAGATGGGTTTTCAGAAATGTTATTATAATGGGCTTAGGTGTGCTTTTTGTTTGTTTTTATCCTACTTTTGTTCCACTGAACTTCTTGGATTTGTGTGTTTATGGTTTTCATTAAATCTGCAAAATTTCTGTGCACCACTATGTCTTCAGAGTTGTTTTTCTATTCCATGCACTATTTCCTCTATTCTAGGGTGCTTCAAATACATGTATATCAGACAACTTGATATTGTTCCATAGGTAACTGAGGTTCTCATTTTTCTGCAGCTTCTTTTTTTCTCTGTACTTCAATTTGATTCATTTCTATTGCTTATTTATTAAAGTTTATTACTCCTTTATTTTGCATTTTAAAATCTCCTAATATACCCTTCCAGTGAAGTTTTCATTTTGGATACTGTATTTCTTAGCCCTAGAAGTATCACTTGTCTCTTTTATATAGCTTCCATTTGTTTACTATTTCTATATTTGCTTTAGTGCTTGACCATATTTATAATAGCTATTTTCAAATCTTTGTCTTTCTCTGAGTCTGTTTTTTTAAAACTGCCCTTTCATTTATGAATTATATTTTTTCTCTTTGCATACCCAGTAATTTATTATTAGACACTGGACATTGTAAAGGTTACATTATTGAGTATCTGGATCTTATTGCCATCCTTTCAGGAGAGTTGAAGTTTGATTTGGAAGGCATCTAAGAGCACTGAAGAATAGTTTGCTCCTTTTAAGTGTTGTTTTTAAGTTTTGTAAGGGAAGGTCTAGAGTAGCTTTAACGCTAGGACTAGTTTAATCTTACTACAAAGGTGTAATCCTCCTGGATTTCAACTGAATGCCCCAGGTTTCAGTAAATTCTCTACATTCTTCTTGGTCAGTACACAGACATCTCCCAAACTCTGTGTGAACTCTGGGGATTGTTCTTTTTACTGCTTCTCAAAAATTGTTCTTTGCTTTGTTTCATGAAGGTTCTCCTAAGTAGGTACTACGTAGCATTTAGAAAAAGACTCAAGGGTACCTCACTGCAGAGTTTCAAAGTTGCTTCCTTGTGAAGCTCCCTCTGGTTCTGCAAATACCAGTTATCTTAGACTTGTCAAACTTCAATATCTGTCTCCTTCACTTAGCAAGACTGCCATGTGATAGCTTAGCTTGGTTCAGCCTTTCTCCTCACAATCTTTCAAGAAGTGCCTCTAGGAAAAGAAAGACCCTGGGCAATAGTGGGGCTCGGTGTTTCCCTTATTTTAGGGATTATAATCCTATGCTGCCACCTGTTGTTAAATGCCTGAGTTTTATTTTATATGTGTATATATATAGTTATATATATATATTTCACACGTATTTCACACATATATTTCACACATATGTTATACATATATATATGTTTCATTCATATGTATATATCTTTTTTTTCTCCTGATTTTTAGCTGTTTATGGCAGGAGGGCAATTTTAGTACCAGATAGCCTGTCATGGATGGAAGCAGAAGTCCCTGTTTTAATTTGTAAGATTTTTAATGTGTTATATTTTGTTTATTCAATTACTGATTTAAAAGCTTATTTATTCTATGGACTAGGTCTTTTGAGACTGAATCAAGTCAAGTGCAACAGAGTAATAAATGCCTAAAATAAAATTTTGGACATGACCAATTTATTAAAATGTGTTCATATGACAGAGACAGACAGAGAAAGAGCATGAGAGGGAGAGAGATTAAAAGAGTTTCACAATCATTTATTCATATTGAGGGAACCCCTCAACATATAGTTCAAGGTGCTGAATGATAACAACTTTTCAGGGATGGACTACTTGTAAGCCGTTCATACGTCTACACAATTACCCCTGCAATGATCAATCTCACTGTAGGAATGGTTGGAATATAATATTTTTTATAGTGCCTATGTTCCTTGTATGTTTAAGGTTAGTTATCTAGGAAATTTGCAGTTTTTACAGATTATCATAGATTTTTATTCAGAATGAATGTAGGTAGTTATATATACTTTCAACATTTCTATTTTCTTTCTGATAGTTACATTTTCCCTCCCTCTGGCATGTTAGGGGCTGGAGGGGCAGATGCTTGATATGCCCCCAATGTGACACTGTGCCTCCTTTTCTTACTCCCACTTTTTCTTCTTTTTCTTTCCAGTTTTGTGTATTCTTCCATTTTCCAGTCTTGGTTACTCAAGAAGCAGTAGATAATGAGGACAGTAGTGCTTAGGGCTGGTTTAGAAGAGGAAGAGTTTTGCTTCATTACTTCCTCCTTCACATGGCTCGGTCACCTCTGAATTATGACTCATATAAATGTAGCATAAAGCTACATTCAGGCTCTTTTGAGGCTTCATGAAAGCAGAGCTTGTATATTGAAATTTGAGAAAGAACCACTCTTAGGGGCAGATCGACGCAATCACCAGTGGCTTTTAGTTCCATCATAATGTAGCTTCTTTCATGCCCACTCTAATGAAATAGGAATGCTGCATTACTGCAAACTGATTTCTGTTTCAGTTGAGAGAGCTTATTTAAGGGCAAGATGGAACAAAGAGAGAATGTGTGTTTGCTTAAGTATATGCAATTTGTATCTATTGGATTAGAAAAAAAATTTTAATTTAACCTTTTTTGTATTGATGTGACTTTTTTTCACCTGCTAATTTTTCTGAAGGAAACATCTGTAAAGTTGACCTTCAGCATTACAGAAAATAGGTCACTTTCCTAAAATATATTTTAAAAATACTCTTCTCAATGATACAGACCATAGAAATATCTATTTTTTCCTGGTCACTGATATTTTAAGAACTTGATGGGTTTGATCAACATTGAAAAAAAGTATACATACATTTACACTCATGAGATTTTACCTTCAATCTAAGATGTCTTTAAAGACCATCCATATACTTCATGTTAAGGCAATACTTTGGATTAAGGTGGAAGAGGAATGTATATTTTACTTGAGGCAGGGAACTGACATGTGGTAAGTATCTTTTTTTTTTTTTTTTTTTTTTTAACGAGGTGAGTCTTGCTATGTCACACAGGCTAGTCTCAGGTGAGTCTTGCTGTGTCACACAGGCTGGACTCAAACTCCTAGGATCAAGGGATCTGCAACCGTGCCCAGTTGAGCATCTCTTTCTTAATGTACATTATTTCATTTAACCTTTTTTGACATGGATTGTTTTATCCAAAAATGGCAGAAACAATATTTTTAGTCTCACGTGCTCTTCTAAAATACTACCACCTGAACTTATGGGTCCTGTGTTACTGTCTCAATAAAAAGAATGCTTCAGAAGTGCCATACATGACTTTAAAATATATAAATCTAAGGGGTACAAGTGCAGTTTTGTTACATGGATTTATTGTTTAGTGGTGAAGTCTGGGCTGTTAGTGTAACCGTCACCCAAATAATGTACATTGTACCCATTTAGTTATTTCTTATCCCTCACCCCTGCCTTTACCCTCCCACCCTTCTGAGTCTCCAGTGTCTATTATTCCACACTCTATGTCCATATACATGACTACTGAGGCTAATTCATAAAAGGCAGTACTTCTTCCTGGCTCACTACTTCTCTCACGTTCTTGGAAACCTGCCACCCATGTTGTTTGGAAGCCCAGGACACATAGACTTTATATGTAGGTGTTCTGGCCAACAGCCCCAGTAAGATCTCAGCCAACATCCAGTA
Source organism: Homo sapiens (assembly GCF_000001405.40). NCBI lineage: Eukaryota > Metazoa > Chordata > Mammalia > Primates > Hominidae > Homo > Homo sapiens. Next base: position 157,507,554 of record NC_000002.12, on the reverse strand, counting down.
TCGACCATTAGACATGAGTGTGAACAAGCCTTCAGAGGATTTCAGGTCATAGCCTACAAGTTATCCACAGATATTAAGTCTACCCACTGAGGTCTCAAATATCATGGAGCAGAGACAAAATGTGAATTTAGCCTTCAGTTTTTGAAGTGCCCCTGCTAAGGCTGAGTTGAGCAGAGATGAGCAATCCACACAGAATACTCCTCAAATTGCAGGTTTCTGAGCAAAATAAGTGTCATGCTTTCAATTCATTAAGTTTTAGGGTGATTTTATTGGCAGCAGTAGATAGCTGGATCACATTTGGTTCCAGGAATTGAAGCGTAGCTAAAACTAAACCTAATACATGTGGCAATAGCTTTAGGGTCAGAGGCAGGTGGAAATGGGAAATGTCTTTAGGGGAGTGTTACTGAAAACTTAAAAGAGATCAAGGAAGCTATCAGAGGAAGCCTGGTGACCTTGAAAAGGCTGTTGGTGAGAACTTGAAGAAAAGAGAGGAAAATGTTTTTGGAAGCTGGAGGAAAGGGGACTCATGTAGTGGCAGAAAGCTTAGCAATAATGTCTCCTGCAGTAAAATGGAAAATAGGAAATATACCTATATTCTAGCTAAAGAGTTTTGCAGAAAGAGGGTTGAAAGTGCTTTGCCTTCTGTCTGCTTCCTAGCTGCCTGTAGTAAAATGCAAGGAAGAGAGATGAGCTAAAGAAAGCACTGTTATATATAAAGTCTCCAGGACTTGCTAGGTTGGAAAAGAAAACTGTTTCTCATTCCCAGCCTCTCCAGATGGCAAATGATGCTAAAATTAAGATGTGGCTTCTGAGCAGAGATCAAATCCAGGGTGCTGTCAGGAAAACATGGTCTAAAGATAAAACCTTTTGTTAAGGCCTCATAAAGTTTTGAGATAGTGTATTTTAGACCATTTTGAACAGAAAAAAGCCCACTAATGACCTTAAGGGGTGTTTCACAGACTACTTCCATATAACAATAGCGTTTCTCAAAATCTTAAGGGAAGCATTCTTAAAAAGAGCCAAAGTTAGAAAAAGTCTTATCTCTGTGGGATTTGGGCATGTGGCTTTTGTCTAATGGAGTGGATTATAAATTGATTCATAAGAAATCCACAAAGTGTTTAAAGGAATTTTAGCATCTAGTATTGAAAAGGATGGAGACAGAACAAAATTAAAAGAGGATTTTAACTCCTAAATTTCCATGAGCAGGAAGCAGACCAAGAAAACTTTAACTACAAAGACAACTTACATTTTATGAAATGGGAAAGATAAGTCAGTGGGTCAAACAGCTCAAAAGGCAGAGTAAAGAGTTATGGAGAATTCCTAGGTAGCAGGACTGATTCCTAATGAAGGAAATGGAAATATGTACATGGCTATATGTCAGAATGATTCAGTACCCGCTGTATTTCATCTGTTTTCTCCTTATTGAATGTGAATACTCTTAATGGTTTTCTTCAATCTATCACATTGCATGTCAGGTGTGTGTGGAGTAGATGAATCATCTTTTAGTTCACAGATCTCCATTTCAAGAGGAATGACATTCAAAGGGCTAAACTTAAGGAATCACATTCAAGGAACTTCATCTGATTTAGATGACAGGATCCTGAACCTCAAGCTTGATGGGCTTGGGGAAAGGGTTAAGTGTATTTGCATGTGGAAGAGATGTGAATTGTTGTCTCCTGAAAGTGGATAGTGGCAGATTTTAATTTCCAATAAAGACCTCCACAATACTTTTGATCTCAATGCTCTTACAGAACCTTGCCACTCCCCCTTTAATGGATACATGTCCCACCCCCTGAATCCTGGGTAGGTCTTTGTGACTATTTCAAAGAATATAATGCTGCAAAAGTGATGCTGTGTGACTCCTGAGGCTAAATCATAAAAATAAATAGAGCTGCCACCTAACTGCTCTTTGTCTTGGAATGCTTGCCTTTGAAATCTGGGCCCCATGTTGTGAGGAAGCCCAAGCTACAGGGAGAGGCCAAGTGTAAATGTTCTGGTTGTCAGTACCAGCTAAGATCTCAAACAACAGCTGGAATCAATTGCCTGGCTTCTGAGTAACTGAGACTTCAGATGATGCTTGTTCTCAGCCTTCAAGCTGCCCCAGACACTGAGTGGAGCAGAGATAAGTTATCTTTAACATACCTGATCACATTACAAAATTATGAGTGAAATACATATCATTTCTAAGTTATTACAATGTGAGGTGATTTTTTTTTTATGCAGGAGCAGATAATCCACCAAGAATACTGTAAGTTACGTACAATCATCTATGTTACAAAATGGAAATATGCTAACAGCTACATAGCATGTAAGTGGCAGTGCTGAGCTGTGAACCCGTGTGTTGGAATCCAAAGTTTGAGTTCTTTCTAATTTTTGACCCACTCCTGTAAAAGGGCATAGGTTGACTAGAAAGACATTGAGTTGAACTAGAAAGTCCATTCAGCTCTAGCCCAGGATGATTGAACCCAGTAGAATGAAAATGAGATTTGTAACCTGCAAGTGTAGAGGCTATCCTTGAAAGCAAGGCATGTTTTGTGGTAAAAAGTTTTTATGGTCAAATTTTGCCCTTATATCTACAAGACTTAGTGGGACTTTGATCAAGCTATATAATTTCTCTGTGTGCAAGTTTCCTCAATTGTGAAATGAGGATATAATATCTAACTTGCAAGTTGTAAGGATTATAATTTTGTATGCAAATAAGGGAAACTCTTATGTCTGAATATCTTAAAGTAGTCATCTAAAAGTCACGCTGGAATATGAGTGGCACACACCCATTGCTCTCTGACTTCTGAACAAAAATGTCTACACTGAGCTTGGCCACTGCCCTTTTCCCTTTTGAAATCTTGCTGCCACCTGCCGTTTCTTCCGTACCTTCAGATACTCACTGCCCCATGGGTCTTTGGCTGTCAGGGGTCCGGCTGCCTCTTCCATTACTCCTCTATAAAGCTCTTCAAATCTCCTGCCCCTGCCACAGGCTTTTCTGCCTTGAAATTTAGCTAATCTTGATTATTTGTTTAATGACATTCAGGTGCAAATGAAGCATAACCCTATAAGACCTTTACACTTTAAAAGAACAGCTCATTAACTACTTTGAATCTCTAATTGATAGAATTAGTGGGAGAGACAATTTTGTTCCCAGAGTTCTTTGCCTACTCTCCCTCTCTCCTCCCACAATAAGCAAAAAATACTCCTGAAAGTTACTTTGTAACCTCTCTGTACCCCTTTTGGGAAACAGTCTGTACTCTGACAGGACCTAATGGAAATGAATTTGTTGCCTGTGGGAGAACTGAGGTGGGCAGCAAACATAAATGAACTTTATTTTAAAATTGCAACAATTTTTTTTTCTACCTCTTGTCCTTCTCAAATGGTGGATGGTGGTGTTGGTGGAGAGGCTACCATTTATTGGCTATCTTGACAAGTACTTGATGCAATTCCCATTTAATGCCATTGTCTATGTATTTACTTTTTGGATTAGCCTGATTTGATCTTTTAAAAAATGTATTCATTATTGGTGACTATTTGAATTCTCTCTGGAGGGAAAGGAGAGAGAAAAGGATAATTATGCTGTTCCTTTGACTATGGCAGAGTGACTTCCATCCAGTTTGTTTAACACAGAAGCACAAAACATTTCTGTACACTGTGCAGTGGTAGGTCATGAGGCAGAAACGGCGTAGAACAAAGTATATCACTGGAAGGTCTTTTGAAAAGGTGTTTGTTTCACTCTTTAAAAAATACACAGAGATTTTCACAGTTCAGGATAAGGAGTGATATGAAGAAAGAGAACAGAGGTGGATAGAGTTTGTGTTATATCACTTTTTTTATACATTAATACTGTCCCCTAAATACATGAGGTAAAACTTAAAATGCATTATAACCTGGGCTGGGTGCAGTGGCCCACACCTGTAATCCCAGCACTTTGGAAGGCCGAGGTGGGCAGATCACTTGAGGCCAGGAGTTCAAGAACAGCCTAGCCAACATGGTGAAACCCTGTCTCTACTAAATAAATTCAAAAATGAGCTGGGTGTGTCGGTGTGTGCCTGTAATTCCAGTTAATCGGGAGGCTGAGGCACGAGAATCTCTTGAACCCAGGAAGCAGAGGTTGCAGTGAGCCAAGATCATACCACTGCACTTTAGCCTGGGTGACACAGCGAGACTCTGTCTCCAAAAAAAAAAAAAAAGTATTATAACCTGATAAAGATATAAACACATTTTGTACTAAACAATGTTAACAGCCCCCATCCGAATCTCTGGCTCCATTTCCAGTCAATACAGAGTTGTCCAATTTATTACATTCTCTGTGGATTTATTACACTGAATTTTCATTTTGTTCTAATGTTCTATCTTACAATAATTAAACGTAAGATTTTATCATAGTAACCTCCCATTTTCTGGTTCCCTTTGACCACTGAGCCCTCTGTCCAGGAGTCATGTCGTCATTAATGTCACCGTGTGGTATCAGTACCTCCCTAGTCTCAAACTTTTCACCATGTCCGGCTATGTATCAGAAGTTTCTGGGCAGCTTGAAAATTTCTAAGGCCCAGCTGGACGCAGTGGCTCACGCCTGTAATCCCAGCACTTTGGGAGGCCGAGGTGGGAGGATCATGAGGTCAGGAGATTGAGACCTTCCTGGCTAACACGGTGAAACCCCGTTTCTACTAAAAAATAGAAAAAATTAGCCGGGCGTGGTGGCAGGCGCCTGTAGTCCCAGCTACTCGGGGAGGCTGAGGCAGGAGAATGGCGTGAACCCGGGAGGCGGAGCTTGCAGTGAGCCGAGATCGCACACTGCACTCCAGCCTGGGCAACAGAGCGAGACTCTGTCTCAAAAAAACACAAAAAAACAAAAAAACTTATAAGGCCTAACCAGAGCTACTGTACCATAATGCTTTCATTTCTGTTCCTTCCTTTTCTTTCTCATTACCATAACCCGAGAAAAAAAAACACCAGAGCTTCTCTCTCTGCCATACAGCAAGATACAGCAAGAAGACAGCCATCTGCAAACCAGGAAGAGGGTCTTCACTAGATACTTGATATGGTTTGGTTCTGTGTCATCACCCAAATCTGATGTTGAATTGTAATCTTCAGTGTTGGAGGTGGGGCCTGATGGGAGGCGACTGGATCACGGGGGTGGTTTCTAATGGTTTAGTACCATCTCCCTAGTGCTGTCTTGTGACAGAGTTCTTATGAGATCTGGTTGTATGAAAGTGTGTGACACCTCCTTCTTTGTTCTCTCTTCCTCTTGCTCCAGCCATGTAGGATGAGCCTTCTTACTCTTCACCTTCCGCCATGACTGTGAGTTTTCTGAGGCCTCCCCACTCATGCTTCTTATACAGCCTGTGGAACTGTGAGCCAATTAAACCTCTTTTTTTAAAAAAATAAATTACCCAGTCTCAGGTAATGCGAGACTTTACAGCAATGCGAGAATGAACTAATACAATATTGAATCTTCTAGTACCTCAATCTTGGACTTCCCAGTATATCTTAAAGAGTGTGTTTCTTTAAGAGGGAAACAAATGCCTATTCAGAAAACCTTCCAGTGAGGTACTTTATTCTTTGCCATTTCTACCTCATGACCTTCCACTGTACAGCACAGAGACATGCTCTGTGTGTTAGCATTAAACAAACTGGAGGAAAGTCATTCTGCCATAGTTAAAGGAACAACATAATTGTCCTTTTCTCTCCCCACCTCACCAGTTTATTACATTCTATGTGATGATTATAGCAAAGTGACTTTAACTCTTCACTCTGCCACTGTTTGCTTCCCATTTTTATCATAGTAATTTCTCATTTTCTTTAGCCTCGATCTGGTTCCCTTTGACCACTGATCCAGTGGTCTAATCTTCATCTAGATCCAAGTCTAAATCTTCATTTCCTGGGTTGTTGTGATTATCTATTAACTGATGTCTCCAACTAGTATCTTGTCTCCCCATCTCTGGCAAAGAATGCCTTTGCCAGATTAATCTTTCTGAAATAATACCTTACACATGCGGTCCTCAAGTTCAGTAATTGTTAATTGTATCCGTATCGTCCCTGTAGTCCTCAGAAATATAGTCAATTATCCCTTAGTTTGGCATGCAAGACATCTACAACTTCGCATCTGCATACTTTTTCAACATTCTTCAGTTTTTATCTCATTTGACCTCCTACCATAACAAAAGTTTGGTGAATACTTCTGTGTTAGTTTGGGCTGCTGTAACAAGATACTATAGACTAGGAGGCTTAAACAACAATTTATTTCTCACAGCTCTAGAGCCTGGAAAGTCCAAGATTAAGGTACTAGAAGATTCCGTATTTGGTGAGGGCCCTCTTCCTGGTTTGCAGACAGCTGTCTTCTTGCTGTACGTTCACACTGCAGAGAAAGGAAGCTGTGGTGTCTTTTTCTCTTCTTATAAGGGGACTAATTTTATCACTAGGCTCTACCCTCATGACCTCATCTAAACTTAATTACCTTTCAAAAGCCCCACTTAATACCATCACATTCAGGGTTAAGGCTTCAACATATGAATCTAGGAAGGACACAAACATTCAGTCTACAAGGCTCTCCTTCTGATTAAAGTGCTTTCTTTCTATATTTCTTTAATGTCATACATTCTCTCTCTCTCTCTTTTTTTTTTTTTACTAAACTTTATGTTGAAATAATTTCAGACTTACAGAAAAGTTGCTAGTATAAAGAATTCCTAATTACCCTTCACTCAGATTCCCCATATGTTAACATTTTACCACATTTGCTATATCATTCTCTCTCTCCATATAGATATGTATGTGTGTATATATATATACATATATATGTATGTGTGTGTGTGTATATATATATATATATATATATATACACACATATATATATCTCTGATATGATGCTTCTTTACTTCTCCCTACTTCAGTATGCATCTCCTAAACATAAGAATATTCTACTGGATAACTACATGGCAATTATCAAATAGGAAATTAACAATGACACAATTCTATCGTTTAATCTACAGAAAGAGGAACTGCAAGGCACCAAACAGGAAAAAAATACTGGCCAAAATCTATATCTGCAAAAGTGTTGCAATGAGAATATAAAAAGAACTCTTATAATCCAATTATAAGAAAATAAATGCCCTCTTCCCCATTGGGCCACAGACTGGAACATCTCACAAAAGAAGATTGACAAATGGTCAGTAAGCACATAGGAATGTACTCAATATTTGAAATGGAGGTTAAAACCACAATGAGACACTACTGTATTCAGTAGAATACCTAATATTATAAAGACAACATAACAAGCCCCAATATTGGCAACAATGTGGAGCAATTGAAACTCTCACACTTACATAACATTGTTCGACCACTTTGCAAAACTGTTTGAAAGTTTCTTATAAAGATAAAGATACATTTTCCCCATGACCCATAATTCCACTCCTCTTTAATTATCCCCCCAAATGAAAATATATACCTACAGAACGATTGTGCAAGAATATTCATAACATCTTTGTGTATAAAAGCAAATAATTAGAAACCACCCTAATGACCATGAGTAGAAGAGATGAACTGTGGTGTACTCATATAATGCAATAGTACAGTAAAAAGAGACAAACTACTGAAAAAACTATATCATGAATCTTATAGACATGATATTGAGAGCAAGATGCAAGAAACAATAGAATAAAAACTATACAATTCAATTTATAAAAGTTTAAAATCTGCAAACGTAATCTGTGGTGATAGAAACCAGAATAGTGTTTGCCACAGCAGAGAGTGTATTGATTGGAGAGGGGCATGAGAAAAGTTACTGGTATGATGGAAGTGTTCCATATCTTGATTAGAATGTGCATTTTCCCGGTGCATATATTTGTTAAAGTTGATTGGTTTATATGCATTTCACTATGTCAATTTCACCTTAATAATAAATGTAAAACAAAAGTCGTTCATAGAGTACAACTACACTACAGGGATAATGCAGGAACCCAGGTCTAAAAGCAGTGGAACTGCTGATATCTCTAGACAGAAGGGAATGGGTGGAAGAAGAGATATTCAAAATTCACGAGAGGCAATACTTTTCACTAGGCCACTGAATTGACTTCAATTAGCGATACAAATAATTCTTGATGAATTTGCAAGGATGAAACAAGTAAAATAAATAACTGTAACTCAATTTTTCTCTATTCCTCTTATTTCCTGCCGGGGTTCTCCATTGTTTGAACCATTTGAATGACAGAGGACATAAGGCTCTGTTGGTGTAATCCTTATAAGATCAGCTTCCCAGAACATAGAATGGGGAAAAGAAGGGACATTTGATCATCAGGGGGAAATAAAAGGTATCTGGTATACATCTTGTTTTTATACCACTCTAAAGGGCACCATTTAATCATAATAATGGTGGCTTGGCCAAGGGATTGTACAAATTAAGAGAGGTCTGAGTGAGTTGATAATATATGAAAGAGAGTGATTGCAATGATTGATTATATAATTTAAGCTGTCTAGTAATGAAAATGAGGCTATGATGAGATGAGGGGCAGTGCAATTGTGGTAGAATCAGTGGGATATAGATCGTGATAGAATCAAAGGATTGCTTGAATTGGGGTACTAGAATGGGTGTTTGCAAATGAAATTATGGAGGGATTTCAGTTAATGGTAGTGGAAGGTCAAGGGTATGTCTGTGGGAATCAGTGGCTAAGATGACATAGAATACAAAATGATTGTAAGAGGAAATCAAGGAACTAAGCAACTGGGGTAATGGAAGGAGTATCTGCATATATATTGAAATCGTCAAGAATCATGGCAGCATAGAGAGAATGACAGAGAGCAGGAAGCTAAAAGCTCCGAAAGAATGAGGAGGAGTAAAGAGGAGAGGACCTGGGATGACTGCAAGGAGAAGTGGGTGGTGTAGTCTGTTAACCTGAGTCATCCTTGATACATTTCTCTCTCAGCCCCCAGAGTCTCAACCAATCATTAAGTCCTGTCAGTCTATTGCTTTTCTCAATATTAGCACCACTCTGGTCGCCAAGTAGGATTTTTAAAAAATCATGTTTCTGTGCTTCAGCACATTTGTCCTCTAATTGGTCTTCCACTAGCCACTTTTGCCAGTCTTTTGTGCGTGTGTGTGTGTGCTGCAGCCCCAGTGAACTTTTCTCAATAAATCTGACAATGTCACACAAGCCCACTTCTTCTCTAGTCTAGCACTTAATTTTTTCAGTGGGTTTCCAGTGCTTTTAAAATTGAGACCAAAATGCTTCAGGCCTAAAAGAGCTGGGGTGATCTGGCCTCAGGCCTACCTTTCTGGTCTTATTTAGCAACATATTTCACCATAATCTCTATGTGCACGAGGCACACCAGCCCTGCTGCAGGGCCATTGCCTGTACTGCTTGCTTTGTCTGGAATGTGCTCTCCTCTACCCACTGTGTTTCACCAGGTTAAGTCATAGTCATCAGTTAAAAAGGAGTTCAAATGTCACCTGCCTGAGGAAACCATTCCCAGCATTTCCCAGACTGGGTCTGTGTCAGCCCCTTTATATACGAAATAGTATGAGTCCTTCTTAAGGGAGTCACTCAAAAGACTACCTCCTGTGGGTGATATTCAAAATATATGTTGACTTCTTTTTTTAGGATTATGCTCAGCTGGTTGCTGGGACAGAAGGGACCAATTGACATGAATAAGACAATATCCTTAAAGAGGAGTCTGGTTTAATGTGAAATAGGTTCCACTGGATTTAAAACGGCAGAGCACTATAGCATTAAGAAAAGCCCTGTGCCTTCAAGTAGCAGGACAGCGACACCATATGGTAGTGAAAAGCATCAGCAATAATGACCTTGTTTAGTCACCTTAATCTCTCGACTATCATTAGAATCACATGGAGAGTTTTGAAAAGAACAATACTGGTAATGCTTGCACAGCTGTATAAATTAACTTTAACGTTATTGAATCTTACGCTTAGAGTGAATTTATAGTATGTAAATTACATCTCAACAAAGGGGTACAAATTTAAAAAATAATACTAACGCCCAGCCTTTGGCCAATTATATTGGAATCTCTGGGGTGCAGCTTGGACATTAACAGCTATTAAAAGCCCCTAGAAAAATTTAGCAATAACTAACAAAAGTATACATGCATTTACCTTTTGACCCATTAATCCTATTTCTAGGAAGTTATTCTGAAAGCACAGCTCCAGCAATACAACTAAATACATGTGCACACTGTTATTCACTGAAGCACTGTTTGTAAATGCAAGTTATGGAAAAACACCAGAATGTCCATACTTAGGGGGAATGGTTGAATAAACTATGGCACATCCACACCATAGAGAGTATTATGGTGTTGTAAAAATGAGTGAAGAATCTCTGGACTGATATTATACTGGTATCCAGAATAAATTTTTTTTTTTAAGACGGATCTCGCTCTGTCGCCCAGGCTGGAGTGCAGTGGTGCGATCTCGGCTCACTGCAACCTCCGCCTCCTGTGTTCAAGCAATTCTCCTGCCTCAGCCTCCCGAGTAGCTGGGACTACAGGTGCGCACCGCCACGCCCAGCTAATTTTTGTATTTTTAGTAGAGATGGGGTTTCGCCATGTTGGCCAGGATGGTCTTGATCTCGTGACCTCGTGATCTGCCCGCCTCGGCCTCCCAAAGTGCTGGGATTACAGGTGTAAGCCACTGCGCCTGGCCTAGGATATGCTTTTAAGTGAAAAAAGTAAAGTGCACATATATCTATAGTATGGTACCATTAGATGAGAAAGAAAGAGATATAAGAAAATATACGTATATTTTCTCATCTGCACAAAAAGAAATATAGGAGGGTAAAAGTAGAAACTACTGTGATTGGTTATTTACAGAGATCAGTGGGAATGGGGTGGAAAGAATAGGGGAATGGGAATGGTTAGAAGGAATGAAGTGGGATACTTCTGCAAGTACATCTTCTGGGATGTTTCTAACTTCTTGAACCAAGTAGTGTTTCACATATTTAAAAAACTAATTTATATTAACCAGGATGTGTGGGAAACCAAAATAGAACACAAACAGTAACCAATGCATGTAACGCAAAATTAATACCACAACCATAATAAATGGGATAAAAAAGAATGAATCTAAGTAATACTGAAAAACAGCCTTTTAAATATATTCTATAAGGGCAAAGATAAAAAAAAACTGCACAAAAATATTGTACCCTTCTCAGGAAATTCATTTTTCATTTTCCTTCTCAGGAAAATGTGTCAGTAATTCTAAAACTATATGTATTCTAAGATTGAACAAATAAGTAAACAAATTGTGAATAATGAGAGCCAGTTTCTCCCTATCAGACAAAAGAGTTACAGATGAGGAAATGGGGAAGGTGAGAATGACCCCTATGGATTAGATTCACATATATCAGTTTGAACTACTGTTTCTGTATATACTGGTTCTGAATACACACACACACACACACACACACTCACAGAGAGAGAGAGAGAAAGAGAGAGAGTGAGAAAGAGAGAAAGAGAGAGGAGATAGTTACAGAAATACTTATAGATGTGCATATATTTTTGTGTATATACGCTTGTCCCTAGGTATCCACAGGGAACTGGTTCCAGGGCACCCCACAGATGCTCAAGTCCCTTTTATAAAATGGCATAGTATTTGCACATAACCTATGCACATCTTGTATACTTTAAATCATCTCTAGATATTACAATGCTTAATATAGTATAAATGCTATGAAATAATTGTACTATATTAATTTTTATCTTCTTTGAATTATTTTTGATCTGAGGCTGGAATCTGCAGATATAGAGCACCAACTGTATATACATATATTTCTTAGCTCTGTTCACTTAGGACTAGAAGCAATGACACCCCAGCAGCAATGAGTATCCTAGTACTCAGAACTTGAATTCTAAGTACCATTTTTCAGTTAAATGGCTAATCTGAAGGCTGGGATGCAGAAAGTAAAAGATATGCCTGAACCTATATATCTATCATCCATCCATCTATCTATCTATCTATCTAACTATCTATCTATCTATCTATCTATCTATCTACCTATCTATTTATTTTTGAGAGCATCTCACTCTGTTGCCTAGGCTGGAGTGCAGTGGTGCCATCACTGCTTACTGTAACCTCGACCTCTTGGCCTCAAGCGATTCTCCTGCCTCAGTCTCCCAAGTAGCCCGAGTAGCTAGGACTACAAGTACACCCAGCTAATTTTTTTTTTTAAGAGATTGGGTCTCACTTTTTTGCCCAGGCTGGTCTCGAACTCCTGGGCTCAAGTGATTCTTCCCCCTTGGCCTCCCAAAGTGCTGGCATTACAGGCCTGAGACACTGCGTTTAGCCTTGAATCATCTTGTGATGCCAGAATGTGAATGCTCAAAAATGATGGGAGCATATTGAAAGGACTGGAAGCCAACCTAAAGGAGCTCTTGAAGGCTAAAACTGGGACAATATGGGCCAAAAAATAAATGAATTATAATCCATTGAATAAAATAAATATCTACTAATTCATACTGATGAAAACAAATAATCAAATAAATAAATAAATGAGGGAGAAAGGAGGTGTCTTCCTTACAGTAGAATTCCAAAGAGTAAATATAGAAGAAGTGGTGGAAATATAAAGTTGCCATTTGGTTAATGGCACAGTAATAATTGTTTTAAGGACAATTCAATTGGTGTTAAAACTAGTGTGCAAAAATATAATTAGAAACAAGATATTTACACAGTTTCAGACTATCTTCACTAGCTAATTACAAGGGGAAATATTATCTTTATTGTGGAGAAACTTGGCAGACTAACTTAACTAAGCGATCAAAGTTAACATCATCAAAATGTGACACTTTGACAACATGGACTCTCTATATGATGCACTGAGAAGAGTATGGTATCATTTCTGGGGTATTCTTGCCAAAAATACATGAGTTTTATTTAATCATAAGGAAATATTAGACAAACAGATTGAAGAATATTCTATTAAACAGCTGACCATACTCTTCAAAAGTGTCAAGGTCATGAAAAAGAAAAGACTAAGAAACTGTCCCAGATTGCAGAAGACTGAGTAGACATGACAAATAAATGCAACTTGAGATCCTGGATGACATTCTGCATTGAGGGTGGAGAAAGGCCTAAAGAGAGCCAGGCTGGACTTTATGCAATTGGGACAACTAGTTGTTTGAATAATTAATTAGACATGGCTGAAAGAATAATCTGGGAGGTGGTGCTGAGCATAGAATTTAATAACTCCCTTGTAGAACATTGTACTTCTCCAGTGTAACTTTTCTCAAATGATAATGACATGTCCATATCTTTTACTAGAATGTAAGCTCCATGAACACAGAGAGTTGTCACATCTATCTGGTTTGTCACTCTGTCCAAGCGCTCAATGCCTTGCCAATAAACGTGGTTTAAAACATAACCTTAATCTGTGGCTGGTTAAGTTCATGCAAGCAACTTTTCCCCTCACCTCTGCTCTGGGAGGCTTTGCTGGTTGGGTGACTCTTTTTACCTAAGAATGACTAAGGGGTTCATCCCTTTATTTAATGACTCCTTATCTTTCAGGCTCAATATAAGCCTCATCGTTTAGTCAAAAGTGTTAGGCTTTAGAGGCTAGATGGAATTCAAATTCCAGTTCCCTCACTGATCAGCCTACAGCTTAGTTTGGTCTTTCCTCCTCTCCAGGAATGGCTTCCTCAACAGTGAAGAAAGGCCTTTGAATTTTAGACCAGTGATTTTTAAGCTGTTTTTTTTTTAAATTTGTTTTGTTGTTGTTATGATTATTGTGGGTGGATTGTTTGCTTACTTGCAGATCCGCTTTCTTTAAAGGAAGTCTTTATGTAGTATCCAGAGGTGTACATAAATAATACAGGTTAAAATGGCATTGTTTTCATCTGGTTGGAGGTGGGGGGAAGTGAGGGTAGGGAAGTGGTTTTGGGGGTGGTACAAAGCCTGTCCAACTACCCATCCCTTCCCCTAATGCCACCTCACCCTGGGAGCCTTTGAGGTCCTAATCACAAACTTCTAGTCCATAGTTTGAAAAATCTAGAAGTTTGCTACAATTATTCTGCCACCTTCAGAAGCACTGTTCTCTCCTGTGAACTGTGGCATTTATCCTTGCTGTTTTCCATGTTACATTTACCATGCTACTATCTGGACTGGAAGGAATGGGATATATCTTTTTAGACCCAAGTTCTAGTACAAAACCTTCACCCAATAGTTCGCTTACTGTGAAAGTTAATTACACACATTGATTTATTATTGTCATACTGAACTAAATAAGATTCAAGGGGTAAGGGAGAAAATGACTGGGGGCACATAACACCTACCCCAAGAATTGTCCACATGCCCAGTTGCTGAAACAACCTGCTGACACTCTTAAGATTAATTTTACCTACCACCATCACTCACCAATCAGAGCTTGCCAGTCCCCCAAAACTTTGCTAGTGCCAATGAGTTTTCTTTCAAGATAACATAACATTTCTCTTTCCAGTAAAACTTCCAACCTTCTCTTTGTTCTTCAGACATACTGAAGACCACCTCTGTGTGTGTGTATAACTCATATTGCAATTCTGTGATTCCCAAATGGAACAGTGAGTTTAAAGATTCTTCTTTATATTTCATTTGACTTTGACATTGGCAAATGTTTCTTGATGATGACCACTGGTTCAAGGACCTCCAGCAACTTCCTGGAGGAGGTGGCCCGTAAGTCAGGCTTGGGGAGAAGTTGAATTAGTGGGCAGGAGGTCATTGTTCTTGATTAGTGAGGGTTATGCAGGGATGACAGACAGAGGAAGCCATGCAATGGGTAGCTCTTAAGAGTTGTTAGGGACACAGGGAGATAGAAGGTGTGGGAGTGAGGCATGGAGCCCAATAGTGGAGTAGCTCGGCTATGACCTAAGATGGCCTAAAGCCAGAAACAGAAACTATCATGGTATATCTTAAATTAATTCCATAGTGTAGCATCCTCAGCAAGATATTCCAGGAAGGTAATGGGAACTGGCTAGTTTCCAGGTATCTTTAGCTCAAACAAAATGTGAGCAGCCTCTAAGGCAAAACTTTTCTGGACATTTCCAAGGGTACATCCCACATTCCCTATTTTCAGCACAAGCCTGCACTGTATTTCGGATCCAGGTGAGAAGATGATGATTGCTCCAGTGCAGGAACACTGCACCAGGCAACTGCACTGGCTTGGCTAGAGGCACTAGCCAGCTGCTGACTGTTGGTGGGAGTATCCTGCCCTCTGCTGGATTTGGCGGGAAACATGAATTTGCATTGCCTGCTAAAGAATTAAGGCTGAAAGCTTTTAGAACTGAAAATAAATATTTGCTTGTGTGTTGATGAGGTTTAATTAACTTGGGAATGCATTCCTTAAATGACATCGGGATTCTCAGGTAATTTCCAGGTGTCAAGGAAAAAAAATCGTTTTATATCATATACAGACCTCCTGTTCAGTAAATTTGGGTGCATAATATAAAGTGCCAGCATTTTGTTCTGTAAAGAATAAAAGTTGCATCTATAATAATTCTTAAAGTGTTCACATAGTGTTGTAATTTGATGAAAGAATAACAAGAGTGCAGTTAGACTGTTGGGGTTTATATATTAATTCTGCAAGATACTGAATCTCTCTGAGACTCGGTCTCTTTATCTGTAAAAAGATGCCATACTCATCTTGAAGGGTTGCTGTGAGGATCAAGTGAACTAAGAATATTTACAGGAGCACTTTACTATGCCCACTAAAAGTATGTGGTTTTAAACATACATGCTATTCACAGGTTAAATTATTGATTTCCCTGTTTATTTTGAGTAAAACTGAAAAACAGACATCAATGTTTCAAATCTAGATAATGACAGGACTCTTCCTAAAATACTGAAAGAGATCAGCAGCCCCTAATTTTTGCAAGAGCCTTTGAAGATGGGACAACTTTTTACTAAGTAGTATTTATCTCCAATTGCTGGTCATTCTGTTCTGTGCAATCAAGAGAAATGTCTCTATTTCTCACTTTCATAAAGAGAAAAATGGCAGAACCTAATTCTAAGGATAATGTTTTCCAGCAGCCATTGCCTTGGTTTCCTCTCCTTCTTTTCTCTTTTTGATCCTTCCCTATCCCTTTATTCTGTTCTCTTCCTATGTAAGTTGAAATCAGAAATAAGCAGTTTCAGCTGGCATTGTCATTGCTGTTGATGTTTAGCTGTTTCTCATCCTCCTGTAGAAGTTCCACAGGTATATAGTTTTCCCTTCAGTGCTATTATATTTGGAGTAGATAGAACATGGCCCAGGCTCTGAAGTTTTTTGCCATCTAAGGTGTGAGAAGCTGAGTAATAATGGTATTATTAATGTAGCACCTCTCTAATAAAAATAATAGATCTGTTTTCAACTTAATAATTTATTTAATTGATTTTATTCTCTTCATTAACAGCTCTGCTTAATAAAAAGATTTTTTAAAATCCAATTTGTGCAACCAGCTGAAGAGTAAACCCAAGTAATTGATCACCTTGCCAGCCTCAGTAAATGCTATATTGATGTGTTTTAGGAAATCCACGTTCAACAAAGATTTATACTAATTGCTGAAGATAAGAAGGAATAAGATATGATCTCTATACATGATATATTTTGGGAAGAAATTGGCTAAGAAGATATCATGTGCTCTTGAAGAATGAAGTTTTTTAAGTAGAAAAGGTGGGTGTGCGTGTGTGTGTGTGTGTCTGTGTCTGTCTGTCTGTCTGTCTATTGAAGCTGGGTGGGGGCAGGCTTCAAGACAGAGGGTACCAGGTAAGCATCACATACTGTTATGAAAACCTATGCTGTGGCCAGAGTGATAAGGAGGATGAAGATGAGGCTGAGGCTGGAAAGGTACTTTGGGGCCAAAGGAAGGTGCTACTTAACTGCTAAGATGTGGAGCTTGAATTTCATGGGGTATGTGTGTTAACCAATACATTTGAATGTTGGATCAATATTATACCTCCATCATATTCTGGTTCATCAGAGAAGTATTTTTTAGGGAGGAATGTTGGGTTTTAAGTGGCATTATAGTTCTCTACAACTTTAAAAATATATGTAAATTTCTGAGTGAGAACCACAACAGCCTCTATGTTCAGTCCAAACTAGGGTGGGTTAGTGATTCCCTGTGTAACCCAGGGTTCCAGGTTTTTGGGTATGCACTGTGAGGAAATCCCCACTTGTGTCTGTTGTATCTTGAGTTCTTATTTCAAAAATCTCTGGGAAGAAGCTCAGCCCTGGAAAAACTAAAACTGGCTGGATCCAGAGATGCCTGAGTTGGAGAGGAACTTTGGCCAACTCTCCTCATTAACCATAGTAAGAAACCTTGCTCAGGGAGAAGTTTATTTGCCATTTTCTGTACATGCAATGTATGTAGAAGCATGATCAGCAGGCGACTGCACTGCCTTTATGCCACTTCCACATACAATGACTCAGCTAACCAGCCTAGTACAAGTCCTGCTTTTACTGTTGTTCCTGGAGGCACTGCTTTGGGAAACTATCCCAGATGTCCTCCTTCCTTGTTGCAAATAATAAAATCTCCCTCTTAAATACTCCATGGTTGTGCTCATTGGACTGTCTCCTGCCTAGCAGTTTAACCCACCTGTTGTGTGGGTAACACCTCAACAGACTAGAATCCTTAGCTTGCATCTTTAAAAGACAACAGCTTGAGTCCCTTTCAATTCATCAAAAAGCCATGCATTTTTTAAAAGCAGCCACCAGCCTCTTTCATCCAGTTAGTCTTAGACAACCATCTACTCTAAAATATCTGGAGTCCGATGCCTAAAGAATAATTTAGAAACGGCATCAACCCCTTTCTATATCTGACCTGCCATTTTGTCACATCAAATAAAAGAGAGATCATAAAAAGACCCGTGGATAAAGGCTGTCTGCATCACCAAACATGCTTGCTCATCTAATTAATGATTTAAAAAATACAGATTATTTATATAAACTATTTGGCACCATATTACTGATCTTAACTCCCCTTATTCACTATAGCAATTCCAC